>NC_000014.9:90861713-92111713 GCF_000001405.40 Homo sapiens | reverse complement strand
TTTGTGCCAGTCAATCAAAAAGACTTCATGCATTAATTCATTGCTCTATAGCAACCCTTGACCTAAAGAGTAAGATTCCTGCACTTTGGGAGGCCGAGGCAGGCCGATCACGAGGTCAGGAGATCGAGACCATCCTGGCTAACATGGTGAAACCCTGTCTCTACTAAAAATACAAAAAAATTAGCCGGGCATGGTGGAGGGCGCCTGTAGTCCCAGCTACTTGGGAGGCTGAGGCAGGAGAATGGCGTGAACCCTGGATGCGGAGGTTGCAGTGAGCTGAGATCACGCCACTGCACTCCAGCCTGGGCGAGAGAGTGAGACTCTGTCTCAAAAAAAAAAAAAAAAGAAGAGTAAGATTCCTCTGCCCCTCAAAAGCTGATAGTTCAGTAGTATATAAAGTAATACTTCCAGTATGATGTAATGGTGCTGTAATGTAGGCATGCTCAAGGTGTAGCGGTGGCACAAAATACTTTTCCTTAGTGAACTTTCCAGAAGTAAAAGGAAGAAGCTAGTATGACTAGAGTCTGGAGTGACTGGGGCAGAGAGAATTTGGGGAGAACAGAACAGGACAGGTGGTTGGTCCAGATCACAGAGCTTTTCAGGCCAGCAATAGGATGGCAATAGGAAGTCACTGAAGGATTTTTTTTTTTTTTTTTTTTTTTTGAGGCAGAGTCTCACTCTGTTGCCCAGGCTGGAGTGCACTGTTGCGATCTCATCTCACTGCAACCTCTGCCGCCCAGGTTCAAGCAATTCTGCCTCAGCTTCCCAAGTAGCTGGGATTACAGGTGCCCACCACAACACCCGGCTAATTTTTGTATTTTTAGTAGAGATGGGGTTTCACCATGTTGGATAGGCTGGTCTTGAACTCCTGACCTCAGGTGATCCACCCGCCTCGGCCTCCCAAAGTACTGGGATTACAGGCATGAGCCATTGCACCCGGCCATCACTGAAGGATTTTGAAGTCAGAGTTGTGTAATCATTTAAGAATCCCTGCCAATGTAAGTCCCCTGAAGGTGGGACTGTTTGTGTTTTTCATGGTTATAGTCCCAGGGCCTGATATGCAGTTATTCTTGTTAAACAAAAGAAAATCTTGTGAGATTTGCATTTTTGGAAGATCACTGACAGCACCATGAATTAGACATATTGAGACTGGAATCAGAAGACCAATTCAAAGATCCTTGGACTAGAGTACACAAGATACCAAGAGGGCTTGAACTAAGTAGTAGCAATGAAGACAAGGGCAAGAGAGAGTTAGGAGTGGATTTATAGCATTTGAGGACTGATTGGAATAAGGGGTGACGTGGAGAAGTTGTGGGAAGAGAATAAAAAATGATTCCCAGATACTTGGTGCTATGATCTGAATGTTTGTATCTTTCCAAAATTCATTTGTTGAAATGTAGTCTCCAGTGTGTTGGTTTAACAGATGGGGCCTTTGGGAGATGATTAGATCATAAGGCCAAGCCTTGTGACTGAGATTAGTGCCCTTATGCAGAGAGGAAGCTTGTTTGCCCCTTTTCCCCTTCCACCATGTGAGGACAAAAAAATGCACCATCTATGAGGAATGGGCCCTCACCAGACACTAAATCCGTTAGAGCCTTGATCTTGGACTTCCTAGCCTGTAAATTTATTACAGATCTGTAATAAACTTCTGTTTATAAATTACTCTAAGATATCTTGTTAAAGCGCCCCAAAAAGACTAAGACCTTCGACTTCATTAATTCATTTGAAAGACATCAACTACAATTTAAAAAAACAAAACAAAAACAGAAAAGGTGGTTTGCAATTTTTTTCACTTCATGAGACTATAATTTATTTCCCTGGGTAGGCCACACAAATCCTTAAGAACATGGACTTTCCCCCATACAAGGCTGTGAACCGTGCACACAGAGATGCTCGATAAATGGTACCGAATCCTCTCCTTCAGCACCTGGTCCTCTCTGGCAGTCTCCATTCTCTTACCTCTCACTGCCCCCTCTACTTCTCTGAACCTGCAGTCC
The DNA here is from genome assembly GCF_000001405.40 of Homo sapiens. Taxonomy (NCBI): domain Eukaryota; kingdom Metazoa; phylum Chordata; class Mammalia; order Primates; family Hominidae; genus Homo; species Homo sapiens. The sequence continues at coordinate 92,109,716 of NC_000014.9, read as the reverse complement.
CCAAAGTCACCAATGGTCTCCATAGCAACAAAATTTAGTGGGCTCTTATACGACCTTATATTGCTTGACTTCTTGGCAGCAACTGACACTGACTACCCCTTGAAGCATCCCCTGCCCAGGCCTTCCACAATGTCACACTCTCTTGCTTCTCCTCCCTCCTCCTTGGTTATTGCTTCTCCTATCCTCACGGCTCAGCTCTAGCCCTCTTCTCAATCACTTCCTTTTCCCTAAAATGATTTTATTCACTCCTATGGTTTCAGTTACTTTTTTTTTTTTTTTTTTTTGAGACACAGTTTCACTCTGTTGTCCAGGCTGGAGTGCAATAGCACGATCTTGGCTCACTGCAACCTCTACCTCCCGGTTCAAGTGATTCTCCTGCCTCAGCCTCCTGAGTAGCTGGGATTATAGGCATGAGCCACCACGCCCGGCTAATTTTTGTATTTTTGTAGAGATGAGGTTTCACCATGTTGGCCAGCCTGGTCTTGAACTCCTGGCCTCAAGAGATCTGCCTGCCTCAGCCTCCCAAAGTGCTGGGATTACAGGCATGCACCACCACAATGGCCTTAGCTATCTGTTTTTTAATGACAATTCCTCATTGAGTTCAAAGCAGCCTCCTGAACTTCAGACTCGGTATCCAACCATTACTCAACATAATTACTCAAATGTCCATAGATATTTCAAATTCAGTATCTCCAAAATGTAAACTCTATCTTATTCTCTTCCCAAAACCTTGCTGCTCCTCCCATGTTTCTGCTCTCAATACCACTCCTGCCACAGTGGCTGCCCAGGTCACAAACCCAGAAGTCACCTTCACATTTCTGTCTCCTACCTTCCCCAATCCCTCATTGTGGTAGGAGTTATTAAGAAATTATTTTAGGCAGATAGAGAGGAAAAGGGGTCCTTGAAAAGTTTTTGTCTCTTTTGAAGCAGCTCCTGAGACGTTTCCTGTCTAGCATAAAAGCCCTGACTTTTAGACCCGAGCTGGCAACGTTTGATATGCAAATGCCGGCAGTTAGAAACTGGGTCCACCAACACGGTGATTCCCACCATCGTCCTCTTGCCCTTGTTCTCACAAGTGCCTGGCAACATGGCCACCCCCACATATCCCCACATGAGTAGAACATCATAGCGCCCTGCATTTGCATATTAAAAGGCTAGGGTGGAATGGCCAGTTTTATTAGGGGGCTACATGAATGACATGCGTGGTCAAACCAGTCCCCTGAGCCCTATGCAAATCAGACACCGCCTCCTGCATCCTCCTCCTATAACTGGCTGGTATCTCCCACGCACTCTGGGTCTCCTCTCTCAGCTTTGGAGCACCCATCCCTCTGTCTCTGTACAGGGGAGCTGCTTCTTTCTTTCTTCTCCCTTCCTTCTTGCTTATTAAACTCTCCGCTCCTTAAAACCACTCCACGTTTGTCCATGTCGTTTTATGTAATTCGACTCAAGACGAAAAAGGCTAGTATTCCTCCACTCGGTATCATCACCACATTCTGTTGAGTCTCTTTACGTCCAAAGAATCTCTCAAAATGGGCTATTTCCATCTTTAAGACACTCTCTTAAACCACCATCGTCTCTCCCAAGATTCCTTCAACAGCAACTGCTTTTTTCTGCAGCCAGTGATCTTTCTAAAAGGCAAACATGACCACATGTCTTCTTTTAAAATATTTATATAGCTCCCCACATCCTTTAAAAGGTACACTTTGGCCAGGTGCGGTGGCTCACGCCTGTAATTCCAGGACTTTGGGAGGCCAAGGCAGGTGGATCACCTGAGGCTGGGGGTTCGAGACCAGCCTGGCCAACATGGTACAACCTCTTCTCTACTAAGAATACAAAAATAGTTGGACTTCGTGGTGCACGCCTGTAATCCCAGCTGTTTGGGAGGCTGAGGCAAGAGAATCACTTGAACCCAGGAAGCAGAAGTTGCAGTGAGCGGGGAGATTGTGCCACTGCACTCCAGCCTGGGGGACAGAGAGAGGGCCGTCTCAAAAAAAAAAAAAAAAAAAGTACACCTTAATCTGGTTTCAAGGTGCAAGATCTGCACCTATCCTTCCATTTAAGTTTCATCAAACCGCTGCTACCTCCCCGTCTCCCACACAATTTATGGGACTTCTAAGTTCCCTCTAAAGGGTCCGAACACCTACACTGGTAACAAGCCACCTGGATTTGAATCCTGGCAAGACAACTTACTATCTGACCTTGGACATTGTGCTGTTCTTAACCTCTCCGTGCCTCGGTTTCCTCATGTGTATGAATAACATCAACACCTACATCAAAGTTTGCTGTATTAAATTTGATAATATATGCAAAGCATTTAGAAAAGTGCCTAGCTCATAGAAAGCCTTATGTAAATATTAACTATCATTTTTTTTCTTTTTTGGGGTGGTGGGGGAGGGGTTTCGCTTTTGTTGCCCAGGCTGGCGTGCAATGGCACGATCTCGGCTCACCACAACCTCGGCCTCCCGGGTTCAAGCGATTCTCCTGCCTCAGCCTCCCGAGTACCTGGGATTACAGGCATGCACCACCACGCCCGGGTAATTTTGTATTTTTAGTGGAGACGGGGTTTCTCCATGTTGGTCAGGCTGATCTCAAACTCCCGACCTCAGGTGATCCGCCCGCCTCGGCCTCCCAAAGTGCTGGGATTACAAGCGTGAAGCACCTCGCCCGGCCTAGCTATCATTTTTATACAAGTGCTGGGTTTTGGGAGAATGTAATGATGGCTTTTTTCTTACTAAACTTTCAGTGCAGGAGGAGGAGAAAGAAAGTAAATAGTTATATGAACACAGTAGAAAGTCAAAGTGGAAAACAAAAAGAACATAGAACCCAGGTGAGCGGTCCAGACCTCCCCCCAGAAACCTAAGAATCCATAGAAATGGGTGGGAAGCGGAGAAGATCCTCCAGACAGCAGGTGGCGATGTAGCATCCCCCAGAAGGCCCGCTAACAGAAGCTAGGAGGACGCGCTACCAAGGTCACGTGTCCCCGGCGTTCACTCGCTCTTCGCTTCACGACACTCGCATCCTCACGGGTGATTGGTCTGCGTGCGGCACGTGGGCGGGGTACCGGGGCGGGCCGGGGAGGGGCGGGGTGGGCGGAGGAGAGGGGCAGGGGGCGGAGCTGGAGGGGGTGGTTCGGCGTGGGGGCCGTTGGCTCCAGACAAATAAACATGGAGTCCATCTTCCACGAGAAAGTGAGTGTCCGCGTTCGGTGGGGAGCTGTCTGCCGCGCGGTGGCGGGCGTGGAGCGCGGCATCACCGCCTCTCGGAGGGCTGGGTGGGGCCCGAGTCGCCCCCATGCCGATCTCGCCCGGCGAGGGGCGACGCCGCAGCCTCCCGCCTCCTCGGCTCGAGGAGGGGAGCATCACCTACGCCCCTACTTCCCCCGCGGCCCCCGCCCTGGGAGCCGGGAGGGAGTATGGGCGGGGCCGGGGGCGTCTCGGGACACGGGAGTGGGGTGGCGCCCAGTGGGTTTGCTTCTGCCTTTCTCCGTCACTTTCCATCGCTTTTCGGAGGATTCCTTCACCCCTCCCCAATCCTTCCCTCTCCCTAGGGTCTAGCTAGAGTCATCTCTGGGACACCTCCCTCAACCCCTCCTACCCTAATCCTGGCAGAATTAACTTTTCCTCCTCCGGACTGCTCAATTCTATATTGGAGTCTTCCCTACACGTAGATCTTTGGGGTCTTGTTCGTGTCTTTCCCCTGCACTAGGTCCGCGAGCCTCCCGAGGGAGGAGACCTTGGCTCGCCCACTGTAGGGCCTGACATTTAGGAAGTGAAGTAGGAAACCCGGCGTGCCCCTAAACAGGGAAGTCGTCACAAGAGTTTTTATTACGGGATGTTTGGGTTTGGTTTCTTTTGGTACTCCCATCTTTCCGGAGCAGGCGGCCAGCTTTGTTTTTAGGTATTAGGAGTGGACTGGGATGATTTTGTTGTAGTCTGCCTAGCCTGCTGTCCCTTTAACTCTTCCGTGACCATGCACTTGAAGATACTGTTTGTGATATGTAAAGAAACTCCTCGTTTCTCTCATACTATTATCCAGCCATTTGTGTGTGAGTGAAGCCTTCCCCAGGACAGCTTTGGCACATGGTATCATGTTTCATAATAGTTTCGTGTTTGGAAAGAGTTGCTGGTAAGGCTGTTATTTAATAGGAGGAGCAAAGGGTTTTTGTTTTATTAAATACTTATAAATGATCATTTATCCCAGACATTTAAAATTCACACACACACAACAAATAAAGCAAAGACAAAAGAATACATTTACCAAATGTAAATCTGTAGCATAAATTTTTTTTAATTTTTATTTTAAAGATGGGGTCTCATTCTGTCACCCAGGCAGGTGTGCAATGGAGAGATCATGGCTCACTGCAGCCTTGATCTCCTAGGCACAAGCGATCCTCCCGCCTCTGCCTCCAGAGTAGCTGGGACTACAGGTGCATATCGCCAGGGCCAGGTAATGTTTTTGGGAGAGACGGGGTCTCGCTGTGTTGCCCAGGCTGGTCTCGAACTCCTGGACTCAGGTGATTCTCCCACCTCGGCCTCTCGAAGTGCTGTGATTACAGGCGTGAGCCACTGTGCCTGGAACAAATTGTTAAGTACAATGCTTTTCATTGTAGAAAACATCTCGGAAACTTTTGAAATAGGCTGATGTTCAGTGGGGGAGGAAGGACTCAGTCGTATAGTTGTCACTAATTTTTTGACTTGATTGACATGACTCGTAAATCATAGACAATAGAGATTTGGTTGCTTGGCTGAGTAGAGTGCGTGAAAAATACACACGTACTTTTTTTTTTTTTTTTTTGAGATGGAGTTTGGCTCTTGTCACCCAGGCTGGAGTGCAATGGCGCCATCATGGCTCACTGCAACCTCCGCCTCCCCGTTCAAGCGATTCTCCTGCCTCAGTCTCCCCAGTAGCTGAGATTACAGGCGCCCGCCACCACGCCCAGCTAATTTTTGTATTTTTAGTAGAGACAGGGTTTCACCATGTTGGCCAGGCTGGTCTCCAACTCCTGACAGGTGGTCCGCCCGCCTCGGCCTCCCAAAGTGCTGGGATTACAGGCGTGAGCCACCGCACCCGGCCATATTTTTGTTATTAATTTTCAAAGGCTTTGGTGTGGGACCACATTTCAACATGGAAGGCCTTAAACATGTTCCACACTACTTCCTGAGAATTAGACAAGATTTTTAACAATATTGTTACCTAGTTGGGACACATTTGTACTGACCCATGGGATGAAAAAAAGCTGAGTGCTAGCCTAGTGAAAATCTACTTACCCGAAAGAAATCCCTCTTAGTCTGGGTGCAGTGGCTCACACCAGTGCTTTGGGAGGCCCAGACGGGCGGATCATGAGGTCAGTAGTTTGAGACCAGCCTGGCCAACATGGTGAAACCCCGTCTCTACTAAAAATACAAAAAATTAGCCAGGTGTGGTGGCAGGCGCCTGTAATCCCAGGTACTCTGGAGGCTGAGGCAGGAGAATTGCTTGAACCCGAGAGGCAGAGGTTGCAGTGAGCCGAGACCGTGCCACTGCACTTCAGCCTGGGCAACAGAGCGAGACTCCGTCTCAAAAAAAAGAAAAGGAAAAAAGAGTCCCTCTTAATTATCAGCATGTGTATAGGCCTACAGATACTTCAGGAATACCTTTACCATTATCATCAACTTGTATCTACATAGCATGTGAAGATTCAACAATTTAGTTTTTTGGGCGTCCTCAAGAGTACGCACCTATAACCATATGGCCCAATTGTTAATCTCCTATACAGTCCATTCTGGGAATGTTTGGGCTTACTGTGCCATTTTTCCGTTCACTGCCTTCCCCTCTGCAATATACCTTTAACCCTTGCTAGGTCCTGGGTTTGGAGAGCCAGAGAACCAACTTTGGCCCTAAAGAAGCTGTGTAGGTAGCAATATCTGCCTACGAAGGGCCTTGCAACCATTTCCTCTTGGAACCTTGGTTTCCTCTTTCTGAGTAGTCACTTTGAGTACCCTTTATTAAGTTAGAATGTAAAAACAGTTTCTCACTGATATATCTGCAGTGCCTGAGAGAGGGCCTGGCACAGAGTAAGTACTCAATAAATATTTGAATGGGGCCGGGCGTGGTGAGACCTGTCTCTACAAGAATGAACAAAATTAGCTGGGCGTGTTAGCACATGCCTGTAGACTTGGGAGGCTGAGGTGGGAGGATTGCATGAGTCTGGGAGGTCGAGGCTGTAGTGAGCCATGATCGCACCACTGCACTCCAGCCTAGGGGACAGAGCAAGATCCTGTCTCAAAAGAAAAAAATGTATATATTTGAATGGATAAAGAGATGGCTTTGAGTTTCTGAGATATATATGGTGCTGTTTATCTAAAGTAAACAAGTTTTCTGTAAATATTTTAAGGCTTTGCAGGCCAGCTGTAGTCTCTGTCACACATTCTTATTTGTGCATGTTTTTCCCAACCATGTAAAAATGTAAAGTGCATTCTTAGCTACTGGGGCAGGTTGAATTTGGCCCATGGGCTAGAGTTTGCCAACCCCTAACTTAAACCTTTGTACTAACTTTATGACCACTACTGGATTTTTGTTGTTGTTTGTTTTAGTTCTGGTGCCTGCTTTGTTTTTTTTTTTTTTTTTAATCCTCTTGCTGATGTTTCTTGGTGCAGTTACTGTGCCATTTGTATTGGTGCTTTTAATGTAATGCAAACTGGTAATAATATCTAAACTTGCTGGGGTTGTACATAAAATTATTGAAAAGATTGAAAAGATGCTGAGCATTGACTCTGTGGCATTCATTATGCCCTTTTGTGATTGCTGGATTTTAGCCATCTTTAGGACATTTGAGCTTTAGGAGAAGCCAAATTCTGTATAAATGACTTGAAGTGCTAATAGCACAGGTTTTGAAACCTCTGCCTGGGTTTGAGTCTCAGCTCTGCCTTTTACTACCTGTGTGATCCTGAGCAAGTTACTTAGTATCCCTGTCCTCTAGTTTCCTCCTCTGTAGTGTGGGGATAATAACATAGACATAACCTGAGAGTTAGAGTGTAGAGAAGGCTCCCTGGCAGATAGTGCTGTAGAAGTACTGGCCATTGCCATTACTCAGGTGCTTGTGTTTGCTGAACCTCATAGTAAGGGCTCGGAGAGCACTAAGAGGAGGTGAGAAATGCTGCTAGATTGACAGCTTGTCCCCAGATAGCCCATTCCCGAGAGCACCTTAGGTTTATACCTGATTTGTGTTGTAGTTAGTAGTGTCTCTGGTAATTTGAACTAGTTTCAGGTTGGTCTTGAAAACCTGGGGAGGTTGGGGGTAAATGATTTGGTAGCAGTTCTCTTTTGTGATTTTATACATTATCTTTGTAGAACTGCAGTTTGCTAATTCTCTGAGCCCAACACAATGAAGTCTGGGCCTAAAATCATAGAATTTCTTTTATTTTTTTTTTTGTTTTTAATTTATTTATTCCCTCCCTCCCTCCTTTCTTCCTTTCTTCCTTTTCTTTCTTTCTTTCCTTCCTTCCTTCCTTCTTTCTTTTCTTTCTTTCTTTTCTTTCTTTGGAGTCTCACTCTGTCACCAGGCTGGAGTGCAGTGGCACGAACTTTCTTCAGAGTCTCACTTTGTCACCAGGCTGGAGTGCAGTGGCGCGAACTCAGCTCACTGCAACCTCCGTCTCCTGAGTTCAAGAGATTCTCCTGCCTCAGCCTCCCGAGTAGCTGGGACTATAGGCATGTGCCACCATGCCCAGCTAATTTTCTTATTTTTAGTAGAGACGAGGTTTCACCATGTTGGCCAGGATGGTCTTGATCTCTTGACCTCGTGATCCACCTGCCTCAGCCTCCCAAAGTGCGGGGATTACAGGCGTGAGCTACCACGCCCAGCCTATTTTTTATTTTTTGAGGCAGAGTCTCACTCTGTCACCCAGGCTGGAGTGCAGTGGTGCAATCTCAGCTCACTGCAACCTCCGCCTCCTGGGTTCAGGTGATTCTCCTGCCTTAGCCTCCTGAGCACCTGGGACTACAGGCGCCTGCCACCACACCTGGCTAATTCTTATATTTTTAGTAGAGGCGGGGTTTCACCATGTTGGCCAGGCTGGTCTCGAACTCCTGATCTCAAGTGATCAACCTGCCTTGGCCTCCCAAAGTGCTGGAATTACAGCCATGAGCCACCATGCCCAGCCAAATCATGAGATTTCAATACCGCTGAACTTTGATTATGGCAAAGTGAACTTCTGCTTTGATTAAAGCTTGATGAGAGAGGTGGCTGGGGATAGTTTGAGATAAGGGCAAGGCAGGAAAATGCATAATCTTACGTGGGCTCATTGTCATTGTACAATTCTTTTGGTCCATGTGGAATTTGATCCGTCCTATGACTTAAGTTATGTTTATTTTTGTTTTTATTTTTATTTATTTTGTGTCTTTTTGAGAGACATGATGTTGCTCTGTCACCTGGGCCAGAATACAGTGGCACAATCTTAGCTCCGTGTAGCCTTGAACTCCTGGGCTCAAGTGATCCTCCCACCTCAGCCCCTCAAACAGTTGAGATTATAGTATGAACCACTGTGCCTAGCCTTAAGTGATTTTTAAATTTGTACTGAACAGTTTGTCCTTTCCTTCCATTAAATCATATTAGAAGTACAGAACTTGATATTTCCTGTAGCAATACAGTTTTTCTTTGATGAAGTTTGATTTCAAGTACTTATTTTTCATAATTTAAAGCTATTTTTTATAGAGAGAATTTTAATCAAATATTTGGATGTCACTATTGCTATATATGGTATTAAGTATGGTGACCATAGTTTGTAAACTCCAAACTGACAGCAAGACAGGAAATTTGTGTTAGCAAAGGCTTTTTTCTTACTGTTTGAATTTTTTAAAAATTAGATACAATACAGAGAGGAGCACACAAATCATTAAGAGTACAGCTCAGCGAATTTTCACACAGTGAACATGTGTAAACAGCAAGTAACAAAAGATTTACCTGCATCCTATAACCTCCCATTATTCCCTTTTCTAGGTACTGTCTCTCCACTGCATTCCCACCAAATATAACCACTATGCTGAATTCTGACATCATAAATGAGTTTTGCCTGATTTTGAGCTTTTGTGACTGGAAGTGTACAGTGTATATACCCTTTCGATTCTGTCCTCTTTAGTTTACCATTGTTTGAGAAATTTATCCATACTGTTCCAGAATTAACTACTGTTAATTATTGTTAATTAACTACTGTTGTAGTTAATTCATCCTCATTGTTATCTAGTATTCTTTTGTGAGTAAACACAATTTCCATTCTACTGTGATCCCAGCTATCCATTTGGGTCGTTTCCAGTTTGGGGTCCATTACAAATAGTAATGCTATCTGTAATGCTATTTTGTATTACTACAAATAGTAATGCTATTTGTGGCACAAAAATACTGCTTTTGTGAACATTCTTATACATGTCTTTTGATGAATGTATGTTTGCATTGCTGTTGTTTACATTATGTACCTAGTAATGGAATTGCTAGATCATAGGAGATGTATATATTAAGCTTTAGTGGATGCATTACATAATTATTAGTTATTATTGGTTATACCAATTTATCCTCTCATCAGTAGTATACAACAGTTTCTGTATCTCTAATCTCCAACATTTTAGCCATTTTAGAGTTTGTGTACTAACACATTGTGGTTTTAATTTACATTTCCCTGATGACTAATAAAGTTGAGTACCTCTTTTGTGTTCTTTATAGCCATTTGACTGTCTTGTGAAGTGCTTGTTTGTCTTGCCTATTTTTCTTTTCTTTCTTTCTTTTTCTTCCTTCCTTCCTTTCTTTCTTTCTTCTTTCTTTCCTTCCTTCTTTTCTTTCTTTCTGTCTTTCTTTCTTGTCTTTCTTGTCTTTCTGTCTTTCTTGGTCTTGCCCTGTCACCCATGCTGGAGTGCAGTGGTGCAGTCTCAGCTTACTGTAGCCTCGACCTTTTTGGGGCTCAAGTTATCCTCCTTTCTCAGCCTCCCAAGAAGCTGGACTACAAGCACGCACCACCATGCTCAGTTAATTTTTTATTTTTTGTAGAAATGGGGTTTCACCATGTTGTCCAGGCTGGTCTCAAACTTCTGGGCTCAAGTAATCCTCCTGCCTTGGCCTCCCAAAATGCTGGGATTACAGGCATGAGCCACCGCAGCCAGCCTTGGCTATTTTTCAAAAGGATATAAGTAGAACATCTGTATATCCCTTCAATTTGCATATTATTCAGTAAGAGTTGCACTCTGGTAGTAGAAATATATAAGGAGGAGAAAGAAGTGGAAACAAAAAGTCTATTCTCATGAGAAGACTTGGGGGATAGTGTTCTCTCTAGCTCCAAGCTACTTATTCCTTACGAAAAGTTGAAGATAAACTTATCTCAGACTGAGGCTGTCTCAATGTTGTCTTCCTATTCCATTATACACATATAACCCATATTTTTTTCACCAGCTGAATTTTGCTCCTAGAAAATTGATTCATCAGGAAAAATATCCGTCTTGCAAGGTGGTTCTCTTTAGAGTCTGCTGTGTGACATAGCTCAGGACAAATTGTGTGATGTCAGATAGGTTGGGTTAAGGAATAGACCTTATTGGGGAAAGAGAGAACTTGGAGGGCCAAGGTTAGCAGGAGAAGGAAATGTTCTCTCATCTGCCGTCAATTCAGGGAGGGGCAAACCTGGTGTCTGTGTTCACAGGGAGGGATCCATCCATCTGTGATTCTCCCTTCTTATCAGGTAGCATGGGAAAGCTACACTGTTGCGGGGAGGAGGGTCACACGCAGGCTACTTAGTACCAGGCACCCTGGACTTGGATTCAGGTTGCCAGTTGTGTGAGAAACTGCCCAGCACCTGAAGGCCCTGAACCCATGAGAAGTTGTACCTACCTCCCATGAGGAGGAATCCTGTCATCCCATGGGAGCTGAGCTTGGGTGCAGTCCCTCTTGCTGGCTTGTCCAGGAGTGAGCTCCAGGGTTGTTTGGGACAGTTCTGCTCATTGCTTTACACTGTGTATACATTATCTGTAGAGTTCCATGAAGAGAACTTCAGCACTGTAACTGCAAGTTTTAACATGGAACAGAATTTTTCTCACCTGTATTAATTCTTAAGATTTGAAGTTCTATCAACAAGCATTTAGATTGTGTGGAGATTTTTTTATTTTTATTTTTGGAGACAGAGTCTTGCTCTGTTACCCAGACTGGAGTGGCAGTGGCATGGTCTTGGCTCACTGCAGGCTCTACTTCCTGGGTTCAAGCGATTCTCATGCCTCAGTGTCCTGATTAGCTAGGACTACAGGTACACACCACCATGCTGGCTAATTTTTGTATTTTTAGTAGAGACGAGGTTTCACCGTATTGGTCAGGCTGGTCTCGAACTCCCAGCCTCAAGCAGTCCACCCACCTCGGCCTCCCAAACTGCTGGGATTACAGGTGTGAGCCACCATGCTTGACTGACATCATCATGTTAAAAGAATAAATGTTCTAGGGAGCTGGGCACAGTGTCATGTTTCTGTAGTTCTAGCTGCTCGGGAGGCTGAGGCAGGAAGATCCCTTGAGCCCTGGAGTTCAAGTCCAGCCTGGGCAACATAGTGAGATCTCTTTTTTTAAATAAATAAATAACTGTTCTAGGGACTAAAATTTCCTTTCACCATTAGTAATTTACTGTAGAATCTCCAAGAATGAACTTATTTTAGGTACTGAAAATGAGGGAGACTAAATGTTTTATACAGTAGTTTTTAGTAAAATATGAGATTTGATGCATTTGATAGATGATGTTTGTTTAAAATAATTCTTAAATTTTTGATCATGTAATTATAGTTTCATTAATGGTAGATTTGTAAAATAAATGTTACCAAATGAAAATGCATGTACCTATGTTAATTATCCTTATCTAAAGCTGAAAGTTCAGTTCAACTATGTTAAAACATAGTAGGGGCCTGGCAGGGTGGCTCTTGCCTGTAATCCCAGAACTTAGGGAGGCCAAGGTGGGCAGATCACGAGGTCAGGAGATCGAGACCATCCTGGCTAACATTGTGAAACCGTATCGCTACTAAAAATACAAAAAATTAGCCGGGCATGGCGGTGGGCACCTGTAGTCGCAGCTACTTGGTAGGCTGAGGCAGGAGAATGGCGTGAACTCAGGAGGCAGAGCTTACAGTGAGCCGAGATCATGCCACTGCACTCCAGGCTGGGTGACAGAGCAAGACTCCATCTCAAAAAAAAAAAAAAAGTTGGCCAGGTGTGGCGGCTCACACCTGTAATCCCAGCACTTTTGGAGGCCGAGGCAGGCGGATCACAAGATCAGGAGTTTGAGACCAGCCTGGCTAACAGAGTGAAACCCTGTATATACTAAAAATACAAAAATTAGCCAGGCATGGTGGTGCATGCCTGTAGTCCCAGCTACTTGAGAGGCTGAGGCAGGAGAATCACTTGAACCCGGGAGGCGGAGGTTGTGGTAAGCTGAGATTGCTCCACTGCACTCCAGCCTGGACAACAGAGCAAGACTCTGTCTCAAAAAAAAAAAAAATTAATGATTAAATTATTTAGGGGAGCCGGGCGCAGTGGCTCACGCCTGTAATCCCAGCACTTTGGGAGGCCAAGGCGGGCGGATCACGAGGTCAGGAGATCAAGACCATCCTGGCTAACACAGGATGAAACCCCGTCTCTACTAAAAATACAAAAATTTAGCCGGGCGTGGTGGCGGGTGCCTGTAGTACCAGCTACTCGGGAGGCTGAGGCAGGAGAATGGCATGAACCCGGGTGGCGGAGCTTGCAGTGAGCCAAGATAGCGCCACTGCACTCCGGCCTGGGTGAAAGAGTGAGACTCCGTCTCAAAAAAAAAAAAAAATTATTTAGGGGAAGATACTATACAATTCTGTTTAACAAGTCACATTTTAATTTTTTCTTTTGGAAATATTAGCAAGAAGGCTCACTTTGTGCTCAACATTGCCTGAATAACTTATTGCAAGGAGAATATTTTAGCCCTGTGGAATTATCCTCAATTGCACATCAGCTGGATGAGGAGGAGAGGATGAGAATGGCAGAAGGAGGAGTTACTAGTGAAGATTATCGCACGTTTTTACAGGTACTGATTTTAAACTCACTAAGTCACATTTCTTTTTTTTTTTTTTTTTTGAGACGGAGTCTCGCCCTGTTGCCCATGCTGGAGTGCAATGGCGCGATCTCGGCTCACTGCAACCTCTGCCTCCCGGGTTCAAGCGATTCTCCTGCCTCAGCCTCCCAAGTAGCTGGGATTACAGGCACACGGCACTATGCCCGGCTAATTTTTTGTATCTTTGTTAGAGATGGGGTTTCACCATGTTGGTCAGGTTGGTCTCAAACTCCTGACCTTATGATCCACCTGTCTTGGCCTCCCAAAGTGCTGGGATTATAGGTGTGAGCCACCACACCCGGCTTACATTTCTTTTAAAAATGTGGATACCATTTAGAAAAGGATGGGCCATTCTTCCTATAGGGATCTGACTGGTGAATTATAACTGTGCTGTTAACTTTGGAAATGGGAATGCACAAGATATTGTTTTAAATATGCACGCTAATGACAGTTTGTATCCTTCTTTCCCCACCCCCACCCTTGCTTCAACTACCTGTCAAAATTAACAGCAGCCTTCTGGAAATATGGATGACAGTGGTTTTTTCTCTATTCAGGTAAGTAGTCACAAGCATGTACTATGTGTTGCTTACATCCCAGGCACCGTTTCACAGCCTTTCAATAGTCACTGTAACAAGGCGACCTTCGGAAGTTCTTCTGTCTACAGAGTATAGATTATACTCTAGAGTACTAGATTTTTTTTTTCTTGAGACAGAGTCTCGTTCTGTCACCTAGGCTGGAGTGCAGTGGCGTGATCTTGGCTCACTGTAGCCTCTGCCTCCCGGGTTCAAGCGATCCTCCTGCCTCAGCCTCCCAAGTAGCTGGGATTACAGGCACCCGCCACCACACCAGTTAATATTTGTATTTTTAGTAGAGATAGTGGGGTTTCACCGTGTTGGCCAGTCTGGTCTCCAACTCCTGACCTCAGCCTCCCAAAGTGCTGGGATTACAGGTGTGAGCCACTGCACCTGGCCAACTAGAGTACTAGATTTTTATATAGATAAACATGAAAGGATTGTAGAATCTTCATATTAGAGTGGGGCATTTAAAAATTCCTTCTTGAGAAAGATTAATTTGCATCTGGATGCTAATAATAACCTTAATTCTGGCCGGGCGCGGTGGCTCACACCTGTAATCCCAGCACTTTGGGGAGGCCGAGGTGGGCGGATCACGAGGTCAGGAGATTGAGACCATCCTGGCTAACATGGTGAAACCCCGTCTCTACTAAAAATACAAAAATTAGCTGGACGTGGTGACACGTGCCTGTAATCCCAGCTACTCGGGAGGCTGAGGCAGGAGAATCGCTTGAACCAGGGAGTCGTAGGTTGCAGTGAGCCAAGATCGCGCCACTGCACTCTAGCCTGGTGACAGAGCGAGACTCCATCTCAAAGAAAAAAAGAAATCCTTAATTCTAATAAGTCACAATGTCTCAAACTTACCATCTGTTGGGTAAATTTGAGAAAATGCAATACCTTGCTACCATCCTTTTAAATCAGCCTACCAGACTGGATTTCCTTATTATGGTTTGTGGCTTTTGATTTTTTTTTTTTAATGTATAGCTCTCTTTGAATTCTTTGGTGGTTATATATATATGTACTCGCAAGATTCTTTTATCTGTGGGTCTTTCATTCTTTTTCTAACACTGTGAGTTGTATCCAGAGTACTTTCGGAACCTCTCCTGAGCGACCTATCTCTGCAGATATCTTTGTTTATGTTTCCCTTGTACTGCCCTCCTGGACTCTTCCTCATCCACCAGCATTTCCATCTAGTGCTTTACCGTGCCACTGCTAACAGGTAATGGCTACTGCAGGGCTGAAATCAGAGGCCAGAGTAGGCCCAGCACTTGGCGTTTCCTATTTGTGCCTTGCTGCTCTTGGTGCCTGTTCATGTGTGCCCACTACCTTGCACTCAATTTCTGTCTTTGCTGGTACCTGGCTCACTTGCTTCTTTGTTGGCTACCTTGGAGGGCAGATAGTGAATTTTCAGAAATTTCCCTTTTTTTGTCAGACAGATTGAAATAAACAGGTTTGCATTTTGTTTTTTCTACAAGCGGCAAGCCCATGACCCTAGAAGTCTGACATCTATGGAACCTTCAGTTTAAATGCCCAGGGAGAACTTATTTTGGTAGATATGATTTCTGACATTGCAGGTAGCAAGTTGAATATAATTTTTCTAAAGTAGCACCCACAGCAGCCAAATTATCAGATGTATATAGTAGACTAGTTTTAAGAAAAGCACTTATGGGTAGAATATACATCTGGATTTTTGAGGCAGTTTTATTTAGGAATTGTGTGGTTTTCTGGAACATCTCAGAGACCTGGTATGAAAAGCACTCTTCTAATATATATGTGTTTTTTTTTATGGATTTAGTGATATATCTATACACACACACTTTTTAAAACCTATAGCCGGCTGGGCGTGGTGGCTCATGCCTGTAATCCCAGTACTTTGGGAGGCCCAGGCGGGTGGATCACAAGGTCAGGAGATTGAGACCAGCCTGGCCAACAAGGTGAAACCCTGTCTCTACTAAAAATACAAAAATAGCTGGGTGTGGTGGCGTGTGCTTGTAATCCCAGCTACTCGGGAGCCTCAGGAGGAGAATCGCTTGAACCTGGGAGGCGGAGGTTGCAGCGAGCCGAGATCGTGCCACTATACTCCAGCCTGGGCGACAGAGCAAGACTCTGTCACAAAAAAAAAAAAAAAAACCTATAGCCTTCTAGAGAAATTTATATATGAAGTACACAACTAACATAGCTACACTTCCTAAATTTGGAATGGAGTGGTTTAGCTTATGAAAAGTTGCTATTTTTCTTAACAGGTTATAAGCAATGCCTTGAAAGTTTGGGGTTTAGAACTAATCCTGTTCAACAGTCCAGAGTATCAGAGGCTCAGGATCGATCCTATGTAAGATTCTGTTTTGCATTTCATACATTTCTTTTCCCAAATTTGATTTTTAAAGTTGTAATTTCTTAAAGAAGAGAAATACATTTTGAATACTTTTGTTTTGATGTTCCCTGTTTCATTCACTCAGACTTTCCTATTTCACCTTTGTGATGTCCATGAGCATCTGCCCTGTAGCCTTCCTGGCACCCCAGTGTCTGTGGCAGCACAGAGCTGACCCCATAAGTGGTGCATGAGGCCATCTTGTGGCACAGCATCACTAAGCTGCTGCAGAGACGTTCATATGGTTGTGTGATCTTTTAAAAACATCAGTGACACTTAACTATAAATATAATCTTAAATTATCACAAATTTTATATAATATTTGCCAGTAGACAACATAAATATGAATTCAATATTTCAAGTTAATATTGTCTGTTTTCTTTTTTAGAAATGAAAGATCATTTATATGCAATTATAAGGAACACTGGTTTACAGTTAGAAAATTAGGAAAACAGGTAACATTTCTTACCCTTCCTTGTCTTTTTTTCTTATATTGTACCCCATTTAAAACTAAAATGTGGGCCAGGTGTGGTGGCTCATGCCAACAGTTTGGGAGGCTGAGGTGGGGGGATCACTTGAAGCCAGGAGTTTGAGACCAGCCTGGGCAACAAAGGGAGGTCCTGTCTCTTAAAAAAAAAATAAAAATAAAAATAAAAATAAATAAAAAAAAAAACAAAGAGCCAGGCATGGTGGCTCACATCTGTAATTCCAGCTTACTTGGAAGGCTGAGTCAGAAGGATCACTTGAGCTCAGGAGTTTGAGGCTGCAGTGAACTATGATTTTGTCACTGTACCCCAGCCTGGGTGACAGAGTAAGACTGTTCTATAAAACATAAAAATAAAAAAAATATATTTAAAAATTAAAAAAAAAAAAGGATTGCTGACTTTAAAATTAGGAAACTGACCAGTAATGTGTGTGTGTGTAGCATGGTTTATCCTTCTTGATAGATAGAAATTGTCATTTTAAAAGATAATATCAGTTTTCCTTATAAATTTATTTGTGACAAGTATATGCAATTTAACTATATCATAAGAAAAATTCTATATTAAAGATAATACAAATGTGGTTACTTTTAAGTGGGTTTTTATGTGATGACTATGTTCTGTCAGTTAATTATTACATTTATAGATTTGTATTTAGCATAGTGCTGTCACAAAGCCTGAAATAGTGTCAAGCATGAATAAAGCATTCAATTATGTTTGCTTTAGTGTAAGATTATTCATTATGATTCCAAAAGCCATGTAATACGTACGTCTACAGAAAATCACTTCTATTTTTTAAATAAAACATGAAATATGTCTTGAGCAAGCTATTTTAAGAAACAATCATTTAACGTCCTTGTTATTAGAATTTTGAATCTTTGAAAGAGGGTTATTGAAAACCAGCTAGGACAGTAAAAAAGAATAAACTAGTGATACATGCAGCAATATGGATGAATCTCAAAATAATTATGCTGAAAGAATAACCCACAAACAAAATACTACCTGCTGTATGGTATCATTTATTAAAAGTCTAGAAAAGTGCAGATTCATCTGTAGTGATGGAAAGCAGATTGACCAGCGGTTGCCTGGGGACGAGAAGGCTATGGAGGAGTGAGAGGGGAGGGTTACAGAGAGGCACGGGAAACATGGCAATGAGGAATGTGTTCACTATCTTGGTTGTAGTAATGGTTTCATGGGAGTACAGTATACAAATGTGAAAACATTTCAGAGGCCAGATGCAGTGGCTCATGCCTGTAATCCCAGCACTTTTGGAGGCCAAGGCAGGAGGATTGCTTGAGCTCAAGGAGTTCAGGACCAGCCTGGGCAATGGCACAAGACCCCATCTCTAAAAAAAAAATGAAAGAAAAAAAAATTGGCTAGGCGTGGTGATGCATGGCCGTAGTCCCAGGTGCTAGGGAGGCTGAGGAGGGAGCACAGAGGTCAAGCCTGCAGTGAATCATGATCGTGCTACTGCACTCCAGCTTGGGTGACAGAAGGAGATCCTGTCTCAAAAAAAAAGTTTCAAATTATACACTTTAAATATGTGCAGTTTATTATATGTCACTTATACCCCAATAAATCTGTTTTTTTTAAAATGTAAATACAAGCCAAAAAAGGTATAAGTCAAGAAAATATATTGAATTAAATCTGTAAGAGATAATTCAAAAACAAAAACCCTATTGTTATCTTTTAAGTCACCCAAATCAAATTTGGGAAAAGTCACCTACTTAGCTTCATCCTAAGTTGGTTCTTTCTTTCTTTCTTTCCTTCTTTTGAGACGGATTCTTGCTCTATCGCCCAGGCTGGATTGCAGTGGCGGGATCTTGGCTCCCTGCAACCTCCGCCACCTGGGTTCAAGCAATTCTCTTGTCTCAGCCTCCCAAATAGCTGTGTCTACAGCCACGCACCACCACACCCAGCTAATTTTTGTATTTTTAGTAGAGACGGGGTTTCGCCATGTTGGTCAGGCTGGTCTTGAACTCCTGACCTCAGGTGATCCGTCCGTCTCTGCCTCTCAAAGTGCTGGGGTTACAGGCGTGAGCCACCATGCCGAGCCCTAAGTTGGTTCTTTCTTAAAGTTCTTCCTGAGGAGCCAAGAGCAAGTTAAGGAGATGTAACCTAGAAGCTTACAGTGGAGGCTAGCTGGGTGCAGTGGTTCACGCCTGTAATCCCAGCACTTTAGGAGGCTGAGGCAGGGAGATCACTGAGGCCAGGAGCTTGAGAGCAGCTTGGCCCAACACAGTGACACCTTGTCTCTACAAAAAAAAAAAAAAAAAAAGGCAGCTTACAGCAGTAGAGGCTGATGCGAGTGGGAATCACCTCTAGGTAAAAACCAGTGTAGCGTACTGCTGAGATTATTTAACCTCTGGGTTTTATTTATGTGTTTTTAAAAATTATGATCCAGTATTTTTTACTTTTTTTTGTATAAAGTAAGCACTGAATTTTTAAGGTTGTATTAATTTGCAAATAAATGTCTATCTTATTATTTTGAGAGATTTAAAAAATTTTAGTTCTTCAAAATTGCATTTTCACATTTTGAATTACGTTATCTTTGACAAATACAGAAGATGTCAAATTTTGGTTTATTTTCTTTGGTTCTAATTTATATTTTTGTTTAAAACTATATTTTTCACTATAGACTCTTTCTGTCTCTCGAGGTCCCTGTATAATGAAAAAGAAGGCTGGAAAAAGTATTAACATTGTCAAAATCCAGGAAAAGTAGTTGGTCATGATATTGATCGTTAACTTTAGAAACTTTTTGTATCTTGTGGGTTAAATTAGGATTACTATGTGGTAGTGATAAATGATGTTAATTAGGGCCGAGTGCAGTGGCTAACACCTGTAATTCCAGCATGTAGGGAGGCTGAGGTGGGAGGATGTCTTGAATCCAGGAGTTTGAGACCAGCCTGTACAACATAGTGTAAGACCCCTTCTCCACACAAAAAAATTAGAAAATTTGTCAAGCATCTTGGTGCACACCTGTAGTCCCAGCTGCTTGGGAGGATGAAGCGAGAGAATCACTTAAGCCCAGGTGTTCGAGGCTGCAGTGAGCTATGATTGCACCACTGCACTCCAGACTAGATGACCATCTCTTTTAAAAAAATGTGTTTATATGTTATATGTGATAGTGCTTTTTAAAAACATTTTTAAATTATAGAGACAGGGTCTCACTATGTTACAGCCCAGGCTGGTCTCAAATTCCTGGGCTCAAGCAATCCTCCCACCTTAGCTAACCTCCCAAAGTGCTCGGATTATAGGCATGAGCTGCATGCCCAGCTAATTTAGTGATTTTTAAAAACTGAGCTGGTAATTATAAATTCTCTTCCTGGAACTTCTGACTTTCTCACAATTGGAATCTTTTGACAAAAATTATCAGTAATGGGAAAACTTTGTGTAGTTGTCATTTTTCCTCCCATCAGTGTGATAGATATGATTGGAGTTATGTTGGACTGATATTTTGAAAAAAGATTTAATTATAGCTATTAATAAAGACATTTAAACTACTGACTATGCATTTTTATTCTTTTGGGAGGGTTTAATGTTTATAGTTTAAAGCAAACTGTTGTTTTTAAAAAAGTATCTAACAGGGCCGGGCGCGGTGGCTCACACCTGTAATCCCAGCACTTTGGGAGGCCTAGGCGGGCGGATCACAAGGTCAAGAGATCAAGACCATCCTGGCTAACATGGTGAAACCCTGTCTCTACTAAAAATACAAAAAAATAGCTGGGTGTGGCGGCGTGCGCCTGTAGTCCCAGCTACTCGGGAGGCTGAGGCAGGAGGATGGCATGAACCCGGGAGGCGGAGCTTGCAGTGAGCCGAGATCGCGCCACTGCACTCCAGCCTGGGCGACAGAGCAATACTCTGTCTAAAAAAAAAAAAAAAAAAAAAAAAAGAGTATTTAGCAGAGGCCAGGTGCAGTGGCTCATGTTTGTAATCCCAGAACTTTGGGAGGCTGAGGCGGGCGGATCATTTGAGGTCAGGAGTTTGAGACCAGCCTGGCCAATGTGGCAAATGTGCTGTCTCTAACTAAAAATACAAAAATTAGCTGGGTGTGGTGGTGCAGACCTGTAGTCCCAGCTACTTGGGAGGCTGAGGCAGGAGAATCACTTGAACCTGGGAGGCAGAGGTTGCAGTGATCCGAGATCATGCCACTGCACTCCAGCCTGGGTTACAGAGTGAGACTCTTCTCAAAAAAAAAAAAAAGTATTTAATAGTGATAAATCTGCAGTATTCTCTTGTAGTTTTTAAGATCATATTATTCAGTCAAAGAAAAGAGCTCAACTTGAAATATTTCCAGAGTTTAAACAATCTTACTAAGCTTTGATGGGTTGTATCTATTCTTAACATGTGAAACTTCCTTATTACCTATAATATACACTAACTTAAATATTGACAATTTTTTTCCAGTGGTTTAACTTGAATTCTCTCTTGACGGGTCCAGAATTAATATCAGATACATATCTTGCACTTTTCTTGGCTCAATTACAACAGGAAGGTAAGTAACGGCTGAACATTTTGTAATGTTACCTTTCGAAGTAGTTAAATAACCAGGCACATTAGATGACAGTGTGATAAAACTGTTTTTCTGGCAGTGGCAGTGAAACAATCTTTAGTTTTGACGTGGTGATAGGCTGTGATTTGGGTGACGCTGTTCAGTTAGAGTTCTCACTGACACCTGGCCCTTCCTCTTCTGAGGATGCTGCTTTCTTTGCAGCCCTTCTAAGTAATGGCTTTTTCTTTTATACATCACATATCACACGGCTGAGAGGAGGGATAGATGTTTTTCTTCTTTGCCTCTTCTAGGCCACTGTTCTTCCTTATAAACTCCAGTTTCTTTGAAATACATGCCCCTAACGGCTGGGCACGGTGGCTCACGCCTGTAATCCCAGCACTTTGGGAGGCTGAGGCAGGCGGATCACGATGTCAGGAGATCGAGACCATCCTGGCTAACACGGTGAAATCCTGTCTCTACTAAAAATAACAAAAAATTAGCCGGGGTGTGGTGGCGGACGCCTGTAGTCCGAGCTACTCGGGAGGCTGAGGCAGGAGAATGGCGTGAACCCAGGAGGCGGAGCTTGCAGTGAGCTGAGATCGCGCCACTGCCCTCCAGCCTGGGCGACAGAGCGAGACTCCGTCTCAAAAAAAAAAAGAAAAGAAAAAAAAAAGAAATACATGCCCCTAGATTAAACTATCCCTTGTCCTTTTGCACTCATCCACAAGTCTCTTTTCATCAGTGATTTTAGGATCTGACTCGTTGTCTTTTTCTCTACTTCAACTACTTTTATCATTCTTAATTATTTCTGTATCGTCAATCAATCCAGTACCTGCCTCTTAGTTTCAAAATCACTTACTCTTGCTTAGCTATTACCAGTAATCATAACCACTGTCAAATCTCAATTGCAAGCATATTACTCTTTAACTACCACCTCCTATCTTTAAACCATGTTTTGTCTGTTTTTTTATTCCAGCCATTCTTTAAACCCTACTGTGGGGCCCAAGCATTTCCTTTATACGCATTCTTCCTTTCTTCTACTGCTTATTTTCTGTAATCCGTCATCATAATCACTCCATTGCATTCTTCAACGTGTTTCCCCTCTCTCCCTCCATCATACTTGAATGACAAAAATCTCAACCCTGGTTAAACCACATCTTGGCCTTGTCCATTCCTGTACCAGAGTAGCTGGACGTGGCTAAAAAATAACATAAAACATGATGATTGGTTTTACTTTTTTCTTAAATGATCTATCCATCCATTCACCCATCCATCTATCAAAGTGACTAGGCCTATTTCTGAAGCCCAGGCTGGAGTGCAGCAGCATAATCACAGCTCATTGCAGCTCCAAACTCCTGGGCTCAAGTGATTCTCTTGCCTTAGCCTGTTGAGTAGCTGGGACTACAGGCTTGTGCTACCACACCTAGCTAAGGTTTTACTTTAAATTTATTATAATCACAAAATTCAGATGAGCCTTTAGTGCTGTCTGATATTTCTACTATGTTTTCTTAGTGATGTACCACCCTCCAAGGTGTTTATAAAAAATTATGTACCACTCTCCAAGAAGTTTATAAAAAATAATGTGCCACCCTCCAAGGTGACTAATTTCACAGCTTATGTCTTTAAACCTTTAAGCACTTTCCTCTCCCTTACACACCTTCCTTGTGGCTTTCCGTTACATTCTGCTGAGAACATAGAAGCAATTAAAATTATGTTCTTTCTACCAGCAAATTTATCAATTTGCTTATATCTTCACCTGTGCTTTGAGCCTATTTAAATAGATGAATGGTCCCCTACCTCTAACCAAAACCAGTCCCTCACTTGTGGGCTGGATCCCAGCTCTTCTCACCTACTCAAGATGTTCCTGCTTTCATCTCTCCACTCTCTTATATAATCAGTTCCCCCCCCCTTTTTTTGTAATATTCCTATAAGCAGTAAAATAAGCTTTTTATTTCCATTGATTAAAAATAAAAATCCTCTCTTAATTCCATGAAACTCCAGCTGCCTCCCCATTTTTATTTTTTCCTTAGGATTGTCTCTAGTGTGCCTTCTCCTTTTCTTGAACTCTGCCTCCTGGGTTCAAGCGATTCTCCTGCCTCAACCTCCCGAGTAGCTGGGATTACAGGCGTGCACCACCATGACCGGCTAATTTTTTTTTTTTTTTTTTGAGATGGAGTTTCCCTCTTGTTGCTCCGGCTGGAGTGCAATGGCGTGATCTCGGCTCACCGTAACTTCTGCCTCCTGGGTTCAAGCGATTTTCTTGCCTCAGCCTCCCGAGTAGCTGGATTTACAGGCATGTGCCACCATGCCTGGCTAATTTTGTATTTTAGTAGAGATGGAAGGGGTTTCTCCATGTTTGTTAGGCTGGTCTCCAACTCCTGACCTCAGGTGAGCCGCCCACCTCGGCCCCCTAAAGTGCTGGGATTACAGGCATGAGCCACTGCGCCTGGCCCCGGCTAAATTTTTTTTTTTTTTTTTTGTATTTTTAGTAGAGACAGGGTTTCACCATATTGGCCAGGTTGGTCTCGAATTCCTGGCCTCGAGTGATCCACCTGCCTCAGCCTCCCAAAGTGCTGGGATTACAGGCGTGAGTCACCTTGCCTAGCCATCTTTTAGTAATGGTATTTGGAGATCACAATTTGAGTGCTGGCATGCTTATTGCTGCTGGGTTTGTTATGTAGTTATTGTGAATTCACATTTAGGAATATAGGGTTTTTAATTCTTTGATTTTAGATACTTGTATCTTTTTTCTTTTATATTTAAAACCTTGGTTCCTGATGATATCCCTTCTTAGAAACCCTGTCTACCTTTGGCCTTCAGCCCACCATGCTGTGGTTTTCCTAACTTGCTGCCTGCACTTTTCAGATTCCTTTCATGGATCTTAAATATCATCTGTAAATAAGATCTATGTGTCAATAATTACCAAACTTTTATCTTTAGTCTTGACATCTACCCTGAACACCTAGCTTTGACTAACTCCTAGCTTTGGCATCTCCACTTGGAAATCCAAAAAGTGTTTCAAACTGAACATGTCTATGAAAGACTTATTTTTTTCTCTCTATCCATGCTATCCATCAGGTTTTCCATTTCCATAAGGGTGACTCTTGTACTCTGGTTCCTATATATTATACCGACAGAGCAGCCCAGAGTGCTTCTTAACCAGTGTAAGGCCTGTTATGTCCCACCCTCACTCTTTGTCCTTCAGTGGCTTCCCAGCACACTTAGAATAAAATCTGAAGTCTTAGGCCGGGCTTGGTGGCTCATGCCTGCAATCCCAGCACTTTGGGAGGATGAGGGGGCAGATCACTTGAGGTCAGGAGTTGATGAGACCAGCCTGGCCAACATGGTGAAACCCTGTCTCTACCAAAAAATACAAAAATTAACTGGGTGTGGTGTTGTGCACCTGTAGTCCCAGCTACTCGGGAGGCTGAGATAGGAGAATCACTTGAACCCGGGAGGCAGAGGTTACAGCGAGCCAAGATCATACCACTGCACTCCAGCCTGGGTGACAGAACGAGACTCTCAAAAAAAAATTAAAAAAAAAAAATATGTGAAGTCTTGAATAAAACCCAAGATCTTTACCATGGCCCCTGAACAGGGCAGAGTATCCATTCTTCAGACACTCTTCATAGAATACCATGGTGAGCTGGCATATTTATTATACAATACAGAAACAATTTTACTGGCAGAAAACACATTAAACCGTCTAAACTCTGAATACAGTTGTCCTCATAAAAAATGTTCAACATACTATTTTGAGGTTTTCCATTAATAGTTCTTATAATCTTTGTCCCATTATGTGTTAATCCAACAAAGGATATCCAATAACAAACACCAAAGTTTAAGAAAAATGTGCTAGGCGCGGTGGCTCACACCTGTAATCCCAGCACTTTGGGAGGCCGAGGTGGGCAGATCACCTGAGGTCAGGAGTTCGAGACCAGCCCAGCCAACATGGTGAAACCCTGCCTCTCCTAAAAATACAAACATTAACTGGGTGTGGTGGTGGGTGCCTGTAATCCCAGCTACTCAGGAGGCTGAGGCAGGAGAATCGCTTGAACCTCCTGGGAGGCAGAGGTTGCAGTGAGCTAATATTGCACCACTGCACTCCAGCCTGGGTGACAGAGTGAGACTCCATCTCAAATTAAAAAAAAAAAAAAATTAATGATAGAGAAACTTAAATCAGTTAGATTGTTTTAGGTATAGCCCATCCTTGGTTTTTGTGTGTAGCATCTAGCTTGGGGAAACCCTGGATTTCTGGAATCATATTTAGACACAGTCACACTAGACTAATGTAATTCTTTTGGGATGCAAACCACACGTTTGACACCTTAAATAGCTTTTAGGTATTTGGCTTCCCAGCCCCTATTTTTAGTTACAAGGGGTGTACATGTGTGGGTCAGGGTGGGGGTAGCTCTTTCCGCAGATGATTAGTTTTAGCCATGTTACTAGTTATTGCACACATTATCTGTGTCCTCACAGCAGCCCTGTGAGTAAGTGTATTAGGGTTCTCTAGAGGGACAGAACTAATAAGGTAGATGTATATATGAAGGGTAATGTATTAAGGAGTATCGACTCGTATGATCACAAGGTGAAGTCCCACAATAGGCTCTCTGCAGGCTGAGGAACCAGGAAGCCAGTCCAAGTCCCAAAACCTCAAAAGTAGGGAAGCTGACAGTGCAGCCTTCAGTCTGTGGCAAAAGGCCTGAGAGCCCCTGGCAAACCACTGGTGTAAGTTCAAGAGTCCAAAAGATGAAGAACTTGGAGTCTGATGTTTGAGGGCAGGAAGCATCCAGCATGGGAGAAAGATGAAGGCTCAGCAAGTCTAGTACTTCCACACTCTTATTTCTGCCTGCTTTATTCTAGCTGAGCTGGCAGCTGATTAGATGGTGACCACCCAGTTTGAGGGTGGGTCTACCTCTCCCAGTTCACTGGCTTAAATGTTAATCTCCTTTGGCAACACCCTCGCAGACACACCCAGAAACAATAATTTGTAGCCTTCAATCCAATCAAGTTGATAATATTAACCATCACAGGAAGGTACTAGTATCATATGTTTAACAGTAGAAACCAAGACAAATGCAGCTAGGAAGTGGGAGAACTGGGATCAGATGCAGGCAGTCTGATTCTAAATCAGTTGCTGTTACCCACTCTGACAACAGTAAGTGAGTAGCCTGCTCAGTCAAGTACTATATTAGTAGGGCCCTTTACAGACATATTTATTTCTCACAGTCACTCAATGAGACGGCTCTTCCAGTCTTACAATGGAGAAAGTGAGGCTCAGAGACTTTAAGTAACTTACCTTAGACGACTTTACTAGTAAGTATAAGAATCATTATTTGGACTAAAGTCTTTCTGAATCCTCAGCTTGTATTTTTTTCCAGTGTTCTGTGCTGCCTTTTTATCTACTAGTGTTTTACATCAATTTTGAATCTCTTTACTAACTGGTTAGGTTGATTTTTGCCTTTTTTTTTTAGGTTATTCTATATTTGTCGTTAAGGGTGATCTGCCAGATTGCGAAGCTGACCAACTCCTGCAGATGATTAGGGTCCAACAGATGCATCGACCAAAACTTATTGGAGAAGAATTAGCACAACTAAAAGAGCAAAGGTAAAAATGAGGCCTGCAGTATGGAATATATGGTAGTATTTCATTATGAGAATTAAATTTTCATGCTTAGATTGAATATGTGGTCCTTGTGTTGTTGGCGACTCTATTTTGGACCTTATATTTTAGTGAAGTTTATTAGTTTAAACTTGAATCAACTCTTTGAAATACTTAAATATATTAACTTAGTTAGCTGGTATGGTATATTCCTAGCACTTCGGGAGGCTGAGGCAGGCTGATTGCTTCAACCCAGGAGTTCGAGACCAGCCTGGGCAACATGGCAAAACCTCATCTCTACAAATAGTACAAAAATTAGCCAGATGTGGTGGTGTATGCCTATAGTCCCAGCTACTTGGGAGGCAGAGGAAGAAGGATCACCTGAAACTGGGGAGGTAGAGACTACAGTGAGCCATAATCACACTACCGCACTCCAGCCTGGTCGAGAGAGTCAGACCCTGTCTCAAAAAAAAAAAAAAAAAGAAACGGAAAAAAAAAACTTAGTTGGATTCAAATTGCAACACAATCATTATATTACTAGAGCTTATTTGCCAGAAAACATTTTAAGTTTTGACTTACTTAAAGCCTTTACATTACAAATGCCTTTATGTTATGTCTAAAATAGAAGATTGGTTGCAGTTATTACCAGTGCTTTTGTTCTTTAGAGTCCATAAAACAGACCTGGAACGAGTGTTAGAAGCAAATGATGGCTCAGGAATGTTAGACGAAGATGAGGAGGATTTGCAGAGGGCTCTGGCACTAAGTCGCCAAGAAATTGACATGGAAGATGAGGAAGCAGATCTCCGCAGGGCTATTCAGCTAAGTATGCAAGGTAAAGACATTCTGATGTGTGTTGTATTCATTGCTGAAGAATTGATTCCAATTATTCTTAGATTTCATGGAAGTTAATGTACTCTTAGAGGTGTTTTGACAATTACTGCAGAAGCAATAGCTATATAGTGGGCTTTCCCTTTAGATTTCTTATAATGGAAATCACTTTTTACAACCTATATTTTATTAGGAGTAGTTATATTTTTACTCCTGGTTATTTTATTTGGTTTCAACACTGTACTAACACAATAGTAAATTGTGGTTTTAATCTTTGTGGGTATCAGTTGACCCTTATCCAAATCAGCTGTTACATAAATATGTGCCATTAGACACTATGGAAGGGCCTGGACAGGGAATATAAACTGATTTTACAAAAACCCAACATTTATTGGCTATGCAACTTAAACCGTAAGCCCACTTTGGTGGGCCCAGTTTTTTAGTGATATAAACTATCAATAGAGAAAAGCGAAAACATATCCCCTAGACAATCTAGGCAAAGAAAAATGTTAAGACATAGCTCAAAGTAGCTTAATTAAAAGTTTGAAGTGGGTTTTTTGTTTTATTTTTTTCTAACTCATATGTATTTGCTTCTACTTTCTAATGAAATTATTTATCAGTTGATTTCCTTAGATATCTAAATAAAATTGAAATTTCATTAATGGGAAGATTATTTTTATCCTGAACTTTTCTTGCCTCTATGCATGCCTCTGAGTACTCCATATGGTGTGCAATCCCATTTTTGATTAATAGAGTCCTGCTGGATTAGCAGGGACAGAAATCAGCTTTAGATTTCTTTCTTTTTTTTTTTTCTTTCTTTTTTTTTTTTTTTTTTTTTGAGTCAGAGTCTCACTGTCGCCCAGCCTGGAGTGCAGTGATCTTGGCTCACTGCAACCCCTGCCTCCGAGGTTCAAGCGATTCTCCTGCCTCAGCCTCCTGAGTAGCTGGGACTACAGGCGCCTACCACCACGCCCAGCTAATTTTTTGTACTTTTAGTAGAGATAGGGTTTTGCCCTTTTGGCCAGGCTGGTCTTGAACTCCTGACCTCAGGTGATCCACCTGCCTTGGCCTCCCAAAGTGCTGGGATTACATGTGTGAGCCACCACGCCCAGCCAGAAGAGTAGAATATTCTTAAAGAGAAAACGTTTTAAAGGCTTACTCAAATGAGTATAAACAAACATATTGTTGCTTGAATTGGTAAATACAGTGATTGGTTTTTGTTGTGTTGTGTTTTGTTTTCAGGTAGTTCCAGAAACATATCTCAAGATATGACACAGACATCAGGTACAAATCTTACTTCAGAAGAGCTTCGGAAGAGACGAGAAGCCTACTTTGAAAAGTAAAGTAGTTGGTACAAGTTAAAGTAGCATGTTTAATATTTGCTTTGGCTATTTTGTCTATTTGTAAATGGTTACTGCCTGAATCCTGTGAATATTTGAATGTATTTTTTAAAAATTTACAGCAAATAGGACGGGCACGGTGGCTTACGCCTGTGATGCTAGCAGTTTGGGAGGCCAAGGCGGGCAGATTGCCTGAGGTCAGGAGTTCGAGACCAGCCTGGGCAACACAGTGAAACCCCATCTCTACTAAAAATACAAAAGAATCAGCTGGGCATGGAAGCGTGCGCCTGTAGTCCCAGCTGCTTGGGAGGCTGAGCCAGGAGAATTGCTTGAACCCGGGACGTGGAGGTTGCAGTGAGCCGAGATCGCACCACTGCCCTCCAGACTGGGTGACAGAGTGAGACTCCGTCTCCAAAAATATATGTATATATATATAAATAAAAATAAAAATTTACGGCAAATAACATGAAACAAAAAAACCTTGCCCCAATACTGGATAAATTTTTTAAACTGAGTGAAGGAAACCTTATAAAATTTCATTTATTAAAAGAAAAATGAAATTAGGACAAGACAAGAAGAATGCCAATTGATCCTTTGGATGTACTTCTTGCTTACCTGATTAACCCTGCAAAATTCCTCTACCAATCAGTACGAAAAACAGCTTTGGAGGTATGGGAGCGCATTCCCAAATAGACGTGGTAGTTCATTTAGCTGCTCATGGCCGCTTCAGGCAGTCCTGTAAGCCTGTTAGCATCAGGGGAATGGATGCAAACCATAAATCTGGATCAACTCCTAAAACCTTACCTTGTGCCCAGCCTTGTAAGTGCTTGCTAAATAGGAATTCCACCATATGAAAATACATTCTTTTCAAGTAACTATCATTCAGACTTTTGTCCCCCACTTTTTTTTTTTAAAGAAAAATAAAAGGCTGGGCACGGTGGCTTACGTCTGTAATCCCACCATTTTAGGAGGCCAAGGCAGGTGGATCACCTGAGGTCAGGAATTCAAGACCAGCCTGACCAACATGGTGAAACCTCATCTCTACTAAAAATACAAAAATTAGCCGGGCATGGTGGTGGGTGCCTGTAATCCCAGCTACTTGGGAGGCTCAGACAGGAGAATCGCTTGAATCTGGGAGGCAGAAGTTGCAGTGAGCTGAGATAACGCCATTGCACTCCAGCCTGGGGGACAAGAGCGAGACTTCGTCTCAAAAAAAAAGAGAAAGAAAACTTCATGTTAAAGATTACAAGATAAATAATCAGACCCACTGATCCTAGGTCAGAAAACAGAGTCATAGCTCAATCTGACTTACTATTTGCTGTATTTCATCCATTCTGAGATGCACATAGTTTCACATTTCAATGTCTCTGAAATTGAGAAGCATCTTACAGTCATAATTGACAGTATATTAGCAGCACCTATAAATATTGGCTCATTTTACATTTGATGGTATAATGAAGAAAATATTTACCTTTTTTTCTGTTTTGTTTTTAAGTCACAACTCAGAAGTAGATGAAGGAAAATTCTGATCAGCTGACATCCTCTTAATGTGAGATATTTCTAGTCTTTATTCAGTATAGATTAATGGCTAATTATATGTTAAATTTCAAAGTAGTGCTTATTAGTGCTTTTTACTTTTAAGTTTCAAAATTAACTTTTTTATTATAATAAACTCCAAATTTATACAAAAGTAGAAAAACTAGCATACTCCTGTTTATGACCCAGATTCAACAAATACTAGCACACGGCCAATCTTGCTTTTTTTTTTTTTTTTTTTTGAGATGGAGTCTTGCTCTGTTGCCCAGGCTGGAGTGCAATGGCACAATTTCTGCTCACTGCAACCTCTGCCTCCTGAGTTCAAGCGATTCTCCCACTTCAGCCTCCCAAGTAGCTGGGATTACAGGTACACACCACCATGCCTGGCTAATTCTTGTATTTTTAGTAGACACGGGATTTCACCATGTCGTCCAGGCTGGCCTTAAACTCCTGACCTCAAGTGATCCACCTGCCTCGGCCTCCCAGAGTGCTGGGATTACAGGCATGAGCCACTGAGCCCGGCCCAATCTCGTTTTATAATACTCCCATCTCCCATTCTTTCCACTGTCCCACCTGCAAGTTTGGATTATTTTGTAACAAATCTCAATCATCATATTATTCTATAACCATTTTAATATGTGTCTCTAAAATATATTAGCTTTATTTTTAACATAGTTAAATGCTATTGTCATAAAATAATAATCATAATAATTAATTGTAATTCTATATCATCAATTATCTAGTTAATGTAAAAAATAAATCTAAGGCCAGGCGCGGTGGCTCACACCTGTAATCCCAGCACTTTGGGAGGCTGAGGTGGGCAGATCACCTGAGATCAGGAGTTCAAGACCAGCCTGACCAACATGGAGAAACCCCATCTCTACTAAAAATACAAAAAATTAGCCAGGCGTGGTGGCGCATGCTTGTAATCCCAGCTACTTGAGAGGCTGAGGCAGGAGAATCACTTGAACCCGGGAGGCGAGGTTGCGGTGAGCCGAGATCGTGCCATTGCACTCTAGCCTGGGCAAAAAGAGTGAAACTCCATCTCAAATAAATAAATAAATAAATAATAAAAAATAACTTAAATCTACTTAATTAGAAAAACTAACATTCTAAAAATTTTATTTTAAGAAATATCAAAATTGGCTGGGCACGGTGGCTCACGCCTCTAATCCCTGCACTTTGGAAGGCTGAGGTGGGCGGATCACCTGAGGTCAGGAGGGTCAGGAGTACAAGACCAGCCTGGCCAACATGGCGAAACCCTGTCTCCACTAAAAATACAAAAATTAGCCAGGCATGATGATGGGCACCTGTAATCCCAGCTACTCAGGAGGCTGAGACAGAAGAATCGCTTGAACCCAGGAGGTAGAGGTTGCAGTGAGCTGAGATCACCCCACTGCACTCCAGCCTGGGTGACAGAGTGAAACTCCGCCTCAAAAAAAAAAAAAAGAGAAAAGAAATATAGAAATTAAAGCATACATGGCCAGGCGTAGTGGCTCATGTCTGTAATCCCAGCACTTTGGGAGGCTGAGGCAGGCAGATCACTTGAGGCCATGAGTTCAAGACCAACCTGGCCAACATGGCGAAAGCCTGTCTCTACTAAAAATACAAAAAAATTAGTTGGGCATGGTGGTGCACACCTGTAATCACAGCTACTTTGGAGGCTGAGGCAGGAGAATCGTTTGAACCCAGAGGTGGAGGTTGCAGTGAGCCGAGATTGTGCCACTGCACTCTATCCTGGGTGACAGAGCGAGATACTGTCTCAAAAAGAAAAAAAAAAGGCTGGGCGCGGTAGTTCATGCCTGCAATCCCAGCACTTTGGGAGGCCGAGGCAGGCAGATTACGAAGTCAGGAGATGGAGACCATCCTGGCTAATACAGTGAAACCCCGTCTCTACTAAAAAATACACAAAAATTAGCTGGGTGTGGTGGCAGGCACCTGTAGTCCCAGCTACTCTGGAGGCTGAGGCAGGAGAATGGCATGAACCCGGGAGGTGGAGCTTGCAGTGAGCAGAGATCACACCACTGCACTCCAGTCTGGGCGACAGAGCGAGGCTCTGTCTCAAAAAAAAAAAAGAAAGCATACTCTCACCTCCTTCAGTGACTGATGTTAGTATTTTGGCACATTCTTTTTCTGTGACATATACACACTTACCTTGTAAGTGTTGTACTCATTTCCTATGACAGTAAATAGTCTTTGTAACAGGCTGCATGATATTTCATAAAATGAATGGATGTGGCATAATTTATATGTGAGCCTTTTGAATTCTGCTATTATAATTAATATTGCAATGAACAATTCTTATATTGCCTCTACACCTCAAATGTCTTATCATTTCTTCTAGTTTTTCTGAGGATGTCAGATTATTGGGTTAAAGGATATGAACATTTTTAAGGCCTTGGAACAGATTTCTAAATTGCTTTCCAGAATAATTCCCATGTGATACTTTCACCATGTTTATTTCAGACTTTTTTTTTTTTTTTTTTTTGAGACGAAATCTCACTCTGTCACCCAGGCTGGAGTGTAGTGGCATGATCTCGGCTCACTGCAACCTCCGCCTCCTGAGTTTAAGCGATTATTCTGCCTCAGCCTCCCAAGTAGCTGCGGTTACAGGCAAGTGCCTCCATGCCTGGCTAATTTTTGTGTCTTTTGTAGACATGGGGTTTCACCATGTTGCCCAGGCTGGTTTCGAACTCCTGAGCTCAGGCAATCTGCCTACCTCGGCCTCCCAAAGTTCTGGGATTACAGGCGTGCACCACCGCGCCCAGCCATCAGAGTCTTTTTTGTCAAAATAAAATGGTCTAAAGACATACATCATAGAGAAACTATAATACAAAATTTACAGGTATATCTAAGAAAAGAAAAGTATATTTAAAGCATAAAAATAAACTGCTCTTTTACTTAAAATTTTTTAAAAACTGGATTAAAAATATGAAACTTCCAACAAATTGAGCTTTTTTTTTTTTTTTTTTCTTTTTTGAGACGAGGTCTCGCTTTTGTCACCCAGTCTGGAGTGCAGTGGCGCGATCTCGGCTCACTGCAACCTCCACCTCCCTGGTTCAAGCAATTCCCCTGCCTCAGCCTCCCAAGTAGCTGGGATTACAGGCGCATGCCACCACGTCGGGCTAATTTTTTTGTATTTTTAGTAGAGAGGGGGTTTCACCATGTTGGCCAGACTGGTCTCGAACTCCTGATCTCAGGCAATCTGCCAGCCTGGGTCTCCCAACATGCTGGGATTACAGGCATGAGCCACTGCACTCGGCCTGAACTTTTTATAGTAGTAACGATAATTCAGTAATGTCCAATAATGACTAAGTAAGTTATAACAAGTACAATGTCAGCAATAACTAGTGCTTTTTAGTAAACAGGGTCAGGCAACCTTGTACCCTTTTAAAAATGTTCGAATATCGATATACCTCCTTCCTACTTGGTGGAGGATTGATTGAGGAGGAAAGTGTGCAGTGATGGTTACCAGCTTCAGCCTCTTGGCTTGACTTTGCAAATACTGGTGAGAATTTGGAAAGAGCTTGAGAATATCTTACATAGTCACATGTTGCTGAGAAGAGTTAAGAACTAACTTCTTGATGTTCATTTTTAACAATGGCTTGCATTCAAAACCTTGTAGAGCTCATTAGTAGGAGCTAAGAAGCTAATATTTGCCTTTCACTAAAATTCCTGATTACTTAGCCTAGGTAGTTCGTTGTCTCTCTAGGTTCTGTCTTTGGGAGCTTGGGTCTAAGGTTATCAAGCTAACTCTTTCTTCCCTCTCACCCTTCCCAAATTGACCCTGGTGCTGATTTGTTATTCATACGATTTTCTAGTTTTTCTTTTCCCTTTTTGAGTATTTGAAGCTTCATACTGAATATAGTAATCATAGTATTCATGCATAAAGAAAATCATAAAGTAATTGCATAAATGCATAAAGTAATCATAGTTTTCATGCATTAAAAAAACTAGTTTTGGCTGGGCGCTATGGCTCACGCTTGTAATCCCAGCACTTTCGGAGGCCAAGGCAGGCGAATCATCTGAGGTCAGGAGTTCGAGACTAGCCTGGCCAACATGGCGAAACCTCTTCTCTACTAAAAATACAAAAAAATTAGCCGAGTATGGTGGCGGGCGCCTGTAATCCTAGCTATTTGGCAGGCTGAGGCAGGAGAATCACTTGAACCTGGGAGGCAGAGGTTGCAGTGAGCCGAGGTTGTGCCATTGCACTACAGCCTAGGCGACAAGAGCAAGACTCCATCTCAAAAAAAAAAAAAAAAAAAAAAAAACTCCCTATTACAGATTCATAATTTATGAGTCATTAAATAATATTTTCAAGCCATGACATTTTTTCCAGCAGTAGTCTCTAAATCTGTTTTACCATCATAAAACCCCAAGCAAAACTCTACTACATCAGCTGTGTCACTGTAAAACCTGCCTTAACTCACAGAAGCATGAAATTAAGCAATGTGTGTGAAACTATTTTATAAACTGTAAAGTATTCCATACATACATGTTGGCAGTTATTAATGTCTTCTCTAGGTGTGGCTTTGAAATGGATGCAGATGCTTTCTGTTACAAAAAACATAAGTTGCAAATGTTCTATAACAAGGAGAGACACAAATATCTTCATGGACATGGATTGCTATGAGTGTTTGATTGCCTAATACTTGAGCCACCACTTCAGTGATATGGTATAATTTATCAAACAGTGTTGAGAAACAGAAACTACTGGGGATGTTTTAAAGAGGAAAATACTTAATATAGAAATTAGGGGTTTACATAATCTTAAGAAAGGATGAAGGTGCAGCTCTTAGCCAGGCCTCCACAGTACCACAAACCAACTTGCAGGAAGAGCTGTAACCACTGCCCCAGTTGGGACAATGGGTAATGAGGATATTAAATTTAAGAACATACTGCTATAGCAATGATCCTTGGCATAGAAAGCTGCCACCACAATTGCCTAGAGATGGGAACATGAAGTCTGGCCCCCATTGCAACAGCAGTGAAGCAGAATTTTGGGACTGGCATCTCCCAAATGGCTTTGCTTGCCACCAGAGAACAACCAAAGTGGAGGGAGATGGCTAGGCCTCATTTCTGCCTATTTTATTTTATTTTTTGAGACGGAGTCTTGTCTGTCGCCCAGGCTGGAGTGCAGTAGTGTGATCTCGGCTCACTGCAGCCTCCGCCTCCCAGCTTCAAACAATTCTCCTGCCTCAGCCTCCTGAGTAGCTGGGATTACAGGCACCCGCCACTGTGCCCAGCCAATTTTCTTATTTTTAGTAGAGGTGGGGTTTTGCCACGTTGGCCAGGCTGGTCTTGAACTCCTGACCTCAGGTGATCTGCCCGCCTCAGCCTCCCAAAGTGTTGTGATTACAGGTATGAGCCACCATGCCTGGCCCATTTCTCCCTTTTTTTTTTTTTTTTTTTTTTGAGGTGGAGTCTCACTCTGTTGCCCAGACTGGAGTGCAGTGGTGCAATCTTGGCGCATTGCAACCTCTGCCTCCCAGTTTCAAGCAATTCTTCTGCTTCAGCCTCCTGAGTAGCTGGGACTACAGGTGTGTAGCACCACACCTGGCTAATTTTTGTTTTTGTTTTGTTTTTTTTGAGACAGAGTCTCACTCTGTCACCCAGGCTGGAGTGTAGTGGCATGATCTGGGCTCACTACAACCTCCGCCTCCCGGGTTCAAGCAATTCTCCTGCCTCAGCCTCCAGAGTAGCTGGGATTACAGGTGTGCGCCAACACACCTGGCTAATTTTTTTGTATTTTTAATAGAGATGGGGTTTCACCATGTTGGCCAGGCTGGTCTCGAACTCCTGACCTCGTGATCCGCCCGCCTCGGCCTCCCAAAGTGCTGGGATTACAGGCATGAGCCACCGTGCCCAGACAAGGTTTGTATTTTTAGTAGAGACAGTTTTGCCATGTTGGCCAGGCTGGTCTTGAACTCCTCACCTCAGGTGATCCGCCTGCCTTGGCCTCCCAAAGTGCTGGGATTACAGGCGCAAGCCACTGTGCCTGACCCGTTTCTGCTTTTTAAAGCTCATGTGAGCACTTAATTTGTAACCAGAATCCTACTTGTAAAATAATCTAAGACATGTAGCTTTTAGCTTTGTAACCTCTATAATATTGATGGCACAGTGGGAGTGGATGCTGAGTACCACTTGAACATGTTCCACCTCAGTGTCTTCACAGCTGGAAGGTGTCTACATTGTTTCAAGGTGGACAATTGATTTACTTCTCATTTTTCATAAACTAAAAGTAGAATAAAGGCTATTCCTCTAAAATTGCTATCTCACCTGTCACTCCCTTGCATTCTCACATACCTTCTTGAGTGGAGGGGCAGAGGGCATGGAGTGATAGCAGATGTGCCAGGAATTCTCCATAACTCAGTCCGTCCCTCTTGTGCTATGTTGCAGCATCAGGATTTGCTAATGGGAGGATACTGCCCTTACGTGCATCATTAGCCATGCACACTAAGGTCTTACACCTACACACAGGTCAGTATTCTGGCTCAGAGACCAACAGGGAGAAATTGCAGTTCTCATTAGTTGAACTTTCTTTATTGTTCACAGTTTTAAAACACAAAATTGAGAGGAACTCTATAAAAAATGTGCCATTCTATTAATAATTGTTGCTGGTAATTTAAAAATCCTTGTTCCTTTTCAAATTCTTATATACCTTTTTTTTTTAAACACTTGATCTTAGCCAAAAGACCGAGAAGCAATCTTTTTTTTTTTTTTTTTTTTTTTTAACCTATAGCTTCTCACTGAGATTGTCAGCTGTTTGTAAGTTTTGGTTTTTGGTTTTCTGTGTTTGTATTTACATATATGAAATACAGATTGAGTATCCCTTATCCAAAATGCTTAAGACTGGAAGTGTTTTAGATTTGGGGTTTTTTAGGATTTGTGAATATTTGCACTATACTTACCAGTTAAGCATTCCAAATCCAAAATTTCAAATCTGAAGTGTTCCACTGAGCACCTCTTTTGAGTATCATGTTGGTGCTCAAAAAGTTTCTGATTTTGGAGCATTTGGATTTCTGATTCTCGGATTTAGGATGCTTGACCTGTAATTTCAGATTTACATAAAAGCAGAAATAGTACACAGAGCTCCTTATATCCTTCACCCAGATTCCCCAATTATTGGCCTTTCTGAACCATTTGGGAATAATATGCAGATATGATTTTCCATTATGTCTCAGTTGTTCAGTGTATATTTTCTAAGTACAAGAATATATTCCTACATATTTACATGATAACCGTCATGTTTAAACATTTTAAAATGGGGATTTGTATTACATTGTTTCTCTTTTTGAAAAAATTACAGAGGAGCTTAATGCAATCAGTATTACTTAAAATCTGATAATGTGTGTTAAATAGTAGTTTTCATTTATTTCATTTATCAGGTGTTCAGTGAATGCTTACTATGTAACAGCACAGTTATCAGCACTGGGGAAATAGATGAGTAAGATAAGATTTGCACTTTCATTAGCTTACATGCCATAAAGAGGGAAATAAAGAGAACACCAGATGATGATAAGTTTATGCTGAGAATTAAAATGAAGTGATGAAATAATGGGAATGTCAGGTGGCTACTTTTGGTGGGATGGTCAGGAAAGGCATCTCTGGGGAGATAAATTTTAAGCTCAGACCTGAGTGAAAAGAATGAGCCAGCCATGGAAACATTATGTTAACTCACATGGTAGTTTGAAATGCTTTATCTGATCAAAGGTACTTATTTTTGGTGACTTTCAACAATATTAAGGGTCTATAAACCAACACTCATTTGCATAAGAATAACTACCAGTGAATCTTTTTGTATGATAGGTTTTTTGTTTGTTGTTTTTTTGAGACAGAGTCTCGCTCTGTCGCCCAGGCTGGAGTGCAGTGGCGCGATCTTGGCTCACTGCAACCTCTACCTCCCCGGTTCAAGTGATTCTCCTGCCTCAGCCTCCCAAAGTAGCTGGGATTACAGGTGCCTGCCACCACGCCTGGCTAATTTTTGTATTTTTAGTAGAGATGGGGTTTCACCGTGTTGTCCAGGCTCGTGTCAAACTTCTGACCTCAAGCCATCCACCCGCCTCGGCCTCCCAAAGTGCTGGGATTACAGGTGTGAGCCACCACTCCTGGCCATGATAGGTTATTTTGTGATGAAAATACCTACCTCTTAATTTGTCTGATAAATTTAAATTTTATGTCTAGATTTCCTAAGATCAGCACTTCCATATTTTAAAGTAATCTGTATCAGACTAACTGCTCTTGCATTCTTTTAATACCAGTGACTACTTTGATTCGTGAAACAATGTATTTTCCTTATGAATAGTTTTTCTCATGGTGTATTTATTCTTTTAAGTTTTGTTTTTTAAATATACTTCACTTTTGAATGTTTCAGACAGCAGCAAAAGCAGCAACAGCAGCAGCAGCAGCAGCAGCAGGGGGACCTATCAGGACAGAGTTCACATCCATGTGAAAGGCCAGCCACCAGTTCAGGAGCACTTGGGAGTGATCTAGGTAAGGCCTGCTCACCATTCATCATGTTCGCTACCTTCACACTTTATCTGACATACGAGCTCCATGTGATTTTTGCTTTACATTATTCTTCATTCCCTCTTTAATCATATTAAGAATCTTAAGTAA
Source organism: Homo sapiens (assembly GCF_000001405.40). Taxonomy (NCBI): domain Eukaryota; kingdom Metazoa; phylum Chordata; class Mammalia; order Primates; family Hominidae; genus Homo; species Homo sapiens. The sequence continues at coordinate 92,070,808 of NC_000014.9, read as the reverse complement.
ATTTGTAATCTACTAAATTTCCCTGGATTAAGGAGCAGTTACCAAAAGAAAAAAAAAAAAAAAAGCTAGATGTGGTGGCTCACATCTGTAATCCCAGCACTTTGGGAAACCAAGGCAGGAGAGGATTGCTAGAACATTTAATGAATACTTTAACATAATAATTTAAACTTCACAGTAATTTGTACAGTCTCCAAAAATTCCTTAGACATCATGGATATTTTTCTTTTTTTGAGATGGAGTCTTGCTCTGTCACCCAGGCTGGAGTGCAGTGTCGCGATCTCGGCTCACTGCAAGCTCTGCTTCCTGGGTTCATGGCATTCTCCTGCCTCAGCCTCCTGAGTAGCTGGGACTACAGGCGCCCGCCACATCGCCTGGCTAATTTTTTGTATTTTTAGTAGAGACAGGGTTTCACCATGTTAGCCAGGATGGTCTCAATCTCCTGACCTCATGATCCGCCCGCCTCGGCCTCCCAAAGTGCTGGGATTACAGGCGTGAGCCATCACGTCCGGCCAGAAATCATGAATATTAGTAGGTGAAAAATAAACACATTTTACCACCTGGAAAATGAAAAATACTTGAGTATAATCTAAATAACAATGGGAAGTGCAGAGTTACTTTCCAGGTCTCGGTTTAAATATGTCTTAAACTTTGGCCAATTAGTAGTAGAAGTTGAGAGAAAAAGTAACTATCTGACAAAGAAATTATAAGCAGAATATATAAAGAACTCTTAAAACTGAATAATCAGAAAACAACTCAATAAAAAGGTGAAGGATTTGAAAAGATATTTCACCAAATAAGACATAGGGATGACAAATAAGCACATGAAAAGACTCTCAGCATCACTAGTCACAGGGAAATGCACGATAAAACCACAGTGAGACACCATGGCACCCCTGTAGGTATGGCTTTAATGAAGAAATAAAACTGACAATACCAAGTGTTGGCAAGGATCCAAGCAGCTGAGACTCATATACTGTTAATGGGAATGTAAAAGTGTACAGCTTTGGAAAACAGTTTGGCATTTTTTTGATAAATGTATACTTAGCCATGTGATCCAGCAGTCCCAATCATGTATATATAACCAAAAGAAAAGAAAACTTAGGTTCACATAAAAACTTATATCAAATGCTTATAGCTGACCAGGCATGGTGGCCCATGCCTATAATCCCAGCACTTTGGGAGGCCGAGGTTGGCAGATACCTGAAGTCAAGTGTTCGAGACCAGCCTGGCCAACATGGCAAAACCCTGTCTCTACTTAAAATACAAAAATTAGCCAGGCGTGATGGCAGGCACCTGTAGTCCAGCTATTCAGGAGGCTGAGGCAGGAGAATCACGTGAACCCGGGAGGCAGAGGTTGCAGTGAGCCGAGATCGTGCCACTATACTCCAGCCTGGGTGACAGAGCAAAACTCTGTCTCAAAAAAAAAAAAAAAAAAAAGGGCTGGACACGGTGGCTTACGCCTGTTATCCCGGCACTTTGGGAGGCCAAGGCTGATGGATCACCTGAGGTCAGGAGTTCAAGACCAGCCTGGCCAACATGGTGAAACCCCATCTCTACTAAAAATACAAAAATTTGCTGGGCATGGTGGTGGGCACCTGTAATCCCAGGAGGCTGAGGCAGGAGAATCACTTGAACCCGGGAGGCGGAGATTGCAGTGAGCCAAGATTGTGCCATTGAACTCCAGCCTGGGTGACAAGACCAAAACTCCTTCTCAAAAAAAAAAAAGATTATAGCATCTTTATTCATCATTGCCCAAAATTACAAACTGCCTAAATGTAGACCTTCATTTAGTTAATGAATGCACAAACTGTGGTATATCCAAACAATTGAATAAAAAAAGGAATGAACTGGTACTTTTTTCTATTCCTCCTGTTTAAGTACAGCCAAAACACCTCAACATTTGTATAAAACATGAGCTGGGCTGGGTGCGGTGGCTCACACGTGTAATCCCAGCACTTTGGGAGGCTGAGGCGGGTGGATCACCTAAGGTTGGGAGTTCAAGACCGGTCTGACCAACATGGAGAAACCCTGTCTCAACTAAAAATACAAGATTAGTCGGGCATGGTGGCGCATGCCTGTAATCCCAGCTTCTTGGGAGGCTGAGGCAGGAGAATTGCTTGATCCCGGGAAGCGAAGGTTGCAGTAAGCTGAGATTGCACCATTGCACTCCAGCCTGGGCAACAAGAGCAAAACTCTGTCTCAAAAAGAAAAAAAAAACCATTCAGCTGAATCTCAAAGGCAGAGAGAAGACAGACTGGCTAGGGACCTTGGAACCAGAGGAGCAGTGTGGTGGGGAGTGGACTGGATTTTCTTTTTGCCTCATTTATCCTGGACTTGGTGCTGGAGAAGCTATGGGTTCAGACCAAGAGAAAACCCCATGAAAAGCCTGCTCTCTCTAGCCAAAAGAGGCAACCTAGCAAGATAAAAACCTTTAGATAATAAGCACTTGACTCCAGTCAAACAAAACAGAATAAACTGGCCCCATTCACCCCTGTCAGCAAAGGCCAAGTGGGAGCCAAGATATGTACCCCAACCTGGAAGTCATAAGGTACACTTCTCCCCTTTCCCAGCCAAGGTGGTGTTAGAGAAGGCTGACTGGGGAGCTGGGATTCTCATTCCCTCCAGGAGGTGATAACACTCCTTTCACATGGTGTCAGTGGTCACAGGGAGGCTGAACTTCCACCCAGTAATACATAGGCATCTCTCTGGCTCCTATATGGGTGATGTTGGAGAAGAGGCCGAGTAGAGAATCCAGACTGTTGCTGACACCCAGCAGTAACAAGGACACCTCCACAATGTCCGTGGAGGCCATGTGGAGATCAGTAACAAGGCACTGCTCTCCCTCCCAGTCAGAGAGATGTCAGTGGAGGACTAGGGGGCTAGAACTCCCATGTGCGTTCAGCAGTAATCCCCATGACCGCCACTCCTTGACATCACAGGCCTTGAAGAAACCTGGACTTTCACTCCCCTCTGGTTGTAGCGAGGTGGCACTCCCTTTTCCCTGTTGCCAGTGCTGTGTCAGTGGAGGCTTGCTAAATTGGAAGATGTAAATAAGATTCACATTCTCATAACATAATACCCCAAATTTTCAGGATTTAATTGAAAATCACTAAGCTGGGCATGGTGGCTCACACCTGTAATCCCAGCACTTTGGGAGGCCAAGGTGGGCCAAACACTTAAGGTCAGGAATTCAAGACCAGCCTGGCCAGCATGGTGAAACCCTGTCTCTACTAAAAATACAAAAATTAGCTGGGCGTGGTGGCACATGCCTGTAATCCCAGCTACTGGGAAGGCTAAGGCAGGAAAATCACTGGAACCTGGGAGACGGAGGTTGCAGTGATCCAAGATCGCACTAGTGTACTGCAGCCTGGGCAACAGAGCAAGACTCCATCTAAATTTGTGTCAGGATTCCCAGAAGGAGATGAGAAAGGGTGGGGCTGAAAAAAATTGAGGAAGAAGTCATGGCTGAAAATTTCCCAAATTTGGCAAAAGTCAGAAACCTACAGATTGAAAAAGCTGAATGAAGCTCAAATATGATAAACTCAAAGAAGTTCACACAGAGACACATCACAGTCAGATTTCTGAACACTGCAGACAAAAAATGAAGATCTCGAAATTAGCAAGAAATGACCTTACCTAAGCAATTTGAATGACAGCAGATTTCCCATCAGAGATCATAAAGGCCAGAAGGAAGGGGTACATACAACATTTTTTCTAGTGCTGAAAGACAAAAACTCTAGGCTGGGCACGGTGGCACACACCTGTAATCCCAGCACTTTTGGAGGCTGAGGCAGGCAGATCACCTGAAGTCAGGAGTTCGAGACCAGCCTGGCCAACATGGGGAAACCCTGTCTCTACTAAAAATACAAAAATTAGCCAGGTGTGGTGGCACGCACCTATAATCCTAGCTACTTGGGAGGCTGAGGCAGGGGAATCGCTTGAACCTGGGAGGCGACGGTTGCAGTGAGCCAAGGTCGCGCCACTGCACTCCAGCCTGGGCAGTTGAGCGAGACTCCATCTCAAAAAAAAAAAAATTATCCAGGCTTGGTGGTGGGCGCCTATAGTCCCAGCTACTTGGGAGGCTGAGGCAAGAGAATTGGTTGAACCCAGGAGGTGGAGGTTGCAGTGAGCCAAGCTCATGCCACTGTACTCCAGCCTGGGTGACAGAGCGAGACCTTGTCTCAAAAAAAAAAAAAAAAAAAAAAAACAAGAAAAAAACTCTAAACCCAGAGTTACATATCCAGTGAAATATCCTTCAGGAGTGAAGGGAAAATTAACGATTTGTCTTCAGGAGACCTACCCTAAAAGAATGGCTAAAGGAATTTCTCTAAACAGAAAAGAAATGATAAAAGAAGTAATTTTGGAACATCAGGAAGGAAGAAAGAACAATAAAAAGAGTAAAATATGGGTAAACACAATAGACTTTCCCCTCCTTTTGAATTTTCTAAATTGTATGATGGTTGAAGCAAGAATTATAGCACTGATTTGGTTTTCAGTATATATATTGGAAATATTTAAGGCATTATGTTACAGATGAAGGAGGGTCAAAGGATATAAAGGGAGGTAACCTTTCTATATTTCTTTTGTACTGATGCAGGCACTTTGGAAAATAATTTCACTATTTGTTTAAAAACTGAACATACCCTGACCATATGACATAGCATCTATACTCCTGGGCATTTATCCCAGAGAAACAGAAATTTATTTATTTTTTTTTTAGTATTACACTCCGTAAGTGCTGTAATACTAGCACTTAGGGAGGCTGAGGCAAGCAGATTGCTTGAGCCCAGGAGTTCAAGACCAGCCTGGGCAATGCTGCACAGTCAAAAAAGAAAAACAAACATTTAGAAAACTATTTTAAAAGTCTTTAATTGCTGAATGCCTCTTTGGCTAATATTTGGAAGATCATTATTATTATTTTTCTTTTTTAGGCAGAGTCTTGCTCTGTCACTGAGGCTGGAGTGCAGTGGCGCCATCTCGGCTTACTGCAACCTCTGCCTCCCGGGTTCACGCCATTCTCCTGCCTCAGCCTCCCGAGTAGCTGGGACTACAGGCGTGTGCCACCATGCCCGGCTAATTTTTTGTGTTTTTAGTAGAGATGGGGTTTCACTATGTTAGTCAGGATGGTCTCCATCTCCTAACCTCGTGATCCGCCCACCTCGGCTTCCCAAAATGCTGGGATTACAGGCGTGAGCCACTGTGCCCAGCCTGGAAGATCATTATTTAGTCCTACAACTGACACATTGTTCCACTGACGCAATTGCCCAGGCTGGTCTTGAACTCCTGGGCTCAAGCAATCTGCCTGCCTCGGCCTCCCTAAGTGCTAGTATTACAGGCTTGAGCCACTGTGCCCAGCCAAAAATAGAAATTTATATTCTCACAAAAACATGTACATGAATGTTTATAGCAGCTTTACTTGTCATAATCAAAAACTGGAAACAACCAAAATGTCCTACAGTGAAACAAACTGTAGTACATCCATAGCATGTAATACTCTACTGTCAGGATTAAAAAGAAACCCACTGTTGGCACAGGCAGCACCGTGGCTGGATCTCAGGGGCATTATGCTGAGTGCAAAAAAGCCTCAAAGGGTCTTACACTGTATGATTCCACTTGTTCAACTAAAAATGACAGCTGTATAGAGATAGAGAACATATTAGTGGTTTCCACTAGTTAGAGAAAGTGGGTAAAAGATAGGTGGGTGGGAATATAAATCGATAGCAGGGAGATCTTTGTGGTATTATAACACTTCTATGTCTTGATTGTAGTGGTGGTGGTTACATGAATACACGTGTGATAAAATGCCATGTAGAACTACATATAACGTTGTGCCAATGTCAATATCTAGGTTTTAGTTTGATCTTTAGTTACATAAGATGTAACTATTGGGTGAAATTGGGCAAAAGAGTACACGAAACCTCTCTTAAATATCTTTACAACTTCCTTTGAATTGACAGTTTTTCAAAATAGAAAGTTGGGTTTTTGTAAATACATGAATTGTTGATATACACAACAAATCTCAAATGCATTATGCTACGTGAAAGAAGCCATATTCAAAAGGCTACATACCTACTGATGCCTTTTATATGACGTGCAGGAAAAGATAAAACTGTAGGACAGAGAATATACTGGTGGCTATCTGGGATTAGGAAATGGGGATCGACCACAAAGGGGCAGCATGGGGGAATTTTCTGGGGCAATGGAATGGTTGTGTATCTTGATGGTGTATTTGTCAAAATATATAGAACTATAAAAGTAAATTTTGCTTTATATGTATTAAATCAAAAAAAGAAACTCGTGCTCAAATAGAAATACATTTTCTGAGAACTTGCCTTTTGATGACTTTGAGAATTTTCTGGAAATTTTAAAGAAATGTGGTTTTGTTTCCCAACAGGTGATGCTATGAGTGAAGAAGACATGCTTCAGGCAGCTGTGACCATGTCTTTAGAAACTGTCAGAAATGATTTGAAAACAGAAGGAAAAAAATAATACCTTTAAAAAATAATTTAGATATTCATACTTTCCAACATTATCCTGTGTGATTACAGCATAGGGTCCACTTTGGTAATGTGTCAAAGAGATGAGGAAATAAGACTTTTAGCGGTTTGCAAACAAAATGATGGGAAAGTGGAACAATGCGTCGGTTGTAGGACTAAATAATGATCTTCCAAATATTAGCCAAAGAGGCATTCAGCAATTAAAGACATTTAAAATAGTTTTCTAAATGTTTCTTTTTCTTTTTTGAGTGTGCAATATGTAACATGTCTAAAGTTAGGGCATTTTTCTTGGATCTTTTTGCAGACTAGCTAATTAGCTCTCGCCTCAGGCTTTTTCCATATAGTTTGTTTTCTTTTTCTGTCTTGTAGGTAAGTTGGCTCACATCATGTAATAGTGGCTTTCATTTCTTATTAACCAAATTAACCTTTCAGGAAAGTATCTCTACTTTCCTGATGTTGATAATAGTAATGGTTCTAGAAGGATGAACAGTTCTCCCTTCAACTGTATACCGTGTGCTCCAGTGTTTTCTTGTGTTGTTTTCTCTGATCACAACTTTTCTGCTACCTGGTTTTCATTATTTTCCCACAATTCTTTTGAAAGATGGTAATCTTTTCTGAGGTTTAGCGTTTTAAGCCCTACGATGGGATCATTATTTCATGACTGGTGCGTTCCTAAACTCTGAAATCAGCCTTGCACAAGTACTTGAGAATAAATGAGCATTTTTTAAAATGTGTGAGCATGTGCTTTCCCAGATGCTTTATGAATGTCTTTTCACTTATATCAAAACCTTACAGCTTTGTTGCAACCCCTTCTTCCTGCGCCTTATTTTTTCCTTTCTTCTCCAATTGAGAAAACTAGGAGAAGCATAGTATGCAGGCAAGTCTCCTTCTGTTAGAAGACTAAACATACGTACCCACCATGAATGTATGATACATGAAATTTGGCCTTCAATTTTAATAGCAGTTTTATTTTATTTTTTCTCCTATGACTGGAGCTTTGTGTTCTCTTTACAGTTGAGTCATGGAATGTAGGTGTCTGCTTCACATCTTTTAGTAGGTATAGCTTGTCAAAGATGGTGATCTGGAACATGAAAATAATTTACTAATGAAAATATGTTTAAATTTATACTGTGATTTGACACTTGCATCATGTTTAGATAGCTTAAGAACAATGGAAGTCACAGTACTTAGTGGATCTATAAATAAGAAAGTCCATAGTTTTGATAAATATTCTCTTTAATTGAGATGTACAGAGAGTTTCTTGCTGGGTCAATAGGATAGTATCATTTTGGTGAAAACCATGTCTCTGAAATTGATGTTTTAGTTTCAGTGTTCCCTATCCCTCATTCTCCATCTCCTTTTGAAGCTCTTTTGAATGTTGAATTGTTCATAAGCTAAAATCCAAGAAATTTCAGCTGACAACTTCGAAAATTATAATATGGTATATTGCCCTCCTGGTGTGTGGCTGCACACATTTTATCAGGGAAAGTTTTTTGATCTAGGATTTATTGCTAACTAACTGAAAAGAGAAGAAAAAATATCTTTTATTTATGATTATAAAATAGCTTTTTCTTCGATATAACAGATTTTTTAAGTCATTATTTTGTGCCAATCAGTTTTCTGAAGTTTCCCTTACACAAAAGGATAGCTTTATTTTAAAATCTAAAGTTTCTTTTAATAGTTAAAAATGTTTCAGAAGAATTATAAAACTTTAAAACTGCAAGGGATGTTGGAGTTTAGTACTACTCCCTCAAGATTTAAAAAGCTAAATATTTTAAGACTGAACATTTATGTTAATTATTACCAGTGTGTTTGTCATATTTTCCATGGATATTTGTTCATTACCTTTTTCCATTGAAAAGTTACATTAAACTTTTCATACACTTGAATTGATGAGCTACCTAATATAAAAATGAGAAAACCAATATGCATTTTAAAGTTTTAACTTTAGAGTTTATAAAGTTCATATATACCCTAGTTAAAGCACTTAAGAAAATATGGCATGTTTGACTTTTAGTTCCTAGAGAGTTTTTGTTTTTGTTTTTGTTTTTTTTTGAGACGGAGTCTTGCTATGTCTCCCAGGCTGGAGGGCAGTGGCATGATCTCGGCTCACTACAACTTCCACCTCCCGGGTTCAAGCAATTCTCCTGCCTCAGCCTCCAGAGTAGCTGGGATTACAGGCGCCCACCACCACACCCGGCAGATTTTTGTATTTTTGGTAGAGACGCGGTTTCATCATGTTTGGCCAGGCTGGTCTCGAACTCCTGACCTCAGGTGATCCGCCTGCCTTGGCCTCCCAAAGTGTTGGGATTACAGGCATGAGCCACTGCGCCTGGCCAGCTAGAGAGTTTTTAAAGCAGAGCTGAGCACACACTGGATGCGTTTGAATGTGTTTGTGTAGTTTGTTGTGAAATTGTTACATTTAGCAGGCAGATCCAGAAGCACTAGTGAACTGTCATCTTGGTGGGGTTGGCTTAAATTTAATTGACTGTTTAGATTCCATTTCTTAATTGATTGGCCAGTATGAAAAGATGCCAGTGCAAGTAACCATAGTATCAAAAAAGTTAAAAATTATTCAAAGCTATAGTTTATACATCAGGTACTGCCATTTACTGTAAACCACCTGCAAGAAAGTCAGGAACAACTAAATTCACAAGAACTGTCCTGCTAAGAAGTGTATTAAAGATTTCCATTTTGTTTTACTAATTGGGAACATCTTAATGTTTAATATTTAAACTATTGGTATCATTTTTCTAATGTATAATTTGTATTACTGGGATCAAGTATGTACAGTGGTGATGCTAGTAGAAGTTTAAGCCTTGGAAATACCACTTTCATATTTTCAGATGTCATGGATTTAATGAGTAATTTATGTTTTTAAAATTCAGAATAGTTAATCTCTGATCTAAAACCATCAATCTATGTTTTTTACGGTAATCATGTAAATATTTCAGTAATATAAACTGTTTGAAAAGGCTGCTGCAGGTAAACTCTATACTAGGATCTTGGCCAAATAATTTACAATTCACAGAATATTTTATTTAAGGTGGTGCTTTTTTTTTTTGTCCTTAAAACTTGATTTTTCTTAACTTTATTCATGATGCCAAAGTAAATGAGGAAAAAAACTCAAAACCAGTTGAGTATCATTGCAGACAAAACTACCAGTAGTCCATATTGTTTAATATTAAGTTGAATAAAATAAATTTTATTTCAGTCAGAGCCTAAATCACATTTTGATTGTCTGAATTTTTGATACTATTTTTAAAATCATGCTAGTGGCGGCTGGGCGTGGTAGCTCACGCCTGTAATCCCAGCATTTTGGGAGGCCGAAGTGGGTGGATCACGAGGTCGGGAGTTCGAGACCAGCTTGGCCAAAATGGTGAAACCCCATCTGTACTAAAAACTACAAAAATTAGCTGGGCGCGGTGGCAGGTGCCTGTAATCCCAGCTACCTGGGAGTCTGAGGCAGGAGAATTGCTTGAACCCTGGCGACAGAGGATGCAGTGAGCCAAGATGGTGCCACTGTACTCCAGACTGGGCGACAGAGTGAGACTCTGTCTCAAAAAAAAAAAAAAAATCATGCTAGTGCCAAGAGCTACTAAATTCTTAAAACCGGCCCATTGGACCTGTACAGATAAAAAATAGATTCAGTGCATAATCAAAATATGATAATTTTAAAATCTTAAGTAGAAAAATAAATCTTGATGTTTTAAATTCTTACGAGGATTCAATAGTTAATATTGATGATCTCCCGGCTGGGTGCAGTGGCTCACGCCTGTAATCCCAGCAGTTCTGGAGGCTGAGGTGGGCGAATCACTTCAGGCCAGGAGTTCAAGACCAGTCTGGGCAACATGGTGAAACCTCGTTTCTACTAAAAATACAAAAATTAGCCGGGCGTGGTTGCACACACTTGTAATCCCAGCTACTCAGGAGGCTAAGAATCGCATGAGCCTAGGAGGCAGAGGTTGCAGAGTGCCAAGGGCTCACCACTGCATTCCAGCCTGCCCAACAGAGTGAGACACTGTTTCTGAAAAAAAAAAATATATATATATATATATATATGTGTGTATATATATATGTATATATATATGACTTCCTATTAAAAACTTTATCCCAGTCGGGGGCAGTGGCTCACGCCTGTAATCCCAACACTTTGGGAGGCTGAGGCAGGTGGATCACCTGAAGTCCGGAGTTTGAGACCAGCCTGGCCAACATGGTGAAACCCCATCTCTACTAAAAATACAAAACTTAAGCCAGGTATGGTGGCGGGCACCTGTAATCCCAGTTACTTGGGAGGCTGAGGCAGGAGAATCGTTTAAACCCAGGAGGTGGAGGTTGCAGTGAGCTGAGATCGTGCCATTGCACTCTAGCCTGGGCAACAAGAGTAAAACTCCATCTTAAAGGTTTGTTTGTTTTTTTTTAATCCGGAAACGAAGAGGCGTTGGGCCGCTATTTTCTTTTTCTTTCTTTCTTTCTTTCTTTTTTTTTTTTTCTGAGACGGAGTCTAGCTCTGCTGCCCAGGCTGGAGTACAATGACACGATGTTGGCTCACTGCAACCTCCACCTCCTGGGTTCAAGCGATTCTCCTGCCTCAGCCTCCCAAGTACCTGGGATTACAGGCACCTGCCACTACACCTGGCGAATATTTGTTTTTTTTAGTAGAGACGGGCTTTTACCATGTTAGGCTGGTCTCAAACTCCTGACCTCAGGTGATCTGCCTGCCTTGGCCTCCCAAAGTGCTGGGATTACAGGTGCAGGCCACCACACCCGGCCTTGGGCCACTGTTTTCAAAGTGAATTGTTTGTTGTATCGAGTCCTTAAGTATGGATATATATGTGACCCTAATTAAGAACTACCAGATTGGATCAACTAATCATGTCAGCAATGTAAATAACTTTATTTTTCATATTCAAAATAAAAACTTTCTTTTATTTCTGGCCCCTTTATAACCAGCATCTTTTTGCTTTAAAAAATGACCTGGCTTTGTATTTTTTTAGTCTTAAACATAATAAAAATATTTTTGTTCTAATTTGCTTTCATGAGTGAAGATTATTGACATCGTTGGTAAATTCTAGAATTTTGATTTTGTTTTTTAATTTGAAGAAAATCTTTGCTATTATTATTTTTTCCAAGTGGTCTGGCATTTTAAGAATTAGTGCTAATAACGTAACTTCTAAATTTGTCGTAATTGGCATGTTTAATAGCATATCAAAAAACATTTTAAGCCTGTGGATTCATAGACAAAGCAATGAGAAACATTAGTAAAATATAAATGGATATTCCTGATGCATTTAGGAAGCTCTCAATTGTCTCTTGCATAGTTCAAGGAATGTTTTCTGAATTTTTTTAATGCTTTTTTTTTTTTTGAAAGAGGAAAACATACATTTTTAAATGTGATTATCTAATTTTTACAACACTGGGCTATTAGGAATAACTTTTTAAAAATTACTGTTCTGTATAAATATTTGAAATTCAAGTACAGAAAATATCTGAAACAAAAAGCATTGTTGTTTGGCCATGATACAAGTGCACTGTGGCAGTGCCGCTTGCTCAGGACCCAGCCCTGCAGCCCTTCTGTGTGTGCTCCCTCGTTAAGTTCATTTGCTGTTATTACACACACAGGCCTTCCTGTCTGGTCGTTAGAAAAGCCGGGCTTCCAAAGCACTGTTGAACACAGGATTCTGTTGTTAGTGTGGATGTTCAATGAGTTGTATTTTAAATATCAAAGATTATTAAATAAAGATAATGTTTGCTTTTCTATTTCCTTTTGAATTTGTGTTTATTGTTAATTCATAGCTATTCAAAGTGTGATTAGAGCTGGGCTTGGTGGCTTGCATCTACAGTTCCAGCTACCCAGGAGGCAGAAGCAGGAGGATTGCTTGAGCCTAGGAGTTCGAGGCTGCAGTGAGCTATGATCCTGCCACTGAATTCTAGCCTGGGCGACAAAACAGGAAAAAAGTATGGATGGAGGACCAGCAGCATCTGTATCACCTGTGAGTCTTTCAGAAATGCAGAGTTTCAGGCTACACTCGGACCTACTGAATCAGAACTTGCACTTTTTACAAGATCCCCAGGACACTAAAGTATAGAGTGAAGCTTGAGAAGCGCTGTTGTGTGGATTGTTCTTAACCAGCTGCAGTGATGAATATGAATAACGCAGGCCAGCACAGTCCATTGATATTCTATTCCAGCTTACTGCCTGCCAAAAGGTCCATTATTACTGGATCCTCAGTCTTTTCCAAGAGAAGCTAAGAATTCCAAATTTTTATTTGAAATATATTTTTTAAATGTTTGTTCAACTGGCCCAGTGCCAGTGGCTCATGCCTTTAATCCTAGCACTTTGAGAGGCCGAGGTGGAAGGATCACTTGACCCCAGGAGTTTGAGACCAGCCTGGGCAACATAAAGAGACCCCATCTCTATTAAAAAAAAATAGAGACAATGCTGCCTTAAAAAAGTCAAATAAATGTTTGCTCAACTGATTTTTAATACTGAGGGCCAAACAAAGCACATCAAATTTTTAAGTGCTGCTTTTCCTCATTTTATCCAACTCTGGACACCAGAATCCAAATGTAGTGATTGGAATCCACCTAGACTGATTGAGGAATATATTGTCCTCAAATTTTATGAGGGTTGACTATTCATTTTAACTTTAATTAGGATTGGGCACAAATTTTGAAACATAATAACATTACAGGACCGGGGCCCGATCCAGACCCCAAGAGAGGGTTCTTGGATCTTGTGCAAGAATGAATTCAGGGCAAGTCCATAAATTGAAAGCTAGTTCATTAAGAAAGTAGAGGAATAAAAGAATGGCTACCCCATAGGTAGAGCAGCCCTGAGGGCTGCTGGTTGCCATGTCCACCCCCGCGCCCCCTCCCCCCGCTTTGTTGTTGTTGTTTAAGACAGAGCTTCGCTGTGTCATCAGGCTGGAGTGCAGTGGCATGATAGCTCACTGCAACCTCTGCCTCCCGCGTTCAAGCAATTCTCCTGCCTCAGCCTCCTGAGTAGCTGGGACTACAGGCGTGCACCACCACGCCCAGCTAATTTTTGTATTTTTAGTAGAGATGCGGTTTCACCATGTTGGCCAGGAAGGTCTCAATCTCTTGACTTCGTGATCCACCCGCCTTGGCCTCCCAAAGTGCTGGGATGAGCCACCTCGCCTGGCTGGTTATTTCTTGATGATATGCTAAACAAGGGGTGGATTATTCATGCCTGCCCTTTTTAGACCATTTAGGGTAACTTCCCGGCATTGCCATGGCATTTGTCAACTGTCATGGTGCCAATGGGAGTGTAGCAGTGAGGAGGACCAGAGGTCACTTTCATCACCATTTTGGCTTTTTCAGCCGGCTTCTTTACTGCAACCTGTTTTATCAGCAAGGTTTTTATGATCTGTATCTTGTGCAGACCTTCTATCTCATCCTGTGACTTAGAATGCCTTAACCATCTGGGAATGCAGCCTAGTAGGTCTTGGCCTCATTTTACCAACCCCCTATTCAAGATGGAGTTGCTCTGGTTCAAATGCCTCTGATATTTCCCTACTCCCTTTTATAAGAAAACCCTTAATCCTAAGGGTTGCAGAGGGATGAAGATCCATCTTCTGTATTCTTCAGGCTGAATAGGGGTGATGATATTCCTGCCTATGAGAGTCTCTTGTATTAGGGTAGAGAGGAGCTCAGTCAGTCAGTATGGCTCCCTATCCTTCCTCCCTTCCCCAGCCCCTGACAACTACCATTCTACTTTGTCTCTATGATTCTAAGTATCTCCTATAAGTGGAATCATTCAGTATTTGTAGGGTTTTTTTGTGACTAGTGTATTTCACTTAGCATGTCAAGGTTCATCCATGTTGTAGCATACGTCCAAATTTTCTTCTTTTTAAAAACTGAATAATATTCCATTGTATGATATATGCACATTTTGCTTATTCATTTATCCATCAAAGAAAACCAGTAGCTTTTTTACATACCGGCAGTAACCTGGTTAAAAAAATAAGATGGAAAATACCAAGCCCGAAAATGTCAAATTCTTGAATACCAGACAGGTACTATAATCCAAGCTGAGCAGAGAGGAATGGCCCTTGTCTCAGCCCTGAGCCACATGTCACTACATGGGCCCCAAGGAGCTCTTGTGCCCAGAGTCCTGCTAAGGCTCGTTCTTCACCCCTCTAAAGTGGCTCAAACTAGCGTAGGAGGCCAGGAGGGAGCAGATTCTATGCCACCTCCATTGCTTCCGTGCCTTCTCCAGATCCATTTTTTCCAAAAGCTGTGTTTGAATTCTGCACAGGGGCATCTCTGTCTCCAACACTGAAACCCCTTTTGCCAGACCCAGAGAAGATTTAACTGCCTTTTTTTTTGAGACAGGGCCTCGTTCTGTCACCTAAGCTGGAGTGCAGTGGCACGATCTTGGCTCACGGCAACCTCTGCCTCCTGGGCTCAAGCAATTCTCCTGCCTCAGCCACCCGAATAGCTGGGATTATAGGCGCAGGCCACCACATCCAGCTAAGTTTTGTATTTTTAGTAGAGACGCAGTTTTGCCATGTTGCCCAGGCTGGTCTAGAACTTCTGAGCTCAGGTGATCCACCCGCCTCGGCCTCCCAAAGTTCTGGGATGACAGGCATGAGCCACCTAACCTGGCCAGATTTAACTGCTTTGAGCCACCGTCTCACACATCTTCCAGGAGCTTCTAGTCAAATGCAGAGGATTAATAGTGTATAATTCCATTTACATAAGATCTTTGGAATAGTCAAACTCATAGAGACAGAAAGTAGAATGGTGGTTGCCGGGGGATGGTTGAGGGGAAAATTAGGAGTTGTTTAACGAGTATGGAGTTTCAGTTTGGGAAGATGAAAAAAGTTCTGGAGATGGACAGTTGTAATGGCTGCACAACAACGTGAATGTACTTAATGCCGGTGAACCGTATAACCATTTAACAACTGAAAATGGTTACAAAATTTTGTGTTATATATATCTTATCACAATAAAAAATATAGAGGATTGATCACTATATTTGCTCCCTTCCAAAATCTCACCTAGGTTAAAGTAAAGAAAAATATATAAACCCACAAGAACACAGGGACCAGGAGAGGAGATGCATTCATTGGATTACGTTTGGTTGTAAAAAAAACAAAAAATCCTCCCCGGCACGGTGGCTCACACCTTGTAATCCCAGCACTTTGGGAGGCTGAGGCAGGCGGATCACGAGGTCACGAGTTTGAGACCAGCCTGACCAACATGGTGAAACCTCATCTCTACTAAAAATACAAAAATTAGCCGGGTGTGGTGGCGTACGCCTGTAATCCCAGCTACTGAAGTGGCTGAGACAGGAGAATTGCTTGAACCCGGGAGGCGGAGGTTGCAGTGAGCCGAGATCACGCCACTGCACTCCAGATTAGGTGACAGAACAAGACTCCATCTCAAACAAAAACAAAAACAAAAACAAACTAATATAACAGTGACTTTACATGCTATGGGTTTTTTTTCTCCTCTCATCTTCAAGAAATGTGGAGACTGCCAGTCCGGGGATGATACAGCATCACAGTGTCAGGAATCTGCTCTTTCTGTATAATTGTTACAGGAAAGGGGTCCGGATCCAGACCCCAAGAGAGGGTTCTTGAATTCAGGGCAAGTCCACAGTGCAAAGTGAAAGCAAGTTTACTAAGAAAGTAAAGGAATAAAAAAATCGCTACTCCATAGACAGAGCAGCCCTGAGGGCTGCTGGTTGCCCATTTTTATGGTTATTTCTTGATGATATGCTAAACAAGGGGTGGATTATTCATGCCTCCCCTTTTTAGACCATATAGGGTAACTTCCTGATGTTGCCATGGCATTTGCAAACTGTCATGGTGCTGGTGGGGGCGTAGCACCAAGGAGGACCAGAGGTCACTCTTGTGGCCTTTGTGGTTTTGGTGGGTTTTGGCCAGCTCCTTTACTGCAACCTGTTTTATCGGCAAGGACTTTATGACCTGTATTTTGTGTTGACCTTGTATCTCATCCTGTGACTTAGAATGCCTTAACCATCTGGGAATGCAGCCCAGTAGGTTTCAGCCTCATTTTACCCAGCTCCTATTCAAGATGGAGTTGCAGCCGGGCACGGTGGTTCATGCCTGTAATCCCAGCACTTTGGGAGGTTGAGGCGGGTGGATCACAAGGTCAAGAGTTCAAGACCAGCCTGGCCAACATGGCAAAACCCCATCTCTACTAAAAATACAAAAATTAGCCAGGCGTGGTTGGTGTGCGCCTATTATGCCAGCTACTTGGGAGGCTGATGCAGGAGAATCACTTGGATCTGGGAGGCGGAGGTTGCAGTAAGCAGATATCGCGCCATGCACTCCAGCCTGGATGACAGAGCAAGACTCCGTCTCGGGGGAAAAAAAAACCAAAATGGAGTTGCTCTGGTTTACAGGCCTCTGACATAATGGCTTTATGTACATGGCTTCCATGGCTAGGGTCAGCTCATAGATCTAATATGGCTGTGTTGGTGCTCATGTTGCAGCCCAGCAATCAGAAAGAGAAAGGAGGCTGGGTTTGGTGGCTTACACCTGTCATCCCAGCATTTCGGGAGGCCAAGGCGGGAGGATCACATGAGCCCATGAGTTTGAGACCAGCTTGAGCAACACAGGGAGACCTCATCTCTACAAGAAATAAAAATAAATTAGTTGGGTATGGTGGCATGCACCTGTGGTCCCAGCTATTCGGGAGGCTGAGGTGAGAGGATACCTTGAGCCTGGAGGTTTGAGGCTGCAGTGAGCTATGATCGCACCACTGCACTCCAGCCTGGGCAACAGAGTGAGACCCCATCTCAAATAATTAAAAAAAAAAAAAAGAAAGAAAGAAAAAAAAAAGGAGAGCAGAAAAAGGCTATGTACCTTTTCTTTCGGGTTACCTTCTCAAAGTTGTGCATACTACTTCCGTTTACATTACATTGGCCAGAACTTAACATGACAACTACTAGCTACAAGGTGGTTTTTATTCTGGGTTGCCATGCATCTTAGCTTAAGTACCCTACAGGTCCTGAGATAATGATTCCTATGAAAATGATTATTTACTTATTTAATTAATTTATTTTGAGATGGAGTCTCACTCTGTCACCCAGGCTGGAGATCAGTGGCGTGATCTCGGCTCACTGCAACCTCTGCCTCCCAGGTTCAAGCAATTCTCCTGCTTCAGTCTCCCGAGTAGCTGGGACTACAGGCATGCGCCACCATGCCCAGCTTTTTTGTATTTTTAGTAGAGACGGGGTTTCACTATGTTGGCCAGGCTGATCTCGAACTCCTGACCTCAGGTGATCTGCCTGCCTCGGCCTCCCAAAGTGCTGGGATTACAGGCGTGAGCCACTGTGCCTGGCTGAAAATGATTTTTTAAAAGTGTTCCAGGAGGAAATGGAAAGGGCATAGGGGAGTAAGAAAGTGGAAATAGGAAAAGAAGGAAGCCAAGCAAGAGGAGCCTATCAAGCAAAGCCTCAGTCCTGCAGACAGTCTGGAGGCAGGATATTCACATCTTAGAGTTGTCCAAAACAGAACAGGCAAGCTGCATAATTTTCAACTCTGGCTGAATAAGGTTGCATTTCAGCTCTCTGGGCACCTGGAAAGTATGGGCTCCAGTAACCTGGAGGCAGTCTGCTGACTGCTGGCTGGTGTGCACAAAAGTGGTAAAGGGATGAGGGAGTGCAATATGGGCACTGGCATCTTGGCTGTCATGCATCCAGGTAAAAAGTGGAGGCTCAATTACTATATATGAAGGGGAGAACAGACTTTGGGGAACAATTAGCAGTCATTTCCAGGTGAGACAACAACAGAAGAGAAATGCTAATTTTTTTTTTTTTCTTTGAGATGGAGTTTCGCTCTTGTTGCCCAGGCTGGAGTGCAATGGCGCTATATCCAGCTCACCGCAACCTCCGCCTCCTGGGTTCAAGTGATTCTCCTGCCTCAGCCTCCCGAGCAGCTGAGATTACAGGCCACCACACCCAGCTAATTTTGTATTTTTAGTAGAGACGGGGTTTCTCCATGTTGGTCAGGGTGGTCTCAAACTCCCAACCTCAGGTGATCCGCCCGCCTCAGCCTCCCAAAGTGCTGGGATTACAGGCGTGAACCACCGCACCCGGCGAGAGATGCGAACATTTTTTTTGTTTTTTGGAGGATGACAAGTTGATGCAGGAATGAGCAGAACCAGGAGGCTGAATACTGAGTGTTAAAGAGTTCCTAGCAATATGCAGGAAAGGAAAGCAACAAGTATCCTGAGAGGTGGGGGTTAGATGTAGACTGAAATCAGGAGGTGTGGTTAAAACTCTTTGAAAGAGGCTGGGTGCGGTGGCTCACATAATCCCAGCACTTTGGGAGGCCAAGGCGGGTGCATCATGAGGTCAGGAGTTCGAGACCAGCCTGACCAACATGTGAAACCCCGTCTCTACTAAAAATACAAAAATTAGCCGGGCATGGTGGCGCATGCCTGTAATCCCAGCTACTAAGGAGGCTAAGGCAGGAGAACCGCTTGAACCTGGGAGGCGAAGGTTGCAGTGAGCCGAGATCATGCCATTGGACTCCAGCCCAGGCGACAGAGAGAGATCCCATCTCAAAAAAAAAAAAAAAAAAAAAAAAAAAGAAAGGAAAAGAAGAAAAGAAAAAAGAAACAGCAGATTCCCTAGAGAGGAGACATTCATCACTAAAAAAAAAAAAAAAAATTAAAATAAATCGCAGAAGTAAAAGCCCTTTTTGAAAGGGCTCAGGGTACCCAGCTTAATGTATGAAACAAAAGCAAACCCACATCAAAGCACACCATTATTAATTTCAGAGCATCAGAAATAAAGAGAAGATCTGACAAGCTTCTTGGAAGAAAACAAGGCATAGAGAATAATCAGAGTAGAGTAGAGCAGGAAAACAGAGTCCTGGGTAGAGCGAACTGAGCCTAGCCAATCGATAGAATTCTTGATGTTTTGTTGAAAACAGAAGCACTTTACAATTCTCTTGGTAAGTTTTAGAAAGATTCTGTAGTAATGGAAAATTGTACAAATTTAAAAAATGGAATCTGTTAACTTCAGGAAGAACAAAAGGTAGAAAAATCAAGGCAATATAATCTTGGTACAACATTTGACTTAGCTGCAATGAATAAGACTTACATAGTCATAGAAGGTAAACACTGATTACTTACTTTACCAAAAATTATGATATCATCATATTGAAAGCCCAGAAGGAAGGGAAATAAAGGGAAATACAAGAGTGCTAAATCTTTTATTTTTCAATAAGTTGGTAATGTCTAAAATTAATAAGAAAATGGCAACCATAAGCCTAATGCTTAGAAATTCAGAAAAGTATCAGACTAAATTTTAAAGTCTACTTTAAACTGAGTCTTTGCTTTATAGTTGCATAAATAAATTCATTTTGATGGTTTTCTCAGAACAGATGAACTGGCTGGGTGCGGTGGTTCATGCCTGTAATCTTAGCACTTTGGGAGGCCAAGGCCGATGGCTCACTTCAAGTCAGGAGTTTGAGACCAGCCAAAAAATTAGCCGGGTGTGGTGGTGCACGTTTGTAATACCAGCTACTCAGGAGGCTGAGGCAGGAGAATCGCTTGAACCTGGGAGGCGGAGGTTGCAGTGAGCCAAGATGGAACGACTGCACTCCAGCCTGGGTGACACAGTGAGACTCCGTCTCAAAAAAACACAAAGAACAGATGAACTGTTTTCCTTTGAGGAATATTGATGATCCCACTGCTTGAGTAATGGAAACCAGCTTGCAGCTGATAGTTATTTTTTGTCTTTTTTCCTGTTCTATCCACTGTCCTAGGTTTGGAATTTCAGCTGGGCAGCTTCGATCCCACCACCTGTAGCCACTGAGGTTCACAGGCTCTGTTTGAGGTGTTGTGTTAGATTGTGCTGGGTTGGTTTTGCTGCTTATTGAGTGATGAAGAGCAACATATTAGCTACTGAGATATTTTGCAGAAAAAGGAAGAGATGTCTTCAGCTCAAATGCTATCAAACTTGTATGTCTTTTAACTTTTTATTATAAAAAATTTCAAACATATGCAAAAGCAAAAGACTAGTTTAATGAACCTTATGTACCCACCACCCAGTTTCAACAATTATCAGTTCCTGACAATTCTTGTTTCACCTATCCCACCTCTATTATACACACATACAAACACACAGACACCACACACACACACACACACACACACACGAGAGCAAAGTCAACTTCCATTATTTTGAAGCACATCCAAGACATCACATCACATTATTTATCACATTATTTATTAAGTTTCTTCAGTCACAGTCCATCTCACAGAAAGAAATCCCCCATGAGAAACTTTTAGGACATAGCTTTTATGTTAATTACTTAATTTCTGCACTAGCCATCCTTGCCTGCCTTCTAATTTTCTGCACTAGCTATCCTTACCTTCCTTCTAATTTTCTAACCTGCCAAGGATTCTGCTGCCTCAAGGTATTTGTTTCTTTCTGCCTGGATTGCTCTTTCGCAGATACTTACATGTCTCATTCTTTTTCACCCAGGTGAAATAAACAGCGTTGTTGCTCACACAAAGCCTGTTTGGTAGTCTCTTCACATGGACGCGTGTGACATTTGGTGCTGAAGACCCGGGACAGGAGGACTCCTTCAGGAGACGGGTCCCCTGTCCTTGCCCTCACTCCGTGAGGAGATCCACCTACGACCTCGGGTCCTCAGACCAACCAGCCCAAGGAACATCTCATGAATTTCAAATCGGGTAAGCGGTCTTTTCCATCCTCTCTTGCTACCCTTCAATCTCCCTCTCTCGCTACCCTTCAATCTCCCTGTCCTTCCAATTCCAGTTCTTTTTCCTCTCTAGTAGAGACAAAGGAGACACATTTTATCCGTGGACCCAAAATTCCGGCGCTGGTCACGGACTCAAGAAGACAGTCTTCTCTTGGTGTTTAATCACTGCAGGGACGACTGCCTGATTATTCACCCACACTCCATTGGTGTCTGATCACCGTGGGGGTGCCTGTCTTGGTCATTCACCCACATTCCCTTGGTGGCAAGTCAATTGCGGGGACGCCTGCTTTGGCTGCTCACCCACCCCCTTCTCCGTGTCTCTACCTTTCTCTTTAAACTTACTTCCTTCACTATGGGCAACATTCCGTCCTCCATTCCCCCTTCTACTCCCTTAGCCTGTGTTCTCAAGAACTTAAAACCTCTTCAACTCACACCTGACCTAAAACCTAAAAGCCTTATTTTCTTCTGCAATACCGCTTGGCCCCAATACAAACTCAACAGTAGTTCCAAGTGGCCAGAGAATAGCACTTTGGATTTGTCTGTCCTACAGGATCTAGATAATTTTTGTTGAAAAATGGGCAAATGGTCTGAGGTGCCTCAGATCCAGGCATTCTTTTACACACTGGTCCCTCCCTAGTCTCTGCTCCCAGTGCGACTCATCCCAAATCTTTCTTCTTTCTCTCCTGTCTGTTCCTTCAGTCTCCACCCCAAGCTCCGAGTCCTTTGAATCCTCCTTTTCTATGGACTCATCTGACCTCTCCCCTCTTCCCCAGGCTGCTCCTCACCAGGCTGAGCCAGGTCCCAATTCTTCCTCAGCCTCCGGTCCCCCACCCTATAATCCTTTTATCACCCCCTCCTCACACCGTGTCTGGCTTACAGTTTCTTTCTGTGACTAGCCCTCCCCTACCTGCCCAACAATTTCTTCTTAAAGAGGTGGCTGGAGCTGAAGGCATAGCCAAGGGTAATGCTCCTTTTTCTTTATCTGACCTCTCCCAAATCAGTTAGCGTTTAGGCTCTTTTTCATCAAATATAAAAACTCAACCCAGTTCATGGCCTGTTTGGCAACAACCCTTGGACACTTTACCGCCCTAGACCCAGAATGGCCAGAAGGCCGTCTTATTCTCAACATGCATTTTATTACCCAACCCACTCCCGACATTAGAAAAAGCTCCAAAAATTAGATTCCGGCCCTCAAACCCCACAACAGGACTTAATTAACATCACCTTCAAGGTGTACAATAATAGAGTAGAGGCAGCCAAGTAGTAACGTATTTCTGAGTTGCAATTCCTTGCCTCCACTGTGAGACAAACCCCAGCCACATCTCCAGCACACAAGACCTTCCAAATGCCTGAACTGCAGCGGCCAGGCATTCCTCCAGGACTGCCTACCCCAGGATCTTGCTTCAAGTGCCGGAAATCTGGCCACTGGGCCAAGGAATGCCCCCAGCCCAGGATTCCTCCTAAGCCATGTCCCATCTGTGCAGGACCCCACTGGAAATCGGACTGTCCAACCCGGCAGCCACTCCCAGGGCCCCTAGAACTCTGGCCAAAGGCTCTCTGACTGACTCCTTCCCAGATCTTCTCAGCTTAGCAGCTGAAGACTGATGCTGCCTGATCGCCTTGGAAGCCCCCTGGACCATTACGGATGCTGAGCTTTGGATAACTCTTACAGTAGAGGGTAGGTCCATCCCCTGTTTAATCGATATGGGAGCTACCCACTCCACATTACCTTCTTTTCAAGGGCCTGTTTCCTTTGCCCCTATAACTGTTGTGGGTATTGATGGCCAGGATTCTAAACCCCTTAAAACTCCCCCACTCTGGCACCAACTTGGACAACATTCTTTTATGTACTCTTTTTTAGTTATCCCCACCTGCCCAGTTCCCTTATTAGGCCAAGACATTTTAACCAAATTATCTGCTTCCCTGATTATTCCTGGACTACAGCCACATCTCATTGCCACCCTTCTTCCCAACCCAAAGCCTCCTTCGCCTCTTCCTCTCGTATCCCCCAACCTTAACCCACAAGTATGGGACACCTCCACTCCCTCCCTGGCAACCGATCAAACACCCATTACTATCCCATTAAAACCTAATCACCCTTACCTGGCTCAATGCCACTATTCCATCCCACAACTGGCTTTAAGAGGACTGAAGCCTGTTATCACTCGCCTGCTACAGCATGGGCTTCTAAAACCTATAAACTCTTCTTACAATTCTCCCATTTTACCTGTTCAAAAACCGGACAAGTCTTACAGGTTACCTCAGGATCTGGATCTTATCAACCAAATTGTTTTGCCTATCCACCCTGTGGTGCCCAACCCATACACTTGTTTGTCCTCAATACCTTCCTCCACAACTCACTATTCCGTTCTTGATCTCACAGATGCTTTTTTCACTATTCCCTACACCACTCATCCCAGCCTCTTTTGCTTTTACCTGGACTGACCCTGACACCCATCAGTCCCAGCAGCTTACCTGGGCTGTACTGCCGCAAGGCTTCAGGGACAGCCCTCATTACTTCAGCCAAGCTCTTTCTCATGATATACTTTCTTTCCATCCCTTCGCTTCTCACCTTATTCAATATATTGATGACCTTCTACTTTGTAGCCCCTCCTTTGAATCTTCTCAACAAGATACTTTTCAACATTTATTCTCCAAGGGATATCGGATGTCCCCCTCCAAAGCTCAAATTTCTTCTCCATCCGTTACCTACCTCAGTATAATTCTTCATAAAAACACATGTGCTCTCCCTGCTGATCATGTCTGACTGATCTCTCAAACCCCAACACCTTCTACAAAACAACAACTCCTTTCCTTCCTGGGCATGGTTGGATACCTTTGCCTTTGGATACCTGGTTTTGCCATCCTAACAAAACCATTATATAAACTCACAAAAGCAAACCTAGCTGACCTCATAAATCCTAAATCCTTTCCCCACTCCCCTTTCCATTCCTTAAAAAACAGCCCTAAAAGCTGCTCCCACACTAGCTCTCCCTAACTCATCCCAACCCTTTTTTCATTACACACAGCTGAAATGCAGGGCTGTGCAGTTGGAATTCTTACACAAGAGCCAGGACCATGCCCTGTAGCCTTTCTGTCCAAACAACTTGACCTTACTGTTTTAGGCTAGCCCCCACATTATTCCTGATACCACACCTGACCCCCATGACTGTATCTCTCTAATCCACCTGGCATTCACTCCATTTCCCCATACTTCCTTCTTTCCTATTCCTCACCCTGATCACACTTGGTTTATTGATGGCAGTTCCACCTGGCCTAATCGCCATTCACCAGCAAAGGTGGGCTATGCTATAGTAGTATCTTCCACATCTATCCTTGAAGCTACCGCTCTGCCCCCCTCCACTACCTCTCAGCAAGCTGAACTCATTGCCTTAACTCGAGCCCTCGCTCTTGCAAAAGGACTACATGTCAATATTTATACTGACTCTAAATATGCCTTCCATATCCTGCACCACAATGCTGTTATATGGGCAGAAAGAGGTTTCCTCAGTACGCAAAGGTCCTCCATCATTATTGCCTCCTTAATAAAAACTCTTCTCAAGGCCGCTTTACTTCCAAAGGAAGCTGGAGTCATTCACTGCAAGGGCCATCAAAAGGCATCAGATCCCATCGCTCAGGGCAATGCTTATGCTGATAAGGTAGCTAAAGAAGCTGCTAGCTTTCTAACTTCTGTCCCTCACGGCCAGTTTTTCTTCTTCTCATCAGTCACTCCCACCTATTCACCGACTGAAACTTCCACCTATCAATCTCTTCTCACACAAGGCAAATGGTTCTTAGACCAAGGAAAATATCTCCTTCCAGCCTCACAGGCCCATTCTATTCTGTTGTCATTTCATAACCTCTTCCATGTAGGTTACAAGCCACTAGCCCACCTCTTAGAACCTCTCATTTCCTTTCCATCATGGAAATCTATCCTCAAGGAAATCACTTCTCAGTGTTCCATCTGCTATTCTACTACCCCTCAGGGATTATTCAGGCCCCCTCCCTACCCTATACATCAAGTTCAGGGATTTGCCCCCACCCAGGACTAGCAAATTGACTCTATTCACATGCCCTGAGTTAGGAAACTAAAATACCTCTTGGTCTGGGAAGACACTTTCACTGGATGGGTAGAGGCCTTTCCCACAGGGTCTGAGAAGGCCACCACAGTCATTTCTTCCCTTCTGTCAGAAATAATTTCTCGGTTTGGCCTTCCCACCTTTATACAGTCCGATAACGGACTGGCCTTTACTAGTCAAATCACCCAAGCAGTTTCTCAGGCTCTTGGTATTCAGTGGAACCTTCATACCCCTTACCGTCCTCAATCTTCAGGAAAGGTAGAACGGACTAATGGTCTTTTAAAGACATCTCACCAAGCTCAGCCTCCAACTTAAAAAGGACTGGACAGTATTTTTACCTCTTGCCCTTCACAGAATTAGAGCCCGTCCTCGAGAAGCTACAGGGTACAGTCCATTTGAACTTTTATATGGACGCACTTTCTTGCTCAGCCCCAACCTCGTTCCAGACACCAGCCCTCTAGGCGACTATCTTCCAGTCCTCTGGCAGGCTAGACAGGAAATCCACCAGGCTGCTAATCTTCTCTTGTCTACTCCAGATTCCCAACTATATGAAGACACCCTAGCTGGACGATCAGTTCTTATTAAGAACCTGACCCCTCAAACTCTACAACCTCGATGGACTGGACCCTACTTAGTCATCTATAGTACCCCAACTGCCGTCCGCCTGCAGGATCCTCCCCACTGGGTTCACCGTTCCAGAATAAAGCTGTGCCCATCGGACAACCAGCCTAATCTCTCTTCTTCCTCCTGGAAGTCACAAGTACTCCCCACTACTTCCCTTAAAGTCACTCTCATTTCTGAAGAACAGTAATAACCCTTATGAGCCTAATACATCCCTTCATTCTATTAGCTCTATTCATCCTTACCCTACTTTTTGCAACAGGGCTTTACACAGTCACCCCCCCTACTTGGACTGAACCCCAAAAACTTGTCATCCCTACTATCTTCTGTTTACTCATACTCCCATTCACTATTCTCAACTACTCATAAATGCCCTAATCTTGTTTACATTGCCTGTTTACACTGTTTCTCTAAGCCATCACAGCTGGTATCTCCTGGTGCTATCCCCAAACCGCCACTCTTAACTCCCTCTTAGAGTGGATAGATGATATTTGCTGGCAGGGCAACCTCCAATATTTTCACTCTGATGAAGTTCTATTCTTTACTTTTATACTCACTCTTATTCTCATTCCCATTCTTATGCCACCCTCTACCTCTCCCCAGCTATCTCCACCACACTATCAATCTTACTCTCTCCTAGCCGTTTCTAATCCCTCCTTAGCGAATAATTGCTGGCTTTGCATTTCCCTTTCTTCCTGCACCTACACAGCTGCCCCCGCCTTATATACAGACTGGGCAACATCTCCTGTCTCCCTACACCTCCAAATTTCCTTTAACAGCCCTCATCTTTACCCTCCTGAAGAACTTCTTCACTTTCTAGACAGGTCCAGCAAGGCCTCCCCAGACATTTCACATCAGCAAGCTGCCGCCCTCCTCCACACTTACTTAAAAAACCTTTCTCCTTATATCAACTCTACTCCCCCCACATTTGGATCCCTCACAACACAAACTACTTTTCCTGTGGCTGCTCCTTTATGTATCTCTCAGCAAAGACCCACTGGAATTCCCCTGGGTAACCTTTCACCTTCTTGATGTTCATTCACTCTTCATCTCCAAAGCCCAACTACACACATCACTGAAACAACTGGAGCCTTCCAGCTCCGTATTACAGATAAGCCTTTTATCAATACAGGCAAACTTAAAAACATTAGAAGTAATTATTGCTTAGGAAGACACCCTGTATTTCACTCCATCCTTGGCTACCTTCCCCTTGCTCGTCAGACCCTCCTCCCAGGCCTTCTTGTTATACCCAGCCCCGTAAATAACAGTGAAAGGTTGCTCATAGACACTCGACGTTTTCTCATACACCATGAAAATTGAACCTCTCCCTCTACACAGTTACCCCATCAGTCCCCATTACAACCTCTGACGGCTGCCGCCCTAGCTGGATCCCTAGGAGTCTGGGTACAAGACACCCCTTTCAGCACTCCTTCTCATCTTTTTACTTTGCATTTCCAGTTTTGCCTGGCACAAGCTCTCTTCTTCCTCTGTGGATCCTCTACCTACATGTGTCTACCTGCTAACTGGACAGGCACATGCACACTCATTTTCCTTAATCCCAAAATTCAATTTGCAAATGGGACCAAAGAGCTTCCTGTTCCTCTCATGACACCGACATGACAAAAAAGGGTTATTCCACTAATTCCCTTGCTTGTCGGTTTAGGACTTTCTGCCTCCTCTATTGCTCTCGGTACTGGAATAGAAGGCATTTCAACCTCTGTCACAACCTTCCATAGCCTCTCTAATGACTTCTCCACTAGCATCACAGACATATCTTAAACTTTATCAGTACTTCAGGCCCAAGTTGACTCTCTGGCTGCAGTTGTCCTCCAAAACTGCCAAGGCCTTGACTTACTCACTGCTGAA
The DNA here is from genome assembly GCF_000001405.40 of Homo sapiens. Taxonomy (NCBI): domain Eukaryota; kingdom Metazoa; phylum Chordata; class Mammalia; order Primates; family Hominidae; genus Homo; species Homo sapiens. Next base: position 92,043,007 of record NC_000014.9, on the reverse strand, counting down.
AAAGGAAGGCGCTGTGTGTATGTGTGTGTGTATATATATATATATATATATATATATATATTTTTTTTTTTTTTTTTTTTTTTTTTTTTTGAGACGGAGTCTTGCTCTGTCACCCAGGCAGTGGCGCATCTCGGCTCACTGCTCACTGCAAGCTCCACCTCCTGGGTTCATGCCATTCTCCTGCCTCAGCCTCCCAAGTAGCTGGGACTATAGGCGCCTGCCACCACGCCCGGCTAATTTTTTGTATTTTTTTAGTACAGACAGGGTTTCACCATGTTAGCCAGGATGGTCTCGATCTCCTGACCTCATGATCCGCCTGCCTCGGCCTCCCAAAGTGCTGGGGTTATAGGCGTGGGCCACTGCGCCCGGCCGGGCTCTGTATATTTTTAAATGAAGAGTGTTCTTTTTACCTAAATCAATCTGGCCTGGTGTATGACAATATAAAAAAACTCAAGGACAGAGTCCAAAAACTTGCCAACCAAGCAAGTAATTATGCTGAACCCCCTTGGGCACTCTCTAATCGGATGTCCTGGGTCCTCCCAATTCTTAGTCCTTTAATACCTGTTTTTCTCCTTCTCTTATTTGGACCTTGTGTCTTCCGTTTGGTTTCTCAGTTCATCCAAAACCATATCCAGGCCATCACCAATCATTCTATATGACAAATGCTCCTTCTAACAACCCCACAGTATCACTCCTTACCACAAAATCTTCCTTCAGCTTAATCTCTCCCACTCTAGGTTCCCACACCACCCCTAATACCGCTCGAAGCAGCCCTGAGGAACATCGCCCATTATCTCTCCATACTACCCCCCAAAATTTTCACCACTCCAACACTTCAACACTATTTTGTTTTATTTTTCTTATTAATATAAGAAGACAGGAATGTCTGGCCTCTGAGCCAAGGCCTGCATGTATACATCCAGATGGCCTGAAGGAACTGAAGAATCACAAAAGAAGTGAAAATGGCTGATTCCTGCCTTAACTGATGACATTACCCTGTGAAATTCCTTCTCCTGGCTCAGAAGCTCCCCCACCAAGCACCTTGTGACCCCCCCGCCCCTGCCTGCCAGAGAACAACCCCCTTTGACTGTAGTTTTCCACTACCCACCCAAATCCTATAAAACTGCCCCACCCCTAACACCCTTTGCTGACTCTCTTTTGGGACTCAGCCCACCTGCACCCAGGTGAAATAAACAGCTTTATTGCTCACACAAAGCCTGTTTGGAGGTCTCTTCACACGGATGCCCGTGACAAGTGCCTGCCACCACATCCCACTAATTTTTGTATTTTTAGTAGAGATGGGGTTTCACCATGTTGGCCAGGCTGGTCTTGAACGCCTGACCTCAGGTGATCCACCTGCCTCGGCCTTCCAAAGTGCTGAGATTACAGGCGTAAGCCCCTGCACCCGGCCCTGTTTTTTTTTTTTTTTTTTTTTTTTACATCCCGGAGTCACACTGGATATCTGAATGTGCTTAAAATAAAATTCACATCTCATTCTGGAAGTGTTTATTAAATGCTGTCCCTGCATTCATGTGAACATCACAGCCCAGCGGTTAGATGTGCAGACTCCAACGCCTGACTGCCTGGGTCTGTCACTTACTAGCTGTATGACCTTGGATGGGTTACTTAACATTTCTGGGCACTGGTTTCTCATTAGTAAAATGAAGAATGGGCGCCTGTAGTCCCAGCTACTTGGGAGCCTGAGGCAGGAGAATCGCTTTAACCCGGGAGACGAGGTTGCAGTGAGCCTAGGTCCCGCCATTGCACTCCAGCCTGGGCCACAGAGCGAGGCTCCATCTCAAAAAATAAAATTTAAAAAAAAAAAATTCAGCTTTCACGGAGAATTACTACTGCCTGGTGCCATCAGATCCCAAATACTGGAGGCATTCCCAATGTTCTGTTCACAAACTGTGCAATCTGTGATAGCCCCTCTTGTGAATATAATCAAAGTGAAAGATGCCAGTATACTTATTGCTATGCTTAAAAGAACTGCAGATCTATCATATCCTTTTGAAACCAAAAAATGTGGAAGTCTCCCTGGCTAGATGCTGTGTGTCCACGTATCCTGCACCAATTGCTTGAAAGTCACATGACAACCTTTCTTCCTTTAGGGAAGGAAGCAAGCAAGGTAGGACTCTGTGTGTTACAGCCAGTGTGGGTAACTAAGGACTGAGGGAGGTGTGGGCACTTGCATAGCTAGTGCCGCCAATACCATAGGAGCGTTGACACTAAACGGCACTTCTCTATTAAGTTGCCCTGCTGTCTTCTAACGAGTCATTTTGAAAAACGGTTGTCCGTTTTTCAACTACTTGGGTGAGGGCAGCTTCATGAAAAAAGCTCATCGTATGTTAAAGAAGGTAGGGTTTCAATTGTGAGCTATAAAGCCACCAGAGGAGATTTCTCCTATAGAAGGAAGGTGTGTTTCCTGCTTGGACACCTGAATTTGCAACCCATCCTTTCTTTTTTCCTTTTTCCTTTTTTTTTTTTGCAACCCATCCGTTCTATCTTTGTAGCCTCAGCTCCTACCATAGTGCCTGTCACGGAGCAGCTAATCGACACAGTGACGCGTGTAAGTTATTTGAAGCCACTTCCTGCGCAGTGGAACGTCCCCGCCAAGTCTCCCGGCACTGCTGGGTGTAGTCCCAATTAAAACACTAGGTTTCAACAACACAAGGAGGGTCCGCAGGGTCCCCGGACTACCCACCAAGGGTCGGCTCTGCTTTGAAACGCAGCTGCAGGAGGCCGAGGAGCGCCGCGATGCCCCAGTTATCCAGGCCATTCCTTCCCCGGCCGAAGCTGGCCGCCTGCATGCACCTAACCTTGCGCTAGGCACTGGCTGCGGTTAATCCAGCCCGCGCTCGGTCCTCCGCGATCCCAGCCTCCCTTGCGCCAAGGACACGTCCGGCGGCTTCGCGGGGCCTGTCTACGCCACCGCGGCGCTTTTCTATGATCCGCTGCCGCTTTCCGAGCGAGTGTCATGGCGGCCGGCGTCGAGTTGGCAGGAGTAACCCACGGAACTGAGGAAAGTCATTAGAGCTGAGAAAGAAGTGGCCCAATCTGGACGGTGGGAATTCGTGGGAATGAGCAGAAGGCCCTCCGTAGGTGACTGTGTCACTAGAGGCGGGCCCCTGGTAAAATTCCAGGCCAGGCCTCTGCGTTTCTAGGCAGAACCTGGAGTCGGCCTTGCCTGAGAACCCAGCTTTGTGTTATCGTATCCTGTCTCGCGAAGGCAGGCGTTCAAGGATATTTGGTCGGATCGCCCGGCGGCGCTAAACGTTTTCTTTTTTCCGAGCGGACCGGGTCGTTCTCTAAACTCGCCGCGATGTCGTCCTGGCTTGGGGGCCTCGGCTCCGGATTGGGCCAGTCTCTGGGTCAAGTCGGGGGCAGCCTGGCTTCCCTCACTGGCCAGATATCAAACTTTACAAAGGATATGCTGATGGAGGGCACGGAGGAAGTGGAAGGTAACAGCTGGAGCGAGGGAAGGGAGGGCTTTTCTAAGACCCTGGGAACGTCCGTTTGGTCCCTACTTCCATCAGTCAGGAGACGCGGACAGGTCGCAAAGGAATGCTGCTCCTCCCTTTTTTCTTCACACACCTCCTCTTGCCTCTTCTCAACAGATTTTCTATGATGAAAGACCACTGGGGGCCAGGGGAAGAGTCCTGGTTCTCCTCTCTTTAAATATTCTGGATATCTCAAAGTACAGTAGAGTGAAACTGCTCCTACGTTAAGTCGAGTTTATTTTCGTTTGGTTGATCCACGCCCACCACTTTGCCCTCAGTTTGGGGGCTGATCTCATTCTTAACATCTTCCTGTATTCTGACCCAGTTTAAAGAATTGTATATCTGTTTTCTATTTTTGTAACAGTTGAAATAACTCATAATTTAAACACTTGGTGAGTTTTGCTCTTTTCTGTCTTGAGTATGTTATGAAACACGGCCATGTTTTTCTATTTAATTATTTTTTACTTTTCCTTATTGTGATGATACATTATAGCGTTCCAGCTGAGAATGTATTTTTGTGTATAATCGCCCATTTCGCCCATATTTCGACAGTAGAATAGGGAAGACAACCCTATTCTTAAGGTACCCTTAGCAATCTTCACTCATTTTTGAAGTCCTCAATCTCGTTTTACTAATGAATAGTGACCCAGAGTTACATGGTAATCAATGGCTACATTAGTTACTATCCATTAATTACTATTTTGATTTCTTGGCATTTTAGTAAGCAATGTTTGGATCAAAACAGTTTTTAAGTTTCAATCTAAGTCTGCTCCAGGGAGATAATGGGCTGTTCTTTTGGGTGAGAGCTGCTGCTTTGACAATTGTATTTCTTATAAATAAATTTAATAAATTAGTATTCTGGCTTAGTTTTTTTTTTTAATTGCTAATTTAACAGATCCTTCATATTTATTTGGTAGAAATCGGGAAAGATTGTTTGATAGAAAGATAATGCTTATGTTTTGAATTTCTGTGGGGTCTATTTAGATGGAAGGAAGAATAGACTGGGGAGCTACCGAAATCCATTTTACCGCTTTACGTTCCCCATGCCATAAAGGTGCATCAGTGAGACAGCTTTGGGGATAGAAATGAAAGGGCTTCTTTATGTGTGGGGGAAAGCATGGGACCTTGAGGGCAGTCAGAAGCACAGAAGGGCTGGATAACTATGGGAAATGACTGGTCGCTCCTTGTATCCTAGATAGGGGAAAACGGTTGGCTGTTCCTTAGACCCTAAGCCAGAGAATATGCATCCCTCAACCTGGATGTCTTCCAGGTTTAAGGTGGTGTTCATTTTGTTCTCCTGCCAAATGTGCTGTTTTCTCATTCTTAATAGCTTCACTCTCAGTTTCCTAAACTGTAAATCTTCGTGTCCTTGTTTTATGTCTTTTTTCATCTCCTACTTCCAGTTGGTCATGATATCTTGTTTATCCTATGCCAGAATTGTCCTTTGCTTTATTACTCCTTATTCTTTAGATCCCTATAATCTTTCCCAGGGACTATTCCTCTTTCATGTCCTGTCACCCATTTCTCCCTACCCCAGTCCATTTTCTATTGTATTGTCAGTTACTTTCTAAAAACAAACCTGCGTAAAAATTTCTTGACCCTGTTACAGAATAAAATCCAAACCTCTTAGTTTTGGACTGAGTCTCACTCTGTTGCGTAGGCTGGATGCAGTGGCGCGATCTCGGCTCGCTGCAACCTTCGCCTCCCGGGTTCAAGCAATTCTCCTGCCTCAGCCTCCCAAGTAGCTGGGATTACAGGCGTGTGCCACCACACCTGGCTAATTTTTGTATTTTTAGTAGAGATGGGGTTTCGCCATGTTGGCCAGGCTGATCTCGAACTCCTGAGACCGCAGGTGATCCTCCTGCCTTGGCCTCCCAGAGTGCTGGGATTACAGGCGTGAGCCACCGCACCCGACCTTCAATGTACCTTTTCTAGTTGCCATACCAGTTGCTGTACATGTGCACATATATATGCTTGCTTGTACGCACAGCTTCTGTCGTGTGGGATTTTGTCAGGCACTTACACAACTTCAAGCCTCTACATGGAAAGCCCTTTCTTCTCTATTTCCTCCTTCACCCAGAAAACAATTCTCCTGTACAACCCTGCTCATATGTCAGGTACTTAAGTACTTGGTGAACCATTCTGACTCCCACACAGGTTGAGTTGTTGAGTTGAATGTTGGTGATCTGTGTTCTAACAGAACTTTGTGGATCTCTCCCTGACAGCATTTAACATGTTGAGTTATAATTTATCTGTTTTCCTGATGCCCAGCGTGAGGACTGAATTTTTTTGCTCCTTATATTACCAAATATGTGACACCTTCCTTTTGGCACATAGTAGATGCTCAATAAAAATGGCACAAGTGCGTGATTAGAAATCTGCAAAGTTGCTTAATGCCTTTATTCTTTCCCCTTTGTATTTCAATCGGACTTGCTTAACACCTAATTTATTGATTTTGTAAATTTTTAAAAATAGGGGTCTGGCCAGGTGTGGTTCATACCTGTAATCTCAGCATTTTGGGAGGCTAAAGTGGGAGGATAGCTTAAAGCCAGGAGTTGAGGACTAGCCTGGGCAACATAGGGAGATCTCATCTCTACAAAAAGTTTTTAGCTGGGCATGGCTGCATGTGCCTGTAGTCTCACCTACTTGGGAGGCTGAAATGGGAGGTTTGCTTGAGCCCAGTAGTTAAAGGCTCCAGTGAGCTGCGATTGCACCACTGAACTCCAGCCTGGGTGACAGAGACGACCCTGTCTAAAAAAATAAAGGGAATGGAGGGTCAGAGTACAGTTCTTTTATTCATTGAACAAGTATTTATTAGTGTTTACCCTGTGTCAGTAATGAAAAATAAAACAGTTCCAAAATAGCACTATGTGGACAACTTGAAAGCCATCCATATTTACAATATCAGAAGGTTGCAGTTTTACCTAACACTACTGATTTATTCAAGGTTAGGAGCTTGGGCTTTTAAATCAGAGAGACATGGGTTGAAATTCTGCTTTTGTGCATTACAAGTTGTGGGATTTTTGGCAAATTATTAGAAATTAACCTCCAAAAGCACAGTTTCCTTATATGTTGAATAGGGATAATCATACCTATTGTGAGGTTGAGAGGATTAAATGAAATCATGAGTGTAAAATGCCTGGAATTGTGTCTACCGAATCGTAAACATTAATGAATGGTAAATGTCATATTTGCCCTTATTGACAAAGTCAGAATATTTTTGTCTGCATAATATCTCCCCTTTGTACTTAAAAAGGCCAAGTTTTTCTTGTTGGGGGAGGTGTGGAGTTTGCATGGACTTGTAAAATCCCTCTTTAAAATAGTTGCTGCTTTTAACAATTACCTTCCTAAACAAATTAGATTATAACTTGTCCTCTTCAGAGTAGCAATTAAACAGTCCTTTCATAGTTTCAAGCAAGATGTACAACCAACCACAGATGTAACCCTACCTGGTGATTTTCTAAACAAGAGTGTTTGTCACTGTAATTACTGCATGCTTCTTTTGATTTAAACCAAGCTTGTCCAACCTGTGGTCTGCAGGCCACATGTGGCCCAGGATGGGTTTTGAATGAGACCCAACACAAATTCATAAACGTGCTTAAAATGTTATGAGTTTTTCTGGCTGGGCGCGGTGGCTCACACCTGTAATCCCAGCCCTTTGGGAGCACTTTGAGGAGGGCCTCAGGATCACCTGAGGTCAAGAGTTTAAGGCCAGCCTGGCCAACATGGTGAAACCTCGTCTCTTTACTAAAAAATACAAAAATTAGCCGGGCATGGTGGCGCAGGCCTATAGTCCCAGCTACTGGGGAGGCTGAGGTGGGAGAATCACTTGAACCCAGGAGGCAGAGGTTGCAGCGAGCTGAGATTGTGCCACTACACTCCAGCCTGGGCGACAGAGCGAGACTCTGTCTCAAAAAAAAAATAAATAAATAAATAAATAAAAAATGAGGTTTTTTGCGATTTTTTTTTTTTTAAAGCTCATTAGCGATTGTTAGTGTATTTTATGTATGGCCCAAGACAGTTCTTCCAGTATGGCCCAGGGAAGCCAAAAGATTGGACACTCCTAATAAACTGTAGTCCAGATAAGTTATTTTTATATTAAAGAGCTGTGAGTAATGAAAAAAATACTAGTACTTAGAAAAAAAATCTAACTCTGGATGATGATTTTCTTTTCTTTTCTTTTTTTTGAGACCGAGTCTTGCTCTGTCGCCCAGGCTGGAGTGCAGTGGCACGATCTTGGCTCACTGCAGCTTCTGCCTCCCCAGTTCAAGCAATTTCTCCTGCCTCAGCCTCCTAAGTAGGTGGGATTACAGATTATAGGCACCTACCACCATGACTGGCCAGTTTTTTTTTTTTTGTATTTTTAGTAGAGATGGAGTTTTGCCATATTGGCCAGGGTTGTCTTGAACTCCTGACCTCAAGTGATCCACCTGCCTTGGCCTCCCAAAGTGCTGGGATTACAGGCATGAGCCACCGAGACCAGCCAGATGATGATTTTCTAACAGCATTAGTGGTGCCATGTTGACACTGCTGGGCTCTCACTCTACTTTTAAATGAAAATGTACAAAACCAAGGGCCATGCATGGTGACTTACACTTGTAATCCCAGCACTTTGGGAGGCTGAGTGTGGAGGATTCCCTAAGGCTAGGAGTTCGAGACCTGCCTGGGCAACACAGTGAAACCTCATCTCTCCAAAAAAGTAAAAAAATTAGGTAGGTGTGGTCGCATGTGCCTGTAGTTCCAACTACTTGGAAGGCTGAAGCGAGAGAGTTTGAGGCTACAGTGAGCCATGATCACACCACTATACTCCAGCCTAGGTGGCAGAGTGAAGTGAGACCCTTTCCAAGAAAATTAAAAAATAAAGATGAAAATGTAGAAAACCAGACTGAGCTCATTCCCATTTTTAATAAATTGTGTCTATGTTACTTTAAATAAGTGTTCTCAGTGTATTTTTCTTCGTTTATAGGTCACTTATTATTTGATAGTATTGAGAGCAGAAGTTAGTGACAGAGCAGGAGCACTGTTGTTATCTCAGACAAACAGTGCCACTTTAAGTTCCAGCTCCCTTTCCTTTTTTTTTTTTGGAGACAAGAGTCTCACTCTGTAACCCAGGCTGGAGTGCAGTAGCACAGTGTCGGCTCACTGCAACCTCCACCTCCCAGGTTCAAGCAATTCTCCTGCCTCAGCCTCCTGAGTAGCTGGGATTACAGGCGTGTGCCACCACACCCGGCTAATTTTTGTATTTTTAGTAGAGACGAGGTTTTACCTGTTGGCCAGGCTGGTCTCAAACTCCCGATCTCACGTGATCCGCCCACCTTGGCCTCCCAAAGTGCTGGGATTACAGGCGGTGAGCCACCGTACCTGACCTCCAGCTCCCTTTCTAGCCTCATGCATTTCAAGGAAGTCACTTCTCTTCTAACTACAAGCAGCCAGAAAAAGCAGACAGTAAAACACATACAGAGGGAGTGCTCGGGCACAAAGGGAGGTGGGGGTAAAGTCTCTTGGGTAACTGCCAAACTTCACTCTCATACAGTGGGCCCCAGTAAAGCAGTGGGCCTTAGAAAGCACATTCCTTTCCCTTCAGGTGCACTAAAATAGGGAAGCTAAAGCAGACTCGGGGGGTATGCCTGCAGCTCTAGAATAAATGGAACAAATACACAACTCTCCCTCCCAGATAAGCACTACAAAAAAACACAGAAGCAGTCTAAGCCTCTAATAAATTCTCCCACCCTAAATCCTTAAAAACTCTTAGTCTGGAAAAGAGTGTGCCTCTAACCTAACTCAGCCGAACACCCCTCTCAGGTTTGTTTTCTCTAAAATAAACCTGTCTTAACTGGCAAGCCACCCTTTGTGTTTCTCTCCTCTTTCTTTAATTCTTACAGTTAGAAATAAGGCCTAAAGCCCCAGTTGAGTAAGCTTCATCTAAAATTATAGCAGCATTAGCCCACAGAGAAATAGTTTTAATTTCTAAAGCTTAATTTCCCACAACAAAATTCTAATGAACATTTCTAAGGGGTAAAGGTAGACATCCTAAGATACAGGGCATAGGCAAAAAGAATGACTTTTATGACAATGAAGAACATTAGTGTCAGTGAAAAGTTGTTATGGAAATAAAGCGATTTGTTTCTTCTGAATGCTTTCATATCAGCCTACTATTCTGTGTAAACTCAGTGAAATATATTTTCTTGAAAATACCTATTTATTACTTCATATGGTATTGATTAAATATTCAATATTTGTTATTTCTCTTGTAGCAGAATTACCTGATTCTAGGACAAAGGAAATTGAAGCCATTCATGCAATCTTGAGATCAGAGGTAAGAAAAATCAAAGACTACTTAGATTTTTCTTTTTTGAAGTCATGAAGGTTACTCAAACATTACTTTGATCCTTTCTTTTTAAATGTACTGCTTAGCACTTTTTTTCTCTTCTTGTTTAATTTTGATTGTTTTTTGAGCTTTTATCAACCTTCTGTAGATGAAAAATATATTTACCTGTTACTGCAGTTTGCTATTCTTTAATATTCCCATCTCTATTTCTGTATAAGTAGGAAAACTGCCAAATGTAGAAATAATAGTATCAATAATTTATCATAATCCAGAGTTTACTGTGTTCTAACAGCATACTAAATTGCAGTGGCACATTTATTTAAGAATAATTTTTTTTTTTTTTTTTTGAAACGGGGTCTCACTCTGTCACCCAGGCTGGAGTGCAGTGGCACTATCTTGGCTCACTACAACCTCCACCTCCTGGGTTCAAGCAATTCTTCTGCCTCAGCCCCCCGAGTAGCTGGGACTACAGGTGCACGCTACCACACCCAGCTAATTTTTGTATTTTTAGTAGAGACAGGGTTTCACCACATTGGCCAGGCTGGTCTCAAACTCCTGACCTCGTGATTCACCCGCCTTAGCCTCCCAAAGTGCTGGGATTACAGGCGTGAGCCACCACGCCCAGCTAAGTATAATATTAAGAATGCAATTCTGTTTAACCTGGAGCTTTTTAAACACTAAAATGATAATAATATTTGGATACAAAAAAGTTAAGAATATAGGAATAGCAGCCAGGCACAGTGGCTCATGTCTGTAATCTGAGCACTTTGGGAAGCCGAGGTGGGTGGATCACTTGAGATCAGGAGTTTGAGACAAGCCTGGACAACATGGTGAAACCCCATCTCTAACTAAAAATACAAAAAAATTAGCTGGATGTGGTGGTGCACACCTGTAATCCCAGCTACTCAGGAGGCTGAGGCAGGAGACTTGCTGGAAACTGGGAGGCGGAGGTTGCACTGAGCCGAGATCACGCCATTGCATTCCAGCCTGAGTGACAGAGAAAAACTCCATCCAAAAAAAGAAAAAAAGGATACAGGAATAGCAAATTAATTTTAATGTTTTATTCATTATTAGGGTCTAGATTGGGCGCAGTGGCTCATGCCTGTAATCTCAGCGCTTTGGGAGGTGGAGGTGGGAGGATGGCTTGAGGCCAGGAGTTTGAGACCGGTTACAAAAAATAAAGATAAAAAAATTAGTCAAGGTGTGGTGGTGGGTGTCTGTAGTCCCAGCTACTTGTGAGGCTGAGGTGGGAGGATCACCTGATCTTAGGGCCCAGGAAGTCAAGGCTGCGGTGAGCTGTGATCCTGCCACTGTATTCCAGCCCGGGCAACAGAGTGAGACCTTGTATCAAAAAAAGAAAAAGACATTTTAATAATTTAAATACAGCAAATCCAAATTTTTATTTAATTTTTTTCTGGTTTTGAAAGCATAAAGACTCAAAATAAGCAATGTTCTTTGAATTCAGTGAACTGCTTTTTAACCCTTAATTGTATAACCTGGAATATCTTTATCTTGTAAAATATTGATTCCAAAGTTCAGTTACCTCTCTAATAGATTTCAGGTTATTATTACTTCTAGTTCTTTTCGTTGTGGTTGTTGCTTTGAGACATGGTCTTGCTTTTTTGCCCAGGCTGGAATACAGTGGCACAGTCATAGCTCACTGCAACCTTGAACTTCTGGGCTCAAGTGATCCTTCTGCTTCAGCCTCTTGAGTAGCTGGTACCACAGGCATGCAACACCGCACCCAGCTAATTTTTAAAGATTTTTTTGTAATAGGCCAGGCACGGTGGCTCATGCCTGTAATCCCAGCACTTTGGGAGGCTGAGGTGGGCAGATCACTTGAGGTCAGCTTGGTCAACATGGTGAAACCCTGTCTCTACTAAAAATACAAAAATTAGCTGGATATGGTGGTGGGCGCCTGTAATCCCAGCTACTTGGGAGGCTGAGGCAGGAGAATCACTTGAACCCGGGATGTGGAGGTTGCAGTGAGCCAAGATCGTACCATTGCACTCCAGCCTAAGCAAGACTCCATCTCCAATAAATAAGTAAGTAAGTAAGTAAATAAAAAAATAAATAAATAAATAAAATTTTTTGTAGAGACGATGTCTTGCTCTGTTGCCCAGGCTGGTCTCAAACTCCTGGCTTCAAGCAGTCTTTCCACCTTGGCCTCTGAAAGTGCTGGGATTACAGGCATGAGCCACATGCCCAGCCTGGTTCTTGATTGTGTCATTAAAAGCAATACTTTTGAAAATTTTAATGGCTCATGATTTTATTGAAGAGATGATGGCTGTCATCTTTGCTCTATAATTTCAAAAGCATGTTTATTCTTAGATTTATAAATGCCAATTAGAATGATCAGTCCACTGAGTTTTTTTCATTTCTGTGTCATCTGTTTCCTCCCAGTTGCCTTTGTGTACACACCTGCTTTCAGCCTTCTACATATGAACATATCAAGTAAATGTTGGTGTACAAATATACATGATGAAAGAATACTGTCACATGGCCAGGCATGGTGGCTCACGCCTGTAATCCCAGCACTTTGGGAGGCCGAGGTGGGTGGATCACCTGAGTTCGAGACCAGCCTGACCAACATGGAGAAACCCTGTCTCTACTAAAAATACAAAATTCGCTGGGCGTGGTGGCACATGCCTGTAATCCCAGCTACTTGGGAGGCTGAGGCAGGAGAATCACTTGAACCTGGGAGGTAGAGGTTGCGGTGAGCCAAGATCCCACCATTGCACTCCAGCCTGGGCAACAAGAGCGAGACTCTCAAAAAAAATAAAAAATAAAAATAAAAAAAGAATACTGTCATGTATCTGCTTAGCAAAATGAAATGGTTTAAGTCCTTGTCACAAAATAATGCAGAGTGAAGTATTTTCCTGTTGAATGACTAATTGATCTGAAAGCCATATTTCTTTTTTGTTCTTAAAAATATATTATTCACTCATCAATTCTTTTTTTTTTTTTTTTTTTTTTGAGACGGAGTCTCGCTCTGTCGCCCAGGCTGGAGTGCAGAGTGCAGTGGCGGGATCTAGGCTCACTGCAAGCTCCGCCTCCCGGGTTCACGCCATTCTCCTGCCTCAGCCTCCCAAGTAGCTGGGACTACAGGCGCCCGCCACTACGCCCGGCTAATATTTTGTATTTTTAGTAGAGACGGGGTTTCACCGTTTTAGCCGGGATGGTCTCGATCTCCTGACCTCGTGATCCGCCCGCCTCGGCCTCCCAAAGTGCTGGGATTACAGGCGTGAGCCACCGCGCCCGGCCCACTCATCAATTCTTGACTTTTAGAAAATTCTTCCAGGATATTGCCATCTGAAGATTTGTGTAAGATTTCACTTCTACAGTCAGTTTCACCATAACCATTAGACTCTAGGATGCTGCTTTCTGTCTCTGCATTAATCTTCTAAGTTGTCTAATAATTGTGAATGTTTTCCTTTGTCAGTTTTCTTCTCTTCATCAAATAATTAAAAATTCTGAGTTTTTAACTGTGTTCGATGAAAGAGAAAAAACAAAACTACAAAAAGTGGTGTCTGTAGACAGCTGTTTTCTTTTAAAAAGATGATATAGGCCAGGCATGGTGGCTCACGCCTGTAATCCATGATTACAGGCTCATGCCTGTAAACTTTGGGAGGCTGAAGTGGGCGGATCATGAGGTCAGGAGTTCGAGACCAGCCTGACCGACATGGTGAAACCCCATCTCTACAAAAAATACAAAAATTAGCCGGGTGTGGTAGCACGTGCCTGTAATCCCAGCTATTCAGGAGGCTGAGGCAGGAGAATTGCTTGAACCTGGGAGGCAGAGGTTGCAGTGAGCCGAGATTGTGCCAGTAAACTCCAGCCTGGGTGACAGAGTGAGACTCCATCTCAAAAAAAAAAAAAAAAAAAAAAAAAAAAAAAAATAATACTTTGGGCAATGCAGTCAGAAAACTGGTTATTTTACCATTGCATCATTCTCCTAGGTGATTTCATAAGTTTTCCGTTTTCTTGTTATTGTCATTTTTAAAATAGTTGGGAATAATTTTTTAAATGATTTTTTAAAATTCCCATGATAGTAAAAGAGCCAAATGTTTTAAGATACAGAAAATACAAGTTGATTTTGCTCCCATGATTTTTCTTAGATTTATAAAAAGATCCACGGTACCCTATGGTAATTGTAAGATAGAATGTTTTATTCTATTTTTGAAAATAGGTAAATTTTCTCTTTGTTGGTAGACCCCTCAGAAAGAATAAAAATCATAAATATCAAGTTTTACGAATAGTTAGGACTGCCTAAAAAAGAAATTAAGTTGATTTCAGTGGACCCTAATGGTATAACCAAAGATTAAGCAGGACGGAATATTTTAAGATGTGAGTGTCCTATGGATTTCAATAGCAGAAATGTAGTCTGACTTTAGAAGGACTGCAGCTAGAACTGGAGGCCATCAGGAGTCTGTCTCTCTTTTCATTTGTACTCTCTTTTCTTCTTTCTATGCATTTATTCTTTTCTCCTTTCAGACCAGCCCCCTCTGTTCAATATTCCATATAATAGAAAATATTATCTCTGGCAACTCTTTTCATATTTTATGGGTTCGGCCACATGAAGAGAAACTGTCCTTCATTTGCTCTCTCAGCCTTTCTTTTTGTTTTGAGACAGGGTCTTGCTCTGTCACCCAAGTTGGAGTGCAGTGGTGTGATCATGGCTCCCCTGCAGCCTTGACCTCTCAGGTTCAAGCAGTCTTCCCTCCTCAGCCTCCTGAGTAGCTGGGACTATGGGTGCAAGCCAACATGCCCAGCTAATTTTGTATTTGTATTTTTTGTTCCTTATGTTGCCCAGGCTGGTCTTGAACTCCTGGGCTCAAGTGATCCTCCTGCCTCAGCCTCCCAAAGTGCTGAGATTACAGGCATGAGCCACCACGCCTAGCCCTTTCTCAATCTTTCTGACTCTCATATGGCTATGGAGATGAGGGCAGACAACCAAGTAGATATTGACCATATTCAAAGTTTCACAGTTCTATTTATTAATCAGAGTTAAATAAATAACCTTAGGTATTTTTGTGTGAAAAAAAACCTGAAGTGAACTTTTATAACCAGGGTTTGACTTCAGTATATTATATCGCTGAGTTATGTATGGTGTTTTTCATATAAACAGCTTACAGAAAGTCATGCAAAAGCAGCCAGTAGAATAGAAGGTAATCAGCTGTTGGGACCATTGGTCCTGTTTCTTACTACTAGTTCTTCAGGATAATTAAGGTCTGTGTTAGATTTCTGGGGATAGAGTCCCAAACTAGGATTTGTGGATGCTGTAATTATTCCTTTGATTATTCCATTGGTTTTCTCTGGGAATTTATGTAATCTTCCTGGATCATTATTTTCACATCTGTTGACATCAGAAGTTCCTAGAATCTAAGAAGAAAACAAATGACATCCCCAAAGTGAAAAAGTCTTCACCTTTTAGCAAGAGCTTTCTTTCTCACTATCAGTCTTCTTTTTCTCATTCATTGTTGTTAAACCGTGTTTGTGGGTATATTAGTAGAATGCTTAGTAAATTGTTATCTGCAATTATTTGTAAATTCTTTTTTGTAGAGAGTTTTAGTGTCCATTTCTTTTGCCCCATTATGTTCTTTTTGTTGTTGTTGTTAGAACAACTCAGCAAAACAAAATTCCTGTTTATTGTTGGACAACATTGTCTCACACATACATCAGACAGGCCAAAAAAAATAAACAGCAACTTCATAGACAAAAAAGGAAAAAAAAGAAACCTTTTATTTTTGGCCTTTTTAACCATCTCATACAAACCAACTACTTATAGTACAGCTAAGTACATACACAAAAAAGTTATTGGAATGCTCGGAATAAGATTGTTTTTCTGTTGTCGTTTTTGCTTTTTTTACAAGGTTTTTTTTCTGCTTTGAGATTATAATGAATATGGTCACACCACAAGTAAAGTCAGAAGTAGGACAAAGAACACTCCGAAGGCTGGTTTGGTCATCCGAGATCATTAAAAATGGCTGACCCTAACAATATGTACAAAAATATAAAATGAAAATAAAAAATACAAATTTCCTTTTTAAAATACTTTTAAGAAAAAAAGCAGGGCCTTGGAAGTTTTGGTTCTTTTTCCTCCCCTGTTGCAAATTCTCATGGTTTGGGTTGCGTGGTGGAGAGCGCGTGTCATCTGCTGGTGGCACTGCCCACGGTGGGCGGGCGGGCCTCTCTACTTGAAGGTGACCACGTTTAGATTCTGAGAGGGGAAGTGGAGGGTGAATAGGTCGCGGCGGCCTTTTTTTTAGTTTAACTTTTCCTTTTTTGCTGTCTAGTCATCCTCGTCGGTCTTCTGCTTCTTGGTATCAACATCGTCATCCTCATCATCTTCAGCTGCCCACTTGCCGGTAGCTGACTCAGCTTCCTCATCTTCATCTCCATCCTTCTTCCTCACCCTCACCTTCTTCTTCCTCCTCCTCTTCCTCCCCACCTTCTTCCTGTTCTTCATCTACTTCATTGTCAGCCTCTTGCTCCCCATTTTCCTCGTCAGCAGGGGCGTCTCTTCCATTTTCCGCCTCTTCCACAACTTCCTTCTTCTCCTTTAAGTCCTTGGTGGTGATTTCGGAGCTGGTGTCCACGGCTGCGTCTGACATGGTAGGGCACGCCAGTGATCCGATGCAGGGGATTAAAAAGAAAGCGAGAGTTCAGGGACTCTGGCGATAAAGCTGCCGGCTGCGGCGAGCAAGGAGGCGGACGAGGAACAATGCAAAGATGGCTTTTCAGAGCAGCCAGTGGGGCGCCCCATTATGTTCTTATTATTTCATTCAAATAAGGAATGATAATAGGTTAAGATAATTTAATATTTAGGTACATACAATTTGAGTAATTTTTTTCATGTTTTTCAACATCTTAAAAGACAGTGTGTAATGTCTAGGTTCATTGAATTAGGCTATTTTGTGTACTTTTAACTTTTTTCAAACAGTTCTAGTAGTGGTTTTCAAATTGGATTTTTTCCGAGGTCCTTCAGGGACCCTGAAAGACAAGCAAATTATGTGAGATTTTAGCCTCCTCCCTGTACTTCAACCAGAAAGATTTCTTTTTAAAAAAAGTTCTGTTTGGGGAAGAAAACAAAAGTTCAAACATGTAATCCATTTATTTACTAGACATGTATTGACTGCTGTGTGCTAGAACTGGGTATACAAAGATGGGGAAACATTGATTCGTGGCCTTTTCTTAGCAGAAAATCAATCTGAGCAAAATGTTAATATTTCACTGTTTGGTTTAGAATTATGCATATTCTGTCTGTATAAACATGGTCAGTGCTTTTTTTTTTTTTTTTTGAGACGGAGTCTCGCTCTGTCACCAGGCTGGAATGCAATGGCATGATCTCGGCTCACTGCAACCTCCGCCTCCCGGGTTCAAGCAATTCCCCTGCCTCAGCCTCGCGAGTAGCTGGGATTACGGGCACACGCCACCACGCCCGTCTAATTTTTTTTTGTATTTTAGTAGAGATGGGGTTTCCCTATGTTGGCCAGGATGGTCTCGATCTCCTGACCTCATGATCTGCCTTGGCCTCCCAAAGTGCTGGGATTACAGGCGTGAGCCACAGTGCCCGGCTGGTCAGTGCATTTTTAACTTTAATTTAAAAGCATATTTTAAAGTCCAGAATTCTGTCCGAGACCTTTTATATTTGACATTTTTGGGGGGGGAAAGCAGTACGTTTTTCATAATGCTGTGCACATAACTAATTACATGTTTTACTTGCAGTCTTTTTGTTGAAAATACTTTTTTTTTCTAGAATGAAAGGCTTAAGAAACTTTGTACTGATCTAGAAGAGAAACATGAAGCATCAGAGATTCAAATAAAGCAGCAATCTACAAGTTACCGAAATCAACTTCAACAAAAAGAGGTAAATGTTATCACAGTTACTTCATATGTACTTCACTGTAATGTATTTAGGTATGTTTTTAGAGTTAGAATATAAATCGAGGTATATTCAGATCTGTAAAAATATGAAAAGGTGATGAATTTAATGATTTTCGACTCAGTTTGATATCCCTTATTTAATAAGAACTTTGTAAGGTAATGTAAACTTTATTAAGTTTACATATATAAACCAACCTGTGTGAAGTATAATTTTTTTCTTTCCAAAGAAGAAGAAAAAGTTTTTGTATAAAATATCTTTAGGGATCTGTTGCTTATAATTTCTGATTTTATGAAGCCTAATATTTGTTGTATTGGCATGTGCTTGATTTTCCATGGAAAAACTATTAAATATATGATAATTTACATATAATTGCTTTATAAATGTTTTTGGGTTTTTTAGTTTGAAATGGCTGCTTTGGAATTGATTTATCTTTGCTTTACAGTGCTGGTAGTAGATATTATATAATTTAATGTTACTCTGAATCCTTAAAATACAGTCTGTGTCCTCATGTGTCATGCTGTTACTGAATTCTCTTTAGTGTTTAGTACCTAAGTGGCCCCCAATAAATACTTACATTGAATGGAACCATTTCCTGTTATATTGTCCAGATCATTTGGATGTTTTTCAGTTTGTTGACTAAGTGTTCATTTCTACCATAACTTTATATTTGGGTTTTTAAAATTTAGGTGTCATGCTTTCTAATTCCTATGCTTTCTAGTTCCTTTAGTGACATGCTAAGGTGAAAGATAAAAGTATAGCACGTTAAAGATATACATAGGTTTTGAAAGTAGTGCTTAAATTTCCAATTTGTTGGGAAGTGATAATTTCATAAAATACAATACAAAATGAATTACTATAAAAATAAAATGAATACTAAAAAAGGCAAAGTTGCAAGTTCAAATAATTTTTTTTTTTTTTTTTGAGACAGAGTCTTGCTCTGTCGCCCAGGCTGAAGTGCAGTGGTGCAATCTCGGCTCACTGCAACCTCTGCATCCCGGTTCAAGCAATTCTCGTGCCGCCTGAGTAGCTGGGATTACAGGCATGCACTACCACGCCTGGCTAATTTTTGAATTTTTATTAGAGATGGGGTTTCACCACGTTGGCCAGGCTGGTCTTGAACTCCTGACCTCAGGTGATCTGCCCGCCTTGGCCTCCCAAAGTGTTGGGATTACAGGCGTGAGCCACCGTGCCTGTCCTCAAGTTCAACTTAAAGTTACAAGGCTACTTTTTTTTTTTCTTGATTCCCCATCTCTACTAATAATACAAAAATTAGCCGGACGTGGTGGCGTATGCCTATAGTCTCAGCTACTTGGGAGGCTGAGACAGGAGAATTGCTTGAACCTGGGAGGCGGTGGTTGTAGTGAGCTGAGATCACGCCACTGCATTCTAGCCTGGGTCACAGAACGAGACTCCGTCTCAAAAAAAAAAAAAAAAGTTCAGCAGATATAAAATTACTACTAAATTGCTTTAAAAGTCTTAAACCTTACTTTTCACATTGCTATACTTGCTCTGGACTGGTAGTGAGCATTCAACTGCATTCGTCTGTGGACCACATTTTGAGTAGCATTGAGTTATAAACATTATGATAGAACAGTAGTTCCTCCTACCCAGGGGTTTACAGCTGTGTCATTATGACACTTTAAAAGCATATACATGTTTACACCACCTAGGAGATTCTAACTTAGTGTACTGGAAAGAGGCCCTGGTGCAGGTTGAGCATTCCTACCAAAATTCGAAATGCTCCAAAATCCAAAACTTTGAGTGCCAGTTTGATGCCACAAGTAGAAAATTCCACAAATAAGTACTGAACACAAGCTTTGTTTTATGCACAAAATTGTTAAAAGCATTTTATAAAATTACTTTCACACGTACCTGTGGGTATAAGGTGTATATGAAACATAAATGAATTTTGTGTTTAGACATGGGTCCCATCCCCAAGATATCTCATTACATTTATGAGAATGTTCTCAAATTGGAAAATACCTGAAATGTGAAACCCTTCTAGTCCCAAGCATTCGGATAAGGATACTCAACCTGTATTGGTCATTTTCAAAAGCTCCACAGGTTATTCTGATGCCTACCTCACAGTTGAAAACACTGGTGGGGAAAATTTTGGTATTTTATGTTCTACTTAACTATCGATATTAGAGGGCACATTAAGCATTCAGGTTTGGAAATATCTGTTATTACAGCTTGCACTTGTATAACTACAAGTTGATATAAATATCATATAATGATAGCTTTTTAAATATAGCTACATTTGAAAAAGATGTGGATTTTAGTACTTTTTACGAGGATGAAATATATGATTATATAGATCTGTTATTTCCTGAATCTATGTGCGGCCCTCATTGTGATGTTCATATTCTCCAAGATGGAATTTATCTCATGTCATTTGTGGGAAAATGAATGAAATTTGTACAGTACTATAAATTTCCATTTGAGAAGGGGCTCCAATATGAAAAACTTGTTTGTTATGACATACAACATAAATGTGTTTGGTTTTTGTCTACTTGCTTAACTTTATGCATATAGAAATACTGTTACTTGTTGGCTGTCTTCCTAATATCAAATTTTCCTCAGTTGTGGCAGTGTCTTCTGGACTACTCTACTTTATAGAAAACTTTTTTCAGTTCTGTCTATATTGTTTGATTTTGTGTTTTGAATAATCTTTTACAAGAATGGATGTGGCATTTTGGTAGGTCCTGTGTTTATAATTTCTTTTGCGCTATGACTTACCCGCCTTTAGTCAAAACTGCTGGTAATTTCAGAACTTCAGAACTGTTCTCTTCCTAAATAGGTCAGATTTTCGCTGGCTCCTCTTTGCCAAATCTAAAGCTAAGACCACTTTCAGTATATTATTTCTTTTTAAGATTCATGGGCTAATAACCATGGGCTCACTGTTTCACTGTTATCTTATCTAAAAAGATTGGATTTATAAATCAAAGCATTCTTCCAGCTGTGTTGTGCAGGTCAATACAAAGTTACCTCAGATTCATGGTGCATTTTAAGCCTACATCCAGCCATAATCAGTTACACAACACCCTTGTAACAGGAGATATTCTAAGAAAATTTCCAGTGCATAGACGGACACAGCTTTCATTTTCTCATCATTTAAGATTTGGTAATCACAAACAGAACCCTAAGAAATTGCCTATACTACTCCATGCAGAGAAGATAGCAAACCCATGTTTAACTGAGAAATTCATTGCTTTAGTTAACATACAAAATTCTGATATTTCTACTATTTGTAACATTATTTATGCTTTAATTGTGAGTGTGTTTTAAATAAAAATGTTATGGTTAGAATGTTATATAAGACTTAGATTCAGTTGATAGAGGACCATCATTGGATAATCTTAGACAAATTATTGTATTGTGTCTTTTAATACAAATCTATAAAAAGTCAATATGATTGTTTTAAAGTACCTTCTCTAAAACTTGGATTATAAATATATAGGTAGAAATCAGCCATCTTAAAGCCAGACAGATTGCACTCCAGGATCAGTTGCTGAAACTGCAGTCAGCTGCTCAGTCAGTACCTTCAGGAGCTGGTGTACCAGCAACCACTGCATCATCTTCATTCGCTTATGGGATTAGTCATCATCCTTCAGCTTTCCATGACGATGACATGGACTTTGGTGATATAATTTCATCCCAACAAGAAATAAACCGACTCTCAAATGAAGTTTCAAGACTTGAGTCTGAAGTTGGCCATTGGAGGCATATTGCTCAGGTAGATAAAAATTTTTTAGAGTTTTTGAAAACTTTGAGTAAAATTACTGGTGTAATATAAAAAACTGTATGTAGAGCTTTTGATATCAGAAAGAACCCTGGACTAGGAAATAGAAAAGGTGTATTCTAATTCCGTCAGTGACTTTCTTTCTTTTTTTTTTTTTTTTTGAGACAGAATCTTGCTCTGTCTCCCATGCTAGAGTGTAGTAGCGTGATCTTGGCTCACTGCAGCCTCGGCCTCCTGGGTTCCAGTGATTCTCCTGCCTCAGCCTCCTGAGTAGCTGGGATTATAGGCACACGCCACTATGCCTAGTTTTTGTATCTTTAGTAGAGATGGGGTTTCACCATTTTGGCCAGGCTAGTCTCGAACTCCTGACCTTAGGTGATCTGCCCACCTCGGCCTCCCAAAGTGTTGGGATAACAAGTGTGAGCCACTGCGCCTGGCCTCTGCCAGTGACTTTCTTTCTTTCTTTTTTTTTTTTTTTTTGAGACAGAGTCTTACTCTGTCACCGAGGCTGGAATGCAGTGGCACAGTATTGGCTCACTGCAACCTCCGCCTCCCGGGTTCAAATGATTCTCCCGTCTCAACCTCCCAAGTAGCTGGGATTATAGGTGCGTGCCACCATGCCTGGCTAATTTTTGTATTTTTAGTAGAGATGGGGTTTCACTATGTTGGCCAGGCTGGTCTCAAACTCCTAACCTCGTGATCTGCCCGCCTTGGCCTCCCAAAGTGCTGGGATTACAGGCATGAGCCACTGCGCCTGGCCTCTCTGCCAATGACTTTCTAAGTGATTTTGGTCCTGTCATCTTTCTCTCCTAGTCTGAGTTTCCCTTTCTGTACACTATTTGGAAAAAATTTTCAAAAAAAAGCAACAGATCCTTTTTTTTTTTTTTAATAAAACATGAGAGGAAAAAAATTGAGTTGCTGTGGTTGAACCAAGAACCTTCTCTTCTGGAGTCCCTGAGACTCCTCTGGTGTAAACACCAGGACTCCGAGGCACCATGTTTGAAACCGCTTGCTTAGATGTTGTCTGAGGTTTCTGCTAGCTCTAGTTACATGTAAAATGAAAATCTGGTAATTGATATTATAAAATATGATAAACCATTTTGTGTTGTTTCTCATGCACTAGAAATTAATATTTTGCTATTTGGGGCTGTAAACTTTCTTCCAAGGAGCCCTTTTTTGTCTTATATATCAGATTTTATACAGGATGAATATCTCTTATCCGAAATGCTTGAGACTAGAAGTGTTTCAGATTTTGGATTTTGGAATCTTTTCTTGTTCTTTCTTTTCTTTTTTTTTTTGAGAGAGAGTCTCAGTCTGTTGCCCAAACTGGAGTGCAGTGGCACCATCTCAGCTCACTGCAACCTCTGCCACCCGGGTTCAAGCAATTCTCCTGCCTCAGCCTTCTGAGTAGCTGGGATTACAGGCGCCCGCCACCACACCGGGCTAATGTTTTTTTGTACTTTTAGTAGAGATGGGGTTTCACCATGTTACCCAGGCTGGTCTCAAACTCTTGACCTCAGGCCGCCCAAAGTGTTGGGATTACAGACATGAGCCACTTCATCCGGCCAGATTTTGGAATATTTTCATAAACATAATGAGATATCTTGAGGATGGGACCCAGGTCTAAACATGGAATTCATTTATGTTACATATAAACTTTATACCCATAGGTACTTGTGAAGGTAATTTTATACACTATTTTAAGTAATATTATATAACTTGTGTGTGAACCAAAATTTGCGTTAAATATTTATGTGTGGAATTTTCCACTTGTGGCATCATGTTGGCACTCAAATGTTTCAGATTTTGGAGCATTTCAGATTTTGGATTTTTGAATTAGGGATTCTCAACCTGTATACTATGGAAATTGTAGACATGAGACCTGGAGTAAACTGGAACACTGTTTATTTGGATTTAATTTCATCAATGTAAAAAAAAATTACATGAGTAAAGAGATTATTTTTTGTGTTTTTATGAATGTAATCTAGTTATGTAAAGGAGAAATCTTCCCACTTAAAATTATCTCCTTCTTTCACAAGTTGCTAGACATTCTCAGTACCCAAAATAAGCTTTAGAGAGGATGATCTGTTTGTCCATCTTATCTCCAAAAAGCAGTAAACTTTCTATGTATAAGAAATGACCTGGAGAACTTGGCAGTATTGTAGATCTTCTGTGGTACCTTCAGGGATATCAATTTGTTAGCCAGTTTTAGGGCCTTAAACTGCATTTAAACAAATAGCCCTGGTGATTCTGATAACCTAAGGAACACATTTTAAGAAACATTGTTAGAGTAAGATTTCATAGGGAAGAGAATGGTTTTTGGTGTGTTCATTTCAGCATATCTTGAATGCCTACTCCATGACAGACCTGTACTAGACTATAAAGTTGAAAAAGGCATAATTGGGACCGTTCAGAGGACTTAATTTTCTAGCAAGACGTAATAAAAATTAATATTTGCATTACATTTTATGTTTCCATATGTATTATCCCAATATATTATTATGTTAATAATTATGAGATAGATGTATTACCTCTATTTTATAAATAAGGAAACTGAAAGTTTTTTTTTTGTTTTTTTTTTTTTTTTTTGAGATGGAGTCTTGCTCTGTCTACCAGGCTGGAGTGCAGTGGTGGGATCTCGGCTCACTGCAACCTCTGCCTCCCAGGTTCAAGCAATTCTCCTGCCTCAGCCACCCAAGTAGCTGGGACTACGGGCACCCGCCACCACTCCCAGCTAATTTTTTTTTTGTATTTTTAATAGTGACGGGGTTTCACCTGTTGGCCAGGATGGTCTTGATCTCTTGCCCTTGTGATCCAGCGGCCTTGCCTCCCAAAGTGTTGGGATTATAGGCATGAGCCACTGTGCCCAGCCCTAGGAAACTAAAAGTTTAAGTCATATAATCCATTGCCACAGTGGTTAAGTTATGATTCAAACACACGTGTTTTGACTAAATCCTGTATTTTTTCTATTATACTTTATTCTTTCTTTCAGTCCTAGAGTAGCTTTTGGTTCATTAAAATGCTACATAGTAATATTAATAAAGATAAATGAACAACATACAGCTTTGAATGAGAAGAATCCAAAAGTTGTTTTATTTATTTATTAAACCAAAGATTATTCTCTATTGGGTAGAGATCTTCTGGGTAAAATCATTTGATTTTGCCAGGCATGGTGGTTCATGTCTAATCCCAGCACTTTGGGAGGCCAAGGCAGGAGGATTACTTGCAGCCAGGAGCTCGAGACCAGCCTGGGCAACATAGTGAGATCCCATCTCTACAAAAAAAAAATTAGCTAAGCATGCTGGCATGTGCTTGTAGTCCCAGCTACTTGGAAGGCTGAGGTGGGAGGATTGCCTGAACCCAGGAGGTGGAGGCTGCAGTGAGCCATGATCACACCACTGCATTCCAGCCTGAGTGACAGAGAAAGACCCTGTCTCAAAAAAAAAAAAAAAGAAAGGAAAAAGAAATTTCCTTTTAGAAAGCTGCTCAATTATCTTTACCCTTACATTTTGTCAAGCTAAGTAAAATATTCTATAAATTTTTCTACCTTAACTTTAGTTATTTTGTAAAACTGTTGTCCCCCCCATTAGTTAATACATTCTTAAATATGATATCTTTTATTTATTGTGTATTATTCACTATTAGACTAGGTTCTTTAAAAGGTCCATGGCATTCTTTAGTCGGAATCTGTGAAAATCCCCCTTTTTACAAAAGTATTCTTGTAATGAAGTTAGTTTGTGACTTTCTGTTGACAAGAAAATCAGTATAATTATTTACTAATTCTCTTTTTCTGATCTAGACTTCCAAAGCACAAGGAACAGATAACTCTGATCAAAGTGAAATATGTAAACTACAAAATATCATTAAGGTAAGTCAAATTGTTGATTGATGATGGGAGTTATACATCTAAATCTGCTTATTAAAAGCATAGGCCTGAATTAGTAAAAGTCTCAGTTATAAAAGTCATTATCATTATATAGATTATGGTACTTCTTTTTCTTTTAGAGATAGGATCTCACTGTGTTGCCCTGGCTGGAGTGCAGTGGCATGATCAGGTCACTGCAGCCTCATACTCCTGGGTTCAGGTGATCCTCCTGCCTCAGCTTCCCATGTAACTGGGACTACAGGCACACATGCCACCATGCCTGGCTAATTTTTTCTGATTTTTTTTGTATAGATGGGGTTTGCTAATGGTGCCCAGGCTGGTCTGGAACTTCTAGCCTCAAGCCATCCTCCTGCTTCAGCCTCCCACAACGCTGGGATTCCAGGCATGAGCCAACGCGCCTGGTCCATTTAAAAATATTTTTTTTTAATATTCTTTATTATTTATGTAAAGTATATAAAAATCTCTGTCTTTCCAGAATCATTTGGTTTTGAACATTTATTACGGAGCTTATCTTTCGTAAGTCTCTATACTCTATTGTATCTTGTAAAACCGTCTTTATTAAAACCTAATTGCAGGGTTGCTGAAGTTTCAAGGTTTAGAGTTAAAGGATATGGACAAAATAAAATACTAATATCATGCATTGGAAATACTTATTTTACCTTAGCGGTAGAATTTCGCTAGTTTGTGTCAATTATTATTTCTTTAAAGAAAAGTCTTAGTTGCATATATTATTGTGGCAGTGAATTATTTTTAGTGTTAAAATTATTGTCAGATATAGAATTTTTAGTTTTGGGTTCATTATTATTACAATACTAGAGTGGATAGAATCCGGATCAGACCTGTGTTTGAATCCTGGCTGTATTATTTACATGCTATGCTAATCTCGGGCAAGTTACTTCTGTTTTATTATCAATGGAGACCATGATAATACCTATCTTGTAGGATTGTTTTGAGGTTTAAATGTAAAGCTCTTAGCCCAGTGGTGGCACATAAGTAAGAAGTTAATTTATAGATTAGGATCTTTTTTTTTCTTTTTTCCATAAGAGCATCAATTTTTCTGTAGATTAGGATTCTTGGTTACAAGCAACAAAAACCATCTCTGGCCAAGTAAAGCAAAAGAGGATTTACTGGAAGAACCCAGGGTAGTCCATCCGCAGGATTGAAGGAGGAGTTGAATGTTTTGGCCTCAGGTTGGATAGGAGTGGGAAGAGTGTTAGGAATCTGGGTGGCGGGACCCAGTGGACAGACTCTTGAGAGGGCACCTGTCCTGGTGCTTCCCGTCAAACCAGTTTCCCTAGTCGATGGACTCAGCTCAAGATCCAGGTTCCTGCGAGAGACACAGTGGGCTCAACTTGGGTAGGAAGGCGCCAGGTTGACAGTTTGGGAGTCCCAATAAGACTGGTGAAAGGAAAGGCTGAGTGAGAGGATGGAAGTAGTGGAACAGCAGGTACAGATTGGTCAGAGGGGTGACACTGGTATTGGCAGAAAGTGTCATTAGGAAAAGGAGAAGTTCATGGTCACAGATATTAAGGAAAAGACATTTTTACTTATCGTTTGTTTTAGCCTTTTCTTGCTGATGTTCCCTCATTAGAAGTAGAAAAACTGTTTTTGAGACCTAAGAAAGGAAAGGGTGAAGTTGTTCAGAATAGTCCTAATTTTGGGTCTGTGTTTAAATTCTTTTCAGCCTTAACATGTTCTGAGAATTCTTTTTAATAATGCACACTTTTGGACAACAGTTAAATATATAGCTTACATAAATTTATTGATTATAAATGTGAATAACTTTGTTTTTATTTTTTAAGGAACTAAAACAGAACCGAAGTCAGGAAATTGATGACCATCAACATGAAATGTCAGTACTGCAGAATGCACACCAACAGAAATTGACAGAAATAAGTCGACGACATCGAGAAGAATTAAGTGACTATGAAGAACGAATTGAAGAACTTGAAAATCTGTTACAACAAGGTTATTAGTTTTATTTCTTTATTATTATTATTTTTTTTGAGATGGAGTCTCCATCTGTTGCCCAGGCTGGAGTGCACTGGCGCGATCTCGGCTCACTGCAACCTCCGCCCCCCGGGTTCAAGCGATTCTCCTGCATCAGCCTCCCAAGTAGCTGGATTACAGGTGCCTGCCACCATGCCCAGCTAATTTTTGTATTTTTAGTAGCAATAGGGTTTCGCCATATTGGCCAGGCTGGTCCCAAACTCGTGATCTCGGGTGGTCCACCCACCTCGGCCTCCCAAAGTGCTAGGATTACAGGCATGAGCCACTGCACCTGGCCAGTTGATAGTTTTATTAATTTAACATATTAGATGACATAACTAAATGATAGACCTAGCATTCTAAGACCAGGACAGTGCTGTAAACTTGCCCTAAGTTATAAGGAAGTGTAAATGACTAGTTCTGCTTATCTGCCAGAAATTTGCAGTGGCACCTCTGCTTTTAAGATTCTGTGGCCGGGAGTGGTGGCTTATGGCTATAACCCCAGCATTTTGGGAGGCCAAGGTGTGTGGATCACTTGAGGCCAGGAGTTTGAGACCAGCCTGGCCAACATGGCGAAATCCCGTCTCTACTAAAAATACAAAAATTAGCTGGACGTGGTGGTGCTCGCCTGTGGTCCCAGCTACTCAGGAGGCTGAGGTGGGAGGATCACTTGAGCCCAGGAGGCAGAGGTTGCAGTGAGCCGAGATGGCACCACTGCCCTCCAGCCTGGGCAACAGAGTGAGACTCCATCTCAAAAAAAAAAAAAAAATTCTGTGAAAATGGAAATGTCCTTTTTACCTTTGTGGTAAATAGTTATAATTTATAGATTTCTTTGCATTGTTTGGTGATGATACTTTGGTAATAAATGATTAGAGATATTATCACTTTCTTTCAAACTAAGATACATAGGCCTTTATGTAGTTGATTCAAATATTTTCCCCCAACTTATTTATTTTAAAACACTTAGTTTATTATAGTAATTTAACTTTTAAGCTTTCCAAATTCTGAACTGTCTTATATCTCTTAGTTGTATATAGCAAACCGTTTATTTCTTGGTACTTGACATTTGATGTCATTGTTTTGTGTTTATGTTCTAGGTGGCTCTGGAGTTATAGAAACTGATCTCTCTAAAATCTATGAGATGCAAAAAACTATTCAAGTTCTACAAATAGAAAAAGTGGAGTCTACCAAAAAAATGGAACAACTTGAGGATAAAATAAAAGATATAAATAAAAAATTATCTTCTGCAGAAAATGACAGAGATATTTTGAGGAGAGAACAAGAACAGCTAAATGTGGAAAAGAGACAAATAATGGAAGAATGTGAAAACTTGAAATTGGAATGTAGTAAATTGCAGCCTTCTGCTGTGAAGCAAAGTGATACTATGACAGAAAAGGAAAGAATTCTTGCCCAGAGTGCATCAGTGGAAGAAGTGTTCAGACTACAACAAGCACTGTCTGGTATACAGTCTTTGGAACTTATTTCAGATTGCTGTTTCATTGCATAGTAGTTGTTTTTAGAGACAGATGCTTCACTAACTGAATACTTAGTGGAAATGGCATATTCCTGGAAATGACTGTGTGTCATTTGGGTAGAATTGTGTGGTTTGGATTCAGTGTAAGAGTTAATAGATTGCAAATAGGAATTTCCTATTAAAAAGGATTAGGTATTGCTATACTTTCTGTAACTCATCACAGCCCACATCCTCCAGTTAGGGAATACAGCCTTTCTTCTTCAAAGTCAGTTGTTACCTGTTTGAAACGATCTCCTATATCCAAGCAAAGCCCTGAGTGCTTAGAGCCATAGGTCTTCCACCATTTTCTATGCTCATGATGATATTTAGTTACTGTACCAGTATTCTGTGTTACAGAAAATTAGTACTAAATGAAATAGGCCAAACACCAGTAAATAAAATAAATTTTAAAGTAATTGTACTTACGTTTTAAAAAATAAGTTTACTTATTTAAAAAATAAATTTACTTACATAAGACTAATACATTTACTTACTTATCATATTGGGTGATCCAGATGAGTTTATGTGCTTAAAAGACAAACCCACTGCCTTAGTCCTTCCTCTTTTTTCTATTCCATTGACACAGAATTACTTCAGCCAGTCATAATTGCTTTTTGCCTATGTTAACTATGGCAGCTCTCTGAATGGAGCAGAATAGCGTAGTGGTTAAGGACATGACTGGGTTGGAATCGAGCTCTATCACTAATTAGCTGACCTTGGACAGGTTAACATCTCTATGCATTGGTTATTTCATCTATAGGGTTGGGATAATAATGGTATCTTCCTTGTAGTTTTAGTAATGAGGATTATATGAGTTACTTTCTGCCGCTCTTTAGGATAGTGTCTAGCCAATAGTAAATGTTGAAGAGTTAGCTTTTTTTTTGTTTGTTTTTTTGAGACAGAGTCTCGCTCTGTAGCTCAGACTGGAGTGCAGTGGCACGATCTCGGTTCACTGCAACCTCCACCTCCCGGGTTCAAGTGATGCTCCTCCCTCAGCCTCCCAAGTAGCTGGGACTACAAGCATGTGTCACCACGCCCAGCTAATTTTTGTATTTTTAGTAGAGACAGGGTTTCACCATGTTGGCCAGGATGATCTCGATCTCTTGACCTCATGATCTGCCCACCTTGGCCACCCAAAGTGCTGGGATTACAGGCGTGAGCCACCGCCCCCAGCTGAAGAGTTAGCTTTTAAAATTCTCTGTTCTCCATGATTCCTTCAATCTATTTTTTTCATTCTGCAGCCAGAATAATTTGTCAGAAATGCAAAGCAGGTTACTCCCCTGCATTTAGTACTTTATAGCTGCCTGTGAACTTCGGGATGATGTTTAAATTTCTTAGTTAGACATGATAATGTCTCTCATGATCTAGTTCCTGCCTATCTCTTCAGTTTCAACTATTCCCATGCTCCTGACATTCTAAACTTGAACCATATTGAATTTTCTATAGCTCCTTAAAGCAGCAATGTTACCTCTTCACTCTGTTACCCTTGCATTTTCTGCTTTCTCTGTGTGGAGTGTCTCTATGGCTCTTTTAGCCGACTCTCAGTATATTGATTCAGTGCAGGTATTAACCTCCACTGAGAAGTACCTAGCACTGCCACTTCTTGGCCCCATTTGCTCCTCCTAATCTAGATTAGGTGTTTACCCTGTTTGTTCTCATAGCACCTCGTGCTTGCTCTGTCATACTATGTTATAATCCTGTGCTTACTAGTTTTTCTTCCTCTCTGAATTGTAAGCTCTTCGAGAGCAAGGGCTAAATTTTACCAGCTTTTTGTCTAGCACCTGGCCTCATAGTAAATGCTAAATATTTCCTGAGTGAATGTTGAATCAATGATTTCAGCTGTGTTTTTTTGTGTACCCTCTTCTTTTTATAGATCTATCTATAATACCAAATTGAATGGTCTTTTTCTCAGCATTCATATCTAAATCACGTTAGATAATTGAGAGATTATGGTATTGTGGTGGTTTAAATATACATAATAAAATACTACTTTTAAATTGTTTTCC
This sequence comes from Homo sapiens, assembly GCF_000001405.40. Lineage (NCBI taxonomy): Eukaryota > Metazoa > Chordata > Mammalia > Primates > Hominidae > Homo > Homo sapiens. Next base: position 92,012,155 of record NC_000014.9, on the reverse strand, counting down.
TCCAATCTTAAACCATGTACTATTTCCTGCTTCTCAAATGAATCAATTCATTTTGAAACCTGGTTGTCATTAGCATTTTTATCAAGGCAATAACTTGTGACTCATCTACAATACAATTTCAATTTTTTCTTATGCTTATCCATAGACTTGGATTTTAATGTGGTTTTTAACTGGCATTTACATTATGATTTATTTGATATGACAAAACAGGAATACAAATATATGTTTCACTCAGAACTGTTACTGCTTGCCAGTGGTGCTTATATACACTTTAATTGGGTTGCATTTCTGAGTTTAATATTGAAGATAATAAGTTACTCTAAATAATTTTAATGTCAAGTTCATTTGCTGTTTTTACAGATGCCGAAAATGAAATAATGAGATTGAGTAGTTTAAACCAGGTAAATTAATTTTGACAAATGTTATGTGCATAGAGACAGTGGAAGCAGATCCTATACCAAGTGAGAAATGAGTTTTAATTTTCCTTAAGAGATTCAAAGAGTTGTTTCTTTTTCTAATAATTAGAAGTTATTTTGTAAATATATTTTTATATTTTTCCAAGCATAATAAGGAAGTCTTCTGTAAGAGTGTCGAAAATGCATGACTGGTTTCATTCGTTTTAGACACTTTTATAAGTGTTGCATTCTTTTTTTTTTTTTTTTTTTTTTTTTTGAGACGGAGTCTTGCTCTGTCACCCAGGCTGGAGTCGCGATCTCGGCTCTCCGCAACCTCCACCTCCCAGGTTCAAGCGATTCTCCTGCCTCAGCCTCCCGAGTAGCTGGGATGATAGGAGCGTGCCACCACACCCGGCTAATTTTTTGTATTTTTAGTAGAGACGGGGTTTCACTGTGTTAGCCAGGATGGTCTTGATTTCCTGACCTTGTGATCTGCCTGCCTCAGCCTCCCAAAGTGCTGGGATTAACAGGCATGAGCCACCGTGTCTGGCCAAGTATTGCATTCTTATAATTACTACATATCATTAAAGAAATACTGAATAGAAACACACAATTGTATAGATTGCCAGCTTTTTTATAAACTGGAAATTTCTTGTTACCTGAAAACACTGCTTTAACATTTTTGTAGGATAACAGTCTTGCTGAAGACAATCTGAAACTTAAAATGCGTATCGAAGTTTTAGAAAAAGAGAAGTCATTACTGAGTCAAGAAAAGGTGGGTGCTGTAAAAATGGGGGCAGAATTAAAATGGTATGTGTAACAGGTCACAGCCAAGGGCCAGTTGATATCCAAATGGAATGTTGAGTAATTGAGCTCAAGTCCTTAGAATAAAGCTGATCTCACTGATGCTTTTCAGGCTAGGTGGAAGTACCTGGGTAAAGTTCAGAGTATAAGTGGCTGGCTTGAGTTCGTATTTAGAAATAAGCTAGTAGGCACACAGAATCAAGCAGAAAAGATAGGTGGAGGTCCTGTTTTGGTTTCTGATGATGTCCTGACAGCAGGAACATACACAGGTAGGTCAGGAGGTCTGGAGTAGCATACTGTAATAACTGTATATGCTGCTTGTGTGCTTCAGAATGTGTCCATTTTGGTGGACAGTACTTTCTTAGTGGTGAGGCATAAAGAGCAACAGTTTCAGTGGTAGAAAGAAGTTCTATTTTTTTTTTTAATGAGATGGAGTTTCGCTCTTGTTGCCCAGGCTGTAGTGCAGTGGCGCAATCTCGGGTCACCGCAACCTCCGCCTCCCGGGTTCAAGCGATTCTCCTGCCTCAACCTCCTGAGTTGCTGGGATTACAGGCGCCAGCCACCACACCCAGCTAATTTTGTATTTTTAGTGGAGACGGGGTTTCTCCATGTTGGTCAGGGTGGTCTCAAACTCCCGACCTCAGGTGATCTGCCCACCTCGGCCTCCCAAAGTGTTGAGATTATAGGCGTGAGCCACCACGCCTGGTGAAAGAAGGTCTTTATAGGGGTACAGAGCAACAGTTTCAGTGGTAGAAAGAAGGGCTTTATTGTATGTATTCATAGCAAGGAAGGAATAAGATTCTGAAAGGGAAAGGTATTTAGAAGTATTTTTATGTTTGAACCACTTTGGGGAAATTTCTTGGCTAAGGCAGGTGCTTAAATATAGGAGAGTTGTAAGCTAGTATTATTAAGTTAAAGGCCAGTGTCTTAATTTAAATTCCTAATTTTAAAAAGTGATGCATATTTTCTGATATATGTGTTCAGAAAACATACATACTGAAAACCTTCGGATAGTACAAGTAGAGTATCTTTTGTACCTCTGTGGCTTGGCCTCTTTCCCAGAGGCAGTCTCTGTTACCAATTTCTAGTGTTTCTTTCTGGACTATGTCTATGCATGTATGATTGTATGTATCAGTAGCTTTAAAAAATACAAATGTCAGCATATTATAAATATCCTTTTTACATACCATATTTCCAACATCTTTCCACATTAGTATATATGCAGTGTTTCTCAAAGGGACTGCTATTGGCATTTAAGCAGGAAAATTCTTAGTTGTGGGCACTACACTGTGTATTGTGGGATTCTTGCTGCCACTCTTTCTACCCACTATGTGCCAGCAGTATCTCCCAGTCGTTTTAAAAATTACTATATTATATATATTTTATCTTTCCTGTTTTTGCTCCCATTGTATTCTGCTCTTTACCTGACTGACCTAGTCGTTTGTAGTTTGCAGAACTCTCTGCACTTACCTGGCAGGGCCTGTAACCTTTTCATGATGTGTTTGGTTTCTGTAGCTTGTCCTGATAGCTGTTTCTCCTTTCTTTTGATGTTAAAGTAGTCCATTGTAACTCTTCCTTGAGTTGTGTCTGCTTACTGATTAAGAATACCAAAAGTGCCTATGAGGGCCGAGTGTGGTGGCTCACGCTGTAATCTCAGCACTTTGGGAGGCCAAGGTGGGATGATTGCTCAAGGCCAGGAGTTCGAGACCAGCCTGGGCAACATAGTGAGACACCATATCTACAAAAAAACACTAAATAATTTTTTTAAAAAGTACCTATGAGGCTGTGTGTGCTTTTAAGATCTACCTAAAGAAAATGTCTGTGATTCTCCTAATTTGAACAGATAACTTTAGAAAGACTTAAGAGAATGCTGTTTCCATCTTTCAGCTGTAGTTAGAATAAATTTTTGAATTAGAAGGAAATAAGAATTGTGATACAGATACTCTAGTATAGCTTTTATCGGATCTCTGTTTTTTCAACCAACTCTCCATAGCAATGTTGAGTTTCTTTTATAAGGTTTATATTAGGCTGTTTCTTTGAAGGAATTTGAGATTCTTATTTTTTTAATTTTATTTTTTAGAGAGAGAGAGTCTTGCTGTATTGCCCAGGTTAGAGTGCTGTGGCTGATCATGGCATGATCATAGTGCACTACAGCCTTGAACTCCTTGGCTCAAGTAATCCTTCTGCCTCAGCCACCTAAGTAGCCTCCTGGGACTATAGATAAATGCCATCATGCCTGGTTCAATACTCTATTTAAAGTAGATTCCATATGGGTTTGATTTTTAAAAATCTGTCAATGAAAGAAGGCTTTAATATATAGTTTATTACAAACATCATAACTAGAGACTGAAATAATGTTGAAGCATAGAGAACTGTCCCACTTCTGAGATTTTGGAGAAAGCATTAAATACCAGGTAGTAGACTATAAAATGTATATATACTATCTTTAGGAATGTCAGGTGTGACAGAGGGGAACCTAGTCTGGTTAAAAGGTAAAGGAAGGAAGGAGGATTCTTTCTAGGGTCAAGAAAAAGTTCCATGTTCTAACAGAAGCAAAAGTAATAAGGGAAATTCCTTTAGTAAGAGAAAAGAAACCTTTTATTTTCTAATTAGAGAGGCTAAACATTTGGGTGAAGGAGTGTTGATTTTTTATATTTTTATTTAGTCTGAGGCTGTTGATGACTGGATGTTAGAGAATGGAAGTGAGGAAGGCAGAAAGACTTGCGGACATTTTGGAAAGTATGTATGTATGGTAGGTGGGGCCAGGGGATGGATAAAGGGTAGCCACGGTGGAGCAGGATAGGAGAGGCTCTCAAATGGGAACGTTTTTTATAAAGAAGAACTTGGTGCTAGAGGACAAACTTACAGTCGCTGCATCTGTCTAGGGTTATAGAAATGTTTTGCTTGAAGCTACAAGTAAAATTGCACATGAATGAAGGATGTGGTTTGTTGAATTTCACATACAATTATTGAGGTATTGTTCAATATTATTTCCAATATAGAGCACTTAAATAGAATCCCAAGTTTTGCTTCTATGTATGTTTTTAATCTTTTGGTGTCTCCAATTGAAAGTATGTGTTGCTTTTTTCCTTTTATCATTTCAGGAAGAACTTCAGATGTCACTTTTAAAATTGAACAATGAATATGAAGTAATTAAAAGTACAGCTACAAGAGACATAAGTTTGGATTCAGAATTACATGACTTAAGACTTAATTTGGAGGCAAAGGAACAAGAACTCAATCAGAGTATTAGTGAAAAGGAAACACTGATAGCTGAGATAGAAGAATTGGACAGACAGAATCAAGAAGCTACAAAGGTAACACTGTATTAAATACAGTAAGGCAGCACATTCTACTAAGTAAACTAAACACAGAAATGGTGGGTGTGATTTAATTAATATTTTAGTTCATAGAGATTGACAAACCTTTTTGGTAAAGTGCTAGATAGTAAATATCATTGGCCTTGTAGGCCATATTGTCTCAGTCTACTCAACTCTGTTGTTGTGATACCAACAAATGAGTGTGACCATGTTTCAACAAAATTTTATTTACAAAACAGGCAGCATCCCTGAGTTGGCCAATGGCTATAGTTCGTTGACTCTTACTCTAGTGTAGAGTTAAAAATAAACAACATGCCGGGCGCAGTGGCTCATGCCTGTCATCCTAGCACTTTGGGAGGCAGAGACGGGTGGATCACGAGGTCAGGAGTTCAAGACCAGCCTGGTCAAGATGGTGAAACCCCGTCTCTACTAAAAATACAAAAAATTAGCCGGCCGTGGTGGCAGGTGCCTGTAATCCCAGCTACTCGGGAGGCTGAGGCAGAGAATTGCTTGAACCCAGGAGGCAGAGGTTACAGTGAGCCGAGATCATGCCACTGCACTCCAGCCTGGGCAACAGAGCGACTCTGTCTCAAAAAAAAAAAAAATACTATTTACCATCTTTGGTTTTAAATTCTTATCCCTAAAATGCTTTAAGAAATGACAAGATGGGGCCAGGCACAGTGGCTCATGCCTGTAATCCCAACACTTTGGGAGGCTGAGGCAGGCAGATCACCCGAGGTTGGAAGTTTGAGACCAGCCTGACCAACATGGAGAAACCCCATCTCTACTAAAAATACAAAATTAGCCGGGTGTGGTGGCGCATGCCTGTAATCCCAGCTACTCGGGAGGTTGAGGCAGGAGAATTGCTTGAACCTGGGAGGTTCAAGAGGTGGAGGCGGAGGTTGCGGTGAGCCGAGATTGCGCCGAGCCGAGATTGTGCCATTGCACTCCAGCCTGGGCAACAAGAGCGAAACTCCGTCTCAAAAAACAAAAAAGACAAGATGGGTTTGCTGTAAAATAATAATAAGTAATTTTGTAGTGGGTGTTTTTGATAGAAAAACAATGTTTTTAAGAAGGATTAGAAATATTTGAGGATTATTTTCTATTATGTATGAGATTTTATAAAATTTTCTTTGAGTACTAAAATGAGAACATGTTGTAAAGTCACCATGCAAATTTTTCTTTCAGCACATGATTTTGATAAAAGATCAGCTATCAAAACAACAAAATGAAGGAGATAGCATCATCAGTAAACTGAAACAAGATCTAAATGATGAAAAAAAGAGAGTTCATCAACTTGAAGATGATAAAATGGACATTACTAAAGAGTTAGATGTACAGAAAGAAAAGCTAATTCAAAGTGAAGTGGCCCTAAATGATTTACATTTAACCAAGCAGAAACTTGAGGACAAAGTAGAAAATTTAGTAGATCAGCTAAATAAATCACAAGAAAGTAATGTAAGCATCCAGAAGGAGAATTTAGAACTTAAGGAGCATATTAGACAAAATGAGGAGGAGCTTTCTAGAATAAGGAATGAGTTAATGCAGTCTCTAAATCAAGACTCTAATAGTAATTTTAAGGATACCTTACTTAAAGAAAGAGAAGCTGAAGTTAGAAACTTAAAGCAAAATCTTTCAGAATTAGAACAGCTCAATGAAAATTTAAAGAAAGTTGCTTTTGATGTCAAAATGGAAAATGAAAAGTTAGTTTTAGCATGTGAAGATGTGAGGCATCAGTTAGAAGAATGTCTTGCTGGTAACAATCAGCTTTCTCTGGAAAAAAACACTATTGTGGAGACTCTAAAAATGGAAAAAGGAGAGATAGAGGCAGAATTGTGTTGGGCTAAAAAGAGGCTGTTGGAAGAAGCAAACAAGTATGAGAAAACCATTGAAGAACTGTCAAATGCACGTAATTTGAATACCTCTGCCTTACAGCTGGAACATGAGCATTTAATTAAACTCAATCAAAAGAAAGACATGGAAATAGCAGAACTCAAAAAGAATATTGAACAAATGGATACTGACCATAAAGAAACTAAGGACGTTTTGTCATCTAGTTTAGAAGAGCAGAAGCAGTTGACACAACTTATAAACAAGAAAGAAATTTTTATTGAAAAGCTTAAAGAAAGAAGTTCAAAGCTGCAGGAGGAATTGGATAAATATTCTCAGGCCTTAAGAAAAAATGAAATTTTAAGACAGACCATAGAGGAAAAAGACCGAAGTCTTGGATCCATGAAAGAGGAAAATAATCATCTGCAAGAAGAATTGGAACGACTCAGGGAAGAGCAGAGTCGAACCGCACCTGTGGCTGACCCTAAAACCCTTGATAGTGTTACTGAACTAGCATCTGAGGTATCTCAACTGAACACGATCAAGGAACATCTTGAAGAGGAAATTAAACATCATCAAAAGATAATTGAAGATCAAAACCAGAGTAAGATGCAACTACTTCAGTCTTTACAAGAGCAAAAGAAGGAAATGGATGAGTTTAGATACCAGCATGAGCAAATGAACGCCACACACACCCAGCTCTTTTTAGAGAAGGATGAGGAAATTAAGAGTTTGCAAAAAACAATTGAACAAATCAAAACCCAGTTGCATGAAGAAAGACAGGACATTCAAACAGATAACTCTGATATTTTTCAAGAAACAAAAGTTCAGAGCCTTAATATAGAAAATGGAAGTGAAAAGCATGATTTATCTAAAGCTGAAACGGAAAGATTAGTGAAAGGAATAAAAGAGCGAGAACTGGAGATTAAACTTCTAAATGAAAAGAATATATCTTTAACTAAACAGATTGATCAGTTGTCCAAAGATGAAGTTGGTAAACTAACTCAGATTATTCAGCAGAAAGATTTGGAGATACAAGCTCTTCATGCTAGAATTTCTTCAACTTCCCATACTCAAGATGTTGTTTACCTTCAACAGCAACTGCAGGCTTATGCTATGGAAAGAGAAAAGGTATTTGCTGTTTTGAATGAGAAGACTAGGGAAAATAGCCATCTAAAAACAGAATATCACAAAATGATGGATATTGTTGCTGCCAAGGAAGCAGCTCTTATCAAACTGCAAGATGAAAATAAAAAATTGTCCACTAGATTTGAAAGTAGTGGCCAAGATATGTTTAGAGAAACTATTCAGAATTTATCACGTATCATTCGAGAAAAAGACATCGAAATAGATGCACTAAGTCAGAAATGTCAGACTTTATTGGCAGTTTTACAAACATCCAGCACTGGTAATGAGGCTGGAGGTGTTAATAGTAATCAATTTGAGGAGCTTCTACAGGAACGTGACAAGTTAAAACAGCAAGTAAAGAAAATGGAAGAGTGGAAGCAGCAGGTGATGACCACAGTACAAAATATGCAACACGAGTCAGCCCAGCTTCAGGAAGAGCTTCACCAACTTCAAGCACAGGTTTTGGTTGACAGTGATAATAATTCTAAATTACAAGTGGACTATACTGGCCTGATCCAAAGTTATGAGCAGAATGAAACCAAACTCAAAAATTTTGGGCAGGAATTAGCACAAGTTCAGCACAGCATTGGGCAGCTTTGCAATACCAAGGATCTTCTTTTAGGAAAACTTGATATTATTTCACCCCAGCTGTCTTCTGCATCATTGCTTACTCCCCAGTCTGCAGAGTGTCTTAGAGCAAGTAAGTCTGAAGTATTGAGTGAATCTTCTGAATTGCTTCAGCAAGAGTTAGAAGAGCTAAGAAAATCACTACAGGAAAAAGATGCAACAATTAGAACTCTCCAGGAAAATAACCACAGATTGTCTGATTCGATTGCTGCCACCTCAGAGCTAGAAAGAAAAGAACACGAACAAACCGATTCAGAAATCAAGCAGCTAAAGGAGAAACAAGATGTTTTGCAAAAGTTACTTAAGGAAAAAGACCTCTTAATCAAAGCCAAAAGTGATCAACTACTTTCTTCCAATGAAAATTTCACTAACAAAGTAAATGAAAACGAACTTTTGAGGCAGGCAGTAACAAACCTGAAGGAGAGAATATTAATTCTAGAGATGGACATTGGCAAACTAAAAGGAGAAAATGAAAAAATAGTGGAAACATACAGGGGAAAGGAAACAGAATATCAAGCGTTACAAGAGACTAACATGAAGTTTTCTATGATGCTGCGAGAAAAAGAGTTTGAGTGCCACTCAATGAAGGAGAAGGCTCTTGCTTTTGAACAGCTATTGAAAGAGAAAGAACAGGTGTGTTCTGGATGGAGTATTGTAGAAGGAAGTTGGGGGTGGAGGAGACTTTTTTTAATGTTATTTCATTTATATTGTCTTTGAAGGGGACTGTGCATTTGTTCATTTAGAAATATTTATTTCAAGGTGTGATTCATTCTAAGTAAATTTTCCTCAGAGACATCTGGAAGTTCTCCCTCAAATTGTTAGATATTTCCAAATGCTTTTGGTAGTAAATTAATTTTTTACAGATTGCTAAGTAGTACTTAATATTTTTCTTTAGGAAACAGATGTGTCTCATGAGAGAATTTTGAAGTTACTTCAATTTAATCAAATTTTAGGTATTACAGTAGCTGTTAACATTTTAGAGATTCTTATATATAAGGAAAGCACTGTAAAATACACATATGTCTTTAACCATCTGCAGTAAGAAATACATTTCACGTTGTGACACAGTAAGAGTATGTATGTGTGTGTGCGTGTGTGTCTAACTGAAAAGTTTGAGGAACCAGAAATTGCTCTTATTACGTGTGATACTCTGTTTGAAAAAGAATGTGCTGGCTGGGCGCGGTGGCTCATGCCTGTAATCTCAGCAGTTTGGGAGGCCAAGGTGGGTGGATCACCTGAGGTCAGGAGTTTGAGACCAGCCTGACCAACATAGTGAAACCCCGACTCTACTAAAAAAAATACAAAAAATTAGCCAGGCATGGTGGTGGGTGCCTGTAATCCTAGCTACTTGGGAGGCTGAGGCAGGAGAATCATTTGAACCCAGGAGGCAGAGGTTGCAGTGAGCCGAGATCATGCCATTACACTCCTGCCTGGGTGACAGAACAAGACTCTGTCTCAATAAAAAAGAAAAAGAAAAAAAAAAAAAGAATGTGTTATTCAGGTAGAGTGACTTGGGTTAGAAATTTTTTTAAAATAATAAGAAAATGTGCTGAGTGACTCATTAAATTGATTTTTATGTATTGATTAGTCACAACCTGGAATTTGAAAAGTATTAGCCATGAGTAATACTTTTCTCATAGTAGGCTCAGTAAATATTCTAATCCCAGTTCTGTCACTGATGTGATTTTGGGTATGTTTTGACCTTATTGGTTTATTCAGCTATAAAACAGGAGTTCATAGCAGTTATATGGATAGTGCCAGTAGCTTTTGATAATATTTAAATTTTTATATGCAATTCATTTTAGTAAGAATTATTGAGGATTTCCTGTTACACTGTATACTATACTGTACTATATGATAGTATAGTGTAGGGCTTGTTTGGCAGTGTATAGGGTGCTGTGTAGGGTTTGTTTAGTAGTGCCTTTTTACTGTGATTTCTATGCTTTTAGTAGCAGAAATTTTGAAAAGAGATGATAGGCAAAACAATAAAATATTCAACTAGCACTTCTTGAGCATTACTTGCTGCCAGGCATAAGATACAAAGTGATTCAACTTCATTTGCCAGTTAGGTTCCCTCTTAGAGTCTTGGATTAAAGTTGTGAAAACTTCATTTTTTCCTTTGTCATCTGATGAAGTAGGCACACTGATTATCAGTGTTAAGGTGTTCTTCTGAGATAACTTCTTAGCTTTAATGGTACTGGTCTATAATTGATGTGAAGAGAGTCCTAGAGGCTAGAGCTTCCTATTGTTCACTAGCCCAAATTGGCTCTAGCTTCTTAAGGTTATAAGAGTAGAACAGAGGAATAAAGTACAATGATGTCTTCTGTCATTTATAGATATTTTGGAGTTTTAGCGTTTTGTACAATTTAGTTCTATTTCATTGACCTTTGCAGATCTAAAGTGTGCAGATATTATTAACACTCTCCTCACTTTTAGGAAGCTTCCCTAAGTTAGCTAAGTGGTACTTAACTATTGTATTACTTGAGGGTAATTAGTGTAAACTAATTTCTTCCAATACTCTGTATATAATATAAAAGTACCTTTAGATTATATCTTGAATATAATGAGTAACATCTTTTTTTAGGGAGAAAAGGATGTTCTCAATAGGAGATATTCAGATCTATTTAATTTCTCAAGCATTTGCTCTTTCTTTGTAGTGTGAAAAAAAAAAAAAACTGAAAAACTATTTGGAAAATATTGGCCTCCCTATCCAGAAGTGTTAATATTAAAGGAACAGATTGTTTTATATTTTGGTTATAATGATTTATCCTGGGGGATACATTACATATTCTTAAAGAAGTGGAAAGTTTACATGAAAACTAAAAATATACTAAACTGTAAATAGGTTCATAAGATATGCATATTTAAAATGGAGAAAAGAAACGGCTGTAGACCGGGCATGGTGGCTCACACATGTAATCCCAGCACTTTGGGAGGCTGAGGTGGGTGGATCCCCTGAGGACAGGAGTTCGAGATCAGCCTGGCCAACATGGTGTAACCCTGTCTTTACTAAAAATACAAAAATTAGCCAGACGTGGTGGTGCATGCCTGTAATCCCAGCTACTTGGGAGGCTGAGGCACGAGAACTGCTTGAACCCAGGAGGCGGAGGTTGCAGTGAACCGAGATCGCGCCACTGCACTCCAGCCTGGGCAACAGAGCAAGACTCCGTCTCAAAAAAAAAAAAAAGAAAAAAAAAGAAAGTGGCTGTAAAGCAGCCTGACACGTTTTTGTGCTTTTTAGAATTTCAGCTATTGTCTGAAACTTGTGGCCCTACTTTTGCAGTGAAGTTACTTTCTCTCATAACAATTGTGGATACTTTATGAATGGACAGCACGCACATACGTGTGCACACACGTACACTTTTTGTTGATTTGGGGGTTCTGAATACTTTGTTGTATAGGGTAAATTTGAAGACATTTTTGTCCTTTGGGTTCCTTTTAAAACATTTCTAATAAACTTATTCTTTTAGAATAGTTTTAAATTTATAGAAAATTTGCAAAGATAGGTCTCATAGACCTCATACTGAGTTTTCCTTGTTAACATCTTACATTGTTATGAGGTATTTGCCACAGCTAATGAACCAATATTGAGGTGTTACTGAACTAAAGTTCATACTTGACTCGAATTCCTTAATGTTTACTAAATGTCCTTTTCCTGTACCGGCAGGATACCGCTTTATATTCATTATATTTAGATGTCATGGCTCCATAGGCTTCTCTAGATTGTGACAGATTCTCTGACTTTTTTGGTTTTTCATGACTTTGACATAGTTAACTACGTTTTTAAATTAACTAGGAGTCTCTCTGAGCCTACTCAGAGAGTAAATCGGGAGGCTGCCCTATTTAAAAATTAAATGAATTAATAATTGAGTGAAGAAAATGTCTCTTTTAAAATATGTGTGTGTGTGTGTTTTTTAAAGCTAAAATTTTTTCTTTCCAAAAGGGCAAGACTGGAGAGTTAAATCAGCTTTTAAATGCAGTTAAATCAATGCAGGAGAAGACAGTTGTGTTTCAACAGGAGAGAGACCAAGTCATGTTGGCCCTGAAACAAAAACAAATGGAAAATACTGCCCTACAGAATGAGGTATACTTTCACTTTAAAAGAATTATGAATCAAACAATAAGTTTAATAACTATTAAGAGAACTGGAAAGGTGATCAGTGAAAATGAATTTCTCTGTTAGGTGATTTTTCTTATTCTTCCTCTGCTGTGCAGTAGTAAAATTTTAATCTCCCATGGTGCATTTTATTTCAGTCTTCAAAAGTGAAAATCATGGCATATCTCGGATATAAGAAAAATTGCCCACCCATAAAGTGTGAAAAAAATGAGATTTGCTGAAAAAGTGGCCTGTCACAAAGAGTACTTTATACAGAATGAATTTTATAATTCCATTTTCCATTATAGCCACAGGGGAATAAGATTCTGGGAAGTAAAGCTTCCAGATGCATATTCAAGATGATTTCAAGATAATTTTTTCCTAGCATAAATACATTTTGCAGTATGAGAAATTGGTATACAATTAATATCTTCAATAATGGGAAAAAGATTTGATAACAAAATGGTTTGTAGCAGTGGAAAGGGAGCATTTTGTAAAAGAAAAATAATGTCCTCTACCTAGGTTCAACGTTTACGTGACAAAGAATTTCGTTCAAACCAAGAGCTAGAGAGATTGCGTAATCATCTTTTAGAATCAGAAGATTCTTATACCCGTGAAGCTTTGGCTGCAGAAGATAGAGAGGCTAAACTAAGAAAGAAAGTCACAGTATTGGAGGAAAAGCTAGTTTCATCCTCTAATGCAATGGAAAATGCAAGGTAATTTTTTCATTTTTTTGCATTAACTTTAACTGAACACTTCTTAAATATCAGACTCAGTAAGTATTTTTTGTATGTTAGCTCATCCTTGCAAAATTCATTATCTGTATTTTATGGATGAAGAAACTGAAGGTAAAGAGATTAAATAACCTGCCCAAGGTAGGCACTCAGAGTGTGTGTGGGGGTTTCACATTTGAGTCTGTGACTCTTTAGATCTGGCATTCAAACTGTCTGTGTTTTGACCATCACCCTAGATCACTGCCTCTTACCATTTTAGGAGTATAGTTTGAAATTCTGACTGATTTTAATTGGCTCTGTTCAACTCCAAAATAACTATTTATGTGGTTGTATTTTTCATCAAATGATCTTAAGTTGAACAGGATGTGGATGTTAGCAGGAAGAGAGTAAAGGAAGTAGCAGAGTAGAGACCAAGGTCAGTATGAAGAATTAACTGGGTTTATTAGCACTCTTGAGTGACCCGGTCCCTGTTTATATATTTTAGATTTTTATTTCTCTCAAGAAAACTTTTTTCTTGTTTTTTTTTTTTTAGTTGTAAAAAGGTTATATTTTTCATGTTTAGGAAAATCACACAAATCACACAGAGCCCCACATGCCCAGAGATAATCTTTTTGTGTGCCTTTTTATACTTTTATGTCTGTGTGTATACATTATATACCCTTTTTAAAGCAAAACTGAGATTATAATATTCATACTGTTTTGTAATCTGTTTCTATCAATAATATGAATGTCAGTACATGTTAAGCCATGTATGTTTGCAATATTTTGTGGCTACATAATATGCCATTATTTGGATTTGCCATGATTAACGCAGTCATTTATTATGTGTTTTAACTTTTCAAAATCACTGAGTGTTGACATGATATCCCAAGACATGTATTTTTGTGTTGATGACAGATTATATCCTTAGGGTAAGTTTTGAGAAACGGAACTTCTAGATCAAGAAGCATTTTAAAACTTCTGAGATTATACTGCCAAATTATTTCACAAAAAATTGTGTCCATTTGTATTCCTATTAGTTGTATATGCATCTTTGTATTTATCTTTTTACTATTTATGACACAAAGGGAGATAAAATGAGATAATCATTTCTATCTGTCTGCAAATAAATTATAGGCTAGTAGAGACAATATTCCTGCGAATTAACCCCTACCCCACCTTTGCAGAGTATATTATTATACCTTCAGACTCAGCTGGAAAACTTGTTTAAAACGGGGATTAAAACAATGAGTGATCATTTGGCTATATGTTTCAGTTTGGCAGAAATGCTGTAACATTCTGTATTCTCACTCTTTTTTTGCACTTTTCAAGCCCTTATTTTCTCTTAATTAAAATAGTTTCTAGTCTCTGCACTTTTCATTTATTTTTCATAATAACTTTGAGAATAACCTTCCTTACATAGAGGTGTGATCTTTTTACTCCTTTTTTCAAAAACTGGTCTTGACTCAAGGATGGTCCCAGGCTCCTACCACCTTAGCCTTATTTCATGTTATCAGCTACATCCAGCCAAACTGTATTACTCACTTTCTCAGAGCCACTGTTTTCCTGTTTCTTTTTCTTCTGCTTTTTCTTTTCATATGCCTTCTTCTGCCTGAAGGGTGAACCTGATCCCCTGCAAGTTGTTCTATGAATCTTGCCTATTCTTCAATTCCATTTTCTTCCTAAAGGGTGCTTTATTTAGCACCCCACTTGTCATATCCAAAAACAAATCTTCCTGGTGTGATGTTTTTCCTTTGAACTTGCATAATATTTAGTTTGAGTCTTATAGTTTGAGGGCACTTATATTTTAATTTAGGGTACAGGTAATTGTCGACGTGTCCTATACTGCCTCCCACCCAATGAAATGTAAAGTCACTGGGAGGTAGGAATGGGCTCATTCATTTTCTACCTATCACATAGCATATATTACACAGAGTTTAATAGCTATTCAGTAAATACTTGTTGTATGAGTAACTCAGATCTACAAACCGGATTATGGTGGTGTGAGCCCTTACTTAACAATAGTAACACCTGGTATTTATTAACTTCTAGAGTGCCATCATAGCTCATTTCATTCCTACAATCACCCACTGAGTGATTGCTAACCAACAAAGTTGAACAAGGTCCAGAGATATTTGGGAGCTGAATTTAGATCTTCTGATTACCAACTTGTGCTCTTTCCACAAGAGGGTGCTAATGGGTAAAGTCTCTTCAAAATGAGTTGATCCTAATGAGCTTTAATGGGCTGCTCTTGAATAAGAATTTAACCGGAAATTAAAACCCCTGGGAGACTATTGCAGTATTTTGAATGTAATCATTATACATTAAGGAAGTACACCAGTGACATAAGCCTAGATAGGTGCTTTATCTATATCTACCTCTTAGGACTCTCTGGAGTCAGAGATAGAGGTTATTGTGTTTAATATAGGCAGAAAGATGATAGTAAAAGATAACTAATATTCAGAGCAGTTCATCAGTGGGATAGCCTTTGGAAAGTTGTGAATTCACCATGAATACAAGGGGGTCAAAGGCAAGGGAGTGTCATAGAATCCATTTTGTATTAAATTGGGAGCTGGACAAAATGACTTCCAGGGTTCCTTACAAAACATTTTATGATAAATTACATCTTAGAGTTTTAGCCTGGAAGCACAAAAATTGCAGGCTATTCATTTGTACCTTTTTCTTTTATTTGTAGTTTTTAGAGACAGGATCTCACTCTGTCGCCCAGGCTAGAGTACAGTGGTGTGATCATAGTTCAGTGCAGCCTCAAGCTCCTGGGCTCAAACAGTCCTTTTGCCTTGGCCTCTCAAAGGGCTGGGATTACATGTGAGAGCCGCCTCACCTGGACTACATTTTTATTTTGCTGACTTTTCTTATTTAACTTAATTCTTAGTCTTTAAAAGGACTGCCATTTGTTCAAAGTCACTTTCACAGGAAGAGTGATTGAATTTACAAAAACAGGGCAACAGGTACCAGAAGAACTCTTCAAGTTTCTTTGAAATTTAACTTGAATTTAATGCAATAAAGTGTAGGAAAGATCACATTAACAGAGATAGATAGTAGGATGGTAGTTTTCAAGGGAAAGGGGAATTACTATTTAATGGGTATGGAGTTTCAGTTTGAGAAGGTGAGAAAAGTTCTGGAGATGGATGGTGGTGGTGGTTGTACAACAGTGTGAATGTACTTAGTGCCACTGAACTGTACACTTAAAACTGGTTAAAATGGTAAATTTTATGTATATTTTACCATAATAAAAAATGTAGGATGTTTCATCTTATTAAAGTATCTAAATACTTTGAAATCTAACTTGAATTTAAAGCAATAAGAGGCCAGGGGCGGTGGCTCATGCCTGTAATCCCAGCACTTTGGGAGGCCAAGGTGGGTGGATTACCTGAGGTCAGGAGTTTGAGACCAGCCTGGCCAACATGGTAAAACACCATCTTTACTAAAAATACAAAAATTAGCCAGGCATGGTTGTGCACGCCTATAACCCCAGCTACTCAGGAGGCTGAGGCAGGAGAATCGCTGGAACCTAGGAGGTGGAGGTTGCAGTGAGCTGAGATTGTGCCACTGCACTCCAGCCTGGGTGACAGAGCGAGACTCTGTCTCAAAAAAAAAAAAAAGAAATAAAATAAAATAAAGTAATAAGATGTAGGGAAGGTGGCTTCTTCTTGTTAAAGTATCTAAATAGATGAAGCAGTTTGACTTTTATTCTTTTTGTTTGAAGCCATCAAGCCAGTGTGCAGGTAGAGTCATTGCAAGAACAGTTGAATGTAGTTTCCAAGCAAAGGGATGAAACTGCGCTGCAGCTTTCTGTCTCTCAGGAACAAGTAAAGCAGTATGCTCTGTCACTGGCCAACCTGCAGATGGTACTAGAGCATTTCCAACAAGGTAAGCTCTACGGTCACTCTTTCAATGAAGAAAAATTGTAGTTATTGGTAATTTTGCCTAATTTGAGAGCTATTTTAGATGAGGCACGGGGAAATCTCTGAAAGGTTACCCACTGGTAGAGGGGAAGGGTGAGTAGCCATCAAAAAGTTAATTTAGACTCCTTTTACAATTAAGACGAGAAAATAAACTTTATTTAGTAATTATTAAAAATTTGTTTTAGTATCCTATTACCAGTGAGAGATGAGAGTTGAGGAAATACAAGGAAAGATGATCAAGTAATAAAGAGGAGAATACAAGGAAAGATGATCAAGTAATGAAGAGGAGAATACAAAGAAAGAGAGATACGCACATACAAAGAATAGTTAGGTTTTAAGATAAGGGCTGGAGGTTGAACCTACTTCAGATAATCATCATTAATTATTGTTCTTTGAAATGGTGATTCACATGTTCATAGCTATTCATCTATGCTTTGAGGTAACTACATTTTCTAGTCCATATGGAAGGTGCTTTTTTGGAGACACAATAATAGTAACCAGAGCAGTTCTACCCTGAGAAACAAATATACCTTTTCACATTCTACCTCCTATCCTTACATTTATTCACTTTAGATCATTCATCCATCCATTTGTTTATTCATGCATTCAGTAATTATTGACAGTAAATTAACTGCTAGTTGTCGGAGGTGATTAGGGGATATGAGAATGAGGAAGTAACAAGGACTTGTAGTTTTATGCCTAAGCAAAACTTTAAATTTGTACCTCTGTGTTACTTCAGGGTTGAAATCTTAAATTTTAGATATAAGAATTCTTGCCGGGCACGGTGGCTCATGCCTGTAATCCCAGCACTTTGGGAGGCCAAGGCGGGCAGATCACCTGAGGTCAGGAGTTCAAGACCAGCCTGGCCAATGTGGTGAAACCCCATCTCTACTAAAAATACACAAATTAGCCAGGTGTGGTGGAAGATGCCTGTAATCCCAGCTACTCGGCTTGAACCCTGGAGGAGGAGGTTGCAGTGAGTGAGCCGAGATGACACCACTGCACTCCAGCCTGGGTGACAGAGTGAGACTCTGTCTCAAAAAAAAAAAAAAAAAAAAGTTTTTGAGGTCTACTTTACAGTATAATGTAATTATTAGAGTGGGTATGTATACAAAGCAGTGTGGAACTGAGACTGTAGAGAAAGTGTTGCCAAAGAGGAAATATTTGAGAAGAGTTACGAAGGGAGAGAAGAATCTGCAAGATAGACAAGATGGAGAAGTGTTTAGGCAGAGGAAAGTGATCTCATTAGTTTAGTACCGCTTAACATTATCACTAAGGCATATATTCTTTTCTGTTTGAGACATTTGAACTGTTTTCGTTGGATTATTAAAATTTAAAATGGCTTAACATTCTAACTTAACACACGATTGCAAAATACTAATGTTAACTTTCTTTTCTCTTTAGAGGAAAAAGCTATGTATTCTGCTGAACTCGAAAAGCAAAAACAGCTTATAGCTGAATGGAAGAAAAACGCAGAAAATCTGGAAGGAAAAGTGATATCATTACAGGTAGGACAAAATAGTTTTCTCTTGTAGGTTTTATTATTCATGGAACAGTTACTTGTAGAGTCTTTGTCTTGGAAATAATCTCCTAAACTGTTCATTTAGTAAATTTTCTACCCTGAATCCAGCCCTCTGCTGTAGCCTGACAGTGAACAAGATACCCAGGATTTCCCTAAGGTGTCATAGTTTAGAGTAGACACGGCAAATGTAAGATGACAGGACATTTAAATTTTTTTGGCACATAGAGGTATTTTAGAGGTCTCCGGGGAAAAAACACCCAAATTAATCTATAATTTAACTTTATAATTTTCTCTCTTTTTTTTTTTTTTTTTTTTTTTGAGACCGAGTTTCACTCTTGTTACCCAGGCTGGAGTGCAATGGCGTGATCTCGACCCACCGCAACCTCTGCCTTCCGGGTTCAAGCAATTCTCCTGCCTCAGCCTCCCAAGTAGCTGGGATTACAGGCGTGCACCATCATACCCAGCTAATTTTGTATTTTTAATAGAGATGGGGTTTCACCATGTTGGTCAGGCTGGTCTCGAACTCCTGACCTCAGGTGATCTGCCCACCTCAGCCTCCCAAAGTGCTGGGATTACAGGTGAGAGCCACTGCGCCTGGCGTGTAATTTTCTTTTTTCAACAAAATTTTAAATTTGTACCTCTGTGAGCACTCATTTCACATGGATTAAAACAATATATATTATCCCATTAAATCTTTTTTTTTTTGTATAATAACATCCTTTAAAATATTTTTCTATTCCATCTATATTTCACACATAGGACAAAAATTATATATAAGGAATATATAAAAATGAACCCCTATGAAGAGATAGGACACCAAAACAACGTGCTTTTAGATTTAGGAGAAACTTGTCTTTTTTTTTTTTTTTTTTTTTTTTTTTTTTTTGAGACGGAGTCTCGCTCTGTTGCCCATGCTGGAGTGCAGTAGCGCGATCTCGGCTCACTGCAAACTCCCCCTCCTGGGTTCACGCCTTTCTCCTGCCTCAGCCTTCCAAGTAGCTGGGACTACAGGTGCCCGCCACCACACCCGGCTAATTTTTTGTATTTTTAGTAGAGACGAGGTTTCACCATGTTAGCCAGGATAGTCTCGATCTCCTGACCTCGTGATCCGCCCGCCTTGGCCTCCCAAAGTGCTGGGATTACCCACCATGCCCGGCCTAGGAGAAGCTTTTCTATGTCATAAATAGACTGTCAATAACTGGTAGAAAATGATAAAATTCATTTACCTGACATTAGTGGAGGTAATTATGCTGTTCTTCAGGAACATTAACGTCCCAAGTAAGTGAAGATATACTTCCTAATAAAGTTTTAACATTTTAATTAAGTATTAAATGGCTGCAAAACAATTTAGATAATATGTATAAAATATAAGACTAACAATGCAGCAAATACCCACACTGTCACCACCCAGTGTAAGAAATAAAACTTCATCCTTTGAAGTTCCTTATGCACCCCTTCACATCCCATTCTCATCTTCCACCTCTTAGGCAACCACTATTCCAAAATGTTATGTTTATTACTTCCTTATTTTGTTTGGTTTTCTTTTTTCTTTTTCTGCTTGTTTTCTTTATGGTTCTTATCACATAGGTTTGACGCTCCAAACAATCCATTGTTTGGTTTTGCATATTTTTGAAGTCTATGTAAATGGAATTTGAACTATATGTAAATTCAGTAATTTTTCTGAGACTTGCTTTTTTTTTTTTTTTTTTTTTTTTGAGACGGCGTTTCGCTCTTTGCTCAGGCTGGAGTGCAAGGGCGTGATCTCAGCTCACTACAACCTTTGCCCTGGGTTCAAGTGATTCTCCTGCCTCAGCCTCCCAAGTAGCTGAGATTACAGGCACACACCATCACGCCTGGCTAATTTTTGTATTTTTAGTAGAGACAGGGTTTCACCATGTTGGCCAGGCTGTTGTTGAACTCCTGACTTCAGGTGATCCATCCACATCAGCCTCCCAAAGTGCTGGGATTACAGGCGTGAGCCACCGCACCCGGCTGAGACTTGCTTTTTTAAAAAACTTACCATAGTGTTTATGAGATTCAGTCATATTACTGTGTGTTACTGTATATAGGCGATTTGTTATTTTCACTTCTGTATGCATTGCATTAATATATAATTTACCCATTTTATTAATAAAGGGTATTTCAGATATCTTCTAAACATACAAGAGTTTTTTTAGATGTATATCTTGATTGGAATTGCTGAGTTATAGGACATATATGGTCAACTTCAGCTTTATTAGATGATTAATTGTTTTCTGAAGTGGTTGTGCTAATTTACTCCCACTAGCAGGCACATGACTTCTTGTTCTACATCCTTGTCAACACTTGACATTATCAGACTTTCAAAGTTTTTGACAATCTGATGGGTAGGAAGTGTCTTAGTCCATTTTGTGCTGATACAATAGAATACCACAGACTGGTTTATTTATAATGAACAGAAACTTAGTAGCTCATGGGTTCTGGAAGCTGGGAAATCCAAGATTAAGGTGCCAGCAACTGGTAAACCTCCTTGCTACATCATCCTGTGGCAAAGAGAGGGTAAGGTGAGAGAACAAGAGGGAGCCAAACTCCTCCTCTTGCAAGGAACCTACTTCCTTGATTATGAACCCACTCCCACAATAAGGACATTAATCTATTCATGAGGGTGGTGCCCCCATGAACCAAACACCTCCCATCAGGCCCTACCTCCCAATACTGCCACATTGGGAATCAGGTTTTCAGCAAATGAACTTGTGGGTATACATTCAAGCCATAGCAGAAGGGCTGTCTTCCTGTGGTTTTAATTTGCACTTCCCTAATTACCAGTGAGGTCAAGCATCTTTTAATATGTTTATTGACCATTTATACTTACTTTCTTGTCAGCTCATTAATACATTTAAAAGATGTATTTTATCTAATACTCTTAGTGGTTTCTAGTGGATCCAGAGTATACAGTCTGTGGAACTGCTAGAATGGAAGTCCAGATCTTCTTCTCTTTTTTCTTAGAGACAGAGTCTTGCTTTGTTGTCCAGGCTGGTCTCAAACTCCTGGGCTCAAACAGTCCTCCTGTCTTGACCTCACAAAATGTTGGAATTACAGGCGTGAGCCTCTATGCCTGGCATTTTTTTCTTATTTTAATTAGAGATGAAATCTTGCTATGTTTCCCAGGCTGGAATGCAGTGGCTCTTCACCAGTGTGATCATAATAGTGCACTACAGCCTTGCATTTCTGGACTCAAGCAATCCTCCTGCCTCAGCCTTTTGACTAGCTGGGACTATAGGCATGTGTCACAGCACCCAGCCAAATCTTCTTTTAAAACTAGTTTTATTTTTTAAAATTTAAAGTGTAATATACATTTAAAAGAAGAACAAAATAAATGAGAAGAAATTGAGGGAATTAATAAAAATAAAAGCTGTAATTAATGAAATAAAAACCAAACAACTGGTAGAAAGAATAACAAAATCTAAATGCTGATTTTGGAAAAAATCTAAGCGTAGATTTAAGCTTTAATAACTTCATAAGTACAAATGGTGTGGGTTAAAAAAATCATTTGAAAGTTTACATTTCCTTCACACTAAATTTAGTTTTGTGGATTTTTGAATAGTAAATATTTTATTTAAAATTTTCAATTTCATTCCCTCTATATATCAATCAGGTTTCAGCCCCTAAAAGCAGGATCAGTAGGGTGTGTATGTATATGTGTCAAATTTATATATTGATATATATGGATACACACATGCAATTTATTACAAGGAATTGGCTACAAGATTGCAGCCGCTGGATAAGCAAGTCTGAAATTTGTAGGGTTGGCAGTCAAGATGGGAAGCCCACATCAAAGGCAGGCTGGAACTCAGCAGGCATGGGCCAAAGCTGTTGTCCACAGGCAGCCAGGAAAGGAAAGTCACAAGCAGGATGGAACTCCATAGGCATAGGCGGAACCTGCGGTCCAAAGAAGGAATTTCTTCTTTTTTAGGGGGAAGGCTAAACCCTGGCTTTTAAGAACTTTAAAACTGGTTCAGTCGGGCCCACCCAAATTATCCAGAATAATGTGCCTTTCTTAAATTCAACTGATTAAGGACTTTGATTACATTTGCAGAATACCTTCACAGCAACATCTAGATCATATTTGATTGAATAACTGGGGACTGTGACCTATCCAGGATGACACAGTAAAAAGGCTATCACACTGATTGAAGATGGCAAAACTTGACCTTAAATTTACATGGGAGAATACTTGAGAATAGCCAAGAAAATTATGAGAAATAATGCAGTGAGGAGAGACCTGCCTACTAGATGTCATAATAGAGCCATAAATCGATACAATATTGACTAGATTAGTGGATTAAGGAGAATCCAGAAATAGAGCCCAGGATATATTTGAGAATTTGAAACTAAAACCTAAACTAATTTAATGAGAAAAAGGATAGCTTATCTAATTAATGATGTTGATAAAACCAGCTGTCCATAGGAAGGAAGGAAAAAAAAACAACAGACCCTCACCTTACATCATAAACAAAAGTAAAGTCTAATTGTATTAAAGCAGGGATTTTCAACTGGGAGTGGTGCTGATTATCTGGGGATAGATGGCATTTATTGGGCAAGGAATGCCAAAGCCACTCCCATTAAGAAACACTGTGTTAAAGATTTAACTATATTACAAAATATCTTGTAATAAAATCTGGAAGACTACATTTACATTCTAAGGGCAAGGAGGATCCTAACCAAGACTAAAACTTAAGAAGCTGTAAAAGCAAAGTAGAACATGTTTGACTATATAGTATTTAAAATGTTTACATGACAAAAGATATTATAGAGTCAGTAGAAAAATGGCAGATATGGTAACGGTATTTGCTTAGCACAGGTGAAAAAGCTTCATATCTGCTATACAAGGTGCTCTTACAGATGGACAGGAGAAATAGAACTCAGTAGAATCTTGGGCAATGTATGCAAAGAGGTTTTCACAGAAGGACAGATCCAGCTTGCCCTGTAAACATGAAAAGTAATGCTCAAATTCACTAGTAGTGGTCAGGGAAATAAAATTTAAAGTAACAAAGTCATAATCAACATCACTTTATTAGACTTTCAAAAATGAAAAAGAGAACATTTGTTGCTATATTTCTGGACTTCCTGTATCTTTGTTTTTTTGTAGTTTATGTTGTTACTTTTTTTTTTTTTTTTTTTTACTTCTGTCATCATGTTGTCTTTCAGTGGCATCTGCTCTTTTTATTTAGTTCCTCTAAATGAGGCAGTATTGTATTGAAAAGAATGTGGGTTCTGCCTTTGATACTTATTGGTTGGATACATTTGCCCAAGGTCATAGAGGTGCAGCTTCACCAGCTGAAATGTAGAGGTTGACTCTAAGATGTCTCTCAGCCTTATAGTTTGTGAAATAATTTTTGCATACTTTTTTTTAATAAAGTTTTCTTTCTCAGGAATGTTTGGATGAAGCAAATGCTGCATTGGATTCAGCATCAAGACTTACAGAACAGTTAGATGTAAAAGAAGAACAAATTGAAGAACTTAAAAGACAAAGTAGGTTTTTTTCTTTTCATTTTTCCCCCACTACAATACTGATATTAAATCAAATGTAGTCTTCTGTCATAAATTGGCATAGTTGAGTGAGACCAACTTCATTGATGTGTGACTTCCATTTGTATCTTCCCTGACTGACTTGCTTCAATTTAAGTATGGTCCTAGTGAAACCAGAGTCATTAAGTTGGCCCTGGCTGTCCAGTTAGTTTTCCTGGATGTTGAGGCAATGCCATTGCATTGGCTGTCACCCTGTTGACCATCAGAGGGGTTGATTGGACTGATTTGACTTTTTATGGATATGATTTCTCCCTTATCAGTTCACGTGCATCTTGCCTAAGGCCATCTGATCTGTTAGAGAAGGCAGAATTCTCAAATAAAAGAGCAACTTTCTGTAGAATGAATGTCTGGGTATAGCTAGATTTTTATGATTGTAGATGGTGTTTTACCACAGGTGCATCATGTATTTTTTGATGTTTATAAGGTGCCTCATATGCCCTGTCCATACCCTAAGGTATGTCCTATGCTTAGGATTATTAATTGGTTCAGTGATCAGGTGGCTTACAGGGCTTTGTTGAATCCAACAGCTGACAAAGATGGCATATCCTCATTTCATCTCTGATTTAGAGGCAACCAGGAAGTCAAAACTATTCTAGGGCTGCATTTAGTAGGTAATGATTCAGGGTTATTGGAAAGGTGATAACGGAGCCTAGAAATGCATCAACTTTAGATGTCTAGGTTAGGCACAATAGTAACAAGGCATGTAGTTAAGAAATACATACCACCTAACATGAAATTAGAAATAAGCAAAAATAGAAGGAGATGGTACAGCAGAGGAGCTGTCAACAACAGAAGCAGTGACTTAGACACTAGGGAGGCAAGCCGGCAGGAACCACTGACGCATGGAGACCAAAGGACAAGCCAAAGTAAGCTGGCCTAAATCCAGCAGGAGACAGGACAGGGGAGATTTTTAGGAATACAGAGAAAAAAAGATAGATGTGAAGTAATTGTCCTCAAAATGACTTGATTCTGAGGCAAGTTACTGCCAAACCAAAAGTCTTCTACCTTGTAAGTCTTGACCAGGCTAGGATCTCTAAATCTAGTAGAGGGCCTGAAAATGGGCAGCAAGGAAACAATTATGTATTGAGTGTCTATTATGGACATTTGACATAACATTTATGTATTTAGTCTTCTCATCATTTACTTTTTATAAGCATCTCTAAAATAAGTGGTATTATCCATTTTATAGATTAAAGAGGCAAGATTTGAACTCCGATCTTTTTAACTATTACCATAATTCGTGGTCTTTTCATGTTATTGTAGCCCTATCAGGAAAATGGTTATTTATAGTCTGACTTGTATTTTGTTCTGTATATCTCCAGTTTCCCCTGAAAATATGGTAGCATCTTCTGTATTGTGCCCTAACGTTGAAATGGTTGCCTTTACCAAGAGCAGTATTTATTTAGAAAACAGTCTAGTTAGATCGAAGGCCAGTGCAACTACAACATTATCTGGAAGACATATGGGCAACTGAGAGGAGACACACTGGGAATTGATAATCTTCGGGTTGGGCTAGACTAATGGAGGTGAAACAGCAGTGTTGTGAACCAGCTCATTGCTTTGTGACAACTCAGTGCTATATGTTATGCTACTATAATATCTAAGGCCACATCCTCTTTTAGACACCTACCTAAGTAATTCCCAATAGTTGATGGTAAATTTAAAATTCTAAGATTTATTGTAGTTAATAAATATTATCAGAGTTCTTGAAATACAGGTTGAGCATCCCTAATCCAAAGTCTGAAATGCTCCAAAGTCTAAAACTTTTTGAAAGGTGACATGATGCTCAAATGAAATGCTTATTGGAGCATTTTGGATTTTGGATTTTTGGATTAGGGATGCTCAGCCAGTAGTACTATAATGTAGATATTCCAAAGTCTGAAAAATCCAAAATCTGAAACACTTCTGGTTCCAAGCATTTTGGGTAAGGGATACTCAACCTGTATTTAGTACTTTTTCAGACACTCATTTAAGCCCCCACTAGTAGAATATTTTCAGATGTTCTTGATTATAGATGATAAAGCTTAGGTGGAAAATACTAATATTCATTGTAAACGTATACGAACTTTGGATTCATTTTGTGGAATCAATATTAGCTACAGAGAAAGCTCTGATTATGCTTGTATAACTGGTATTTGAAAGGGCAGGCAAGAGGCCAGTGTTGCACAAACAGGAAGGGGTGTAAAGAGACAGTTGGTTCTGTTATGTCTGTAAGTCATTCTTGCCATTTACAGCTCTTCTTAACAATCTGTTTTCTTATATTACCTAAGTGCTTTAATATCACTTTTATATCTCTAAATACAAATGCAATTTTATTTTCTCAAAGCTGCACTCTTGATTTGATAATGTAAACAAAACTTTGATTAGCTCACTTGTTTCAAAAGAATCGCTGTATATTTTCTCTCCTAGATCATTAAGTACTTTAAATGTTGATTGATGTTGTAATACTGTACTTTATTTTTAACACAAAACTTGGCCAGACAGCAAAAATATTTGCCAGGAGAAACAATTTTGAAAAAGACAGATTGCCTTTTGTTGGAAGAAAGTACATGGAGACTTGAATCGTAAAGGCAAAGTATTGGTTACTTCTAAGCATCTGTAGACTAATGATTAATTGATACACAGTTTCAGCATTTAAACAATATTAGGAAGCTCACTTTTAAAAGTATTTTATTCCAAATGGTTGATTATATCATTGCTACCAGAGATGAGATGATTCAGTCTGGTCAAACATATGAAAAAGAGAGCTGTTGCAAATAATGCCAATATTGAAACAGTAGACTGTTGATAATTTCAGTCATTTCTTAAGAGTATGTATGTGCATCTGTGCTTATGAATTAAGAGTATTTTTGGGCCTTGTGTGAAAAGTATGAAGACAGATGCTTATCAGGCACTAAATATTTAATGAGAACCAACTACTTGGCTTCCCATTAGGTGCTATATGAGATACTAGATAGTATCCCTTTTCCAAGGAGTTTAGCTAAGGAAATGACACATCGTGTAGATACCCCGTAGGTTAGTAATTGAAGACAGTGATGCACAACAGTGATCATAAGACAGGGCATATTTAGTTCCTCCAGAATCCCATTAAGGGTCAGGCAGCATTCCATGGAGAAAAGGAACTTGAGTAGAGACATAAACCAGCAGTAGGGAACTGTTTAAATATTTCTCCCTGTCTCCCTCCCCCTCTATCCCTCTTCCCGGGAAAGTAACGAAGAAAATAAATCCTACGATCCTAAGTACTATAGTTTAATAGACAGTGTTGGCTGTTAAAAGAATTACTGCTATCCTTCCTTTTAAAAAATTATTCTTTCAGCATTTTACCTGAAAGTGTTCTTCAATACAGTTCCAAAGACTTCACATGCCATCCCATATCCAAACTCAGTAGAGTGGCCTATGAAGCACATATGACAGTGGTTTTCATTAACTACTCTGAGCTGATCAGAGTTCAGAATTCCATGGAATTGCTATTGATGAGAAATTATACACCTGTGACTGAACCATTAAAATGCATTATCTTGCTATATTTATGGTCAAATTTGACATTTTCCTTTCCTTCTTGTTCTCTGCCATCATCCTTGACATAAATTCCTGCTAATTGAAAATGATTTGGCCGGACGTGGTGGCTCACACCTGTAATCCCAGCACTTTGAGAGGCCAAGGTGGGTGGATCACCTGAGGTCAGGAGTTTGAGACCAGCCTAGCCAACATGGTGATACCCCATCTCTACTAAAAATATAAAAATTAGCCAGGCATGGTGGCTCATGCCTGTAGTCCCAGCTTCTTGGGAGGCTGAGCCACAAGAATTGCCTGAACCTGGGAGGTGGAGGTTGCGGTGAGTTGAGATCACGCCACTGCACTCCAGCCTGGGCAACAGAGTGAAACTTGGTCCCAAAAAAAAAAAAAAAAGAAAAGAAAAAAAATGATTGGATAAATTGAAATAAAAAGCACAAGATATTGTTATTTTGATAACTATGATTCAGAAAGGTGGTGAATTTTATGGTGTGCAAAGAAAAGTGAGTTTTCATAAGCAATACAAATTTAGTTCTAACATCAGGAAGATCTTTTGGTCTGTCTGCTAGTTTATACCTGTATCTGAAAGGGCAGCATAACTGATTTTTTTTTTAAGAAGGTTGAATGACTACTTTTAAAAGTCTCCTAAGAGTTGAGAATGGAAAATTTCCTTGGACCATTTTTTAAAAGAAAATCTAGAAGAATGTATAAAATGAGTCCCAGTAAAACTTACTGTAATATGAAGCATAAAAACATGTTTTAAAGCTACAGATATAAAAGAAGCTTAAAATATTTTTCGTGGAACTACCTTTACGGTGCTGGATGGTAAAGTTTTTATTTTAAATAAAGACATTCCGTTTTCCAGGACATGATTTATACAAGAAAACATATAATGTCCTGTTGAACACAGGCCAAATACATTCCCAGACGCTTTGTTACCCAAACCTTTTGAGAGATTTCTTTATAGATGTTTTTGGCAGAAGTGGTGATTTTAGAGGAAACATATAAGAAGTACCAGATGCAGTTTTCTGAGTTGCCATAAATGGTTAAAAAATTATTTTGATGATATAAACATCTGGGTATACTAGACAATGCCAAAATATGAGTTAAGAAAAAAGTGTATGTCAATTAGGTAAATAATTAAACCTTTTTCAACTGAACTGTATTTTAGAAATTGCAGTTTAAAAAAATTCCTCTAAGTTTAAAGGGAAAAGTAAATGATATAGCAATAAGAATGTTTTGAGTTAATGTGTTTTGTGTCCTTGCCCTTATTTCTTTATGTATGGATGAGTTCATAATTCAGAACATAAATTGTTCTTTTTGTCCAGTGTTCTGTTCTTTGCAGATATTCTCTTTTCCCAGAGAAAATCAATCATTATTTGACTTACTTCTCAAATATTCATTGTTTATTTGCTGTGTGCTAAGCACTGCAGTAGAACTAAAGATATAAATAAAGACAGGAGACAAGGGTCCTGCCTTCAGGAGGTTTACAGTCAGGCAGGAAGGGAAGATGACATGCATCAAATACATGAAACAAATGGTTTAGAAAGGAAAGAGCTATCCTTTGTACTTGGTGTTGGTAGCATGGAAGGGTAGACAAGGTTAGTGAAGGGCTCACTTGAAATTACTTGAATGGTGAATAGGTATAGCTAAGAAGGCAGAAAGTTGGGGAAAAGTGTTCTAGACAGAGGGAGGAATTCCTGTGAAACTGTGTGTCATAATCTGGAAACTGGCTGAAGATACAGTTGACTAGTAATGACCAAGGGTGGTGGGTATGTGTGCACATGCATGTGTTGGAGTGGAGTGCTGAAAAGGTGGAGGTAGAAGTGGGTTGCCGTGTGGAAATAAGAATCTCTTAGTATGGATCACAAACACAAATTGTAAACTGA
Organism: Homo sapiens; assembly: GCF_000001405.40. NCBI lineage: Eukaryota > Metazoa > Chordata > Mammalia > Primates > Hominidae > Homo > Homo sapiens. Next base: position 91,982,824 of record NC_000014.9, on the reverse strand, counting down.
GGCTATGATGATAATATAAAAGAGCACATGAAACTAGGTAAAGACTGATCATTTGAAGTGTTTCTTATGGAGGCAGCAGATTCTCAGCTCCGCCCAGCTGCTGCCATGCAGGAATGTGGGCCCAGTGTTGCCATGTCTTCAGATCTTTGAAGAGACCCTGGATATCTGCAATTTTTTCATGAAATATCTCATTAAAAAATTAATTTCAACTTGTGGATTCAAGGGTACCTGTACAGGGTTACTTGTATAGGTTTATTACTGCTTGACACTGAGGTTTGGGGTACAAATGATCTTGTCACTCAGGTAGTGAGCATAGTACCCATTAGGTTGTTTTTCAGCCCTTCTCCCCCTCTCCCTTTTCCCCCTCTGGTATCTCCAGTGTCTGCTGTTCCCATCTTTATGTCCGTATGTACCCAATGTGTGGCTCCCGCCTGAAAGTAAGAAAGTTTGTAACACTTTTAAAATTAAATATATATTCTGTCTCACATGCCAGAGGAGTAACAAGTATATAACCACTCATAATATTTACTCTTTTTAAAAAATTAGTTCTGTTTCAATATGGAGAAATATAGTTCAGATTATCTGAATTCATAATAAAGGGTTAAAGGAAGAGAATGGTGAGGAAAAATAAATTTGATTTGGTTATATTAAAAATATTTATATAAAATCAAGTGTACATAGTAACTCTGGTGAATAATCCAAATTTGGTCTACAAATAATCCAGTAGACCTCAACCAATCACAGATTCTGATCTAGTGGAATTCAGATTAATGAAGTTATACTGTATTAATATAATTCTTTTCCTGTGAGTTCATTGCTAAGAAGTAGAAGTTTATTTTTATTTTTAAGAGGCAGGATCTTATTTTTTTTTTTTTGTGGAGACGGTTTGTCTATGTTGCTCAGGCTGGTCTTGAACTCCTGGCATCAAATGATCCTTCTGCCTTGGCTTCCCAAAGTGCTAGGATTACAAGAGGCATGAGCAACTGGGCCTGGCCTAGAATTTTAAAAGATACTTTTCACTCAGCAGTGAACAATTATGATTATGGGACAACAAAACATTTACCATATACTCTAGACCTTCAAATTCTGTGTTGGATACAGTTGAAAATAATTGAGTTAAAAGACAAAGCAGGGCTGGGCACGGTGGCCCATGCCTGTAATCCCAGCACTTTGGGAGGCTGAGGCAGATGGATCACTTGAGGTCAGGAGTTGGAGACCAGCTTGGCCAACATGGTGAAAGCCTGTCTCTACTAAAAATACAAAAAAATTGGCCAGGTGTGGTGGCACATGCCTGTGATCCCAGCTACTCAGCAGGCTGAGGTGCAAGAAACGCTTGAACCTTGGGAGGCAGAGGTTGCAGTGAGCAGAGGGTGTGCCACTGCACTACAGCCTGGGTGACAGAGCGAGACTCTGTCTAAAAAAACAACAACAAAAAAGACAAAACAGATGCTTGTAAAGCTTAACCTCAAATTGCAAATAGTATAATATCTTTTAAAAATATATTATTTGGGCCGGGTGCGGTGGTTCACACTCGTAATCCCAGCACTTTGGGAGGCTGAGGTGGGTGGATCACTTGAGGTCAGGAGTTCAAGACCAGCCTGGCCAACATGGAGAAACCCCGTCTCTACTAAAAATACAAAAATTAGCCAGGCGTGGTGGCAGGCGCTTGTTATCCCAGCTACTCGCGAGACCGAGGCAGGAGAATTGCTTGAACCTGGGAGGTGGAGGTTGCAGTGAGCTGGGGCGCCACTGTACTCCAGTCTGGGTGACAGAGTAAGACTCTGTCTCAAAAAAAAAAAAAAAAAAAAAAAATATATATATATATATATATATAATATACATATAAAATTTGATGTTAAAAGTGATCTTGTATAACTTGAAATTCTGTAATAAAAAAGATCTAATTTCTAGCTTTTGCTTTGATTATATTTAATTAAATGAAGAGGTTAAATTTCCTTATTAGGTTTAATATTGTATCAGATTTAAATTTAGTTTTAAGGTATCCAGATGCAGATAAGACACCAGATGCAATTTATTTATTGACATATATATATGTATGTGAAATCATCTTTCTAACATTTTTTTCTTCCTTCTGTTGACTCCTTGGCCTCAAAGATGACAAACATGCAAAATGGAGGGGGGAAAACCTCACAAAATATTAACATTAAACAGAGTAATATATGTGATACTGATTCAGGCTAGATTGAAATATGAACTTTTTAGTTATTTTAAGAAATTGGATGATAAGTACTAATGCTTTATGTAGCACTTTACTATTTAGAAAAGTCACATTTGATCATTCAGTTGATTCTATCAAATTCTTTGAGATAAGCATGTTCATTTTACAAAATAGGCAACAAAGTCTGGCCCTGGTGATAGGACCATGATTCATATCCACTTCTGACTCTCAAGTTCTGTGTTCCTTTTTTTTCTCAGTCAGGTGACTGTTCAGTAAATCTGACTTGGATCTTGCCTACAGGAGCTTACTCATGAAATATCCAAATGACTTTGTAAGCAGTATGATTCATTTTAAGATGTAGTATGATTCATTTTAAGATGTTCTCTGAAGGCAGCATTGTAGTGTACTGTCATTAATTACAAATGAAATGTAAAATTATGATGTGCCAATTTGTTGCAATCAATTACATTTTATGTTCAATTTTTATTTTAAACCAAATGTTGAAGACCATGGCACCATGTCTAGGTGTTCCAGAGAAGAGACTCTGATATGGCAAGTTTTACTATGTCACAGATGTAGAGTAACTCTTTCTCCAAACTAGACTAAATCTCAGTTGCTTTATTGCTGAACTTTTAAAGTTCCCCCCTCCACCTTTTTTTTTTTTTAACTTCCAAAAAATTATTTTGGCATGTGAGATTATTTCACAGAAATATTTTATTTGGCTTAAAACTCATTTCTGAATAACCATATTTTCCCTGCCCATATAAATACAGTTCTGATTTCAAATTGTGGTTTGAATTAGGGTTCAGTTTTTGTAGAGAAATATTCAGAATCTCTGATGGGAGGAAAATAAGGGTGCTTGAAGAAAAAGAGGCATCTGTAGGGACCTTTGTAGTAGGTGTTTGACTTTCTTTTCCTTTCCAAACCCCTCATAGTTAATACCATCCTTCTAGCACCGTCCCTTAAATTCTGAGTTTTTCCCCCTAGACTCAAATATCAGAGTACATTCTAACTACTGCTTGAGTTTGCAACAGCCCTTTGCATTCCACATCACATTAGCTCAGGGACAAACTGTATGTTCTGATAGTGAGTTTAGGAAATTTTAACCCTGTCATTTTCGCCTTAAGGATGTTTTGACTCTACCTTTCTGAATACAGAGACTTTAATAAAAACCATACCAATCTTAGTAAGTTTTCATCAAGAAAGTATTTTTGATTTGGACTTCTACGCAGTTTGATTTCTTGATCAGTTTTTCATAGAGCAAAGTTAAAATTTTCTACTTTATTTTACTAAAATTTTTATCAGGCTCAGCTCTGCTTTGTGAATTTTACTCTGAAGATGTCTGTCATTTCACTTTCTCTCTCTCTCTCTCTTTTTTTTTTTTTTTTGGAGACAGGGTCTCGCTCTGTTGTCCAGGCCGGAGTGCAGTGGCACAATCTGAGGTCACTGCAATATCTGCCTCCTGGGCTCAGGCGATCCTCCCGCCTCAGCCTCCTAAGTAGCTGGAATTACAGGTTCATGCCGCCACACCCGACTAATTTTTGTATTTCTTGTAGAGACAGGGTTCTGCTATGTTGCCCAGGCTGGTCTCAAACTCCTGAGCTCAAGCAATATGCTTACCTCGGCCTCGCAAAGCACTGGGATTACAAGCGTGAGCCACTGCGCCCAGCCTCTCTTTTTAAAATAAGAGATAGTATAGAGTAGTGTTATATCCTGGTTATGTTCTAAAAGCAGTACTGTCCAGTAGGAATATACTGTGAGCCACGTGCAATTTTAAATTTTTTAGTGGCCATGTTAAAACAGTAAAAAGCTATAGGTGAAATTGTTTGATAATATGTTTTATATAGGGACAGGCACAGTGGCTCACACTTGTAATCCCAACATTTTGGAAGGCTATGGCAGGAGAATTACTTGAACGCAGGAGTTTGAGATCAGCCCAGGCAATATCGTGAGACCCCATCTCTACAAAAAATTAGAAATTAGCTGGTTGTGGTGGTGCACACTGGTAATCTCAACTATTTCCTGAGGCTGAGGCAGGAGGATGGCTTGACCCCAGGAGTTTGAGGCTGCAGTGAGCTGTGATCATGCCACAGCCTGGGCAACAGAGCAAGACCCTGTCTCAAATATATATACACACATATATATTTTATATATAACCCAGTATAACCAAATTATTATATAGACATGTAATCAATATACAAATTACTAATTTTAGAGGAAAGTAGGTAGGAGAAGGGAAGTCTCAGGGAAAGGGAAGGTGGGGGTTGGAGGTAGGTTAGCTAAGCTTGACCTCTGTTTTTCTGCTATCTTTCTGTAGCCTTGGGGAGGAATGGAGGAGGAAGGAGGAGAAGACCATGCCCATCTTTACTCTGTCTCCTACTTTAGTTTGTGAGTGGGACGGTTAAGTCAAAACAGTGACGAGAGATTAACTTATTTGCTGAGTTCTATTTACATTCAGAATATAGTGCTAGAAAAGGCCCAGATAACACCATGTGCTAGTAGTATACATGTGCACATTAGGAATCTAAAGTGTCTTTTACTGACTCAGACTTTAATAATAGTCCTGTCCACCCCCACCTTTTCGCCCTCTCTCTCCCCTTCTCTCTCTCCCTCTCTCGTCCAAGTTTAAATTCCTTACTGGAAAGACAGGAAAGGAAAAGTTCGTAGTAGATTTTCCAAATACAAACCTTGCTTTTATAATATGGTTATGGCAACCATCTCTATTTTGGTAAAATTGGCCTATTATATGAATGACATTTTGCAAGTTAGATTTTTGCAATTTAGGAAAACCACAAGCCATCGTAAACAGTTAAACGAGACATTTTATATACGAATTTAGTACCATAAATCGGAATTTTGGGCATTGTGCAGAAGCATTGTACAGAGCAGAATGAAAACATAAAGCAAACAGACCTGGCCTAATCTGTAAGGCTCAAAGGAAAATTCTTTAAGAAAGTGAGTTGGAAACAGAGACATGAAAGGTGAGGGCAGTCCTGATGGAAAAGAGCTTTCCAGGCAGGAAAAAAAAAAAAAGAAAAGAATGACAAAACATTTGCAGAATTCTTACAGTGGGAATTTAGAGTCTAGAAATATACCATACATTTATGGTCAATTGATTTCCAACAAGGTTGCCAAAAGAATAGTTTCTTCACCATATAATGCTGGAACAAGTGGATATCCATGTGCAAAAGAATGAAGTTGGACCCCTACCTCACACCATGCACAAAAATTAACTCAAAATGGCTGGTAGACCTAAATTTTAGAATTAAAACTATAAAACGCTTAAAACAGGTGTTGGGTTAGGTATAGTTTCTTAGATATGAAACCAAAAGCACAAGCAACAAAAGAAAAAGTACATTGGACTTCATAAAAATTGAAAACTTTTGTGTTTCAAAAGATATCATCAAGAAAGTGAGATGACAACTCACAGAATGGGGAAAACATGTTTGTAAATCATATCTGATAACGGAACTTGTATCCAGCTACTACTAGGAAAATGCAGCATAATTCAAAGGAAAAGGTTTGTGGCAGAGTCTAGCGTTTGGATGTGAATGTTTCTAGATAGAGCTCTCCTCTTTATTTCTTTCAGAACAAAAACTTATAATCTAGCTTAAAATTACTGAGCATCTCTTTCAGCTCAAACTATTCGTTTCTGGCATAACAGAACAGGTGTAAACTCTGTTTGACTGAGAGTTCCTTAGTCCAGAAATCCTTGCCCTGTGGCATGGCTGAATTTAGGAACAGGGTATCTCCTGTTGTAATTCTAGACTTTGCCTTTAATACTGCTTAAATTCCAACTATTCCACCAAGATTTTATGGATTTTGCTTCCTTTTTAAATAATAATTTAAAAATAAAATAGTCCAGGCATCCTTCTAAGTCAGTCATAAGCTATAGTATCTTGATTTGTATATTAGAGCCGATTACCTGAATTATATTTTGCAATTTCCTTACCCCCATAATAGTTTGTCCTATCCACTGCATCCTGAGCCATGGTCTTAGTTGTGTTAGATACGCTTCTTAGTCAGCTCACCAAAAACAGAGTCTGGCCAGGAAAATAGAAAAAGGAAAATATTAAAGTCCTTTCTACTTCCTCCTGTTAATAAGAGTGGCTCTGGAAATGTTTCATGCAAGGAGGCAGTGATGAAAATCTCTTCTTTGCTATTAAGTTTTTAAAGAGGATGAAAACGTTTCTTGGTTTTTCAGTATTGTATTACAAAGTTGATTACTTTCTTGGGAGTAAACCATGTGAATTAATGCACTCTGGCTTTTAGAGGATTTCTATATGAGAGCCTAGTTCCCTGGACCAAAGAAGAGATAGAAGTTATTGAATATTCCCAATTAGAATAAGTGTATATATTCAGAGGTTATAATAAAGATCTCATAAATTTCATTATATAGTCATCCAGACTATTTTAATCAGTTAATGGCTATCTTTATTCACATATTTTACAACAGATGAGCTCCGACAAGAAATGCTGGATGATGTACAAAAGAAATTGATGAGCTTAGCAAACAGCTCAGAAGGAAAAGTAGACAAGTATGCTTTTTGCTTTTAATGTTTGTATATTTTGTGGAAATCACTTTTATGGTTAAAAAAAAACTTCTAAATGTAGATGTTTATATGTGATTAAATTTTTCAAAAGCCTTTTTTCCCCTCACTCTTAGTGAGGAAGGATGCAGCTTTAATGAGGAGTCAGCAGAATCACTTACCTTCTTTTATTTTTAATGTGGATTTTTTTCCAGCTCATTCTTTTTCTTAAAACCATATAGAAGAGCTAAAATATCACCTCAGTAAGAAGTACTTAGAAAATAAAAAATTTATTTTTACCATTCTTTTTTGCTTCTTTTACTGTCCTTAAATGAACATAATCTTGCTCAAATGTATTAGATCTGAAACCTCAGTATATATGCAACAGTAGCTCATTTAATATTTTTTAAATGTATATATTATTAGTAAATTTTTAATACATTTGGATGGGGAAATATAAGCATAACATTAAACACAACAGTCATCACCATTTAAGTTTCTGCTTCAGGTGAACATTAGCCCAGTCAGGAGCTTGGAATTACTAAGGAGGCGCCACCTCGGTCAGTAACTGGGTTGAATAAAGTGGGTGGCTAGTAAGTGAGATTTTAAAAGATACACATTTTGGGATGTTTGAAATATTCTTTTTTATTTTATTTTTTTTGAAATATTAGACTTGTCAAGATTTTTTAAAGACACTTTAAAATATTTTGTTTAGACTTTTTTATAAGTAAATATTTAATTGTTTAATATAATTAAATATTTCTATGCTTAGTGTTTGAGTGTACTTAATGTTGAGTTCACTTGAGCTGTTTCTGCCTTTATTTTCATAGAGTCCTAATGAGAAACCTCTTCATTGGTCATTTCCACACACCGAAAAATCAGCGTCATGAAGTGTTACGGTTAATGGGGAGCATCCTGGGCGTCAGAAGGGAGGAGATGGAGCAGGTGACTGGACGATGAAAGCCATCTGAACACATTCATAATCCAGATAGTGGCTTTGTAGACAATTACTTCCTTTTACTGTATGTAACTTTTACTGAGTGTAATTTTCTCAGTGTGGAAATGGAATTACTTCATACAACATTGAAGAGGCAGATTTGTTCAATATGTATGATATTAGTTTAAATGTTTTGTAACTTACAAACTACTCATATCAGGATGCTGAAATGTTGAAATATCCCCAGACTTTCATTTGAGATGGTGCTTGGGATGGCATTTTATTGTATTTGTAGACTCTATCAGTAGGAAACATTTACTAGGACTTGAACTTGAAAAGCATGCTTTACAACTATCAGAAATTATATAAAAGTGGTCCTTGTTTTTTTTTTTTTCTTGTACTGATAATATTTGTCTGTTTTAAAATAATCTTTCAGTTGTTTCATGACGATCAGGGCGGTGTTACCAGGTGGATGACTGGGTGGCTTGGAGGAGGATCAAAAAGTGTTCCCAACACACCTTTGAGACCAAATCAGCAATCTGTGGTTAATAGTGTAAGAAACAATTTTATTCTTGCTTAAGGTGAATAGTAAAATGACTGTATATTACATTCATTTGCAAAGAATCAGATTTTTTTTTAAAATTATTTTATACAACCCTTTTATTTTGAAGTTGCAGAAACTGAGTTCCAGAGAGGTGATTAAGCTTAAGGATAACAAGCCAGTTTTCATAACTTTATTGCATATAGGTTTTATTTTAACTCTATATGGTGCTTTTATTTTTCAAAATATTAACTTTTCCTTTGTACTTGATCATGCTGCCATAGGCAGTCTTGCTACTAAATTATAGTAGCAAGATAGAGGATTTATTTTATTCGTCTATGTATGTTCCAAATCGTTGAGCCAGTGAATACTTACTGAGTACCTGCTGTGAACTAGACTGTTCTAAGCATTGAGGATGCAGCTGCAAACTGGATAGAAACGGCGCCTGCCCTCATAAAACTTAGATTCTCGAAGGAGGAAGCAGTTAATAAACATGAAAACACAGTGCCTGGTATGTTGTAGGCTCTAGATGAATATTAATTGAATTGAGTAGTAGTATCAGTTAGAATGTGGAGTTTCTTTCTCTTAGCTTTTGTTTTGTTTTGTTTTTTGAGACAGAGTCTCGCTCTGTCGCCCAGGCTGGAGTGCAGTGGTGCGATCTTGGCTCACTGCAGCCTCAGCCTCCTGGGTTCAGGCAGTTCTCCTGCCTCAGTCTCCCGAGTAGCTGGGATAACAGGCGCCCACCACCACCACGCCCAGCTAGTTTTTGTATTTTTAGTGGAGACTGGGTTTCACCATGTTGGCCAGGCTGGTCTTGAACTCCTGACCTCGTGGTCCGCCCACCTCAGCCTCCCAAAGCACTGGGGTTACAGGCGTGAGCCACTGTGCCCGGCCTCTCTTAGTTTTTTAATAAAGAGGACACGAAGGATAGGTGATTTACCCAGAGCTGGTTAAAGATAAAACCCTATTTTACTTGGCTGGCATAAAATTTAATTTAAAGGAAAGGTCTACACTACATTATTTTAATCTGACAATGTTATTTGTGATCTTTTGTTATTATATTCATTGGTTAGACCTGACTAGAAAATTATGTCTAATGTGTGTTTTCCTTTCATATAATTTTTTATGTTTGTGTTAATAGTTATTAAAATGATCAGATTCATTAAGTGCTATTCATTGATGGCAAGAAAAATAAGTATTATCAGTTGGCTAATTCTGACCATGAGGTGTTAGAAGTGAGTGTTACCATCAGACTATTGATTAAATTGTTAAATTTTTGTAATGATGATCATCTATCTAAAGTGCTAGTATTTTAGGCCAGGTGTGGTGGCTCACGCCTGTAATCCCCGCACTTTGGGAGGCCGAGGTGGGCGGATCACAGGGTCAGGAGTTTGAGACCAGCCTAACCAACATGGTGAAACCCCGTCTCTGCTAAAAATGCAAAAATTAGCCGGGCGTGGTGGCGTGCACCTGTAATCCTAGCTACTTAGATGGCTGAGGCAGGAGAATCACTTGAACCTGGGAGGCGGAGGTTGCAGTGAGCCGAGATAGTGCCATTGCACTCCAGCCTGGGCGACAGAGCAAGACACCGTCTCAAAAAAAAAAAAAAAAAAGTGCCAGTATTTTCAATTGTTCATAAAGCTGATTTGTAAAAAAAAATTATTCAAGTGGCATGATTAATTTTTAATATTTAATTAGAAAAGCTGGTACATTTCCTTAGTTGTAGTGAATATAACTTAATTATCTAGCCTAATATAACCAAAATATTTTTTCTTAGTCTTTTTCAGAACTTTTTGTTAAATTTCTAGAAACAGAATCTCATCCATCCATTCCACCACCAAAGCTTTCTGTTCATGATATGAAACCTCTGGATTCACCAGGAAGAAGAAAAAGAGATACAAATGCACCAGAAAGTTTTAAAGGTAAAACTAGAGATTTAATTTTTCTATAATTTGAAAATTGAATGTTTAATGTATGATTATGTTTCACAGTGATATTAACTAAATTTTTAGTATTTTTGGAAATGTGTAATCAGGACTTCCAGAATTCCAATAAGGCATCAGGCTTTTCCAATAAGGCATCAGGCTTTTGCTTCATATATTCTTGTAGCAATCTGATATTTAATTGACTTAGATTAATTTAAATGGTAAGAAATATATTCCCTTTGTATATCAGAATAATTCTTCTCTGTCTGCCTAACCAGCTATGAATTATTCCTCTGGAAGTGATGGGGAATTGGTTACATCTTTCTTGGCCACCTGCTTTGCTTTCTCACTAATGGTGGTTCTTGCTAATCCGAGTTAGATGTGTAGTTTATAGTTTGAGAAGGGTTTTTCTCCTTTGAAAATTTAAGTGCTACACTCAGTAACCAAACATTGGCATGTTAATATATATAAGCGCAGTTTAACAAACTGACTTGAGACTCCAAGAATGTAGAAAGCACTCTTTTATGTTGAAAGATCTGCCTAGAGCGGACGGTTGGTGGTGGTTAACGTGTACATATTTTTCTGTCTCACTAAATTGTAAGGGTTTTATTTATGTTCATATCATATATACTGGCACGCAAGAAAATTTATCAATTGAAATTGAATTATAATCTGTTGGACTATAAACAAATTCTTTATTGGAAGAGCTCTTCTGAAATCTTCATATTTTAATAGACTAATATGTTTACTAATTGGACTGTAAAGGTATATGTTATATACTCATATCACACATCAGATGCTTAAATTTGGATAAAATAATAAAGAATTTATATTCTGAAATTTTTGAAACTTCTGTCGTTTAGACAAATATTTCTATTTTTCTGAACTTGTATAGGAAGGGAAAGTAGTAAAATTTATCAGTCCTTTAGGTAGTAAGTAGTTTTGCCTGCTAAATTTTGTGAAAAGTCATAACTTTATCTAAGAGGTGTAGGCTATACTGAAAACAGTTTTTCTTTTACACTAGGTTGTAGCATCTTGAAACAGATTCCCAAATTCATTATGGCAGGCTCTTTCCCTTCCTCTCTTCCCTTCCCCTTCTTTTCCCACCCTTCCTTTCCCTTTTCTTCCCTTCTCCTTCTTTATTCTCCCTCCCTCTCCCTCCTTTCCCCTTCTTTTCTCTCACTTTTCTTCCTCTTTCCTACCTTTCCCCTTTCTTGTATCAAGTCCAGTGCCCAGCCTGATTTGTATTGATAGGATACAAAAGCTGGTGATGGCTTGGGTTGATATAGGCTTTGCATGAACAAAGCAAGCTTAATCTTTAATCTTGAATTTGGAAGTGTGTCAGAGCTCACTAGGTAACACCAGAAGCTTGCCCAGAGTTCGGAAAGTTGTCATTCATAGGAAAGTACGGCTTGGGAACCCTAAGAGTGCTCAATGATAAGCAGATTTGACAAATTTGTCTTAGTGCTTTCTTTGCTTTAGGAGGTCTTTTTTATTTGAGTTTCCCATTGCTGAAGTAGGCACCTTCAAAGGATTGCTTGTCTGTTACCATTGAAGTTGTCAGAGGTCTTGGGCATTAAAGCAGAATCTGTCCACTAAGACATTAGGAATTTACCTATTCCAATAAAAAGGAATTGTATTAGCCCAACTTCATAGAAAAATAATCTAATCAAGATTGTTTTCAAACCTTTGACTGCCTAAAAGATGATCAGGTAAGGTATGTATATATTGTTTTTTCTTCTGGCAAATATTAATTCAACTGTTATCATTGTAATATGGGTTTGTTTTTCTTTATTGTAATTATTTGGGGAGAACGTAACTCCTTAAGCCTTTCATTATTCAGATGGGTAAGTAAAGAGTTTGCCTTGCAACATAGATGACACCATTTAAAAAGCTGTTGTTATGGTAAATGAAGTTCATCAGTTACATAACTGGTATTTAAGTATAAAACAAGAGCTGTAATGTGTTTAATAAGGTATTAGATAAGCATACAAATATTCTTCTCTTGCCTTTTCTTTCCCTATTCGTTCCTCTTATTCCTTATCCTCTTTCATCCTCCTGTATTTCATAGACCTTGCTTGTGGGATCCAGAACCCCGCAGCATATGAATTAAATTTACTTGGGGGCCAAATCTGGGAACTTAAAACACATGTATAGCATTGTTTTTTTATCAGAAAATGTTTTGAATTACCAAGAGTGAACATTAGTCAGATTTTAGCCATACAAATTAGTATTTGTGTTTAGGAATTGAGGCCTGTTTGTGCTTTCATTTTTTTTTTTAATTTTAATTTTTTGTTTTTGAGATGGAGCTTTGCTCTTGCCACCCAGGCTGGAGTGCAGTGGTGCGATCTCCAGTCACTGCAACCTCCACCTCCTAGGTTCAAGTGATTCTCCAGCCTCAGCCTCCCAAGTAGCTGGGATTACAGGCGCCCGCCACCATGCCCAGCTAATTTTTTATTTTGTGTTTTTAGTAGAGACGGCGTTTCACCATGTTGGCCAGGCTGGTCTCAAACTCCTGACCTCAGGTGATCCGCCCACCTCAGCCTCCCAAAGTGCTGGGGTTACAGGCATGAGCCACCGCGCCTGGCTGCGTTTTCATTTTGAATAAAGACCAGTCCAAAAAGATGTGCTGGATGCCAGTGTTATTACCGTCAAGGGAGAATTTTTAAGTTGATAAGTGATACATTGATTATTTTTATTTATCTATGCTAATCAATTTAACAATATTACACAGATAACTTTATGCTATTACATTCAGAGTTATTTCATTTTGACTTCTTTGTGAAAGATAGGAGACTAAATCCATATTTTATTCTTTAGATACAGCAGAATCCAGGTCTGGTAGAAGAACAGATGTAAATCCGTTTTTGGCTCCTCGCTCGGCAGCTGTACCTCTTATTAACCCAGCTGGACTTGGACCTGGTGGGCCCGGGCATCTTCTTCTGAAACCCATCTCAGATGTTTTGCCCACATTTACACCTTTGCCAGCGTTACCTGACAACAGTGCTGGGGTTGTGCTGAAAGACCTTTTAAAGCAATAGATGATTCTCAAGCCAGAGACAATCTAGCACTTTAAAGAAACCATGAACACTATATGTATGTACTTTATCACAAAGTGGCCTTTGGGGAGAAAGTCATGTATTTGTTCGCAATTATGCTTTCTCTGAATTTAATAAAAATATTCCTAATGCTTTTAGAAACTGCAGGTGTCAGGAGCAAGTGTTTGCTATATAATCTGCTTTATTCCTTCTGATTTGACCTAATTTAAGCTAGGAACATTTAATTTATCTTTTACCTTAATTTACAAAAATACAGACAGACAAAAATACTAGTAGCTATATGGCAGCTTTTTATTTCCTTTTGTGATTTCCAAGCTCATTTAAGCTAGAGATTGTGGTTTATCAAGAGAGTGTTTTTTTTTTTTAAACGAAGAATAAAAAAATACTAGTAGTGGCTTCTCTGCATAGTGCAGAAAGTTGATTTGAAGCATATATTGATCATCTTTAGAGGACTTTGTGGAGACAGGCCAACAAGATTGTTGCTGGAAGGTCATAGGTTCCCTGAGGTGAAGTATGTATTTGGTCCTGTGCAATATTATCATGTGTGTAGATTCTTTTTTTGTTTGTTTTAAATAGAGATGGGGTCTCACTATGTTGCCAGGCTGGCCTCAAACTCCTGGGCTCAAGTGATCCTCCCACCTCAGCCTCCCAAAGTGCTGGGATTAAGGCATGAGCCACTGCGCCTGGCCCTGTGTGTAAATTCATGTGACTACCACCACAGGCAAGACACGGAAGACTTCCATTACAAGCATCCCCCTGTGTTGCCCTCTCATAATCATTGCCACCTCTCTCCCTGGCCCTCTCCTTAATCCCTGACAACCACTTACTGTTCTCCATCTCAGTCATTTTGTTATTTTGAGAATGTTATATAAATGGAATCAATATATACCCTCTTGAGACTGGCTTTTTTTCACTCAGCATAATTCCCTTGAGATCCATCCAAGGCTTTGGATGTATCACTAGTTTGTTCCTTTTTATTGTTGAGCATATAGTGCAGATATATCACTTAGTTTTAACAGCTAAGGTATCTATTTAAAGATACCATCTTAAAACTAAATGTTACACAAATTCATGCAACTTTCATATAAGCATTAAACCATACAGCTGCATCTACGTAAGTATAATTAGCAAAATCACTGAACATGCCACTTCCTGCCTCCGTCTGCGGTGTTGACATATGAGGTACAGCAATCCGAGAGTCAACTGTTATCACGGTGGCCACTGAGGGCAGTGAAATCACTTTGATAGCACCAGTACCCAGATGTTTGAAACTTAAGAAAGTATTTCTTTAATTTTTCATAAACCCATCATAAAAAAAAAATCCCGACTTGAAACTTAACTGTATCTGGATGTTCATATTTTTATTAGTTGTTGAAGTTGTACATTTAAAAAGATATTTCTTGCAAATTTTGTAAATTTCTATATGCTTTTAAAATAGAAACATTTGTATAACAAGGAAGGATGAAAATAAAACAAATTCAAATATGTGAATAGTCCTGGCTGAGGCCAGAACTAAATTTGGTTATTTGCAAGTTTTACTGTGATTAACTGTACTTTCTAATGTATTTGGAAGACTGGAAGTCTTAATTCCATGTTGATGGGTGAAACTTGTTTTTCTGAAAAATGAAGTAACTGAAAATGCTGCTTCAGAATGTCTTGTATCTCCTTAGATAACTAATTTATATTGCCATTCTTTATTTACTATACTTTAAAGGAAGTTGTCATGCAAGTTCTATATTAGAACTGTCAAACTGCCTCTTGGTTTTTGCCTATTATTATTTCTCTGTGAGTTGTTACTCCTTGGTTTTTATATGCTCCTAACAAAGATACTTTCACTGACTATCCTACATTATTTGCTGCTTGCCATTGAAATTTCATTTCAGTGTGGAGAAATGAAATACTAGTTTCTAAGTTAAAAAAGACACATGGTCCTTTATTTTTAAGAAATAGAATATGTAAAAAGTTTTCTCTTTTAATTTGAAAAAGAGATGCATGGTTGGTATTTAAGTAGTATGTCATCATATTTGAAATGCCTTTTGTGACATTTTTGAGTATTTCCTTCTCTGACCAAAACAACTTGTCCGCCTCTCATCCCATGGTTTAACGTAAGTTTAAAAGCTGTTGTGGGTGGATTGCATAGCTAAACATCACAGAGCATGATATTAAATGGCTGCTATTTAAATAAATATGTGACCTTGTCCTAAAGCTATAATACTGGCCGGGCACAGTGGCTCACGCCTGTAATCCCAGAACTTTGGGAGGGTGAGGTGGGTGGATCACCTGAGGTCAGGAGTTCAAGACCAGCCTGGCCAACATGGTGAAACCCCATCTCTACTAAAAATACAAAAATTAGCTGGGCATGGTGGCAGGCGCCTATAATCCCAGCTACTCAGGAGGCTGAGGCAGGAGAATTGCTTGACCCCGGGAAGTGGAGGTTGCAGTTAGCAACCACTCCACTGCACTCCAGCCTGAGCGACAGAGCGAGACTCTGTCTCAAAAAAAAAAAAAAAAAAAAAAAAGCTATAGTACCTAATGTTTTCATTGTGTCATTGAAACTATAGCTGACTGGTATGTATACTAAGTGTTCGTTGATCTAAACCAGATATAAGTCATTGACTTTTCTGAAACTTAGTTGTGTCAGAGATGAACCACCTGCTCACTGAACCGTCTTAGTAACCAGTGATGAAGCATATAATTCTAATGTTGGCAATAGGACATTGCTAACAGTGCGTTTAACTGCAATATTTTAACTACAGTAATTTTTCTGTTTATTTCTCTATCCACTCAGTAGAATTTGTGGTTGAATTCCACCTTCGCTGCCATAGTTTTTTACCACATTCCTAATGGTTTTCAACCTCTATACTGTAGTAGAAAATTCATCTAACTACTGAATTTAATTTTAGCATAATACTGGATCAAATTGTTTGAATTTTCATTCCTGTCATTTTTGATTTTTAAAAAATGAAACAAAACTAAACAACAAAACCCTAGGAAAAGAATGGCTTCTTTCCAACTAGTCAATTAAAACGTCCAGTATCTCCCCAAATAAAGCCTTAGGTTTCTTTTAACCTCTTAATGGTTAATTGAAAAGAGTACAGAAACTATCAAAATACTTATCCAATCAATGGGGGGAAAAGCTATGTCTTCAGGGACAGTAGAGTGATGAGAATTTTTTAGAAAACACTATTATCCATCAAACTTAAAAGCATTTGGACCTGATATTTAAAGATAATGAAGTTTTCCACATATTGAAGTATTCAAGACATCTTCCATCCACAAAAATTTATCTTTAAGTTTTGTAAATATCAAGTAAGTATAGATGATATTTATTTTATATATTCCTATGGAAAAAATGCTACTTTAATGTTCTGACATTTGTGATTATTTGCCAGTCTTTACTTTTTAACTTATTAAAAAGTTAAATACTTATTAAGGTTTCTCTATGTAAAACAATTTAAATTGTCTTTTGATTTTTAGGGAAATATCTAAACGTGGGAAATTTCCAACGCAACCTTAATATTAGGTTGTGTTATTTATAGAGCTAAAGTTAATGCATTTTTGAATTTCTCAGGAGCACTGCAAGGCAAAAAAATACTCCAAATAAAAATGATATATGTAAGTTGGCAATGTCTTCAGTCACAATAAAAAAAATTTTTAGCAAACAGCTGCTGACTTTTTCTTTAGAAATGATTTACACATGTTGTTTGTAGCAGTAGTTGATTAACTACTGAAGCTACTGTCTTTATTCACCGGATGTCTGCTATTAGGATACTATTTGAGCCTTGGAAATTTTAAGCATGAACAATTTAAAAGATGCTTGAGATTATGTATGAATATGAAAAGAAGATTTTCATACATAATCTCAAGCATAACCTCGTCTCTACAAAAATACAAAAATTAGCCAGGCGTGGTGGCACGTGCCTGTAATCCCAGCTACTCGGGAGGCTGAGGTAGAAGCATTGCTTGAACCTGGGAGGTGGGGGTTGCATTAAGCCGAGATCGCGCCATTGCACTCCAGCCTGGGTGATAGAGGGAGACTCTTTATCCCAAAAAAAAGATGAAAAAAAAGAGGATCTGAGCGGTTTTAACCAGCCTTTTTTTTTTTTTTTCCTTCAGAGGGTATTGTACATCATTGGCCTCTGGTCCTTTTGCAAGATAATCAGTATGTCTTCATTTTTTCTTAGATGCGGATCTTGAGTGCTTCTAGTGGCTCATATGATGGCAATACTGGAGGGATCATGGCTTTTAAAGTTGACAGCATGATTCGAGTACTGATTTTGACCCTTTCTGTGTGACCTGTCACAGAATTACCTTGACTATGGGTCTTATTTTTCTCGTCTCTGCAATGAGCTGACACCTACCTAGTAAATCCCATGGGGTTGTTAGGATCAAATGACACATTCATTTGCAATGTTTATTAACGAATAAATGTGCCACTTACAGAAATGCCTTCTAAAGTCCAAAATTCTATGCAGATGTTAAAAGTTTATCACTGTCGAAGGGTAGATAAGAATGTCAGGGAGTTACTGAAGCCAAGAGTTCTTTCCAAAAGGTAAGGAGAGGTCAATGCATGAAGTGCCTGCTGCTGCGAGGGCTGGAGAGGTAAGTTTTAAGAAGACTGTACGGACTCGAGGACCAGAAGGTGGTTGTTGCCTTTGACTAGATCCGTGTAGATGCAGTGGTAGGAACAAAGCCTCATTGTTGAGTGGGCAGGGAGCAAGTGGAGATAGTGTTTGTAGGCAACTCTGCTGAGAAACCAGATTGCAGAGGGGGAAGAGGGCATGAGTAGGAGAGGCAAGTGGGGGTGGAAGGAGAGTTGTTTGAAGCTTAGAGACTTGAGCTTATGGTAAATTCTTATGGTGAGGACATGATTAGATGGAGAGGCTGAAGAGAGTATACAGAGAAGAGTTCCTGAGAAAGGGAAACAGGATCGGAGCACAGTTTTGAAGGGATTGGCCTTAGATGGGAAGGACCCCTTTATTGGGGCTGGCACTATGGAAGAGAGGGGAGATGTAGATGTGGGGGGATTTGGGTGGGAGAAGTTGCGGGAATTTTTCTCTGCAGTTGAAGGGGAGCTTATCTGCTAAAAACAAGGGGAGTAGGGCTTGGGGCTTGAGAAATTCACAGGAGGGAGAGACAGACACATGTCCAGATGACTAAAGAAGTACGAGAAATGCTTGGGGGGGCTCATGCCAAGCACTAGGGGCCCTGAGTTGGGCCTGGCAGACCGATGGGAGGAGGGGGAGTGGTTGTTCAGCAAATCTTGAAAGAAACAGTGTTTGAGCACTTAGCAAGCTAGGAAATGAAATGTCACATAAAAGCCTAGTGGTTCTTGCCCTAACCAATTCTACTGGAATACAAAATGTCACTAATCAGAACCTTGTTTTCCTGCCCTTGGGACTTAGGTCATGTGAATAATGGTATAGCTGAGGGTTTTATAGCATGTTATTGTCATAATTTAGTACATCCAGTAAATTAATAATCCACTATAATTATAACAATATTTGTCTTGAAGATAAAGAAAAATTCAAAAACGTCCCTGAGAGAAAAATGTAAAAATGTTTAAAAAATGGATCACTTAGGGCAAATATTTGAACCTTTAGTTGGTTTGTGTCTTAGCTCCTAAAATGGAATCTTCCTGTATATCAGTCTTTTAGCCTTTCTGGGGTTAAGAGTAATAATTTGCACTGTAGTGATATTTTAACTGTGATAATTTTCAGCTGTGACTATTTTTACAAGAGTAATCTTTTCAGCTCTAACATTCTTTGACTTCATTGAATTATTTTTGACCTTAAAAATTAAATCTCAATGATTTGGAAATATTTGCGAACTTAATATAAGAGTTTGGTAAAGTTGTTTTGTAAGTGTCCATGGACTCTTAAAAAGGTAAGATACATCATTTCTTTCTGTAAAATGTAAGGCACTTAGATGTTGAAGGATATCATCCTGTGAGTTTTCCTCACACGATGAGTCAGTCTCAAGTCCTTGGTAACCCATGTGTAAACGGGAACGTACTGTACTCGAAATGTGTACGTTTCCCAAAGGACAAGTTTCCCACCCCCAGATGGTGAAGGGAGACATGAATTTTTTAAGAATTAGAAAATATATATTTGCTTCTTATTTCCTCTTCATCTGTTTAGATGTATTTTAAAAACTGTGGTATCATCTGTGAGTCAACACATAAATCCCTTTTACCTAAGGATCACTTTACTAAAGGTATGTTCAGACACTCTCGGAGTAAAAAGACGGTGGTGGTGATAAACTTACAAGATCTAATGAGGTAAGTTTTATTTTTGAAAATTTATATGGACTGCTTAGTTTTTGAAATTTTTTGGAATCATTTTAAAGTCTTCTCCCTAAAGCGTTTCCATGCCACATGCACATGTACTCCGAGGGTAGTCTCAGCTGCCTGCATTCAACCTGTACTGCTCTCGTCAGCATTGCGCTCAGCAGCTTGGTAACTCCTGTGTTGAAAAATATGATGACCGTAAAAATCAATTCTTCATAAAATTGCTACTTGAGGAATTAAGACTTTTTTCTGAGTCTTTCCACTTTTTTTCCCCCATTTAGACATCAGCGTTACTTGCTGAAAATAAATTTCACCCCAATGTCTTTTTTTTTTTTTTTTTTTTTTTTTGAGACGGAGTCTGACTCTTTTGCCCAGGCTGGAGTGCAGTGGCGCTATCTCGGCTCACTGCAAGCTCTGCCTCCTGGGCTCAAGAGATTCTCCTGTCTCAGCCTCCAAGTAGCTGGGATTACAGGTGTGCACCACCATGCCTGGCTAATTTTTGTATTTTTAGTAGAGACGGGGTTTCACTATGTTGGCCAGGCTGGTCTCGAACTCCTGACCTCAAGTGATCCGCCCACCTCGGCCTCCCAAAGTTCTGGGATTACAGGCATGAGCCACCGTGCCTGGCCCTGATGTCATTCTTTAATTTGTGTGTATGCATGTGTATGTGTCAAAAGTTTAAAACACATACAAAGGAGACAATTGGATATTAGGAGGGACATCCGGCTATGATGATGTGAAGAGGTCAGCCAATTCTCCTTGCAAGAAACAAGTATAAAACTAAAGTTGTCAAAACCAACCATTTGGGGTCTCTAGAAATTGACCAAAGGCAGAGAAGAAATTGGGTTATTTTTGAAAAGCTTCTAGAGCTTTGGGTGGGAACCTGGAGTCTGTGGCCTTCCTACCTGGGGCTTCTGTCACCCCTCAAACCTCCTGGCTTTTCTAGCCCTGAGCTGGTATGAAAACCAGCAGCTTTGTTGCCTGAGGTGGTGAACAATGGTGGAGGTTAGGTGGTGCAGAACCCATGATGTCAACTAAAAGTGGTGAGCTTGGAAGGAAACAAACGGAGAAAACTCCGTTTTGCTAGCCTGAGATTGCAATTCCAGATAGGACAGGTGGTGGTCAGCAGAAATTTAATGCTGACCTCCTGAAACAGAGAGGCATAGAAGGGCCATGGCTGAGACTTGAGAGCGCCCCATGGGACGGAAAAGCCTAGACAAACATGAGACTGGCCATTGAGTGAGCTGCTTAGCCTACACTCAGATCCACCCGCGGTGCATAGAAGCCCTCCGAGAGGCTCGAGGTGTTTAACTAGCACAGCCTCCTCTGACATTTAGCTATGCAGGAGTGACCCTGGGGAAGCCAGACCAAAAGATAAAAAGACTGTAAAACAGACTGTAAAAAAGACTGTAAGCAGAGACATCAGCAGCTACATTCTCTTGTGTGGGAGACAGATTCTGCAGTTACATTCAATCAAGCTTTAAAAAAAAAAACCATGAAACTATGTCAGAATCAATACTTGCTAAATCGTCTAGTTTTCAATCAGAAATTATGAGCAAGACAAGAAAGTGAGGCCCATACTCAGGAAACAAGCAGTCCAAAGAAACTGTGTGGGCCTAGAAGTTGGATTTAACCCATAAAAACTTCAAAGCAGCAACTGTAAATATGAAGTATTAAAGGAACATATGTCTAAAGAACACAGAGTAAGACATTAACACTAACGTACTCATTCCCTAGCTTTATCAAATCAGGATGCCATATTTTCAACCAAACAGGATGCCATATTTTCTAAAGAATTTAAAAAATACTTTTGTTTAAAACTTTGAACACAGACATGAAAGTAGAGTGAGTAACATAGTGATTCCGTGTACTCATCACCAGCCTCAACAATTATCCATTCAAGCTTATCAACTCTCTTTTTTTTTTTTTTTTTTTTTGAGATGGAGTTTCGCTCTTGTTGCCCAGGCTGGAGTGCAATGGCATGATCTCGGCTCACTGCAACCTCCGCCTCCTGGGTTCAAGCGATTCTCCTGTCTCAGCCTCCCGAGTAGCAGGGATTACAGGCATGCACCACCACACCCAGCTAATTTTGTATTTTTAGTAGAGACAGGGTTTCTCTGTGTTGGTCAGGCTGGTTGCCAACTCCCGACTTCAGGTGATCTGCCCACCTCAGCCTCCCAAAGTGCTGGGATTACAGGCGTGAGCCACCATGCCTGGCCCCAAGCTTATCAACTCTTATTTCATCTTGGGTCCCTACCTACTTCCTTTTTTAAAATTTTGAAAGGATTTTTACATAACATCTTAAAACTATCATAAGGAGCAAATAAATAAGGAGTAACAAATCTTGTTATTCTTTTTAGGACAATGTAGATGATCAAATGATGTCTGTCTCTCCTGTCCTGAACTCTTAGGAATGTTTTTGGGTTTGTTTTGGGTTTGGTTTGTTTTTCAGGAGTGTAGCCATTTTATTCAACTATTCCTTTCCAGTTGGACCTTCAGTTTGGTTTAAGATTTTGACAGTATAAATAAAGCTAAAATAAACATTTTGTATATATTAAAAACCATACCTGTGAGACTAGTATTATGATCCCATTTCACAAAGGAGGAAAGAAGTTACCCATAACCAAATTGTCAGAGCTACTGTTGTTTCTACAGCAGACTGTAAAACATGCCCCCCTAGGTTATTAAAGCACTAATGTATCAGTCTATCTAGGTGTTTGGTGACATTTGTCAAAAACAAAAATTTTGTTTTGATCATTAGTGATATGAGTTGTTGCTCCTGAGAAAAATTAGCCAAAGGGTCGATTACTTCCCCAACAGCCCCTTAAAAATGATCGTGGGACCGTGCTGTTGGAAGGAGGTTACATGTTCAGCTCGTGTGTGTGTGTGTGTGTGTAGATCACAATTATTTATTATAAAATTAATTTGAAATTTGATCTAGGAAAACAGAATTCCTCTACAGTCTAATTCTTGAGATATGCCGGATAAACGACGCTCTGCACCAGGGGTGTCCAATCTTTAGGCTTCCCTGGGCCACACTGGAAGAAGAATTGTCTTGGACCACACATAAAATACACTAACGATAGCTGATGAGCTAAAAAAAAAAAAAATCCCAAAAAAAACATAATATTTTAAGAAAGTTTACGAATGTGTGTTGGGCCACACTCAGAGCCATCCTGGGTCACATGCCAGGAATCAGACAAGCTTGCTCTACACTGTTCATGTGATTTATATTTAATAACGTGCTTAAATATTATCCTATAGTGATAATACTTGCTGAAGTAATTTCATTAGGATATAACATCTACCAGGAAAAATCAGTCTTTATTCAGCAGATATTACTGAGTACTCGTCAGGCCGTGCACATAGTTATAATGGTGAAGAGGACTGTCAGTGCTTTTGAGGAATTCACTGTTTACTGAAAGAGACACAGCATTATAAAATGTGTTATAAAATGGAGGCAGAGTCAAGACACCATGGGAAAAAATTGGGAGGTCCAATTTTGGAGGTCTCTAATAATCTCATAGAGGAGGTGCCATTTGATCTGTCTTCTTAAATGTTGGAAAATACTAGGCTAAAAGAGTCTAGAGGGACCCATGCTAGCATCATCTGTATAGCATGGCTTAAAAACTGTTTATGTCTAAGAAATTAAAAACCAGAAAAAGGCTGGGCACGGTGACTTACGCCTATAATCTCAGCACTTTGGGAGGCTGAGGTAGGTGGATCACTTGAGGTCAGGAGCTCGAGACTAGCCTGGCTAACATGGTAAAACCCCGTCTCTACTAAAAATACAAAAATTAGCCAGGTGCGGTGGTGCATGCCTATAATCCCAGCTACTTGGGAGGCTGAGGCAGGAGAATCATTTGAACCTGGGAGGTGGAGATTGCAGTGAGCTGAGATCGCGCCACTGCACTCCAGCCTGGAGGACAGAGTAAGATGCGGTCTCAAAAAAAAAAAAAAAAAGGCAAAAGAAATGAAGCTGTTATTACTAAAGTGTAAGGGAGAACAAAATAGAATATTAATAATGAAATAGCTAACAAAACTGACAAACCTAGACGCACAGCTTACTGAAAAAAAAAGCACGGTCTGTTAGTCTGTATATATGTAAGTCAAACGGAAAAAGAAGACAGGCATGGTGGTGTGCACCAGTAGTTCCAGCTACTCAGGAGGCTGAGGCAGGATGACTTGAGGCCAGAAGTTCAAGACTACCGTAGTGCACTATGATGGCACCTCTGAATAGCCACTGCACTCCAGCTTGGGCAATACGGGGCAACACCCCATCTATAAAAAAAAAAAAAAAAAAAGGAAAAAATTCTCCATTTATTTTCAATTCATCCAGATTTTCTCAAAACTCAGAACTATAAATGAAACCCAACTGTATGTAAATTAATCTACCTAAAATATGTTCAGTATTTTCATTCATTTTTCAAAATGGAATAATGTTTGAGAGAAGTTTAAATGGCACTGATTTTCTACCAAACCTACAATGGCTCAAAGACTAAATCACGAGAAATTTTCACGTGTGTACAAAAACTTTTCTTTCTAGTCATACTCTTTGCATAAGTAGATTTTTAAAAATTCCTAGATATTTTAATACCTTTATTGGAGATGTAAATGATATGTAGGACTTCATGGGCCAAAAAAAGAAAAATGCCTTTATAATTTATTTATTTATTTATTTTTGAGATGGGGGGTTTCACTCTGTCGCCCAGGCTGGAGTGCAGTGATGTCATCTCGGCTCACTGCAGCCTCTGCCTCCTGGGCTCAAGCAATTCTCCCACCTCATTCTCCCGAGTAGCTGGAATCACAGGCATACACCACCACACCGGGATAATTTTTTGTATTTTTGGTAGAGACAGGGTTTCTCCATGTTGTCCAGGCTGGTCTCAAACTCCTGAGCTCAAGTGATCCGCCCGTCTTGGCCTCCCAAAGCGCTTGGATTACAGGCGTGAGCCACTGTGCCCAACCTATAATTTAAATTAAGACCAATTGTTTAAAATTACTTATATAATTTTTTTTCCCTTAGAGACAGGGTCTCTGTCACCCGGGCTGGAGTGCAATGGTGCGATCATAGCTTACCGTAGCCTCAGACTCCTCGGTCCATGCAATCCTCCTGACTGGGCCTCCCAAAGTGCTAGGACTACAGGTGTAAGCCACCGTATCTGGCCTGGTACAGGAATGTTATTGAAATCTGACATTCCATCGGTATACACAGAGAAGTTTACATGGCTTTGGGCCAGTTAGGGTGTGAGGGGTCTCCTGACGGATCCTGGACCCTGTGCTACCCTCTGTGGTTGTGACCTGAGCCGGGGCCTCTGTACTTTGCACCCTCTTTGCCCTGAAGTGAACTGCTATTTGATCAGTGTCCACACTGCCCTAGAGGAATGCAGGAACTTGTGCACCTGTCACGTGCAAAGCTCAGGGCAGTAGGACAATGGCGTCACTCCAGCCATCTCCAGAGGCTCCTCTCACCACTCATCCCATTCTTTTGGTGCTAAGTTGGATGCTGCAGGGAAGTGGAGCCCAGGTGTTCTCTGATTCTCCTTCAGCTTATCTAGGGCTCTTACACGATCCTACAGTCTCAACCTTCACCTCCTGGGTTGAACCCAGGGAGTTTCTTACTCTGCTTTCATCTTCTGATCCTCTCTACTTCCTGACTTCTGCCCCACATTTATTTTCCTGGGTACAGAAAAGCTGTTCTGGTATCATTAAATTTCTCTACCCTATGACCTTAGGAAACGTTTCTTCTAGCAAAGCCTGTGTTTCAAGACTGTTGTCTCATCGTAGACTCAAAAAAGTCTAATTCGAAATTAAATTATCATACTTTTGCTGTCACAATTTCTCATTCTAAACCAATGTCCAATGCAGCTTTAGATTTGAGATTTTACAATAGAATGTTTGTTAGAGGAGTCCCAGGAGTAATTAGAGATCATGTCCATAGATTAAGGAGGATAATGTGAAAAAACTCACCATGCCTGTAAGTATTACTGATAATTTTCACAGGTATCCTGAAGGAAAGGAGAATGGGTTAAGGGAGAGGGGAAAAAAAGAAAGTCAGACTTTTATCACACATGATAAAGTGGAAAAAAATCTATTGACACTCATTTTTAAATTGTTACATAATTCTTCACAAACAGAAAACTCGAAAGAGGAGTTAATACACGTCCATGAACCCATATTCCAGCTTTGATAGTTAACACGGTTTTGCTGATCTCATTTCATTTATGCTCCATTAATTTAGTAGGCCTTTCTAAGTGATAAAGATACATTAGAAATTAACAGATCTTACAAAATTAACAATAATTCTTTATTCTCTGATACCTAGTCTATATTCAAATTCTCTCATTGTATCAAAGGTGCGTCTTTACACACACTTGGTTAACGCAAATCAGGACCCAAACGCCATGCAAATGTTGCATTTGCTTGTTCTGTTTCAGTACCAGTCATTTGCCTCTGCTCTTGGATCCATTAACTGTCCTGTCTCCAACTTGTTCTGCTGGTTCCCTGCACATTTTTCTTCTCAAGCTTCTTTGCCACTGGCTTCGTGTTGATTTCAGCCAATGGGAAGTACACGGAGGAGACTCAAAGGATGGGAGGAGGGAAAAAGCCAGGGCATTTCTTCCAGCCTCTGCCTCTTGACAGTGACCACTTCTCTAGCCCTCCAGCAACCTCCACCTGATTCAATTCTTGTAGGTAGCCCCCACTCCTGGGTTCTGGTGGCATCATCTCCTTCTTCCTTAGTCCTTCCAGCTCTAGGGGAGGTGGTGGCTTTCTGAAGGAGCATAGATCTGGGTTGCCTCAACATTCCATTTGGCTTTTCAGCTCTTTCAGCTCTTTTGAAACTAGTTCGCTGTGTTAAATTCCTCTGCCAAACTACCTGGTACAGGCTATTTTTTCCTGGACAGGTCCTGAATGACAAAGGCTTTTCCCCTCCTTTCTATTTCTTTACACCCTCTCTCCCTTTTTTTATTCTTTTTTGCTATTGTTTCTTCCTCGAGGGTCTTTTAATTTTTTCCTCTATTCTCTATACTTCTTGCAAACTGGCAGTCATGTCAGATCGAGAGCCATGCTGGGCAATATGAGAGCCACCAGCCACATGTGGTTATTTAAATGTCAACTTAGGCTGGGCGCAGTGGCTCACGCCTGTAATCCCAGCACTTTGGGAGGCTGAGACAGGTGGATCACTTGAGGTCAGGAGTTCGAGACCAGCCTGGCCACCATGGTGAAACCCCGTCTCTAATAAAAATACAAAAATTTGCTGGGCGTGGAGGTGGGCACCTGTAATCCCAGCTACTCAGGAGGCTTAGGCAAGAGAATCACTTGAACCTGGGAGGCAGAGGTTGCAGTGAACGAAATTTTGCCATTGCACTCCAGCCTGGGTAACAAGAGCAAAACTCCGTATCAAAAAAAAAAAAAAAGTAAACTTAAATTAGTTAAATGAAACAAAAAATTTGCACTGGCCGCATTTCAAGTGCTCAGTGGGCACAGTGGTTAGTCACTGTCACATTGGACAGGGCAGATACAGAACATTTCCAGCATGGCAGAAAGTTCAGCTTGACGTTGCCATTCTAGAAACTTGATTAAATTCAAGTTCAATACTTTTAGGCAAGAATACTTATAGAGAAGGCTTGTGTTGGGAGAACTTGTTCCTTAAAAATCATTCAGAGCTGCTGAGAAAGTAACAATTTCTCCTCAGAATCACCTGAGGGTGTTTGTAAAACACAGATTCCTCACCCCCACACCCCTTTAATCTCAGGGTGTAAGGCCTAGTTTATTAATTTTAACAAGCTCTCAGATGACTCTGTTGCACTCTGTCATTTGAAACCTCGGTTTTAAGACAGCCTTAACTGTCTTCAAGACCAAACATTCAAGATATGAGATCCTGTCTCTCCTACATGTGGTGTTAAAAGTTCTTTCTCTTATGAAATATGATGATGTGATATATGATGGTTGTATTTTCTTTTGTTTTTACTGGCAAAATTAAAAATTGGCACCTAATATTCTCTCTATTTTCAAGGTGGTTGACTTTACTAGTCTGGTAAATTCAAGAATCTGGGAGCCACTAATACAGTCTATCTTATGTGGATTGTAAGTAGGAAATGAGGTAAATGGACCATCTTACCATTTTACAGTCATAGTAAATATGTTAGGGTTGCCCAAAATCTCAATCCATATTAAATGTCAGAAAACAAATTGACAAGAACAAAACAGAGATGGCAGGTGGAAGCAGGTCATTACCAGTTTTTGACCTCAACTCTGGGGCTCCCCGGCAGAGTCTGCTTGCCTGAAGTCTCTAGGACAGAGCCCACATTTTGCACATGGTTATATGTCAAAACCACAGTCAGCTAAAACAATAAGAAAAGCTCAGGTGTTTTAATGATTTGCTGAATTTCCTGGAAATTCCAGGTATGTCTAGAAAATCCTGACATTCTCAAACCAGTCGGTTACATTAAAGTACAGGCCAGGTGCGGTGGCTCACGCCTATAATCCCAGTACTTTGGGAGGCCGAGGCAGGTGGATCACTTGAGGTCAGGAGTTCGAGACCAGCCGGGGTAACATGGCGAAACTTCATCTCTACTAAAAAAATACAACAATTAGCTGGGCGTGGTGCTGGCGCCTGTAATCCCAGCTACTCAGGAGGCTGAGGTAGGAGAATTGCTTGAACCCAGGAGGCGGAGGTTGCAGTGAGCCAAGATTATACCACTGCACTCCAGCCTGGGCAACAGAGGGAGATTCTATCTCAAAAAAAAAAAAAAAAAAAAGTACATAATCAGAATTACAGAGGGAAATGCCGGGCTCAGCGGCTAATGCCTGTAATCCCAGCACTTGGGGAGACTGAGGTGAGAGGGTTGCTTGAGGTCAGAAGTTTGAGACCAGCCTGGGCAACATAGCGAGACTTGGTCTCTACAAAAAATTAAAAAATTAACCAGGTATAGTGGTGCACAACTGTAGTCCCAGCTACTCCAGGGATTGAGGCAGGAGGATCCCTTCAACCCAGGAGTTTGATGATACAATGAACTATGATAGTTCCACTGCACTTCAGTCTGGGTGACAGAGTGAGACGCTGTCTCTAAAAAAAAAAAATGTAGGGGTAAACACCCAGGAAAACTTAAAGCCATGGATGAAAGAGAGAAGATGCATCATCAACTAGAGACACAGGAACAATTAGAGGTGGAGAAAAGGCATCGTATTTGGCCAGGAGGAATCACTAGGCAACTTAGGGAGCATTATGTGGGTGAATGGTGGGAACTTAGTCAGATTTTAGCAGGTTAAGGTGGGACTAGATGGTGAGGAGTTGGCTGAGACAAGTACTCAGTGAGAAGTCTGACCAAGGGAGGAGGAGAGAGGAAGCCTCTGGGAGCATCAGGACCAACAGACATTCCCCTACCCTCACGGCAGGATGGGCAGAACTGTGGGGTGGAGCCTCTGCCCAATGCTGAACCTCACGTGTTGGCTGTCATTTTAGTTTTCTGACTGTTTTGGGCCAAGTTTGGATAATATATGAAACCAAAGGCTTTACTAGCGTTCAGAAAAAGGAGAGAGAGCGAGACAGAGCAATGATGGAAGGGCCCATGGAGTTCTGGAATATTCCTGGGGGGCTGAGACAGGGAGGGAAGTAGCCAGGGAAGCTGTGAGTAGAGAAAGCAGGCTTGGTAAACTGGAAGGAAGGAGGACTCTAGAATCCAACAGGCTGGTGAGGGCTGGAGTTTGGACCCCTGATTATCTGCATGGCCCTGATGTCCCTGCACCTGTTTATCTGCAAAACGGAGGGTTTCCTATTTCACAGGGTTATTGTGGGGGTCAAAGGAGAGGAGCTGTAGCATCTAACATAATCATTGACATCCAATAACACCCCCTCCCTGTTTTACATTTGCTCATAAAAAGGCATTACAATATGACTATTTTTGGACAGTAAAAAAATAAAAGTTTTGTTTATTTTTGAGATAGAGTCTTGCTGTGTCACCCAGGCTGGAGTGCAGTAGAACAATCATGACTTACTGCAGCCTTGGCCTCCTGGGCTCAAGCAATCCTCCCGCCTCTGCCTAATGAGTAGCTGGGACTACAGACACACACTACTTTGCCTGGCTAAGTTTTAAAGTGTTTTGTAGAGACAAGGTCTCATCGTGTTGCCCAGGCTGGTCTTGAACCCCTGGCCTCAAGCAATCCTCCTGCCTAAACCTCCCGAGTTGCTGGGATTACAGGCATGCGCCACCTTGCCCAGCTCTGATTTAATATTAATAGTCAACATATATCATTCAATCTATAATTTTGTGAGTTTTCCCCCAATTTGACACACTGCTTTACAAAAAAAATAAAATTGCTTATTTGTCTTTCAACCCACAGCGGCAGAGTGAAGAAATTGGGCTTCACTGGAACCAGGAAGATCTCATTCAGCGGATGATAACCTCTTACATTTATGCTACAATTTGCATTTTGTAAAGTTGTTTTATAGTTTTGATTGTGTTTGATTCTGATGATGGGAGGTGGAGCAGATGATAGGATTCCTATTTTGCAAATGAAAAAGCAAAAACGATTTTGTTTTGTTTTGTTTTTGAGACAGAGTCTTTCTCTGTTGCCCAGGCTGGAGTGCAGTGGCGTGATCTTGGCTCACGGCAACTTCTGCCTCCCGGGTTCAAACGATTCTCCTGCCGCAGCCTCCCAAGTCGCTGGGACTAGGCTGCACGCCACCATGCCCGGCTAAGTTTTGTATTTTTAGTAGAGACAGGGTTTCACCATGTTGGCCAGGCTGGTCTCAAAGTCCTGACCTCAGGTGATCCGCCTGCCTCAGCCTCCCAAAGGCTGGGATTACAGGCATGAATCACTGTGCCTGGCCCAGCAAAAACACTTTGAAGAGGAAGCGATGATCTCTGGAAGACAGCAAGGGTCATTTAGCAGTTCATGCCAAAGGAACATTTTTCCTTTTTAAAATAGATTTGCTAGATCAGGAAATGCTATAGGTAACGTGTTTTGATGTTAGCAGAACACTTGACAAAGTGTCTCACGAAGTCTTTGTGGACACGGGGAACCGTTTTAATGGATAGGAAGCTCGTTATGCAGAAGAGGGAGGAATCTGTCCCTGCAGAGCGGAGAATTAGAAGCCATGGACATTAGTTCCATACAGGGAAGCAGATTTGGGTTCAGCTCAAGAAAGAACTTTCTAACAAAGAGAGGCGGGCGGATCACGAGGTCAGGAGATCGAGACCATCCTGGCTAACACGGTGAAACCCGGTCTCTACTAAAAATACAAAAAATCAGCCGGGCGAGGTGGCGGGTGCCTGTAGTCCCAGCTACTCGGGAGGCTGAGGCAGGAGAATGGCGTGAACCCGGGAGGCGGAGTTTGCAGTGAGCTGAGATCGCGCCACTGCACTCCAGCCTGGGCGACAGCGAGACTCCGTCTCAAAAAAAAAAAAAAAAAAAAAGACCAGCTCTTTTGTGAGAGAAGTTGGTCTCGCCTGGAGTCAGACAATGGGCAGTGACCCCAAAATAGTGAAGAAAGAGAAGGGATTAGTGCCAATCTGGATGGATTGCTGCACTCCAACTATCCCGGTAACATTTATTTGTGGTTTTTTCGAGACAGAGTTTTGCTCTTGTTGCCCAGGCTGGAGTGCAATGGTGGAATCTCAGCTCACTACAACCTCCACTTCCCAGGTTCAAGCAATTCTCCTGCCTCAGCCTCCCTAGTAGCTGGAATTACAGGCGCCCACCACCATGCCCAGCTAATATTTGTATTATTAGTAGTATTAGAATTAGTATTAGTGTTATTTTGTATTATTATTATGTCTCAAACTCCTGACCTCAGGTGATCCGCCCGCCTCAGCCGCCCAAGGTGCTGGGATTACAGGCGTGAGCCACTGCGCCCGGCCTCCCAGTAGCATTTTTATTGATAACTGTGATAAAGTCAAAGAAGTCACATTCAGCAGCTCTGTATTTGTCAAAGCTGAGAGTGATATTTAGTACTTTAGACAACAATTCATGTTGAGAGAAATATCTTTTTTTTTTTTTTTTTTGAGACAGTCTCGCTCTGTCACCAGGCTGGAGTGCAGTGGCACGATCTCGGCTCGCTGCAAACTCTGCCTCCCGGGTTCAAGCGATTCTCCTGCCTCAGCCTCCCGAGTAGCTAGGATTACAGGTGCACGCCACTACACCCAGCAAATTTTTGTATTTTTAGTAGACGGGGTTTCACCATGTTGACCAGGATGGTCTCAATCTCCTGACTTCGTGATCCGCCCGCGTCGGCCTCCCAAAGTGCTGGGATTACAGGCGTGAGCCACCGAGCCTGGCCGAGAGAAAGATCTTAAACAGTGGATAAAAATGTAATATGGACATATGTAAAACCTTGTGCTTGCTTAAAAATAATTTGCAGTCCAAGTACAGGGTGGAGGAGATGCTGTTACGTAGCCTGTGCATTACAGGTTGCTTTTGTTGGTGCAAATTCAGTATGAATCAAGAGACAGAAACTGCCAGAGGAGATGAACAGGCTGCCTTGGGGTCACAGGGCACATGAGGAGCAGCTGAAAGCCCCTGGGATGTTCAGCCTGGAGATGAGAATAGTAGCGTGGGCGAGGAGTGGAAGGGTAATAGGAAGCTTGTTGTTTCCAAGTTGGGGGGCCCCTGGCTTTAGAGGGGAGAATTAGATTCCATGAACAGTAATTACATACAGGGAAGTGGATTTGGGTTCAACTGAAGAGAGAATTTTCTAACAGTTTGAGTTATTCAATAGTGAGATGGGCTGTTTTGTGGCGCTGTGATTTCCTCGTCCACAGAAGTGGATAATTTACTATTTATTAAGGATATTTTGGAGGGCATTGTGTAGGGAATGGGAACGTGGACACAGTGAAAATCAAGAGGATAACTGTTATTTCATTCCCGCAACAACCCTGGCGATGTTATCATCGCCATCTTGCAGATGAGAAAACTGAGATGTCGAGAGGGTAGGAGGAAAAACCAAGACTTGGACCCAAGTGTTTTATGGCAGTCTTCGTTTTCTCCCCCTTTCCAACCCTACAATTTTAAGATGGAAACAATCTCTCATCCAAGATGGGTCCCGGGACAGTTTTGCTTCCAACGGTCTCAATTTGCCTATGTAGGAAACAGGTATATTGATTTCCTCTCCTTCCGTGTTCTTCAAGAAGGTTGACAGTATCTGCGAGGTGAATGGACTGAGTCCCTT
The DNA here is from genome assembly GCF_000001405.40 of Homo sapiens. Classification (NCBI taxonomy): domain Eukaryota; kingdom Metazoa; phylum Chordata; class Mammalia; order Primates; family Hominidae; genus Homo; species Homo sapiens. The sequence goes on along the minus strand of NC_000014.9, from coordinate 91,950,194 downwards.
AAAACTCTTCCTACCCCCACAACTAGTTCTACATCAGATATTTTAAGTTTTATTATTTTGAATATTACTCATATTTTGAATAGGTAATACAGGTACAAGGTACAAAATTCAAGTTATGCCAAAAAGTGAGCAATGAGGAGCGAATTTTCCTCTCCTATTTCTTTTCCAATTGTCTGCCTGATTTCCCTCCTAGGAGATGGTTACAGACCATATGTTTAAACCCCCAGATTCATATGTTGAAATCTGAATCCCCAAGGTGATGGCTCTAGGAGATGAGGCCTTCAGCAGGTGATTAGATCATGAGGGTGAAGCTCTCACGAATGGGACCAGTGCCCTTATAAAAGGAATCCCAGTCTCTGGCCAGGCGCGGTGGCTCAAGCCTGTAATCTCAGCATTTTGGGAGGCCGAGGCCCATGGATTGCTTGAGCCCAGGAGTTCAAGACCAGCCTGGCCAACATGGCAAAACCCCATCTCTACTAAAAATACAAAAATTAGCCAGGCACGGTGGTGCGTGCCTATAATCCCAGCTACTTGGGAGGCTGAAGCAGGAGAATTGCCTGAACTTGGGAGGTAGAACTTGCAGTGAGCCGAGATTACACCACCATACTCCAGCCTGGGCGAGAGAGTGAGACTCCATCTCAAAAAAAGGAACCCTAGTCTCCCTCTCTCCATCATGTGAGGACATAGCAAGAAGACAGTCATCTGCAACCAGGAGAGGACCCTCATGAGAACCTGGCTATGCCCACACCCTGATCTCAGACTTCCAGCCTCCAGAACTGGGAGAGATAAATGTTATTGCATAAACCACCCAGTCTATGGTATTCTGTTATAGCAGCCTGAGCTAAGACCAATAATACTCATGGTTTCTTGTGCATCCTTCAGGTGATGTCTTTTCTGTACGTGTACAAGCAAGAACTTATGTATTTATTTTTTTTCCCACAAATGATGGCATGCTTTACACACAGTTCTGCAGCTTACTTTTTACATTTATTACTATATTAGATCAATCTATGTGAAATTACCAATATTCTACTGTTTTGACCCACAAAATATATTGGAAACCCTTCAATAGCAGTGCATACGGAGCTGTTTCAGTCTTTTTTTCAAAATAAGATATAACATACATAAGACTTCACAAATATTAAATGTACACACCCCTACATAACCAGCATCCAGATCAATCATTAGATTATTACCAGCACCCAGAAGGGGCTGGGCTGCCTCCCAGTCACTATCTGACTTTGAATTTTATATAAATGGAGTCGTTTGATGTGGACTCTTAAGTGTCTAGGTTTTAATTGGTTGCACAATAGTCCCTTTGGAAGCCCCTTACTTTATTTAACCCTATTGGTGCCTTGCTGATCGACCTTAAAGGTGTTTATAATCTTTTGCTTTTACAAACAATGGGGGGATGAACAACCTTATAAACATAAGGTATTTAAAAAAGTGTTTTACAGGAAATTTCAAACACGTAAAAGGAAATAGATTAGACTAGTATAATGGACACAGCTTCAACAACTATCCACATTCTGTTATTCTCCTTTGGGTAGAATTCCATTTACTTACCCCCAAAAATGCCTTAGGGAAGGCTAAATATGTAGACTCCAGAGGCTCAGCTGTACCAATGAATAGCTGCGTGACTATGGGGAGGTTACCTAACCTCTCTTATCTTCACCTCTAATAACATGGAGATGATCATTCCTACTGCTTAGAGTGGTGGTGAGGACAGGGGACCTGGATCAGGGCTTTTCGGCTGCAGGTAGGAAGATGCAGGTGGAAGCAGATGGGATAGGCCACAGTCCATCCACTGGCGTTTTATAGAGTGAGTGCCTTCTGTAAGATTTCATTGACAAAAGTACTCCAATGGCTTAAAAACAAACAAACAAACAAACAAACAAACAGGAAAAAGAAACAGGTTGAAGCCTCCACTAGAATGAATGCAAAGGACTCAGCATGTCTTATGTGCTGTCTCCACCATTCTGCTTTTCCAGACTGTCCCTTCTTCAAATCACCGTTTAACTTGTTAAAATCACTTTCGAGCCAGGGGACACTTTTCCAGGAAAGCGAGAAAATGCCAGGGAGAATCGGGGAATGAGGGCGGGGAGAGAAAAGCGTCCTAAGACTTGCATTGCACAAGCTGAAGTCTGGAATTCGCACCAGCGGGATTCCATCCTCTTCCCCCCCACCCCACCCCGCTGCTCCCCACCCCTTCTTCGGGAAGATCGCGACTCTCCCGTCGCTCGCCCCAAGCCTCTGCTTCGTAGGTTCTGGTTTCCCAATCGATCGTGAGTTTCTAGTCCCTGGAGCTGCGTGGGTCGTGAGTTCAAGTCCCTTTCCTTCCGGAGGCGACAACGTTCTCGCGGGTCCCCTTGCCACGCAGCGCGGGCGTGCACGCCCCTCCCCGCCGGGCCGCGCTGCCAGCCCCGCCCCGCCCCTGGGTGGGAAGGTCAAGGGGCCCGGGCCCTCCCAGCCCCCGCACCCCTGCGCGCGCCCGCCCCTCGCCTTCTGCCCGGGCGCTCGCAGCCGAGCGCGGCCGGGGAAGGGCTCTCCTCCCAGCGCCGAGCACTGGGCCCTGGCAGACGCCCCAAGATTGTTGTGAGGAGTCTAGCCAGTTGGTGAGCGCTGTAATCTGAACCAGCTGTGTCCAGACTGAGGCCCCATTTGCATTGTTTAACATACTTAGAAAATGAAGTGTTCATTTTTAACATTCCTCCTCCAATTGGTTTAATGCTGAATTACTGAAGAGGGCTAAGCAAAACCAGGTGCTTGCGCTGAGGGCTCTGCAGTGGCTGGGAGGACCCCGGCGCTCTCCCCGTGTCCTCTCCACGACTCGCTCGGCCCCTCTGGAATAAAACACCCGCGAGCCCCGAGGGCCCAGAGGAGGCCGACGTGCCCGAGCTCCTCCGGGGGTCCCGCCCGCGAGCTTTCTTCTCGCCTTCGCATCTCCTCCTCGCGCGTCTTGGACATGCCAGGAATAAAAAGGTGGGTTCTCGGCGCTGGACTTTTCTTTCTCCAGGGTCTGGAAGCCTTGCTAAAAATCCGATGGGTGGAAAATGGTTATGGCTGCGATTCAGGCGGTGTCAGGATATTGGAAAAGGCATGAGCTAGTGATGCAATGATATTGTTAATTATAAAAAGCTGCGCCTCTGTAATTTCCATCTTGAAGCGTTCTTTTGGGAGTGGGTATTTTCTAATACAGTTTCAAAAGCCAGCATCAGAGAGGGCTGCGAAATTCTCAGCGCTTCATTCCTCTTTCTTTTCTGGAAAGGGCAGCAACTTTGTCGTTTTAAGGGATTTTTGTATGTATTTTTTAAATTTCGGGAGGCCAATTACTAGTTCACTAGCAATTACTGCGCCGCATCGGCTGATAGACAAGCAGACAGGCTAGCTGAACACCGCGGGGCTGGATTTGCTCTATGTTTGTGTGGGATTCTCACAGAAGTTTCAAGCCAATGAGAAGTGGGAACTGCAGACAGAGATACATGTAAGCAAATGTTTTGCTATTCTTTAAGGAAATTGCAATTACAGTTAAGTAATCCTTAAGTCTTGGAGAACTTTACCTAAATGACACCCACAGTCTTTATTCAGCGAGCTCTTGAAAACATACTGCTTTGAACAAATTAACCTTGTGTGCGTATGTATGTGTCTGTGGGGTGTGTGTGTGTGTGTGTGTGTGCTGAAAACTAAGCTGTAACAATGTCATCCTGGATTGGGGACCAGCACTTCTGTGACAGGCAGTCCTGGTATTTGGTTGGTCTCTCCGGCTTTCCTTGTGTTTCAGGCTGAGGCACAACACCGGCGAACCCACCTGCTTTAGAAAGTTCCCAGGACCGGTTATGAGCACCAACCTGCCTCCCCCCAGCTATTCTTATAGTTAGTTCATTTTTGGAGTTTCCAGGGTTTTTTTTTTTTAATCACAAGGTGCAGCTATTCGTGATGCTGTGAGGCAGTAGTGCTTGGGTATTCTTTCATTTTAGGAAAATCCTATTAGCCTGGAACCTGTTTGGCCCCCAGGACTCAGCTGTGGCTCTTCCAAGAGGCTGGGCTTGAGGCAAGACCTGTCCCAGGGCTGCCTCTAGCCAAAGGGAATGGGGCTGCGGGGAGTAGGGGGAAAGATGGGGTTAGCATGCCTTTTCAACTAGCTCTTGAAGTCCACTGTGTTGCAGTCAGCCTGTTCTTTCTCCAACATAAACGAGACAGGGTTTTATAACCAACTGAAAGGAAACTTCATGTGAAGAAACAGGAAAACATTGAAATTCATAATACACAGACTGGAAAATAAATTTGTTATTGTTCTTTCATTCCTTCCAGATATAAATCTGGCCATGGCAAATATCAAAAAGCCCTGGGATTTGGCTCTGCACTTTATAAGGTCAGAGCTGTCTCCAGCGTTCTAGAATCTGGCTCACCCAGGCACTTACATGAAAACTTGTGGACTCTCAGCGTCCTTATTTTTTGGATTGGGGACTCGATAAAGGAAATGGCCTCGCATCTCCTAAGATCGTATCAGGGCCCTATTCCCTCTGGATGTCAGCTTAACTCCAGGTCCTCTAATACCCAGGGTTGCTGATGCAGATGGGCCATGTGTCCTGAAAGGGAGGGATTATATTGTTGTGGTGCACGTTTGTAGTAACGGGCCCCAGAATTCAGCCATGTCCCCAGGTTCACTGCTCTGTTGAAGAAGCCTTCAAGATCACCTTCTCCAGGAAGTCTTGTTGCTACCCACAGCCTGGTTGTTATGGCACCCAATAGGTATTTCTTTCCATGCCCTTGCCAAGGTGTATGGACATTGTCGTGGCTCCCCAACTGGTTCTCAAGGGTAGTGGTTGTTTCACAGTTCTGTAGCTCCTCCATCTGGCATCCACACCCACAAGCAGTAGTTGCTTGGATAAACTGCTGTTGAACTGAATAATAGTACTAGATAACGCTCTGCTTTTGTTTAGATTTTCTTTTTTTTTTTTTTTTTGAGACGGAGTCTCGCTGTCTCCCGGGCTGGAATGCAGTGGCGCAATCTCGGCTCCCTGCAACCTCTGCCTCCTGGGTTCAAGTGATTTGTCTGCCTTGGCCTCCAGAGTAGCTGGGACTACAGGCGCCTGCCACCACAGTCGGCTAATTTTTGTATTTTTAGTAGAGACGGGGTTTCACCATGTTGCCCAGGCTGGTCTCAAACTCCTGACCTCGGGTGATCCACCCACCTCGGCCTCCCAAAGTGCTGGGATTAGAGGTGGGAGCCACCATGCCCAGCCTGATTTTGTCTTTTTTTCTACCATAACCATTTTGAAGAGTCTAGTTCAGTAGTGTTAACTGCATTCACATTGCTGTGCAATCTCCAGAACTCTTTTCACCTTGCATGACTGAATCTCTGTACCTATTAAACAATTCCCCATCTTCCCCTCCCACTAAGCCCCTGGTTACCAACATTCCACTTTTTGTCTCTGTAATTTCGACTACACTAGGTGCCTCGTATAAATGGACCCATGCAGACTTTGTCTTTTTTGTGAGTGGCTTTTTTCACTTAACATAATACAGTCAGGGTTCATTCATATTGTAGCATGTGTCAGAATTTCCTTCCTTTTTAAGACTGAATACTATTCCCTTGTGTGTACAGACTGCATTTTGTTTATCCATGTATCCATCGAAGGACTGCGTCCACCTTTAGGCTATTGTGAATAATGCTGCTATGAACACAGGTTTACAAATACCTGTTTCAAGTCCTTGCTTTTAATTTTTTGAGGGTATATACCTAGAAGTAGAATGGCTGGATCACATGGAAATTCTATGTTTAGTGTTTTGGGAGTCATCATACTGTTTTCCATAGAGACTGCACCATATTTACACCAACAGTGCACAGGAGTTTCACTTTCTCCACATCCTCCCTAACGCTTGCTCTTTTCCATTTTTTAATAGCCTCATGAGTGTGAAGTAGTAGAGATTTTGTATTTTTATTTTGTTTTTATTTTTTGAGACAGAGTCTCGCTTTGTCTCAGAGCGTGTACCACCATGCCTGGCAAATTTTTGTATTTTTAGTAGAGAGACAAGGTTTCACCATGTTGGCCAGGCTGGTCTCGAACTCCTGACCTCAGGTGACCTTCCTGCCTCGGCCTCCCAAAGTGCTGGGATTACAGGCATGAGCCACCACACCCGGCTGCTTTTGTATTTTTAAAGCAATCTTGCTGGCCACAATCTTACTGGATTAAAGCCTGTGCGTGGCGAAGGGCAGAGTTGCAGACTCCCAGAGCATCACTGTCTTGTGCATGGCAGAACTGAGCCCAGGGTGCGTGACTCCTCCTCCTGTTTTCCCGCGGGTTTCATTTTCCCTGGGCTGTGCAGGTTCCCCGAGTCCTTTCCTCCATCAGGACCTGCTGGCAGCAGTTCCCGCAGGCCACACTCTTCAGGGGACAGGGCCACCCCAACCCATCCACTGATGGGGGATTTTCACACATGTGGACTCAATGCTCTGGTTCAGTGACTTCCTGTGACACCTTTCTTTGGTGCCACTCAAAGTGCCTCACATTCTCACTTTCTTTTCCTTTCACTGTTTGAGGGCATGATGATGGCTTATTCACTCTGTAATCATGTCAGCATAAAGATGTTCAAAAGTCAAGCACATCTCGCATAAAGAATAAAGACCAAGGAACTGGTTAATACCATAGTGGGAGGTTTTAGCTTTTTTGGGGGGTGGGGGGAGGACAAGGTCTCGCTCTGTCACCCAGGCTGGAGTGCAGTGGTATGATCTCAGCTCACTGCAGCCTCAAACCCCCTGGGCTCAGGTGATCCCACCTCAGCCTCCTGAGTAGCTGGGACTTTAGGCGCGTGCTATCATGCCCAGTTAATTTTTTTTTTAATTTTGTAGAAATGGGGTTTCACCATGTTGCCCAGGCTTGTCTCAAACTCCTGGGTTCAAGCAATCCTCTTGCCTCAGCCTCTCAAAGTGCTGGGATTACAAGCGTAAGCCACCGCACCTGACCTTAGCTTTTTTTTTTGAAGCAGCCAAACCCTTTATTAAAAAGTGTGATCTAACACATGATCCCAATGCAGGAGGCAAGTAGAAGAGGTGTGGTTCTGCTTGGGTGGTCGCGGTGTCTGGAACCACCATGACCTCCCTGGAGCACACCCCACCCCATACAAGCCCAAGGTGATATCACCGTTACACGTCACGGGCCGCATGCGACCCACACTCCCCTAGACCTGAATCTGTCTTGGGCATTTATATTTGACTTTTCACCTCCACAGGATACTCACTGTTACCATTCTGGCTCTCTGTCTTCCAAGCCCTGGGAATGCACAGGTAAGATTTTTATTTTTAAAAAATATCTACAAGCGTATTAAAATCCGGGGTGAGGGAGTCCAGCCTTGCGCTACGGAACCCTAGGTTTGTGGGGGTGGGAGTGGCTTTACAGTTGACCTCATCTGAGCTCTTCATTCTCAGAGGTTAACAGTGGAAGCTCAGAGAAAGTGAGACTTGGCCCAGGTGACATGACTTGTAAGTGACAAGGCTGGGGCTGGTACTCAGTTTCCTGACTCCCAGTCCAAGACTCTTTTCTATTTTATTATAAGTTCTAGGGTACATGTGCAGGATGTGCAGGTTTGTTACATAGGTAAATGTGGGCCATGGTGGTTTGCTGCACCTATCAATTCATCACTAGGTATTAAGCCCAGCATCCATTTTTAATCAGATCACATGGCCTCATTTGTGCCCCTCACAGCAGGCCTCAACCTACCTTCAGTGTTGAAAAGTAAAATATGCTGTAGTGTTTCTGGGCAATGGCACCTGAGGACCCCCACGGGTCTGCATGTGTTGCCACAGACACACCCCTCCTGGAGGAGGTGGGAGAGGAAGTGGGTGTTACCCAAACATCCCAGCATGTAGTGTTGCATAATTCAGCTCCAAACCTAGGAGGGCCCATCCCTGGGCTGAAACCCCTCAGAGGAGTAAGAAGGGGGTGGGTGAGGCCAGGCTCAGGGCCTTAGGGGTTCTGGAAGAAGCTTGCAGCATCCTGGACTTTATTTTAAGCAACAGGAGAGATGGACCCCTGTGTGTCAGCCCTGAAATGTGGGCAGATCCCTCCTGAAAACTCCGAGTGGCCTCTCTGTGTCTCTGGCTCAGGAAAGAAGTGAGAGAAGCCCTATCTCTGAGCAGGCTGAGGGCTGCAGGCAGGTAGGGGAGCATTTTCTCTCTTCATATTAAGAATTTTGAAGCATATTCAGGCCACTGGCAATGGGAAGGATTTTGGGAGGAGTAACAAAGAATTTTAGACCTTGCGGTTTTCTAAGGCAGCCTCATGGTGTACACATGAAGACAGGTAGGCCCCAAGGGCAGAGGTTCAGGGTCGTGTTTACTGCACTTTAGGCACGTTATATAGATTAACATACATCGTCCTTACCACCATTTTGAACTACGTACATACCCCCCCATTTTACAGATGGGGAAACTGAGGCATAGAAAAGTTACGCAGAGAGTAGGGGCTAGAGTGAGAATTTGAAGCCATGCCCTGGTCCAGCAGTCTTGAACCTATGCCAGTCCTTGACAACCAGGGCTGGAACCTGGATCTCCTGGCCTCCCAGCTTCCCGGCACAGCTTCCTGGCTCGTCTGTTCCACTTCCTTTGCCCCAACTCCCTGGGACCCCTGAACCCTCTCCCGGGAGTGCAGGCCATATACATCATCTCTGCAAATCAACCAACAGCTCAGCGAAGCCCAACCTCCGAAGCTGTAGAAAAGGCCAGGGATGGGAGCTCCTAGAAAATGTCAGGCCCTGGGGTCTTCCTGAAGAGTCCACCCAACACATTTTTTTTTTAAGTACATACATTTGTAGCTCAAGTTGTATGTAAAAGCTACAACCCTCTGGAATTGTTGAGATCTATCTCTTTCTGGAAGCATCTTTATGTCGTCATCTTGCTGAGGTTGAAATGGAGAAATTTACTCAATTCAACTTTTCTTAGAAAACTGACCACATCTCTGTGTAGCTTTTATTTATGTACAGACATCAAAATCAGGTAGAGGATTTCATGGGGGCAAATAACTCATATTCGACACTCTGAAGGCGAGGTAGCACCTAAAGAAAGAGTCATTGCCCTTAAAAGCAGTCTTATTCATTCCCAGAAAGGGGATGAACAGGGAGCATGCCACATTAGGCTCAGCAGATATGATTCCTCTTGCTCTTCACAACTACAGCATTAAAAACCCTGAAACCTGTCTGCTAAAAATGGGAGCTATGAAGCAATGGTACAGGGAGTTTTTTTTTAAATAAAGTTTTTCTAAAAACACAGAGATGGGGTCTTGAGGGCGGTCTCAAAATCCTGGGCTCAAGAAATCCTTCCTCCTCAGCCTCCCAAAGTGCTGGGATTACATGCATGAGCCACTGCGCCTGGCCTGGTGTGGGGAGTTTAGAAAGTAGTTCTAAGTATAAAATAATTACAAGGAAAAATTTTAGAAGAACAAATAGGGGTTATAATACAGGTATTGGTATTTTGGAGGCCTTTCTTTTTTGCTCCATTTCCCCAACTTTCTGTGTTGCAGCAATAAGACTTTTATGGTGTGAAATGACCTTGCCTGTTTCTCCTCTCTCCTTCCCTGCAGGCACAGTGCACGAATGGCTTTGACCTGGATCGCCAGTCAGGACAGTGTTTAGGTATGAGCCACTGTGGATCCTTCATTGGGGTGGAGGCATTCAGCCCAGTTGCAGTGCTATTTATTTCTTTCTCTGTTGTTCAATGATTAGCCATGCCCATGGGAGAATACAGTGACATGGAATGACTGAAGTCAGTGGTGCCCTTTTATTGATCACCTTCTTTGTGCCTGGCCTTGAGCTAAGCACTGAGAGGGGTGAAAGAATTGATCTCTGTTCTCTTGAAGGTTTCTATTGGATTGGTGTTTCCTAGGGCTGCCGTAACAAATTACCACCAACTTAGTGGCTTAAACAACACCAGTGTATGATTTTACAGTTCAGTAGGTCAGAAGTTTGACTTGAGTCTCCACCAGAATAGAATTAAGGTGTCAGTAGGGCTGTGTGCTCTTCTGGAGGCTCTAAGGGAGACTTTTATTCCCTTCTGGTTGTTGGCAGAATTGAGTTTCTTGTGGTTGTAGGACTGAGGTTCTGTTTCCTTGCTGACTGTCAGTGGAGGGCAATTCCTACCTTTTAGAAGCCTCCTGCTTTCCTTGGCTGGTGGCTCCTCCCTCCATCCTCAAAGCCAACACAGCGAGTCAAGCGTTTCTCACTTTGAATCTCTTCTTTTTCTGTTGTAGCATCTCTCTGACCAATCAGCCTCTTCTTCTTCTACTTTTAAGAACTCCTGTGAATATATCGGGCCCACCCAGAAAATCCAGGATAACCTCCCCATCTCAAGGTCAGCTGCTTAGTAAGCTTAATTCCAGCTGCTACCTTAATTCCCCTTTGCCGTGTAACCCAACCTATTCACAGGTTCTGAGGACTAGGAAGAGATTTTGGAGTGTTTGTGGGGGTCATTCTCTTAGCATGCCATCTTTTGCAATGGACTCTGCAAAAGAAGAGGAGAAAGTAATACCTTATGTCCAGGGTCAATAAAGCATCGATGGGGCCGGGTGCGGTGGCTCACGCCTGTAATCCCAGCACTTTGGGAGGCCGAGGCGAGTGCATCACCTGAGGGCAGGAGTGCGAGACCAGCCTGGCCAACATGGTGAAACCCTGTCTCTACTAAAAATACAAAAAAATTAGCCAGGAGTAGTGGCATGTGCTTGTAGCCCCAGCTACTCAGGAAGCTGAGGCAGGAGAATGGTTTGAACCTGGGAGGCAGAGGTTGCAATGAGCTGAGATCGCACCACTGTACTCCAGCCTGGGCAACAGAGAGAGACTCTGTCTCAAAAAAAAAAAAAAAAAAAATTAATGGAGGTCACATTTGAATTGGGTATTGAAAGATGAATAGGATCCTAAGAAATGCCATTCCAGGTAGAAGGAACAGCATTAACAAGGACCAGGTGTGGAAAGGACACTCAGAGCATGGAATAGTTTGTTGTTGACAGAGCATAGGGCATATGAACGGAAGAAGACAGCCCTACTTGCCCCCATCTTAGGGGAAGTATTTAGCTTTTAAATTATATTTAATTTAAGCAAAATCATTTGTCTTCTCTGAGCTAACGTCACCATGCTCCAGAGGGGAGATAGATGGTTTGAAAAATCGATGAACAGTGAGGAATAAAACCCTGTCCTGGGAAATCTGGGCTTACGTTTTGATTTTAAAATAAGGTGTTTTGATTTGAAGATTTGATGAGGAATCAAGAGTAGAGCAGTGGCCTTCTTTTCTGGCCCCCCATTTCAGCGATGGCTTCAGGCTTCAAGCTGGAGAACAGGCTGTTGCATTCTGCACCTTGCCATTGCTTTTACCTCTGGTAGGATTGGGTGTGAGTTTCTCAGATGAGATGCTGGGGGTGAGTTGTCGGGTGCAGGCATGTGGTCTCCAGTCTCTAGCCCCGCACAGAGCAGACTCCAAGGCTGCTGACATGGCTCGGTATACGGGATCATGTCTACTGCTCGCTGGAGCCACAGTTCAGGCCTCCCCTGTCTGTACCCTAGCAAGGCTGATTTTCTAGAGAGTCCACCTCTCCCCTTCCAGACATAACAAGCAGAGCCCAGCCTGGCTAGAAATTGTTGGCTGGCACAGAGCTGACTTGAAAGCAAAGCTCTGCTTTCTTAACAAGCAACTAGCTGTCAGTCAAGCCTTTTCTTTTTTTTCTTTTTTCTTTTTTTTGTTTTTGTTTTTGTTTTGAGATGGAGTTTCCCTCTCGTCGCCTAGGCTGGAGTGCAATGGCGCAATCTCAGCTCACTGCAACCTCTGCCTCCCGGGTTCAAGCGATTCTTCTGCCTCAGCCTCCCAAGTAGCTGGAATTACAGGCATGTGCCACCACACCCATCTAATTTTTGGTATTTAGTAGAGATGGGATTTCCCCATGTTGGGAGGCTGGTCTTGAACTCCTGACCTCAGGTGATCCACCTGCCTCGGCCTCCCAAAGTGCTGGGATTACAGGCATGAGCCACTGTGCCCAGCCTAAGCCTTGTCTTTTCCTGATGCAAGAGACTCTTTCTCCCCTGACCACTGTTACTTGAAGTAGAAGTGGAGACAATTGTTAGGCCCATCCCAGTATTTTCAGAGTATAGTATGTGCACACGAGGATCCTTGATGTATTAGATGGTACATCTGCAGATAAACACTCTTTATTTTAATAGTGTATATTTATTTTTACTGTTACCTTCTACTTATGCTAGTTTTCACTTGCTGTAGTCATGTAAGACTTTAAATATACATTTATTTGGGCTTCAAATATGGGCTTACTTAAAGAAAGAGTATGTGCAAATGATAGTACAGGTTTGTTTTAGTCCGTTCTCTGTTGCTTATACCTAAATACCTAAAACTGGGTAATTTATAAAGAAGAGGAATTTATTTCTTACAATTGTGGAAGCTGAGAAGTCCAAGGTTGAGGATCTCCATCTGGTGAGGGCCTTCTTGCTGGTGGGGGCTCTCTGCAGAGTTCCGAAGTACGCAAGGCATCACACGGTGAGGGGCCTGGGCTGCTAGCTGAGGTCTCTCTTCCTCTTCTTAGAAAGCCACCAGTTTCATTTCCAAGATAACCCATTAACCCATTAATCTATGAGTAGATTAATCCATTCATGAGAGTACAGCCCTCAGGATCCAATCACCTCTTAAAGGCCCCACCACTCAATATTGCAACACTGGGGATTAAGTTTCAATATGAGTTTTGGAGGGACATTCAAACTATAGCAAGGTTTTTGTAGATATGGTCAAAATCATGATGGTGGTATTTGAAAGGCTGATGTTTGAGTGACACTGGTTACTTTGATACACTTCAGCCAACATTTGGGGTACCTTACCGCGATGAGTTGGGACCACCCTAGGTGTTTGGGAGTGCTTCCTCCACGCCTGGTACCGAGTTCTGCTTAAATATGCACCGGACACAAGGCAGTTGGGGTGCCACTAATGCTCGCCCTTTCTGTGCCTTTCAGATATTGATGAATGCCGAACCATCCCCGAGGCCTGCCGAGGAGACATGATGTGTGTTAACCAAAATGGCGGGTATTTATGCATTCCCCGGACAAACCCTGTGTATCGAGGGCCCTACTCGAACCCCTACTCGACCCCCTACTCAGGTCCGTACCCAGCAGCTGCCCCACCACTCTCAGCTCCAAACTATCCCACGATCTCCAGGCCTCTTATATGCCGCTTTGGATACCAGATGGATGAAAGCAACCAATGTGTGGGTGAGTAGCCCGGCCTTTTGTTCCTCTCCGCTGTGCTTTGGTGAAGACATCGTCTGTATCTGGCATGCTCACCACAAATGGGTTGTTAGTTGCCATTCAATGCACCAGTGAAACAATGACTTACTCTCTGCATACTTATTTCACTCTTAGCAGCCTGTATCTCTGGGTTCCTGCCCAACTAGGGAGGTTATTTTGCTGTTTTGTTCACAGTTCTCCAGAAAACCAATTTTTTTCTTTATTTTACTTTCATCTATCTACCTACCTATCTGTATCTATCTATCTATAACTCATCTATATATTTAAAGACCAAGGTAATATTTTCTCAAATAACCAATACATCTGGTCAGACTTATTACAGTAAGTAAATCTCAGAGGAAGTTCTAGACAGGGCCAAAGCTCTGTCCTCAGCCCCCGCACCCTTGATTGGAACATGTGCTTCTGCAATACAAGAAGCCTTGAAGGGCACGGCCAACTGTTCTGGAAAGAAAATTAGGTTACTTGGGTTGGAACTAATGTGCTTGTGACCAAAAGGAGCCTCACTGATAGGAACTCACAGCAAGAATGGACCTCCGGGAAGAAGCAGGCACAAAGGAATTGGCAAGGGGTGTGACCAAGGTGCGCTGTGATCGCGCCTGTGAATAGTCACTGCGTTCCAGCCTGGGCAACATGGTGACACCTTGTCTCTTAAGAAAAAATATATATGAATTGAAGTTTTATTACTTTTTTCCTCTACCCCAAAAGTTTGAGAGACCATTGGTCTAGCAAGATTTTTGTTTGTCCCATTTTGTTTTTTGTTTTTCCCATTTTTGTTTGTCCCAAGATTTTGTTGTCCCATTTCAGGGCTCTGGAGTGTTGAGCTGTAACCCACTATTAGGGAAGCTGTGTTGGTTAATTTAAGGTGTCTTCTATATGCTTATATGAAGGAGTGTGCATTCTCTTTTTAATACAATAATTGCAGACAAGTGTCTTCAGAGCTATGAGGGAACACTGGGTATGCTTGAACCCAAACTTCTGCATTTTCGCTGGTCTCAAGGCGTGTGGTCTCTGTGTGTGTTGGCGTGGGGAGAGAGAAAGAGTGAGAAAGACAGAGCTGGTTAATGTTTACCTTAAACGTAGATGACTGTGCAAAGGGAATGAGCGCAGGGTCCGGTCAAGCCAACTTTGGTGGAGAAGATGGTAACATGCTTCCTTATAACCAGCATCAGGAGGAAAGACCTTTGTAACTGGAAGGGACTTTTTTTTACCAATCTTTAACTTCAACTTCTTCATTTTGTAGAAAGGAGAGTGTGGACTCCAACCAGTTAGGTAATTACAGAGGTAGGATGCCAGTCCAGCTCCCCTAACTTCTCCCCTGTCTACAATCTCCTAACTATAGGAAATGACCTCTCCTATCTGGTAGAAAAGAAATGATCCCAAAAGAAAATGCAGAGATAGAGGTGGGAGGTGCTGCTCTTCCAGGATGTCACGTGGGGGCTGGATAAGCCAAGTGATCAGCCCTTACGTGTCTTGAGGTGAGGAAGAGGGTGTAATGATTCTTTCGAGGCACTCTGCGGTTTTGGCAGGGGGCCTTGGGTGGTCGTGGTGCAGACAGGTCTAGCTGATGCCTCGGGCAAGCTCAGCGGCCTCCTTTGCAGAACGGCTGGGAACTGCTGCGGCTTTCTCCAAAGTGTCTCCCTCCTTCCCCTAAACCTCTTTCCAGGGTCCCAGTGCCCTTGACAATGAGGACATGGCTGGGAAACCTATTCCTCCCCTGGTCCCTCTGACGTCATGCCATTTATGGCTCTGAACCTGTCACACGGGAGATGCGGAACTTTCATAATGGCCCTTTTGTAAGGAGAATACAATCTAGGAGCCCTAGTGAGGACTGGCACCAGGCCCATCCATTTCCAAAAAGTTCAGCATTATGCATTCATAAGTCCTGAGTTCTTTCTAACTTCCCTTCACCCCACCCCATGGTTTCCTGGTTTTACACAGGGCTTTCAAATGGCCCTCGCTGAGGTCCCTCTGCGTATTGTAAAGAGCTGGCATTGTGGGGGTGGGGGGAAGTAAGAGAAGGGATGGGAAAGGGAGGCTCTTTCTACCTACCGCTCCTTCCAAGAACTGGGATGGAAGAGAGGTGGGCCTGGGAGCAGGTGGAAGGGAAGCAAGGCACCGTGGCGGAAGGTGGGAGGGAAGGAAACCAGATGGGGGGATCATTGAGAAAAGACAAGGAGGTGAGTGTGGAGGTGTCACTGCCCAGAGAATGTGGGTGTTTTCCAGAGCACAGCTCTGATCCTGTGGAGGAGGCATTGCATGAGCAGTGGGTAAGTCAGGGAGACTTGGGAAACATTTCTGAAACTTTAGTGTTCTAGGAGAGGAGGAAACATCTCCAAAGGTGTCTTGTCCTCTTCATCAAAATAAGAATAGCGATCAACAGTAACATCCGCAGCAGCAGTGGTAATAATATCAAACACTTGGATAGAACTCGTGTGCTAGGACCTTTACAATAATTAATGCGCTTGATCCTCATAACCAGCTACAAGGTAAAACTATTATCATTCCTATTGTACCCATGAGGAAACCGAAGCAGAGAAACTAAGAAACCTGTTCAAAGTCACACAGCAAGTGAGGGGCCGAGCCATGATTTGAACCATTCAGGCTTTGAATGAGAAAACAGGCTCAGTGAGGTATAGATTTGTTCGAGGGTGCTCAGAGTCAGTGCTGAAGTCAGGATTAAAAACAAGGTCCTTCTCTTGCTATTTTTGTTTTCTGAGACAGGGTCTGGCTGTTACCCAGGCTGTAGTGCAGTGGCACAATCACTGCAACCTCTGCCTCCTTGGCTCAAGCGATCCTCCCATTTCAGCCTCCCAAGTAGCTGGGACTACAGGCATGTGCCACCATGATCCTCGATCACTGCAACCTCTGCCTCCTGGGCTCAAGTGATCCTCTCATTTCAGCCTCCCAAGTAGCTGGGACTACAGGCATGTGCCACCATGCCTGGCTTATTTTTGTATTTTTTTGGTAGAGACAGGGTTTTGCCATGTTGCCCAGGCTGGTCTCAAATTCCTGGGCTCAAGCAATCCTCATGCCTCGGCCTCCCACAATGCTGGGATTATAGGTGTGAGCCGTGGCACCCAGCTATCTCTCTTTTTTTTTCATAATGAAACTTTTTGCTCTGTAAAATTTTGAACCTAGTCAAAAGTAGAAAGAGCATAGTAAGCACCTACCTACTTATCACCCAACTTCTGTAGTTATCAGCACGGGCACAATCTCCTTTCTTCTTTACACTCTACTCAGTGCATTAATTTAAAGCAAATCCCAGACATCATATAATTTCATTCTTAAAGACTTCAGAATTATCTCTAAGAGATAAAGAAATTCTTTACAAAAACAAATTTAAGGCCAGGCACGGTGGCTCATGCCTGTAATCCCAGCACTTTGGGAGGCCGAGGTGGGTGGATCACCTGAGGTCAGGAGTTCGAGACCAGCCTGGCCAACATGATGAAACCCCCTAAAAATACAAAAATTAGTTGGGTGTGGTGGTATGCACCTGTTTTCCCAGCTACTCGGGAGGCTGAGGCAGGAGAATTGCTTGAACCCAGGAGGTGGAGGTTGCAGTGAGCCGAGCTCGTGCCACTACACTCCAGCCTGGGCGACAGAGCAAGACTCTGCCTCAAAAAAATAAAAAATTAAAATAAAAAAACTTCCAAAAAGCACAATACCATTATCAAACCTACAGAAGTCAATAATAATCTCTTTTTATCATTAAATATCCAGGTAGTGTTCAAATCTCTCTGATTGTCTCATAAATGCCTTGCAATTTCATCACAAATGGCCAGAAGAATCCCTGCAGTCCCCGGAGTAGCATGGCTCTAACAAAATCCTGCTTTCTCAGCCACAAAACATTTCACTAACATTAGTTATTGGAGTCCCTACATTTGCCACTGAGCCAAGTTGGTTAGCAAAGCCAGAACTTGGAATATCCACCCAGAGGGATGACAAGCTGAGCCCCAAAGGGGCCATGCATACGAAGCCATCTCAGCAGCCTGTTGTCTGTTGGTTTGTTGAAATCAGATCCATGCAAATTCTGCAAATTGCATTGGTTGACAAGTCTCTTAAATGTCTTTTAGTCTTTACTGTTTCCCTGGCCACTTATTTGTTGAAGAGGCTGAGCTGCTTGTTCTGTAGAATTTCATACGTTTCGGAGGTGGCTGATTGCACTCTTGCCGGGGCGCGGGTTATCTTATTCCTTCGTCCCCTATATTTTCTTGTAAGCTGCTCATAGATCTAGGGACTTGATCCAATTCAGGTTAAATTTTTGGGCAGGCTATTTTGCAGGTAGCATCTTTGATCTTTTGCCCTCTTCATGCACTGATTTCTTCTCAAAGTGTAAGACAGTCTGCCTTGGGGAGGCAAATGAGCATCCCCTTTCACGGCGGTTTACTTTTTCTAGGGTTTGGACCCACTTTCAAGGAAGCACTTCATCCCTTGGTGCCGCATGAAGCCATGCTGTTTCCATGGGCTGGGCGGGGCCGGGCTCAGCACCTGGGTGGCCAGTCCCTCAGAGCTTCCTCCTCAATTTTTCTCTTTTTGGTTCCACTTTGGAGGTGACTAGACCCTGTCCTTTTGGAACAATGTTTGGCCTTAGGTTTGAGTCCACAGGCCCCTAGGTGTGCACTTGGGACATTTCTGCAGACACAGTGAACAGTGACCTAGGAATTATAGTCCACGAGCCAAGCAAGTTTTGTGTTGTTCAGAAAACTGGCATCTTGGCATGACAGTGATGGGACTCATGGCTCATTAGAGTGTGTCACCCAGATCCTGGACCCTTGGGAGATCTGGTGACCAGATTCTCAGGGGAGGGAGAGCCAGACAGACATGGTTAACGGGTAAGCAGGGAGGGGCTGCTGAAGGAGAGCCTCACCCAACAGCTCACAATCAAGACCCAGACAGAGGCCAAATCAAACACATACGTAGAGTTCTGAGCTGGCCACATAGACATCCCAGAGAAGGACGGTGTGGGGCTGAGGATGGTGTGGTGCTGAAGCCTCAGGGGGTGGGGTGAGCTGGTGCCGAGTGGCTGGGGCACCCAAGATGTGGACTCCCATTCAGGAACCTTCCTCTCATGGCACGCTGCCTCTAAGACCGGGTCCCTGAACGTGGCCGCCACTCAACTCTGTCAACTCATTCCCTTGGGGGCTCAACTTGTCATCTCTCTGGGTGGACATTCCAAGTTCTAGCTTTGCTAACCAGCTTGGCTCAGTGGCAAATGTAGAGACTCCATCAGTAACTCATGTTTGTGAAATATTTTGCGGCTGAGAAAGCAGCCTTTTACTAGAGCCCTGCTACTCCGGGGACTGCAGAAATTCCGGCCATTTGTGAAATTACAAGCAATATCTTGATTCTCTCTTCTAGTCCAGGATTTTTGTTATTGTTATTGATCTGAGAACAGGCAGAGAGCAACACATGGAATCCTTTTGGAAGGTGGGTGGTGTTGGTCTGAGGCTTTCTCTTGAGTTATTTTTCCTGAAAGCCAGCCAGTACTTCTTCAGTCAACCAATGTGTACAGAGTGCTTTGTTGGTGCCAGGCTCTGGCCTAGGCACCGAGGGGGATGTGGAGTTTTGCATGGCCACGGAGCTCTCTCTAGAGCTTGTGGACAAGGAAGGGAGATTAAACGCAACACAAGCACAAGCAGCTGAAATTCAAGACGGCCTCTGATGAGTTCCTGAGATGGTATAAAAAGAAGGCAGAGATAAGAAGCCTTCTGGGGTGGAGGGGACTGGAACTGGGAAGTCAGACAGGCTTTGAGTCTCACCTTGGTTTGGCCACTTCCTACCTGTGAGGACGGGGGTTGGTTTCCTCATCTGTAAAATGGATATAACAATGCCTGTCTCACAGATAACATGTGCAAACACCTTGCCCAGTGTTTACGCAGAGTATCCCATAGTAAACGTTAACTGGGAAAGATTTGTGGAGAAGGCTGCTAGGGTCTTGAGATGATAACCCAGGGGAAGAGTCACAGAGTCTGAAAATGCATCAAACGTCTAATTCTTCAAAACCTTTAAAATGACCTAAAACTGAGCCTAGTACACATTTACCTTGCAGGCCTCGAACGGCTTTCCCCAGCTAAGCCTGATGTGGCTTCACTCGGAATCTGCTTGGAAATGGCAGCAGAACCTGGGATTATTTAAATTGTGAGACAGAAAAGTGGGAAGTGGGAACAAATGTGGCATAAAGGCCGGGGCAAGTAGGAACCTCAGCCCCTAATGCTGACAGGACTGTGGTTAGCAAAAACTAGGGAGGAGAAGGCGGCCTTCACTCCAACAGACTTTTCTTAGTTTTTATACAGTCCTCTGGCTTGGTCTGTAACTTGAAACTCAGTCCTCAGGCTGAGACCAGAAGGAAAATGCGTGAAACAGATCTGGAGGAAAATGCGTGAAACCATGAAACCGATTCTTTAGCTGCTGAGGGCATTGGGACTACGCAGGCCCAGAGAGGAAATGGGATCGCATTGAGGTGGGGGTTCTGCAGCTGGGTTCGCTCAGATGTCTTTGTGAATTGGCCCCAGCAAGCTTGTTCATGGGCATGGCCTCCCCAGGTTTCCCACCTTGCTGCAAGTCTTTCCCTATCATTGCTGGGATGATGGGCAAGTGGCTTCACTTCTCTAAACCTCAGATTTTCCTCCCGTAAACAGGGATAACAGTACCAACTGCCACAGGAAATTTGGAGAATTAAGTGAGATATGCATGCAAATTGTCTAACATCGAGGCTGGCTTATCATAGGGGCTTCCTAAGTTCGTTACTGTAATTATTGTTTTCATTATCTCAAATCTCATCATTCCGTGATGACTTCTCCTGCTCCAAACCCCTAGTCCTGTTATTCCATTATTTTTTATTCTTTCTTCTGGGAATTAGATTTAATAGTGTGTGTCGTTTAGGGAGTTGAAAGTTGAATTCTTGCCAATTTTCAGCAGTAGGAGTTGGGGTTAACTTGTGCTTCCAGGGAGACACAAACACAGACAGGACTCCAGGAAGTTGTCCAGGACAGCTGTTCCCAAAAGTAGCTGTGCCCATGAATCACCTGGGGAAAATGCAGTTCTGACTCAAGAGGTCTGGGGTGGGCCCCAAGGGTCTGCATTTTCTTATAAGCCCCCAGGTGATGCCACGCTGCTGGTCCAGGGAACACCCTTTAATTAGCAAGGCCCTAGTTCATCTGTCTATTTTTCGACAGAACTGTGTTTAAAGAAAGGTAGAAGGTTTATTTTTTTCATGCAATTTGTATATTGTTTGAATTTGTTAGAAGAATGTGTTACTTATTTAAAAACAAAACACAAACTGGAAAGAAATGATTTTAAGGCCTAGATTGAGGTAGCATGGTGTAGTGGTAAAGGGATGAGATGAGACATTAGTAAGAACTGGATTTTGATCCCAGATTTGCTACTTATTAGCTGTGTGACATTTAGAAAGCCACTTGGCCTCTCTGGCCTAAGTTTTATTATCTGTGAAAAGAAAGGATGGTATTATACTAAGGGTCGTAATCTGGGGTCTGTGGATATAAATCAAGGGATCTATCGTCATATTTTTCCCCACTAACTTTGAATTGAGATTTAGCATTACTGTCCATTGTAGGCAACAGGCCACAGGACTATTAGCAGTACCTGGGATGGTATTGACAAGAGAATCAGATATTTACATATCACATTACAGCTGTGGCAGTTATTTTGAAATACTTGGAAGTATTTTGAAATGTTTTGAAACCTTCAAAATCATAGAAGATACTAGATCTGCCTAATTTTTTTTTAATGCACTGATAAACAAGTATCTATATCACTGTATCATGTGTGTGTGTGGGGTGTGTGTGTGTGTGTGTGTGTGTGTGTGTGTGTTTTGAGACAGGGTCTTTTTTTTTGAGATGGAGTCTCACTCTATCGCCCAGGCTGGAGTACAGTGGCACGATCTTGGCTCACTGCAAACTCTGCCTCCCACGTTCATGCCATTCTCCTGCCTCAGCCTCCCGAGTAGCTGGGACTACAGGCGCCTGCCACTGCACCCGGCTAATTTTTTGTATTTTTAGTAGAGATGGGGTTTCACAGTGTTAGCCAGGATGGTCTCGATCTCCTGATCTCATGATCTGCCCACCTGTGCCTCCCAAAGTGCTGGGATTACAGGTGTGAGCCACTGCGCCCGGCCTGAGACAGGGTCTTGCTCTGTTATCCAAGCTGGATGGATTACAGTGGCATGATCTCTGCTCACTGCATCCTCAACCTCCCAGGCATAAGTGACCCTCCCATCTCAGCCTCCCGAGTAGCTGGGACTACCAGTACATGCCACCATGCCCAGCTAACTTTTGTATCTTTTGTAGAGACAGGGTCTTGCTATGTTGTCCAGGCTAGTCTCTAACTCCTGGGCTCAAGCGATCCTCCTTCCTTGGCCTCCCAAAGTGCTGGGATTACAGGTGTGAGCTGTCATGCCCAGCCATACATTCGTTTTTTAAATATTTTGATAGCTGCATTTCAATACAATTGTTTTCTTTCGTAATCCTCTGAGTTTTATTTTATGCAATTTAGGGCATTATTCTGAGAAGGGAGTACATGGGCTTTAGCAGTCTGCCAAACAGGTTCAAGGCACACACAGAAAAGTTTAAATTCCCTGGTTCTGATGATTTCTCAGGTTTCCTGCAACTCAAGAATGTTCTACTATTCTAAATCTTCCCAATCTTTAGGAAACATAATTTTTTGCGTTAGCCCTTTCCCACCTGGATTGCCTAGGTGACGTGGCTCTTCTCTGTTGCGTGTGTTTTAACAGCACACATGCCTGCTGACACCTGCCGGGACCCTACCAAGTCTCCACTTGTGAGGAAGTCCCTTCCACCCTCAGTGGTAGATGGCTTTGGTTATTGGCACTGGTCTGGTGAGGTTCAGTGCACTGACTGGCCTCATGTTCTGGGTGGGGTCCCACTGGTGGGCCATGCCCAGCCCTTGGTGCCTTTGTGTAGTAGGTCACTTCCCCAGTGTCTAGCGTGGCAGTCTTTTCAATGACCTACAAGTTTTTCTTGGCTCTCATCTTATGTTCCTTGGTCTAGTCATGTTACTTTTATTTCTACTCCACTCTGGAATTAGCCAGTTGTGTGTGAAAAGCGAGTGGTGTTGCAGAGGAGGGATGAAGTGTGGACTTTTTAATGGCAGGACCATTCAGCTCTGGTCTGGCAAAAGTGGCTGCATTACCAAGTCTCCAGAGAGCACTGCCTGGAGGGCAGGAGGTTGAAGTTACCTGCCAGGTTGCAAATAGCCTCGAATGCCAGGGCCAGAGCTGAGCTGACTGTTTAGCACATGTCTTTTAAGTTAGTAGGAGGTGCATGCTATGATACTCCTTAGAGAAGTGCAGTCATTCTAAATGTGTTGAGATGGAGCAAGGTGATCACACCATCTCTTTTGTTGTCAAGGCTAGTTTTAGATTTCTTTTCAAAATCCTTCTGATGTAAGTGGGTTGAATCCACCACTGGAGGACTCTAGAACAGAATGACTCACATAGGTTCTGTACAGAAATTCGCAGATGTTCTGTGGATGTTCTCCGCGGCTCTTATCTGTTTATGTGGATGGTGTCTGCATAGCATCTGCAGCTCACACCCCCAACCCTGCTGTAATGCAAGAAACAGAGGGATTTGGGGGATTTGGGAGATGTTTATGTTATCAGGGATGTTAAATGAAAGAAGTAAAAATACCATATGAATGCAAGGCATTCATTTTATGGAGAGTGTGTGCCTGAGTGGGATAAAACGGATTGAAACAATAAATGAGGAATCCTGTTTGATGTTGACGACAACAGCTTCATGTAAATATCATCCCATAGGCCCAAGCTATTTCTTTTGTGGGGAAAAATGGAGATCTTCATTTCTCAAAGGATCTGAAGTGAGCAATTCAATGATGCCAGGCACTAGTGGTAGAGAGTGTGATGCAGTGGAACGAGCATGGGCTTAGATTCACACAGACGTGGGTTCGAATCCTATCACTGCACCGTTACAAAGCCTTTAAATCCTTTGAGTGTGTCCCAGCTACAAGATGGGACAATGATGCTTATCTTCCGGGAATGTTTTGAGGCTTAGTGAAGGCAGGATAGTCAGGTCTTCACCCTCTAAGCAATCGCGTTGTCACTCCCACCCGTCCACTGCCCCCCGTCCACTCCCCCCGATCCACTCCACGTACCTGCAAGCTCTTTATCTCACAGGAGCAGCAACTCTGTTTGCTTTACATCTTAGCAGTCCCTGCCAGTCATAGGGTCAGACACGTGGCAGGTGCTTGTTGGCTGCTTATCTCAAGTGGGGAAGTATGTGGAAGGAGCATTAGTTGGGGAGGGAGAAGAAGAGGGACCTCTTTCAATTCGTGATCATGTCTTGACACTTCACCCCCTCTGTCTCCACTCTGACCTCACACAGGCCACAGAGGCAGCTTTCGAGCCTTTCTCTGGGGCCCTCTTAGACTCTGGGAGTGCTGAAGAGCTACCTGGGTACCTTCGTTCTCCTATCCGTTGGGCTGCCATCCTCTGTGGACACATGTACCACACAGGCCACGCGGTGCCCAGGCCTGGCAGGCTGGGACTGGGGAAGTGCTGGTGGTACTGGGCTGACCCGTCATCAGAGAGACCCATGAGCCAGACAGCCTCCCTCCAGCAGCCAGCCCTGGGCCTTGAGCATGGAGGCACAGAGGCCAGGGCTTCCCAGCAGCCCCAGGTGTGGGCACCGAGGGCAGGCAGGTGCCCACAGGCTCTTGTCTTTCATAATGGAGGGCATGGCTGTCGGGGGTTCAGGGAAGTGGGTGGGGTGCCTGGCAGGGGGATTCCTGAGACAAAGGCACAGTGCCAGCCTCCACTGTTTATCCACAGCATCTGGCAGAGTGAGGCTCTCGTGGAGTGATTTTTGAATGAATGAATGGCGGAAGGAAGAGTGCGGGCACCGATGAACCCAGGCTAGCCAGAGGGGAGCGCCACTGCCTTCCTCACTCAGTCTCCCAGCACTCACCTCCAGCACACCCTCTGCTGACTCCTCCCACTGTACTGGGTGTCAAGCAGGGACTAAGGTGACCAAGAGTCTCCTTGTTCCTTAAGCGCCTTGTGGGCTGGGGCCATGGTCGCTGTGGCTGTCCTGCACCCAGCAAGACGCTGGGTACCACGGCAGCTCAGTGAGTGTTAGATGCAATCTAATGTACAGAAGCACTGACGGGCTAATGGAAAAAGATGCCTGTGAAGAACCTTCCAGTGAGATTAACTTGCAAAGAAACCCACGTCCACTGTCCCCTTCCTTAAGGGGAAACGCTGTGGGAGGCTGTGCCCTTCGTACCTTGAAGCCACAGCTTTGTTTTCCTGCCATGGGGGAGACTGGCTCCCAGGGCTTCACCACCAGCCAGCGCCAGCTCCTTGCACAACTCCAGAGGGCACCACTCAATTGTATTACATGTCACTGGCACCCCCTGGAGCCCAGCAACCATCCCGAGGCTCCTGTTTGTCTTGGAAACAGAGGAGCATGCTTGGGGAAGGGTCTCTGGGCCATCTCCTTGGGGGCTGGCAGGGAAAGGACATTCACAGGATTCCTTCCCTCCAGAGGGCCTCAGACAACAGACTAGATGTCAAGGACTGACCGCCTGTTCCCCTCCAGCTTGTCGGAGCCGGGCCAGAGGGGAGATGGGGACAGCCAGTGCTGGGCCCTGCTGCAGGCAGCCAGCATCCACAGACTCTGGGGCCGGCGGGTATGTTGGGGCCGGGGAAGCAGAATACTTGGGGTCTTGTCAATGCTGTCTGACTTTCTTTCAAACTAAAACATTTGTGGAAATCTAGCCAGAGTTGATTTATGAGCTCTACATATTTCACAGGTCTTAACACGTCCCCCAGGAATCAGTGAGGTCAGACAGAACAGACTTTGCATCCGGAATCAGTATGAAATTGGCATCTTCAACAGTTTCCATGGGAGGAGGGGTTTAAGAATTTGAGGGAGATTATATGAAACAATGCAAAGACACAAAAAACCCTGACTCTGCTTCATTCCATTAGGGAAAAAGATGGGTCATCTGTTTTCTGCATCTGAGCTGAGTGAGGGGTGGCCTTCTCCGTGGGGACAGGGATGAAGTATGATGGGACAGGACTCCTGGGGCAACTGAGAGCTCAGAGTGGACTCAGGGGTGACCACAGCACCCTGTACTTATTCTCCAGCTCACACTCCATAGCTGTGATAAATACACATTTGTGATTATTTATTTAACATCTCTCCACCCAACAGAGCTTTCTGTCTTATTCGCCATTGTATTTTTTTTTTCTTTTTCTTTTTCTCTTGTGCAGTGGTGCTATCTTGGCTCACTGCAACCCCCATCTCCTGGGTTCAAGCAATCCTCGTGCCTCAGCCTCCCGAGTAGCTGGGACTACAGGTGTGTGCTACCAGCTATTTTTTTGTATTTTAGAAGAGACGGGGTTTCACCACGTTGGCCAGGCTGGTCTCAAACTCCTGAGCTCAGGCAATCCGCCCACCTCTGCCTCCCAAAGTGTTGGGATTACAGGCGTGAGCCACCACACGCGGTCTCACCATAGTATTTTTCTAGTGCCTGATAAATATTTGTTAAATAAGCAGAAAAGCTACATGAGTGAATTATATATGTGGGATTCAAATGAGAAAGAGAAATGGATTATATATTAGGTACAGTTTCTACATAGGTTAACTTATGACCACTGATGGAATTCATTTATCCATTTACCATTTATGTGTTGAGGTCTGAGCTGTGCATGTAAAGATTAACCCATTTATGCCTGATGTTGCAATTTTTAAAATTTTTGCAATCAGACCTTGGTGATGACCTTGAACAGGAGAATATAAATAACTCCCACATGCTTAGCGTTCCAATAATGGAACACTAGGCATAATTTATCAGATATCATCACCCCCTGGCGAGTTCACAGCCTCTTGGCGGGAGTCGGGTGGTTTGGCAGGAAATATGAAACCCAAATAATTTTATGTAG
Organism: Homo sapiens; assembly: GCF_000001405.40. NCBI lineage: Eukaryota > Metazoa > Chordata > Mammalia > Primates > Hominidae > Homo > Homo sapiens. The sequence goes on along the minus strand of NC_000014.9, from coordinate 91,923,970 downwards.
CCCAGTGAAATGGGATGGCAACGAACGTAGGTATGGGACACTTTGTTGGCTCTGGCTGGAGTGGTCACAGAAGCTTTCCTAAAGACAGGGTTGCATATCTGTGCGTCCATTTGATTAAACAATATTGACTGATCACTTTTCTGTGTCAGACACTGCCAAGGGCTAGGAGGGTCTAAGGATGAACGAGATGCTGTCCCTGCCCTCAGGATCTCTCTGCTGAGTGGGTGTGAGTGGGGGTTTTGGAGGGGGGTGTACATAACTCATCAGATTCTCTTCATGAGCCAGTGTCAGATGTGACTGATGAGAGCAATATGTCCCAGGTGCTATGGGAGTGCCCACGAGGAATGTGAATGCATATGGTGGCCTTTAGCAAGTCTTTGCAGGATTGAATAGGATTTCCATGTCAGAGACGAGGAAGGGCAGTCAGGGTTAGGGAACAGCATGGGCAGAGACATGGAGACAAGAAAGTTCACTGCATGTTGAGCAGTCTTGGTCATGAGTCAACCGGTCACCTGCACACTTATGACACCCAGTGTGGCTGCAGCATGGACACATGTTGTGGGCAGGGCAGGCACAGAATAAGAGATGAGGCTTAGAAGGTTGGCACTCAAGATTCCCCACCAGATTGTGGGGCCTTGAATTCCATGCAGTTGACTTGGGCTTTATTCTGTGAACACTGGTTTTTGAGCAGGGGAGTGAAATGTTTACAAGCCTATTTGGAGATTTCTGCTTAGCCTAGTCTTAGCACTGCCACAAGCTCATTGGGTGGTTGTGCTCCAGTTCCTTCTCTTTCTGGGGCTTCAGTTCACATCTGCATGAGAGGGGCTGGGCCATTATCTGTGAGGCTTCCTCCAGCCTTGACCACTCAGGATGCAAAGATGCTTATGACAACCAGGTGAAGGGTGGCTTCTGGAGACAGGCAGCTTTCGGAGATGGTATCTTCTCATTTGAGGCATTGATTTTGCATGTAGTCTAAGCTGTAGGGGCTAATTACTGGGTCACCTCATAATTACATCACCTCCATGTTCTCAGGGTCCTGGTCAAAGTCTCCTTTAGGCTTAAAACAGGGATGAGCCCTCTGCCGAGACCCCTGAAAAAGGGGCATCAGTGGATGGATGAAATTGGCTCTCACTGTGATGATAGGGCCTGGCCTGGTCCTGTGAGAAATCTGACACTGCCTTTATAATTCCTGGGGGAAGTTTGCAAGCAGCTGGAGCAAAACACAAGCTCCTTAGGAAGCCAAGAATCCTCCCAGATTGACCAACAAGGTAGAGATGTAAGCGATCCCACCATCAGACGTCTCTGGAAAATCCCACCTCAGACCTCAGACCTCCTCAACAGATCCTTTTTCCAGGATTGTCTCAATCTCATTTCTCTCCAGAGAGCAGACAGTGGCTGGGGGCCAGGTGGCACTGGCCTGTGGTCTGTTGTGGTCTCCACTTCTCCCCATGGAGGCTGGGTCCTGCGGTTACTGCCATGAGTCCTTTCATTGTAGTAATTCCCACTGGAACACTGCTTCTCGCTTTTCCAAATGCTTTCGTGTCCACCAGCTCATGGAATTCTCAAAATAGCCCAGGGAGGAAGGCAGGCCTAGGAATGTTCTTCCCTTCATTTTATTTATTTATTTATTTATTTATTTATTTATTTATTTATTTACTTTATTATTATTATTATTTTTGAGACAGAGTCTTGCTCTGTCACCCAGGCTGGAGTGCAGTGGTGCGATCTCGGCTCACTGCAATTTCCGCCTCCTGGGTTCAAGCGATTCTCATGCCTCAGCCTCCTGAGTAACTGGGATTACAGGCACCTGCCACCAGGCCCAGCTAATTTTTGTATTTTTAGTAGAAATGGGGTTTTGCCATGTTGGCCGTGTTCAAATTCCTGACCTCAGGTGATCCGCCCGCCTTGGCCTCCCAAAGTGCTGGGACTACAGGCCACCGCGCCTGTCTGCCCCTTCATTTTAGAGAATATGTGGAAGGGCTCCATGACTGTCCCACATCCCAGAGTTTGCTTGTGATTTAGGCTGACCAGCATGTGGGCCCGCCAGCTTTAGGCCCTTTTAGGCCATCCCACGACGTGCCCTGGTTGGTCATAGGCACCATGCCAGCTCCTTTCTCTACCCCAAATATACCAGGCCCTTCTGGACCTCAGGGCCTTCACACTTTCTCTTCCTTCTATTTGGAACTCTCTCCTGGCTCTTCACATTGCGGGCTCATTCTCCTCTCTGGCTTCAGCTCAGTTCAGATGGCACCCCTTAGAGAGTCCTACTCAGGCTGCCTTGTCTGAAATTACACCGCAGTTACTCCCAATCACAGCCTTATCATTTTCCAGCACAGTCTTCAGCGTGCATTAAATCCACCGGAGGCCTTCAAACACAGATTGCTGCCGAGTTTCTGACTCAGTAGGTCTGGGGTGGGGTCTTTTCTTCTGAGTGATGCTGACGCTGCTGGCCCGGGGGCTGCACTTTGAGAGCCACTGATTGGTGGCTTTTTATGTATTTGTTTGTTGATTTTCCCATCCCTTAGCTGTAAACTTCAAGAGGGGAAGAAACGTTGCCTTGTAACCTGCTGCATCCCCACTGCCTGGCCCATAGTTGGTGCTTGCTAAGTACCTGTTAGCTGGCTATTGGCTGAAGGCTCAGCTGGAACCTCTTGCTTCATAATCAATCGTCTTGCACCTGAGAGGGAAGAAGGACAAGCATTGGCAGAAACTCTGGGAGCTACTTGGTCTCAGCTCTTCTCTGCTTTACTACCTTTTTCTTTAACTTTTTCATGCTTGAGCCTTTTCTAAGGGTCATTATTAATTTTGGGTAAAGATTACATGGATAATTTTCATAAAATCCCAGGTGACGGATTTTACTTTCTGGGTTCAGAATTCCAACGAAGCCGCAGGACATCTGGGTAAGAGAATTAAAATGTCGTGACTGGCTTGCATAGAACACCTCGTAGAATTCCCAATGTGGTACTTTCAGAACCCTCTGTGTCTCAGGCCTACTAGCCTTTGGCTTCAGAAGAACAAAGTTGAAATTTTGCCAGATTGGAGTTGGGTTTTAACCATGAAATGTTATCTATCTTCCCTGACAAAGAGGAGTTGAAGACCAGTTCTAATGATAGATCCCCTGAAGATATTGCTTTGGCCAAGGGAGTGCTGAGGGTAGGCTTGGGCTGACCTGGTCCATACTTCGTGCTACCATTGGGGGCCACAGGCAATGGAGTATGTGGGTTGGAGGCTTGCCAGGAGGAGGGTTGGCAACTCCTGCATAAACCACCACAAGGCTGCTATGGACTGAGAATCGTGGGAACAGCTGATTCTGCCCAAGGGGGTTGAGGAAGTCTTTACCAAGGAGGGACATTTATAGTTTGGTTGAGAAATCTGGAGGATAGGTATGTGATATGACAGGATTTGTCCAAGATCACCTGGCAGGCCATTGGCAGCGCTGAATAAAGCCCAAAGTCTCTGGTTTCTTAATCTCCAAAAATCATGAGTTGTGCAAAGAGATCAGATTCAGCAGCTGAATGACCTTGAGCAAGTCACTTCTCCGTGGTTGAAGGATGATCTTTAAGATTCGTTTAGATAATTCATTCATTTCGAGACACTGGGGATAGTAAGTGACCAGTCCTCTTTGTAAATCATACAGCCCTATTCTTTCCATATTCAAGCTCAATAAATAGTTGTACATTGAATGAATTTGACTGCTAGCATCATCTCTTTCCAAAGACAGAAAATATGGGGCAGGAGACCCTGGTGCATTAGCAGGCAGACAAGCCACAAATGGGTTAATAAAATAGAGTCATTAAGACAACAGGAGATAGTGCAACTTGGCTTTTGACTCTGAGGAGGAGGGAAGGCTTGCCAGGATTGCATTCCAGCACAGCCTACTGACCGTGGGGAAGAGTGTGTGGGACTCCAAGTCAAGCCCCAAGAGCCACACGCACGCTAATAAGTTCTAGTCAACAAGAACTCTGAAACCAGACAGGGGAGGGAGAAGGACAAGGCAGTCTACTTCCCTCTGGAAGCTTGGGAGGTGCTCAGGGCCAGGGGGAAAGCCCACACAATGTACTAGTTTGCTAAGGTGGCCATAACAGAGTACCACAGACTGGGCAGCTTAAACAACAGAAATGTATTGTCTCCTCGTTCTGCTGGCCAGAAGTCTGGGATCACAATGTTGGCAGAGTTGGCTCCTTTTGAGGGCTGCAAGGGAAGGATCTGTTCCTTGTCTTTCTAATTGGCTTATAGCTGGCCCTGTGTCTTTCCTTTCCTTTACTTGACTTTGTCTTTCCTCTGTGGGTGTTTGTGTCTCAGTTTCCTCTTCTTAGGAGGACACTAGACATTTTGGAGTAGGGCCCGCTATAACGGGCTCATTTTAACTGAATTACCTCTTTGAAGACCCTGTCCCCAATTGCAGTCACATTCTGAGGTACTGGGGGTTAGGACTTGAATATATGAATTTTGGAGGGACACGATTCACCCTATAACACAGGACACAGCCCTCTTCCTCCAGTGGGGACCCTTTTGAGGTCAGAGACCCCTGGTAATCCTTCCTTCCTTCCTTCCTTCCTTCCTTCCTTCCTTCCTTCCTTTCTTTCTTTCTTTTCTTTTCTTTTCTTTTCTTTTCTTTTCTTTTTTTTTTTCTTTTTTTTGAGACAGAGTCTTGCTCTGTCACCCAGGTTAGAGTTCAGTGGTGTGATCTCGGCTGACTGCAACCTCTACCTCCCAAGTTCACATCATTTTCCTGCCTCAGCCACCCAAGTAGCTGGGATTACAGGTGCATGCCACCATGCCCAGCTAATTTTTGTATTTTTACTAGAGGCAGGGTTTCACCATGTTGGCCTGGCTGACCTCGAACTCCTGGGCTCAAGTGATCCACCCATCTTGGCCTCCCAAAGTGCTGGGATTACACGCATGAGCCACAGTGCCCGGCTGCCATTCTTTTTTCTTATCCTTAATGACCTTAATCTGTGATTTCTTCCCAGAGGCCTTCTTAGATCTTTACTGATCTCATCCCAAGCCCATTGGAACCTCCTCTTCTCTGAGTTCCCAAAACACTGTGCTTGTGCCTCTGTTGGGACATTTCTCACCATCTACCTTAGACTTAGGAATGTGCTTGTGCCACTTACTCATTAAAGCTTCGTGTCCTGTTATCTTTATGTCTCTTTCATATCCCCTATCTCCTGTCTTGCAGATAGAACAGGGTCAATAATGTTTGCTGGCTTGTTGATAGGTCAGCTGTCCAAGAAAGTTGGGTAATAAGTGCTGGATAAACAGGAAGATGAGGTTGTTAGAAAACAGCAACAGCAACATGCCTTTCCTTAGATTTTGTGCACTCGTAGACAAAGTCAAGCTACTGGATTTATAAAGAAAAGATGCTCTTTCCATCCTTCCATCCTTGTTTGGCCCCAGTAGGTCAACAGAAGAATCTACAAACTGGGTGCTCAGCATTCTTAAGCCCCCAGAGTTCAAATCGAATTCCTCTTTTGGCCAGTCTTGGAGAGACTCTTCAATCATATCTTAAATAATGGCATTCTTTTGGCTCAGCTCTATGGATACTCCTCCTTCCGCCCCCAGTCCCCTGACCTTCTGCCCTCTTGTTTCTTGGCTGAAAATCTGGGTCTGCTGTAGAGAGCAAGAGCAGTTTCAGCAGAGCTGGGGTCCTTCCCACAAATCCAGAGCCACACACTCCAGAAAGCCTGACTATGCAGAAACAGCTGGGTTTTGGCAGGCTGATTCTGAAAAGCTTCGAATCACTTAGAAGCACTTTGTTCCCAAATGGTATGTGGAGGATGAGGAATGTACCATCAGATGAGGCAGGTCACCCATCTTGTTATGAGAGGACTCATTTGAGGACTGTCCCTTGAAACAGCTTCCCTGACCTCCCACCTTTACCTTATTCTAGATGTGACACTCCCAACTGGTTCATGGGTGGTACAGGTGCCTGGATATTGATCTCTTCAGCTCTTGGGTTGGGGGGCAGGGGCTTCAGAGGGAGGCTTAGTCCTTGGGCCAATTTGCCCATTCCATTGTACCTTACACACTTGTGTAATGTTCTATGTGTGCCTCAACATGAAAAAGGTTAAGAAGGGCAACTTTAGACTGGCGTGCTCTGCAGAGATTTCTAGGAACATAGAGCAAATTTCTCATTTACCTTTTAAAGTGAAATACATTCACTTGTTACTCTTGGTGCTGTGGCTTTTGATGAAGCAAATGCCAACATTAGGACTCTGTGTCTCCATAAAGCTATAGGGAAATTTGATTAAATTCAGTGTATTAGTCATCAGGACTTTTTGATTGCAACTGACAGAAACCCAGCTCCAAGTAGCTTAAGCAAAACAACAATAAACTACCTAAACGTATTTTGTTTTTTCTTTCTTTCTTTTTTTTTTTTTTTTTTTTTTTTTGAGATGGAGTCTCACTCTGTCACCCAGGCTGGAGCGCAGTGGCTTGATCTTGGCTCACTGCAACCTCTACCTCCCGCATTTAAGCAATTCTCCTGTCTCAGCCTCCCGAGTAGCTGGGACTACAGTTGCACGCCACCATGCCCAGCTAATGTGTGTATTTTTAGTGGAGACATGTTTCACTATATTGGTCAGGCTGGTCTTGAATTCCTGACCTTGTGATCCACCCACCTCGGCCTCCCAAAGTGCTGGGATTACAGGCGTGAGCCACCACACCCAGCCTAATTTGTTTTTTCATAACTGAAAGCTGAGAAGTAGAACTAGCTTCAGACATGCCTGAGGGCAAGGGCTTAAGTAGTGTCATATGGCCTTCATTTTTTTCTCTCTCTCCAATGACTATCTCTAAAACATAGGCTTCTTCATTCTCAGGGCAGGATCTCTCAAGTGGAGGCCGCTGGCAGCTCCAGGCTTATGTCTTTCTAGTTTAACAACCCAGAGAGATTGCCTTAATCTCGAGCTCTGGCAAAAGGTCATAGTTGGGCTCTAGTAGCCAGCATGGGTCACAAGCCCATCCCTGAGTTCGTCACAATGACTAGCAACCCATGGGCTTTGATTTAGCAAGCCTACATCACAAGCCCACCCCGGAACCAGCAGTGGGTCCAAAGCTACCTGCCGTGCATGGACCAAAAGTGCAGAAAGGCAGTTCCTTAAAGGAAAATTAGGGTGCTGTTACCGGATGAAGGAAGTTTGGATGGTGGGAGGGCAAGAGCTGTACCTGGAATCCTAACTTTTGCATGGAAAGAGAAGAAACAGAAGGACCCAAAGTTTGTTCTGAGCCCACAGTGACAGATAACAAAGGATGCACTCACTCACTAAAGGATGCACTATCTCAGTCATACACACACCCTTCCATGACATTGGGGGATGGTCACTAGTAACAAAAGTAGGGGCCTAGAGCTGCCATCTGAGCTGCTCACCTGTCCTCAGGTAAGCAAGTACTGATACTGCCCCCAAAGAAAACTAACTCTCCCTTTCATTGAAAGTTATCAGGTAGATAATACCATGAATCCTCTTTACAGAACATCTGAAGAAATGCCTAGTCCCTCACCTGAATTCTTTTTTGTTTGATTTTGAGACAGAATCTCGCTCTGTCACCCAGGCAGGAGTGCAGTGGTGCGATCTCCTCTCACGGCAACCTCCGCCTCCCACGTTCAAGCGATTCTCTGTCTCAGCCTCCTGAGTAGCTGGGATTACAGGCACCGGCCACCAGGCCTGGCTAATTTTTGTATTCTTTTTGTAGAGATGGGGTTTCACCATGTTGGCCAGGCTGGTCTCAAACTCCTGGCCTCAAGTGATCCACCTACCTCGGCCTCCCAAAGTGCTGTGATTACAGGCGTGAGCCACCGTGCCTGGCCACCTGAATTCTTTTGAGCTGTTCTTTGTTATCCTGCCCTTAGGAACAACAAAAAATAAAAGGCAAAGAATGGTAGATTTTTACCATATGTAACCATCATTATCTTTGGTCATGTTATAGTATGATTTGTTTACAATATACTGCTGGATTTGTTTGGCTAACATTTTATTTAGGATTTTTGTCATTAATGTCTATAAAGTAGAATGACCTGCCACATTTCTTTTTTAATATTACTCTTACTAGTTTTGGTGTCCACATATAAGCTTGATAGAGTGAGATATTGTTCCTTTTCTATTCTCTGGAAAGTTAGAATGGTCTAACCTTAGGTCATTCATGGAAATTTTATTCAAATTCAATTCATGGAAAGTTTATTTGAATTTGCCTATAAGATCATTGAGATTTGGTATTTTTGGGTGTGTGAGTGGGAAGATTTTTAGCTACTGATATGATTTCTTTTTTTTTTTTTTTTTTTTTTTTTGAGATGGAGTCTTGCTCTGTCGCCCAGGCTGGAGTGCAGTGGCGTGATATCGGCTCACTGCAACCTCCGCCTCCCGGGTTCATGCCATTCTCCTGCCTCAGCCTCCTGAGTAGCTGGGACTACAGGTGCCCACCACCACGCCTGGGCTAATTTTTTTGTATTTTTAATAGAGACGGGGTTTCACCATATTAGCCAGGATAGTCTCGATCTCCTGACCTCGTGATCCACCCGCCTTGGCCTCCCAAAGTGCTGGGATTACAGGCGTGAGCCACCGTGCTTGGCCGCTACGATATAATTTCTTAAAGTTAGGGGACTGTTTGCACTTTCTGTTTCTTCTTAAGTCAGTTTTACATAGTTACCTTTTTCTAAGAACTTGTCTACTTAATAAGTTTTTAGCTTCATTTGCATAAGCTTTTTCTTACCATTCTTTGTGTTATCTATTTGATCTTTGCTGACTTTGTAGTTCTGTTGTATTTTCATTCCCAATATTGTGCTAACTCTTTTTTTTTTATTATTTTTTATTTTTTTAGACAGAAACTTGCTCTGTTGCCCAGGCTGGAGTGCAGTGGTGCGATCTTGGCTCACTGCAACCTCCACTCCCTGGGTTCAAGTGATTCTCCTGCCTCAGCCTCCTAAGTAGCTGGGATTACAGGTGCTCGCCACCACACCCAGCTAATTTTTGAATTTTTAGTAGAGATGGGGTTTCACCATGTTGGTCAGGCTGGTCTTAAACTCCTGACCTCAGATGATCTGCCTGCCTCAGCCTCCCAAAGTGCTGGGATTACAGGTGTGAGTCACTGCACCCAGCCTTGTGTTAATTCTTTAATTAAAAAACAAAAAACAAAACAAAACAAAACAAAACAAAAAAAAAAACCACACAGATATTGCCAGAGTCATATCAGTTTGCTGTTTTCAAAAAGAAATATTTTGCTTTGTTGCTCTCCCCGATCTCTTTCTTTTCCTTTTGCTTTTATTTCATCAATTCCTGTTTTTTATTCTTTTCTTTCTATGTTTTGGATTTGTTTCTGTTTAAATTTTTTTCTTTTTTTATTTTTTCGAGAGTCTCATTCTGTTGCCTAGGCTGTATGCAGTGGCATGATCATGGTTCACTGCAGCTTTGATCTCCTGGGCCTCAAGTATCTGGGACCACAGGTATGTACTATACTGCCCAGCTAATATTTGTTGTTTTTTTTTTTTTTTTTTTTTTTTGAGACAGAGTCTCACTCTGTCGCCCAGGCTGGAGTGCAGTGGCATGATCTCGGCTCACTGCAAGCTCCGCCTCCTGGGTTCATGCCATTCTCCTGCCTCAGCCTCCTGAGTAGCTGGGACTACAGGCGCCTGCCACCACGCTCGGCTAAATTTTTTTGTATTTTTGTAGAGACAGGGTTTCACTGTGTTAGCCAGGATGGTCTCGATCTCCTGACCTCGTGATCTGCCTGCCTCGGCCTCCCAAAGTGCTGGGATTACAGGCATGAGCTACTGCGCCCAGCTAATATTTGTATTTTATGTAGAGGCAGGGCCTCGCCATGTTTCTCAGGCTGGTCTCGAACTCTTGAGCTCAAGTGATCTGCCTGCCTTGGCCTCCCAAAGTGCTAGGATTACAGATATGAGCAACTGTGCATGGCCCCTTTTCTAATTTCTTAAGCTGGTTGCTTAGCTCATTAACTGTAAGCCTTTCTTCTTTCATTAAGTCAGCACTTAAGACTACATATTTTTTGGTGTGACCTATAAGTTTGGATGTATGGTATTTATTGCTATTAAGTTGTAAGAATTTTTAATTTTCCCTGTAATCACTTCTTGTTATCCATGATTTATTTAGTGGTGAGTTTCTGAATGTTACACATTTATGGGGATTTAAATTATCTTTTTGTTATTGATTTATAACTTAATTGCGTTGTCATCAGGACATAGGGTCTTCATGATTTATTCACTTTGGTATCCACAATGCCTAGCACAATGCCAAGAATGTAGATGTCATTTAGTAAGTATTTGCTGATATAATTGAATGATAGTTGAGTGAACATCTATTGACCAGGCGTTAGAAGAATTATCTCTGCTCAAATTGTCCAATCCTTCCAGCTACTTGATATTCCAAAATAACTCCACAAATGGGCACTGGAAATATAATGGCCCCTCAAAATTGTCTTCTATGCTGCTCACTCCTTTCCTCCTTTGGCCTGGAAAACAGGCACTGAGTGGGTGAGTGAGAGGATAGTAAAACTGGCAGTGTGAGACCATCACACCCAGTCTCATACATAATAGATTTAGGTAACGGTTCTCCCTCTTATTTCTTATATGACCCAGAGAAATGCATTTCTTCTTTAATAGTAATAGGCTCTATTAATACATTTTAGGTGGCATTTCCTCTAGTGGAATCTCTTATCTCATTGAATCCTCCAAAATATTCAGGCATGATATTCCCATTTTAAAAATGGGGAAATGGACATAAAGCTAGTTAGTGGAGGGGCTGGTTGGGTTCGTGATGTGTATTTTTTGTTCTGTACACGAACCATCTCCACCTCATTTTTATCACTTATAATGACAGGGTAGTAACACCTTAGACTTCCCTAAGGGAATAGAGGTAGATAAAAACTTGTGATTGAATTATACTTGTAAAAGGGCGTTTGAAGACAAATAATGAAAAATACGAATCCATTCTGCACTACTCAATATGGAGTACATATTGAGTTAATACACATTGGTTAATACATATTGGTTAAATGAATGAATGGATGAATGGATGGATGAGTGAACAGCTCTTATTTTGATGAGTACATTTTCTGCTTTTTGGATCAACAACCTCTTTAGCATATTAAAGAAGAAAAGTGTCTCAGTCTTTTCCTGAGCCCCTAAGAACTGCTTTTTTTTTTTTTTTTTGAGTCAGAGTCTCACTCTGTCACCCAGGCTGGAGTGCAATGGTACAAACATGGCTCATGGCAGCCTCGATTTCCCGGGCTCAAGCGATCCTCCAACCTTAGCCTCCCGAGTAGCTGGGACCACGGGTGCACACCACTATGCCCAGCTAATTTTTTTCTTTTCTTTGAGATATCGTCTAGCTCTGTCACCCAGGCTGGAGTGCAGTGGCACAATCTCGACTCACTGCAACCTCCGCCTCCTGGGTTCAATTGATTCTCCTGCCTCAGCCTCCCAAGTAGCTGAGATTACAGGTGTGTGCCACCACGCCTGGCTAATTTTTGTATTTTTAGTAGATACAGGGTTTCACCACGTTGGCCAGGCTGGTCTTGAACTCCTGACCTCAAGTGATCTGCCCACCTCGGTCTCCCATAAATGCTAGGATTACAGGTGTGGGCCACCACGTCCTGCCCAGCTAATTTTTCTATTTTTTATTTTTTGTAGAGACAGGGTCTCGCTATGTTGCTCAGGCTGGTCTCTAACTCCTGGCCTCACGTGATCCTCACACCTTAACCTTCCAAAGTGTTGGGATTACAGGCATGAGTCACCATACCCAGCCCCGAAGGGCCTTTTGAAGATGCCTACTTAAAAAGTCTTGAAAGAGGTCCAAAGGGAAATGTTAGAACTTCCTTATTTTAGAGCAAATCTCAGGAAATATGGCAGTGTTTATACATTATAACATTTAGATAGTACAACAACATTTATAACAATGTTTGTGCATTAAACTAATATGTATACAATGTAACAATGATGCACAGTGTAATATTCATATGACATGAGACAAACTGGAAAATAAATAATTGTGCTCCTAAATGCTTTTTAAAGTAACATCAGATGAGGAGGTCTTCCGCTTTCAGGTTACCCTCTTAGCAAGTTTTCTTCCTACTTGCTAATAGGTCTACAAGGTCATGCCCTCATTTTGTGTGCCGAGGCACAGCGTGGGCATCTCCCAGCCGTTTTTTTTTTTTTTCCGTCTTTTCCTTTTGCATCCTCCAGAGGGCCTCCTTAGCCCTGCAGAGGTAAGAGGTTTAGGCAGTGAGTAGTGAGGGCAGGGAGCTCAACTGGGCCCCAGAGCATTTGGATTCACCAACCTTTCCAGATAGAAGAGACCTCAGAGGCCTTATTTTCTCAAACGAGCTGAGAAAGACTTGCTGGAAGGCCACTGCGGAGCTAGTGGAAGGTTCCGGACTAGAACCTGACTTTCAGTTCCTTCTTTATTTTTTCTTTTAGGAGGTGGGCTCCCCGCCCTCACACTCCCTTCTCTTCCTCTTCTTCCTCCTCCTACTTCTTGAGATGAAGCTATTGCCAGTCTTGACTGAGGGCCAATTCTGTGCCTGGTACTGTGTAAAGAGCTTTAGTTATGTGTGATTCTCACAAAACCCCATGAATTAACTACCATCATTATCAACTCCTTTCACAAACGAGGAAACGAAGGTTTTTAGGGGCAAGTAAACAACCAACCAAAAAACTTGTTTAAAATTACAAAGCTGGCCAGGCGTGGTGGCTCACGCCTGTAATCCCAGCACTTTGGGAGGCTGAGGTGGGCGGATCACTGGAGGTCTGGAGTTTGTGACCAGCCTGGCCAACCTGGTGAAAAGCCCGTCTCTACTAAAAATACAAAAATTAGCTGGGCATGGTGGCATGCACCTGTATTCTCAGCCACTTGGGAAGCTGAGGCGGGAGAATCACTTGAACCCAGGAGGTGGAGGTTGCAGTGAGCTGAGATCGTGCCGCTGCACTCCAGCCTGGGTGACAGAGTGAGACTCTGTATTAAAAAAAAAAAAATTACAAAGCTAAAAAAATGAGGGCAGCAGAATTTGAACCAGATCCGACCCCAAAGCTGGTGTTCCCACTTGCCTGTGTTGTCCTTTGAATCGAGTTACTAGAGGCTCAAGATGCCCACGTCATAGTCCAGACCTCTTTGTTCCTGCTTCTTTCCTTCCCTGCCTCCCCTTCTCTACCTTCATCTTTCTCCCCGCCATCCCTTTCTCCCCAGCACTCTACCCTGATTCCGTGATGCTTGAATTTTAATTCCTCTGTGGAGATGGGGTTACAGAAGAGATGTGGGCTGTTGGGGTGGAGTTAAGTTTCTCAGGAGCACAGGATGGCTGCTGGACTTTTCTTTATGGGGTTTTGTTTTTGATCACAGATCGATTATTTCTTTCAGTGGGAACAGTTTATAGAACTTAGAATGCAATCAATGAAGAAATATGTTTTGATTTACAGATATTCACTTTTTTATTGTAGTAAAAATGCGTAACAAGAAATGTATTATCTTGACCGTTTTCAAGTGCACAGCGCGGTAGTGTGAAGTGTATTTACATTGTTGTGCCGCAGAACTTTTTCATCTTGCCAAACAAAAACTCCGTATCTATTAAGCAACTTTCTCTCTTTCCCCTTCTCTCTAGCCCGTGATAACCACCATTCTACTTTCTGTTTCTATGAATTTGACCTCTTTAAATATATCATATAAGTGGACTCATACAGTATTTGTCTTTTTGTGAGTGGCGTGTTTCACTTAGCATACTGTCCCCAAGCTTCATTCATGTTGTAGCACGTGCTAGAGTTTCCTTCCTTTTTAAGGCTGAACAATATTCCCTCATGTGAATGTACCACATTTTGGGTATTCATTCAACGGCTAATAGACATTTGGGTTGCTTCCACCTCCTGGCTATTGTGAATAATGCTGCTATGAACATAGGTGTATAGGTATCACTTCAAGATCCTGCTTACAATTATTTTGTACGTATATCCAGAAGTAATATTGCTGGATCATGTGGTAATTTTGTATTTAATTTTTGGAGAACCACCATACAGTTTTCCATAGTGGCTACCCAATTTTACATTCCCACAAGTGTTCAGTTTCTCCACGTCCTCACCAACACGTTTTTTTCTATTTTTTGTTGTTGTTTTTTGTTTTTAATTGTTGTTTTAAATCATATCAGCTGTCTTAGTCCCTTTGGTGTTGCTATAACTGAACACCACAGACCAGGTAATTTATAAAGAATAGAGGCCTATTTAGCTCATGGTTCTGGAGGCTGAGAGGTCCTAATGCATGGTGCCAGCATCTGGTGGGCCTTCTGGCTGTGTCATAACACGGTGGAAGGCATCATGTGGCCAGAAAGCAAGAGTGTGAATATCAGCTCGGGTCTGTCTTTGTCTTCTTAGAAAGCCACCAATTCCATCATGGGGGCCCCATCCTGATGACTTTATCTAATTTTATTTACCTCCCAAAAGCTCCAGCTGTAATCGACCTAAGAATTTTAGTTGCATTTCCCACACTTTTAATACTGTCACAGTGGCAACTGAATTTCAGTACATGAACTTTGAGGGACACATTCAAACCATAGCAGTAGTCATCCTAACAGTTATGAGGTGAGTGACTGGGTTTTAAATTAATATTCTGTATTAGGCACTGTGCTTGGAGTAGGGGCTACAAAGATAAAGTGTGTTTCCTGCCCTCGCATCACTCACAGTCTTATGGCTAGGCTAGTGTTTCTGTGGGTGTGAACACTTGTGCTAGCATCAGCTTGATGTTGGTAAAAGTACTGATTCCTGGCCGGGCGCGGTGGCTCACACCTGTAATCCCAGCACTTTGGGAGGCCGAGGCAGGCGGATCACGAGGTCAGGAGATTGAGACCATCCTGGCTAACACGGTGAAACCCCATCTCTACTAAAAATACAAAAAATTAGCCGGGCGTGGTGGTGGGCACCTGTAGTCCCAGCTACTCGGGAGGCTGAGGCAGGAGAATGGCGTGAACCCGGGAGGTGAAGCTTGCGGTGAGCCGAGATTGCGCCACTTCACTCCAGCCTGAGCGACGAGTGAGACTCCATCTCAAAAAAAATAATTAATTAATTAAAAAAAAAAGTACTGATTCCCAGGACTCTTTCTAGACCTCCTGAATCAAGAGCTCTATATTTTTAGAACAAGCCTCCAAAGACACTCTTATGTACACCATTGGGCTAGGTCAGTAGTTCTCAATTTGGCTGTACATTCAAATCAATTTCTGGGTTCCTCCCAGGGGTTCTGATTTAACTGGGTTGGGATGGGCTCCTATGTTTTAGAACTTCCCAGGTGATTCAAATGTACAGTCAAGGCACATTTGGCGAAACACTGGACTAGGTGATTTCTAAATTCTTTCCAGATGTAAAATTCTGCCCCCAGCAGCATTTTTTTAGTTCAGCAAATATTTATTGACTTGTCTCCTCCTTTCAGGGCTCTGGGTCAGCCAGGGTGTGAGGGTCAAGAAAAGACTGGGCTCAAATAGGCGGCCTTGAGTTCGTATCCTGACTCATTCATGCTGACTACCAGGATAACCTTTGAGAAGTCCCCAAACCAAGAGAGGGTGATAGAAGCCTAATGAAGAAAGTCTCTGTAGAAGATGAGAGAGGTTCACTGTGCCAAATGCTGCTAAGAAGGGGTGAAGGATGAAGACTGGGAATGAGAAAGGATTGTTGGATTTGTCATTGAGGAGGCCATTGGTGACTTTGATGAGAGAGGCTTTAATGGAATAAAAGAGAAGGAAGCCTGATTGGAGTCAAGAACGGGAGGTGTGCAGGCAGAGCAGTGACAATAGACAGCAACTTCTGGGAAGTCTGTGGCAGAGGAGTGCAGAGAAGTGTGAAGTACATTGCGTCAGTTGTTTTTTATTAGAATTTCCTCCACTACTGCTAACACTGATTGGAAAAGCATTTATTAAGAACCCAATTGATCAGGCACTTATGAGCAGACTCTTGACGCAACCCTTTAGTGTCAGTGAATATATTTTGGGGAGCTTACTTTATTATGGCATTTGGGTTTTTTGGTTTTTTTTTAATATGAGAGTCAAATTGTTCTGATTGAAGCTAACTCAGAGACATTATTAAAGCATAAAACTTATTGCCAGTTTTTTTGCTGAACTACAAGGGGCTAGGACTAGTGTGTGGGGGGCATCTCACTGGAGAAAACATTTCCTAAGACTGAGAACCAGTACCAGTTCCCACATGCAGGAGAGGATGGCTGTGTTTTTACTCCTTCTTTTCTCTCTACTTTTCCTTCTTCATCCATCTCTTTTCTTTTATTTTCCTCTTTACGATCCATTCCGCCTCCATTATCCTCCTCGTTCTCTTTTGCTTCCTTTGCTTGGCACACGATGCCTTTATAGATGGGCTCCCATCTCATCCTCCACCCCCAGCCCAGCTCTCACTGTGCACTCCTACGTGTTTTAACTGCTCCAGTGAAGCTCCCCCCGGCTCTCTGACTGTACAGTGCCTCTCATGTCTCTGTGCTCTTGCACGTGCTGTTCCCTACCTTCTTCTTTTGGCGAACTCCTACTCATTTGTATTAGGGTACTCACTAAGCCACTGTAACAAAGAGACCTTGAAAACGCTGGTTTAGATAGGAGAGAATTTTATTTCTCTCTCATGCTGCAGTCCAGAGGCAGGTGGTTTCGGGCTGGTAGGGAGGCTCAATGTGTAGTTTTCAGCTCTGGTTCCAAAATGGCTGCTCTGGCTCTTACCATCACATCTGCATCCCAACTAGAAGGAGGAGAGAAGGGACAAGGGGACTATGCACCAATTCTGTTTAAAGGCATGACCCGGACATTGCACATATTACATTTACTTATATCTCACTGGCCAGAACTTAGTCACATAGCCACACTTCACTGTGAGAGAGGCTTAAAAATGCAGTCTTTGGTTGGGAGAATAGATATTGGCAGATGATAGTCTCTGCTGCAGGATCCTTCTAGATCCATGTGGTGTCTTCTACTCCAGGAAGGCTGTTTCACCTGGGAGTGCCCCCATTCTTCTCTCCAGCATGACATTCACCATCCTGAGTTGGGATTACCTCGTCCCTTGTCTGTTTTCAACTAGACTGTAAACAGACAGGGCCTGTGTGTCATTTATCTTTGAATCCCTAGTACCGATACCAGTGTTGCCGCACTGGTATAGCATAAATGACTCCTGAGCAGAGGCATTGGGGGCAGTGGGACTCGGGCACTGTGCCTTTATGGTGGGAGGGAGGGCAAGGGTGGTCTGGCAGGTCAGCCAGCTGGTTGGCCCCACATGTAGCTCCCTCGCCTCCCTGCCTTCCTCACTGGAGACATCCAGGAAGCTGCTGGTGCCCATAGAGGGGTGGCTGGGAAAGGGCAGCCCCATTCCTCAGCCAGGTAAACATGCAATCCTGAAAAGTGTTTAATCCAAATATTTATTTTAGGTTCATGTCATTGTATCTCTTACCAAGTCCAAAGGGTGATGGGGAGCAGGGTGTGGCTGTTTCAGCCCTGCACTGTTTGTGGGTGTGACCCGCACTTCTAGACTCCCAGGGCATGTGGCCACCCCTCAACTGGGAGGTGGTATGTTTCAGGGCTCTTTCTCTCTTGCTCCCTCTCCCTCACCTCTATGGTCCCAGCAGGCTTTAGCCTCTTCCCCTCGTTTCCTGGGCTTCCAGTTCCTGTTGGGTCGTAGCCTCCACACTATTTTCTGCTACTCTGGGGTCGTCTCCTAGAGATGAGGAGCAGGAAGCTTTGGACCCTACTGGGGTAGAAGCGTGGGGAGAGGGCAGGGGATTGGCAGAGTGGGTTGGTCTGTAACCAAAAAGTTCATATTCTCAGTCGGGCATGGTCATGCCTATAATCCCAGCACTTTGGGAGGCTGAGGCAGGCAGATCACCTGAGGTTGGGAGTTCGAGACCAGCCTGGTCAACATGGCAAAACCCTGTCTCTACTGAAAATACAAAAATTAGCTGGGTGTGGTGGCACATGCCTGTAATCCCATCCATTCGGGAGGCTGAGGCACAAGAATCGCTTGACCCGGGAGGCAGAGGTTGCAGTGAGCCAAGATGGCACCACTGCACTCCAGTCTGGGTGACAAAGCGAGACTTTGTGTGAAAAAACAAACAAACAAACAAACAACTCGGCCAGGTGTGGTGGCTCACACCTGTAATCCTAGCACTTTGGGAGGTCGAGGCGGGCAGATCACAAGATCAGAAGATCGAGACCATCCTGGCCAACATGGTGAAACCCCATCTCTACTAAAAATACAAAAATTAGCTGGGCATGGCGGCATGTGCCTGTAATTCCAGCTACTCGGGAGGCTGAGGCAGGAGAATCGCTTGAACCCAGGAGGTGGAGGTTGCAGTGAGCCGAGATCACACCACTGCACTCCAGCCTGGCGACAGAGTTAGGCTCCATCTAAAAAAAAAAAAAAAAAAGCTCATATTCTTAGTTACCTACCGGCCTGTTTCTCGTAACTTGTTATTGTGAAAGAGCCAGCTGGCACTTCTGCACCTTGTCCTAGGAGGTTTTGGGCTCCAGAAATGTGTGTATGTGAGGGGCCCCTTCCCCTAGGTCATCGTCAGTGTCTAGACCTGTTCTCACCTGTTAGCAGCTTCATGACACACCCTGTTGTGTGTTCCCAGCCCTCTGCAGCGCCCTCACATGCTTGTTTGTGTGCCACATCTGCCCTCCTCTCTTGCCTGCAAGCTCTAGGGGGGCAGGTGATAGGAGTTCCATTTTAGACATAAGGAGGCTGCCATGCAGAAGGTCACTGATGTGTACCAGATCACCCTGGTGAGTTGTGATGGGATCGGAAGTGGTGGCAGGGTCTTCTCACTGCAGGCATGGGAAGGGTGCACGTGCGTATTTCATGATCATGCTCTGAGAGTGACCCAGCTGGGAATGTTTGCTGCTGCTGATGGACTGATTGAGTCCAAGGGCTGAATTTGCACACCTGGGTATTCTCACGGCCAGCTTGAAAAATAGATTTCCTGGGTATCCCCTGAGAGGTCCTGTTGATGTCAATTTTCAGGCCAGGAAGGTGTATCTTTTCCCTTCTATGATGCTCCTCCCTCCTATGATTGTTGAGAATAAAGTTCTTTCCCATCTGGGATGTCAAGCTGTCCCAGGAGGAAAGAGGAAACATCACTTACTCCATCAGGCCAAGCACTTTGCTATGGACTGAACATTTGTATCCCCCCAAATCCATATGTTGAAGCCCATTATCCACAATGTGACGTTATTACAAGGTGGGTCCTTTGGGAGGTGACTGCGTTTGGATGAGGTCACAGGGGTGGAGCCCCCACGTTGGGACTGGTGCCCTGATAAGGGGATGAAGAACCCTGAGCTTTCTCTCCGCCCTGTGAGGGCTCCCACCAGAACCTGACTGTGCTGCTTACCTGACCCTGGACTTCCAGCCTCGAGAACTGGGAGAAATAAAAGCCTCGTGTTTAAGCCACATAGTCTATAGCGTTCTTGTCAGAGCAGCCCCACAGGACTAAGACACGCATAGTATTTTAGAACTTCTGGAAGTTGAGGCTGCTTTCAAATCAGCCCTGGGCCATTGCTAGGGTGGGACTAGGCCTCCAGGCACTGTGAGCCTCAGCCTGAGGCTCTGTGGGATTTGGAATTGTCAGCCAATGTCCACTAGATATTCTTCATCCTCTGGGAATGAGAGACGGGCCACAATAAGGTAGATGGTGGACTTGTCTCTTCCGATGTGTCTGGTGGCTTAACTGAATTTCCCTCTTGCTTTCGGAAGAGTCTTAGAGTCAAGTATCTTCATTTCCAGTATAATTCGCTTTAATACTCTCTAGTATGCCAGGCACTGTGTGGGGTGCTTAAGCTATGATTGTGAATAAGGCCCTTTTCCTGCTTTCAAGAAACTGGAGGTTCCGATGCACGTGGCTAAGTATATTGTAGGAAGTGAACTGCTATAAAACTAGATGTGCTTTGCCCATATGTGAGTAGGAAAGTAGGCTTAACTCTCAGTGTTGCCAAAGTATAAAGCGCATGCCTTGAGGGTTCTAGGGAGGAAATGTAAACTTGCCATTTTTGTGTTTTGAGGTGGTTCTGGAGGTTTAATATTTAGTGTACTTTCACCAGGGAGGGATTGGAGCTGCCAGACAACTGATGAGGTTATTACAATCATTTAGAGAAAAGACAGTGGGGACCTGGAGTCTTTGGGGTAGGGGATGTAAGGAAAGTAGGAAATTTGCAAGATTTTCAGAAGAACTGCCTGGCCATGGCAATTGTATGAGAGTGGGACGTGAAGGGAAGATTTAAGGATGACTGTGGTCTCTAGCCTGGGCCACTGGAAAACGGTGGCACTGTTAACCGAGACAGGGCTCTGGGAATGGAGCGCTGGTGTGGGGAGCAGGTGGGAGGGGCAAGGAGTTCACAGACTATGATACAGGTCAGGATGGGTGAGGAATAGGCTCAGAGGGAATGAGAAGAAGGAGCCCTCGGGGAGATGGGGAGATTACAGGAGTCAGGATCCACAGCATGTAGAAACTATGTTCATGAGTACTCAGTTAAAAAAGGGATGCTCTGTGTTGGAGGAAGTATGTTGTCCTTTCTCCTCACTGGGATCTTTTGTACTTTTTGTTATCTCTTTATGGGTAGTCAGGGAATTGAGTTCATAGGAAATCAAAACCCCACCAGTGATCAAGGGAGGAGAACCTTCTGGAAGCACACAATGCCCTGGCCAAGGCATTGCAGCCATAGGCACCCAACTACTACAGGGTGGAGTTAAAGAAAGGCTCTGTCCGTACACCAGAAAAGCATTCTGTTTTGGCTAGACTGTGCTAGAGTCTTTAATAAGACTCCAAAAATAACAACTCTGTTATAACCAGCAGGCTTTATCTTAGAGAGAGAAGAATCCAGTTAAGAATCGCTGCTTGATTTTTTTCCCCATTAAAAAAAAATAGTTTCAACTTTTATTTGAGATACAGGGGTACATGTGCAGGTTTGTTGCCTAGGTATTTTGTGTGATGCTGAGGTTTGAGGTATGATGGATCCCATTACCCAGGTACTGAGCATAGTTCCCAGTAGTTAGTTTTTTGACCCATGCCTCCCTCCCTTCCTCCTCTAGTAGTCCCCAATGTCTATTGTGGCCATCTTCATGGTCAGTTCCCACTTATAAGTGAACATGCTGCTTGATTTTTGAAAACTTAAATTCCCTCTTAGACTCTCTTAAATATTGCAGTTACTTATGCACCAACCTAATAGTTTCTGAAACTCTGAGCAGGCTGCATGGATACAGAACCAAATCCCACTTGGAACAGTCTAGCACCTTGTTACTCAAAGTGTGGTCCCTAAGCCAGCAGCATTGGCCTCATGTGGGAGCTAGTTAGGATTGTAGAACCCAATGAATTAGAATCTACATTTTAACAAGATCCCCACTGAGTCATACGCATATTAAAGTTTGAGAAGTATTGATTTGGCACAGTGGATTTTAGATACAGTTTTGCATTGGATTCATTTAGGTAAAATGTGTCATTAAAATAACACAGCTTTCCAAGCCTCAGCCCTGGAAATTCTGATTTAGTCAGGCAATTCTCTTGGGTAACCAGGTTTGGAAACTACTGGCTTCTAAAGATTCCAAAATTTCTGTCGATAGACAAATGGCAAAAATTTTAGTAAATGGAAATCTAGTTTGAACTCCACGTCTGTTTGCTTTACATTCATGATAATGGCCAAAGCCTCATGGCTTTTTGAAAAAAAAAAAAAAAAAACAAACAAACAAACAAAAAAACCCATGTCTAGATTGACATTAGACATGACTTGTCCCCTTCCTCTCAGGACATCTTGATGCATGATGCTCAAGAGGACATGTGTTTCCCCTGGCCCCGTGGCAGGGACCATACACTGGCAAAAGTTGAATGGGCTTGGCCAATTCACTGCCCAGTTTGAAAGCAACTAAAGTCAGCTGATGTTTACCAAGTGCTCTGGGGATGAAAGTAATTACCCAAGAACCAAACAATGTGATCTCCATTAGTTGCATAGTTTGTCTCTGTAGAAGATCATAGCTTGAAGGGGCCTTTCAGAACTCTCCTCCAGCTCTCGCTTTAGGGATAGAGAAAGAGAATCCATGGAGAGGTTGGGACCTGGATTCCAGCTGGTTTCATTCAAGAGGGAAGGATATTTTGTTGTTTGGAAAATGGATCACATATTTGTTGCCTAATCAGAGGCGCAAAATGAACAAACTTTGTATTCCATGCTTAATCTCAAGTGCTGGGGAAAGTGCTGTAAACACAGAAAGATCTGGCTCCTAGAGATTGGCCAGGACCGTAAGACACATGGAGTGCAGATGCCCTAGGAATTCGACAGCGAGTTCTCCAACGCTGAGATCTTTAATTAAACAGGTGTTTGGGAAGTAGGTCCTGTGTAGCTTCCAGCCTTGGCTGGGCTCGTCTTGCTGAAAAATGGCACCGACCCAGCCCAGCAGCAGGCCTGAAACTGGCTTCACTTGGAGGTGTAGGAATGTGCCATTGTTGTTTTCTTCTTTCTTATCAAGCCCCATTAGCTTGAGCAAGGAAGGAACAAAAATGGGCTGGGAAAACATGTTATTTCACTGGGTAAAAATTTACTACCAAGGAAATGATTTTTGCCATATCCAAAAAAGGAAGAGTGGAGGCCTTGGAAAGGTGTGTCTTCCAAGGGCTCTTGGAAAGCTTCTCCCAGTGTCACCCAGTGAGAATGTTTCCCTTTGGCTGATGGCCGTTCTCACACAAGAACTGAGATATTCAGCCGACGTTAGGTACACAGGCTCACAAAGTCAGACCTTGCCTGTTCACAGTATTGGAGCAAAGAAGGCATGGGAAGAGGCAAGAATCAGATTGTGAAAAGGTTGATCATACATGGCCATTAGGCACACGTACCTTTATGCTTTTGGATGCCTACAATTATAGAATCATAGATGGGCCCAGAGATGCCTGGGTGCAGAGGTGGAGATGGAGACTCCATGAAGGAATGTACCCTGGCTTTCCTTACCTCTTGTCCAGATCTCCCGCCATATGCCTGGGGCTCAAGGGGGAGAAGTCCCTGGCTTTGGCTGTAGTTGAATCACAGAACTAACCATGCTTATAGCCCATGAAACCCCTGGGCTGTCATCCTGGTGTCTTTAGTGAATTCTAGAACAGCATCTGCAGGAGGCAGAGACCAACCTTCTTCTATCTTCCACAGCTGTCAGAAACAGCACCTCCCCGGGGAAGGGAGCTATGTGCCAGGCAGTCAGGCTGGCACCTGTGCTCCTGTTAATTCATGAACTCTCACATCTACCTACGAGGCAGGCTACATCAGCCCTGTTGCAGAACACCCAAGGATCCAGTAAATTGCCCTGCCTTATTTAGTTACCAAATGTGGGAGCCTGGATTCACACCCAGCTCTGTCTGCTCCCAAAGTTCTTATTCTTTAACCTGCTAGTCTTTTCTGGGGAGTTCTCAGCCCTTTGGTGTATTTTTCTTTTAAACTTTGGTGCTTGGAGAATGACCTAGAAAATGTTCTCCCTATGGGCATGGGGAACCATTAGTGTTTTGTTTTGTTTTGTACAGTTTTTAAAGGACATTTTATTTCTGTTAGAATTTGTGTTATGAAAACAAAGTATTTTCAACTTTCAGGAATAAATGCTGAACTGTAAATACATATATGTATATAATATGTGCATTCAAATATAACACATAGCTATCATACATATGCATGTTATTTATATTTGAACATATTTATGCATATTTAATGTGATATATTAAGTCTGTTATAACTGCCTATAGAGATTTTATTTAATAATCTGTGAGTTAATACTAAGATCATACTTGGAACCATTACTTTTATATGGGATAGAAAAGTGGGTTGTGTGATGTTTTCTGAGAACCAGCCCACTCCCAAGGGGAGGACATAAAATGGGCATAAATCAACAATGTAATACCCACGAAGCTGTCTGAGAACTCCATACAGTGAAGGAGAGGAGTGCCAATCACCACTGGCTTCCTCTGCAGAGTCCTGCTCCAAGGACTGGAACGGTCAGCAGATGTGTGGGCTGTGGCCCTTTCCTGTGCTGTCCGTGAGTCACAATGGAAGGTTCTGTTCATTTTGTTGTCCCCGAGATTGTTGGACAGTTGTATTTTGATGTGTTGAGGCCAGTTTCTTCATCTGGTGCCTTTGTAAGATCTTTTCTGTACTTGAAGGACATTCTTTTACTCCTTTAAAACACACCAGCCTGAGGGACATCCCTTTATTCCCCTTGTCTTTGCATATCTGCCCACGTAAAGCTTACTGTCTGGCTGGGGAATGTGAGACATAGCTAAGGGTATGAAATCCTAAAAGAGTTTCCCAAATATGTAGGCCACTGTCCTGGGGCCTGAAAGCCCTTTCTGTCTATGGCCTCCTTGGAAGGCATCGAGGAGGTGATATTGATGGGTTTTGATGACTTTCCTAAGTGAGCAGTTGTTTCAGATTGAGAAGGCCACTCTGTGGATGTCTCAAGGGAGAGGTGCCAGTGCAGGTGAGACTGCAAGGTCACCAGAGCTGTGCTGCTTGATGCAGATGACGACTTCTTCCTGGCAGGGGCAGTGCTGGGCTTTTCCAGGTTCTGGGAGAGCTGGTGAGCGCTTTCCTCCAGTTGCCAGGGTGCTGGTCATCTGGGCAGCAGATAGTCACTGCCTCACCTGTGGGGAGCCAAGCTATGGTTGCTGTGGCAGAATCCTCCAAGTGCCCAGGCACCCGACTGGTGTGACAGCAGCCAGGAGGGAGCAGGGAGATGAGAGAACTCCCAGTAAAGTCTGCTTCTGGGTACCATACAGCGGGAGGGAATATGCTTGATGCCAGCTCTTCCAAAGGTCATGGAGGCTGGGGAGGACACACACACACACACACACGAACACACAGCCGCTGTAGAGCATAAAGAATGAATGAATGGGGGCCGGGCACGGTGGCTTATGCCTGTAGTCCCAGCACTTTGGGAGGCCGATGCGGGCAGATCACGAGGTCAGGAGATAGAGACCATCCTGGCTAACATGGTGAAACCCCATCTCTACTAAAAATACAAAAAAATTAGCCGGGCGTGGTGGTGGGCACCTGTAGTCCCAGCTACTCGGGAGGCTGAGGCAGAAGAGTGGTGTGAACCCGGGAGGCAGAGCTTGCAGTGAGCTTAGATTGCGCCACTGCAGTCCAGCCTGGGCGACAGAGCGAGATTCCGTCGCAAAAAAAAAAAAAAAAAAAAAAAGAATGAATGAATGAATGAGTGAGCAAGTGAATGAATAAAGGATTGAATGCACCCAGCATTCTTTTCTCTTAGGGGACTCTTCCTGACTACTGCACAGGAAAAGAAAGCAGACCCTGTTTGCCCATGAGGATACTGACCCTTGCTCAGGTTGTCATAGCTTGTACTTTTCCACTGATGCGGAAAGGGAGGCCCTGCCAAAGAATGTCCTTGGAGTGATTCAATGTATTTTTCCTTCTGTGATTTAAGTCAAATGTATTTAATGTAAGAAGTTCCGCTGTGAGCTGGAATGTGTGATGAGTCTTTCAGCCTCCCCCCGAGAAAGCCCACCGTGTGAACACTTCCAGTTTTAGCTCCATCAGGTGTGTAAGCTGACAGTGGTTGGCGTGGTGGTGGCTGTTTTTAAAGTACACACACCCAAATGGGCTTGTCAGCTAGTTGGCTGGAAAAACCTTTCTGGGGGCTGCGAGGGATTGATGTTTGCCGTTCATGTGTTCATTCATTCAATAGTTCTTGAACATTACCAGGGACACAGCATTACACCAGGTGTGTTTTCAGGCTATAAAGGTGAGAGATTCCGCCCCCCCCGCCAAAAAAAACTTCAGGGACTTATTGACGTCTCAAAATATAGTTTCTATTGACAATTCATTAAACAAGTTAGTGAAAGTTAAAATTTTAATTTTAAAATCTGTATTTTAAACAAAACAAATACAAAAGTGTCGTATAACTGAGTTAATTCTTTTATTTTTTGAGATGGGGTCTTGCTGTGTTGCCTAGGCTAGAGGTCAGTGGTGCAGTCTTGGCTCACCATAGGCTCAACTTCCTGGGCTCAGGTGATCCTCCCACCTCAGCTTCCTGAGTAGCTGGGACTACAGGTATGCGCCACCACACCCGATTAATTTTTTGTATTTTTAGTAGAAACAGGGTTTTGCCATGTTGCCCAGGCTGGTCTCAAACTCCTGGACTCAAGCAATCTTACCCACCTTGGCCTCCCAACGTGCTGGGATTACAGGCATGAGCCACTGCGCCTGGCTGAGTTAATTCTTTAGTTCAGTAAAAGTGCTGGAGTTTTTAAAAGAGTGAACTTCAAGGATTTTGATCTTCGGCCTGAATACTTCGCACACATGCCCACGATGGGGCCCTTTGTGCCCTTCTGAGTCCAGCCTGGCCTGCTGGCATGCGTCTGGTTTCTCTCTGTAGGACTTGGCAGGCACAGTTGTGTGGGATGCAAATTACGCAAGCACAGAGGCTTGGGAACTTGCTGCCACCAAGCCTCTCCAGTGATTCTTCTCCTGTGTTGGTCACCCTCACCCTTCATTCCCCTCAAGGCAGGAAAAAGAACAGAAATTCCTAAGGCAGTGTTGTTCCCAGCACACAATTGCCATCCATCACTCCCTGCTGGGAAAATGTAAATACGCACCAGCCGATAGTGGCACTATTTATTGTCATAGACTTCACTGTGGATTTGAGCAGGAGCAGCTTCTGGCCAAGCATTATTCACCAGCTCCCCTGGGAGGCTGTGCTCGGTGGGCAGAGCTGCATGGAAGGGAGGCAAAGGGGAGGCTGGAGTCCTTGCAGCTGAGAACAGGGCTGGGTCTTTGCCACTGAGGCTGCACATGCTTAACATCAGGGTGGAGTGGAGGCTGCCGTCATCTTGGCACTAGGTTCTTGGAGGTCGTTCATGTTTAGAGGAGGGAAAGCCACTTCCATAGGATTCCCAGACAGCTGTCATTTTGGGGTAGGGTGGGGACTGATCAGCGTTGTTAGTGTTGGGCTGTTGCAGGTGGATGGTGGATTTGTAGCCATATCACCTGAAGCCGAGGGACCACTGCTCACCCAGTTGAACGTTTTACTGAAGCTCACAAAGCCCTATGCTACACAAGGCCCTTGCCCTCAAGGAGCTTGCACTTTTGGGTCTTAGACACCCCCATCCCCACCGTACGTATTCAAAGAAGCCAACTGAATGGATGATGATCAAGTCTGCAATCTGCAGTGTCAGGAGGCAGACAGCGTGGGAGTGGGGTCAGTAAAAAGCAACAAAAGCTCAGCCCTCCCTCAGCCCAGTCTGCCAGCTCCCCCCTGAATCTGCTTGGTCCTGGGTGGCATGACCTCTGTTAGACCTGCACGGAGTAGACTTAGAGTCAGGCAGGCAGGGAGGCCTGGACTCAGCTCTTGGCTTGGTGCTTACTAGCTCTTTCCACTCAGTTTTCCCATCTGTAAAATGGGGATTGTGAGCCCACCTCACAGGGTGATGTGAGAGTAAATACAAGTAACAAGGTAGGTGTCAGGCACATAACACAGGCTCAGTGAATTGCAGCTTTCAGTATTACTTCCGACTGCACCATGGTCCATTCGGTGAAGGTGGAGAAAAGGTGTAGATGAGCAAACCCTGATGCAGGAATGAAGAGGGGAGGGAAGGTGACCCACCAAGGTGCAGGTGAAGGCAGGGCTGACAAGGAGAAAAGGTTTTGGGGTCCTCTGGACCAGGCAGATCCAGGAGGCACCGTGGATCCTTGTGGAGTAAATTAATGTGTGAATATTTAATGAAAAGTCTCTTCCTTTAGGTCAAAGTGAGAGTGTGGCATCGGGAGGTCCATTTCAGGATCTTGGGCGCTCTCCCCTAAAGTGCAGTGCAGGGGAGAAAGGGGAGGAGGATGTTTCAGTTTCAACAAACAGTTTTGAGCACTGACTGTCCACACCAGATGGCTTGGGAATGACCATGAATATGGCTCGATATCTGTGCTCTGAAGCTCTAAGTTAAGAAGGGACCGAGGTGGATGCAAGTATCTTCATGCCACCAGACAGATGGCAGTGGGCTCTAGAGCAGCATAGAGAGACTTGCTGTGAGCAGAGGACAGACAGAGATTAGCCCCAGGAACTATGGAGTGGAGCGAAGACTGGAGAGCTTCAGACCGAAAGATTTTCACGGGTGAATACCATTAAGCAACTGGACTGCCAGCTTCTGTTGGCAGGGAACTTTTTTTTTTTTTTTTTTTTTTTTTGAGACAGGGTCTCACTCTGTCTCCCAGGTTGGAGTGAAGTCGTGCGATCTCGGCTCACTGCAGCCTCCACCTCCTGGGCTCAAACGATCCTCCCAGCTCAGTCTCCTGAGTAGCTGGGACTACAGGCGCATGCCACCAGGCCCGGCTAATTTTTAATTTTTAGTAGAGACGGGGTTTCACCATGTTGCCTGAGCTCGTCTTGAACTCCTGAGCTCAGATGATCCACCCATCTCAGCCTCCCAAAGTGCTGGGATTACAGGCGTGAGCCACCATGCCCAGCTGGGGACATTTCCTTTACTTCTGTTTTGTTCTCAGTGGTGTTTATCATAGTCCTGTGCACACAGTAGGTACGCAGCAGACCCCTGTTTAACATATGAATGAACAAGCCTAATACAAAATGGCTTTCTAAATCAAGTAATGGTTATTGTCAAGGTAATGCACCTTCAAAGAGCAATGGCATAGGATGGCAGAAGGATTCCTGAGGATAAGGGTTCCCTTCTTGGCCATTTCCCTTTGTGGATTTCTGGTGAGCAGACTAGCTCAGCCTTCAGTAGAGGTCAGTGTCTCCTAGAGGTGCCCATCGGGGAAGCACTGCCACCTCCTTGGGTGTAACCTAGTGACCTTATTAACTGCCTCCCAGCCAAGATGAGCCACTGGCACCCCTGGTGGCTCCAGGGCTCTAGATGGATGTGAGTGACATTCTTTGGACTATGTCTGTATTACAGATGTGGACGAGTGTGCAACAGATTCCCACCAGTGCAACCCCACCCAGATCTGCATCAATACTGAAGGCGGGTACACCTGCTCCTGCACCGACGGATATTGGCTTCTGGAAGGCCAGTGCTTAGGTAACAGCTCTCTGGGGGGGTCACAGGGACTCTTGGAAGTTAACGGTTGCCAGGGGCATTTTGAGGTATGGGCATAGCTGGCTGCCTGAGGGTAGTAAGCTTTTCTTTGCTAGGGAGGGCGGGAGGGGTGGAAGGCTATTGAACTCACATGTGTAACCACCCTTGAAAATCAATTGCCATCATCGCCATCTTGTCATCATTATAGTTTTTGAATGTATTTATTTATTTTTGAGACATAGTCTTACTGTCCCCCAGGCTGGAGTGCAATGGCGCAATTTCGGCTCACCGCAACCTCCGCCTCCTGGGTTTGAGTGATTCTCCTGCCTCAGCCTCCCGAGTAGCTAGGATCATAGGCATGTGCCACCACGCCCAGATAATTTTTGTATTTTTTGTACAAATGGGGCTTTTGCCATGTTGGCCAGGCTGGTCTTGAACTCCTGGGCTCAAGTCATCTGCCCGCCTCAAAAGTGCTGAGATTACAGGTGTGAGCCACCACGCACGGCCTTGAATGGTTTTTTTCGGTTTTTTTTTTTTTTTTTTTTTTTTTGATATGGTGTCTCCCTCTGTTGCCCAGGCTGGAGTGCAGTGGCACGATCTTGACTCATTGCAATCTCTACCTCCTGGGTTCAAGTGATTCTCCTGCCTCAGCCTCCTGAGTGAGTAGCTGGCGTTTCAGTCATGTGCCACCATGCCCAGCTAATATTTGTATTTTTTGTAGAAACAGGGTTTTGCCATGTTGGCCAGGCTGGTCTCGAACTCCTGGGCTAAAGTGATCTGCCTGCCTCAGCCTCCCAAAGTGCTGAGATTACAGGTGTGAGCCACCATGCCCAGCCTCAAATATATTTTTTAAGGGCTATGGTTTTGGATGTATTTTTTAAGTTTGATTTTACCTTGACTTTCTTCCTGTCTTCACGAAGTTTATATCCAGGCCAGGAAGTGACAGAGGTGAGGATGATTTTGCTTTAGTTAGAAATAATGCTAAGAGAAGGGAACACTTTCGCTTAGTCACAGAAATGTGGCAAGTCTTGAATGTGGATCAGTAGATCCTGATCTTACATCAGTTCCTTTCAACACCCTGTCTTTGCCCTTCCCCGCCACCAACCACCACACCCACCCCACCGGCTATGGCCTTCCATTTTACTCCTGAGGAGTCAGTCATCACCAATTGAGAACTGCCTTTGCAGTTAGCATCTGCTCTCTGATCTTTCTGTTTATTTTACTGGAAGGTTATTTTCCTTTCTTCCCCTCTAGTTTTGGGTTTAGCCAAGTGAGTGAATTCACAGCAAACTCTAGCTGTCACTTCAATTTCTAATTCTAGGGTGTGATTTCTATGCTGTGTTTTCTAGAAAAGGCCCTGCCAGTTTAAATTCTCTAAGACACCATTCTGTTGCCTGAAAGTCAGTCCTGGAGGAGTTGAGAAACAGATCCAAACGAAATCATGGAAACAAAGAAAAGCTACCTCTTTCTAAGTTTCTTGATTGAGGCTGAGTAGGTCTGCCCTCAAGCCCCGTCCGAAGCATCCTTGAGGCCTAGATTGGCTTGATTCTCCTTTCCAGGCTTGCACATGGGCGTCTGTGAATATGACAGTCACTGTGCATTCAAACCAACCTCTGCTATAATGGAAAATTTGATGCTACTTATTTGAACATAAGCAGATCAGTGACAGAGAGTTATTTGTACAGGAACTTAATATGTCGAATTTCAGAGCTGGAAAGGATGTTGAATATTATGTCATCCAACTTTTATAGCATCGCAGACTGAGACTCATAGAGAAAGAACATTTTAGACAAAGTGAGTTGGGTCTAACTTCCAAGTCTCCCGTGTCTCAGTCTAGTTTTTTTTTCCCACCACAAGGGGCGCTGGAGTGGTAGGGGGAGACCGGGCTATACCAGCCCTGTTACAGAAACCCTCTGATGTGAGGGGTGCCAGCAACTCGGACATTCCTCTACCTGGGAGGGTTGTTCTCTTCCTGGGAGCATGGAGCTGTGGAAAGGATGCTCATGGATGCCTAGCATGGTACCATGTGGCCCAGCCACTCATATTCACATCTGAAAGGAAGACGTCGCCTAATTATGGCTGAACTCCTGCCCTCCCCTGGCTAAACTCACCTTTCCCTTTCAAAATGCAAGTTCCATAGCCACACACTGTCTGTTCTGTGTACCACTGAAGATGCTGCTTTTGCAGAAAAATGAGGGGTCAGGGGGGCTGCCTTTTTTCCAAGGTACCCGTAGTGAAGGGTACCCTCTCCAGCCCCTGCTGCCTGCCTGGCCTTGGTGATGTGCCCAACTGCACTCTGGGAAGAAGTCAGGGCCAGCCACTGTACAGCCAATGGGCCCTCTATGCAAGAGCTGCTCTGCACTCAGGGGCAGTGCAGTGGCCAGGTTAGAAGTAGCCGGGACTTAGAGACAAAACAGAATCACAGGACAGGGCACAGAATCTGAGAAGGGCTGAACAATAGGTAAGGGATCAAGATGGATCTGGGAGGTGGAGTCCTTCCTGGCAGTAGGTAGAAACCAGGCACAAGGACTGAGGCTCTAAGCCGGCTTCCAGAGTCCTGGATGGCCCCTGGTTCCAAAGGAACAGGGGGACCAGGGAGGAAACCTGGTTAGATTGGGGGAGGTGGGGATAAGGACCAGTTCCAGCTACAGTCAGATCAACTGGTCACAGCAGGAGCCTGTATTGGTGCCATCTCAGACTCTGCCAGGAGGCCGGTGATTTCATTCACTACCCTTACCCCACAGGAATGAATTCTCCAGCCCATTATCACATCAGCTTGGGGTGTTGAGAAGTGCTTTCCCAATGACATCAGGCTCCCCATTGATGGATACATATTACAGGGAGGTCACATTGCCCAGCTCTGCTCAAAGGATCCATTCACCCACAGTGCCGCCGCTTTCCCTGGCAAGGCCAGCTGTGGCTTGGAAGAGATGTGTTTATCCAGAGTTTTATGTTCACTCTGGTGCAAGGAGGAGATTCAGGGTGAATTCCAGTGCCCTCATGTTACTGGATTCATGGGTCTCCAGGGTCATGCTGCCCAGCTCATCCCAGCCTAACTGGCTCTTGTTCCTGACAGCTGGACATATTCATTGTTCATGGAGCTGGCAAGGAGCCTATTGGAGTGATGCTATGGATTCTTCTTACGTGTTAAGAAGAATCCTGGGCAGTGGAGCCTCTATATGGAATCTTTGAGTTGAATCTTAACATTGGATAAATCTTAAGAGCTGGGTAATCTCAAATCTTAGAGCTGGGAAAAATTGGAGAGTCCATCTTGGATAAACCTTAGTGTTGAATCTTAGAGCTGGGTAAAATTGGAGAGCTCATTTTGCCCAACATCCCAATCGAAGCAGAAATTTCTTCTGCAACTTTTAGGATAGGTTCAGGTATTTATGGGACTGAGATGGGTCGAGGAGGGGAAAGATTGTGGGGAGATTGAGCCTTGTATTCGAGACAGCATCACCATCCGTGACACTCAGTAGGCACTGTCTTGGCTCCTGTTCCCATTTGCTTCCGTTCATGATCCTGTTTGGGAAGAGCAAGGCAATCATGCCATGCTAGTGGGGGCATCATTGAGTGAGGAGACCTGTCTCACTTTGCTTGCATTTCTGTTTCCAGACATTGATGAATGTCGCTATGGTTACTGCCAGCAGCTCTGTGCGAATGTTCCTGGATCCTATTCTTGTACATGCAACCCTGGTTTTACCCTCAATGAGGATGGAAGGTCTTGCCAAGGTATGTGACGTGCATGATAACTTGGACATGATGTGAGACACTAGCTGCAGCCTTCTTCAGCACCTGGCAGCTTATGTTTGTGGGAAATACTGCTGCTACAGTATATTCCCATTCCTTGCCACTGCCCGCCCATCCCCATTACTACAGAAACGTGAGACCTGAACCTTGCTATGCGAAGCATCTCAAAAAGTGCTCTGAATATGGCTGAGGGTAGGACCCCAATCCTCCACTGGCTGGGAGTGTACAGTTTCATGGATTCGCTTCTTTTCTGTGTCTGCTATCCAGAAGTAGCCTTGCTGGCTTTCTTGCCTAATCAGAAATTTGGTTGCATGTCCTGTAGCCTAAGTTCAGTTCCTGAGGCCTGAGGAGGGTTGGTCAGGGTCCCTGGCCCTCCAAGAATCATAAAATAAACACATCCATGCTAGGCAGGGGTGTCGTGGGCGATTCTGAGGTCTCTTGCTATACTTTTCCCTCCAACCTGTGCCAGGATGGCCTGTTCCTCAGCAAAGGGTCTGGTGGTGGTGGTAACATCCCCTGCTACTCAGCGTGCCCCCACAAAACCAGACTGAAACAAAGGCATTTTGTGGTTTTCACATGATCATTTGAAATACTGATAAGTAAGAAAAACAAGTTGCATGCCTATTGTGGTTTCCATCTGAAGGTTTCTTCTGCTCAGGAAGTGAATGGGGGACTTAAGACCCAAGGAATTAGCGCAAATCCTGCTTTGGCCCCCGACTTCCCCCTCAAATTCCAGCTCCCGGCCCAGGCCTCCAGCCCCTGGCAGCTGCTTGGCCCAGGTTGGAGTTGGAGGCAGTGCTGCAGACGCAGAATGAGGTCTTTGTCTGGAGACCTCAGGCTTTGCAGGGCCCATTTCCTTGTTTCATTCACCCTTGGAGTTCTGGCTGGCAGGCTCCTGGCCATTGAGTTTGGAGGCTATTAGGTCTCCTTTACTTTAATTGTATCTAAATCATCGGTAAATAGGAAGGCATCAGTGTTAAAGAGTTTGACCCTGGATTCTTTCTAAGTCTCTCCTCCAAAGCTTGTTCTGCTAATTGTTCCAAGAATTCTGGACTGTGTTCCTCACGCCAAAAGAGGTCATTTTCTTCTGAGAGTAGACACCAGGCCAGGAGGTTGAGGAAGCGGATAAACAAGGGCCCTTCCTTCCCACTGGAGCAGGAGGGGGCGCCTGGCTCCCTTGCTGCTGTGATAAGCAGCTTAGGGCAGATGCAGGCTTCTCTGTGCCAAGGCCTGGGATTGGAGGTGCCAGCCACAGGCTGGCACCGTGCCCCCAGTACCTCCTGAGGCATAGCCATGCCCAAGCCAAAAGGTGCCTGCGTCTTTCAGGCCTCTGAGGGACAGGTGTGTGACAAAGAGCAGATAATACACCTGGCAGTGCCAAGTCCACAGCATAATAAAGCAGCAGGCCCGGCACCCAGGCCTGGGTATGGGCACTCAGCCACTGGGATGCTGCATCAGCAGGGCCCATGGGCAGCACAGGGCGTCGCATACTCCGGTGAGCTTTTGCAATCCTGACTCTTCGTGTGTGGAAGAGTGCTGTACACGCTAGAGCATTGTCACGTCTGTTCATCTCACTGAACCCAAATAATAAATAGCCTCTTGAGGTCAGCAGGCAGGTGTTTGTGGCTCTGCTTCACTGAGGAAATAAAGGCTCAAAAAGGTTAAGCAACTTGGCCAAAGTCACACAGCCACGTGGTAGCAGATCTGAGAGTAAAACCAGGGGCCCAGACTTCTTGTCCAACAGGTTGGAGTGGGGCCCTGTGTGCCCTCAGCAGATTCAGAAGGGCATTTGGAAAGGGCTGGCAGGAAAGGGCAGTGAGAACCCCAGGGGGGCAGAATCATTTTGGTCGCCCTGCTCTTCAGAAGCAGCTGAGAGCGGTGAGGGGGTGGAATGAGTTCATTCACCTCCGAGTGGCCAGCGCCTGGCCAGAGGCTGAGGCCACCAGCCCTAACACTTGCCGGCACTGTCCTGTCTGAACTTGCACTCAGTGGCTTAGCACAGTGGACATTTTCCTACCCCCTCCTGTCCCCGGTGGGGAAACCCCAACCTCCCACGGGCACTGGTGGGGGCCAGTGTCTTGCTAGACCCTCTCTCTACAGCTGTTCATTTATTTGTTTTCTCCCTGAGAGCTCCAGAGATGCTAGGAGGCAGGAACTTTGTGGCCATGGGATTAGCCTCCCCTGTAAGAAAAGCCTCTCAGTCTGCTCACCGTGAAGGCTTTTAGCTCTGAAAACACTGACATCTCTTTTCAGAGGCCTAAGAGGTTTACATGGACTTGGGAAGAGGATAGAAAATCTCTCAGTTGGAACTTTGGCCATTGGTGTATGGAGCATTGTGGGATGGTGCTTACAATGGGTCAACCAATGCCAGTGGGAAAGAGACTCTTCCCTGCCCTCCCCGCACGATGAGCTGTGCAGAATGAATCTTGGTTTTTGTGGAAAAACCCCTGACTCATGTTCCAGTTCCCACTGTGTGTCCTTGTTAGCTGGTGGACTTGGGTACACCTCTCAATCTTCAAAAACAATTATATGTATATGTGTGTGTGTCTGTGTGTGTGTGTATATATATATATATGTATTTTTTTTTTTTTTTTGAGACAGAGTCTAGCTCTGTCAACCAGGCTGGAGTGCAGTGGCGTGATCTCAGCTCACTGCAACCTCTGCCTCTGGGGTTCAAGCGATTCCCTTGTCTCAGCCTCCCAAGTAGCTGTGATTACAGGCACCTGTTACCATGCCTGGCTAATTTTTTTGTATTTTTTTAGTAGAGACGGGACTTCACCATGTTGGTCAGGCTGGTCTCGAATGCCTGATCTCAGGTAATCCACCTGCCTTGGCCTCCCAAAGTGCTGGGATTGCAGGTGTGAGCCACTGCACCCAGCCTATAATTTTATTTTATTTTTTTTTGAGACAGGGTCTCACTCTGTCACCCAGGCTGGAGTACAGTAGCATGATCTCAGCTCACTGCAGCCTCAATCTCCCAGGCTCAAGTGATTCTCCCTCCTCAGCCTCCCGGGTAGCTGGGACCTCAGGCGTGTGCCACATCACCTGGCTAATTTTTAAATTTTTTGAAGAGATGGGGTCCCACTATGTTGCCCAGGTTGGTCTCAAACTCCTGGGCTCAAGCGATCCACCTGCCTCAGCCTCCCAAAGTGCTGGGATTACAGGCATGAGCCACTATGCCTGGTCCTTCAAAAATGCTTAAACAATCTTATTGATGCATAGTCAGTGTATAATAAACTGCACCATGATTTTATTAATTTTGACATACGTGTACCCGCATGAAACCACCACCACCACACTCAAGATAATGGATTTCCCATTAGTCCTTGTGTCCCTTGGTGGTCTTCTCCTTAACCTACTTAACCTCTAAAGTGGGCCAATGGTCCTCGTTGTAAGGATCAAGTGAGTGCAGGATCCTTCCCTAATGAGCAAAGTTATTTATGCATAATAAATATATTATTAGAATCATCATGGTTATTTGTTAACCTGAAACTTCCAAGTCAGTGAGGGTGAGGGGTGTTCACTGATGGAATGCAACCGGTGATGGAAGGAGCAGGTATTGCCTGGAAATTCCTGGTTGGGGGGGTGCGTTGGAGCATAGACTTACCAGCAGGTGTATATGTGTATATGTTTATATCATGTGTATACATATGGTTTCCACTTTGCCTGACTTTTGACCCCAGAAGGGACATGTGGATGGAGGCCCCGGTCCTTAAGTGAACACTTTTGGATCTAAGATCATGCTCCCAAAGGTCCTGGGTGGAGAGCCTTGGTACCTGGGACTCTGGTCTCCTGGTGGTGGTAGATTTCGTTGCTGGTGCTTTTTCTGCCTAGTTATTGTGGCTGTTCTGTTGGGAGGACAGTCAGCAATGTGCCTTGGCTTTCCACAGATGTGAACGAGTGTGCCACCGAGAACCCCTGCGTGCAAACCTGCGTCAACACCTACGGCTCTTTCATCTGCCGCTGTGACCCAGGATATGAACTTGAGGAAGATGGCGTTCATTGCAGTGGTAATGGGCTTTCGCATTGGAAACTTCCACCTGTACTTGGGGCCTGGGCAGGGGTTGAAGGGCAAGGGCTTCCTTCATAGGTGTTTCCTCTCATTTCCTGGACACATGTCCAGTTTGGGACATCCTCCAGGGCAGTGGGGTCAGAATCACACAGAACAGAGATGAGTCACTTCCCAAAAGGTGAGGTGGAGTCTCATCTTCCTTGTCATCTGACCCTTGATGCAAAAATTAATGGGGCTACCTTCTAGGACAGAGGTGGGGTTGAAGAGGGAGAGCAGTCACCCGATTTGGCATGTTGGTTTGAGAGCTGTCTGTCCTCACCCAGCACCGACTCAAGTCTTGGGGATATCACAGAAAGTACTTACAGAGGGCAGTGACCCAGGAATAATAGCATGTCTTATCGGGTAGGGTTGGGGGGAACATTGAATGAATGAGAACATGTATGGAAGCACATATGTTCTGTGAACTTCTGAAATCTCTACAAATAATCAGTGCCTCACTCCAGGCCTGGCACCCAGGGAACATGCAAAAAAAAATAGTTCTCGAATCAATGGATAAATGATTGAATGTTGAATGAATGAAATCGTAATAATTTGTTGTGAGAACATAGATATGATGGGTTAGTTGACCTTTTATAAATTCCTTCCAAGCCCAAGGAAATAAGATTTTCTGCCCACACTAGTTTATGGACTCTATTATAATTTTCTTATTAACTCCCTCTTTTTTTCCCCTAGAAAGTTAAATTTTTTTTCTTAGTTAGAAAAATATTATTGGATTGTAAACTCCTTGAGAATAGGGACCACCTCTTACTCACATTTATCTCTGTAGCATCCCACATAGGGCCACACACAACTCCTTTTCTTTCTTTCTCTCTCTTTTCCTTTCTTGCCTTGTTTTTTGTAAAGGTTAGATTAAAGTACACTCCATTTCAGCCACTTCTGGCATCATCAGCAGTTGTGAATTTGCAAAGTCTAAATTAATAATGCTTCACTGTGCTTTCAAAATAAGTGGGCCATACACTAGGGCGTGAAAAATCTTTCTGTCCTGCAGAATGGAAAGTTTCCTAATCCGGGTTTTATTGTAACAGGAACTGACCCAGGTCATGAATGGAACTTGTGTGATAGTCTCACTGACAACTGAAGTGTTCTGGGGACAGCGTCCCATGAAACAGATGAACACCTCTCCCTAGGGCCAGGACAGTCAGAGCCACAAGCAGGAAGTTCCAGAGAGCCTTGGGCTGATTAAATACAAGGCCCAGAAACAGAAATAAAATACCCTCAGGCATGAAAAGCCACTTTCTTCCTAGATTTCAGTTCCCTCCGTGGCACTCCTTGGGGAGTTGGGGCCAAGGAACTAAGAAGTGTGGAAAATCCAACATTATGTGGTGAGATGATTTGTTTCTCCAGAATCCT
Organism: Homo sapiens; assembly: GCF_000001405.40. Taxonomy (NCBI): domain Eukaryota; kingdom Metazoa; phylum Chordata; class Mammalia; order Primates; family Hominidae; genus Homo; species Homo sapiens. The sequence goes on along the minus strand of NC_000014.9, from coordinate 91,885,780 downwards.
CCGTTAATCCGCAGACGTTTATTGCCCTACTGCATAGGCCATATGGTAGAGTGACCCTGGAGGACCTGAGTTCAAATTCTAGCTCTGCCATTTACTATTTTTCTTGACCAAGTCACTCCCTGAGTCTCAGTTTCATCCTTTATTAAAAAAAATCAACCAGCCAACCAACCAACCAACCAACCACCCTCATAGAGTGGTCAAAAATTAAATAAGTTGGCACGGCCCAGAGGGTGGCCCAGCTCCAGGCTGGTTCCAGGCTGGCTGGAAGCTGCTGCTTCCCATGTCCCAGGGAGGATCCAAGGTAGGCGGGCCACTGAGAGACAAATATTCCTGCCTACCCCACAACACTCTGGACTTTTCTCTTTCAAGGAGGTTTTTTTTGGACACAGTGGAGTTTTAGTCATTACATGTTAATTTATCTTCCCTAAGTGTAGGTGTAAGAGACTTTTGGCTTCTTGAGAAGCTTACATCCATGCCGATTTGGCCAAGATTTTCAGTTGACTCATTTTGCCCCAAATGGCCAACTTGTCCTCCATGTTCTCCATGATGCACACCCTCCTGAAGACTTGGTGTGACCCCGGGATATGTAGGCTTTCTAGAGCAGACTGGCCCAGGATAACAGGGTGATGGAGAGAGTCTGTTTCTGCACCTTCCTACTTAACCCCTTTCTGCACTTCTCCATTTCCGCAGGCACTGTTATCCTCACTGTGTTATCACGGCTGGGGTGGCCTCTCCGTGTAGCCCCAGACCCCTCCTAGCCTTGTCTCTCAGGGATTTGCTAAGCTGAGCTGTTCCTGGAAACCATGGTGGGTTCTCATGTGGAGGAGTGAAAGTGGCCTAATACATGCTCCCTGCCAGAAACTGGGCTTGTATTTCAGCTTTCCACTGGAGGGTGGAGCCACAGCCCTAAGCAAAGTCTGGGAATTGCAGACCCAAAGATAAACCGAGTAGGGTCTGTTACAGCCCCTCCCTGCCCAGTGGGAGTTGGGAGTAGGTGCTACGCTCTCCATCTGCCCTGGAGCTAACCCTGCTTGGGTGCTTGCCCCAACCTCAGGGCTCCCCAGCTCCGCTGATCCCTCAGCACAGTTACTCAGGGAGACGTTACAGTGTCGTGTTTCTAAGTGTAGGATCTAGAGGCTGGGTTCAAGTCCCAGCTTTCCTCCTTACTGGTTATCTGTGAACTTGGTCAAGTCAGCTAACCTCTGTAAGTCTCAGTTTTTCTTCTGTAAAATATGGAGAGTGATAGCACCTCCTTCATGGGGTTGAGGTGAGAATTAAATAAGAGGAGGCATGTAAAGCATTTAACCCACTGCTTGGCATATAGGGAGCCTCAGGAATTGACAGACATCACTACTACTCTACTGAAAGTATGAGTGGAATCTACAAACTTGGAAATAAAATAGGACAGTCAGTTATGATGGGCTGGAGCCAGAGACCCGGGGCTCTACAAGGCTTCTAGGGGAGGCGGGGAGGCACAACCAAATCAGATATTACCTGAGCACACGTGACTTTTCAAATCAGCATCCTAATTCTGCTGGCTGATAACCCATCACCTGAGGACCCCTGAGAGAGACAGGAAGGAGTTTTTCCTTCTGGGATGTGAGAGGCACAAGGCGTGTAACACCCGGAATTATCTGATGGTGGAGAGGCAGCTTCTTTTGCGTTGACACCCTCTCTGGGTGACTCCAGCCACCAGTGGTCTGTGAGTGAGAGAGTAATCCGAGGACATGTCACATGGGGAAACTAGTGAAAGCAAGTTTTTGGGAAACAACAAATGCAAGAACAACATGTTTTCTTTGGCATGCTTATCGAATGAGGCTCAAACAGGGGCTCTGTTGCCAAACTCTGTGTGTGATGAAGAGTTGGCTTTTCTGGAACGTCTGCTTCTGCATCTGCATCAACCGCCATAGCCCATGCGGATGAGTTGTAAATCACATGGACAGGGGCTCCCCTCCACGTCAGGCTGGCTGGAAGCTGCTGCTTCCATTGTCCCAGGGAGGATCCGAGGTAGGCGAGCCACAAAGAGAAAAATTATATCCCTGCCCATCCCTCACCACTCCGGAGTTTTCTCTTTCAGGCAGTTTTTTTGTTTGTTTTTGTTTTTGTGTGTGTGTGTTTTTTTTGTTTTTTTTTTTACACAGTGAAGTTTTAATATAATTAAAATCCTGGCCTTTTGGATATGTCCCTTAATTGTGACTTTAGGAACAATATTGTTCCTGAAGTTGGGGAAAGAGGTGATTGGAGGGGAGTTGGCATTGCGAAAGTTGCCCCTTCAGAGGGCCCTCTAGGGCCAGGGAATGTTTTTTTGGGAAACCCCCAGAAAATCCCAGTGGGCAAAGAAATCTCAGCCCCTTAGGCAGGTCAGAGGCGGAGGGTGGATTCCCCTACATGGTGAAATAGGTTTATAATGAATGGAAGGTGCAGCCGAGTGAGAGGCAGATGTTGAAAGCTCGATGGAGGTGGATTTCAGCTCCATGTAGGAAATAATTTTCTGACAATTAGAGCTGTACAAATATCAATGGTTATCCTCAGTAGGTAGTGAGCTCTCCATTGCTAGAAGTGCTGGAGAAGTGAATTGACAGCTTCTTGGCAGTAAAGCCATTGTATGTATCAAGACAGTGTGAGAGTTGGAGTAGATGGCCACTAAGCTCCCATCCCCATGTAGACTGGGATTACAAACAGCAGGTGTGACTTGTCACCCCAGATATGGACGAGTGCAGCTTCTCTGAGTTCCTCTGCCAACATGAGTGTGTGAACCAGCCCGGCACATACTTCTGCTCCTGCCCTCCAGGCTACATCCTGCTGGATGACAACCGAAGCTGCCAAGGTAAGGCTGTCCGGAGGGGCCTGGCTGGGGTGTATGTGTGAGGTGGAGCTGCTTCAGGGGCTCATCTGGATATCCTCACCTGGGGAATCATGTGCAGCTTTGGGAAGGTGGCAGGGGTGGGGGTGTGAGTGGGTGCTGGTGGCTCTCATAGTGGCAGCTCTGGGCAGGATGCCTGGCCTGTTGTCTTCCTTCCCTGTAACCCGTCCTTTGGCCAGGATATTGGCCACTTAAACTTCTGTAATGAACTCTGCAGATGCAGACGGCAGCCTCTAAGCGTGGCTTTCTGCCTCCCCAGGCAGATCTCTGAGGCTCCTCTGAGAACTGCTCCAGAGCTAAGCAGGACTTTTATGGCCTGGCCAGAGCCCGGGCTTTCTTACGTGGCCTGGAGGGCAGTTTGGTTAGCCTTTCTCCAAGTGATCTCCTAGAGCATGGTTGCCAGGGAGACCTCATGCACCTGACTGCTCTGTTCCTGCAAGGGCTGGGACCCCAGACTGTAAAAGGGGTGGGCCTTCTCCTGTTTGCCTGCTTAGCCTGGGTTCCAGCCCCATGCTCCACCCACTGAGGGGTCATTGCAGAAGCAACTGACCCATTCTCAGCCTCCTTGAACCTGCCTTATCCCATTGCCAAGCAAGAATTCTCCGTAGTAGTGCCAGGCAATAGAAATATCATGTGAGCTACAGATGTGAGCCATCTATGTAATTTTACATTTTCTATTAGCCACATTAAAAGAGGAAAAAAATGGGTAAAATTACTTTTACTACTATATTTTCTTTTCTTTCTTTCTTTTTTTTCTTTTTGTGACAGAGTCTCACTCTGTTGCCCAGGCTGGAGTTCAGTGGTGTGATCTTGGCTTACTGCAGCCTCTGCCTCCCGGGTTCAAGCAATTCTCCTGCCTCAGCCTCCCAAGTAGCTGGGACTACAGGCACATGCCACCATGCCGGGCTAATTTTTGTATTTTGTATTTTTAGTACAGGCGCATGCCACCATGCCAGGCTAATTTCTGTATTTTTGTATTTTACCATGTTGGCCAGGCTGGTCTTGAACTCCTGTTTTTACTACTATGTTTTCTTTAATGCAGTATATCCAAAATATTATTTCAGCATGTATTCAATATAAAAATTATTATTGATGAGATGTTTTACATTCTTTTTTTAAATTAAAAAAAATTATATATATAAATAAATAAAATTAAGAGATAAGACCTTGCTTTGTTGCCCAGGCCGGTCTTGAACTCCTGGCTTCAAGTGATCCTCCTGCCTCAGCCTCCCAATGTACCGGGATTACAGACGTAAGCCACTGTGCCTGGCTCACATTATTTCTTGGTACTAAGTCATCAAAATCTGGTGTGTATTTTCTACTTACAGCACATCTCAATTTGGATCAGCCACATTCCAAGTACTCAGTAGCCACATATGGCCTGTTGCTGCCATATTGGATAGTACAGCTCTGTAGTAAGATCCAGCCTACCCCACCCCCACGCGTCTGGCCTGGCCAATAATGCCCTGCCTCCGCTTCTTGTCTCCCCTGCATTTCAGACATCAACGAATGTGAGCACAGGAACCACACGTGCAACCTGCAGCAGACGTGCTACAATTTACAAGGGGGCTTCAAATGCATTGACCCCATCCGCTGTGAGGAGCCTTATCTGAGGATCAGTGATAAGTAAGTCACGGCGTCCCCCTGGGGAATAGAAACCTGATGAGGGCCTGGCTCAGGAGGTTGGAGGTGTGGTGTGAAAGAGAGTGCACCAGCCAGGAAGTGAGGGGACCTGGCCTACTACCTACGTCATGTGCTCATGCGTGTGTGTGTGTGTGTGTGTGTGTGTGTGTGTGTAGAATAGAACAGAGTAGAATAGATAGAACAGACTGGAATAGAAAATATCAGAGTACATTGCACATAGCAAGAGTCAATATTGTTTTTTGAAACTTATCTTTTAGTTTTGTGTGCTACTGGTTTGCAGTGCAAAGTGTGTTACTGTAGGTTGTCAAAAAGTTTGCAAAACATTCCATTCCAAGTTATAGGGTCTGAAACACATCCCTATATACAAGAAAGAACTATTTTTCAAAATGTTTGACCACAACACACAGTAAGAAACACATGCAAGGCTGGGCACGGTGGCTCATGACTGTAATCGCAGCACTTTGGGAGGCTGAGGTGGGTGGATTGCCTGAGCTCAAGAGTTTGAGAGCAGCCTGGCCAACATGGTGAAACCCCATCTCTACTAAAAATACCAAAAAAATTAGCTGGGCCTGGTGGCACGGGCCTGTAGTCCCAGCTACTCAGGAGGCTGAGGCATGAGAATCGCTTGAACCTGGGAGGAGGAGGGTACAATGAGCTGAGATCGTGCCACTGCAGTCCAGTCTGGGTGACAGAGTGAGACTCTGTCTCAAAACACACACACACACACACACACACACACACACACACGCACGCACACTCCCACAGAGTTCTCTATCACTCCGCTACTCATGCCAGAGCTATGCAAAGATTCTCTAGAAAGCTAACCAAGCCGAGAGTTGAGTCAGGGTTCTAGAATCTCCTCTTCCCTCTAATGACTTTGTTCTGGATACATGGGGTCTTTCAGAGGTTGGCTTCTAAATGTAACACTCATAGGACTCACCTGGTGATCTCGTTAAAGTGTGATTCAGTGGGTTTGGGGTGGGGCCCAAGATTCCGCCTTTCTGGCAAGCTCCCAGGTGAAATGAATGCTTCCAATCTCCCTGGACTGCTCCGTGAATATTGAGGTGCTGGAGAGTTGAGTATTGAGGTGCTGGACAGTTGAGTATTGAGGTGCTGGAGAGTTCTCTCGTTGGTGCTAATCAAGTTTCTGACGTCATCTTGGTCAACATTTTACTAAATCACCAGACGGCAAATATTAGAGTTGAGGAGAGAATTAAAGTGAAGACAACTTCCAAAAGGTGAATGCAGTAGGACAGTGGCTTTCTGTTCCTGGCATAGTAGGAGTTCCTTTTCCTTCTCTTTTATCCCTTTTTTAAACCATCTCAGTTCCTCCTTGGCCTCCTATATTCCAAATGTTCACACATCGACTTCCCTTGAGCAACACCAAACCCCGCATGGGAGACGAAAGGATGAATCAGACACACCCATCCTGCCCTCTCGGAATACAGCCTCTAAGAGAGGAATTCATGGCTTACCAGTGGTACCCACTTTGATAACAAATTGGCAAAAGAGAGGATAATGCCGGGACAGGCGGATCCTTTAGGGACATCTTCACTTGTTGCTAAGAGCTGTGCTACTAAGCAACCCTTTAGAACAGGGCTCTTTGACCCCCGACGTAAGGCCTGTTTGTGGCAGAGCAGAGCTCCAGGCTGCTCTTCCCAGCTTCTATTCCTGGTTCTCTCTGGGTTTTTCCAGGCCACCCCGTCTGTGGCTGGGGAGCTGACCCATTTCAGCTTGCAGCACTGAGCTGGAGTTACTGGTGGAGTCTCTGGCATGACGCTGACAATGCTCCGTGACTCCCTCACTCCAGGCTCCAGTCCAGTCAGACTCCGGCAGCCCCTTCCAGCTCCTTGTCCAGTTCAGGTGTCCTGTGCTCCTGCCAGTCTGAACAGGACTTGCTCATGCCTTTACCCGTGCCCAGGAATGGCCAGCCTCCCTTCTTGTGTGCACATACTTCCGGCCATATGGAAGGCATTCCTTTCATTTCCACATAGCCAGTCCTGCCCCATCTTTCAGATTTCAGCTCAGATGCCACCTCTCCCAGCTGTTTGTGGTCCTCTTCAGCTGGGAGCCATCACTCCCTCCTCCAAACTTCTTTTAGGAAACAATGATTTTCTATGCTGCACATGATACTTTATTGTGGCCATTTTGGCACTAGAGACATTTTGACTTGGCTATTTTGATGCAGCCTTAAAAAAATGAAACTTGCTCTGCCACCCAGGCTGGAGCGCAGTGGTGCAATCACAGCTCATTGAAGCCTCAACCTTTTGGGCTCAAACAATCGTCCTGCCTCAGCCTTTTAAGTAGCTAGGACTATGGGTGTGTGCCAGTGCTCCTGGCATATATATGTATTTGGTAAAGCCAGAGGTCTTGAACTCCTGGACTCAAGTCATCCTCCTGCCTCAGCCTTTCAAAGTGCTGGGATTATAGGCATGAGACACCATACTCTGCTCAGAATGAATGGAAATTTATAAAAAGGAAGAGTAGGCTGGATGGTTTAGATGGAGGAGTCCAAAGGCCTCTCTGAAAAATGACACTTGGGCTGGAATGGGAAAATGAGTTGACTTTAACTAAATAGAGAGTGGAAGATCAGAAGGAACAGCATGTGCAAAGGCGAGAAGGCAAGAGTGCATTGAAGGCACTGGAGATGGTTGGATGTGGACTCTCTTTTGGAAGTAGAACCAACAGGTTTTGTGGATAGATTGGAAGTTAGTGGCAGAAACACAGCAAGGTTGACTCCTAGCGTTGGCCACCACCGCGCGTCTCAACAGACATCTTCATCCTATTGTGAACCCTGGCCCCTAGGTGGAGTCTCAGGGCAGGGTCAGAGACAGAGGAAGGGGGTGTTAGGGGTGAATCAAGGGGTGTCTATAACAGGCATTCTTTGGTAGTAAAAGTCAGTGATTTTATATTAGGGCACTCTGTTAATAGTTGCTTTGTATTAGAGATATTTGTGTCTGTGGTTTATTTCTCCTATTAGAAAGTAAACTATCTGAGGTCAGGATCTTATTATTCATTGAATTTCCAAAATGTCCAATGTCACATCTTGTACATAGTTCTAACTCTTGCTTATCAATTATCGAATGACAAGATTTGATTATATTCGATTCAGTAACATTCCATGCAGACTGGGCTGAGCACAATAGAGAATGTACAAGGATCCCCAAGACCTGTTAATCCAGTTTCTTACTTTAAAAATTTCTTTCTTTCTTCCTTTTTTTTTGTTTTGTTTTTTTGAGACAGGGTCTTGCTCTGCCGCCCAGGCTGGAGTGGCATATTTGGCCTACGTGGCAAATGTAAAGTATCTTGGAGAATGTTCTAATGTTCTGAAAACCAGAGATCTAAGGTTTGTATTCTATTTAGTAGCCAGAACATCTGGTTGGTGAGAAAAGTCCATTCTCTAGGAAACAGAGCTCGCCTACATGCTGGAGAGATTTTAGACTCAAGCCAGGAGCAGAGACATTCTACAGTTATGGCATTTGGATGCTAAAAATGGGGTGGCCTCATTTTCAGTGTTTTAAGAGAGGAAGTAGGCACAGCCAGCACCTGGAATGGATTTCTTGAGTTCTCACGTGATTTCCCTTTCCACAGCCGCTGTATGTGTCCTGCTGAGAACCCTGGCTGCAGAGACCAGCCCTTTACCATCTTGTACCGGGACATGGACGTGGTGTCAGGACGCTCCGTTCCCGCTGACATCTTCCAAATGCAAGCCACGACCCGCTACCCTGGGGCCTATTACATTTTCCAGATCAAATCTGGGAATGAGGGCAGAGAATTTTACATGCGGGTAAGAGGGAGTGGGGAGTGGGGACGCCATCTGTAACAGTGGCCTTGTGCTGTCTCTCCTAGGAACGTGCTGTATGCAAGCAGGTAAGAGTGGGGCTGGGGGACAGGTAGGCAGAGAGAAGAGTGGAGGGTGTGGTTCAAGGTCCTGGTTTCCACCACTTTCTGTGTAGTCTTGCAAAAGATGCTTCTCCTCCTGAGCCTCAGGATCCTCATCTGTGAAATGGGAAGTTAGGCCAAGATGCAATCTTAGGTCTCTTTTCTCCTAATATTCTGTTGGAGAGGCATTCACGTCTCCACTTTTCAACCAACCCATGTGACAAGTATTTCTTAAGTACCTCCTATGCAGGCCAGGCACGGGGGCTGATGCCTGTAATCCCAGCACTTTGAGAGGCCAAGGTGGACAGATTGTCTGAGCTCAGGAGCTCAAGACCAGCTTGGGCAACATGGCAAAACTCTGTCTCTACAAAAAAAAAAGTTAGCCGGTCATGGTGGCAGGCACCTGTAGTCTCAGCTACCTGGGGCAGTGTGGCGGGGAGGTGGTGTGAGATGGGAGGATTGCTTGAGCCCAGGAGGTCGAAGTTGCAGTGAGCTGAGATCACACCACTGTACTCCAATCTGGGCAACAGAGCGAGACCCCATCTCTGAAAAACAATAAAAACTTGGTGACTTAAGGCAAAGGAAATTTATTCTCTCATAGTTCTGGAAGCCAGGAGTCTGAAATCAGTTTCACTGAGCTGAAATCCAGGTGTCAGCAGGGCTGTGCTCCCTCTGGAGGCTCTAGAGGAGAATCCGTTCCATATCTCTTCCAGCTTCCGGGGGCCGCCAGCACTTCTTGACTGTGGCTGCATCACTCCAATATCTGCCTCTGTGGTCACGCTGCCTCCTCTTCCTCCTCTGTGTGTATCAAATCTCCCTTTGTCTCCTTCTTATATTAACACCTGCGAGTAGATTTAGGGCCCATTCAAACAATCCAGATAATCTCTCTGTCCAGATTCTTAATCACATCTGCAAAAACCCTTTTCCTTATAACGGAACGGGTTCCAAGGATTTAGGACTTGCATCTTTTTGGGGGCTACTACCCAGCATACTGCACCCAGGAATCTGCATTTCTAACAGATGCTGCTGTGATCTTCCAGGGTCACTGTGGGGAGCCATATTGAAAAGGTCCATGGGCGTTTATATGCTTTCATTAGAGACTGGGCCCTATGAAGTCATGGGCCACAAGGCAGGAAGACAGAAATCTTCCCGATAAGGCTGGCTTTCCGAGGGTCCATGCTGTCTGAAGCTGCGGGACCCTCCCCGGGAAACCACTCAGTCATTCTAATGTGAGCTCTGGAGCCATGTCTTCTACAGTTTAACAATTTCACAATTGTGTGATGTGACCTAACACCTCTGGACCTCTAGATGAGTGTTTACTTTAGGATTAGATGAGATTATCCACTTAGTGCCCTATCTGGAATACAGTTTTTATCAAAGAAGTGGAGTTTGGTGGTGGGGGTGAAACAGTCAATGACTTTTTCTTTTTCTCACGCTGTTGGATCAAACCTGTGAGCACCTGGGTTACATCTCACGTCAATTCCCTAGGATTCACAGGCATGTTCCATTTCTATTGGATTGTCTCATTCTCTCACGTCAAAAGTCTGTACTAGTTTAAATGGAAACTTCAACCTCTCTGTCTCTTACCCACTGTGAAGTTTCTCCCTGTCTCCTAGTTCAGAGCAGGCAAGGGGTGTGGTTGGCCTCTGCCCTGTCCTCTTGTCACCCTCCCGGTAATGGTAGTGCTGGCCCTGGCTCCTCCAGGGCTGGCAGGGGAGGAGCAGGTGGTAGAAAGGGTAAGGCTGGAAGAGTGAGGCTCCTCCCCGATTGTAGCCATTGTAACCAGGCATTGGTATTCCCTCAGGAGCAGAGCCCCCAAAGCTGTTGCTCTCACAGGGTGCTTTTGTGGGTCTTTTGGAGATTTGCCTGAGGACTTCACACTGACCAGTCCCTGATATGGGCAGTAGGGCCTGTGGTTGGTCACCTGCTACTCCAAACCTCTCAGCCCCTAATTCTGGGGCTATGTCTCATACAGATGTGCCGTGGTGGTAGTGAGGTGGAGGGTATCACTGCATCCTGGCAGCAGACCTTACACAAGGGCCTTTCAGGATGTCAACATCAGCTCCTTGCATTCCCCGTTCCTCTCTATGGTGTGGGGCAGCTCAGGGCTCACATCTCCAGACTTCTCCTGGAGACAGTCTGGTACCACTTTCTGCATCCTTGAACTTCAGGGGCCTGCATCTCTAAACAGTTTTTCTTTTTTTGAAAACCCCTCTTGATTGAGATGGAGGCTAGTAAGTGTGTTTAATAAAATATATGTAGAGTTGGGCACAGGGGCTCATGCCTGTAATCCCAGCTACTCTGGAGGCTGAAGTGGGAGGATCCCTGGAGCCCGGGAGTTCAAGTCCAGCCTGGGCAACATAGTGAGACCCTGTCTCTACAAAAAAAGATTAAAAAATTAGCCAGGTGTGGTGGCATGACCTGTAACCACAGCCACTCTGGAGGCTGAGATGAGAAGATAACTTGAATCCAGGAGTTCAAGGCTGCAGTGAGCTATGATTGCACCACTGCACTCCAGCCTGGGTGGCAGAGCGAGACCCTGTCTCTAAAAACAAAAACAAACAAACAAAAAAGTATGTATGTAGGCTGGAGGGGGTGATGGAATGAGGGAAACATCTGGCTTTGGATCACAGCTTTGTAAGTCCTGTATAACCCCAATAACTCCACACACAGCATCAGCAGCAAGCCGTGTATAGTGCCTGTATGTGCCAGACACTATTCTAAGTGCTTTCTATACAGTAACCCTTTAATCTTCACAAGAATCCTATGATATAGGATGGTTTTATCGTCCAGATTTTACAGATGAGAGCACTGAGGCACAGAGCTAAGCAACCTGCCCGACTAGTCTCACAACTAATAAGCACCAGGGCAGGATTTGAACCTAAGCAGCCTGGCACCAAAAATCTGTGCTGTTATACTTTTCTTCAGAATGGGGAGGTATGCTTTACCTACTCTTCCAGCTTTGGGGTCTCAGATGAAATGGAGATCACAAGAAAAGTCTAACATCCAGTTACAATAGAAAGTATTCCAGAAATAGCAGTTATGATTGTATAGATACTGTTGTGGCCACTGCTACTGTTGCTGCTACTGCTGCAAGGAGGCTGGGAGCTGCTGGGCCATGGAGAGCTTGGGAATGCTACCCAGGGGACTGGAGCATCGTGTGGGAGGTGGGGCTGGATGGCCATCCAGGCTCTCACACCCTGAGATTCATTGATTTGATTATAACCACATGGGAGGAGCTTCATCTCACCCCGCAGGCAAACCACACACACACACTTGCATGCACACATGCACACACTTATGCCCACATGCGTACGTGTACACACACACACAAGCCCATTCATAAGCCTTATTGGCTGCCTGTCTCTCACTGAGCCCTAGAAAGAGGACTGATGATTGGCTTTGGCCAGGTGGCTTGGGGGTCATAATTAGGGCCAGAAGAAGGAGCAAGGTCATGGGGTTCAGACTGTGCCAAAGTGCACTTACTCCATGACACACGTGGATCAAGTGACAGGGCCCATGGAAGCTGGCCTGCTACAGCGTGGCTGCTTGCCACAGGTCAGACCATGCCATCCCACAAGTTGATTAGAATAAACCTGAGTGTGTTTGGGATCAGGGCCAAGAAGACACACAGCTGGTGGGCTGTTGGCAGCCGACTCCCAGCGTGGTCAAGTCCACTGGCGTTCAGTCATTCGTGTGCATTCTTCCGTTACCAGCGTGCATTCAGCACCACTGCATATGAGGCTTCAAGTCAGGCACTGAGCGTTGAGAAACAAACAGGATGTGGTCTCTGCCCTGGAGGAACCCACACACACCTTAGCGGAGAGGGGGAAAACAACCTAGCAAACACAACACAAAGTGGCGATTCTCAAGTCAAGTCAAGACCCATGGGATGGTGAGTAAATGGAGAGGTACAGAGACCTTATCAGAGAGTGTAGTGGTTAGAAGCATGATTTTTGGAGCCATAAAGTCTAGTACCATGCAGTAGTTTGGTGGCCTTATGTAGTATCCCTAACCTACTTAGAGCATAGGGTTGTGAAGATTAATTAAGAGGTGTAGGAAAGGTTGTAGCCAGATGCCTGGCATCATAACCACCACCGTCATCACTGTCGCCACCATCCTCCTCCTCCTCATCTTTTCGCACCACCAAGCCTACTAATGCCCACGGGCTCTCAGGGGTTTATTTCATTAATGCCCTGGCTCTGCCCTAAAAGCCGAATGTGGAGGTGGCTGTCCTCAGCTCTTGTGGCAGGTACTTGAGCTCTTCCAGGTGCTTGTGGGTAGGGTGGACCCAGGTGGAGGCCGGACTCACCAGCTTCTGCAGTTACTTCCAAATGGGAGAGTCTAGGATTTCAAATGGGATAGTTGAGGATTCTTTCGTACTCAGGAGACATTTACCAGGAGAGCCCAAAGGAACAACTTGGAAGTTTGCACTTGCCCCCTTCTCCCTTCCAGACCTTGGGCTCTGCAGATCTCCCTCTGGAGGGCTGTCCCTAGCTCAGGGTTCTCAACTCTTGGTCTTTGTTCACGCAGTGAAAGCTGGTGAGATATTTGTATATGTAAAGGCTGCAGGCATTTCCTTGTGTGGCTTTACCCTCTGAAGCCCTGGCCCAGGGCTCAGGTTTCGTAAGGGCTGACAAGGAAGTCCAAGAAATCTGCGTGAGGAGGTGCCAATAACGTGGATGCTGACGGGAACAGGAGGAACCAGTGCCAAGAGGAAATTGTGTGGCTGTCAGGCTGCCGATAGCCTCATGGATAGGGGAGGTCCCAGCGCCTGGCCTGCACCTGTCTGCCAGCCCCACCCTTGTCTTACTTGTGGTGGCTCTTGGGGATGTTCAGAACTTTATGGGGCGCCCTCCTTTTATGGAGACAGATAAAACATCTAGTGTAGCTTTAAACCAGCTAGGTTCCTTTATTTTGCAGAGACTGTTGCTTGCAGCTTCTGGGCACAGGGCTGGGCTCTGCAGTGTATGGGAAGTGATTGTCCAGCCCATCCCTTTTCTTCTTCACACTGTTTCCTCTAACAGTGCCAATATCTGTCCCTTGCACTGACCGCGAGCATCTCTCATTAGGTGGGTGCTAGGAAGAAGTGAAACACACATCAGCCTCTTCTGATACCTGCTGTGCAGTGAAAAAAGCCTGGGGCTTGGGGTCAGAAATACCTGAATGGAAGCCCTTGGTTCTGCCCAAGACTAGCTGGGTAACCCTAAGCAATTATTTAACCTCATGGGACCTCAGTTTGCTTACTTATAAAACGGGGAAGTAATGAGTCATACCTTTCATACAGCACTTAGACAAGGACAGCCAGGGCCCCCCCACCTGGGTCCTGTGCTTTTAGATCAATATTTCTCAATACTTAATGTGCACACAAAGCCCTGGGGATTGTGTTAAGCCACAGATTCTGGCTCAGTAGATCCTAGCCCTGAGATTCTGCATTTATAAGAAGCTCCCTGGTGATGCCCATGCTGCTGGTCCAGGGACCACACTTTGAGTGGCAAGGCCTTTCAGGGTTTTATGAGAATTTTTTTTTTTTTTTTTAGCTGGAGTCTCGCCGTTGTCCAGGGTGGAGTATAGTGGTGCGATCTCTATTCACTGCAACCTCTGCCCCCCAGGTTCAAGCAATTCTTGTGCCTCAGCCTCCCAAGTAGCTGGGATTACAGGCACCTGCCAACATGCCCTGCTAATTTTTCTAGTTTTAGTAGAGATGGGGTTTCACCATATCAGCCAGGCTGGTCTCCAACTCCTGGCCTCAAGTGATCCGCCCACCTCGGCCTCCCAAATGCTGGGATTACAGTTGTGAGCCATGGTGCCTGGCCATTTTATGAGGATTAAATAAGCAGATGTACATAAACATGGTTAGAAGAGTGCCTCACACATGATGGGTGCTCAGTTGATGTCATTCCTCTCTGCCTTCCTCCTTGAAAGTTTTAGAAAAAGACTCAGTGGAGGAGAGAGTTCACGCGAAATTATTAGGACCACAGTGATCAGGTTACAGAATGGTGAAGCTGGAGATGACTCTAGGGTGCCTAGAGGGGGGTTCTTAAATTCCACCTTTCCCAGGCATCACCTAAAAATATACTGACATAGAAAATCTTGGAATGGGCCCCTGGAATTGTTAGTTTAACAAAAAAAGTTCCAGTAGCCTTTGATGCCTTTTTTTTTTTTTTTTTAAATTACTGATCTGGTCCAAACCCTCATTTTATTTTTCCTCAAAAACGTTTTTTAAAACTTTTATTCCACTTTCAAGAGTACATGTGCATGTTGGTTGTATAGATAAATTACTGTGTCGTAGGAGTTTGGTGTATATATGATGTCATCACCCAGGTAATAAGCATAGTACCCAGTAGGTAGTTTTTCAATCCCCTCCCTCCTCCTGCCTCCCACCCTGAAGCAGGCCCTGGTGCCTGTTTTTCCCTTCTTTGTGTCCATGTGTATGTACTCAATGCCAAACCCTCATTTGAGAGATGAGCCCCAGAGGGGTGAAGTGACAGCCCTAAGCCATGCAGAAGTTTCAATCAATGATTCGTTCATCATTCAATATATGTTTTCTGAACACCTTCTGTGTTCAAGGCACCATGCTGGCTTCTAGGGGGACTCAGTGGTGAAAAGCCTGACCCCAGTACCTGTTCTTACAGAACTCATAGCCTAGTGGGAGCCTAGATATCAGACACGGATCAGGTAGACAGTATGGACAATCATACATGGTCATAAATGCTTTCCATCCTGTACAAAGTAAAGGCTGCAGCGTCAGAGGTCGCAGGGGGACCTGACTTAGATTGGGGAACCAGAGAAGGCTCCTCTTAGGAAGTGACCTTTCAGATGAGACCTGAAGGGTTTGCAGAAAAGAACCAGGTGGAGAGTGGGCAAAGCCAGGGAAAGAGCATGGCACAGTTGAGGCACCGAGGGGGTGCCAGTTTGACTGACGGAGGCAAGGGAGCGCCCAGGTGGGGCTGCAGGGCCACCATGCAGGCCTTTTCTCACTGGTGTTCCCCGGTTCTGTCCATAGCAAACGGGCCCCATCAGTGCCACCCTGGTGATGACACGCCCCATCAAAGGGCCCCGGGAAATCCAGCTGGACTTGGAAATGATCACTGTCAACACTGTCATCAACTTCAGAGGCAGCTCCGTGATCCGACTGCGGATATATGTGTCGCAGTACCCATTCTGAGCCTCGGGCTGGAGCCTCCGACGCTGCCTCTCATTGGCACCAAGGGACAGGAGAAGAGAGGAAATAACAGAGAGAATGAGAGCGACACAGACGTTAGGCATTTCCTGCTGAACGTTTCCCCGAAGAGTCAGCCCCGACTTCCTGACTCTCACCTGTACTATTGCAGACCTGTCACCCTGCAGGACTTGCCACCCCCAGTTCCTATGACACAGTTATCAAAAAGTATTATCATTGCTCCCCTGATAGAAGATTGTTGGTGAATTTTCAAGGCCTTCAGTTTATTTCCACTATTTTCAAAGAAAATAGATTAGGTTTGCGGGGGTCTGAGTCTATGTTCAAAGACTGTGAACAGCTTGCTGTCACTTCTTCACCTCTTCCACTCCTTCTCTCACTGTGTTACTGCTTTGCAAAGACCCGGGAGCTGGCGGGGAACCCTGGGAGTAGCTAGTTTGCTTTTTGCGTACACAGAGAAGGCTATGTAAACAAACCACAGCAGGATCGAAGGGTTTTTAGAGAATGTGTTTCAAAACCATGCCTGGTATTTTCAACCATAAAAGAAGTTTCAGTTGTCCTTAAATTTGTATAACGGTTTAATTCTGTCTTGTTCATTTTGAGTATTTTTAAAAAATATGTCGTAGAATTCCTTCGAAAGGCCTTCAGACACATGCTATGTTCTGTCTTCCCAAACCCAGTCTCCTCTCCATTTTAGCCCAGTGTTTTCTTTGAGGACCCCTTAATCTTGCTTTCTTTAGAATTTTTACCCAATTGGATTGGAATGCAGAGGTCTCCAAACTGATTAAATATTTGAAGAGAGCTTGTGTTTGGTTCATTTTGACATCATAGACGAGTCAGCCTTTGGGGTTCTAGTTCTGTTTAAACCTGTTTATTGTGCGCTGGCTTAGAAAGCTCTCCAGAGAGCTAGGGCATTATCTGTGACTCTGGCAAATTGATGGGAGGGGGGCGGTGGGGCAGAGAAATAGGGGTCGTGGGGAAGTTAGGGGGAGGCATCATCCCTGAGTCCTGTTTCATCTGATTAGAAAACAACCAACAATCCTTCTCTTACGTAGATTATTTCCGGTGCTCCTGCAGAACAGGAATGTATTCAAGTTACTTTAAACCAGTGGCCTTCAACCCTGGCTGCATAGACGGATAACCAGTAGAACTTTGGAGGAAAGATTGATTCCCCGGGACATGCCCCCAGACACTCTGATGTCATTGGGCTTAGGTAGGGCCCGGCCATCAGGATTTTTGAAAACTTGACTATGTAGCCAGAGTTGAGAATGTATTGTTATAAACCCTAGAAAGAGAGGTGGACAGATGGGGCTGGAGCCCTAGCTGCCTTGCCCTCAATGTCTTTTCTGCTCATTGTAGGATACATTATTCTTTTCCTGGTCAGGGCCTCTGGACATCCTTCAAGTCTTAGAACCCTGTGCAGGGGCCAAGAGAGTCAACATTGCAAGTCACAGGAGAACAGGTTGGGATGGCTGTCTTTATGTGCCATCCCAGGAATCAACCCAAGGCTTCAGGAAAAAAGTGCACTCCCTGATAGCTGAGGTGGAGTCTACAGATCCATCTGAGGGTGCTCCCATCCTACCTGTTGGTGAGGTATTCATTAAGGACCCCCACAGTGCCTATCAGGAGTTGTGTCCTGGACCCCTAGTCTTAGTAGGCATTCCACAGATCCTTGTGATATGGACAGGAGACAGGGAAATACTGGGTAGAAGAGGGTGGTTCCCTGGCAAAGGCCCCACCCTCAAGCCTGGGTACCCATGGCCCTAAATGAGGACAGCCATTCCTGTTTTCATCCCTAAAAAGTTGCCTTTTGGCCTGCCATGTCCCCTATCCTGTACCCATATAAACCCTGAACCCCAGGCTCCAGGCTCCAGAAGCAGACGGGGAGACAAGAAGATGAGCAGACATGAATGGCAGAAAAGCACGGCAAAGAAGGAGAGAAGAGAAGGAACATTGGGAGGAATTCGACTGGAGACGATCTGAAAACTGGCCACTGGATGGCCAAACTCCAGGGGAAGATCATCTTCCCACTCCATCCCCTGTCCAGCTCCCCATCCATCCTACTTAGAGCCACCTCCACCACTCAATAAAACCCCTGCATTCATCCTGCAAATCCATGTGTGACCTGATCCCTCCGGGATGCTGGACAAGAGCTCGGGATACAGGAAACTGTCACACTGGCCCTCTGCCCTGGCAAAAAGGGAGAGGGTCCACTAAGCTGGTTAACGCTTAAGCTGTCCACGGATGGCAAGGCTGAAAGACTGCACTGTTTCAGTGCCTACTCGGGCTTTGGAAGTCACAGACACCGACCCCGGGATGCTGTCATGGGGCTGGGGCCCAAAAGTGCTCACCCTGGTTCCTGCACCTGCCTGTCTGCGTGCTCCCCTTCCCATAAGGGGTTTTAGCTTGGGGTGGCTGAAGAGAGAGCCACACCCCTGTTGCACATCCTGTGAGGGGGCCAGGGAATTCTCCTGTTCCACTTAGTAGTATCTTAGGCCTTCAGTGGAAGGAAACAGCATGTTCCACGCCCTGTAGCATCCAAGAAGCTGCAAGTCCTCCCTCCTCACCCCAAGAGCATTTCTCACACCCACACCACACACCTCACTTTGCTGTTGGCTGTGGTTATTTTTTTCTCTAACTAAGCACATCTAAACCATGCCTAGTTGTGGTTCTTCAGTCAGGGTCAAGTGGTGTTAGCAATCACATCAGCACCAAATGGCTCAGGATGCTCTGGTTTCAAAGCTTATAAAACAGAGGGTGATTCCCTTGGGACTCACTCAGCTCGGCTCCGAAAAGCAAAGGCCAGAAGGCAGCAGTGAGCCTGGGTCCCTGCTGTGTAGGGAGACTCAGGGGCTGGGAAGAAGGATGGAATCAGAAATGCTGAAGGTTTACGTGAGCTTTGCACCGAGCGCCTCCGAACCACTGCCTCTGGGCTCAACAGAACACAGGGGTAAGTCTCCATGAACTTCTCAAAAAGAAAACTGGGAAGCTTTCTGTCTTGATGATTTGAGGACCCACTGGTTTCAGAGGTGCCACATTTGGAACCAGATCCGAGTCTTTAAGGTTTGTGTTTTATTTGTTCATGTCAAAATGTGGCTTCCTGCTTCTAAGAAAAGAAACTCAGGCTCATAAAAGCAGCCTCCAAGGGCTTCTTGGACCTCAAATTGCGCTTTCAAAATGTGGTCTGATGGGTTCAGTGTAAATGCACCAGAGGCATGTGGGATCCATTTACCTTAAAATACACTTGGGCCTAAAAATTAAGAGAAAAACAGTCCAGGGCAAAGTGTATACTGCAAAGTCAAGCTCCAAACATTTGGGAAACAGTTCTAGAGGCTGCTGGAACCCCAAATGCTACTTGCTTTACCTACCCCTTGGGAATCATCAAATGTTATTTTTTGTACAAGACTGGGGATGAGCCTGCTCTCTGATCCCAGTGCTGTGCTCTGCTGTGCAGTTCTAATGGGGCAGGCTGTTTCCTGGACCCTGAGATCTCCAGGCTCCCTGTGCCTATTCCTTGTCAGCTTTGCCCCATCCAGGAGCTGGGCTGAGCTTGTCAAGTGACCTCTGCTTTGTACCACTCCATCAGGTCCTGAAGAATGAAGGGTACCAAGGTGGAAGGGGCGCAGGATTAAGAGTAGGGACGCCTGCAAAAGCTCTCGTGTTACCACCTCATCTTCCAACTTTCATGTGGGTGAAAACGTTCATCCTAAATAATTGCTTCTAATTCTGAAGTTTTGTGATTCCTTGAAATGTACTTTGGGGATGACAGCCAGCATTTCCATTTCACTGCAATTTCAGAGTTTTGCAGTGGTTTGCCAATCATAACACTTTCTAATTGGCACAAAATCCACCTACCTGTTGCCTCTCAGGCTTGGGTAACATACTTCAGACACTTTCTTAGGTAAGTCTTGGCCCTTGGGGTGTTATTTGCCCAGATGGTAAAAACATTTAAGTAGGTCTGATTATTTCATTTTCAGTGGTTTCAACGCATTTTTGTGGCCTGGGTGGTTACTGTAATGTGCCCAAGTTGTTCATTCTGAGCCAACGGGGTCACCCACAGAGAGAAGACTTGACAAAGGAACTCTCCTCTACTCCCCTCTTGCCAGATGAAATATTGTTTGTAAAAGGTCTTTGTCTTGAGAGGATCACATACTTTGGTTAAGAATCCACTTTGGTTAAGCCGGTTGCTGGATTCAGAGACATGAACAGGATAGACAGTCCACCGATAACTTTATAATAACACCTTTTTAATAACACCTTTAATAACTTTTTAATAACTTTAAAAGTTATTAAAACTTTATAAAAAGTTAATCTAAAACTTTAATAACTTTTTAATAACACCTTTAGCCAGGGGTTTATGCAGCATACACGACAAAACTGGAATATAATGTGGTAGGTGCAGTAGCAGGGTCCACAAAATTATTTTAGTTAGATTTTAAAAATTATTAAGACATCTGTTTTATACAAGAAAAATTCTTATGAAAATTTATAGACATGTGTTTGAAATTTAGAATAAGTTGCCTCTGCTTAGAATTATTAAGTATTTTGAAAGGAAACACTAATAAATGCTAGATAAACTTTTTCTTTTTGATACAATTTGTGTTTACTTTAAATGCAATATTTTTTTATCTGAAAAAAAACGTGAGCACTTAGCAAATCTCTTCATTATTTTGGAATTGGCCAATGCTTATAAACTACAAACAAATATACAGATTGTTCCTTGTGCTGATATTTTTGTTTTCAAATTTCTTAGTCCTGTTACTTAACAAATGGCTGATATCTTTGTTGGAATCCCTGAACATAGCTAAAAGATGTTTTTTTAAAAAAAAAAAAAAAAAAAAACCAAGAGGCTCCAAGACAAAGGAGTGCACAGAGGCAAAATTTATCACTTTGGTAGCTTTTGCGGGGATGAAAGCCTCCAGTTAGAATGTTTGACTTACTAATGGTTCTTAATAATGAATCTTAGCCAGCAGCCATCAGAGAAATAAATCATTAAAGTGAGAAAATAGGTGTCAACACAGGAGTGATCTACTGAATTGCCATTTTGGTGTTCTTTCAGAGGGGAACTGCATGTTGACAGGCAGTGACTTTTTCAGGAATTTGGGATATTCTTGAGCAATAATGT
The DNA here is from genome assembly GCF_000001405.40 of Homo sapiens. NCBI lineage: Eukaryota > Metazoa > Chordata > Mammalia > Primates > Hominidae > Homo > Homo sapiens. The sequence goes on along the minus strand of NC_000014.9, from coordinate 91,865,086 downwards.
AAAGATGAAGGCAGGGGGCTGGGCACAGGGGCTCATGCCTGTAATCTGGGAGGCCGAAGTGGGCAGATCACTTGAGGCCAGGAGTTCAAGACCAGCCTGGTCGACATGGTGAAACCCGTCTCTACTAAAAATACAAAAATTAGGTGGGAGTGGTGGCACACACCTATAATCCCAGCTACTCAGAGACTGAGGCAGGAGAATTGCTTGAACCCAGGAGGCAGAGGTTGCAGTGAGCTGAGATTGCACCATTGCATTTCAGCCTGGGCAACAGAGCGAGAGTCTGTCTCAAAAAAAAAAAAAAAAAAAAAAGATGAAGGCAGGGTAAATTGTACACACATACAAATACAGTGCCATTATGATACCTGTTTATTAGGATTTGAGAAATTAATTAACATTGATTTAAGGCCACAGAGTCATTGGATCACTTGATTCTGTTTAAAAGAAGTTTTCGTTTGGGTAGGATTGTTTTGGTTTCAACCTGTTCCTTTTTTCTAAGTCTTCGTTTCCAACCTTCTACTCAGAATGAATTTGACATTGCAAAACTGGCTTGTATCACGATAGCTACTATGCTTTAAAATAGGGTAGGTGCTTTGGCATCTTTGGAGTTTTAACGTATGAACCATTCATAATTTATCCCTAAAGCGAGTGTGGATTGTTTTATTTGTGAACGTTCTACATCCCCTGATCTGAAAACTTACCAAAAAAGCCAACATTGAGATGAAGCAGGGACCCCTTTTAGGGGCCTCCTTCCCCCTACTCCCCTACAAGCATGGAAATAAAGCGAAATCTTGAGTTCCTGCAAGGGAAATTCCAGGCACCCAGCTAGCCCTGAGAAGTAAGGAGCAACTTGGTAAACAAGAAGGTAATAGTAGCTTAAAACAATAGCCAGGGAAGTTAGAGTTGCGAGATGTTTGGTTCCCTCCAGAGACTAAAGGTAACATCTTAACATATATCCCTGAGTTGTTTTTCAGAAACCCAGACCCCCACCAAATGGATCCCCTGGCATGCAGACCTCAGGTAAGGGAGAACTGAGGACTGAATTCTGAGGACTGAATTCTGACCTCTGTTCTTTATTCTGGGTTTTTTTCTTTTTTTTTGCCAGGGTCTGGCTCTGTTGCCCAGGTTGGAGTGTAGTGGTGTAATCATAGCTTACTGCAGCCTCGACCTCCTGTCCTGTGATCCTCCCATCTCAGCCTTTCGAGGAGCTGGGACTACAGCTACGTGCCAACATGTCAGGCTTTTTTTTTTTTTTTTTTTGTAGAGATGGAGTCTGGGGTCTCGCTTTTTTGCCCAGGCTGATCTTGAGCTCCTGGCGTCAAGTGATCCTTTCACCTTGGCCTCCTAAAGTGCTAGGATTGCAGCTGTGATCCACCATGCCCAGCCTCCATTCTTTGTTCTAAACTTTTTCCTGAAGGGCCTGGAGGAAGTCACACCCACAGGCCAGACCCCACATTCTTTTCTGCTGAACCCAAGTCTTTTGACAAAGCTTCCCTTCTTTAACCAATTGCAAATCAAAAAATCTTTGAATCTACCTATGACTTTGTAAGCCCCCCACTTCAAGCTATCTCACCTTTTTAGGCCAAACCAGTATATAACCTCCATATATCGATTTACAATTTTGCTTGTAACTTCCACTTTCCTGAAGTTTACCCCTGCCTTTAGAAACCCTTGCTTATAAGCCATTGGGGAGGTCAGGTCTTAGGCGTGAGCTGCCCAATTCTCCTTGCTTGGTGTCTTGCTAATCAATCCCCTTCCTTCTCCCACTATAAAACTTTGGTATGAACGTTTGGCCTTACTGCGCTGGGCAAGCCCACTCCAGTTTGGTTTGGTAATGTCACTGAAACCAAGCTATGATATTTGTAGATACCTTAGATCTTTATGGTGATGCTGTAACCTCATAGTTTTGTTTTGTCTTATTTTGTTTTGTTCTAGTTCCACATTTAAAAAGATCTCATGGAGGTTTCCGCCCCAAGGCTGGCATTTCCACACAGCCAGTCTTTCTAAGCCAGTCTTTCCACACCAGTCTTTCTAAGAAGCAGCCCTATGGGCCAGTAACAGCTACATTTTTGTTGAGCAAAGGCACTATTAAAATCATCATCTACATCTTTCAGTAAAACCATAATTAGTCAAGGAGATCCTTTCAACTCAGAAGTCATACAGAGAGGTAGACTCCTTTGCTTCTGGCTTTTGTTGTTGTTGTTGTTCTGTTGGAACTTTGGAATGTGTTATCTTGTTAGGGCCTTCAATGAGATTAAAGAAAAGAATCCGGGACATCATTTTTCACCATAAAAGCTGGGACTTTTCATCAGTAGGTGGTGAAGAGTTCCCAGGTGTACTCCAAGAAGTTTTGGAACAATAAGGCACACCAAAAAGAAGCAGGCTGCCTCATTTGGAGTGACTGCAGGGATGGGGCAGGCCGCAGGGAGGAGAGGAAGTGGCTCCTTCCAGCAAATGCTGAGCCAAGTTGCCTTGTGCTCCTCACACTTGATCTGCAGCAGCAGGAGGCTTCCATCCTAGGAAATTGCCTCGAGGCTGCTCTTGATCTTAATTTTCACCAGATTTCCCTCAGCCCCACTCCGCTCCTTTGCTGGTTCAACAAAGACCAACAAACCTGTTGACGGCTGAGGTGAAAACCAAGAGGAAGGCAGATATGGGTCTGATTCTCTTTCTCTTCCTCTTCCTCGCCTGCTCAAACTCTGAATCCATGCTTTACTTCTTTTTCTCTTTCTTTTTTTTTTTTTTTTTTTGAGACAGAGTCTTACTCTGTCACCCAGGCTGGAGTGCAGTGGTGTGATCTCAGCTCACTGCAACCTCCATCTCCTGGGCTTAAGCGATCCTACCATCTCAGCATCCCAAGTAGCTGGGACCACATGTGCCCGCCACCACGCCTGGCTGATTTTTTTGTATTTTTGGTAGAGATGGGGTTTCGCCATGTTGCCCAGGCCGGTCTCAATCTCCTGAGCTCAAGTGATCTGCCCGCCTCAGCCTCCCAAAGTGCTGGGATTACAGGTGTGAGCCACCATGCCCAGCCTATAATTTAAATTAAGACCAATTGATTAAATGAGTTAAAATTACAAAATTGAGTTGCTGAGTCAGATGCAATGCATATATATACACACACACATATACACACATATACATATATAAACATATATATACATATATATATATATTTTCCAACGACATGGTTTCACTCTGTCACCCAGGCTGCAGTGCAGTGGCACAATATTGCCTCACTGCAACTTCCACCTTCCAGGCTCAAGCGATCCTTCTGCCTCAGCTTCCCAAGTAGCTGGGATTACAAACACCCGCCATCAGGCCTGGCTAGTAAAAATAGGATTTCACCATGTTGGCCAGTCTGGTCTCGAACTCCTGACCTCAGGTGATCCACACACCTTGGCCTCCCAAAGTGCTGGGATTACAGGCATCAGCCATCATGTCCAGCTCCTGTTTACTTCTGCATAAGAGCTGGTGACCCCTTTGCTTCCCTCCACTTCCTCCTCTTGTTTCTTCCCCTGCCTCTCTTCTCTCTCTTCTTTCTTTCTCTGCACTGGCCCACCTTCCCCTCCGTCTGTTCTCCATCCCAAAGTTGGAAGGCAGTAGTCAGGGTTAGGTCCTGTCCAGTGAAAGCAAAGCTGGGTCCAAGGGACAAAGCACAAAGCTTTTTATGCATTATTACTTCTTCTGCCTTAAATTCCTCTTTTCTTCTCTCCTTAGCACACAGAAGCAGTCTCTAGAACAACTCTTCCTGAGCAAAGCCATAGCTTTTTGTTGTTGTTGTTACTTGCCCTCTTCCTGTTCCGGCTTTAAAAAAGAAAGTATCTGTATCAACTTATGTGAACATGGTACTTTCTTGTGGCTGTTCTTCTGAGGATTCATTCTCTGGTCTTTCTGATTTCCAGTCTCTCCATCCTAGAATCAATTTCCTTCATTCCAGTACCCCTTGTCGGAGATCCAGGCTACCTCCACTCATTCCCAAACATGGACTTCAAAACATCTTTCCAGCACTCCTTTTGTCCCACTCCATTATGGTATCCAGCGGCTTGACATGATGCTTCTGTTCTTCATGTAATCTACAGCAGAGAGGCTGGGAAAAACTGAAGTTTCTTTAAATACAGGACAGTGCAGTCTCCAGAGGCCAGAGCCTCTTTGCCAGTCACAAAGAACCCTTAATTGCCTTGTAAAATGTAGTCCAGCCCTCTTCACAGATTCGCAGATTACAGAGTTATTCATCCAAACAATTTCCACGTACTGCATAGAGGGTTTCATGGACAGTAGCCTTGATTCAGACCAACCTGTATCTCTGCAACCCTCACTACAGACCACTTTTTCACAGTGGAGTTGCTATTTGGCTATGGCTTAAAGGATGACCCAGAATTCCTCAAGCATAGAAAGAGGGGAAGGGCAGTAAGAAGACCAGTGTGGTTGGAACAGAGGATACAAGGATGTGTGTGTGTATGTCAGGAAGGGATAAAAGTTGAGGCTAGATTATTCACAAGACTATTCACCTAGTTGAGTTTGGACTTCATATTGTGCAGGTCAGCATTTCACAGAAGACTAGCCCATGAAGATGCTAATCAATGCTCCAAGATCAAGGAGCTCACTTGTTTAATAAGTTGGGGATTTGAATGCTGAATCCCCTTTTTAAAGAGTCACAGTTGATTTTAGAAAACTGAAGGCTCTGAGAAGTCCTGCAATGAAAAGAAAACCTGCTTAATTTTGTATAAAGGTTAATCCAACTTTTTTTTTTTTTTTGCAAGGAAATGATTTCCCCCCTTCCCCAGCCCCCCATAACAAAACTTAACATCTCCAGGAACAATTTTCCTTGGAGTCTGGAATTGCTGCTGTCTGCTATGGGAAGCTGTGGTGAGGTTTTAATTTTGTTTTGATTTTTAATTAGGGAAGACACATCATCTTGTTTTCTACTTTGGAAATGGTGTATGGAGGGAGGGGAGATGAGAATTAAGAAAAATAATTGCAGTTGTTCACATAAGAGACATTATTTCTAAAGCGATCTTTCTAAAGAGTAAGACTGACTAGGTCCTTAGTTAGAACCCTACTGACATTCCCTCTGCCCACAGGTTAAGATTCAAACTCCTGAATAGGATTGACAAAACCTTCCGTGATCTGGTTCCTGCCTGCTGCTCCAGTTCCAGCTCCTACCACTTTCCCCTCCTTTAGACCAAATTCTTGGAGAAACAAACACATCCCCAACAAACCAGAATGGCTTATGTACTCCCTCCAGCTGCTCCTGTCTGAGCTCTTCTCATTGGCTGGAATGCAGTTCTTCTCTTTGCCCATTTGGCAAATGCCTATTCATCTTTCCACAGAGATCAGCCTCTCTAGGAACTTTCCAGAGCCATCCCTGACCTCTGTGGTCTGTGCAGCCCACCAAGCCCCCACCCCTGTGTAGAGGGAGTCACTTCTGCTGTATTACCAGTGCCCCTGTGGTGTAGTTTCCACCTGGGGTTCTAAATGCAAACTCCTGCATGATACTATTTGTGTGTTGTTCATAATGTAGACTTACAGCCTAGCACAGTGCCTGGCCCATAGTAGGTGGTCAGTGTCAATAGGTTGAGTAGAATGTGATGATGGGAAAATGCAGAGAAGGGGAAAGCTTCAGGAGAAGTGGAATGGGTGGAATCAATAGGTCTTGGTGATTGATCGGGTACGGAGGCTTAGGGAGCCAAGGCACACCCTGAGGTGAGCTAAAGACCTCAGGAGGAGGAGTTTTGGTAGAGGGGAAAGGTGAATGTCATTTTAAACTTACTTCTTTTTTTTTAATTTTTATGTTTTGTTAAGGTAAGATTTACATACAGTTAAATGCATAGATATTAATTACACAGCTGGACAAATAAAACATGCTGAATTGAAGATGGCCACATTTGGGTGAAGGTATTGTGAAGATGGCCAGCAGTGTGTATGAAAGCACAGAGTCTGGTGCTAGAGACCGAGCTCTGGGGTCCTTGTGGGAAGTGACACCAGGTGCAGATAAGGTGACCCCTTGCGGTGAGAAGCTCCAAATATCCCAGTATCCCGAGGTGGCTCCAGATACTGGGATATCTGGAGCTCTCTCACTAATCACTAGGATGTTTTCATCTTCGTTTGGCTGTTTTCTGCTTTTGTTTTGGCTGGGCTGGGCTTCCCTCTTGTTGTTTGGGCTATTAAAGGATCAGAAACTATGCTGGCGAGTAGAAGGGATATGGAATGGGATGGCCACAGTTAATTGGGAACATGTGTAGAGGACCCACTCTTTGATCTGCATAACCACGCTTATGAGAGCAGTTTCTTCATCCACTCGCAGGGGGTCAGTCCATCACTTCCTGAGTGAGTGACAAAGCTCCTATCCCTGGTGACTAGGGCCACCACACACAACAGATGAGGAAAGAAATTCTAAGATAAACAAAAATGACTCATAGCATAATATGAAAACTGAAACGTGCATTAACCAAGCTATCTCTGCATCCTGAAGCAGCAGAGTCATTTGCTAATGAACTCATTAGGAAAATAAATGTTCTCAGTTGGAGGTTAGCATTCATTTACCCCAAAGTATACTGCATTTAATTAAAGGTACAGGAAAAATTTTCCTGGCCAGAGGAGTTACGGTGATGTGACAGGAAGATCCTTGTCTGAAAGTCTAGACATCTTTGGTTCTTTGTCCAATTCTCTCTGCTGTGTGACCTAGGGCAAGTCATCTGGCCTCTCTGAGCCTCAGATCCTTCTTTTGTAACCTGCTGAAGATGTCGATGTCAACCCTGAATCCTGTATTTACTCAACTTCTCAACAAATATTCTTGGCTGGGAGTGATGGCTCACGCCTGTAATCTCAGCACTTTGGGAGGCTGAGGCAGGTAATTGCTTGAGGCCAGGGGTTTGAGACCAGCCTAGGAAATATAGTGAAACCCCATCTTTACCAAAAAAAAAAAAAAAAAAAAGAAGAAGAAGAAAGAAAGAATCAGCCAAGCATAGTGGTGCATGCCTGTGGTCCCAGCTACTCAAGAGGTTGAAGTGAGAGGATCACTTAAGCCCAGGAAGTTGAGGCTGCAATGAGCCATGATGGCACCAATGCATTCCAGCCTGGGCAACAGAGTAATACCCTATCTCAAAAAACAAACAAACAAAGAACAACAACAACAAAAACCCAAATATTCTTCAAGCTTCTACTCTGTTCTGGGCACTGAGCTGGTTAAATATCCCTGCATGAACACTTTTTTGCTGTGGTCCCTGGCCAAACAGCTGTTACTCCCAATTCAATGCATGGCTCTGTTCTTTATGCCAAACTTGGAAAAGTGGGCTGGGTACCACTCTGGTTCTTTAGAGGAATTTTGTTGTGGTTCAGGCGACTGTACATCATAGTGCGAATCTGTTGCCAATAGTGGAAGGAATGCTGGGATTGGAGTTGAATAGACCTGAATTTGGGTCTCAACCCTGCCACTTACTAGTTTGTGACCTGGACTAATTTACTGAGGTTCTTTGAGCCTCACTTTTCTCATCTGTTAAATGGGGATAATAATACCGGCTCCAGTTGTTTTGAGAAATAAGATGATGTGTGTGGAGGTGCTTGGTGTTTTTCTTCCCTATTGTCTGAGAAAGCAGCAGGTGCCCCTACATCTTTCTTCACGTCAAATGTTCCAAATACCCAAGCCATTCACCCAAGCCACGACTCGGTTTATAAACGGTTCCTGGGACTTGGGAGACTAAAGTGGCCCCACTTCGGCATTCCCTCAGTGCTTTCCTCTCGTTGCATTTCAGAAAGATTTGAAATCAGACCCATTTCCTGGCCACTTTCTACAAACTGGGAATGGAGTTTCTAGCAACGTTTTCCCTCTGGAAATACACTATGGGTGTACCAGGGAGGTAATTTTAATTATATTTTGTTGAGAATGCTTCCAGAAAAGTATAGAATATAGTCCATGACAACTGAAAGGATCTAGAAATTCTGTCATGAGGGCCAACTGCCTTTACAATGAGGACTCTGAGGTTGGAGTGGGGCATTGACTAGCTCCAGGGAACGCTGGGAGTGAGTGGCAGATTGGCAGATGGGTCTCTTGCTTGATCTACCTCTTGGTCTAGCGCTCTTTCTCATAAACCACAGGATCTTTCCAATCCTAAACTGTTGTAACTACTTGTATCTCAAGTGATCTGAAAACAGCTGGCTTAATCCACGGGGCTCTCCTTGCCTTTTGGCGTTGAAGGATATTTCCTAATTTAGACCACTTCTGTGACCTTTCAAGGTAAGGTAAACTCTGGTGGCACTAGGGACAGCAAAAAACACCAAGAGGCCAGGGTATATGGCCACTCAAATGAGAGTTTAGATAGAATAAGCATCACTGGAAAAGGATAGAGAGAATCCAGAGGCCTTGGTGGAAGATGGACTGCTGCCTCTTCGGTCTAAAGGCCTGTGGTGCAGAGAGGGCTCCCATATGGCACTCTGGGCTTTGACATTAATTAGGGTCATGAACAAACAGCCACAGTATAGACAGCTCTGGGGACAGCGGAGGAAATTGTTAGTGATACCACATGAAGCCTCCCAGGCACAGCTCTCCCTCCTCCCTATCTTCCTTTTTTCTTCCCTAAACTTGTCTTTTTTTTTTTTTTTTTGAGACAAGGTCTCACTTTGTCACCCAGGCTGGAGTGCAATGGCACGATCTCACCTCACTGCAACTACTTCTGCTTCCCAGGTTCAAGTGATTCTTGTGCCTTAGTCTCCCGAGTAGCTGGGACTACAGGTGTGCACCACCATGCCCTTTCTGTATTTTTTAGTAAAGACAGGGTTTCACCATGTTGGCCAAGCTGGTCTCAAACTCCTGACCTCAAGTGATTCGCCCACCTCTGCCTCCCAAAATGCTGGGATTATAGGTGTGAGCCAGGACGCCTGGCCCTTAAAAGTATCTTGAATACTTTTTATATGCCAGATTCTGTGTTAGAGCCTTAACCCTGACCCCAAAGAGCTGGTGCTTTTTCGTTTCCTTGTCTCTCTTCAAAAACTCATCTGTCTTTCATGCTCATCTCTCCACCTTTTGTCCTTCCTTCTGCTTCATCTTTTTTTCTCCTCTCTCATATGTCTTTGTTTTATTTGTAACCCAGAAGTCAGCTGTGGTTTCCTGGCCTTTGAGATCTAGATGATATTACTTTGAACTTACTCCCTGCCCTGTAGAATTCCAAAGTCTTCCCACACTTCTAAAAACTCCCATAGGAAGTGGAGGGAGCTTTTATTTTCATGGTCACTTCTGACTCCAACCTCGGCACTTCCCTTGAATTCGTTTGGTTCACAGGCCATTTTTACCACTGCCACAACTCCCCTCGCCCCGCACCATCCAATCGTCCCTTGCCAGTTGGCCCTGACATGAGATTCTACCTCTTACTCAATTTCCATAAAAACAAAAATAAACAACACTGTAGTGAGTTGAATAGTGTCCTCCTGAAAATATATGTCTATGTGGAACATCAGAACGTGACCTCATTTGGAAACAGGATCTTTGCACATGTAATTAGTCAAGTTAAGATAAGGTCATGCTGGAATAGGGTGAGCTCTAAATCCAATGACTGATGTCCTTACAAGAGGACACACAAAGATACACAGAGAAGAGGGCGGCCACACAAAGATGGAAGCAGAGTTGGAGTTTTGAGGCTATAAGCCAAGGAACTTCAAGGATTTACATGACCAACAGAAGCTAGGAAGAGGCAGGGAAGGATTCTCCCCTAGAGCCTCTGGAGGGAGCATGGCCCTGCTGACTCCTTGATTTTGGACTTCTGGCCTCCAGAACTGTGAGAGAATAAACGTCTGTTGTTTTAAGCCACTCGGTTTGTGGTACATTGTACAGCAGCCCTAGAAATTAATACAGTGCATTTGCATTTGGGTCTGTAGGCAAATTTCCTGAGGATTTGGGAGTGGAAGGTGGGACAGAAGCGAACCTGCTTTTCAGCCCTCCATCCCTGCCGTTCCACTGGTTCCCACTTCAACCACCCATCCTTCCTTTCCCCTGCTCAACTTGTTTCTTCATCTCCTCTTTCTACACAGTCCCCAAACTCCAAATTCATCCTACTCTATTATGCAGAACTCCAGCTCCCAAACTCAGCTCCCAGCCCATTGTTCAGGTCAGAACCCCTCCAGATCCTCAGCTGCACAAAAATACGTTGCAAGGAATAGCAGCCTCCTCTCAGAAGGGAGAGGTGAGTTTAAAAAGCTATCCCTATCCCTCTTTGGGGAGGACTGGCTCCTTCTCTATTTCCTGTCCTTCAGTCTAGCAGAGGCAATGGGGTGGGCTGAGCCAGGCTTTGCTCTCCCCTACTCCTCAGAATATTCAGGGTATGGATTGTGGAAGTGGAGAGGGACCTGTCCGTCTGTCAGTTAGTCTAGACTGATAAGACTGTCCCCTGTGTCTGAATGCTTCCCTGGGTGCTTCAAGGAGATACTAAAGGAATACAAGAGGTTGTCCCTCCCTAGAGGAACACTCCAAAGACAACCCTTAGTCTTTCTTCTTTAAAAAGCTTTGTTCAGTTTGTTTGGTCTTTTGCATCTTCAAATAGGAATCTCTTATGTTTTACCCCCTCCTCCTCCTCCTCCTCCTCCTCCTCCACCTCCTTCTCCTCCTCTCCACCTCCCCTATCTCCTCCTCCTTCCCCTCCCCCTCTCCTATCTCCTCCTCCTCCTTCCCCTCCCCCTCCCCCTCCTCCTCCTCCTCCTCCTCATCTTATGTGTAGAGCTTTTAAAAGTTCTGTCACTTGCTATTTTATTTTATTTCTTATCCTCGTACATTTCTAAGACCCATGGGTAAGTATTTTTCCTTCCAGTTTCTATAGGAAATAAGGAAAATCAAGCCCAGGGTAAAGTAAGTTGCCCAAGATTATCTGTGTTTAAGCCACAGAACTTGCCCTAAACTCTAGGCCAGTACCCTGTCTGCAAACCCTATGGCTTTCTTAGAGTGGTCAGAAGCTGTGCCTTTAGCCTGGAAAAACCTATTTAACTTAGATCAGCCATCTCCTGTTAGAGCTAGAGCTGAAGTTTGGTTCCACTTCAAAACCACGCTGTGTTTTAAGACTTCTAACCTATTTTTAAATTTAAGTTTATAAATCAGTTTTTAAAACTCTGTATTTTGACTCTGGATTCAGAGAAATATTCTTACTAGGTTACACGAATATTTTGAAACTCAGTACTTACTTTTTTTTTTAATTCAATAAAAGTTTGCACAAACAATGCATCCCACAGGAGAAGCTTATGCCAGATCCCAGATGTTTAACACGTTTGCTTCAGATATTAAGAGTTCATGGCCTCTTGTGCTTGTTAAACCAAAAAATGCAAGCCCATAGAAATGATTTTTAATAACTAGGAGTGCTGCAAGGTCAGGCTGAATTCTGGGCAACTGCAGCACTTCAATAACTTTTTTGATCACAGATTGTGTGTGTGTGTGTGTGTGTGTGTGTGTGTGTGTGTGTGTACTTTAAAAAAAAAAAAAAATCCAAGCAGAGAATTCAGTGAAGGGCAGCATGAACTCTTACTTTTGACTCAATTTCACTTCAATTGATACATGCAGAAATGTTCAAAAAGTTCCTTTTCTAATTCTGACATCAACTATCTAGTTTGTAATCACTTACCTGGGTCTGCCATGCAATGAACCAACCATCTACTATTGAGTCTTGGGGTTCAGAATGCCATTATCGCAGTGAACATCTACTGGGGACTGACTGTGCCAATTATTATGCTGTGTATATATCATTTAACCCTCATACCTGGCACCTTCACTCCTACACCCTGAGTCCCAGCCACCTTCCTCTCTCACCTTCATTATAGGCAGAATCAGTTACCTGGTCCCTCTGCCTTCACCTCTGCCCCTGTCCCTTCCATTCTATTCTCAACCCAACAGTTGGAGTGATCTGTACTAAGGTGAAATCAGTTCATGTCATTTCTCAACTCCAAACTCTCCAATGGCTTCTCAGCCTATTTAGAGTAGCAGCAAATGTTTAATAACAGCCATGTTGTGTTTTTGTTGTCGTTGTTTGTTTGTTTGTTTGTTTTTTAGATGGAGTCTCTCTCTGTCGCCCAGGCTGGAGTGCAGTGGCGGGATCTCAGCTCACTGCAAGCTCTGCCTCCCAGGTTCACGCCATTCTCCTGCCTCAGCCTCCCGAGTAGCTGGGATTACAGGCACCCACCACCACGCCTGGCTAATTTTTTGTATTTTTAGTAGAGACGGGGTTTCACCGTGTTAGCCAGGATGGTCTCGATCTCCTGACCTCATGATCTGCCCCCTCTGCCTCCCAAAGTGCTGAGATTCCAGGCGTGAGCCACTATGCCTGGCCAACTCTACCCCATGTTCTTCTGCCCTCTCTTCCTACCCTTCTCTTTCTCTTTCTCTTGCTCCAGTGGGTCTGGCCCTCTCACTGTTCCTCAAACATGTCATGCAAATTTCTTGACATGGTATGGTTTACTGGTCAAGCTAAGATTAAAGCACACACATTATATTACATCTATTAAGGTAGGAAAGTGGGAGATCATTTGCTTTAAACAACCAGTTAGTGATCTATTGGTGGGGGTAACAAAATTCAAAAATTCTTGATACTCTATTCTTTCACAACAATCTTTGCTTTAGGAAATGTGATCAAAGGCAGGTTTCCCGATTGAAAAAGTTAAGGCTAGTGAGGCAGAGCATTTTTTTTTTTAGACGGAGTTTCACTGTTGTTGCCCAGGCTGGAGTGAAATGGCATGATCTCCGCTCACCGCAACCTCCGCCTCCTGGGTTCAAGCGATTCTCCTACCTCAGCCTCCCGAGTAGCTGGGACTACAGGCATGCACCACCACACCCGGCTAAGGTTTTTGTATTTTTAGCTAGAGACGGGGTTTCTCCATGTTGTTCAGGCTGGTCTCAAATTCCCAACCTCAGGTGATCTGCCCGCCTCGGCCTCCCAAAGTGCTGGGATTACAGGCGTGAGCCACCGCGCTTGGCCGCATTTTTATTCCAATAGAGTATGCCTATTGCTGAGAGACTGTCTGTTTTCACAAGTACAATGTTAAGGATTGTGAAATTTACATTATGGGAATCTAGTACCTGTGATTAACTTATTGAAGCATTGAATGAGCAATGATACTTGAAAACTAAGGCCATCTTGAATAGTTAGAAAATGAATCATTTTGGGAAATGTACTTCAGATAATTCAGAAAATACTTTTTGAAGCACTAAACCTTTAAATAACTTTAGTTATTTTGATGGATGCTAAAAATAAAGTGTGGACCACTTTTTGTCTTAGTAGCTAGACTCCACCACGTATAGAGTTTTACTTCATGATGATCCAGGATAAACATTGGTGGCATAATACAGTGTGGAGGTCTGTTTGCCCATATGCTGAATGGCACCAGGCTAGTGTGCTTCTTGGATCTGCATGTCTTCTTTGAATAATTTTACATAGGCATTTGGGAAGAGAAAAAGAAGTTATAAATAGGCAATTTTCAGCCTGAGAATTTTGTGAGAGCCTCAGCCATTGTGATACTTCAAAGGGACAGGTAAGTTTATGTGCTAATTATAAGTGAAAGAGCCTTAGGTGATTTTTAAAACTTCCTTCTTCATTCCGACGCTACGGCAACAGCATCAAACAGCTCTAGAGCACTGGCCACTTACAGAACTTGGGACCAGACACACCTTGACACTCTATTTAGACCACACAGAGGGAGAACAACCAAAGAAAGGTTGGAGAGGTACTGTCCACAAATTCCACTCACTTTACAGCTTGTTTATAGGAAGCTCTGTTCATGACACTGAAATTGTCATTCAGCCCAAGACCAACGTAAGTTGCCAGTGTTAATATTTATACACACCCTGTATTATTGTAAAGTGGTCTTCATTATATAATTCGCATTTAAATAGTCCTTCAGAACAGTGGTCCCCAATCTTTTTGCAGCAGGACCAGTTTCGTGGAAGACAATTTTTCCATGGACTAGGGGTGAGGGGATGGTTTTGGGATGATTCAAGCACATTACATTTATTGTGCACTTTATTTCTATTATTATTACATTATAATATATAATTAGATAATTATACATCTCACCATAATGTAGAATCAGTGGGAGCCCTGAGCTTGTTTTCTTGAAACTAGATGGTCCCACCTGAGGGTGGTGAGAGACAGTGATAGCTCATCAGGCATTAGATATTTTTTTCTTTTTTTTCCAAGATGGAGTCTTGCTCTGTCACCCAGGCTGGAGTGCAGTGGTGCAATATCGGCTCACTGCAACCTCCGCCTCCTGAATTCAAGCAATTCTCCTCTCTCAGACTCCTGAGTAGCTGGGATTACAGGCTCCTGCCACCACACCTGGCTAATTTTTGTATTTTTAGTAGAGAAGGGGTTTCACAGTGTTGGCCAGGCTGGTCTTGAACTCCTGACCTCATGATCTGCCGGCCTTGGCCTCCCAAAGTGGTGGGATTACAGGCGTAAGCCACTGTGCCTGGGCAGGCATTAGATTCTCATAAGGAGCATGAAACCTAGATCCCTCACGTGCGCAGTTCACAGTAAGGTTTGTGCTCCTATGAGAATCTAATGCTGCCACTGATCTCACAGGAGGCAGAGCTCAGGTGGTAATATGAGTGATGGGGAGAGGCTGTAAATACAGATGAAGCTTCACTCGCTCACCTGCTGTTCAACTCCTGTTGTGTGGCCTGGTTCCTAATAGGCCACAGGCTGGTACTGATCCGTGGCCTGGGGTTTGGGGACCCCCGCTTTATAGTGTATGCTTTTGTGTTTTTTCTTTCATTCACCAAATATTTGTTCAGTATGTACTATACTGTCCTAGGCTTTAAAGTAGACATTAGAAATGCAAAGATGAATATGGCCCCATCCCTCCCCATTTTCTTATTTTGATTATCATCATGACTCTGAGAGGTTGCTAGGGCAACAATTATAATTATCCCTTTTTTTTTTTAGGAAAGAGATTGAGGCTCAGGGAGGCTCTTGCACTGTCACCATGTTTAAAAAGTATTAATGCCAGAACTTCAACTCAGGTTTTCTGCCTCTAAATCCCATTTTTTAAACCCAATCTTTTTTTTTTTTTTTTTGAGATGGAGTTTCACTCTTGTTGCCCAGGCTGGCATGCAATGGTGTGATTTGGGCTCACTGCAACCTCCACCTCCCAGGTTCAAGTGATTCTCCTGCCTCAGCCTCCCGAGTAGCTGGGATTACAGTCGCATGCCACCACGCCCAGCTAATTTTTTGTACTTTTAGTAGAGACAGGGTTTCACCATGTTGGCCAGGCTGGTCTCAAACTCCTGACCTCCGGTGATCCACCCATCTTGGCCTCCCAAAGTGCTGGGATTACAGGGGTAAGCCACTGTGCCTGGCCTCTAAACCCCATCTTTAATGCCATAAACAAATACTCAGAGGCAAGCAATTAAAGAAAATAAACATTTATGCAAATCATAGTCGAATAAAAATGCTAAAGACTCAGTTCCAAAGAATCTTAGAGGGACACAGTTTTCTGAGTACTCATATTAAATCTCTTGTGTTTAAGTGACAAGAACTAAACATGTATTAACTTAGGCAAAATATATTATTTATGGGCTTATACCTGGTGTGATTTGTGTACTAGTACTAGGGGAAAAGTAGAGGTGAATTCAACCAAGAATGCAACCAAGAAATCTAATGCCTTTGGAATCCTTCACCATCTCTTATCTTTACTTCTCTCAGCACATCAACTTCACTGTCTTTTATTATGGATTGACCTGTTCTACCTGGGAAACGTGGCCACCAAAGTGTCTTGTGTCACTATAAAGAGGACTGTTTTTTTTTTCTAGTTACAGTTTTAAAACAAATTCTAGGGAAGGATTTTGATTGACCGCCTTGGGTTAGATACCATCTCATGAACCAATCAACTCTTACTGGGGAAGTGAAATAGTGGGAAATCACAGCAGCCACGCAACTTTGGAATGGAGGAAGAGTGGTCCTCATGATGAGACTAAAAGCAGATGTCGACTCTGAGTCTCCTACACTTAATTCACACAAATGTTTTTTCAGGAAATATCCTATTAAATTTCTGGAAATTAAATGTTTGCTGAACTCCACTACACTGTTGTGCTGTGTTTAAAGGTGGCAGCACAAGGTCAAAGGTAGAAACAGGAAAAAGCCACGTAGTAAAACTAAGGAATCCTCATTACTTTTAGTGACATCCTGCCCAGAAAGTGAAAAAGGAAGGCAGGATTTGCAGATGGCCCAAAGCGGTGAAAGCAAAATAGTGAATGTTGGGGAGATGATGACTATGAAGAGCTAGGCATACAGCATTGCAGCAACAAATGATACGAATTTTCAGGCATGGCTGTAGTCATCTTGGAAAAGATAGGAGTAAGAGTACAGAAACTCCTGGAGCTCAAGAGGTTATTAATCTTCTGGTCTACTCCCTTCATTTTTCATGTGAGTAGACGGATCCAGGGAGAAGTAATCTTCCCAAGGCTATCATAAAGCCTTAGCTATTTCATTGGCAAAAATGGGAAAAATAATGACACCAACCCTTACATATGTCAGGAGGTTTTTCTTCAGAGAGAAATTGGAATAAAGTTACCAGAAGTTGGATAGTGCATTTTCCTCCCACTAGGCTGACACTTGCAAGGGAGCTGGAATAAATACGCAGATGGCTGATGAAGGTAAGACAGGTAACAAAAATGGGAGATGCCAGAAAAGGGGATAAAGGGAAGGTCTGCAGTCACATGGGTCTTGAAAGTAGACAATCTGTATCATGCTAGACCCTCGACTGGCTTACCCAGGATACTCCTAATCCTGTGGGTTTTCTCTTAGTTATGTGCCCGGGCTGGCCACCACCTGAGGGTTTTCTCATTTACCTGTCCCTTCTTTCAGATATCTTAACTTGGTGAAGCGACTTTCCCAACATCCATTCTATCCCATAAGCAGCAGCCATGTGGTTTGGGAAATTGGTCTCAATTTAAGGGATAGGCCTGATTAGTCAAAATGATATCTTATCCTCTTTGCCAGTATTGGTTCAAAAATAAGCATGTGACCTAATTCTGGCCAAAGGGATAAGAGGTTTGCTGGCTTCTTGGAAAGTTACTTTCTCTTAAGAGCATTCCAGGGGAATTCATTCTATTCTCTTCACCTGAATTGAAGGAGGAGGGTCTTCCCCTGGTAGCCATTCTACAACCACAAATGGAACTAGATTTAGGATGAAACTTACATAATGCAGAACAGAGAAAAGGGAAGGAAAACACTCAATGCTAAATGGTTGAATTGCAAATCAATGACTCTGAAGGCTGATCTATCTTTGGATTTCCTCATAGGTTAACCATATTAGTTATCTATTGTTGTGCAACAAACCTTTCCCAAACAGTGGCTCAAAACAACAGCATTTTATCGTTATTTAGTTTATGAATCTGCAATGTGGGCAGGGCTGAGTGGGAAAGGCTTATATCTGCTCCACAAGGGGTCAGGTGGGGAAGCTTAGCCAGGACCAGGGGGATCCACTTCCAAGACGGCTCCCTCACAAACTGGAAAGTCAATGCTGGCTCAGTCAGATGTGAAGGTCATGGGCCTTATTCTTTTCTACGTGGCCCTCTTCATTTGGGTCTCCACAAACTGTGTGGGCTTCCTTAGAGCATGGTAGCTGGATTCCAAGAGTAAGCACACAAAGATAACTATGTAGAAACTGCATCACCTTATCTGACCTAGCATTGGCCATCACATAGCATCATTTCCAATCTACTTTGCTGGTTGACCAGTCACTATGGTTAGCCTAGATGCAGTTCAGAGGACACAGGTTCCAGCTTTTGTTGAAAGGAGTTTCAAAGAACTGTGGACGATTTAAACCATTGCAGAAACTAAAACATTTCCTTTTTTTTTTTTTTCTGAGATGGAGTCTTGCTCTGTCACCTAGGCTGGAGTGCAGTGGCGTGATCTCGGCTCACTGCAACCTCTGCCTCCCGGGTTCAAGCAATTCTCCTACCTCAGCCTCCTGAGTAGCTGGGATTATAGGCGCCCACCACAACGCCTGGCTAATTTTTGTAGTTTTTAGTAGAATGGTGTTTCACCACGTTGGCCAGGCTGGTCTTGAACTCCTGACCTCAGGTGATCCGCCTGCCTCGGCCTCCCAAAGAGTTGGGATTATAGGCGTGAGCCACCGCGCCTGGCCTCCTTGTTTTTATGACCATTCGAATTGGGTTTTCTGTTATTTATTTGGGGCTGAAAGCATCCTTTTTCATGGGTTTTCTGTTTATCTGGGGCTGAAAACATCCTTGTTGATACAGTTAGTGTCACCTCAGCCATGGGCAGCAGAATGTCCTTAACGAACAGCCCTCAGTCACAATGCCAATTGTAGCAAAGTTACCAGTAATTTGTTACCAGTAATTTAATACAAAGGTTTTGCAATAATTTATTTTTTGTTCTTTTCAAATCACAGCAGAATCAAGCTTACCACAATAATAGCAGAAGAGTCATTTATTTAAATTCAAGTAGAATTCTCTGAATGGGAGTAAAGGGATGGAATCAAAGCGAGGATGCTCCACAGGGCACGTGGGAGCTTTACTCCAGGTTGAGAGCTGTTGGGCTGGATGCCTCTTTTGGTAAGAGAGTTGGAAACAACTTTAGAGTTTCGTTGCTGTGGCTCAAATTCTTTTTCTTCTCCACATAAGCTCCTGTGAAGCCAGTGCAGCCGAGGACTTGTCACCAGGCATTTGATAATCTCTCTCTAGTTTTGATGGTCTTTCGGTGGACAAGGGAAGAGATTAAAAAAAAAATTCTTCTTGATCTTCTGTCTTGGTCCTCTCCACGATGAACTCTACCTAAATACAACAAATCATTTTTTAGTGTCCACTGTGTTTTTAGCACTCTGATAAGGCCATTGCAGATAGAACCCCAATAAGATGTTACTGTAAGAATCTAGAAAATAAGTAGAGGGCAGTTGGAGAGCAATGGGAGGCTACTTAAAATCCAATCCTAATGCAGGTGTGACAGTCTTATGAAAGAAAGGAGAGAAAAAGCTGAGCGTCTATCTGTTGGATTTCAGGGTACTTCCCTGCCCAGAGGTGCAGCAGCAGATCCCTTGACCCTCTTCTCCCCAGCTACCTCTGAAGTGGACCAGGGTAAACATCTGATCAACGGGTGCCCAACCATAGACTAGCCAGCAATTTGTACCTTGTGTGTGGCCTGACTGGAAAATATGAGCTGAGCAAATCAGATTCCTCTCCCAGAAAACTGGGAAGGGAGAAGCACTTACTTCTAAGGTGGTGGCTCCTGAGCCCAGAGGCTGGATAGATATACCATTGAGGAAGTAATTAGAGAATCAGGTGTAGACTGCAGCTTTGAGAGACTGGTGACTCAGATAAGCTGATTGGGATGTGCAGGTGTGCAAAAAGAAGCAGTCTTCATGGAATGCGAGGCTGAGGGGTGTCTGGGCTACCTTAGGTCCTGCACTTTCTGATGCCTGCTTGTTCAGTTCTCTGAATATGTTCCCATATATGTTCCCTTACCCAAAGTAAGGGTAGGAATAGAATACCATTCCCTGCCTTTTACTTGAGCTAATTGGAGAGGTTTTCTGTTACTTGTAACCATCAGAATTCTGTCCAGAACAAGTCAAGGACCCACAGAAGAGATGACAATTCCAATGGGCTTTGAGTAAGGAAACAACCTTAAGTCTAGGCTTTACAATTTACCAACTAAATCTGTGACTTAACAAAAGGAGCTTGAGCTTTAGAGTCACACATAGCTTTGGGTTCAAATCCAATCTGTACCATTACTTCTTTGTGATCTTGGAGAAGTTACTTATCTGTAATGCCTAGATAATGCCTACTAATTCTTAAATGGTTGTTGCAAGAATTAGACTAGACGTATAAACATATTTATTTATTTATTTATTTATTTATTTATTTATTTATTTTGAGATGGAGTTTCACTCACTCTGCTGCCCAGGCTGGAATGCAGTGGCACCATCTCTGCTTACTGCAACCTCCATCTCCCGGGTTCAAGTGATTCTCCTGCTTCAGCCTCCCGAGTAGCTGGGATTACAGGTGTGCGCCACGTCACCCGGCTAATTTTTGTGGAGACGGGGTTTCGCCATGTTGGCCAGGCTGGTCTCAAACTCCTGGCTTCAAGTGATCCACCCCCTTCTCAGCCTCCCAAAGTGCTGGGATTACAGGCATGAGCCACCGCACCCAGCCAATGTATACACACTTACTTATATGGACCATTAACACAGTGTTTGGCACGTAGTAGGTCCATGAAGAATGACAGCTATTGTCATCCCCAAGTATGTTGATGTACTATTTGGATGGGAGAAAGGAAGTAATCTTTGACCCTGGTCCCTGCCAGTAACATAAGGTGGCTTTTTTTTTTTTTTTTTTTTTTTTTTTGAGACAGAGTCTCGCTCTGTCGCCCAGGCTGGAGTGCAGTGGTGCAATATCGGCTCACTGCAACCTCCGCCTCCCGGGTTCAAGCGATTCTCCTGCCTCACCCTCCCGAGTAGCTGAGACTAAGGCATGTGCCACCATGCCCAGCTAATTTTTATATTTTTAGTAGAGACGGGGTTTCACCATGTTGGCCAGGATGGTCTTGATCTCTTAACCTCATGATCTGCCCGCCTCGGCCTCCCACAGTGCTGAGATGACAGGCGTGAGCCACCACGTTGGGCCCATAAGATGGTTTTGATGGAAACATTTTTATATTTCCCAACATTTTAAGAGTGGCTTTATATATTGGGGTGTGTGAGTCTGTGGGCATGTGCGTTTGTTTGGCAAGGATGTTGTTTGGCTCTTCCTCCCCCGTTTCCTATTGAAGTTGTATTCACTATGTCATTGTTATTAATCAGGCAAGCAATATGAGATGAACAGGAGTGATGAGTTGCTCAGGCTGCCAAACAAGTTCATGTTTTGTAGGAAACGCCAAATTGTTTCCTGGGGGGATGTTACTTAGGAATGGAAGGGTATGCCTCTCTGGCCCTCACAGACCCTGTCCCCTCCCTGGAGTGCTGTCAACTCTCAGGGCAATGGGATAACTCTTTAAAAGCCACTTTATGGAGCTGCCGCCCAACTGTGCTGGAAATATATTTGCATTTTTTTTTCCTTTCTTCTGGTAAAAATGTAACCCACGTCAAGTAGGAAATGGATTACAGAGCTCCCACATTTCCTCAAAAACTATCCCAACATCATTAGTCCCTTCATAAGCTAGAAGGGTGGAGGAAGATAGTGAAAGGCTGGGAGTGGTGGAGAAAGAGGGAATGTCTGAAAAAAAATAGGATTATAAAGCATTTTGAGCCCCTCCCTCCACTTCTAATTCATAGAGAGACTAACGTGTAAACTAATAAACCAAAGGTCTTAACTAAAGGCTTAAAAAAGATGTCCTTGAATATTGGGTTCATCTGCCAACCACATTTATTCATGAATTATCTTTATGGATGTGGAGTGGGTTTAAAAACAGATGAGGAAAGCTTTGGCGTCCTAAAACTCCCTGGGGATTTTGCTGGGCGTAGGTGTTTTCCTAAAACTCTGATGAAAGCAGAAGTTACAAATGATAGGCTTCGAATGTTATTTCACACAGTGATTTTGAGTGGCATGTACAATCACTAATATTCAGCAGTAACTTTCTGAAAAGTTGTTAAATCTTTCTCATCTCTGTTATTAAAAAATATTTAGATTTTATATCTAACCCAAAGGACAGAAAATTTCAAGTGAATTGTATTGAGGGTGAGAAACTGAATCCTCTAACTTACTATTGGCTAAATTGGTGCTGCCCAGTGACTTGAGAGGGGAGTCCTGGGCACATTGGTCTGGAACTCTGGGGTCATGATGGGGTTAGATATTCTCCATTCCAGAAAATCATGGTGGGAGGACATGTCAGGTAACTATTTCTATGTAACAAATATTCCCAAAATGCCATGGTACAAAAAAAAAATCATCTTTTATTTCTCACGCTTGCTGGGCAGCTGGGGATTAGCTGTTCTCAGCTGGGTTTACCTGGCATGACTCTGCTTTAGGGTGTCTTACCCTCCTTGGAGCAGCTGGCTGGCCCAGGGAAGTCTTCTAGCATTGGTAGAAGTACAAGAAGGCAAGCAGAAACACATGAAGTCTCTTAAGGCCTAAGTGCAGAACTGAACACGATTACTTCCATTTCATTCTGTTGACCAAAGCAAATCATGTGGCTGAACCCAAAATCAACGGGTAGGGAAATATACTCCACTCCTTCAGTGGAAGGAACTTCAAAGTCGTAGCAAAGGGCATGGATACAGTGCATGATGAAGTCCTGGGGCCAATACTGTAACCTACTAAAAAGAAGGAATATGACTAGGACTGTGGCTCCAGTAAGTGGAACCACATAGCTTATCTGCAACTGTGACAGGTTAGTCCCTTCTGTGGTATTGATGGTAGCTATCATATCTCAACGCTAACGCTCAATATTCCTCCCAACTCTCCTAATTTTCATTCCATTTCCCTGATCAGGCAACCGTTTGGTTATCATTTAGCTTCCTGGATAGCTATTTCTTCAGGGCATAGTGTTTTGGCAGTAAGATACATGTTTGGGCCTTGCAACAATCCTATTTCTCATTCTATATTAATAGACAGACATACTATTGTCTACTTCTGGTGAGCCTGACCAAACTTCCTTCTTCAAGAGAGATTTACTCAGTATGCTAAAAGAGAAAAGGAACAAGTTTCTAAGCTCGAAAAGCTGAAAGTCAGTTGTTCTATTATGTAAATTCAGTGTGAAGGCAGTGGGCAACCAGTCACCCTCTCATGGGGAGACCACTACTAGGGCATAATTTTTACCCAAATTTCTGTAGTTCCTATAGATAAATAACTTCAGCACTTGGCCTTTAATAGTGTAGGGGAAGGAGGTCAGGCGTGGAGGCTCATGCCTGTAATCTCAGCACTTTGAGAGGCCGAGGTGGGCAGATGGCTTGAACCCAGGAGTTTGAGACCAGCCTGGGCAACATGGTGAAACCTTGTCTCTGGGCAACATGGTAAAAACCTGTCTCTACAAAAAAATACAAAAAATTAGCTGGGTGTGTTGGCATGCCTATACTCGCAGCTACTCAGGAGGCTGGGATGGGAGGACCAGCTGAGCCTGGGAGGTGGAGGCTGGAGTGAGCCATGATCGCACCACTGCACTCCAGACCCTGTCTCAAAAAAAAAAAAAAAAAAGGTGGAAGGGAAGGATGGATGGTACAATCTGCATAATCTTATTGCTAGGTAGCCAAGAACATGAATGATGTATTGGAGGGGTTTAATCAGGGAAGCAGAACCACTAGAGTCTTACTGATAATGGGACTAATCTCTTGCAGAATTATGTGAGAAACTGGTGAAGTAAAGGTCTGAAAGTGGAATTGAAGGGTTAGAGAAAAGTCACTAGCCAGCCATCCTGAAGCCCTGTACAGGTGGACTTGTAAGGCCAGAACTTGCAATGATTCTAGGAAGCCGCACATGTCTAACTGCTGGAGTGGTACCCAGGAGGGGGGCTGTGGAAAAGTCCATACATAGCTGCCACTTCTGGAGGTCTCCCACCAAGCTCTCAAGTCATCTTGGGTCCTCTGGCCAGCAGGGACTAGAGTTGGGAAGAAGAGCTAGACATGAGGAGGAGGATGAGCAAGAACCTCCCAGAATCTCTGTGTGTGTCTGCCACCACGTGTAGTCATGAGGATCTTCAGAGGGAGTGGCTCTGCTCCACTTTCACCTTCCAAATCTTGCCTCAATTCTTCTTTTTGGCCAACCTAACTTGGAACCATATAGGGAAATAAATTTGGGGAAATGGAGTTCCAACTTAAGCAAGCTGATGTGGGTCCAGAAGAATGCAGGGTCATTTGCTTCAGGTTTGAGTCATTTCTTCCAGTCCATACAGAGGTCACAGAAATAGGGGTTTAGATGTTTCTCTGCTCTTCTCAGTGAGTCTGGGAGCCTTTGTTCTTGAATCCTGAGCAGTTTCATGTGCTGTCATCCTCTTTGGACCAGCTACTCAGCCTGGGTGAGTTGATCATGTGGTTGGTGGAAAACCTTCTTTTGTTTTTGGATTCTCTCTTTGTTTCCTCCTTCACAGATTTCCTTTGACCCCACTGGTGCTATTGCCTCCTGCTCTAGGTGCTGAATATTTCTCATTTACACCTCTAATACAACTGTGTCAGCCTTTTAGTGCTATGAAGTTTCATTGATTATTGGGGTTTGGAGGAGGCAGATGGGTGTTTTGAGGAAGGGCTTTGTGGGAGGGCACTGAGAAATGAGACTCTCATGATTAGTTCTCCTGGTGGAGCATCTGTGACCACCCATTATCCCATTGTTACCTTAGTTTAGTGGGTAACAGTTATCCAGGTAAGATGATGAGGGAGGGAAAGAAAAAAGAAAAAAGCAACTCTTCTCACTACAAATAGTTCCTAGCTTATTCAACTATGTATCCTGTGGATTAATGGACAAATTCCTTAGTAAGCTATTCAAGACCTTTTGGAGCCTAGCCTTTTTATTTTTCTCTTTTCCTGAATATATACTAGACTTTGAGTAACACTGGATCTCCTGAAGCCCACTCAGGGAAACCCTTCAAAGTGCATGAAAGAGACAGAGAAGTGCAGATAAAGATGATGAAGAAGGCATAATGGTGACTCTGTGCTTGTTTTCAGGTCAAGATGTCAGCATTCTGATAAGGTGGCCATCTGAGAGACAGAAAGCTATGTATCCATAAAGATTTTTCTTTATCTACTTGGGACAAACTTAAAGTTTCTATGACCTTAATAAGCTCTTTGATAAATTTTCATGTTCTATGTCTCCCATAGAATGCCTACAGCATGAGAAACATTTTTTTGGTATGTTTAATGTAATCTATATGTCATCATTCATGACAGTGCCTATCAGAGTAAGTAAATCCAGGTGTTAGAAAAAAACCCCAAATATTAGTGGTTTAACACAATAAAATATATTTTTCACTCACATCACCATCCAATCAAAGTTAGTGGGCAGTGGAGAGAGCTTTGTTCTATGAAGCCAATCAAGGACCCAGACATTTCTCCCATCTTGTCGTATTGTGAGCTTTAGCAATGGTTAGCATGGTTTAGTCCAAGGTTGTCATGGAATGGAAAGAGGGAGACAGTGGGGTGAAGGCTCACCTGTTCTTAGTTGCCTAGATGCAGAAGTGAAACTCTATTTCTGCTCAAATTCCATTGGTCAGAACTGGCCACATGACCTTACCTAGATGCAAGGGGAGTGGCTAGGCAAAGCAGTTTAGCTTCATGCCCAGGGAGAGGAATTGAGGTTTGGTGAGCATCCATGACACTTTTGAAATGTCACTTCCTCTCTGAAGCAAGTGCCTAGTACTGCACCTGTTACATGGCAGGCACTCAGAAATATTTTTTGAACAAATACATGAAATGAATGAATATGTATAGGCTTCTGCTGTTATGTTCTAAGGCAGAAAATGGGAAGGAAATAATTTTGAGAGAAGCAAAAATCTGTCTGGTACCCCCAATGTATTCATGACCATTTATTTGTAAAATTATTTCACAAGCACTCTAGGAATTTATACTCTTTGAAAGCTGTTTTCATTTATTCAACAAACTGTTGAGTGCCTTCTATATCAAGTGCTATGCTGTGTGCTCAGGAAATAGAGGTGGAAGTCATCATTCCTGCCCATTGGTAACTCACTTGGAATGCATCTAGAGGGAAGTGGGAAAAGAAGCCAGTAATCACAGCTATGATGTAGGCACCATGATAGAGATACAGATGGATTGTGGTGGTTATGCTGGGAAATGGCACCTAATTGAGTCAGGAATGGGTGTTGTGGGGTTTCATTGTCTAGAAGAGGTGGTATCTTGGTTGGATGAACATGAGTTTGCTAGTTGATACCTGTAAGAGAAGGGTAGAGGGAATGGTGTGTGCAAATTCGACAGTTTATGGAACTGCAATTCCTTCAGTAGGTCAAAAAGGTGTGATGGAAATACTGGGAGATAAGGCTGGAGAGGTAGGCTTGGGCTGAGTCACAAAGCACTTCTAAACTGCATTAAATAAAGAATGAATAGGGGTTTAGAGTAGGAATTATGCGATTTGTCTCTATCAAATGAAAGAATTGATACACACAGTAATATCTAAGCAGCCACGTTATCCATATTGACCAGTCTATTTTTCTCCTTAGATCGGCCTCAAATAATATAAAATTGCTAAATTAAAAAATAAACAAAAACCCGTTCATAGTATTTTGAGGACGATCCTTTTGTGGGAAGAGATTAGAAATAAGAGCACAAAGAAAGGTGTACAATATCCTCCATTCAAGTAGCCTTGCCTCAGATAGAACAGGAAGGAGGCCCATTTCAAGGAAAACAAAGGAATTGGCTTCATGATTTTACAAGAACTGTATCTGTCAATAGAGAGGATTCTTCTAGGAAAATGTTTTAAGATGGACTAGGGAAGAAAACTAGGAACAATTAGGGGAGCTCCTGCTCTTGGTACTTCTGCATCAGTGAAGAGTTTGTTAAAGTTGTTCATTTAAGGAACCAAGCATCAGCTCACTTCAATTAGTAGTTATTGAGCATTCATTCCTCCTTCATTCATTCAGCACATTTCAATGACACTTTTGTGCCCTGCACTAAGTCAGGTGCTGCAAGGAAGTAAAAGTTATGGTCTTGCCCTTGAGAAGATTCAACTAACACATGAATCTAGTGATTTCTAACCAAGGATGTGCTCTCCTTAGGTATCAAGGGAAGCTGGGCACTGTGGCTCATGCCTGTAATTCCAGCACTTTGGGAGGCTGAGGCATGAGGATTGCTTGAAGCCAGGAGTTTCAGACCAGCCTGGACAGCAAAGCATGACCCTGTCTCTATAAAAAAATTTAAAAATTTAGCCAGGCGTGGTGGTATGTGCCTGTAGTCCCAGCACACTTGGGAGGCTGAGGTGGGAGGATGGCTGGAGCCCAGGAGTTTGAGACAGCAGTGAGCTATGATTGTGCCACTGCAATCCAGTCTGGGCAACAGTGAGAGCCTGCCCAAAAAAAAAAAAAAAAAGGAACAAATGAGAGAGAGACAGAATGAATATTAGTCTAAAACGCCTTGGAGTTCAAAGTTCAGATTCAAATCTTGACTGTATGTTTGGGCAACCACTAACTGGTTGTCTGACCTTTAAATATTTTCAACTGCAAAATGAAGATAATAACAGCTACATTGCAATTTCCAGGATTAAATGAGATGACTCATGAAAGTTTTGTGTGAACAGTGCACAACTTTGCAAACATTTGTGATACATTATTAAATGTGAACGTACTAGGAGTTGAAAGCAGTGGTTTTCAAAGTGTTTGTTGAAACACTAATGCCCAAGATTGGAAACAGGCCTTTCTCAAGAAAAGAGTTCTATGGTCAAACACATTTGGGAGATGCAGGATCAAAGAAAGTAAAACATGGTTCTTATGCCTGTAAAATGCTAGTATGCATTGTGAATCTCAAGGAAAACAAATATTTTGTGTCTCTCTCCCCCACATTAATGTGATCTGGTGATCTACCCCTACTCCCACTGCAGCATCTCTAGGACCTTGAGATGGACAGAACTCACTCTGGGAAAGACTGCTCTCCAGAAGGAAAAGTATGAACCTTTCTTTCAATTTTACAGTCCCACCACCCAGGCTGGCACCGTGGCTCAATGCTTGTAATCCCAGCACTTTGGGAGGTGGAGCACTTTGGGAGGCAGAGGTGGGAGGATCACGTGAGTCCAGGAGTTCAAGACTAGCCTGGGCCATATAATAAGACTTCATCTCTACAAAAAATTAAAAAATTAGCCTGGCATGCTGGCTCGCGCCTGTATTCCCAGCTACTTGGCGGAGGGGCTGAGGTGGGAGGATCACTTCAGCCCCGAAGGTCGAGGCTGCACTGAGCCACGGGCGCACCGCTACACTCCAGCCTGGGCGACAGAACCTCTGTCAAAACAAAACAAACAAAAAATGCTAAGCCATTCTTCATCAGACAGTCTAGGAAACTCATTTCCAAGCAGTGTTGAGATTTCCACCAAGGAAGCCCAGAGAAAAGGGCCAGGCCCCCCGCTTTACCAGGGTTAGAGGGGATCCCTCATAGAATCGGGGGTGTGAGGTGCTGTGGTGGATACATTTAATATTCTTTCCAAGACACCCATTGATGGCAAGGCAGTAGCAGATAGCAACAAAAGCAGAGAGCAGGGCTGATCCTCAAAGACTTTATAGACTTTTTATAAAAACTCTAAAAGTCAAGTAACAACATGACTACTCCGCTTCTAAGTAAAGTGTGCATAAACATCGCCAGAAAGACTGCCCCTGCCTCCCCAAGTCAGAGAAGTTTCCTCAGGCCAATAGCTTCCCCTCTCTTCCCCCTCCTACCGCTTGTCTCCCTTCTTCTCCCAAAACACACCCCACACCTGGCGGCATTTTACACCTTCCCAGGAAGGGGCTGCCAAGCGCGGAGTCGCGGAGGACGCAGGCGCAGCGCGGCTCAGGTACGCGGGAGGCCCCGCCCCTCCGCGCCCAGCCCTTCTGCGCCACTCCACTCCCCGCCCTGCCCCGCCCTGCCTCGCCCCTCCCCGCCTTGCCTCGCCCCTCCCCGCCTTGCCTCGCCTCGCCCCTTAGCGCCCGTCCCGAGGGGCGGGGCGGCCCTGGTGGGTGGTGTGGGAGTGGGTACGGGGAGGGAAGTGGAGGGGAGGGGGTAAGTGATAGGGTAGGGGAGGCCCTGGGAAAGGCAGGACCTCGAGGCGCGGCCGCGCGAGGTGACCGGAGTCACAGTTCCCGCAGGCGGCGACAGCAGAGCGCCCACTGCCTCCAGCAGGTAACCGGCCGCGGCCGCGCGGCGCCGGCCCAGCGCGGGCGTGGGACGTGGAGACCCGGAGGAGGGCGGCGGGACCCGGGCGGGGAAAGGCGCGGCGTGGCTTGGCTCAGGTGCGCTTCTCCCACCTGGCAGCTCGCTCAGGGCTGTGGGGGGTGCCTGTGAGGGCGGCCCCGCCTTGCGGGCTGGAGGTGAGTGTCAGTTCTGTCTCTTTTGTCTTTAACTTTCTTTAAAATGGGGCCGTGGTGGGGCCCAGGGGCTGTTCCCACGTCTCCTCAGCGACGCCTGTGTCGCGGGGGCCTGAGAGAGCTTTAGGCCCCGCGACAGCTGGAAGCGCGGTGGTCTGGAGGGCACCAGGGGTGGGCGACGGGGCGAGGCTAGGTCCCCGCTGGCCAGGTGGGCGGCTCTGCCTAGGGGGACCCGTGACCGGGGACGGTGGAGACCCCAGCCCAGGCGGGGACGGCCGCGCGCCGGGCGCCCGGCTCCCTGCTCCGTGCTCGGGCTTCCGACGGCGCGTCCAGGTGGTTTCTGGGCTCTGGGGAAAGAGAAGCGAATTTCCTTTCCCTGGCGGGGTCTGATGAGAAGAGCTTCGCAGAGGGTTTTTACCTGTGATGTTTCTGAAACTTTGTGAAGTGGCGAAAGGGTGTTAAAAGTGTCCCTTTACTGTGGTGTTTGCAAACCACAATCTACCCAGCTAGGTTTTAGATTTGACTTCTATTTCTTCCAGGTTTTCCTTTGCTATGGTTTTCTTTAGAGGAAGATACTGTGGATGAACTGTGGGCTATAGTGCACACCGATAGACATCTGGGTATAGACAAGATAGATGCCAAGCCAAAACCATTGATTTCTTTAGAACATTTAAAATACAGCATATAAAAGGATTGCTTTTGTAATTGAAATATTATTCTAGTTCTCCCTTTAGGTAGGCAGTTAATAGAAATTTGTTTTCCCTGATTAATATTGTAGAACATAGCCTGGAAAATATTGAGAATTAGCAACAACAACAAAATCCATTTACCAGTTTCATATTTTGATGTGTAACTTCAGCATGGTTAAAAATTGCTTTTTCTGGAAGGAGGGAGTAATGTTGCTTGCCTTTGAGAGCTGGGATATTTGCTTTTTATCATCTCTTTTGTATTTTGTAATTTTTGCTAATGAATATGAGTTACCTTCATAACTGAGGAAGAGGCCATAATACAAATTTATTCTTTGTTTAACCCTTCATGAAAAATTTAAGTATATCTTGTATTTTATTGACTTCATATGAATTATAATTGTGCATTTACGAATAAAACTAATATTGAGAGATTAATTCAGGTGGAGAGAAAATGAGTTTGAGATTCTGGCGGGACATCTGGCATAGCTGTCTAGTGGATATATACCAATAGATATATTGGTATCAGGTTTTCTGAAGTCAAGATCAGACTTACAAATGTTGGAAGCAGCAGTGGATTTGTGGTGGTTAATCCTGTAAGGGTGTAAGAAATCATTCAAGTAAGTATAGTGTAAGAAGAGGGCAAGACCAAGGATGGGGAACACCAGCATTAAGCGATGGGTAGAGACAGCCAAGGAGTCTGAGGAAGAGCATCAGGAAAGGAGGAAATCTAGGGGGCAGTGGTCTCATAGAAGCCAGGAGAGGAGAGTTTTAACAAGGAGAGAAGTCTATCTGGGAGTCAAGAACTGATTACGTGCCTATTGTCTTTGGAAGTTAGGATGGGGGCTTTAACCTCAGCAGACATAATTTAAGTACAGTGTAAGGGTAGAAGCCAAGTTTGAATGAATCTGAGGAGAGAATAGTGATTCTGCACTCACAAGTAAATGTGAGTTTAGAATCCGTATTTTGAGAAACAAAGGTTAGAAGGAGAGGCGATCCATTGATTAGGGAGATGATTAAAAAAAGAAAAGAAAAGAAAAAAGAGAAATAAGGATGATAGACTACCTTTGTGTTATCCATAATAATTACAAATTTTAAAAACGAAGTGCATCATTTCATAACATTGTTCCTCTCTCATGGTTAAGTAGCAGAAGCTGAGAGCAAGAAGCTGAGCATGTTGAAAAGAACTATTCGTGGTAAAGTAGTTATGCCCCGCCCCATCCAAATTATGAACACAATTTTAGTGGTGTTTTGTTTGGTGTATTGAGTTCAGGTGTTATAGTGTTTAAGTCACACATATAAACTGTGTTGGACTCTATTTTACCTGAGTTCCAATATGTTGATGTTCTCAACTTGCTTTTAAGTTATGCGGTTCTTTTACGTATGTCCCAATGGTTCTTCTAAAAATCTTATGTAGAAATCAGGTGTTGGGACTAAAGCAGAATCTGTGAGGCATACATCATTTAGGGCCTTTGCTTCAATTATTATTATGCATTCAGGGGAAAAAGCTCTTAGATTAAAATTTCTGTATAATGAGTTTCACTTCAGTCTTCGTTGAAAGTTTGATTTTTTTTTGTTGCTCAAGAGTTCAGACAAATCATTTTATGAGTATTTTCCTTAGGAATATGAAAAGAATAGTTAAAATGGAAAAGGCTGGCAACCAAGTGTTG
Organism: Homo sapiens; assembly: GCF_000001405.40. NCBI lineage: Eukaryota > Metazoa > Chordata > Mammalia > Primates > Hominidae > Homo > Homo sapiens. Next base: position 91,833,829 of record NC_000014.9, on the reverse strand, counting down.
ATGAGGATGTGGAGCAACTGGAAGTCTCATAATCTGCTGGTGGAAGTGTAAATTGGTGTAGTCATTTTGGAAAACTTTTTGGCATTGTCTGCGAAAGTAAAACATATGCATAAGCTATGCCCAAACATATACCCAATAAAATTCTAGAAAATGCAAACTAATGTGATGGAAAAACACATCAGTGGTTACTTGGGGGTAGGGGAAAGAGAAAGTAAGGAGGGATGGATCCAAAAGGAGTATGAGGAAACTTTAGGGGATGATGGATATATTCATTTTCTTGATGAGATGATGCTTCTACCAATGTGTGTGTATGTATTTATATGTATGTATGTCACTCATTTAATTATACATTTTAAATATGTGAAATTTACTGTAGGTAAATTATACCTCAGTAAAGCTTTAAAACAGATTAAATAAAAATAAAGAATAGAAGAAAGGCACATCATTTAAGTATATTTACCTCCTTCAAATACTATAGTTATTTCAGGGTAATATAATTATGGATAATTTTTATTTTATTCATATAGTTTTCTGAATTTTTAATGTTTTGTACCACAACCATGTATTTATTTACTTCTTAAATGAGAAATTATTTCATATGTGCAAAATAGTACTTTTGACACATCTACAGATTCAGAGAATACAAATAAAATAAATAGCCCCGTGCCTATGTATTGCTTAAGAAATATACATAACCAACATTTTTTGAAGCCAACCTGTGTATTCTCCCTGATTATATCTTTTTCTTTCCACTCTCCTTGATTCTCTATATGGTTTTACCACATGTCTATGCATTCCAAACACTGTGTTGTTTAGTCTACTTTGGAACTCTGTATAAATGATATTCTACTATGTGAATCCTATGGCTTTGCTTTTGCACATTCTGTGAGATTCCTTCATGCTGATGTGTTGTAGTTTGTTCACTTTTTATTGCCGCGCATAATTTCATTGTGTGACTTTACCATTCTTTATCCATTATCCTGCGGATGGATATTTAGGATGTTTTCAGTCTTTTTTTTTATTTTTTTGCTTTTAAATTTAATTTTTACTTTTTTCCATTAAAATCTGTTTTTAAGTGACCCTTCTAACTCATGTCTCTTTGTGTTCATGGTTTTAAAAACCTTCAGTTTTGCTGGAAAACACCGGATTGTTTTATAAAGTGGCTGTACCAGTTTATAGCCTCACAAGCGGGATGTAAGTGTTCATTTTGTTCCCTTTTTCAGCAACATGTAAGACACTTCTACATTCGTAATTACCTGAATTTTTTTTCTTTTAGACAATCGGGTGAGAAATGGTATCCCATTGGGGGTTTAATTTAAATTTCCTTAATTACTGATGATGTTGAACCTTTCATTGTTTATGTTTTGTGGGTGTTTATGTCTTTGGCCATTTTTTTGTTGTTGTTTTTTTACTTTAAAACATAGATTTTTTTTTTTTTTGAGACGGAGTTTTGCTCTTATTGCCCATGCTGGAGTGCAATGGCATGATCCTGGCTCACTGCAACTTCTGCCTCCCGGGTTCAAGCGATTCTCCTGTCTCAGCCTCCTGAGTAGCTGGGATTATAGGTGCATGCCGCCATGCCTGGCTAATTTTTTGTATTTTTAGTAGAGACGGGTTTTTACCATGTTGGCCAGGCTGGTCTCGAACTCCTGACCTCAGGTGATCCACCTGCCTCAGTCTCCCAAAGTGCTGGGATTAACAGGCATGAGCCATTGCACTCGGTCTAAAAATGGATTTCTGTAATAGAAGCTCTTTATATATTCTGGATGTGAATCCCTTGTCAGTTATGCACGTGGCACATTTCTTTTTCTCCAAGTGAGCAGCCTGTCTTTTACTTTCTTTATAGTGTCTTTTGATTAACACGTTTTATATATAGTTGAATATAGTTGACTCTGTCAACTTTTTGTTTTATGGTTTGTGCTTTTGGCATCTTGTTTAACAAATCTTTACCTTCCCTGAGATTATAAAAATATAGTCTGATATTTTCTACTAAAAGCAGGGGGGTATATGGGAAATCTCTGTACCTTCTCAATTTTACTGTGATTCTAAAACTACTCTAAAAAAGAAAATCTATTTAAAAAGTTGCCTTTCATATTTGTGTCCTTAATCCATGTAGAACTGATTTTTGTATGGTGTGAAGTGGGGGTCCAGTTTCTTTTTTTCCCATATGGCTAATCAGTTTTTCCCAGCATTATAGAACTGAATATTCTGTTTTTCATTTCAGTGATCTACAAGTATCATAGATCAAGTTTCCATACATGTGTGGTCGTTTCCAAGCTACTCTTTCTAAAACAGATCTGTTTATGTATCTTACCACAGTCTTATTTACTTTAGCTGTTTAAAGAACCTTGATACTTGAGAGAACAAGTTATCCACCCATGCTTCTTTTAAATTAGACTGCTCCTCAAATTAATGTTTAATTTTTTTCTTTTTAAAAAGTAATAAAATGTGTTATTTAATTCTTAAATATCTACTGTAATCACCTGAAGTCATAAATAATACTGAAGCTACTCTAATGTAGACTATATCAGGCTGCAAATCCTTTCCTAACTTACTAGAATTAATTTTAACTTGAAAAATAAATATAGGATTTGCATTTTGGGAACAGTGTAAGTTGTGAGGTATTGGACAACCTTAGCTGAGAACAGCTAAGAATGCTGTATTTAAAAAAACAATTCAAAAGATAGGAATTAACATGCCAAAATCTAAGAGAAAGCTAAACGTATGAGAGACTAAAGGAGCCTTTAAGTCTTACTTGCCTTGAGAGCATTTGCTAAACAGGGGAAACTTGATGCATTTGAATAGGCACTTGGTATATTTGCATGTCACCAAGGATAGTTGGAAGTCAGCCCAGGGCTCATTCAATGTAGGCTAAGAGGCTAATTCTGGGACCACAAAGGGCTGTGATGTCACGAGAAGGGCGAAAAACTCACTCTACCTCCTTGAAGGGAGTGCAAGGAAAGTTGTCTTGATGCCAGGTAAAACAAGAAAGGAAAAAAATCCTGTCCTTGGGAAGTTGTGACCACCAAACAGACCATGGGGAGAAGTTTTATATTACCTTGGTGGTCAAAAATATTTCAAGATGTAAATTTAAAAAATCATTTCTTTTTTGAGATACTAACATACCATAAAATTCACCCCTTTAAAATGTACAATTCAGTGGGGTTTTTTTTTGTATATTCATTTAGCTGTGCAACTATCACTATATAATTCTAGAACACTCTTGTCACCCTCCTAAAAAAACCTTGTACCCATTAGCAGCCATTCCCCATTTGCCTCTTCCTTCTCAGTCACTGGCAACCACTAATCTGTTTTCCATTTCTGTGGATTTGCCTATTCTGGCCATTTCATGTAAATGGAATCACACAATATGTGGTCTTTTATGTCTCACTTCTTTCTTAGCATAATGTTTTCAAGATTTATCTGTGTTGTAGTGTGAATCAGTACTTCATTTGTTTTTATGGTTGAATAGTATTCCATCATATGGCTGTATACCACATTTTGTTTTCTCATTCATCAATTGATGGACATTTGGATTTGTTTCTACTTTTTGGCCATCATGAATACTGCTGCTGTGAACATCTGTGTAAAATGTTTTTGTGTGGAAATATGTTTTCTATGCTCATAGGTATATTTACTTAGGATTAGAATTCCTGGGTCATATGGTAGCTCTGTGTGAAGTGTTTGAGGAATTGCCAAAGTGTTTTCCAAAACAGCTGCACCATTTTACATTCTCATAAGCAATTTATGAGGGTTCCAGTTTCTCTACAGCCACACCAACACTTATTTTTTGTCTGTCTTTTTGATTAGTGTGTGTGAAGTGGTATCTCATTATGGTTTTGATTTGCATTTTCCTAATGATCAGTGGCATTGAGCGCTTCTTAATGTGTTTATTGGCCATTTGTCTGTCTTCTTTGCAGGAATGTCTAATTCTTTTGTCCATTTTAGAATTGGGTTATTTGTCAACGCATGAATTGAAAATGGTCTGGTAAACAAATGCAGATATTCTCTGGAGTATACTTTCATTTTTAGCTTAAAAAGTTCTACCAGTACAGTTTCATGGTCAATGAATAATTCATTGTCAAAGATAACCAGCTGTACAAGGAAGTAGGACATCCTGAGCAAGAATTGGCAGAATGATAGAACCTCGAAATAAACCTACAAAAGCTTGAAAAACCAGTCATAGATCATTAAGATAACTATACTGGGCTGAGTTTAAGTAAATAAAAGACAGATTTAAAGATATGTTCAGAGATCAGGAGTCTAAAAAGTGACAGAGCTACACAGCAGGTTGAAAAAAGAACTAAATGTAATTTCTACTAATGAAAAATGCAGTAATAAAACTCATCTTTCAGCTTAACTACTAATTAGGAAATTAGATGTACTCCACAAAGAGATTGAATGAACTGGAAGATAGAATAAATCATTCAGAATATAACTCAAAGAGACAGAAATGGAAAATATAAAAGAGGTGAAGAGACATGGAAATTAGAGTGATCAGAGTGAGGAATTATAGTGAGAAAGTCTAATAAACTAGAATTTCTGCAAGAAAAGAAAGAGAAAAGAAATGGGCAAAAACAATATTTAAAGAGATAATGAATGAGAATTTTTCAGTACTGAGGAAAGACACCAATCCGTATATTCAAGAATCTCAATGAATTTCCAGCAAGAAAAAGTACATACTTAGAAACATCACAGTGAAATGAAGAAAACCAAAGGCAAAGAGAAAAATCTTAACATTACTTTAGGGCCTAGACAAAAGATTTTTTTTTTTTTTTAAAAGAACAGTGGTTATGCTAGCAGCTGCCTTCTTTATAACAATGGTGGGACAGAAGACAATGGAATAAGATATTTTTGTCTTAAAGAAAATAGCTTATAATTTAGAATTCATAACCAGAGGAAATATCTTTAAGAATGAGAGTAATACAGGGTGATGATCAATGGTTGCTAACACTGTTAAAAAATAAAAGCTGAACATTATGTACCTACAACCTATGTAGTAGTCTTACTAAAAATAAAAAGTCAAACCTAAAAATCTGTATTAAGTTATAGATTGAACTATAATTTTACAGAAAAATAGGCAGAGATTTGCTGAATGACACCATGGGAATGCAATCAGCAAAATCCTATTATGATAAACTCTATTGGGTAAGAGACCTGGTTTCAGCATCAGAATACTTTCAAGGAAACTTGTAGATTAAAGGAGATTTAAGAAATATTTAAACCTATTTCACTCAAATAAGCTATACAAAATTATAGGAAAATTGGGGAAATGTGAATACTAATATGAGGAAATTATAGATTTTTCTGAAAGTGTGATGGTACTGTAGTTGCATTAAAAAAGAGATATATAATATAAATATAAACATAAATGTAAAGTTATATTTGGTATTAGATGTTCTTCAATATTGTCTTTTAGAGATACATACTGAAATATTAGAGATGCATACTGAAATATTTACAGATAAAATTATATCTTGATTTTTGTTTTCAAAATTTCTGGAAGTGGGAGGATATTGTGGAAAAAAGTTTGACTATGAGTTGATAATAATTAAAGCTAGATAATGTGTCCATGTGGATTTATTTTATATTTGCTATACTTTTGTATATTATTGATACTTTTCACAAAAAAATATAAAAATCAGGGACATTTTCAGATCAGCAACAACAGAGGGTTTTCTACCAACATACCTTCACTAAAGTAAATCATAAAGGATATTAGCAAGAAGAATGTGATTGTACATGAACAGTTGGCGATGCAAGAAAGAATGAAATGGAAGGAATGTAAGAAGGAATGAAGTGGAAAGTAATTGGTGAAATATGTTTGTAAATACAAATGAACACTAATTTTACAAAAGAATAATAATGTTTTGTGGGGTTTTAACAAGATAGAATCAAAATATGTGCAATGATGACATCATGCCTAAGTCACACATGGATTGATTGGCATGTAAAGGAGCTAAAAGTCTTTTAATAGTCCTTTTACTATGCAACAGGAGAATATAAAAGGACTAACTTTAGACTTTGACATGTTAAGTGTGTGTATTAAAACAACCAGAGTGACTATTTAAATAAAAGGAAATTGAGTTTATAAAATTTATAGTATACAGAATAATGGCCTCACAAAGATTACCATGTCCTAATTCCCAGAACCTGTGAATGTTACCTCACATGGAAAAAGTGACTTTACAGATGTGATTTAGGATTTTGAGATGGGGAGATTATCTTGGATTATGGAGTATCCAGGTTGGCCTAATGTAATTGCAAGAGTCTTTATAAATGAAAGAGAGATTGTAGGAGATTCGGAGTTAGAGAAGATGTAACAATGGTAGCAGGGGTCAGGGAGACTGGAAGATGCTGTCTTGTTGGCTTTGAAGTGGAGGAAGGGGCCATGAGCCAAGGAATGCAGGTTTCTTCTAGAAACTGGAAAAGGCAAAGGAATGGAATTTCCCATAGAGCCTCCAGAAGTAATGCAGCCCTGCCAACACCTTGATTTTAGCTCAGTGAAACCCATTTCAGACTTCAAACTTCCAGAACTGTAAGATAGTAAGTTTATTTAAAGCCATTAAATTTGTGGTAATTTGTTGCAACAGCAATAGGAAAGTAATACAATATCCAAGCTATTGGAGGGAAAAAAATGAAGATCATAAACACTTAGTCAATCCAAGGAAGGATGAAAGGAAAGAAACAGAGAACAAGTAGGACAAATAGAAAGCCCAGGATAAAATATAGGTTTAAATTCATATATATATCAGCCAGTTATCTTAAATATAAGTGGAATAAATATTACAGTCAAAAGACAAAGATTGTTTATCTGGACTAAAACACTTTAACTAAATGCTATTTATAAGAGACATATCTAAAACATGAGGAGACAGAAAGGTTGGTAAACAAATGGAAACAGTAAACAGAAAAAGATATTCCATACAAATGCTTTCTAAAAGAAAGCTGCATAGCTATAACTATCAGACAAAATTGTTTTCAGGGTAAAAGCATTTCTAGAAATTAAAAAGTTACCATAATGATAAGAGATTTAAATCACCAATATGTTAAAACAGTTTTAAATCTTTATGACTGGACTAAATACAGTTAAAATACAAATAAATACAAAGATTGTCAGAGTGGATAGTAGAACACAATCTAACTACATACTACTTATAAAAGACACCTTGAGCATAACACAGAAAGGTTGAAAAGAAAATGATGGAAAGAAGATATAACATGCAAATATTAACTGAAAGAAATTCTAGTTATATCAGACAAGCCAACATTAAGGCTTCTAGAAGTATTACTAAAGATTGAAAGGGAGATTAATAAATTTATATGTACCTCATAAATTAGAATAAAAATATATGAAACAAATCTGATAGAACTAAAAGGAGAAATAGATATATCCACAGTCATAGTTGGAGTTTTCTTTTTAGATGCATCTCTTTTAGTACTATATAAAACAAGCAGAAAAAAAAATCAATAGAGATACATATTTTTTTCCTGCTTTTTTTTTTTTTTTCAGACAAGGTCTCACCCTGTCACCCAGGCTGTAGTGCAGTGATGCGATCACGGCTTCCCACAGCCTCCACTTCTTGAGCTGAAGTGATCCTCCCACCTCAGCTTCCCGTGTAACTGGAACTACAGGTATGCACTACTATGCCTGGCTAATTTTTTAATTTTTTGTAGAGATAGGGGTCTCCCTATATTGTACAGGCTGGTCTTGAACTCCTGGACTCAAATGATCCTCCTGCCTCGGCCCCCACAAAATACTGGGATTTACAGGCATGAGGCACTATGCCCTGCCAAGATACAGAAGATTTTAACATGACCAACGAATTTGATTTAGTGATGTACATGGAACATTGCACCTCAAAGTTGCAAATGTACATGGAACATTTATTAAAATTGATGATATACTATGAATATCATTGATTGTATACAATTTCTCTGATCACAGTGGAATTCAGCTACAAATCAATATCAATAAGATAGCCAGGAAATCTAAATTAAAGAAAAACAAAAGAATAAGACAGATGGAGAACTGAAATAGGGCTTTGTTATTAATAAAGCTAATTTAGATATGGCATGTATCTGCAGGCAAGTAGGTTTTCTAATACAGACAAATCTTTCTCAAAGAAACTAGAGACAGCAAGAAGCATTCCTACCCTAACGTAGTTCAAAGGTGCAAAAGTAAAAAAGAGAATGGTGTGTTTCTAGCACATCAGGTAGTTATATTTTGAAGCTTGGTATTTGCAGAAGGAAGTAGTGGAAGATGAGCAAGAGAAGGGTCACATATTGTATTTAGCAGAATAAATTTTATCCTGAAAGTGATAGAGAGATATAGCATTACTTAAAGCAGACGAAGGACCTTAGCAGCACAGTGGGGGGATAAAAAGAATTTGAAAGGCAAACCTATTAGCTGGCTCTCTGTAATTTGGGGTATCATAACATCTGAATCAAAATAGTCAAATTGAGAATAGAAAGGAAGGTGTGAAAATTACAAGGATGGCCAGGCGCGGTGGCTCACACCTGTAATCCCAGCACTTTGGGAGGCCGACGCGGGTGGATCACGAGGTTAGGAGTTCAAGACCAACCTGGCCAAGATGGTGAAACCCCGTCTCTACTAAAAATACAAAAATTAGCCGGGCATGGTAGCGGGTGCCTGTAATCCCAGCTACTCAGGAGGCTGAGGCAGGGAATTGCTTGAATCCGGAGGCGGAGGTTGCAGTGAGCCAAGATCGCACCACTGCACTCCAGCCTGGATGACAGAGCGAGACTCCATCTCCAAAAAAAAAAAAAAAAAAAAAAAAAAGAAAAGAAAAAGAAAATTACAAGGATTAAGGGGCTCTACTCAACAGAATTCTAGCCCTTGCCTATTTCACAGTTCACCTGCTAACTACTCTTTCTGTTGCTTAGTACCTTGCAAAATAATGCAAAGTGGGTACAACTCAAGATTTTTGCAATTTCTGGAATGCTCCACCATCAAGAACTTTGCTAGCTGATCCTTTCTTGTGTTTATGTTCCAGCTGGATTGTTACCTCCTCAGAGAAGTCTTTTCTGATTATACAAAGTTAACATTCATTCCTTTTGAATCCTGGTTAATTTTCCTCATTGGATTGAATGTATCATGTGTTTGTTTATTTTTCTGTTTATCTCCCTCCTCTGTTGTAAGCGCTCCAAAAGCTTGTCTGTCTTGTTCCCTATTTTGTCTTCAGTGCCTAGCAAATTGCCTAGTACATAGTAGATGCTCAATAAATGCTTGTAAGTGAATGGATGAATTGGATGTGTGGATTTTGGGAGCAGAAGGACTCAAGAATGGCACTTGTATTTCTGGCTTAGTTAATTAGCTGGATAGTGGCACTGTAGTAGGAAATACCAGAGGAAAAGCAGGTTTGCAGGGGAAAGTCGTGATGATGTACTGTCCTTTATTTGTGAGAATACCATAGACAGGCTGTTCCTAGACTATGTCAGACCAGCAGAGGCAAATAAGCCCTTTGGGAATCTCAAAAGGAAGTGATATTAAAAGTATTTTAACAACTTGTCGTGCATGAGCACTGACTGTAATATTGGAGCAGAGTCATGGAGGCCCCTGCTTTTTCAGACATTTACCTCAGGGGTGCCTAGGGAGGAGTTAAAGTGACTAGGGTGTTTATAGCTTTTATCTATTGATATGGAAGTATTTAAGTCTTTTTACAATCTGTCCTCATACTAGAATGTTCTAGCTAAATGTCCCCATATCATTTCTGGCATTGGGTAAAGTGCCTAGCATGAATCAGATCTGTTGTAAGTGGGATCTGATGATAATAAATATAATAATGATGCCGCTGATGACAGCAAACATTTATTCTTAAAACAGCCCTACCACTAGTTTTATACTTTATGTGCATTACTTTGGTTGATCATCACAATAGCCCTAAGAAGTGTTTTGTTGTTGTTGTTGTTGTTGTTTTTTAATTGATGAAGAAGTTGAAGGTTAAAAAGGTTAAGTAACAGATTTAAGGTCATATAGCTAATAAGTGAAAGTTACAGGATTGGAACATAGGCAGTATACTTTTAACCATTTATATTTGTTTCTCCTTGTTGCTAAAAAAGCAAACATGTGGCTATGTAGATAGCCAGCACATAGTCTGTTAACCTGACTGGTCCTGCCCTTCTACCCATACCCTACCTAAAGCAATGTGGTGTATTAGAAAAAGTTGTGAAGCTTAGGGTTTGGTTCTAAACCTAACATTATCTAGTTGCTTGACTCATTATTTTCTTTGGGTAAAATTAGAAGGACTTTGATAAAATGATTTCTTTTTTCTTTTTTTTTTTTTTTGAGATGGAATTTTGCTCTTGTTGCCCAGTCTGGAGTGCAATGGCGTGATCTCGGCTCACTGCAACCTCCGCCTCCCGGGTTCAAGTGGTTCTCCTGCCTCAGCCTCCTGAGTAGCTGGGATTACAGGCATGTGCCACCATGCCCAACTAATTTTTTATTTTTAGTAGAGATGGGGTTTCTTCAGGTTGGTCAGGCTGGTCTCGAACTCCCGACCTTAGGTGATCCACCCGCCTTGGCCTCCCAAAGTGCTGGGACTACAGGCATGAGCCACCATGCCTGGCCCCTGATAAAATGATTTCTAAGCCTTCGGCTCTGCTAATGTTTTTGAGGCCTCTTTTTCTGTTAATGTTCTGTAATTCTACTTATGTATTATTTTTTCAGGTTTATTGAGGTCTAATTGATATGTAGTAAGTTACATATACTTGAAATCGATAATTTGATGTTTTCATGTTTTCATGTATGTATGTACCTATGAAACCATCACCACAGTCAAGATAATGAGTATAGGCTCGGCACGGTGGCTCATGCCTGTAATCCCAGCACTTTGGGAGGCTGAAGCAGGCGGATCACGAGGTCAGGAGATCGAGACCATCCTGGCTAACACGGTGAAACCCCGTCTCTACTAAAAAATACAAAAAATTAGCCATGCGTGGTGGTGGGCACCTGTAGTCCCAGCTACTTGGGAGGCTAAGGCAGGAGAATGGCGTGAACCCAGAAGACAGAGCTTACAGTGAGCAGAGATCACGCCACTGCACTCCAGCCTGGGCGACAGAGCGAGACACTGTCTCAAAAAAAAAAAAAAAAAAGATAATGAGTATATTACCCCCACTCCAAAGTTTCCTCCTGCCCCACCAAGTCCTTCCTTTCTGTCCCTCTCTGTGCTTCATCTCCCCACTCCTCACTGTCCCGAGGCAGCCTCTGATCTACTTTTTGTTACTATTGATTAATTTCCATTTTCTACAATTTTATATAAATTGAATCATGCAGTGGAGTTCAGCTACAAATCAGTATTAATAAGATAGCTAGAAAAGCCAAATTAAAGACAAAATAAGAACTGAAATATGACTTTGTTATTAATAAAGCAAATGCAAGAGAATATGGCACATATCTGTATGGCACATACTCTTTTTGTTGGCATTCTTTTGCCCAGCATAATTATTTTGAGATTCATCCATATTGTTGCATGTTTAACCAGCTTACTTCTTTATTTCTGAGTAGTGTTCCATTGAGCCACAGTTTGTTTTCTAAATGGATTAATCTGTTGATAGATACTTGATAGTTTTCAATTTTTGGCTATTTTGAATAGATTTGCTATGAACACCAGTGTACAACTCTTTGTGTAAACATGTGATTGCTTTTTTCTTAAGTAAATATGTAGTAATGGCATGTCTGGATCATGTAGCAGGTATATGTTCAACTTTAGAAACTTGTCAAACTGTTTTCTAAAGTGGTCATGCCATTTTACAGTCCCACCAGTAGAATAGGAGAATACTACTTGTCACATATCATAAACATTTGGAATGGTCAATCTTTGTAATTTTATCCTTTTTAATCAATGTATATTGTTGTCTTTTTATAGTTTTAATTTGCATTTTCCTAATCACTAACTGTGTTGAGCATGTTTTCATGTGCTTTTTGGCCACTTGTAGATTTTTTTGGAGAAGTGTCTTTTCAAATCTTTTGCCTATTTTTTAATTGGGTTATTTTTCTTTTTATTATTAAGTTGTAATAGTTTTTTATATATGCTGGATATAATCCATATTTTATTGGATGTGTGATATGCAAATATCTTCTCTCAGTCTCCGAGTGGTCTTTTCACTTTGTTAATGGTGTCTTTTAAAGCACAAAGTTTTTAATTTCAATTAAATCTAGTACATCAAATTTTTCTTTGATCATGTGTGCTTTTGGTGTTGTGTCTAAGAAATTACTGCCTAACCCAAGTTTACAAAGATTTACTCCTATGTTTTCTTCTAAGAGTTTTGAAGTTTTAACTCTTACATATAGGTGCATAATCAGTTTTGAGTTAGTTTTTGTATATGGTGGGAGGCAGGGATCCAATTTTTTTTTTTGTGGGAAGGGCATGTGGATATAATGTGGATATAAATATTGATATTCAGTGTCCTAGCACCATTTGTTGAAAACACTATTTCTTTCCCTTTAAAATTTCTTGGCACCTTTGTTAAACATCAATTGACTATAAATGTAAGGGTGTATTTCTGGGCTCTGAATTTAATTCTATTGATTTATTTATCTGTCCTTATACTAATATTATATTGTCCTGATGACTAGTTTTGTAGTAAATTTTGAAGTTAGTCTTTCCACTTTGTTCTTTTTTTTTCCCCAAGATTGTTTTGGCTATTCTGCACCCTTTACGTTCCCATATGAGTTTTAGGATCAGCTTGTCAATTTCTGTAAAAAAGCTGGAAGGGATTTTGGTAGAGATTGTGTTGAATCTGTAGATCAATTTGGGGAGTATTGCCACCTTAGCAATATTAATAATATTACCATTTTAATGATATTACATCTTCCAATCCATGAACATGGGATATCTTCACAAGTATTGAGCTCTTCTTTAATATCTTTCAGTAATGTCTTGTGGTTTGCAGTGTATAAGTCTTGTACTTCATTTCTTAAAGTATTTGTATTTTAAGTTTTTAAAAATGTTATTATGAATGGAATTGTTTTCTATTTCATTTTTGGAGTGTTCATGGTTAGTATATAGAAATGCAATTAACTTTTGTATATTTCTCTTATATCTTGCAACCTTAGTGAACTTCTGGTAAGTTTGTTAGTGAATTTCTTAGATTTTTTTTTTTTATTTACAAGATCTTGTTGTCTGTGAATGAAGAGTGTTTTACTTCTTGATTTCCAAGATGAATGCCTTTGACAAAATATTTTTAGCCTAATTGGCTTAGCTAGAATCTCAAATATAGTGTTGAATAAAGGTAGAGAGAGTAGAAATCTTTTTTTTTTTTCCTGGCTTTAGAGGGAGACTTTCAATCTTTCACCAGTTCCTGTGATGTTAACTATAGATTTTTTCATAGATGCTGTTTATTATTATGTTGAAAGATTCTCTTCTATTCTCAGTATTTTTATCACGAATATTGGATTTTGTCAAATTTTTGTATCTATTGAGATTATCCTATAGTTTTTGTCCTTTATTCTGTTAATATGATGCATTACATGAATTGATTATCAGATGTTAAACTAATCTTGCAATCCTGGGATAAATCTTGCTTGGTTATGATACATAAATCTTTTATACGTTTCTGGATTTGGCTTGCCAGTATTTCATTGAGGATTTTGGGTGTATGTTCTCAAGGGGTATCCATCCTTTTATTTTTAACTTATTTGTATTTAAAATGTTTCTTGTAGGCAGCATATACTTGTATCATACTTCTTTATCCAGTCTGGCAATTTCTGCCTTTTAATTGGCATATTTTAAAGTATTCACACTTGTGATTCTTGATATAATTAAGTTCAAATCTATCATCTTGCTATTTGTTTTCTACTCATCCTATCTGTTCTTTGTTCCCCCTTTCTTTTTCTGCTTTCTTTTATTAATTGAGTATTTTAAAATTATTCCATTTTATCTCCTTTGTTGGCTTATAAGCTGTAACTCTGTTTTCTTATTTTAGTGGTTGTGTTAGGGTTTATAGTATATATCTTTAACTTTCTACAGTCAGTCCTCAAATGATATGATACCACATCACATATACTATAATTATTTACATTTTTACTTTTATTTCTCCCCCGGCCTTTGTGCTATTGATGTAATACATTTTAGTTTTACATATGTTACAAACCTTTTGTCTCAGTATAATTTTTTTGTCTAAGCTTTAATAAACTTGTAAAGAAATCCCAATAATAATAAATCATGTATTTATACTTATGGTGCACTTTATTCCTTTGTGTAGATTCATATTTCTATCAGATATTATCCTTTGGCCTGAAGGACATCATTTAACACTTCTTGTGGTGTAGCTCTGTTGGTAATATGTTCTTTCAACTTTTGTATGTCTGAAGAAGTCTTTATGTCACCTACATTTTTGAAAGATTTTCTCTGAGTGTCAAATTCTAGGTTGATGGGTTTTTTTCTTTCAGTACATTAAAGATCTTGCTCTACTGTTTTTGTTTTGTTTCCATTGAGAGCTATGCTACTATCCTTTTTAATTAATTAATTAATTTTTTGAGACAGAGTCTCTCTGTGTCACCCAGGCTGGAGTGCAGTGGCATGATCTCAGCTTATTGCAGCCTCTGCCTCCCAGATTCAAGTGATTCTTATGCCTCAGCCTCCCGAGTAGCTGGGATTACAAGCACACACCACCATGCTCAACTATATGCTGCTATTCTTAATCTTTGCTTTGATGTACATAACATGTCTTTTTTCTCTGGGTGCTTTTAAGATTTTCCCATCACTGTTTTTGAATGATGTTATTATGGCGTGGTGTGCATTGGTGTAGTTTTCTTCATGTTTCCTGACCTTAGTGTTGGCGGAGGTTCTTAGATCTGTGGTTTGTAGTTATCAAGTTTGGAAAATTTTGGCCATTATTTCTTCAAATATGCCCTCCCCCCTATCCCCAGTCTTCTTTGTGGACTCCAAATACATGTATTTTGGGTCACTTGAAATTGTCCCATGAGTCACAGATGCTTTTTATCATTTTGATGTTAGTCTTTTCTCTGTGTCTCATTTTAGTTAGTTTATCTTACTATGCCTTCAAGTTCATTAATATTTTCTTTTGCAATATCCAATCTGGTATTAATCCCATCCAGTATATTTTCCATCTCAGACATTATAGTTTTCATCTCTAGAAATTGGATTTGGGTCTTTTTAATATCGTCCATATCTCTACTTAACCTTTTGAACATATTGAGTCCAGCTATAACTATTTTAGTGTCCTCAACTGCCTTGTCTCAATTTTAGGTTGTTTCTAATTGATTGATTTTTTTTTCCTCTTCATTATGGGTTCTATATATTTTTTTGCTTCCTTGTATACCTGGTACTTTTTTTAATTGAATACCAGACATTGTGAGTTTTACCTTGAATGCTGGATATTTTTGGATTTCTGTAAATTTGCTTTGGGACACAGTTAAGTTTTGTGTAAACAATTTGATCCCTTTTCCAGTCTGATTTGTGGGGACAAGCATCACTCCTGACCTTGGTGAATACCAGTTATGTATAGTTTTTGTAAATTTTTCTGGTGTTTTTTTCCCGCAGTCTTGTGTAGCTTCCTTTTTTTGTGTGTGTGCTGATCAGTACTCTGTTGAATACTTGAGTGGGACCCTCTGCTGATCTCCATTGTTCTCTGTATGTACCTCTTTATTCTACAGTAGTCTGTTATGCAAACTCTCGCTGCCTTATTCTCCACATACTTTCAGCTTTGTCTCTTCATTTCAGAAAATCTTCTCGGCTTTGCTTGGGTAATTTCCCATGGCCTGGAAACTCCCTCAAGGGAGTAAGGTGGAAGGCTTACCTCATTTAGTTCCTATTTCTCAGTTCTTTGCTGTCTGATAGCCAGTGTCTTGAAAATTGCTGTTCCATATATTTTATTTGCTTTTCAGGTGGTAGGATAAATCTGTCTCTGTTACTCTATTTTGTACAAAAGTAAAATATCCATGTGTTTTTTAACTGTCTTTCCTGTAGTGTATTACTGGGTGTTCATTTTAATTAGATTTCACATTTCATTCATATAAACTTTTCTCTCTTTCTACTACCTTCCTCCATCTTCCCCAACTCATTTTGGATGACTCAAGGCCATCAATGTTGAGGACTTTTCCCCCTGAAGTAGCAGTCATTTTTAACCAATTCTACCACATTCCTGTCATGGTTAATGTTAAATATTTGCAAACTGATTGGGGTCAGAGATGTGGTTTGATGAATATATTCTTAGTTTTTATGGGAGATAGTTGTACTTTGTTTCCTTATCTATCAACTAGGTATTTGCTGAGTTCCAATTATATTCCCAGCATCATGTAGTGTGCTGAGTGCTAAGCAGAAAGTGAGTACAATATTGTTTTTGAGCAGTTTATGTTCTAACAGGGGAGACAGAACAAGATCTCATAAAATGTTAAGAAAAATGTTAAACTTTTTTTTTTTAAAGACACTAGACATTTAGAGATGAGAGACTATTCGTTTGATTTGGGTGGTTACGGAGTATTTTACTCTGATATGCTGGGGCTGAACAGGGCCTTTGAAAACGCATACATTTTAAAAATGGAAATAGTCACAAGATGTAATGGAAGAGAAGATACCATTTATGATAGCCAAGCAAATTATACAGGCATACACTTAATGAGAAATCTTCAGAATTTTTATGAGAACTCTAAAAACTCCTAAAGGTATAAGCATAAACTTGAACAAATATAAAGATATACTATGTTCTGTGTAGGAAGACTCAATATTCTTAGAGATGTCAGTTTTAAAAAAATAATTTAGAAGTTTAATATGATCCTGATGAAAGTACCATCAGATTTTTCCTCCTAGGGCTAGACAGATTATAAAGTTCATTTTCGAGAACAGACAAGCAAGAATAGCTAAGAAAATGCAGAAAGTGAAGAGGGGTAAAGATGACTTGTCTTGCTACATGTTATAACATGATATAAGAATTTAAGATTAAAATGATATACCATTGGTACAGGAATAGACAGAACAATTGAAGAGAATAGAAAATACACAATAAACCCAATTGCATATGGAAATTTAATGTGTACTAAAGGGAGCATCCTGTAAGTGGAGAAAATATGGAATTTTTAATATGTGGTGTTTGTGCTAATGAGATAGCGAATTGGGAAGAGGAAAGTTTGAATCCATTTCTCATACTGTATAACAGGATGTCAGTATAGAAAATAATACTGTACTAAGTACTGGAAGAAAACATGGGTAAATTATTTTATGATTTGTATAACACACACACTTTGGCATAGCAGAAACACCATAATCAAAGTAAAAAGATAAATGACAAACCAGAAGGATGTTTGCCACTTGTATAATGGACAAAGTGTTAATCTCTCAAATATCTAAAGAGCTTCAAAAACTGGAGAAGAAAAAGACCAACAGCTTTATGAAAATGTCGGCAGGAGACAGTGAATAGAATTCATATAAACAATTACAGATTAATCTTATATGACAAGAAGCTCAACATCACTTATAATAAGAGAGATATAAATTAAAACAACACAGTATATCATTTCTTTCCTATCACACTGGCAAAAGTCCATGGTATTAAGCATCAGTTTGACAGTGTATTTTGTTGGTAACAGAAAAAGGTACTCTTACATATTGCTATTGGGAATGCAAAATGGTGTGCTTCAGAGAGAATTTTGGCAATACAAGCAAAATTACACATATACACCTTTTGGCCCCATAGTCTTATCTCTAGGAATCTATCTTACAGATATATACTGAGAAATATCTGAGAAATATGTGTGCACAAAGCTACTGTGGCACTACTTCTAATAACAAAAGATGAAACAATTTAAAATTTGATCTGAATTTCAACAAAACAACTATACAAATTGAGACCATAGGGGAAATTTGAACAGTGAACAAGTAGTTGATGACATTAATTATTTTACACATGATAATACTATTATGGTTATGTTTAAAAAGAGCAACATTTTAGAAATGTTTGATATGTTACCATTCATTACAGATACTGTTTGTATTAATACTTGAAATGATTCACCTTCAGCCAGTGAGAGCCCCTTGAAGTTAACTCCTAAGTCCTTTGCCACATCTTTTGGAGATCATTATTTATGTGTTTATGGATGAAATTATATGATTAGAATTTATTTCAAAATAATCCAAAGGACAGGGTATATGGGGAGGCAGAGATGAAATAAGATTTGCCATGAGTTGATAATTATTTTAATCTGAGTGATTAGGGTTTTGTTATACTTCTTCGCATATGTTTAAAACCTCCTGTGAAAAACGTATGGAGTTTAAGTAGGCATAAATGAAGGCAGTGCATTTAGAACAAAGGCACTGAGACCAAGGACAATAGGAAATTGGACATGAAGTTCTTATACAATTTAATTTCCTGGTAAATGTAAAATAGACTTCCTTTATTTGCTCTATATCTTATTTGTGGTGTCTTTTTGTGTGTATGTGATGTAGTGCTTAAGGTATACTTTTCTATTAGTATAACTCTAAAGATTAAAATAATTCATGAAGTATGCAGTTTATTTGTTTATTGGTGCCCATT
Source organism: Homo sapiens (assembly GCF_000001405.40). Classification (NCBI taxonomy): domain Eukaryota; kingdom Metazoa; phylum Chordata; class Mammalia; order Primates; family Hominidae; genus Homo; species Homo sapiens. The sequence continues at coordinate 91,815,316 of NC_000014.9, read as the reverse complement.
ATAGGGCCTTTGAATTACCAGAATAATTGATCTGGAGGAAGTGAATGTTTTCTCACACTTTTTATGGGGTGCCATGTTTTCTTTTAACTTTTGCTTGAACATAGATTTAGATAGATCAGGTGAAAGAGAAAAATTGTTTTAGTTATACTATATGTGTATTTATTAGAGTATAATAATGAATAAACTTTCCTTTAAGATACTTAGTTTCTTTATCAGCTTTTTAATTTCATCTCCATTTCTCCTAGTCTGTTTTTATTTATCCCTGTGTTCTCCTACCTCTCTAACCCTGTCTCCTTTACCACTCTTTACTTTTTTTTAAATATGCTTTTTCTTTACTTTTCAAATTGAACAAATTGTATGTATTTATTGTATACAATGTGATGTTTTGAAGTGCCTATACATTGTGAAATGATTAAATCTAGCTTACATCTGCATTACCTGACATAGTTATTTTTGTGGAGAGAACAGTAAACATCCAGCCTTAGCATCTCTCAAGAGTACTGCAGATCTTCATTAGCTATATTCACATGGAGTAATGCTATTCAACCTATTTCTCTTATCAAAACTAATTTTGTATTCTTTGACCAATGTTCCTAAATTCACTCTGCTTCTCTATCTCAATCTTTTTCCCCTTTTCTCATCTTTCCTCCTTTTTTCAGTTTCTAACTTTCACTGTTTCTTTGAATGTTTTTTCTTTTCATCTCTTTTCTTTTACATTTTGTGTTTTCCCCTCTCCTTTTCTTACCTCTTTCTCCATCCTTCTTTTTCTTTGATTTGTCTGCCCTTTTATACTTCTCATCTTGCTGTCATCTTCATTTCTCCTTCCCTCTCTCTCCGCTTCATTCTACTCTTCTCCTCTTTATTTCTTTTCTCTCTCTGTGCCTCAGCTCACTCTGTCTCTCCTGCTGTCTAGTCTCCACTCTCTATTTCTAGGTTTGCCCTTGACTTTTTTTTTTTTTGACCTTTCCCTTTTCATCTCCCTTCCCAAACATTTCTTCCTAATTCTATGTGCTCTTGTCTTAGGTTTCTTGCTGTTTTATCAGCACATGTCCTAGTTTACCTCTTTCTTTTTTCTTCTTTCTCTCTTTTTTTCTTTGTTTTTCTGTATTTCTTCCATGTTGCTCTTCTTTTTCCACACTGTCCCTTCTCTCTCTCTCTCTCTCATAAACACACCCCTCTTGTTACTCTATATCTCTTCACTCAATCTTCCATCTTATTTTTCGTGAAAGAAAATTAAGAATGGAATTTTTCTTTTTTTTTCCAGATTTTAACATTGAGATTGTTCATTTAGTAATTTTTAAACATAATTTTAATAACTTACAAATAAGTTATACAGAATTTCATATGGTTACAAAAATCTATCTTCCTCAAGTATTTTTGCTTCAGAATCCTCATTATGTCTTAGAAAGACAGATAATGTGGTTTATTTAGTAATATCTAATGGTATTAAGCATGACAAGCAGGTTAACTTGTTTTCTATTCTACCAACAGATTAATATTAAGATTGGAAGTTTGTGTCTTTTGCTGGATATTGGAAATTGAATGTAATGGCAACAGAATTTATAAAGAGTTGCTGTGGAGGATGTTTCTATGGTGAAACAGAAAAACACAACTGTGAGTTTTATTTTGACTTCAGTAACATTTATGTAGCATCTTCTTCATTTGTGGCATTTTGTAATATAAAGAATTAGGCATGTTTTCCAACTTCTTAGGGGAGGCAGAAACATAAGGCACACTAAGTAAATATTCCATAACTTCAAGTAGTCTGGAGCATAGGGGAGAGAGAGAGTAATTCAACCCAGGGGATTCGTAAGATATTACCATAAAGAAAATTGCATTTGCTATGGAAATCTGAATAGGATTTTAGCAAGTTGGGTGGGAAGAAGGAAGAGAAACTGAAAATTGGACATGGGCATTACAGGTGGATGAAATAGTACAGGCAAAGACAGGGAGGGAAGAGAAGTATGTTTGGGAGACAACATATTCTGACCAATGTTTTGATTTAAATAAAGACAATCTACAATATGTGTATAACATTAAAAATGCCTTGAATGAATGAATGACCAATGGGGAAGAGACTCATAACTATGAAGACTCACATTTATTAAGGACCCCTGGAGAGTTCTTTTTCTATTGCATGGCTCCCTTATCTCTTCTCTGGCACTTTTATTTCCTAATCTACAGCAGAGCTTCATAGTATATTTGAGTATGAAGCCTTCTTTTTTACATTAAAACATTTCATAAATTTCTACAGAATAGTACTTGTACTTTCAGTCTACAGATAGCATTATATATATATAAAGAATAACTTACCTCCCATCTTAAATCATGTAGCTTAGGAATCACATATGATTCTAAAGAATGAATAAAATGGGTCATAGAAGCTACGACTGGGGTAGCTGCCAGCAACAAAAGAATTGCTTTTGTTGACAGTAGTTTTAAATGACTAGATTTTTACTTGAAAGCACTATATAACTGACTACAAAATAAAATTGTTTTCCATCTATGAATTCTTTTGGGAATAAGACTCTTTAAAGCTGCTTTTACCATTATGATAAGTTAATGCACTTTAACAGTAGTGTATTAATTGCTCAAATATCGTCTGGACAAAATTAATGTAGATTCCAGAAGTGTTTGGTAAGACCCAAGAGTAGTTTATGTGTCAGGAATTTCTTCTAAAATGGTTAAATAAATATCAAAGTATGCTAGGTTTAGATTATTATATGTAACCTATATTCATATTTGTGACTTTTTTTTTCTTTTATATGCAGTTTCTGTGGAAAGAGATTTTAAAGCAGCAGTCCCAAATAGTCAAAATGCTACTATCTCTGTACCTCCATTGACTTCTGTTTCTGTAAAGCCTCAGCTTGGCTGTACTGAGGATTATTTGCTTTCCAAATTACCATCTGATGGCAAAGAAGTACCATTTGTGGTGCCCAAGTTTAAGTTATCTTACATTCAACCCAGGACACAAGAAACTCCTTCACATCTGGAAGAACTTGAAGGTAAACAATAAAATAGCAGTATTTAAAAATCGATATGTAGCATTTAAGTGCTATTATTTTACTTTTATATTTTTAATACAAAATTCATATAAAATTTTTTTATTTTACTTTTTATATTTTGCTCTTTCTGTAGAAGAACTTAATGTACAGTAGTTTTGAAAGGTCCCATTTTGAAATCTGATCATAATACAATAATTTGTATGTAGAATTGGCCTTTTTTCAAGAAATAATATGTAATTGGCCCTCCATATCTTTGGGTTCCACATCTGTGGATTTAACCAACTGCACCTCAAAAATATTCAGAAAAAAAAAAAGAATGATTGCATCTGTACTGAACATGTGCAGACTTTTTTCTTGTCATTTTTTCCCTGAACAATACAATATGACAACTATCTCAGTAGCATTTACATTGCGTTAGGTATTATAAGTAATCAAGAGATGATTTAAAGCATATGGGAGGATGTGCATAGGTTATGTGCAAATACTACACCATTTATATAAGGGACTTGAGCATCCATGGATTTTGGTATCCATAGAGGGCTGGAACCAATCCCCCACATATACTGAGGGATAACTGTAATTAGAATACCTCAGTTATCCGTCACATGTCTAGAATGAAAAAGTAAAGGAGTTAGTAAATGTAGAAAACATGTTTCTTATTTATTAATTTCTAATATTTGGTTAGTAATCACTTTTCCTTCTCTTCTTTCTTCTACCAGGTTGTACTTCCCAGTCTAAATAGTTACTTGAATGAGGTAGATCCATTGGCAGAATTTGGCTGATGTAGAAGCCAAATTATTAGAGAGAAGATGAAACAACATGTAGCTCTTGTCTTGTTTTTTTAAAAAACAATTTGTATTAGTCCATTGAAACACTGTAAGTCACAATAGCTTTTTTACCCTCAAAATTTTATTAGAAAAATTTCAAACATACAGGAAAATAAAAAAAAAACTTAATAGTGAAGACCTGTATGTCCACCACATAAATTCTGCCATTAAGATTACTTACTATACTTGCTTTAGCAAATATCTGTCTACCTATCCATTCTTCTATCCATTATTAATCCACTTTTTGGAGAGGAATGAATTTCAGAGTAAATTGAAGACACCAATATATTTCCTTGCAAACACTTAAACATATATATCATTTACTGGGTTCAACGATCTCTTTACAGTTTTCTTCTTTTGGCATAAATTTTACACACAGTGAGCTGCCCAAGTGAGTATTTGTAGAATTTTGTGTGTATTTGTTGAATTTTAAGTGTATATTTGTTGAATATTGACAAAAGTATATGTCAGTGTAATCCAAATCTCTATCAAGATCTACAATATTTGTCCAAATATTTTTTGTCTTATCCCCTCTCTTTTCTGCTTCTGGGATTCCGATTATACCTATGTTGAACCTTTTGATATTGTTCTATGGGTCTCTGAGACTTTTTTTTTTCAAGTATCTTTTTTTCTCTGTTCTTTAGATTCAATAATATTGATCTTTTTTTCAAGTTCACTGTCTCGTCTGTTATCTTTAGCCTGCTGTTAAGCCTATTCATGAATTTTTTATTTTAGACATTGCATTTTTTAGTTCTAGAGTTTACATTTGGTTCTTTGTTATAGATTTCCTCTACTGCAATTTCTTATTTTTACAGTATTGCAAACCTATTTTCTTTTATGTTTTTAAGCTTTAAAATCTTTATCTGGTGATTTCAGCATCTTGATCATCTAGGTTTGGATTCTGTGGATTGTCTTTTTTCTTGAAAATAGATCACATTTTCCTGTTTCTTTGTATATGGAGTAATTTGGGGTTGTATTCTTGATATCAATATCAAAAATATTGAATGTTATGTTGTGGAGACTCTAGATTCAGTTACATTCTTCTGAAAAGGTTCCTTCTTTCCTCCCTTTCTCCCATCCTCCCTTCCTACTTCTCTTCTTTCATCCCTCCCTTCCTCCTTCCCTTTCTCCTTTCCCTCCTGATATGGTTTGGATGTTTGGCCCCGCCAAATTCATGTGATTCCCAATGTTGGAGGTGGGGCCTGGTGGGAGGTGTTTGGATCATGGGGGCAGATCCCTCATGTATGGCTTAGCACCATCTCCTTGGTGATAAGTGAGTTCTAGCTCTGAGTTCCTGTGAGATCTGGTTGTTTAAAAGAGCCTGGCACCTCCACTGCCCATCTCTTGCTCCTGCTGTTGCCGTGTGATGTGCCTGTTCTCTTTTTGCCTTCTGCCATGATTGTAAGCTTCCTGAGTCCCTGATTAGAAGCAGATGCTGGCACCATGCTTCCTGTACACACTACAAAACAGCAAGCAAATGAAACTGCTTTTCTTTATAAATTACCCATCCTCAGATATTCCTTTATAGTGGCACAAACAGACTAACACACCTTCCTTCCCTTCCTTCCTTTCTTTCTTCCTCCCTCCTACCAGACAAGTAAACTGGTTGGACTTAAACTACAGATTTTGTCTTGGGTGGCAGCTCTTGGGTGGTAGTTCAGAGATGAGACAGATATTTGAAAAGGCTTTATTTACAGAATTTGGGAATCTCTCCTTTCCAGGATTCCCACCTTACTTTCCTGCAGCTCTGATTTTCTTGAACTGTACCCTGTGGTTCTTCAGGCTAGAAAGACTGTGAGTTTTCTATTGGGGTTTTATATACCCTGCGTGTTGCCAACTTTGATGTGTACTCAGGCTAAAAGTCATTAAAAACAGATAACTCACTTTGTGCCATTACCTTTTTCCCCAGAATCAACTCCTGTCCAGATCTGTATTACTTTTCTTTACTCTTCATTGCCTTCAGGGTTTTTATTTTCTTGCTTTGTTTTAGTTTTGGTCTAGAGTTTATTGTTACCTACAAGAGAGTTGGGTCTGGTAGGAGTGATTTTTTAAATTTTAAATTAAAATTTGTTTTTTTGAGACAGAGTCTCACTCTGTTGCCCAGGCTGGAGTGCAGTGGCATGGTTTTGGCTTACTGCAGCCTCCATCTCCTGTGTTCAAACAATTCTCATGCCTCAGCCTCCTGAGTAACTAGGACTACAGGTGCACACCACCACACCCAGCTAGTTTTTGTATTTATAGAGATGGGGTTTCATCATGTTGGCCAGGCTGGTCTTGAACTCCTATTCTCAAGCATTCCACCCACCTTGGGCTCCCAAATTGCTGGGATTACAGACGTGAGCTACCATGCCTGGCCCAATTTTAATTTTTTAGAGAAAAGAAAAGATGAACCTAGTGCCTGGCCTATCATCTTACTTTGCGCATATCAATAGTGTTTCTCAAAAATAGTTTTAAAAAGTTCTGGCTTACAGAATACCCAATCAATTGATCTTTCTCTTTTTTTTTCATACTTATTAACAACATTGGGATTAAACCATGCAGCCTTGTAAGTTGTTTCATCCACATAATATGTTGTGAACATTTCATATTTGTTGCTTTTTGATGAATACATAGTATTTCTTCATATGGACATACTGTAATTTTTTTAATGAATTTTCTATTCTTAAATAATTTTGAGTTTTTACTCTATTATTTTCATAATCAGAAAAAAGGTAAGAAATATCCACCTGGAAATATGTGATAGTTTTTCTTATGTTCTTGACATTGTGCTCACTAGAAAACATTGCTTTTTGAGTTGAATGAGGAAGAAATTGGTTAACTCCTAAATTATAGGTTCACTGAAGAAGTGGTAAAACCATCTGATTTGTATATATTAAAGAGAAAATTACTTTTATTAGAGTCAAGAAAGTAAGGTGGTACCTAATTAAAGAAGTTAAATATGTGTATGTATGTATGCACGTGAATGATGGGTTGAGAAAAGAGAAGATTTTGAGTGAATAGAGCAGACTGCTATCAATAATGACTAAAATTGTGTTGCAAGCACAGTCAGGAATCATTTAACAATGGCGATATGTTCTGAGAAATGTTGTTGTTAAGCTATCTTATAATTGCATGGACAGTGTAGAGGCACTTACACAAACCTAGATGGTGTAGCCTACTAAACACTTAGGCTATATGGATACCATATTTCTCCTAGGCTACAAACCTATACAATATGTTACTATGCTGTATACTATACTAAATACAGTATTCAGTACAGTAAAAATATGGTATAAAAGTTAAAAGATGATACACCTTGTATTAGTCTGTTCTCACGCTGCTGATGAATACATACCTGAGACTGGGTAATTTATGATGAAAAAGAGGTTTAATGGAATCACAGTTCCATGTGGCTGGGAAGGCCTGACAATCATGGCAGAAGGTGAAAGGCATGTCTTACATGGCAGCAGGTAAGAGACAATGAGAGCCAAGCAAAAGGGGAAACCCCTTATAAAACCATCAGATCTGAGACTTATTCACTATCACAAGAACAGTATGGGAGAAACTGCCCCTATGATTCAATTATCTCCTACCAGGTGTCTCCCACAACATGTGGGAATTAGGGGAGCTACAATTCAAGATGAGATTTGGGTGGGGACACAGCCAAACCATACCATTCTGCCCCTGGCCCCTCCCAAGTCTCACATCCTCACATTTCAAAACCAATTATGCCTTCCCAACAGTCCCCCAAAGTCTTAACTCATTTCAGCATGAACTCAAAAGTCCACAATTCAAAGTCTCATCTGAGACAAAGCAAGTCCCTTCCGCCTATGAGCCTGCAAAATCAAAAGTTAATTACTTCCTAGATACAATAGGAGTATAGACATTGGATAAATACACCCATTCCAAATGGGATAAATTGGCTGAAATGAAGGGGCTAAGGGCCCCATGCAAGTCCACAATCCAGCAGGGCAGTCAAATCTTAAAGCTCCAGAATGATAACCTTTGACTCCATGTCTCGCATCCAGGTCATGCTAATGCAAGAGGTGGGTTACCATGGTCTTGGGCAGCTCCACCCCTGTGGCTTTGCAAGGTACAGCTTCCCTCCTAGCTGCTTTCACGGGCTGGTGTTGAGTATCTGTGGCTTTTCCAGGTGCACAATGCAAACTGTTGGTGGATCTACCATTCTGGGGTCTGGAGGATGGTGGCCTTCTTCTCACAGCTCTACTAGGCAGTGCCCCAGTGGAGACTCTGTGGGGGCTTCAACTCCACATTTCCCTTCCATACTGCCCTAGCAGAGGTTCTCCATGAGGGCCCCACCTCTGCAGCAAACGTTTGCCTGGACATCCAGGCATTTCCTTACATCCTCTGAAATCTAGGAGGAGGTTCCCAAACCTCAATTCTTGTGACTTCTATGCACCTGCAGGCTCAACCATGTGGAAGCTGCCAAGACTTGGGGCTTCCACCCTCTGAAGCCATGGCCCAAGCTGTACCTTGGCCCCTTTAGCCATTGCTAGAGCAACTGGGATGCAGGGCACCAAGTCCCTAGGCTGCACACAACAGGGGGGCCCTGGGCCTGGCCCATGAAACCACTTTTTCCTCCTGGACCTCTGGGCCTGTGATGGGAGGGCTTGCTGCAAAGGTCTCTGACATAGCCTGAAGACATTTTCCCATTGTCTTGATGATTAACATTTGGCTCCTTGTCACCTATGCAAATTTCTGCAGGTGGCTTGAATTTCTCCTCAGAAAATGTGTTTTTTTTTTCTATTGCATTGACAGTCTGCAAATTTTTCGAACTTTTATGCTCTCTTTTAAAACTGAATGCTTTTAACAGCAGCCAGGTCACCTCTTGAATGCTTTGCTGCTTAGAAATTTCTTCCACCAGATACCCTAAATCATCTCCCTCAAGTTCAAAGTTTCGGAAATCTCTACAGCAGGGGCAAAATGACACCAGTGTCTTTGCTAAAACATAGCAAGAGCCACTTTTACTGCAGTTCCCAACAAGTTCCTCATCTCTACCTGAGACCACCTTGGCCTGGATTTCATTGTCTATGTCATTATCAGCATTTTGGTCAAAGCCACTCAACAAGTCTCTAGGCAGTTCCTAACTTTCCCACATCTTCCTGTCTTCTTCTGAGCCCTCCAAACTGTTCCAACCTCTGCCTGTTACTCAGTTCCAAAGTTGCTTCCACATTTTTGGGTATCTTTACAGCAGCACCCCACTCCTGGTACCAGTTTACTATATTAGTCCATTTTCATGCTGCTGATGAAGACATACCTGAGTTTAGGTAATTTATAAAGAAAAAGAGGTTTAATGGACTCACAGTTCCACGTGGCTGGGGAGGCCTTACAATCATGGTGGAAGGAGAAAGACACATCTTACATGGTAGCAGGCAAGAGAGAATGAGAGCCAAGCAAAAGGGGAAACCCCTTTAAAAAAACCATCAGATCTCTTGAGACTTATTCACTACCACAAGTACAGTCTGGGGGAAACTGTCCCCATGATTCAGTTATCTCCCACCAGGTCTCTCCCACAACACATGAGAATTATAGGAGCTACAATTAAAGATGAGATTTGGATGGGGACACAGCCAAGCCATATCACACCTGTATAGGGCATTTATCATGAATGGAGCTTGCAGGGCTGTAAGTTGTTTTGGGTGAGTCAGTGAGTGAGTAGTGAGTGAATGTGAAAACTAGGACATTACTGTATACTACTGTGGATTTTATAAATGCTGTACCCTTAGGATATACTAAATTTATTAAATATATTTTTGTTTCTTCAACAATAAATCACCCTTAGCTTACTGTAACTTTTTACTGTATAAACTTTTTTTTTTTTGAAACGGAGTCTCAGTCTGTCACCAAGCTGGAGTGCAGTGGCACGATCCTGGCTCACTGCAACCTCTGCCTCCCAGGTTCAAGCGATTCTCCTGCCTCAGCCTCCCAAGTAGCTGGGACTACAGGCGCGGGCCACCACACACAGCTAATTTGTATTTTTAGTAGAGACTGGATTTCACTATGTTGGCCAGGATGGTCTTGATCTCTTAACCTCGTGATCTGCCCACCTCGCCCTTTCAAAGTGCTGGGATTACAGGCGTAAGCCGCCATGCCTGGCCTAAACTTTTAAATATTTTAAAACTTTTGACTTTTTTGTAATAATACTTGGCTTAAATATAAACACAGTGTGCAGCTATACAAAAATATTTATATCCTTACTCTATAAGCTTTTTTCTATTAAAAACTTTTTTTTTTACTTCTTAAACTTTTTTGTTAAAAACTTAGACACAAACATCCACATTAGCCTAGGCCTACGTATCTTGATGACAATCATTGCCATGTCACTAGACCATAGGAACTTTTTGGCTTCATTATAATCTTATGGAACCACTGTCGTATATGTGGTCCATAGTTGACCACAATGTTGTTATACAGAGAATTACAATAATTTAAACCTTTGAAGAATTTAGCTTTATGTCTACATATTATTCCCAACATGATTATTAACCTTGAAAGGAATTTGACCTATATTTTCTTTTTTAAATTATGAAATATTATACACGTAGAAAAATGCACAAAACAGAAACATACAGCTCAGTGATTTATTACAAAGCAGAATACCCATGTAGGTACAGCCTAGGTAAAGACATAGAGTAGTACTAGTAACCCCATAGCTTCTCTCCATTTTTTTGCCTTTCAGTCACCCTAGAGTGTTCAGTGTCACCATTGTTACAATCATGACTCTCTTGCCTTTCTTCTTACCACCTAAGCTCATATCCCTGAATATTGTAGTTTAATTTTTTCTGTTTTCTGAACTTAATATAAATAATTTATTCAGTCTGTATTCTTTTGTTTATGGTTTTCTCATTCAACATTATGTTTTTTAGATTAATTCAAGTAATTGTCAGTAGTTTTAGTTTGTTTTTGTATCTGTACAGTAAGTGTATATTATAATTCGTTCTGTATTCTAAATGGCATAGTGTACAGTAGTGTTTCTGTGTAGCATATTATAAGGAATTTGTATGTAGTAAGTATATACTATATCTATTTTACTGTTGATGGAATTTTGAGTTTTCCAATTTTTTGGCTATTATGGGTAATAATACTTACGAACATTCTTATACCTATCTCTTGGTGCACATGTACAAGCACTTCAGTTGTGTATATGTTCAGAATGGCTTGTTGGGTCATAGAATATAAATATCTTCGGCTTTAGTAGAAATTGCCAAACTCTTTTTCCATAGTGATTATATCAATTTACATTTCCACTAGCAGAGTATGATCGTTTACATTCCTCTACTTTCTTGCCAACACGTACTATTGTCCGTCTTTTTGCTTTTAACCATTCTGGTGAGTGTGTAGTGGTATTTCCTTGGGTTTTCAACTTATTTTTTCCTCATGACTAATGAGATTGATTGTCTTCTGAAGTGCCTATCAATGTCTTAAGCCAATTTATGTATAGTCTCGTCTGTCTTTTTCTTATTGATTTCTTATGATTTGTAGGTGTTCCTCATGTATTCTGGATATGAGCCCTTTATGGCCATACCACCCTGAATGCTCCTGATCTCATCTGATCTCAGAAGCTAAGCAGGGTCGGGCCTGGTTAGTACTTGGATGCATATGAGCCCTTTGTCAGTTATACTTGTTGCACATATCTTCTTTCACTCTGTGGGTTACCTTAAATAGTCTTTGACAAATGGGAATTTTAAATTTTAATGTAGTTTAGTTTATTAAAATATGTCTATGATTAGGCTGGTCGTGGTGGTTCATGCCTGTAATCCCAGCACTTTGGGAGGCTGAGGCGGTGGATCACTTGAACCCAGGAGTTCAAGACCAGCCTGGCCAACATGGTGAGTGAAACCCCATCTCTACTAAAAATACAAAAACTTAGCTGGCGTGGTGGCGTGTGCCTGTAATCCCAGCTACTTCGGAGGCTGAGGCAGGAGAATAGCTTGAACCCAGAAGGTGGAGGTTTCAGTGAGCCGAGATCATGCCACTGCATTCCAGCCTGGGCAACAGAGTGAGAATCAACTTCAAAAATAATAATAAATAAATAAATAAAATTATATATATATATGTGTGTGTGTGTGTGTATGTATGTACGTGTGTGTGTGTGTGTGTGTGTATATATGTATGTATATGATTAATGCTCTTTATGTTCCATTTAAGAAATGCTTCCCTGTCCTAAGGTCATGAAAACTTTCTTATCAGTTAACCTGAATATAGAAGCTTTATTGGTTTGTCTGTAATATTTCATTTAGATCTACAATCCCCATGGAACTAATTTTTTTGTGAATATCTTTAGTTGAATGCAGGCTTATTTTTTCCCTGTTGATATCCAGTTGTCTTATCACCTTTTAGTGAAAAGATCATTCTTTCTTGTGCAGTGCCACCTTAATTATAAAGTAAGTGTTCATGAAACGGGTGTCTATTTCTAGGCCTTCTTTTCTTTGCTATTGATCTCTTTTTCTATCACTTACCAATATTATATTCCTAATTCCCAGTAGAGCGAATCTTTCAGTCTTGTTTTTCTTCTTAAAGATTAAGTTTTTGGTTATTCTTGGTCTTTAGTGTTTCCATATAAATAGTTTTTATTTTTATTTTTGCTATTTGATTTCCAACTTAATTGCATTGTAGTAAGAAAACGTACTTTGTATGATTTCAGTCCTTCCAAATTTGAGAGTTTCTCGGTGTATCTCAGCATGTGGTCAATTTTAATAAATGTTCTACGTCTTCTTGAAAAGGATGTATCTCCCCCCCCAATCTTGTAATTTAAAAGATGTTCTATATATAAGTAGAAAAATAAGAGGAAACTCAGATCACACAATACAGAATTGTCTATGGGGCAAAGAAAAATGCCAGAAATATACCAGACTGTCTTAAATGCAGGCTTAATGGCTGATCCTTGGCATAATACTTCACACAGAACTCCCTAAATATGTGCTGATCTTTTTAGCTATCAAAGACATGTGATTTAGTATTACTTGAGACAAAATATTTTTTCTTTTACCCTGGGTGTACCAGCTGTTGGCTAATAACTCCAAGAAAAGGATGTTATAAACTTTTAGAAACATTTGCTTTCAGGATCTGCCAGAGCATCTTTTGGAGATCGAAAGGTAGAACTTTCCAGTTCATCCCAGCACGGACCTAGCTATGATGTGTATAACCCATTCTATATGTATCAGCACATTTCACCTGATTTGAGTCGACGCTTTCCTCCCCGTTCAGAAGTGAAGAGACTGTATGGATCGGGTATGAAGATCTTTTGTGCTTTTCCTCTCTGTGTTTCTCTTTAAGAAATTTAGAAATCAAATGTAAGATATGGGAATAAATGATTTTTACTATTAAAAGCATTTTAAAAATAAGAAAACAAGCTTCATAAATGTGATAAACGTTATGACATCTCTGTAGTATTATATCTAATATAAGAATTGAAAGATTAATGAGTTATATCTGTTGGTAGTTCTAAATTCCATTTAATTTCCCTTTTTTGAAAGAAGCTTTGGTTCAAGAGATCTTTTATACAACATGGAGACTATAGTTAATTATGATATATTCTTGAAAAGTGCTAAGAGAGTGGATATTAGGTGTTCTCAAAACACTTTTTGTTATCATTCAAAAGTGATAACTGTGAGGTAATACATTTGTAAATTAGCTAGATTTAATCATTCTGCAATGTATATATACTTTAAAGCATTATGTTGTTCATGATAAATACATATAACAAAAGAGAAAGAAGTTAGCTACATACCAGGTACAAGGGAAAAAACATAAAGAAGAAAGAAGTTTTGTTTTCAGATTATTTTGTCTTTTTGTTGTTGTTGTTGTTTTGAGACAGAGTCTCACTTTGTTGCCCAGGCCGGAGTGCAGTGGTGCAATCTCAGCTCACTGCAGCATCAACCTCCCAGGCTCAAGTGATTCTCACACCTCAGCTCCCCATCACCCCTGCCCCACCGCAGAAGCTGGGGCTACAGAAGTGTGCCACCACACCTGACTAATTTTTTTGAATTTTTTTGTAGAGATGGGGTTTTGCCATGTTGCCCAGGTTAGGCTCAAAATCCTGGGCTGAAGCAATCCTCCTGCCTTGGCCTCCCAAATTGCTGGGATTACAGGCATGAGCCACTACACCAGCCCAGATTATTTTGTATGCATTTCACTTGTCACCTGTATATTCATAAACTCTTCAACAGCTATTTGTACATAGATATGTTGTACTAAATACAGTAATATTTTTTTCATTTTTTTCTGTATTCAGTGAAAATGATGAATTTAGAAACTCATGGTGTGATGGGAAATATAAACAAACTGCTTAAGTGATTATAGAGCTTTTGTAGTTTCATATTTGAGACTGTGTGAATTATAGTCTATCATGTTCGTCTGTGATTCACAAAATTCTCAGTTTTTCAGGATATATATATATATATACACACACACATATATATGTATGTGTATATATGTATATATGTATACATATGTGTGTGTATATATATGTATATATGTATACATATGTGTGTGTATATATATGTATATATGTATACATATGTGTGTGTGTATATATATATATCTCTCTCAACCAGTGAATTTAGGGTGAGGTACTGAAAATAAAGAAGAAATGCTTATTTAAGGGCCTGCCTTACGTTCACTACTGTGCTAGAATATACAATTGGCATACAAAGTTCCTTTCTTCACAGATCTTACAGTGTAGGAGGGAAACTAAAAATACAGACTAGAAATATAGGAGCACATGGGATTGAGTATTGATTTTTAAAAGTAATACATGCTTATTAATAATAAATAGTTGCACTACACTTAATACAGAGTGTTTACTCTTAGATTATATTTATTGGATCAAGGAATGGGGAATGTAAAGAAAAAAGTAATTTTCCCTGTTTGATAATTGATGTGGATGTGAAAATGTGTTGTTTGATTTGTGTTGATTTCTGTTTCAAACAAAAATAAAATAACTGAAAAAAATTTTTTTAAGTTTAAAAAATTTTTATTAGAAGGCTTTATCTCTTCTGTAGATTTGCACAAAATATTCATGATGTATTGCTACAGAGATTTAGTTCATGGTAATTAAGTAGAATTCCAGTGTTTCTTAAAAATATATACTTTTCTCATATCCCTTTGTAGTTTGTGATTTAAGGACGAACAAACTTCCCGGTTCCCCTGGGCTAAGCAAATCTATGTTTGATCTTACAAACTCATCTCAGCGATTCATCCAGGTGAATTATCTACATAAATTTAATTATATGTGATAATTTCCTTTCAAATTAAAAATTCAGAAATGTATGAATTACATTAGGAATATGCTGTATATTTTTTGTAGATGTATCTGTTCTGATATCTGAAGAATAAATAATTGATATTTCCCATGTATATTATTTTAGAAAGCTGTTATTTGATTGCTAAAAGGCAGTAGTTTTTCTTTTTTCAATAAATTTTATATCTCAGTTGGTATGCTCTCAGGGAACCTTGAAACAGTTGGTATTTAAAATGGTGTAATTAAAAGTGCTTATTAATTTAGCTTTTCTTACTGAATATAACCAGCTAGTTTTAAAAATTATATTTCTTTTGAGATGTAGGACTTTATTCACTGATGTTAACACTGCATCCTCCTGGTTTTGAAAAGGAATTGAGAATTATTTTGATGTTTTAAAAAATGTTTCTTTTTTATTACAAGTAAACTGTAATTATTTAAAATTAGGAAATAGAAGTAAGCAAAGTAGAAAGACAAATTCCCATATTTCCTATAACTCAGAGTAAGTGCAATGTGAAAATATTGTTATGTGTACTCATGGTCTTGTTTCCATGTGAATATATGTACATATATTTTTTAAAATGGAAATATATTCTAGATAATCCTTAATCCTCAAGTGAGTTAACTTTTTATAGATTTAATTTTTTTATAGCAGCAGTTGTTTAACACACATCAGAATTGTTTGGAGAGCTTGTTAAAACACAGGATGACAGGCTTCATCCTCAGAGTTCTTAATTCAGTAGCTCTGCAGTAGGGCCTGAGTTTGTATTGCTACCAAGTTCCAAATGATACTGTTTCTGCAGGTCCAGATTGACTATGCTTTGATAATTGCTGCTTTACAAGTTTTTCCATAGCAGGCTATTTCTAAATAAATTCTCATTTTCGTTAATACTCTCAGGTATGAAACTTAAGCAGTAATATCTTTCTCCTTATTACAAAACCAAACCAAAACAGCAAAGGCTTTCCAGTATATCATCTTGTAAGATATTTAAGATATTCCTAACAAATGCCAAAAGCTTTTTTTTTTTTTTTCCACTACCTGTAAGTGGGAAATTCTGACCTGTAACACTGTCAAAATAGTTAGCATGCAGTTTGTTACTAGGATGGATATTGAGGCATATGTATCAGAATCCTTAAGGTTTCATATGCAATTTCTGACTAAAGAATAATTTTATTTATAGAGACATGATTCATTGTCCAGTGTACCCAGTAGTTCTTCTTCAAGGAAAAATTCTCAGGGGAGTAACAGAAGCCTGGGTAAGGAATAAAGTATCCTACTTTTATACTCTTAAGATAATTATTTCTACTCAGTAGTAACTTGAAAGTGTATATAAGGTGAAAAACTCTAGATGATTGTATCTACTATGTTGATATAATAAATTAAGTCTAAATAAAACTATGTTGGTAGTGTTATCAGCATATGGATACTCAGATCACATGGTCCATTTCTCAGTGTTCAGGTACAAGTGTGGCTTTTTAAAAAGTGATGAAGCAGTTGAATATCTTTTGTTTGTATTAAAGTGTACTAGTGAAGGAGCCTCCAGAAGAATACAGTATTAAGGCCATATAAATGTTATTTGGAAAGATTTCTCTTAGTTTTAATTTAAATCCCTCACTGCAATTAGGTTAAGTTTTTAAAACCATGAGACCTTTTTATAGTATATATCTTCCCTCTAGTGCTTCAATAAATATATTAAAGTGTGATTTTTGTCTTCTTAGATTGTGAACTTTAAAAAATAATTGTAGCATTTTAAAATTGTGCTCTTAAAATTGGATTGTGTCAAAGCTTAATTGGGTTAGAAGGATTGCATGGCATTTGAAACATCTTTGTCCTTTTATAATTCAGATACAATTACTCTATCAGGAGATGAAAGGGACTTTGGGAGACTGAATGTGAAATTGTTTTATAATTCTTCAGTAGAACAGATCTGGATCACAGTTTTACAGGTAAATTAGTATAGTTAATACCAGCTTTTATTACAAAATTGAATATTTAGACATTGTAAACACTGACTATTGCCCTTTTCTGGGGAATGGGCCAATGCCACCTTTGACATTTGGAATTCTTTAATATTTTTACAGAAAATAGTATTTAATAAGGCATCTAAGAAAAAAATCTGTAGTATGATGGAAGTATGTGTGTTTTTAAGCTCAAGAGGGAAATTGACATAACATCTAGAATATTATATGTCAAAATTTGCTTAATGTGGATGCAACATGAGGTCTCAGTAGACAAGTTTATTTTTTGCAGTTTTTATCTAAAGTCAGTACCTCAAGAAATACATCAAATGTTTGTATTGTTGGATCCTTTGTAAAATTCAAACTGTATTTTTAATTTTTTTAGTGCAGAGATTTAAGTTGGCCCTCTAGTTATGGAGACACTCCTACTGTTTCTATAAAAGGAATACTTACATTGCCCAAACCAGTGCATTTCAAATCTTCAGCCAAGGAAGGTTCCAACGTAAGTGGCTGTTTGTATTTGAATTTCTTTTCTGTTTTTTTTTTTTTTATATTTGTCACTTTTACCCATGTAAACAAGTCAGAATAAGAAAGTCTTTTATCTTAGGGAAACTACAACTATGTATTATTGCTTTTTCAAGGCAACTTTGAGTCTGAAAAATATTTGATATTTCATTGTCTAGTATTAAGATGCATTTAAAAAGAATATCTTATTCACTAAAATATATAGAAGATTAACAATATCTAAGAAACCTGTTTACTTTTCTTGTGTGAAAGGAAATAAATCTTGGCTTCTCTTTCCCCCAACCCACTTTGGCTTTGAAAAATAAATTCATGATTGCAATGAATTTCTTTTAAATATTTCCAATTAGTATAACAGAAAGACTTATGATCCTGAGTTTGGTTTTGTAGATCCTAGATTTTACATTAATTTAAATACATCTTCATTTCTGTCACTTTTTATAGGTTAAAAGATTATTGTTTTTCTATGCAAATGAAAAGATATCTTCTAAAAGACATCATTTTAAAATAATATCATTCAAATGACTAATAAACATATAAAAAGTTTCTTCTCACTATTAATCATAGAAATACAAATTTAAATTGCGTGTATTGCTTTCTGTTTCTTTCTTCCTCTTTCTTTCTTTGCTTTCTTCTTAGAATTAGGAAAACTTTTACAGGTATTCTAGAACATACAACTTCTTAGAAATTATCTTGACACTACATGTCAAAACCTTAAAATATTTATACTTTTAAACAGTAATTCTACTTTGAAACTGGAAATTATTTCTGTGGAAATAATCTAAAATACAAAAATATATAAAATACTCTTGGAAGTTTTGTTTGAAGAAAAATTGAAAAAACTTCAAATGTGTCATACAGAGGAATGGTTGAAAAACCTAATGGTGTACCTATGTGTATTAGTTTCCTAGGGCTACCATAACAGTACTGTACCACAAACTGGGTGACTTACAGCAACAGAATTTTCTCTCTTGCAGCTTTGGAGAAAGTCCAAAATTAAAATGTCAGCAGTGTTGATTCCTTCTCTGAGGGAGAATCTGTTCTATGCCTCTCTTCCAGCTACTGTGATGGCCAGCAATCCTTGACATTCCCTGGCTTGTAGATCACTCCAGTCTCTGCTTCTGTCTTCACATGGCATTATACCTGTGTTCTGTGTATTCACATGGCCATCTTCTTAAAGGATACCAGTCATTAGGGGTCCACCCTATGTCAGTATTACCTTTTCTTAACTTCACTGATCACATCTACAGTGACCCTGTTTCCAAATGAGTTCACATTCTGAGATGCTGGGGCTCAGGACTTCAACATATCTTTTTTAGGGGGGTGTAATTCATCCCATAACACCATGTGATAGAAAACTAGGTAACTATGAAAACTAATGTTTAGGAAGAGTTTTTAAGGAGCTGGAAAAACATTTTTAATAAATGAAAAAGACAATGATCAAAATTGGGTTGTGTGTGTATGTGTATATGTGTATGAATGTGTATATATGTATGTATGTGTATATGTATATATGTATATATATATTGGGATCTTACTTTATGAAAATATGTATCATTGAAAGTCTAGCTAGAAATAAACCTTAACTCATTATAACCTTGACACTCATAGATGAATACTTTCTGAATTAAACAATTTTACTTTTTGATTTTCAAATAAAGCTAATTTAACTTAGGAAAAGTTAGGAAAAATGTTCCCATATTAAAACTTGTATGGAATCTTTCATTTTACAATTTTATTATTATATATAAATTTGTTTGGGAGACTCCTATTTGGCAAAATACAGAAAGTGTGAAATGAAGCATCACACTTGCATAATTTGTAAGCTCATTAAACATTTTGTGTGTAATATATAATTGGTGTGATTCTATGACTTGAGACTCTAAAAGAAAAAGATAGCTCAGTAGTTGTGAGACCCTCAGAAAGACAGTTCTGGCTGTACAGACAGACATAAGCTATTACAACAAGAGTAACAGTTTGGGCACAGTATAGGCATACTTCGGAGATACTGTAGGTTCAGTTCCAGACTGCCACACTAAAATGAACATTGCAATAAAGCAGGTCACATGAGTTTTTTGGTTTCCCAGTGCATACAAAAGTTATCTTTATACTGTAGTCCATTAAGTGTGCAATAGCATTATGTCTAAAAAAAGTAATTTACATACTTTAATTTAAAATACTTTATTTCTAAAAAATGTTAATGATCATCTGAGTCTTCAGCAAGTTGTAATTTTTTTGCTGTTGGAAGGTTTTGCCTTGATGTTGATGGTTGCTGAATGATCAGGGTGGTGGTTAGTGAAGGTTGAAGTGGCTGTGGCAATTTCTTAAAATAAGACAACAGTGAAGTTGGCCACATCTATTGACTCTTCCTTTCACAAAAAAGTTCCCTGTAGTATGTGATGCTGTTTGATAGCATTTTATCCACAGTAGAACTTCTTTCAAAATTGGATTCCATCCTCTCAAACCCTGCTGTTGCTTTTCAGCTAAGTTTATGTAATATTCTGAATCCTCTGAATTCATTTCAACAACGTTCACAGCATCTTCACCAGGAGTAGATTCCATCTCCAGAAACTACTTTCTTTGCTCATGTGTGAGAATCAACTCCTTATCTGTTCATATTGTATCATGAGATGGCAGCCATTCAATTGCATCTTCAGGATCCACTTCTAATTCTAGTTCTCTTGCTGTTTCCACCACATCTGCAATTACTTCCTCTGCCGAAATTTTGAATCCCTCAAAGTCAGCCATGAGGATTAGAATAAACTTCTTCCAGATTCCTGCTAATGTCCTTTTTTTGACCTTTCATGCATCATGAATTTTCTTAATGGCATCTAAAATCCTGAATCCTTTCTAAAAAGTTTTCAATTGCTTTTGCCCAGGTCCATCAGAGGAATCACTATCTATGGCAGTGATAGCCTTACAAAATTTAGTTTTTAAGTAATAACACTTGAAAGTTGAAATTACTCCCTGATCCATGGGATGCAGAATGGATGTGTTTGCAGACATGAAAATAACATTCATCTCTGTATACATCTCTGTCAGGGCTCTTGGGTGACGAAGTGCATTGTCAATGAGAAATAATGTTTTGAAAGGAATCTTTTTTTTTTTGAGCAGTAGATCTCAATAGTAGACTTAAAATATTTAGTAAACCATGCTGTAAACAGATATGCTGTTATCCAGGCTTTGTTGTTCCCTTTATAGAGCACAGGCATAGTTAATTTAGTATAATACTTAAGGGCCCTAGGATTTTCAAAACGGTAAGTGAGTGTTGGCTTCAACTCAGAGTGACTGATTGCATTAGCCCCTAACAAGAGAGTCAGCCTAGTCCTTTGAAGCCTTGAAGTCAGGCATTGACTTCTCCTCCATAACTGTGAAAGTCCTACATGGCATCTTCTTCCAACAGAAGGCTCTTTTGTCTACATTGAAAATCTGTTGTTGAATGTAGCCACCTTCTTAACTAGATCTTCTGGATAACTTGCTGCAACTTCTACATTAGCACTTGCTGCTTCACCTTGCACTTTTATGTTTTGGAGACTGTTTCTTTCCTTAAACCTCGTGAACCAGCCTCTACTAGCTTTTAGTTTTTCTTCTTCAGCTTCTTCACTTCTCTCAGGCTTCATAGAATTGAAGAGAGTTAGGACCTTGCTCTGGATTAGGTTTTGGCTTAAGGGAATGTTGTGGCTGATTTGATTTTCTCTCCAGACAAATAAAACTCTCTCCACATCAGCAATAAGGCTGTTTCACTTTCTTATTTGTATATTCACTGGAGTAGCATGTTTAATTTCCTTCAATAATTTTTCCTTTGCATTCACAACTTGACTAAGTGGTATAAAAGGCCTAGCTTTTGGTCTGTCTCGGCTTTCAGCATAGCTTCCTCACTAAGCTTAGTCATTTCTAGCTTTTGATTTAAAGTCGGAGATGTACGTTTGTTCCTTTCCCTTGAACACTTAGAGGGCATTTTAGGGTTATTAATTGGCCTAATTTCAATATTGTTGTGTCTTAGGAAACAGGGAGGCCTGAGGAGAGGGAGAGAGATGGAACAGCTGGTTGCCAGAGCCGTCAGAACACACATATTTATCGATTAAGTTGCCCATCTTATATAGGTGTGGTTCGTGGCACTCCAAAACAATTACAATAGTAATATCAAAGATCACTGATCACAGGTCACCGTAACAGATATAATAATAATGAAAAAGTTTGAACTATTATGAGAATTACCAAAATGTGACAGAGACATGAAGTGAGCACATGCTGGTGGAAAAACGACACTGATAGACTTATTCAACACAGTGTTGCCACGAACCTTCAATTTTTAAAAAATGTAATGTCTATGAAGCACATTAAAGCAAAGTACAGTAAAATGAGGTATGCCTGTATTCAAAATATTTATGCTAGTTGCCCAGATATCTTGCCTTTTCAAAAGGAATAAAAGCTCCTTTCTAAATGGATGCATTAAAGATGGAAAGAAGGAAGTGTATGGCAAAGAACCGTCTAGTGTCAAGAATATGTTAGCCCATAGTAAGCCAACGATTTAAAAATATTAAAAGTAACAAGAGCATTTAAAAATGTTCTGAGGCTAGAAAACAGTGACTTGCTGACTGAGATGGGTGCTTAGGAGAGAAGATATAATTTTAAATTCATATTTTCCTTTGTCTTCTCTATCAAGGAGTTAGATTTTCAGATCGGAAAGGGTGGAATAAATGTCACCAAAAGAGAAATTGAAGCCTGAGATAGATGGGAAGATTCTTTAGACAAAAAATAACTCCTTTAAAGAAACAATTCAAGTCTCTTTATGTGAACAAGTTAGATACTATGAACAAGAGAGTGCTTGCATATGAGATTCTTGCACCACTCTCCTGAACTGTTGAAGAATGGTATTGATAACAGGAAAGATGCCAGAACCAAAGATGGAAAAACAATTAATTTTCAAAAAGGGAAAAAGCTGTATTGTGGTGAGCATGGTGTTAATATGACCTGAATTCCTAAATAATTTAAAGGATGATTTGTGAAATTAAGAAAGGTAGAACCCAGGATAAACTCTAGAAAAACAAGTCATTGCCATTCTTATTTTCATTCACATTAAAAAGATGTTTTGTTGTAAAAAGAATTGAATATACCTTTCCTAAATATAAAATAAAATATTATTTTGTATTGGCATATAAGCCTTTTATTTATATATTTTATGTTTTCTTGTTTTTTTTTTAAGGCTATTGAATTTATGGAAACGTTTGTATTTGCTATTAAACTTCAAAATCTACAAACTGTAAGACTTGTATTTAAGATTCAAACCCAGACTCCCAGGAAGAAAACCATTGGAGAATGCTCAATGTCACTCAGAACCCTTAGCACACAGGAAATGGATTACTCTTTGGATATAACACCACCTTCAAAAATTTCTGTAAGCGATAATAGTATGTTAAGAGTATTTCATACTTTTAGAATTAGTTGGTGGATGGGCTTTTGTTTGTTAGAGAATAGCCTGAATAGAATATTAGAGGATCTGGAAGGCTCTCAAGTAGCAATAATATTATTTTCAAATATTTAGAAATTATTGATAAAATGTTAACAGAACTGTTTTCTTTCTCCATTGGAAAATAACCTCAGGGTTACCTTCTCCTAGCACATTTCTTTTTTCTTTTTTTCTTTGAGATGGAGTCTCGCTCTGTCGCCCAGGCTGGAGTGCAGTGGTGCGATCTCGGCTCACTGCAAGCTCCGCCTCCTGGGTTCACGCCATTCTCCCGCCTGAGCCTCCCGAGTAGCTGGGACTACAGGCGCCCACCACCATGCCTGGCTAATTTTTTTTTGTATTTTTAGTAGAGACGGGGTTTCACTGTGTTAGCCAGGATGGTCTCGATCTCCTGACCTCGTGATCTGCCCGCCTCGGTCTCCCAAAGTGCTGGGATTACAGGCGTGAGCCACTGCGCCTGGCCTCTCCTGGCACATTTCTTATTAATGTTTTATACTTCAAGGGAAATAACTCTGAAGTATGAATAACCTTTTTTTTTTTAAGTTTTTTTAGGTAGCTGATAACTTAGGAAAAACAAGAAAGAATCATAAATTCCACACTCAATCAGAGATTGCCCTGAAATAGATTAGGAAAGTTGTTTTAACCATGAGTAAGCTATACAGCAGCTCATAAATTGATTAGAAGTTTTTACAGCTGATTTTTTTTTTCTGTAAAAAGCTTTATTACCTAATGGTGCTGATTGGGACTTGCTATTTGCTTCTCAGCCAACTGAACACTGTTTTTAAATTGTTTAGGAATTTCTAATTAAATTGTATAGATTGAATGTTAGGATAATGTTTATAAAAATCAGTCTTAAGCTTTTGTAAGGTCAAACCTATATGCGGTTTTAAATTTGTATGGGATTTATATTTTACCTGTTTCCAAAAATATTTAAGGTGACTGGAAGTGCTTCTTAACTCTGGGTATACATTAGAATCATCTGGGAGCTTTAAAAAAATGCCCATACATAAACTAAAAAAAATTAGAATTTTGGGGGATATGGGGCAGAAACATGTATCTACCCTTCCCTTCCCTTCCCTCCCCTCCCCTCTTCTCCCCTCCCCTCCCCTCCCCTCCCCTCCTTTCCCTTCCCTTCCCTTCCCCTCCCTTCCCTTCCCCTTTTTTTTGAGGAAGACAGAAAGCTCTGTAGCCCAGCATGGAGTATGGTACGCAATCACAGCTCACTACCTCCTCCATCTCCCCGACCAAGCAATCCTCCCATGTCAGCCTCCTGAGTAGCTAGGACTACAGGCACACCACCATGCCCAGCTAATTTTTTAAATTTTTAGTAGAGATAAGGGGTCTTGCTATATTGCCCTTTCTGGTATCAAACTCCTCAGTTCAAACAGTCCTCCTGCCTCGGCCTCCCAAATTTGCTGGGATTGCAGGCATGAGCCACTGCGCCCAGCCTTGCCTATTATTCTTTATCTCAACCCCCAATGTGCTGTTCTGTAACTATGACAGGAGTTTGTCACTGGCATTTTTGACACTAGCTTAGTAGGTAGTAATCTGCAGCCATAGTTTACAGAAGGCACAAATAGACTATTCAAATAGATAATTCATATATTAAAACTTTAAAAACAGAGTATATAAGAAGAGAACTCAGGGATTTTCTGGGGAATTAAGATATTATTATCTGCGTTGGAAAATATGAATGAATAATTATGGCTAAATTTCTACTAAATCATATTTCATGTATCAGAGATTTTATAAATATTTGTGTATTTTCTGAATGCCAGGTGCTAGGGTTATAGATTGATAACCTGAAAGAAGAGTGTTTGGGCTATGCTGGACCAGTGAGTTTATGTTAATAAGTGTGAATGTTTCATATTATTGGCTAAAGCAATAATAGTATGCTTTGTTTTAATGTGTTGAAGAGGAAAATAAATATTCTAATAGTGATGTCTAAAGAGCCGTACTTTCCCATCCACACTGACAACTGTTTCACCATGAACAGCACAACTTTCGGGTTTTTACTCAATAAAGAGTCCTTGACCTTGACAAATAGTAATGTAAATAATTACTTCACATCTCAAATTTCGGTATTGAATAATGTGGAAGAAATACGTTTTCCTGAAGAAATAGCTAGCATTTACAGAGATTTATCTTACGGCTGCCTCAATGCTACGTGATCTAATGATCTAATTATCACCGTGTTGTTCTTTATCCGTTTTGTGGAGATCAGGGGAACACTTGCCTGAGGTTATACAGCCAGTAGTTGGGGAGTCAGGATTTGAATGGAGGCAGTCTGATTCCAAACCCAGCTCTTTTAACTCTACCATGTATTGCCCCGCTAAGAAGATATTCTCAAACATCACCAGATCGTGATGTTCTCTAATGATGCTCAGCATTTCATTTCAACCCTTCCAGGAAGGCTAACAATGTTTTCTTTTCTGAATAAAAGGATACATTATTCAGGAGCAGTTTTGTGCTTATTAAATGCAGGCAATACATAACTGCTAATTGATTGGAATTTTAATTTTTTGGTTATTATGAGATTTAAATAGTTTAAATCTTTGAATAGTTTTTCATGATCTGAATTAATGTCCTGGAACATGAATTGAATTTGTGAAATAACCTTGGCAAGTAGGAAATGGTAAGCCTATTGCCAAATGCTGCTCTGTTTTTTTTTTTTGTTTTTTGTTTTTGAGATGGAGTCTCTCTCTGTCGCCCAGGCTGGAGTGCAGTGGTGCAATCTCGGCTCACTGCAAGCTCCGCCTCCTGGGTTCACTCCATTCTCCTGCCTCAGCCTCCTAAGTAGCTGGGACTACAGGTATCAGCCACCACGGGTGGCTAATTTTTTCTTTTTCTTCTTCTTTTTTTTTTTTTAGTAGAGACAGGGTTTCACCGTGTTAGCCAGGGTGGTCTCGATCTGACCTCGTGATCCGCCTGCCTCGGCCTCCCAAAGTGCTGGGATTACATGCGTGAGCCACCGCACCTGGCCAATAGTTTAACTCTTTGAACAGTTTTTCATGATCTGAATTAATGTCCTGGAACATGAATTGAATTTGTGAAATAACCTTGGCAAGTGGGAAATGGTAAGCCTATTGCCAAATGCTGCTCTGTTTTATGAGAGTGAACTCTACAATTGTGTAACAATAAGAGACGTTTTGCCACCTTTACGTGTTTTCATAAGTGTTATTACATTGTGGGTACAAAACTGTAATAAAAAATAATAAAAAAATTTAACCATGATTTCCCTTGTGTTTTATAAACAGTATGACTCTATCTTTTAAAATATATTTTTTAAATGCCAAGGACAGCAATTTTTTTTCAATCAGCAAAGGTTTTTTTTTTATGGCTACCAAATTAGTTCATGTGAAAAGTTGTTAGTTCATTCTCATTCTGATTACAGTCAAAAGCAATAAATTAACTTATTTATTAGAAGTCAGCATTTGTTGCCAAATAACAAGTTTTATCATCAATTTAGACCTTTTCAAGGGGAAATTAAATTCCAACAGTTGAGTTTGTACTTGTTAAGCAATTCACTTTTCCTTTTCTATCTCTTCATTTCTTATGGCATGACTGGTTTGAAATACAGAATCATATTTTAAGAAAACACCAAGCTTCTGTCAATGTTATGTATATGGAGAGGTTGGAGTTTTTGTTGTTTTTTTGTTGTTGTTGTTTTTCCCAATGAGCTATGAGCCAGTTATTGGGGAATACTGAGCAATGTCAAATATAAATGTCTTCATCAAGTGTCATTCAGTTGTTCTGTAACTTTATTGGAATCAGTACTAACAAAGACTTTGTGTCTGTCTATGCTGAGCCCTAGTATGATCTGTGAACATTATGTTCCTACTTTATTCCTATTCTTACTCTTTTCAACATGTAAACAATAGTGTTTTTGTGTTTGGACAACCATTCTCCCTTTTATTTTTCAGTCCAAGGACCTTGGAATCCACCTAAGTAGTCTGGCTTGTGTTGTATTTCACAGACAAATAACCAACTTTCTTCTGCTGTTGGTCAGCAGTACTGAAGAACACATTTTAATTTTTCCTCTTCTCTAAGTCTCCTTCATTTTGCCGTTTGCCTCAGGTTTTCTTTGACCTTTTCCTTATTATTTACTGCCTCATCACTTTGACTAGCTTCCTTCTTGCCAGCTTTCTTTAGCTTGCTTCCATTCAGCATAGTAATTCACTCTTAATCCACAGATCTGTTTATTGCTGTCTTCTGATTGTGGTAGCACCTACTCTGATCTCCATAATTAGAAAATAATGATGATTTTCATATGTAACTTTTTAATCATATTTCGTGTGTTCTCTAAAAATAATTTGACTACATTTAGTTGTTTTGAAAGTGTATTCCTTTTGTGTTAATTTCACTGGCATTTTCTTCAGTGATACTGCTTATTAATTTAATTTGCTTTTAATTTGAATTGGCTCTAGGTGTCACAGATTTTGAAGTTTCAGTACATAGATATAACCTGTATTTTCAGAAACCATGCAAATGAGTACTTTAAAGAATTCATGATATTTATCTTCATAACTTTGTCTTGTAACTTATAGTTTTGAATATCATTTGAAAGGAATACTTTCAAAATTTCTAACCTTAGCTTTTTATCTTTTAATTTTTGAATTGTTTCAAAAACTTTATTCTTAACTACCAAATGACACTTTTTTGATATGCAGGTTTGCCATGCAGAACTTGAATTGGGGACTTGTTTTCAAGCAGTAAATAGCAGAATTCAGTTACAAATTCTTGAGGCACGGTACCTTCCAAGCTCATCAACACCTCTGACTTTGAGTAAGTATATCAGTGGTTCAAAGTAGAATCTTCAGAAAGTATTAGTAATAGAAAGTATTTTTTTTACATTTCTTACAATGGAGATTAAAATCTTAGTAACTTTTATTATTTAACTTATTTACTTTAAATTTAAAATTATAAGATTTCAAATTTTAGCCATTGTGTCTACCTTAATACAGTGGTCTCTTGAGTGTTATCCAGTTATGACCTCTCTGCCTTTGATACTGTTTTTTATTTAGCTCATCAGTTCATACAGGTTGAATGTCTAGAGGATTTTCAGTTATATTTTACCACCTGAAATGATTTATCCTCTCTCTAGGTCTGTGCCCTTTGTGGAATGCCCTGCTAACTAGAAACTTAATTGTAAAAAATATATATATCAAAAACAAACCTAGAAACACTTTTCTCTCCCTGTGTTTTGTCTACAACCAGGAGTTGTGATACTTTGGTTGTCTAGTCCCAGAGATTTGAGTGGGCAGAAGTGCCCCTTTTCCCTACTAAAAGAAGGGAACTGTATGGGGGCAGGCAAAAGCAATGCATGTTCACCGTAACTAGAAAGACTAAAAATAAATGAAACTGAGCATTCAATTCAAGAAGCTAGAAAAACAACAAACCCAAAGAAATTAGAGTAAGGTATTAAAGCTAAAGTTGAAGGTGACAGATATGGAGACAACCACAAAAGGCATAATCAATAAAACTAAAAGCTGCTTCTTTGAAAGAATCATTAAAATAGACACATCTATAGAAGGTGAGATCAAGTGAAAAAATAGAGAAAACATGAATGATATTCTGAGCAATGAAGAGGATATAATTTCAAATTCAGAAGAGATTCTATCATGTATAAAGCAATACCATATATAGCTATACCGATTTATTTGGGTATCTATGTAAAATAAATGACTTTCTGAGAAATTCAGCAGTTGAAAGTAGAATCTTAAGAAGAGGAAGAAAATCCGAATAAAAGAATAAGCATGAAAAGGTAGTTAAAGAACTGCCTCTAATAAAAGCACTAGACCAAGGTAATTGTACTGGGAGATTCTACCAAATTTTCAAGGAACATGTAATTTCTGTTGTATATAAGCTGTTCCAAAGCATGAAAAGAAGATGGAAAAAGTAATTTTGTGAGGTCAGCATATTCTTGATACTAAAACAGAATGGATAGCACACACAAAAAGTAATTATAGACTAATGTCACCTGTGTAGATAGATGGAGAATCCTAAAAGAAAAATGAGCAAATAAAACCTAACTTGGAATAAATCATCAGAACTATATATAATTAATTCTAGGAAACAAGGACAACAGATGCTGTTTATGACGGGCTTCCCTTAAAACAGCTTATCAGGATGACCACAACTCTTCATTCTATCAATCTGACGGTCGGATCTCAGCCCTCACTGTGGCTCCCACCTTTCTGGGAGTTCTCACTTTCTTGCTTCCCTGGCACCCCAGCTCTGTCACCTCCAATTAGTCAGACTGTACTTTCTGCTTGAGCTGTAGGCACTGTGTGTCAGTCAGATAGGGGAGTATGCTTAGGTGAAAAGCTATATCAACCTGAATTTTACCCAGTGAAGTTCCCGTCTTTTACCAGTTGACTTCCCTCCAGTTTCTTTCTGCTTTTAGTGTTTTAAAATTTTTTTCCAAAGTTTATAATAGTTGTTTATGGGAAGGTTAGTTTATACAAGCTATTCTGCCATTACTGGAAGCTCTATACATCTCAAATTTAAAGTACAGATTTTATCTAGTGGGCATATACTTAACTCCTGGAGTCTTTTATATTTTACCTATATAATTGTGAAATAAATACCTCCAGCTGTCCAAAAGATTGGTACCTCTCTTTAGTGTGATCCTTTTCAGTGTGCACTCTTTTACTGTGATTGTTGTTTATGCCTCCATTTCCAGTCTTTAATGGCATTCAGCCACAGAAAGATTAAGTTCATTTAAAGTTACAGTAGTAAAGTATGGCCAAAGTTATAAAGTTGATTAGAACTGTTTTCTGTTATGGTCGTAGCTCATCAAACATTTAAAAGTGACTTATCTATATTTTTTACAATAAATGTTATATATATATATTCCAACTTGGATGTGTATATACACATCTTTATATGGTATTTTGAATAACATTTTATAAACCAATATTTCTAATTTTTTAGGTTTTTTCGTGAAGGTGGGAATGTTTAGCTCGGGAGAGTTGATTTATAAGAAAAAGACACGCTTACTGAAGGCCTCCAATGGAAGAGTCAAGTGGGGAGAGACTATGATTTTTCCACTTATACAGAGTGAAAAAGAAATTGTTTTTCTCATTAAGCTTTACAGTCGAAGCTCTGTAAGAAGAAAACACTTTGTGGGCCAGGTTAGTAGGAGTTTTTATCCTTCCTTATATTTTTCTATGCATTTAAACAGTCAGTTAACAAAGGGAATACAGGATAATATTAAAGTCAAATAGAGTACAGTTCTTCAGCATCATAAATCAAAATTCAATTGCTACAAAAATCGAAACTTGTCAGACTTTTTGCTTTAATACAAATAGTTGGAATTTCTGAGCAATCAGGTTTATCTTTAAATATGTTTTTTTCTGAGCTTTTTTACTTCAAAAACGATGAGAATTATCAATTTTTCAGTACTACTGACTTGTTCCTTGTGGAAGGAGGGAACATTAAGTATTTAAATCAATTTCTTAAGTCTTCGAGTATCAAATTTATTTTGTTTAATCTTTGATTTAATGTTTAACATGGGCACTTTTTATATTCTCTTACCTGAGTTAGTTTTGAATTCCTAGAACATGTCCATTTTAACAGTGGTTGTGATATTATTTAGTTAATACTACTGTCTGGATTATTTTAAAATCTTGGTACAATTTGTATAAAACAACATAACACTTGTTAACTTGCCAGTCCTCTAGGAACTTGTTTCCTTTCCTTACTCTGAATAGACTAGTGGTAGCTGTCCATTATCTTTTACCTTAATTACGATTGTTTGAACCACATTTAAATTCCAAAATCTATATTATTGGTTTAAAAGCTTCAACTTGACAAGATATTATTAACAGTCTACATGAAATCCTCAAATTATATATGAATTTTCAAACATTGATATCAGCTCCTTGATTTACTTTTTAATATATATTTTTACGTAAAATACTAATTAAAATGTTGTTTTATCATTTATTATTTGGAAAAGAGCTTGAATTTAAGAATTCATATAACCAGCATAATTTTGAAGACCATTAAGCCTTTATGAAGTCAATTCAGTTAAAGTTTTCGTATATCATCGAGCCTCAACTTAACGGTATGAATGGAATAGGAAATTTACTTGAGATGATTTTCATGATAACATTTGTGGTGATTCCATTCTCTTGGCTAAGATTCTAGTTAGAATAATAATTCTGGAAAGGTTCTTGCTGGTCATCTGCTCCGTATGGCTTATCTGGTATAGCCTTAGGAGGAACTATGATGGGGTAGCCAAAGGGGAACTCAAGGTCTTCCACCCCTGTATCAACGAAAGTACTCTAATGTCTGTTTTACATACTGGGATTATTTGTAAGATTTCATTTGAAAGGAAGGTTCTTTAGACCAAGAAAGAAAAGGAAAAAGGTTGAAACCAATGACCTGCTCCAATCTCTTAGAAACTGAATCTCAGAGAAGTTAACTTCAAGGTAAAAGCATTTGTTAGTGCTAGAGGTAAGATGAAAATTCAAGTTTTTTTATTCCTTGTCTTCATAATAATATAATTATTGTGATGTCTTTTGTACAATTTGCATAATACTATGTATACATTCACATGTAGTATTTAAGTTACATAAGTGATGGGTACTATGAAATTACTATTGATCAAGAATGACTATTAGATTTTAATTAAGATTACACTTTATTTCTTGTAAAAGGTGATTTAAAATGCACATTCCTTACCAATCTAATTTGAATCATGATTAGCCTCAGTTTAATTATCCTTACAAAAATATTTTTGAGTGGTTGGGATCAGTTTTAAGTTGAGCTCCTAGATTTGTTGAATAGGAAAGGATACTAATAACTGTTCTAGGGGAAATGATTTTGTAATATTTCACCTTGAATTTTTGAACTGAACCTTATAAACTAGTCTTCAGAATGACTAAGCAGGTTAAATGTTTTAGCATTTAAATGTCAAATAGAGAAATCAATCTGACTTTTGGAAAAAAGAAAGATGTTTAATTTAAAATATGTAAAGCAAACTTCCAAATTTCTTCCATCAGTAAGAGTAACTAACTGTCTGAATGTAGTTATTATTATTGTGTCAAGTTAAATGATTGTACATACTTTCCTTTACAGATTTGGATAAGTGAAGACAGTAATAACATTGAAGCAGTGAACCAGTGGAAAGAGACAGTAATAAATCCAGAAAAGGTTGTTATCAGGTGGCACAAATTAAATCCATCTTGAAGACTTCACACATTAATTTGGTGAAGAACTTGACATTCTTTTAGAAGACTTATGATTTCAATTTGCTACCAATGAGAAGAGGCAAATCAACAAATTTGTCAATTTATGGGGGCTATAATTATGGTATATAATGTATCTGATAGAAAATTTGATAAGAAAATGTAATGAATTTTATCAGATATCCAAAGTAAAGGAAATGTTTTAAAACTGCAACAAGAGACACAGACAGTAAAATCAAAGTATTATTAGGATGACTAAATAAATTATAAAGTCTGTGAGAATATCAACCATAGATAGTTCTTTCTATATTATGTTTTCGCTTTTGTATTTTAAGCTTTACTTAGATATTCAAAACCTGGTATATCAAGTCTCTGTTAGTACTATTGGCATTTAGAAGACTTTACCATTATTTCAGTGCTAGGCATTATTGATTAGGTCTTGGCTCCACTGTTTACCTCTTGCTATGTATTTTCTCCCGGTAAAAATGAATTGAACCATTTCAACTATTTTCTATATTTGGAGAAAGTTTGTGCCCTGTGTTTTATAATTTTTTTACCCATAAGACATCACATTATCCCTTTGTAAGCTACTTATCTCCAAAAAACTTCAGAAATAGAAAACTACATTTTGGCAGGAATAATTGAAAACACCAGAAGGTTGAAGTTTAATTGGAAACCCAGAATATACATACTTTGCTGTTTTCTTCCCTCAAATATTTTACTATTTGTTTTATTTGGAGTTAAAATAAGAGTATCATCCATATGGTCCATCCTAATTCACAGAATTAAATGAGCTTAAATAGAAAATTCAGTATTTTATGATAATCACTTCGTTTTTAGTTTTTAAAATTTAGATTATTCTATAATTTACCGTGTTTGAGTATTTTCTCATTTTTTTCATAACCATACCTGATTATACTGTGTAACAAATATTTTCTATTGCAGTTTTCTTTCCAGTACTTATTAGAACTCAGTATTTGGAAATAATTTCAGCTTAATTGACCATAAGAACTGTGGCCAAAAAGAACAGTTTTTTGGAGAGGCAGATGACATTATACCTGATTTTAGAAAATCTCACTTTATTTTTGCTAATAAGTAGACTAAGTGCTCTGTGTTCTCAGTCTTCCCTTTTTTTCTGCCCCCATTCTTACTTTGTCCCAGGCATGCAGAGAAAGATGGTGATATTTTAGGCCAGGAGTATACCTTGCTATAACCTAAGCATGCCTTCTTTATTCCAGCTCCTATGTTCTGTGTATATCATTAACATTTTCCCAAATAAACACTTAATTCTCTTTTCCCTAGGTGCCATCTCCTCAAGCTACAAAATGTCCACATCTTATATCCCCTTTGCTTCTACTGCTCTGATTTTGTGGTACCAGTACTCTCTGCCACTGAACATTTTGAAATATTTTTGTTTTAGATTTGCAAAAAATGACATATAGGTCAGTACTCACATGGATTTTTAAGATAAATCACCTGTGTGATAATATTTTGAATCTGAGACGAATACAACTTTTAAAAATTGTTTTTAAAAATAGACTTTTTTTTTTAGAGCAGTTGTAGGTTAACAGAAAAATTGAGAGGAAGATAGAGATTTCCTTTCTCCCCTGACAAAGCCCTCAACAGCCTCCCAGGCTATCAGTATCCTGCACCACAATGGTACATTTGTTACAATCAATGAACCTACTCTGAAACATCATTATCATCCAAAGTTCATGGTTTACATTAGAGTCCCCTCTTGGTGTTATACATGCTAGAGGACAAATATATGATGATATGTATGCATCATTATAATATAGTATAGTTTCGCTGCCCTAAACATCCTCTGCAAATGCAACTATTTTAATGGGTACCAAAGAAGTAAATGTATTTACTGGCTTTTAGATAATAAATAACGGGCTTTATTGTTTATTTTAAAAGCTACAATTTGTTTTAGCTGGTTTCTCTGTTCTATTAATGCTTTGAATTTCCAAATTTAATATATGTAGTCATGCATTTAACTTAATATTTAATTATTTGATTTATTTAATTTTCTATATTCTTACAATGTATGTATGATGTATAATTTAAGGGAAAGCTATGACTTCTCAGTTTCTTAGAATCCTAGGTAAATAAAACAATAAAAAGAAAACCCTTACATTTAAAAGAGCTTTCAGGTACAGAAGTATTGATACAACTAAGATCCTAAATGTTTTAATTAGTGTTTACTTAAGCCTTTTTCAGGTGAGGAGGTACTAATGCTGGTTATTTCCTTGAAGCTTTATGTGGACCTATAAATAAAAATCCAATCTCCTGCTAATAGGTATGCATATTGTGAGAAAAACGTTAGGAGCTGGTAGTAAAAAATGAGATTCTATGCCAAAATAACTTCTCTTCATATTTGCCTAGGCATTTCTTGACCTTTACCCACTTACGCAAGGAGAAGGAAATCATAATGATGTCATGTGATCAAAGGAAACCATGGAAGGGTTCACGCTGATAGCTGATAGCTTTTACAGTGCTCATTCCTAACAGTGGATTTACTTGTAAGCTTTCAGATCAACACAAATAGCTGCAGCCTGGGTTAAAATATAACATCACTATTTGGCTTTTGTTTTGCATGATTTTTAAAAGCAGTACTCCTAGGGAAATGGCCTCTGAAGTATATCAGTTTCATCTCTTACCAAGACTGTTAAGAAGAAACTAGTGGGATTTTGAACAAGTTATATAATTGTGGTCTGAAAAGACCCTAAACTGAAGTTCTGTTTAAATATAGTTACATGAATTTCTCTGATACTAATGTACTCAACAGCCAGGTATAAACTATATCTCCTAGTAACATTTTCCATTTTTGTTTAATCAAATACTTGCTTATGAAGGATTTCAGAAATTTGTAATAAATGTCAGCTTTTGATAGCATAGCAGTAATTGACATTTCAAAAATATATATTTCTTTCTGTGTTTGGTTGGGTGTAATGAGGAAAATACCTGATAAAATGTCTGAAGACACTTTCTAATGTTATCTTGGTGCATAAGCTGTAATTTTTATTCAAAATTAAATTTCAAATGTTTGCAGTTTTGGCTAAAACATTGAGTTGAAAGAATTATGAAAAGTGGGCCCATATGAAGTACCATGTTCATTTTGAAATATAGATTTAAGATTTAGAAATATATTAAAAGAGTTAATGGAGCCTCCTAAATTGGATTTTATTTTGTGGGTGAAGAATTGTAGGAAGATGAATGTGGCCTACAGTTTTAGTAATCTCCTAGTGGAGTTTTTTTTAACTTAGTACTTTTTTAGTTTTAAGTTTTTTAATCTATAAAAAATGTGATTTCTATAAACCATGATTACAATAAATAATTATATTAAACTGTAGGACTCTCATAATGGCAGTAGATGTCTAGAAAGAAAGTTCTGGGCTGGGGTACGATGGCTCATGCCTGTAATCCCAGCACTTTGGGAGACCGAGGCGGGCGGATCACAAGGTCAGGAGATGGAGACCATCCTGGCTAACACAGTGAAACCCCGTTCTCTACTAAAAATACAAAAAATTAGCCAGGCGTGGTGGTGGGTGCCTGTAGTCCCAGCTACTTGGGAGGCTGATGCAGGAGAATGGTATGAACCCAGGAGGAGGAGCTTGCAGTGAGTCGAGATCGCGCCACTGCACTCCAGCCTGGGTGACAGAGCGAGACTCTTGTCTCAAAAAAAAAAAAAAAGTTTTGTATGTCTTCTGAAACAATAGAAAGCTATCTGATTCTATGTTAAACTAAATCACCAAATGAGAATATGACTTTTAAATGGTGATGATGTTTATTCAGTATTGATCTTCATATTCTATGCTGTGGGATTTGTTTCTGGGTCATCCTTTTTTTTTTTTGTGAGATGGAGTCTCACTCTGTCGCCCAGGCTGGAGTGCGGTGGCACAATGTTGTCTCACTGCAACCTCCCTCTCCCAGGTTAAAGCGATTCTCATGCCTCAGCCTCCTGAGTAGCTGGGATTACAGGCACCCACCACCATGCCCGGCTAATTTTTTTGTATTTTTTTTTAAGTAGAGACAGGATTTTGCCATGTTTGCCAGGTTGGCCTTGAACTCCTGACCTCAGGTGATCCACCTGCCTCGACCTCCCAAAGTGCTTGGATTACAGGTGCAAGCCACTGTGCTGCCTTTAGTTTCTGAGGCAGTAGGATGATAAAAATGTCTGCCCTTCAGGATAGGATACTTATTTTAGCAGAAATAAATTTGGTTAACTGTGGTTTAAAATTGTCTTTTAATTTCTGAGTCTTTCATCTTTCTTGATTATATAATGTATGAAGTCAATCTCGAAACCACATTTTTAAATGGGCCATTTTATATGATATATTTAATAACTAAATGCAAAAAAAATCTAGTACTTCACACAAAGAACCATGCTTAGTGCTTTCAGGGATACAAGAATGAATAAGCCATTGTTTACACTGAGATTTTATATTTAGGTAGGTAAATGAAATAATATAAAGCAAGATTCTAGTAGAAAGCAGGTTTTAAGGTATGAACAAAATGCTTTAGAGGCTCAAATAAAGAAAGAATTTAATGCAGCGGAAGGAATTAGGAAAGGTTTGGTAGGTCCCTGACCTGAAACACACAAAACCAAGCACTGCTGTTCATGATCACTGACTCTGCCTCCCTAGCCATCCTACTTCATTTGTGTTGTCAGCTGACTCACTGTGAAAAACAGTTTATACATTCTTTCACTCTTTTCTAACCTTTAGCCTGCCTGCTGCTTTCTTTGCTCTTAGTAGAAGACCTTATGTCATGATTCGCAAAGAAAATAATGTCAGGTTTTCCTCCAACTTCCTACCACCATATCCACAAACTTGTTTTTACCCATATACATCCTTTCCCCCATTATGTTGGAAAGCCAGTCCTTCCTCATGACTTCTGAACCCAGTCCTCTCCGCATTCTCTGGGATTTCGTTCCATTTATTATGCCCATTTTCTCCTATTTTTGAACCATTCCCACTCACTCTACTGGATTCTTTGTTTCATCTTTGAAACCTCTGGTGTGTGGCTGTATCAAAATTGGTTGGTGATGTGTTTGATGCAAAGAACCCTACGGATACAGTTTTGGGGGTTAGGTTTTTGTATTGATGAAGGAACCCGTGTAAACACCGATGGACTGAATGTTTATGTTCCCCCAAAATTCATATGTTGAAATGCTAACCCCAAAGATGATAGTATTAGGAGGTGGGACCTTTGGGAAAAGATTAGGTCGTTAAGGCATTGGTAATTAGGCTGTTAAGGGATTAGTGCCTTTATAAAAAAGACCCAAAGAAATCCCTTGCCCCTTCTACCAGCTAAGGTTACAGTGAACAGATGACTTTCTATGAGGAAGCAAGCCTTTACCCAAAACCAAATCTGCCGGCATCTTGATATTAGACTTCCCAACCTCCAGAACTGTGAGGAATAAATGTTCATTGTAAGCTACCTAGTTTATGGTATTTTGTTATATCAGCCTGAATGGACTAAGAAACGTTACATAAAGCAGGAGCCAATGCAGCATGCTCCCCATAGAGGTGTGTCTTCCGAGGTCCCCAAAGCTTTCCCTGGGTTGGACTGCTACGGGTGAGTCTATGCATAGCCAGTGAAGATTCTCAGCACCAGAAGCTCTTTTCATTCTCACAGGAGTTTCTTTCCTCACTTTCCTTCTTCCACCCGACTGTTCCCAAGCATAGCCTTCATGTCTGCTTGCTCAACAAGTGTTAGTAATTGGTAGTCTACAATCCCAACAAATTCTTGAGTAATTATTAGAATTTAAGTGTAACTAACTCAATGAATAGGAAGGTTGGTTTCTCAGCATAGCATCCGTTAGGTCACCTTTCTCTGTGGTTTCTTTCTTAAAAAAATATTCCTAGACTTCCTCTCCTGTTCTAGATTCTGCCTTATCTGTTCTCCTCTTTATAGATAATTTCTAACCGCTCTGTCCTTAGTCCATTCTCTTCAATCTTCCATCCTCACCACTCCACCAAAGTTCATGTTAAAGTCTTAATAAATGCTTTTCAGCTATTTTTTTTCCTTTATTCTCATCAACTTTCTTAACAATAGCTTTCTCTCTCTCTCTTTCTCTCTCTGTCTCTCCCTGCCTCTCTCCTTGAAACCGTCTCTTCCTCTGGCTTTCATGTCATTATGCTCTGCTTATTTTTTTAACAACCTTCCTAGTCTGTTCTTCTCTGTTCGGCTCATCTTCATGCACCTGACTTTAAAAAGTAGAAGTTCTTTAGGACTCAGTCATAGGCCACCTTTTCTTGTCATTCCACACTGTTTTCCAGGGCAACGTCATCTATTTCCATGGCTTGAAATGCTATCTACTGTCTAATTTACATCTCTACCCAAATCTTGCTATGAGTTCCACTGTCATATAGCTAATGTGGACATCTTTTCTTAAACGTGTTCTAAATCAAACTTTTGATTTCCCATTCCTACCACAAGTGTGATCTTCACTTTTCCCCATCTGAGTAAAAGGCACTGTCATCCACCTAGTTGGTCATCCCAGAAACCTATTCATTGAGTTAATTACACTTAAATTCTAATAATTATTTAGAAATTTGTTGGAATCATTTTCTACCAGTTACTAACACATGTAAATGGAAAAACTATTTCTCTTTCTGTATTCTGGTTGTGCTGGGGGGGGGGGGGGAAATTAAAACAAGAAAAGCTGTTTCTTTATTCTTACAATACTTCTGACACCAAATGTGTGGGCTTTTCCCACCAAGCAATTCTTTAATTCCCTGTGGACACCAACTGGGTGTTGTATAATTTACCTTAATTCCAACACTACCCAGAGTTAGCACAGACCCCACAAATTAAGGGCCCAGTTCCACAGACTGCCCCCCACTTCCTATGCCAATCATAAGTGGCAGGTCTCCAGGCTGCCCACAACTTTGGTCTTACTTGACTACAAATTGGAGCTTCTCATGACACCTCAGGTTTGATAATTTGCTAAAATTGTTCACAGAACTCAGGGAAACAGTTTATGTACATATGTCAGTTTTTTATAAAGGATTCAAATCAGGAACAGCCAAATGGAAGAGATGCATGGGGCAAGCCAGTGGGGAGGGATGTGGAAGTTCCCTGCCCACTCGGGGAGTGCCACCTTGCAGGCTCTTCGATATGCTTACCAACAATAAGCCCTCTGGACTTCAGTTAAGATTTTTATGAAGATGTCATTACATAGGCATGGTTGATTAAGTCATTAGCCATTGGTGGTTGAACTCAGTCTCTACCCACTCTCTCCTCCCCAGAGGTTGAGGGGGCTTGGGAGATGGACCTGAAAATTCCAACCCTCTTAACTATATTTTTGTTTTCCTGGCAACAAGACCCTCATTCTTGACGGCTTTCCAAAAGTCACCTCATTAACATAAACTGGGGTGTGTTTGAAAGGGGCTTGTTAGGAATGACACAAGATGCTACTTTCACCTTCATCGCTCTGGAGCTATTTCAGGAGCCAGGGACAAAAACCAAATATAAGAAAAGATGCCTCATCACACTTATTGCTTAGGAAATTCCAAGGGTCTTAGGTGTGTTGATGGTACAGTGGTGAGCATAGCTGCCTTCTAAGGGTTTTAGGAGCTCTGTGCCAGGAGTCAACGACAAAGACCAAATCTATGTTATATCAATATCACACCTTGGAACTCTTCTCTTATCTCCCATACTCAAGTCACCCTGTTCAGAAATATATATATCCTAAATAGATCTTGAATGCACCCACTTCTCCATCTCCACTTCAACTTCTCTAATCAAAGGCAAAATCATATCCCACCTGTAGTACTGTACTTTCCTTATAATCTGATTGTCACACCTTGGTTCTCGGTGCTCTTAGTATGAAGTCCAAAATCCTTAACACAGCCTACAAGGCCCTTGTAGGGGATGACCCACTTTTCCTCTACCCTCTTATATTCAATGAATGGGGGTCTGTGAATCAAACTAACAAATGACATTAACAGGAGAAAAGACACCATTTTTATTAATGTTTACATGCATAAGTATTCACAGAAAAGTGAAACTCAAAGAGGTAATTAGATTAGGAGTTTATATACCCTTTTAATAAAGGAAAGGAGGTTTGGACTTTAAGAGATAAATTGTGGGGAAGTGACTAGGAAATACATGGGGGAACTAATGGAGGATAAGGGTTATTTTAGTTAGGTCTGTTTGTGCAAACTCATCTCGGTGTTGACTCTCCATCTCCGGTGATAAGTCACTCCTCTTCCTGGTCCACAGAGTATGGAGAACACCTTCACAAAGCATAATTTATGCCCTGCTTTTAGGCAGTTAAGGGGACGGCAAAGAACTCTTCTTACATCTGTTGACTCTCAGTTGCTTTCAGCTCAAAATCTTTATGCCAAAGTGGCATACTTTGAGGTGACATATCCTGATCCCCTTTCTCCTGTTGTGTTGTAAGGAATAATTATGTTACTTAAAATGGGTTGGGTTTTGTTTGTTTGTTTGTTTTTTTGATGATCGGTCAGATGTGGACATGTAATAATAACACCATGGAGAGGCATATGAAAATGAAGGAGATTTATTATATTGGCAGGTCCTAGAAGAGGGAGGTATGGCATGCCATGCAGGGGGCATGTGGGAGGAACTCCCAGGGAGTGAGCTCACCCAAGCAGGTGGGGAGCAGAGAGAGAGAGGGTCGGGGGAAGGACCTATGGACAAGGGCCTTTGTTGGTGGTCAGGGTACAGTATATAAGCAAAAAGCATGAGAGTGTTTCATTGGAGTGTTTGAATGTCACTAGATCACACTCAGAATAACAAAAAGGGGAACTTGTGGCAGGAACCAGCCTTCTCACACTGGTGCACCTGATTGCCCAGACATAGTGTTCATAGCCTGTTTGTGGGAATGTTGAGGCATCAAGAAAATAGGAAGTTTTAAAAATTTACAATATCCCTGTATAATCTGAGCTCTGCCTTCCACTCCAGCCTTATTTTTAACAATTCTCCTCTTTAATCTCACTGATCTGTTTTCAGTTCTTGGAAGACAGACAATACACACCTAGCTTCCTCTGGATCTTCACACATCCTGTTTCACCTATGTGGAATAGTTTCTCTCTTTACTCTTCCCTTTACTAAATCCTATTCTCTTTTTGAAGGTGCCAGCTTAAATATCTGTTCCTCAGAAAAGTCTCTTTTGATTTTTCAAGCAATATTAGGTCTTATTTTCATATACTTTATGCTTTTTCTTTATAGCTTTTATCAGAATTATGGTTAAATAGTTAACTTACGTAGTTGTCTCTCCT
This sequence comes from Homo sapiens, assembly GCF_000001405.40. Lineage (NCBI taxonomy): Eukaryota > Metazoa > Chordata > Mammalia > Primates > Hominidae > Homo > Homo sapiens. The sequence goes on along the minus strand of NC_000014.9, from coordinate 91,773,843 downwards.
AGACTGTAATTTCCATGAAAGCAGGGTCTTGTTTATTGCTGCATTCCTGAACCTAGTACAGTATCTGGCCTATAAGAGGTACATAGTCAATGTTTGTTCATTTACACATTTAACCGATAGGCAATGTTTTGAGTGTTAGGGATTTAACAGTGAACCAACAAAAAAATGAATGAACACATAGAGTTAGGTTTTATGGCTCAGTAAAGTGGTAGTTAAGGCCAATATCTTCTTATTGAAAGAGATAATGCTGTATAATACATTATTACCATATTTACTTTAAAATTCATTAGTACATTTCTTAATCAGAGAAAAGAAATATAATAGCTTCATATCTAACTCATACTATCAAGCTTACAAAAAACTTCTGAAATTTTAAAGTGTTTATAACACATAATGCTAAATTTAGTAGATTGCTGAGATCTTTATCCGATTTTGCCTTATCATTACATGTTAGCAGCTTAATGTATATCATTACTAAGAACAAAAATTATATTTATTTATTTAAAACATTTATTTTTTGCAGGGAATGAGTTAAATTTGATTTCTGTATAAAGTAGGAACAATACTTAGATTGTGTCCAGCTTTGAAATTTTCTTATAAGATGTAACTAACATGTTTAAGTGACCCTACATAAACAAGTACTGTAGTTGTTGTCTACTGGCCTAAACAGGATTTATAAGACTTCTGTAGGAAAGAAGACGAGCGTAGAAAATCGGTTAGATGATAGTTCTACTCCTGGAGGGAGAGAATGAGAATTTTGGAGACCCTTCCTGATACAATTTAGGAAATGGATTCAGGGAAGAGGCTGTAAGAGAAGCAGGCCTCATCCCATGTACATCTCAGTACTCGGGACAGTTTCCTCTACCTCTCCTTATCCAGGAAGGACAGATAATAGGTCTGCAGATAAAGAAGGTGAAAAAGATTGCTGAGTAACGTTTTCTTAAGTCATAATGAAAAAGAACCCTGGGAAGGACGGATGGACAACCAGATAGAGGCCTTTAAGAGTAAGGGAAGTTTATGGAGAATAGTTAAGGATGGAAAAGTAAGAAGGTAAGGGTGCAGTTGTATAGTGACCCTATATGCTTCCTAATACTATATGCATTTTCGTTTTACGTAAGTTGTCTTGTTGTAATTCAGATTTCCTTCAGAGGAATATATACAAAATTCTTATATTACCCCTTCCTCTTCTCCTTTCCTGCATCCTTTCCTCCTGCCCTCCTTCTTCCCTCTCTCTCCAATCCCTGCTATTTGCCAAAACTCCTGCTCTATGTTTTGCTTTCCTGATGGAAAATCTGAAAACTAGTTTGGTCTGTGGTAATAAAAATCACTGGCTCTCCTGCCTGGAAAAGACCCTAAGAGTTCTCTACTGTAAATGCTCAGCTAACTAGAACATAGCAATATTTATTTTCAACAAATATTTATTGGGCACCTACTTTGTGCCGCTCATTTCAGGTGCTAGGAATACAACACTAAGCAAAATAGACCAAAAAACACCGCCCTCATAGAGCTTGTATTTTAGTGAATACATCAGAATATACAGAATATTTTCAACTAAAATTTGATGGGTTTCATGCAATGAATGAACAAATAGAAAATCAGAAAGTCTGTTCCTGGTCTTTCCTTCTATATGACTGTTCTATATGCCAATCTTCGTCACTGAATCTCTCTCTGTCTTCAAATGCTCATGTTAATAATGTACTAATGCATTATTATCCAGGTTTTTTTCCCCAAAAAAAGATACATTTATTTTTTAAAAAACTTTTAGTTTCAGGGGCACATGTGCAGTTTTTTTATATAGTAAATTATGTGTTGCAGGTGTTTGATGTACAGATTATTTCCTCACCCAGGTAATAAGCATGGTACCTGATAGGTAGTTTTTTGATCCTTGCCCTGCTCCCACCCTCCACCCTCAAGTAGGCTCTGGTTTCTGTTGTTCTCTTCTTTGTGGCCATGTGTGCTCAATGTTTAGCTCCTACTTATAAGTGAGAACATATGGTATTTGGTTTTCTGTTCCTGCATTAGTTTGCCTAGGATAATGGTCTCCAGCTCCATCTATGTTGCTGCAAAAGACATGATCTTGTTCTTTGCTATGGCTGTATTGTATTCCATGGTGTGTATGTACCACATGTTCTTTATCCAGTCTGCCGTTGATGGGAATCTAGGTTGATCCCATGCCTTTGCTATTGTGAATAGTGCTGTGATGAACATTAAGTGTGCACGTGTCTTTATGGTAGAACAATTTATATTCCTTTGGGTATAGACCCAATAATGGGATTGCTGAGTTGAATGGTAGTTCTGTTTTAAGTTCTTTGAGAAATAACCAAACTGCTTTCCACAGCGGCTGAACTAATTTACATTCCCACCAGAAGTATATAAGCATTCCTTTTTCTCTACAACCTTGCCAGCATCTGTTGTTTTTTAACTTTTTAATACTAGCCATTCTGACTGGTGTGAAATGGTATATCATTGTGGTTTTGATTTGTATTTCTCTAATGATTAGTGATGTTCAGCACTTTTTCATAGGCTTGTTGGCCAAATGTATGTCTTCTTTTGAATAGTGTCTGTTCATGTCCTTTGCCCCACCTAAAGAGGAATATTTAAAGATATTATTTTCCTTGAGCTACTTTTTTTCTCTTGAGACAGGGTCTCACTCTGTCACTCAGTCTGGAGTGCAGTGGTGTGATCATAGCTCACGTGCAGCCTTAACCTCCTGAGTTCAAGCAATCCTTCTACCTCAGCCACCCAAGTAGCTGGAACTACAGGCACGTGCCACCATGCCTGGCTCTTTTTTTTTTTTTTTTTTTTTTTTTTTTTTTTTTTTGAGACGGAGTCTCTCTCTGTTGCCCGGGCTGTAGTGCAGTGGCACGACCTTGGCTCACTGCAACCTCCGCCTCCCAGGTTCACGCCATTCTCCTGCCTTAGCCTCCAGAGTAGCTGGGACTACAGGCGCCTGCCACCACGCCTGGCTAATTTTTTTGTATTTTTAGTAGAGACAGGGTTTCACCGTGTTAGCCAGGATGGTCTCAATCTCCTGACCTTGTGATCTGCCCATCTCGGCCTCCCAAAATGCTGGGGTTACAGGCGTGAGCCACCGTGCCCAGCCCCAAGATACTGGGCTTTTACAGGGGAATGGCCACATCGAGGGTCAAGAAAATTACTGTAAGTGGTAGGATTTGGCTTATGATAATGTGTGTGTATGTGCATATACCCAAGCTCACAATACACATGCCATTTATCTTGTAGAATTAGAAAAATGACATGTTTTCCTGAAAATGAGGGAAATAAATGATCAACGGGGTAGGAAGAGTGGTGGAAATATTGTAACAGATTTGATCACAGTCAAGTGTGTTTCTTTTCCCAGTCCAGAAAAAAACTAAGCTTGACAAATAAGGAAGTTTTCCCTTTCCTAGTCCAGAATAAACTAAGTTGTAGACACAACAGAACAGTAAAGTGTTTGGGATAATGCCATGGAGTCTTTGGCTTAGGTTATATATGGTTGTACAGAGCCGGATCTGCTCATTGTGTCTCACATTCTGTCTCAGCTATGTGGTAATAAATGATGAATTCTCAAGGAGTTTCTATCCCTGCTTCCTTCTTGAAAGCTGATAAGGTTAAAAAATTTTTTTCCCTTATGATTTACCTGGGTATATGAAAGAAAATAGTTCTTGACCTTTTTTCTTTCCCAGCATATCTGAAGGGTATGACACATTTCCATCACTAATAGTGAGTCACACTAGCAATAATTTGCACCTAGCTTGTGAATCTTAAAGCCCCCAATTATTGAAGGAGGTAGAACATAGTGAAATGCAAACACATACCTAGTCTATGTAGTTTTATCTTGAGGCAGTTCACACATGAAAATGTAATCTGTTCTTTTGAATTTCTTAATCACTTTTTCCATATTAATCTTATTGCCTAGATAATTTCTGTGCCCTAGGAGTAAGGAAAATGAACAAGATATACTTATTTCATTTTTTTAAATCAGGATGTTGGAAGATATTAATCTTTTGGTTTTGGCCACATTTGGAAAACTTCGGTTTAACCACCCAAAATATTAATTTGTAAAGCAGAAATAATAATTCTTTTCAGGACCCTGCGTGATTGTGATTGGTTGCTGTAAGAGAGGTACGTAAATTTGGTTGTTGTTTGAGAAGGGAGGTGAGAATAACTTGGGAAGACCAAAACAACTCAGGATGGCTTCACATTCCTTAAGTCTAGGCCCTCAGTTTTACCAGGCTTGAATTTTAATTTCATCAGGATGCTAATAAATTAGGGGAATTAGTTCAGCTAATAAAACTTTCCAAAGTCTGATGTGCAAACTGTATACCAGTTTACTAATTTATAAATGGAAGATAGTCCCTTCCAATGATATAAATATTTATGTCTGCCTTTACAGCATCTCTGTATTGTGTCAGGGCATGCATTAAGTTGAATTTTAGAAGCCAGGTAATTGTTTGGGGAGCATGCAATCAAAGCAAAGGGAAGTGGATTGTAGACAGAGGTATAATCCAGGCCACGGTGCGGCCAGTGTAACATCCTGCCTCAAGCGGGAGTCTGCTGAAGATCCTTACTGTCAGATGCCCAGATTTAGTGTCTTTCTCCTGGAGAGCACAGGACTTACACTGTTTATACCGTTTCTTTGACCGTCCCATTTGCTATATTTCATTCTGACCATCCCCACCTGTTTACAGAATCTTTGGCCAGACAAGTTATCATTTAATTGATGAGATTTCAGCTTGCTAAGTTAAAATCCCATTTTACGATGTCTCTCAGACATTATACCCGGGTCATCTGAAGTGCAGTTTTAGGAACTTTCTCCACTCTTTGGTAATAAATAAATGTATGTCTGAAGCCTCTAGGTTTGCAAAATCTCGTCTATCAATAGCATTTGAAGTATTTAACATACTCGATTATTCCTTCCTTAACACATTTCTTCACTTTTGAGAAACTGTTTTTGGGGTGTGGGGGTTCCTTTATTACTGTATTAGCTGCATGGCAAATATGGCATTATCATTCAAAGGGTAAGGAAGCTAAACAGGGTTTATATTGTAGTTGATTGGTAAGCTTCGGACCACAAGGAAAGTAAGAGAAAATTATTAGCGTAGAATTCTTCTCTGGCTTGTCAAAGACTGTTTCAGGTCATCATCATAGTTATGTGAATCTGCACCCCAAGAGTATGTCAGTTTGGAATTTGGATGCCTGGAACTGAGAGATTCTAACCAGTGATGTGTTTTCTAAAGACAGGAGGAAATTGTTGTCATAAAATAACTGTTTCTTTCTTTACTTTTTTTTTTTTTTTTGGTAGAGATGGAGCCTTGTTATGTGGCCCAGGCTGGTCTCAAACTCCGGGCCTCAGGTGATCCTCCCACCTCAGCCTCTTAAAGTTTTGGGATTACAAGGATTACATCTGTTAAAATACCTGTTTTTGTCTTTATATGATCCTCAAATTCTTTAGCAAGTTTTCCATTTTTATTGCAGGGTCACTGGAAAGTGTTATAAATACACTTTTGATACTATTATATCTGACATCACTGTATTTATCCAAAAGTGACAACGTTTTCTCATTTTTTTTTTTTTTGCCTTAGGAAGAAAATAGTAAGAAGTAGATTTTTCATGTCAAGTGTGGTGTACTGCTATTTGAAAGAAATACAATCTTATAACAGTATTATATTTTAAAGACTTGCTGATTCTCTGTAAGGTCACAATATGTTTTACAAGTTTCAGAAGTAGGGTTTCTTCATTATGAGATTCATAATGTTCACAGTGTAATCTAAAATTTAAGATTCTTTCATTCAGTCATGTCTTTCCCCTTTTTGTAGGGGGTTGGTGGTGCTAACAAGTCATGTAAAAGTAACTTATTTGCATTTTTAACCACTGTGGCAGAATGGTTGCCATCAATTTAGCATATTACAGTAGTATTTGCTAGAGAAAGTTACAAGTTCTTAGAGCTAAAGCTACTCAAGAATTTACTTAATCTGAGTTTATCTTTTCTTCTTACTGTATCTAGGATATAGTCACAATTATAGAAACCTTCCAGAATGTTTTTTTGGAGGGGAGTTTACCAAAGTATACCTATAAAAAACATCTGAAAATTTACACTCATGGAAAAGGCTTTATCTGTTAAGATTCCAAATAACTTTGTCATGGCAGTAATAATGAGAAAACAAATATAGACAAAGTTCAAGTTTTTAGGAATAGAGAAAAGTAAGAGTGAAACATCAGGTACCGTTACGAAGCCAATTGGTCATAAGTAAAATCATGTCCATTTGAAGAGGTTAATTTAATGTCCATACCCAAAGAAAATAATAAGCACATGAGAAATAGTTTATATTTTTTGTATAAATGTAAGGGGTACAAATGCAGTTTTGTTACATGGATATATTATGCAGTTGTGAAGTCTGGGCTTTGAGTGTAATCATAACTCAAATAATGAGTATTTGTTAATTTCTCATCTTTCACCTCTTCTTACCTTCCTACCCTTCTGAGTTTCAAATGTTTATTATTCCACACTCTATGTCCATGTGTACACATTATTTAGCTCCCACTTATAAGTGAGAATATGTGGTATTTGACTTTCTATTTCTAAGTTATTTCTCATAAGATGATGGCCTCTAGTTCCACCCATGTTGCTGAAAAAGATATGATAATACTTTTTGTGGCTGAGTAGTTTTTCCATTATGTATATTATATTTATATATATGTATATATACATGTGTGTGTATATCTGTATATATATATGTGTGTGTGTGTATGTGTGTGTGTGTAATATACCCCAGGTATTTTATTTTATTTTGAGACAGAGTTTCACTCTGTTACCCAGGCTGGAGTGCAGCGGTACAATCTCGGCTCACTGCAACCTCCACCTCCTAGGTTCAAGCAATTCTCCTGCCTCAGCCTCCCAAGTAGCTGGGACTACAGGCATGTTCCACCATGCCAAGATAATTTTAGAATTTTTAGTAGAGACAGGGTTTTACCATGTTGGCCAGGCTTGTCTCAAACACTGGCCTCAAGTTATCTGCCCACCTCAGCCTCCCAAAGTGCTGGGATTACAGGTGTTAGCTACCATGCCCGGCTGTCCACAGGTATTTTATAACAACAATTTATATGTGTACATATACATTTTTATATAGATTATATATTTATATGTATTTATAATAATACATACAATATAATATATAACATATATTTATAATATGTACATACGTATATATAAATTGTCATTTTATCTGATGCCAGATAGTATCAAAAGTGCATTTATAACACTTTCCAGTGACCCTGTAATAAAAATGGAAAACTTCCTAGAGAATGTGAGGAGCATATAAAGACAGAACAGGTATTTTGACAGATGTGGTGGTTCACACCTGTAATCCTAACACTTTAAGAGAACTGAGGTGGGAGGATCACTTGAGGCCAGGAGTTTGAGACCAGCCTGGGCCACATAGCGAAGCTCCATCCCTACCAATAAAAATTCAAAAAAAAGAAGGAAAGAAAGAAACAGGTATTTTACTATAACAATTTCCTTGTGTCTTTTTATATATATAATTATATATAAATAGATATATGTGTCTTTATGTAACTATATATGTAAGTATATTAATATGTGTATATATGGACACATTTCAGCACATTTATATAATTATATGTATAATTATATATATATGTATATAGATGTGGTATATATATACCATATTTCCTTTATCAAATCATCTGCTGATGGACACCACTTACGTTGAGTCTATATCTTTGCTATTGTGAATAGTGCTGCCATAAAGTTATGAGTGCAGGTATCTTTTTTATATGACTTTTTAATATGACTTCCTTTGGGTAAATTAAACAATAATGAGATTGCTAGATTGAATAGTAGTTCTATTTTTAGTTCTTTGAGGAATCTCCATATTTTTCATAGAGGTTATACTAATTTATATTCCTATTGATAGTATATAAGCATTCCCTTTTTTTCCACATTCTCATTAACATCAATTTTTTTTTTTTTGAGATAGAGTCTTGCACTGTCACCCGGGGTTGGAGTGCAATGGTGTGATCACCGCGTCCCGGGTTCACGTTATTCTTCTGCCTCAGCCTCCCAAGTAGCTGGGATTACAGGCGTATACCCCTACACCTGGCTAATTTTTGTATCTTTAGTAGAGACAGGATTTCAATATGTTGGCCAGGTTGGTCTTGAACTCCTGACCTGGTGATCCGCCTGCCGCAGCCTCCCAAAGTACTGGGATTACAGGCATGAGCCACCTGCACCGGGCCTTTTTTTGACTTTTAAAAAGTAGCCTTTTAAACTGGTGTGAGATGATATGTCATGGTGCTTTTAATTTGCCATTTCTCCTATGATTATGTTAATCATTTTTTCATATGCTTGCTGGCCATTTCCATGTCTTATTTGGAAAAATGTCTTTTCACATCCTTTGCCCACTATTAAATGGGGTTATTTGTATTTTTGTTGTTGACTTATTTGAGTTCCTTGTAGATTCTGGATAGTAATCCTTTGTCAGATGCATAGTTTGCAGATATTTTATCTGATTTTTCAAGTAATTACTCCATTGATTATTTCTTTTGCTGTGGAGAAACTTTTTAGTTTATTGAAGTCCCATTTTTCTATTTTGTGTGTGTTTTTTTTTTTTTTTTGCAATTGTTTTTGAGGTCTTAGTCATGAATTCTTTGCCTAGGTCAATGTCCAGAAGAGTTTTCCCTAACAGGTTTTCTTCTAATTTGAAGTTGATAATGTGATGCCTCTAGCTTTGTTCTTTTTGCTTAGGATTGCTTTGGTAATTTGGACTCTTTTTTGGTTCCATATGGATTTTAGGACTGGTTTTTCTAATTCTGTGAAAAATGATATTGATATTTTGATAGGAATTGCATTGAATCTGTAGATTTCTTTGAGCAGTATGATCATTTTAATGATATTGTTTCTTCTATTCCATGAGCCTGAAATATTTTTCCATTTGTTTATGTCATCTGTTAATACTTTTTAAAAATTAGTGTTTTATAGTGTTTCTTATAGAGATCTTCACCTCCTTCATTAAATAATATATTCCTAGATATATGTTTTAATCTAGTGTAAATGGGATTGAGTTCTTGATTTGGTTCTCAACTTGATCATTCTTGATATATAGAAATGCTACTGATTTTTATACATTGGTTTTGTATTCTGAAACTTTACCGAATCCATCTATCAAATCTAGGAGCCTTTTAGAGGCATCTTTAGGGCTTTTCTAGGTATAAGCTCATATTGTCAGCAAACAGATAATTTAACTTTCTTGTTTCCAATTTGGATACCTTTTATTTCTTCCTCTTGCCTGAGTGCTCTGGCTAGGACTCCCAGTAGTATGTTGAATAGGAGTGGTGAAAGTGGGTATCCTTGTCTTGTACCAGTTTTTAGGGGGAATACCTTTAACTTTTCCTCATTCTGTATGATGTTGGCTGTGGGTTTGTCATATATGCTTTTTATTATTTTGTATAATGATCTTTTATACCTCTTTTTTTAGGACTTTTATCATGAAGGGATGCTGAATTTCATCAAATGCTTTTTCTGCATCTATTGAGATGATCGTATGGTTTTTGTTTTAATTCTGTTGATGTGGTGAATCACATTTATTGACTTGTGTTTGTTGAACTCTCCTTGCATCCCTGGAATAAAACCTACTTGATTGTGGTATATTATCTTTTTGATGTGCTGTTAGATTCAGTTTGCTAGTATTTTGTTGAGGGTTTTTGCATCTGTGTTCATCAGGGATATTGATCTATAGTTTTTGTTGTTGTTGTTGTTGTTATGTCCTTGTCTGGCTTTGATATCAGGGTGATACAGGCTTTGCAGAATGAGTCAGGAAGGATTCCTCAATTTTGGGGAACATTTTGAGGAGGTTCAGTACCAGTTCTTCTTTGAACTGTCTTGGAGAATGCTCCATGTGCTGATGAGAACAATATACATTCTGCTGTTTTTGGGTAGAATCTTCTGTAAATGTCTGTCAAGTTCATTTGGTCTAAAGTCCAATTAAAGTCCAGTGTTTGTTAATTTTCTGTCTTGATGATCTCTCTAGTGCTGAGTTAGGTGTTGACATTCCCTACTATTATTGTATTGCTGTCTATTACCCTCTTTAGGTCTAGTAATATTTGTTTTTATGAATCTGGGTGCTATAGCATTGGGTGCATATATATTTAGGATTGTTATATCCTCTCATTGAATTGATCCCTTTAGCATTGTATAATAACTTTTTTTGGTAGTTTTTTTTTTACTGTTGTTGATTTAAAGTCTGTTTTATCTGATATAAGTATAGCTATTCCTGCTCACTTTTGGTTTCCATTTGCATGGAATATCTTTTTCTACCACTTTACCTCCTTACTGTAAGTGTCTTTATCAGTAAGGTGAGTTTCTTGTAAGCAGCATATAGTTCGTTCATGTTTTTTTTTTTTAATCCATTCCATGAATCTATATATTTTAAGTGTAGTGTTTAATACATTTACGTTCAAGGTTAATATTGATATGTGAGGTTTTGTTTCTAGTATGTTATTAATTGTTATCTAGTTTCTTTGTAGATTCTTTGGTTTTTTTTTTTTTTGTCCATCTGTCTTTGTGATTTGGTCATTTGTTGTTTTGTCATTTGATTTCTTCCCCTGTCCTCTCTGTGTGATTGTTTTATAAGACCTATGAGTTTTATACTGTAAACCAAAAATAAAATACTAAGCCCCCCCTCAACCATCTGAATGGACTTCCTCCTCAACCAAGGCTCTTTTAATATTTAACCTGAGAGACTGTTTCAGGCCATGATGGGAAATGAGGGTTGGTTATGCCTCATTATACCTCTCTGGCATTAACATCAACACAGACTTTAAGTCTGATAAGAAACATTTTACAACCTATGATCTCTGAAGCCTAGTACCTGAAGACTTCCTCTGCAAATAAGAACTTGGGTCTCCACAATCCTTTATCTTAACCCAGACGTTCCTTTCTATTGATCCCAGGTCTTTAGATAAACCCAACCAATTGTCAATCAGAAAGTTTTTAAATCTACCTATAAGCAGGAAGCCCCCACTTCAAGTTGTCCTGCATTTCTGGACCAAACCAATGTATTTCTTAAATTTTTTTTATTGAAGTCTCATGTCTCCCTAAAATATATAAAACCAAGCTGCATCCTAACCACCTTGGGCACATGTTCTCAGGACCTCCTGAGGGCTGTGTCATGGGCCATGGTCACTCATATTTGGCTCAGAATAAGTTTCTTCAAATATTTTACAGAGTTTAACTCTTTTCATTGACAATACTGTCATATGTTTTTATGATGGCAAATATTGATCTTTCACTTCCATGTTTAAAACTCCTTTAACATTTATGGTAGGACTGGTCTAGTGGTAACAAATTCCTTGGGTATTTGCTTCTCTGGGAAAGACTTCATTTTGCCTTCATTTATAAAGCTTATTCCAGCAGGATACAAGATTAGTGGTTGGCAGTTTTTTCTTTAAGCACTTTGAAAATAGAATCCCAATCTCTTCTGGCTTCTGAAGTTTCTGCCGAGAAGTCTGCTGTTAGTATGATGGAGTTTCCTTAATAGGTGATGTGTTAGGCCATTTTTGCATTGCTATAAATAAATACCCAAGGCTGAGTATTTTATAAAGTATTTAGCTCATGGTTCAGCAGTCTGTATAAGCATGTTACCAGAATCTGCTTGGCTTCTGGTGAGGCCTCAGGAAACTTACAGTCATGGAGGAAGGTGAATGAGAACTATTGTGTCACATGGCAAGAGCAGGAGCAAGAAAGAGATAGGGGAGGTGCTACACTCTTTTAAACAACCGGATCTCATATGAATCCATCACCACTAATTATCTCAGGGAGGGCACAAAGCTATTCATGGGGAATCTGCCCCCGTGAGCCAAACACCTCCCACTAGGCTCCACCTCCAACAATGAGAATTATATTTCAACATGAGATTTGGAGTGAGAAAACATCCAAACTGTATCAGGCGACTAGCTGCTTTCCTCTTGCAGAATTTAGGATTTTTTTCCTTCATGTTAACTTTAGATGATCTGATGACTATATGTTGTCGTGAGGCAACATGTTTTCCTAGAGTTCACTGGGCCTCTTATATCTGAATGTCTAAATCTCTTGGTAGACTAGAGAAGTTTTCCTCAATTATTTTCTCGAATACTTTTTTTTTTTTTTTTTTTTTGAGACGGAGTCTTGCTCCGTCGCCTGGGCTGGAGTACAGTGGTGCGATCTCGGCTCACTGCAAGCTCCGCCTCCTGGGTTCACGCCATTCTCCTGCCACAGCCTCCTGAGTAGCTGGGACTATAGGTGCCCACCACCACGCCCGGCTAATTTTTTGTACTTTTTTAGTAGAGACGGGGTTTCACCATGTTAACCAGGATGGTCTCCATCTCCTGACCTCGTGATCCGCCAGCCGCCCACCTCGGCCTCCCAAAGTTCTGGGATTACAGGCGTGAGTCAAATAGTGTTTCTAAACTTTTTGCTTTTTCTTCTCCCTTGGGAATGCCTGTGATTTATCAGTTTGCTTGTTTTATGTAGTCCCATACTTCTTTAAGGCTTTGCTTATTCTTTTAAATTCTTTTTTCTCTATTTTCTTCTCACTGGATTAATTCAGTGAGAAAAAAAGCCCAGTCATTGCATTCTAAGATTCTTTCTTCTGTTTGGTCTAGTCTATTATTGAATATTTCAACTGTATTTTGTAATTCTTTCAATGAATTTTTCATTTCCAGAATTTTTTTTTTTTTTTTTTTGAGACAGAGTCTTGCTCTGTTGCCCAGGCTGGAGTGCAGTGGCACAATCTTGGCTCACTGCAACCTCCACCTCCCAGCTTCAAATGATTCTTGTGCCTCAGCCTACTGAGTAGCTGAGATTACAGGTGTGTGCCACCATGCCTGACTAATTTTTTAATATTTTTAGTAGAGTTGGGGTTTCACCATGTTGGCCAGGCTGGTCTCAAACTCCTGACCTCAAGCAGTCTTCCCACTTCGGTCTCCCAAAGTGCTGGGATTACAGGCATGAGCCACTGTGCTCAGCCCAGTTGCTGCTTCTTATTTTTAATTTTACCTTCATTAGGGTGGGACTTTTTTTTCTTGAGGATGCGACTATGGTGTTTGTTAAGTAGGGTCATTTGGCTTTGCTTCTGGGTACATTCAGTGGCATAGATTTTGTATGATTTCCTTGGTTATAAGTAACCTGTGTGGTAGCTTTCTCAAATGCCAAGTGTAGTAGTGATGTACTGGGTGGGTGAGTGGGCTCAAGGCCTCCTGAGTAGCCTGGGTGGCGTGGGCAATGATGGTAACAGAGGCAATGCAAAGCTTGTCTCCTTCTTGAGCTCTGTGCTCTTGAGTCGGCAGATGTTGTAAGGGACTGTGTAGATCAACCTTTAGGACAGGAGGTAGCACCTAAAAGTGAGAACCAGCTGTGGTGGTGGCAATAGAGTTTATGCTTGACCTTTGTTAATCGGGAGAAGTTCTTGGGCATTTCAGATGATGGGTAGGGCCATGGAACTCTCAGTAGTCCTGGTCCCATGATATGCCTCTGAAACAGGAGGGGTGGGATGTGGTAGTGGGATCCACTTTGTTCTCGTGCTCCTGACCCAGTGAGGCTCTCTCCTGCAGTCCAACACCGGCAGCAAGTCACAAGAAGTTTGTCTTCAGACCATGAAACTGCCTCAAGCTGTAAAGCTTCCTGCCTAGGTCAAAATTGTGGCTATCAGACTAAAACCCTCCCAGTTCAGTACCACAAAGGGAGGGTATTGTATTAGTCTGTTCTCACATTGCTGTAAAGAAATACCTGAGACTTGTAATTTATAAAGAAAAAAGGTTTAATTGGCTCATGGTTCTGCAGGCTATACAGGAAGCATGATGCTGGCATCTGCCCAGCTTCCAGGAGCCCTCAGAAAGCTTACAATTATGGCAGAAGGCAAAACAGAAGTAGGCGTGTCTGGAGCAAGAGAGATCCAGTGGGGAGGTGCTACACACTTTTAAACAACCAGATCTCATGAGAACTCACTCACTATCACAAGAATAGGACCAAAGGGATGGTGCTAAACTATTCATGAGAAACACCTCCATGATCCAATCACCTCCCACCAGGCCCCACCTCCAACATTAGAGATTACAATTCAACATGAGATTTGGGCGGGGACACAGATCCAATCCATATCAGGCATCTAACTCCCACACCTGTGGCTGGAGCCCATGCCACTCACCTCTCCTACTCAAAACTAGATTGCAAATTCCCATCCAGAGACTCTCCAAATCAGTGACTGCAACCCATGCTTGTTGGCAGGTTCTTATACAACCCACTATGAGTTAGCATCAAAAATGGCTTTCTCCTATCAGCACCCATGTTTGGGAGTGTGTGTGGGGTACTTCCCAGTGCCGTTCCTTCTCATGGTCTCCTGACTGCTCCCTGAGTCAGATCAGGGCTTGGTAAAGTCAAGAAGCTCCTCCATGGCCTGGATTGCCTGGCTGTCCAGTGGGAATGTGTATCACAGAGACAGTTTCTCCCCGTCTCACACACTGAGGATTCACTCACAGTTTCCCACCAGATCCACCCCGCAGGCTGCTGCTTGCCTTATTTTTCAGAGTATCCAAAGTTTCTTTCACTTTTATGTTGAACTCCCGTGTTCTTTCTTGGATAAAATTTCACAGTATGAATCTCTACACATTATTTTGCCTTTTCCAAATGCATGAGGCAAGCTGGCAAAGCCACTATTCTGCTATGTTGGGGAGAAAAACAGAAATGGTTGTCTTAATAGATACATGCTTTAAAATTAATCTAAGCTAGATGTAGTTTTCAATGAACTAATGTATATTGAGTGTCTATTATATATGGAATCCAGAGAAGACTGTTTCTTTGTATTTTTTTTTGTTTTATAGTACTATGATTCATTTGAAACCTATTATCAGCCTTATGACCATACCAAGTTGTGCCAGTCATTTAAAATTTTTAGTTTTTCATTATTCAACATACATTGATATACAGCCTTACATGCATGTCTATGAGAAAGTGGTAGGAGAAAGCTCTCAGCTGATTTTTGTGCAACTGAATGACCATTAATGCTTGGCAATCTTCCCAACTGAATCTGACTCAAGTAGAAATAGTTAACATTAATCAAAAGAGATTAATTACCTGCCACCAGTCTTTTGAAACAGTCTGTCCTGAGAAAAAGAGAATTCGATGATATGTAAATCCATGTTCTTTGGGAATGCTTATTTCTCCTTTTCTTGGGATACAGAAGAAGAGACAGACTCAGATACAAACCTCAATACCTGAAATCATTAGCTTTGGTCTTGGTGGGATCAAAACCAAAAAATAAAAGCTATTAATATGTGATTGAATACACAAACACACGTGCGTGCACACACACACACACACATTTATTATAAGGAATTGGCATATGTGATTATGGCAACTGGGAAGTCCAAGAATCTGCAATGTGGTCTGGCAGGCTCAAGACCCAAGAGAGCTGATGGTGCAGTTCCAGTCTCACAGAAGTCTGCTGGAGAATTTCCTCTGGCTTGGAGAAGGTGGTCTTTTCATTCTACTCAGGTCTTCTATTGATTGGATAAAGTGCACATACATCATGGAGGGCAATCTTCTTTACTCAGAGGACATCAGTGTCAATGTTATTCCCATCCAGAAACACCTTCCAAGTTGACACATAAAATTAACAATACACTTTTCCTCATCTCACCCAAATTTAGGTTAAGAGTTCTGGATACCTGAATTAATATTGCCATTGGAATGCCACTTTTACTTTTGGAGAAAAATTAGAAATAACATTTTATAAAATTAAAAAACTGTAGGCTAGGCACACTGGTTTACACCTATAATCCCAGCACTTTTGGAGGCCAAGGCAGGAGGATCCCTTGAGCCCAGGAGTTCAAGTCTAGCCTGGGCAACATAAGGAGATCCTGTCTCTACAAAAAAAAAAAAACAAAAAAACTGTAGCTAGGCATGGTGGCATGTGCTTGTAGTCTCAGATACTCAGAAGGCTGAGGTAGGAGGATCCCTTGAGCCCAGGAGTTCAAGGCTGCAGTGAGCTGTGATTATACCATGGCACTCCAGCATGGGTGACAGAGCAAGACTTTATCTCAAAAAGAAAAAAAAATACTGTGTTTCTGGTTTGCAATTATACTGAGTATTCCAGATATGAAGTGACCAGCTCATAGCACTTGCAACAAGATTATTCTCTTCTGTAGTCTGGTTGCTATATTTCTAATAATGTGACTCAAGATTTCATTCATTTTACCTCTGGACTTATCACTCTTTGAACTTTACGGTTTATCACTAGGTCTTTTTCTCTAAATGAGCTATTGTTAGGCCAGTTTTCTTCTTCCTCTTGCAATCCTGTTTTTCAGTGGTTGATGGCATTTAACCTAACGTGGATTTTCACATAACAATTGCTATTTTAAAATGTTATTAGTTACTTAACCCATATGATTTATCTTAGAACCACAGAACCTCAGAGCTAAAATGAACATTTTATAATAACAAACCGGGTCCAAAATAAATGACTTACATAGATTTATAAGGTAATTAATGACAGAGCTGAGTCAAGGATTCATGTTTCTTGATGCCTAGTTTAGTAGTCTTTGATGCAACAGACATCAAGTACATATTATATCTAGAAGTAATGTATTAAAGATAATCTTTTGGCTTAAATCATTTTAGAATGTGTAACATCCTTGTAATACAAGTCATTACCCATTTCAACTAGAGAAGAAGATATATAGAAATATCAAATGTTAACAAGGTAATAGGCCATTGCTTTTGTGTAATTCAAAATTTGATAATGATTTTGTTCTTTGCCCTAGTTATTGATAAAATTCTTAAAGTGAACATTGCCCTACTGCCTATTTCTAGGTGCTGTTCCCTTTAATAAGTATATTTTGAACATCATTTGTTTAACCCTGTTTTAACCAATTAGAAATCTATCTACTTGAATTATGTTCATTCTCTTCCCTATGTATTCTTTTTGAGTAACAAAATGAGATTATTTTAATATGACTAGAAAGGAAATATATCTTAATATGAGGGTGTACAAACTTTTGTTGTCTTAAATAAAGATTGACATGTCAAATCTGTAAAGAATAAAAGTAGACCTCATTTTTAGGTTTATTATTTTTTAAATACCACAAATGACAGTAAAGTTGCCTTCATTTAAATTGGTACCTTCAGTTACCCACCACCCCCAACCACTTCAATAGTTAAATGCATCTTACTTAAACATATTGGAAAATTTGGAGTAGAATCTTAATTAATGTTAATTTCATGTCTTTGATGATATACAATGTCCCTGCAAGATTAAAACATGATAATGGGAGTAACAAAAAATCACTGTTATTTAGTTTTTTAAATTTTGCATTTAGTGACTTTGAACAGTACAAATCAACTTAAAATGTATGCTTTGCTACTGACTATAACACTGACAATTGTATCATCAAGAGCAAATACTCAGCTTTGAGACCTTGGATCTAAAAAGCTAAAACTCTGCATTTCTGTTAAACATGTATTGATCTGGCAGTTGACAGCAGGTTGTCAAAGTGCCTTATGGTGGAAGTTGTAATAGATGATATCTACGTCCTCCTCTAATGAGTGAGTCTACCAAAGACCATGGAGAGGAAAATGTGCCTCTTATTGCCTGACTCCTGATGAATAAGACTTCAGTGAAGTGCAGAAAACAGGCCTCTGCTAGGTCTATCCATGACAGGCAAGTTACCCAAATGAAAACCTTGGGCTCTGTCTCAGCTGTCACCCTAACTTTCAAGTGACAGCAGCTAGCCTTTCAAAGTTCTAAGCACCTTTGAAGAGTTTCTGATAACACATTTAAAAGTATTATCACAGATGAAAGAGAATTCATTATGTCAGACCTACCTCAAAAGTTTTAAGTTTGTTCTTAAGTCCTTTCAGAGAAATTAACAATCCAGGAATAAATCTTTTAATTTACCCTACCTATTGTGGTTACTAGTACAAGGCACCTTTCTGATAATGAAACAGAAATCCTTTCATTCCTGGAATTTCCTGTTGGGAGTGTAGAGTTTTCTGAGCAATATGTAACGTTGGTTAGTTACGCAATATGTTGGATTTTACTGCCAGCTTTGTTTAAAAAGGGTGTGAGAGGCTTTGACCAACAGGAATGTGAAGTCAAAGTTAAGTATGGCATCATCTTACCACCTGTCACATGAATAAACCCGGATTCATAAGCAAATATGTTATACATTTAAGTGTTTTTATTAACTCAGATAAGCTAACTATAAAATAGTTTTATCTTTACCTGTATATAATTTGGAGAAACTATCTTTTTCCCTCCAGGAAAATGTTAGTGGAGAAAAATTGGTCCCCAAAGTTGCATACAAAAGTTATTAAACATGTGAGGGAGGTTGTCTTCAGTGATTGCAGGGGAGATGGATGGATCTGGAGATATGCTCATAATATATTTAAATCCCAGTACATGGGTGAGAGTCAAGTCTTCAGCACTATGGCAAACCTGCTAAGATTCAGGCCCCTGCTCTCTCCTCTGTCTCTAGCTACTTGGATAGGTGCTTAGTTCTCCCACATAACATTTCAAGATCTGTTTAGAATAACCCCTCCCAATCTTATGCAGAAAAGCATCCATATGCTGTTTTTAAGGATATAGAGACTATGTTGTAGTCTCCTTCAATAATACATTACCTATTTTTAATAACTTTAAGCCTCAGAAATTTCTTAGGTTAATATCTAATCTAATTTTCTCTGTAAGGCAGTTCTCAACCTTAGCACTATTGACATTCTGGGCTGGATAATCCTTTGCTGGTGGGGAGCAGGGGGGACTTGCCTGTGCATTATGAGATAGATGTTTGGCAGCATGCCTGGGCTCTACTCACTAGATGCCAGTAGCACCCTGCTCCCGGTTATGATTGCCAAAAATGTCTCCAAACATTGTCACATGTTCCATAGGGGTCAAAATTGCCCCTGTTTGAGAACCACTGCTCTAAGACAGCATAGAATGTTAGATAACTGTCCAGTTTTTATTTTCTCTTTTCCACTTGGCTGTGATTTACTTGAGATCTCACTTAAGAGGTGAGACTGGAACCTGGGTTTCCTAACTTCACTGTTAGTTTTTTTCCTAACACACCATGCTTTCTTGGTTTAAGATGCTCTGATACCCTACTTATGGGCTTGTCCAGCTATGAGTTCTGTTACAGTATAGCTAACCATTTAGTAACCTACTCCACATTATGCACATAAAATCTGTAGTTCTCCTTAATATCCACTTGTACATATTGTTTTGGCTTGTTTCTCCCAGAAGCAATCCTGAAATGGGAATTTGTGTAAAAGCGGCTTATTAGGAGGTGTTCTCAGGAAAAATTGGTAGAGGAGTGGGGAAGTGGCCAGGGAAGAGAAGGAAACAAAACAATGGTACAATGTCAGGCAAACTTCCAAGCAAGTAATTTTAGCTCAGTCCCCCTGGAGAGCCCTGGAGACAGTGTAGATCATATCTCAGAACTGTTCCAATCAGGTACAAGAGAAAAAAACTACAGTGTGCATACTTCCCTGCCCATCAGTCATTGTTTGAGGTGGAGTTTCTTAGCCTTGATACTATTGACATTTTGGGGGTAATTCTTTGGTTTTTTTTGTTTTTGTTTTTGTTTTTGTTTTTGTTTTTTGTCTTGGGAGTCTGTCCTGCGCA
This sequence comes from Homo sapiens, assembly GCF_000001405.40. Taxonomy (NCBI): domain Eukaryota; kingdom Metazoa; phylum Chordata; class Mammalia; order Primates; family Hominidae; genus Homo; species Homo sapiens. The sequence goes on along the minus strand of NC_000014.9, from coordinate 91,754,173 downwards.
TTGTAGGCTGTCTGGCTACAATCTCTGGCTTCTATGTGTTAGATGCCAGTAGCCTCCCAGCCACCTTTCCCGGCCCGGTTATGACAACCAAAAGTATCTCTAGACACTTTGACTCCTGGAGCTCAAAGTCACGTCCTCATTCAGAACCACTGGTTTAAGTGTCCCTGGGGAGATGTAAATTTCCAGGAAATTTACTCAGGCAAAATGGTCTTTGGCAGCTTAAGAGCAGCCCTCTGACTGACACTGGCATTGGCTGTGGGGGTGAAAGCACACCAGGAGCCATGTGCGTGAAAAGGTTAATGAATTCCAGTAGCTATGGTTGGAGTGCTGATATCATGTGCTACCTGTATATTGACTTATTAAATTTCTCCTTTTCAGCCATGTGAGCATATTTGATATAAAGGCACAGTTTTCTTTGAAGGGCTTTTGGTGGACTGAGTCAACCCAGTGTGCCACATGTTATAGTCAGTGCCACTAGAGCAGTATCTGACTCATCCTACTGTTGCCATTATACACCATAAATACCTCTCCACTGAGGCTAATTTTAAGCTCTGTGGAATTAGTTTGATCAGAAACCTGAATCAAGAAAGAATTTCATAAGTTGGAACCATTCCTGCTAGACTAGACTTACTGATTTTTGTTTCACTCTAATGACAGAAAATCAATGTGTTTTGGCTGTGTTTTTCTAATCTTGAATCTATTTTTGTTGTACCTGCTGTGCCCAATTTACCATTCATTCATTCAAAAAGTGTTTACTGAGTGCCTAATATGTGCCCAGCGCTTTGCTTGGTAATAGGAATACAATAGGAGACAAAAGAGAGATGGTTGCTGTATTAATGGAACTTCCAGTCTAGTAAGGGAGAAAGACAAGAAATTAGTTACAGTTCAAGGAGCAGGATTGTCTGAAAATAGCCTTGAATTCTCACTCTAGGTTTCCTGGACTGTGAGAACGGGGGAGTTCTCTTCTATGTCATGGGAGGGGCTGTGCTCAAATCTTATGAGACTGGTGGCTTTGTCTTCCCAGCAGAGGTGATTTCAACTTTGCAGGAAAGCTGGCATTCTTAAACAACTCCAGTAAGCAGCCTGCTGGGCTGTCAAAGTCAGACTGCCTGGCACCAAGTGTATTCCTCCAATGTTAAGGCTGTATAAACAGGGAGAATAGCAGAGAGGCCATTGTCTCTCTAACTAGAAGCAAATCCCCATAGTATTGGTTCTTGTAGGAGGAGAATGAGATACCCATATCTTTTGTTCTCTCACTAACCGTGGCATTTTACTTGTAAGTTTTCTCTTTCCCCAATAAAGTATATCTTTAACCCATGCTATGTAATGTGGAGTTTGTCTTTAAACCTACATAAGTGCTACAAAGAAAAAAAGCAGATTTAAAGGATGTGCCAGGTACTTCGGATTATTCAAGTGATCAAAAAAGCTTGTTTGAGAAAGTGACATTTGAGCTGAGACCTGAGCTCTGAGAAAGCAAATCACGTGAAGATCTAGAACAAGAGCCTTCTAGGCAGAGGAAGAATATGGAAAATCCCTCAGGTAGAGAACTTGATATGTTTAAGGAATTGAAAGAAGACTAGTTTGGGTGGCGGAAGCATAGAGATAGAGGGAAGGGAGAATGAAAGCAGCGTGAGATGAAGCTGGAAAACTTCAAAATACAGTATGGAGCCAGATCATAATAAATGGCCTCGCTGGCCGTGATGAGGAGTTCTTATTTTATCCTAACTGCATTGGGAAGCCATTGAAGCAAATTTCAAAATACTCGCTCTGATTTAGGTCTTTAAAAGATAATTGTCATTCCCATATGGACAATGTTTAGAATGGGAGCAGAGAAATCAAGAAAGCAGTGTAGTAGTTTGATAGATGGTAATATGGTTTGGATGTTTGTCCCCTCCAAATCTCATGTTGAAATGTAATTCCCCTGTTGGAGGCAGGGTCTGGTGGGAGGTGTTTGGATCATTGGAGTGGATCCTGTATGAGTGGCTTAGCGCCATCCTCTTGGTGATTAGTGAGTTCTTGCTCTGGTAGTTCATGTGAGATCTGGTCGTTTAAAGGTATGGCACCTCCCACCTCTCTCTTGCCTCCTCTCACCATGTGACGTGTCTGCTTCTGTGTCACCTTCTGCCATGAGTAAAAGTGCCCTGAGACCTCATCAGAAACTGAGCAGATGCCAGCACCATGCTTGTACAGTCTGCAAAATGGCAAGGCAATTAAACCTCTTTTCTTTATAAGTTACTCAGCCTCAAGTATTTGTTTGTGGTGATGCAACAATGGACTAACACCGATGCTGATTGCTTTGGCTAGGGTGGTGGCATCATAAGTGGAAAGAAAGGAAGAGAGGTGATATAAATTTTGGAAGCACAGGATGGAGGGATGAGATAAAGGAAAGAATCAAGAATGACTCCCAAGTTTTTTTACTTTTGCTACTGGGTAGGTGATGAGATGAAGGAACTGTGGAGAAGGAGAAGGTTTATTGTGGTAGGAGGACAGGATGAAAACTTCCATTTTGATCATATTGAACTTTAAGTGTGAGACATCCAAAGATTCAAGAGGGCAACTGGATATATAGGATTTAGTTCAGAGACCAGATTTGTGCTGGAAATATAAATTTTGGAGCCATTTGTATACACATGATAATCAAAGCCAAGAGCCTGGACAGACTTGCTTAGGGAATGAGTCTAGATAGAGAGGAATACCAAGGTCTCAGCCCCGGGGTTCTCTAAAACAAAGAGCTTAAAGATATGAGGAGAAACCAGAAAAGGACATTCAGATGATGGGCTATTTCCCATGCTTTTGGTCAATGTAACAAAAGTCAAAATTGAGGGTTGGGAAGAGAAAGGAATACTGCGAATTGTTCTTTCTATTCAAGCTTGGAACAATAAAGTTAAACACAAAAATTATGAACACATACTTGGGCAATAGAATTATATGGTAGTTCTTAGTTATATGGAATAATCCAAATGGTGCAGAAAATGTTTCTGTTTTTAAAGATTTTCATAGAAATGAAGGCACAAACTTTAAGAGTTCTAGGAAGCCTTCCCTATCCCAACAAGATCATTTTTATACTTTATGTACTCTCATTACACACATCCTTATCCTACCTTGAAATATTGAATCACGTGATGAGGAAAAGTCATTAGAAGTTCATGTGCTATTCTCTCTGCCCTCCACAACCACTCCCTCTAGTGCCACCCCTTAAGTACACAACTCTTCACCAGAAGGTCTCCTTCTCATCTTTTAGTCTAGGTGTCATCTCAAAGAGGCATTCCCTCAATCATGCATACCTCTCAATGCTCAAATGCATTCCCCCAGTAGCACATACCTCTTAACACCATTATTCTTGGTTATTGCACAATACTATTCATGATCTCTTATTTATTTACTCAAATTTTTACTTATTTTTGTCTTTTTCCCTCACTATACTATAAATTCTATGAATGCAAGGACACGTCGATATTTTATTCCAAGACCCTAATGAGGTATGCACACATTTAATAAATATTTTTGAATGAATGAAGATTATTTTTAAAATTTAAAATTAAGCAGTGACATAGAGTTCTTTTTTCCCCTTATACAAATGTTAATATCTTACCAATGTAATTATTAAATGATTTTTAAAAATTTAATTTAATTTAATTTTAAGTTCCGGGATACATGTGCAGGACGTGCAGATTTGTTACATAGGTAAATGTCTGCCATGGTTGTTTGCTGCACCTATCAGCCATCACCTAGGTATTAAGCCCAGCATGCATTAGCTATTTATCCTGATGCTCTCCCTTTCCCCAGCCCCCCAACCAGCCCCAGTGTATGTTGTCCCCCATTCAATGTCCATGTGTTCTCGTTGTTCAGCTCCCACTTATAAGTGAGAACATGCAGTGTTTGGTTTTCTGTTCCTGTGTTAGTTTGCTGAGGATAATGGCTTCCAGCTCCATCCATGTCCCTGCAAAGGACATGATCTTTTCCTTTTTATAGCTGCACAGTATTTCATGGTGTATATGTACCATATTTTTAAAATCCAGTCTATCATTGATGTGCATTTGGGTTAATTCCAAGTCTTTGCTATTGCAAATAGTGCTGCAGGGAACATATGCATGCGTGTATCTTTATAATTGAATGATTTATATTCCTTTGGGTGTATGCCCAGTAATGGGATTACTGGGTCAAATGGTATTGCTAGTTCTAGATCCTTGAGGAATCACTACACTGTCCTCCACAGTGGTTGAACTAATTTACATCCCCACCAACAGTGTAAAAGTGCTCCTATTTCTCCACGGTCTTGCCAGCATCTGTTGTTTCTTGACTTTTTAATGATCACCATTCTGACTGGCCTGAGATGGTATCTCATTGTGGGTTTGATTTGCATTTCTCTAATGGTCAGTGACGTTGAGCTTTTTTTCATGTTTGTTGACTGCATAAATGTCTTCTTTTGAAAAGTGGCTGTTCATATCCTTTGCCCACTTTTTGATGGAGTTTTTTCCTTGTAAATTCATTTAAGTTTCTTGTAAATTTTGGATATTAGACCTTTGTCAGATGGGTATATTGCAAACATTTTCTCCCATTTCATAGGTTGCCTGTTTGCTGTGATGCTAGTTCTTTTGCTGTGCAGAAGCTCTTTAGTTTAATTAGACCCCATTTGTCAATTTTAGCTTTTGTTGCAATTGCTTTTGGTGATTTAATTATAAAATCTTTGCCCTTGTCTATGTCCTGAATGGTATTGCCTAGGTTTTCTTCTAGGGTTTTTATGGTTTTGGGTTTTACAGTTAAGTCTTTAATCCATCTTGAGTTAATTTTTCTAGTTTATTTGCATAGAGGTGTTTATAGTATTCTCTGATGGTAGTTTGTATGTCTGTGGGATCAGTGGTGATATCCCCTTTATCATTTTTTATTGCATCTATTTGATTCTTCTGTCTTTTCTTCTTTATTAGTCTCGCTAGCGGTCTATCAATTTTGTTGATCTTTTCAAAAAACCAGCTCCTGGATTCATTGATTTTTTGAAAGGTTTTTTGTGTCTCCATTTCCTTCAGTTCTGCTCTGATCTTAGTTATTCCTTGCCTTCTGCTAGCTTTTGAATGAGTTAATTTTTGTATAACGTGTGAGGAAGGGGTCCAGTTTCAGCTATTTTAAAAAGAAGGAAATCCTATCATTTGTGACAATATGGATGAACCAGGAGGACATTACAGTAAGTGAAATAAGCCAGGCACAGAAAACAAATACTGCGTAATCTCACTTACATGTGGAATCTAAATTAGTAGAACTTACAGAGGCAGAGAATGGTGGTTACCACAGGCTGAGGCTTAGGGGATTGGCAATTTGTTAGTCAAAGGACACAAAGTTTCAGTTAGACAGACAGTAGGAATAAGTTCAAGAGATCTGTGGTACATCTGTGGTACATAATAACAATATGGAATTGTTTATACTTGAAAATTGCTAAGAGAGTAGATTTTAAGTGTTCTCACCACAAAAACATAAGTATGTGAGGTAATACCTATCTTAGTTAGCTTGATTTAGTCATTCCACAATGTATATGTATACCAAAACAATCATGTCATGAACTATAGATATATACAATTTTGTCAATTTAAAAAATAAAAAATTTAAAAACTAAAATACAGATTTAGATAATAAAAAAGGAAATCATACCAATATTTGCAGAACCCAGGAATCAATTGAAAGGCCAACTAGTAGAATTATTCAGTAAGGTCACTGAGACAGGCTAAGGGCAGGAGAATCACTTGAGAATCACTTGAACCCAGTAGGCGGAGATACTACTAAAAAGATAAAAATAAAGGAATAGACAGCATGAAACATTTGAATGTCTCAAAACTAAACAAACAGAATCTATATGAAGAAACTTATAAAACACCATGGAGAAAACAAAAAAGAAAACTTAAAGAAATGTAAAGGCATTGCCACATTTGAATAGAAAAATGCAACATCATCGTGATATGAATTCTCCTTAAGTTAACCTAACTGACCCCAACAGGCTACTTTTATTTTTGTTTTTGTTTGGAACTGGACAAGCTGATGCAAAAAAAAAAAAAAAAAACACACACACAAAAAAAACAAAAAAACCCACCTTGTTCTACAATAATGAAGATGAGATACTGGCACATGAGTGGATTAACAATTCACAGAAATAGACTAGAAAACTCAGAAATAGATCCAAATATATGCTGCAATTAAATGAACGTTTTATTTTAAGGCAGTGAAGAAAAAATGGGTTATTCAGTAAATTATGTTGGGACAACTGAGTAGACATCTGAAAAAAAAAAAGTTGGATCTCTGCTTCATAGATTATACCAAAATGACTTCCAGATGAATCAAAGATACAACATGAAGAAAATAAAACAATAAATTACCAGAAGATAAAAAAGAAAATCCATTTATTTAACTACAAGAAAAAATATCACATCACTATTTTAAAAATCAAAAGACAAAGGACAGATGGAGGATTTTTTTTGTAATTCAACTTACAGAAAAGGGGCTAATTTTCTTAACATATAAAAACATTTACAAATCAATAAGAAAAAGATCAACAACCTACAAAAAATGGGCAAAACCTATGAGCAAACAGTTCAGAAGAAAGGAAGTAGATAATATAAGAAATGCAAAGTTAATGATGATATAATGTTTTCAAGATCTCATAGCACTTGGTGAGGGTATGGGGAAACACACTCTTGCATACTGACTCCACGGCAGCAGTGTAGAACAATTTGATATTATCAACATTTTAAAAGCATATTTCTTTTAACCCAGCAATTTTATTCTTAGAAATCTATTTTATAGCTATATTATACATATGAAATGATAGGAGAATACTTTTTGTAATAGCAAAAGATTATCAATAGATGGCTGGTTGTATAAATTATAGAACATCCACACAATGGAATAACAGGCAGCTGATAAAAAGAATGGGGCAGCTATAAGAAAAATCTCCAACATGTATTGTTAGACTCAAAATAAAGAAAATAATAGGGTGTATAGTAAGCTACAATTTAAGTAAAGCAAAGTGAAAGTCTATATATGTGTGTACACCCACACACACATACACACACGCGCTCATACACAATGTGAGGTAAGTGGCAGTATTATCCCCCAGATAAGGAAACTTGGGATTAAAGAGGCTAAGTAACCTTTTCAATGTAACACCATTAATAAAGACCACAGGAATAAGAATCCAAGAAATCTAACTGCAGAATCCCTACTCTTTACTAATCTATTTTGTCCAGTGGGGAGGAAAGAGTGTATCTTTTTAAAGCTGTTTTCTTTTATTTGGAGATATACACATAGGAACAAACAAAGTAGGACAGAAAAACTAATGGTGAAAGCAACAGTTTCGAGCTCCAATCAGCTCTTGCCTTAGTCTCACTTTGCAGAGGTATCCTCTTTTACCCGTTTCTATGTCCTAATGATTATAAAATATGCTAATTTCTCTATTTCTTGACTTGCCAACACATGCTTTGTTATTAAATTTAGTTTAAATGTTAAAAATCAGTAAATGGTGTTTACATTATTATGGCTGTTCCAGAATTCAACTAGAGAAGCAGAACCAGTAGGAGATCATATATATATATACATATATATATATACACACACATATATATATACACACATATATATATACATATATACACATATATATGTATGCACACACACACACATACACACACACATATATATACACATACATATATATATATACACATACACACACATACATATATATGTTTCTGCTTCTCCGGTTGAACTCTGACACAGTCATAATCATGTAAATGCTATTTATTACATATAGTATTATGTTATATAAATGTACAAAGTATATAATATCAATATATAAAAATATACATACATATTTACATATATGTACATACATTCCAGTTTATTTGTTTATTATAAGGAATTAGCTTATACAATTGTGAGGACTAACTAAGCAAGCCTGAAGTCTGTAGGGCAGGCAGTCAGAAAGGAAAGATCACACGTGGGCTGCAACCCTTGAGCACAGGCTGAAGCTTGATGTCTCTGAACTGAGGGAAAGCCTAGGCCCTCTTTTAAAAGCCTTCCAGTTGACTAAGCTAGGCTCATATGCAATCTGATCCTTTGCTTTTTTTTAATTAATTTAAAGCCAACTGATGAGGGTGATTGCACCTGCTAAATCCCTTCACAGCAGACCTAGATTAGTGTTTGAATAATAACTGGGAGAAGGTAAGTGATTTATACAAAATAGCTGCTCCCTCCCTTTTTGTCCTCCAATTTGCAAGAAAATATCCCTTGTAGTTCAGCCTAACTATGAACATATTAGGAAGGAAATTCTGGGGAATGTAGTTCAGCCTAGCCAAGCTGGCACATCACAAAGCCATCACAGTGCACCCTTTGTCAACTTGGCACCCATATACATCTGCTTATATCATACTTAATGTCCAAATAAAGACAATAGCAAAGTCATAATTCTGCCTAACATGATACAACTTTCTATGCACAACTGTAACAGGCTAACTCTTTCCAAAGAAGAGGATACAAAATCCCTGGGTGATGTTGAGTCTTCTTTGATATTTTGTAACATAAATACTGAGATATGAAATTAGTCATTATTATCACATGCTAGATCATAAGGGAACAAGAGAGGGAAAACCACAAAAATATTTGGTTACTATATACACAAACATAATCATGCAAATAAGGAGGAAATACTCATAACTATTACCATCCTCTGCAACTGGCCATGTGGTCATTGCTGATATTTATAACTACCTTCTTCTACTATCCATGCCATGTTTCCTTTGTCCTCAGCAAGCGCCTCAGCTGGTTGTAGGCTTTTTGTGTAATGGTATGGCCTATACCTTCATTCTTGAAGCATCTGGGTTATTAGCAGTCCTGCCTGAATTGAGTTGTTGTAGTTTTCCATTGACTTTAATCACAAGACTAAACAATTCCCTGGGGGATTCTCCTGTATTCCATATATACTCCTGTCTACCCCATTGTGTAGTACCAACCCAGTTACCCGCTGGTAGTCAGAGTCAATCACTCGGCCGGGCGCGGTGGCTCATGCCTGTAATCCCAGCACTTTGGGAGGCCGAGGCGGGTGGATCATGAGGTCAGGAGATTGAAACCACCCTGGCCAACATGGTGAAACCTCGTCTCCACTAAAAAATACAAAAATTAGCCAGGTGTGGTGGTGGGCACCTGTAGTCCCAGCCACTTGGGAGGCTGAGGCAGGAGAATGGGGTGAACCTGGGAGGTGGAGCTTGCAGTGAGCCGAGATTGCGCCACTGCACTCTAGCCTGGGCGACAGAGCGAGACTTTGTCTCAAAAAAAAATAATCCATCAGTCTAGCCAGTACAGTAACCTCTTTCTTTGTTTGTAGATTCAAAGATGTATGAGAGGCCAAAGTGGCCAGTTAGCAGTCTCAACTTGGAGTTCCAAAAAAGTGTTATAATCTATACTAGTTCTCTATTACTGCATAATAAGTTATCACACACAGTGATTTAAAACAGTGCAGATTTTTTATCTCACAGTTTCATAGGTCCAGACACAAGTTTAGCTGGTTCTCTGTTCAGAGTCTTACAGGGCTGCAGTCAAGGTGTTGGCTGGACTGATTTTTCAAGTGAAGGCTCAACTAGGGAAGAATTTGTTTATAAGCTCAGATTGTTAACAGATTTTACTTCCTTGAGTCCTTGATTTTTCTAACTGGAGGCCACCCTTAGCTCCTAGAAGCTGCCTGCAATTCCCTGCCCTCTTCACAGGCAGCTCACAACATGGCTGTTTCCATCTTCAAAACCAGCAGGAGGCTCCCTGCAGTCTGATAAGACTTCTTAAGTAATGAAACATAATTACAGGAGTGACATCCCACACCTCTGTCATGTAATATAACCTAATTAAATGAGTGACGTCTCATAATCTTTACCATATCCTATTGGTTAGAAGCAAGTCACAGGTCCCACGCACACTCAAGGGGTGGGGATTATACAAGGACATGAATCATTGTGGGTCACCTTGGGTTATGTTTGCCACAATGACTGTGTAAATACTGTTTATTTCCTCCTCTAGAGGAGGAAATATAATCCTGGCACACTATCTGGCCTGGATTTGATCTTCTTCCTTCCTGGGGGTCCAGTGGAGGAACAGTGGAGGTCCTAGAGGTCCAATGGAGGAAACATATTTCCTCCTTCTTAGAGGTCCAATGTCATGACCTCTAGGCCATCAAAAAGAGAATGTTCCCAGCATCAAAATCAAATGGATCTCTTTTTAATTATCCTCTGTCTTAGTCTGCTGCTTTAACAAAATACATGAGACTGAGTAATCTATACAAAGCAGAAATTTATTTCCCATAGTTCTGGAGACTGGGTAGTTGTAGGTCAAGTCTCCCACTGATTTGAGGGCTGCTCTCTGCTTCCAAGATGGCCCTGTGTTGTTGCATCCTCCAGAGGGGAAGAGTGCCGTGCCCTCCCATGCAGAAGGCAGAAGGGCAAGGAGCAGAACGCTGCAAGAAGCCTCTTTTATAAGGGTCTTAATCCCATTTTGAGGCAAAGCCCTCATGGGCTAATGACCTCATAAAGGCACTACCTCTTAACATTATCACAATGGCCGTTAAGTTTCAACACCTGAATTTTGGAGGGGACACACTCAAACCATAGCCCTCTCCATCAATTGTTTAAATTCATGACACATTTAGAATTTCTGTTTCTTGGCTTTGAACACAGGTATTCTCACTCCTGAACTACACACTAAAGGAATTTTTGAAGTGGCGTAAACACATAAGGACAGAGAGAACTGGAGACTTGACAGTAGGAACAAAATTTAGACAGCTAGAAAGCAAATGGCTAAGTGATAACTAAATTAGCAGATGTAGGAAAGCCAGAATCCTAAACTGGCTTTTGGAAAAGACTAAAAGCAATGTGATTTGTATTCTAGAACCCCCCAAAGGGCTCAGGACTTCACAGCACTAAGTAGATTTTGAAGTGGAAATGAAAGTGGGGTCAAAAGTAGGATTGTTTGAATACTCATGTAAGAAGTATTTAGATTATCTCCCCAGTACTCTACAGTCTACCAGCTGCACTTCCCCCTTTCAGGGAGAAGTTGGAAGTTTCTTCTTGGGAGAGGGTAAAACAGAGGGTCTGTGGCCTGGTAGATATCAAGAACATTTGAGAATGTGGGTGCCTATTGAAAACAGGAGAACAAGATGAAATACTGCATATTGACATCTCAGAATACTAGCAGCCAAGACTGTACTCTTTGGGAAGGAGATGGAAGACCCAGGGAATTTGAGAAGCCAAAGAGAAAAGACCTACTTGAGATTTTTCCCCAGTAAAACAACTCCAGAATGTGCTACAGTGAAACTCACAGTAGATAGGCCTCTCTTTGATCCAGCGCCTCAGATAAGCTTCTTAGAACTTGCTTTTAAATCTGAATAGAAAACCAAGGATTATGATACATGTTTAAGAAGCCTCAAAATTGAAAGATTGAAACCAGAAAAAATAAAAAGGAAAAATGACTTACAGAATCAAACTTTGCAAGGAGAGTAAAACAAAAACCAAAACCCTGCCATTAAGTCTCAGAAAAGAATGTTACTACATACATGAAATAAAAATAGAATCTATAAAAAGGCACATTCTGAAAATAAAAGACTTATTGGAAAATAAGGACAAAGGAATATTGTACCCTTATACCCTTTTATTAACATCTCTCCTTTCTCTGTCCATGCTGCCACCACCCCCTACAAGCCTCTGGTAACTATCAATCTATGGTGTACTTATATGAGTTTGACTTTTTTAGATCCCACATATAAATGAGATCATGAGGTATTTGTCTTTCTGTGCCTGACTTATTTCACTTAGCATACTGTCCTTTGGATTCATCAATGTTGTTGCAAATGACAGAATTTCCTTCTTTTTTTTTTTCTTTGAGACAAAGTCTTGCTCTGTCTCCAGGCTGGAGTGCAGTGGTGTGATCGTAGCTCACTGCAACCTCTGCTAATTCCCGGCTAATTTTTATATTTTAGTAGAGACAGGGTTTCACCATGTTAGCCAGGCTGGTCTTGAACACCTAACCTCTAGTGATATGCCTGCCTCGGCCTCCCAAAGTCCTCAGATTACAGGCATGAGCCACCACGCCCTGCCAGAATTTTCTTCTTTTTAAAGCTAAACAGTATATACACCACATTTTCTTTATCCATTCATCCATTGATGAACACTTAGGTTGTTTCCATATCTTGGTTATTATGAACGGTGCTGCAGTGAACATGGGCATGCAGATATCGCTTCTACATACTGATTTCATTTTGTTTGGATATATATATGTGTGTGTGTGTATATATATATATATATATATATACACATACATATACCCAAAAGTGGAATTGTTGGATTATATGGTAATTATATTTTTAGTTTTTAAAGGAACCTTAATACCATTTACCAAAATGTATGCATACTAATACAAAATGTACGTATCTGTACTAATTTACATTCCCACCAACAATAGCCATTCTAATAGGTATGAAGTGATATTTCATTGCAGTTTTAATTCGCATTTCTCTGATGATTAGTGATATTGGGCATTTTAAAATATACCTGTTGGCCATTTTGTATGTCTTCTTTTGAAAAAATGTCTATTCAGGCCCTTTCCCCTTTAAAAAGAAATTTCTTCTTAACACGGAATATCGCTATATTGCCCAGGTTGAACTCAAACTCTGGGGCTCATGCAATCCTGCCTCATTCTCCTGAGTAACTGGGATGACAGGTTTGCACCACTGTACCCAGGACCATTTTTAAATCAGGTTATTTGTTTTCTTGTCATTGAGTTGTTTGAATGCCTTATATATTTTGGATATTAACCCCTTATCAGATGTATGGTTTGCAAATATCATTTTCGTATCTGAAGTTTGTCTCTTCACTCTGTTAATTGTTTTTTTGCTGTGCAGAAGATTTTTGTTGTAATCCCATTTGTCTACTTTTCCTTTTTTCCTGTGCTTGTGGGGTCATATCCAAGAAATCATTGCCCAGATAAATGTAGTGTTTTCCCCCATGTTTTCTTTTAGTAGTTTTACAGTTTCAGGTCTTATGTTTAATTCTTTAATCATTTTGAGATGATTTTTATATATGGGATGAGAGAAGGGTCTAATTCTATTCTTCTGCATGTGGATAGTCAGTTTCTCAAATCATATTTATTGAAGAAACTGTTCTTTCCCCATTGCGTGTTTTTGGCATCTTTGTTGAAAATAAATTGACCATGAATGTGTAAGTTTATTTCTGGGATCTCTATCCTATTCCATTGGTCAATGTGTCTGTTTTTATGCTGTACCATGCTGTTTTGATTACTGTTAAATATATTTTGAAATCAGGTAATGTGATACCTCTAGCTTTGTTCTTTTTGTTCAAGATTGCTTTGGCTATTGGGGATCTTTTGTGGTTCCATAGAAATTTTAGGATTTTTTTTCTATTTATGTAAAAATGTGATTGGAATTTTGACATTGATTGTACCGAATCTGTAGATCACTTTTGGTAGTATGGACATTTTAACAATATGAATTCTTTCAATCCATGAACATGGGATCTCTTCACATTCATTTGTGTCTTCTTGAACTTCTTTCATCAATGTTTTATACTTTTCAGTGTGCAGATCTTTCACCTCATTGGTTCAATTACTCCTAAGTATTTTTATGCTATTATAAATGGGATTTTCTTAATTTTTTGATACTTCTTTGTTAGTGTATGATGCTACTGATTTTTGTTATTAATTTTTTATCCTACAACTTTATTTAATTTGTTCATTAGTTCTAACAGTTTTTTTATGGAATTTTTAAGGTTTTCAAATATAAGATTATGTCATCTGCAAACAGAGACATTTTAACTTCTTCCTTTCCAGTTTGGATGCCTTCTGTTTCTTTCTCTTGCCTGATTGCTCTAGCTAGGACTTTTAGTGCTATGTTGAATAAAACTGATGAGAGTGGACATCCTTGTTTTCTTCCTGATCTTAGAGGAAAAACTTTCAACTTTTCACCATTTTGTATGATGTTAGCTGTGGGTGTGGCTCGTATTACCTTTACTGTATTCAGAAACATTTCTACCAACAGTGTAAAGGTGTTCCTGTTTCTCCACATCCTCTCCAGCACCTGTTGTTTCCTGACTTTTTAATGATCACCATTCAACTGGTGTGAGATGGTATCTCATTGTGGTTTTGATTTGCATTTCTCTGATGGCCAATGATGATGAACATTTTTTCATGTGTCTTTTGTCTGCATAAATGTCTTCTTTTGAGAAGTGTCTTTTCATATCCTTCGCCCACTTTTTGGTGGGATTTTGTTTTTTTTTTCTTGTAAATTTGTTGGAGTTCATTTTAGATTCTGGATATTAGCCCTTTGTCAGATGAGTAGATTGCAAAAATTTTCTCCCATTCTGTAGGTTGCCTGTTCACTCTGATGGTAGTTTCTTTTGCTGTGCAGAAGCTCTTTAGTTTAATTAGATCCCATTTGTCAATTTTGGCTTTTGTTGCCATTGCTTTTGGTGTTTTAGACATGAAGTCCTTGCCCATGCCTATGTCCTGAATGGTATTGCCTAGGTTTTCTTCTAGGGTTTTTATGGTTTCAGGTCTAACGTTTAAGTCTTTAATCCATCTTGAATTAATTTTTTTATAAGGTGTAAGGAAGGGATCCAGTTTCAGCTTCTACATATGGCTAGCCAGTTTTCCCAGCATCATTTATTAAATAGGGAATCGTTTCCCCATTTCTTGTTTTTGTCAGGTTTGTCAAAGATCAGATGGTTGTAGATATGCAGCATTATTTCTGAGGGCTCTGTTCTGTTCCATTGGTCTGTATCTCTGTTTTGGTACCAGTACCATGCAGAAACATTCCTTCTATACCTAATTTGTTGATGGTTATTTTTGATAATGAAGGAATGTTGAATTTTATAAAAATTATGTGTTTTTATATCTTCAAGTTTTTCTGTTTTTTTTCAGTCGTACTTTATACTGAATTTTTTTTTCTTTTTCTGTTTATTTTTTCAACAGGAGCTTTCTGTCATCCTGTTCCAGTCTAGATTGGTTACTCTCTAGTTTTGCTACCCTCTTGTCTTCCCAGAATTTAACTATCTTCTGGGTTGTCTCCAATTCTCTCTGGGTTCCATGTCTTTTGTTTTGCTGGAATTCCTCAGATAACTTCCCAAGAATAATTCATTGGATATAAATTTCTAAGTCCTAGTAGTATCAATTAGATAATGCAGTAAAAGTAGACTTTAAAAAGGAATTTATTTGAAAGATAATGGGGTGCTCACAGACTCAGAAATTATGGATGAACCCTGTTCAGAAAAGATAAAGGTTAGGCAGCTCCAGAGGGGGATATAGCAAAAAGTGCTTATTAATCTTGTTTGGAATCTGCCGCAAGAATCAGCTCTCACTATCATCAGTCTTTTGATCACCATGCTCAGGATTCCCGCTCCAGGAGAGGGGACCCTATTGTCTGGCTTGGATCATATGCTTGCTACTTGGCTATGGAAAGGCAGGGTACCTTGATTAACAGTCCCACGAGACTACAAAGGGAGGGCAAGTCCCCCAAAATAAAAAACTTACTGTCAAAGACTGGTGGAATGGATGCTGATCAGCCAAAATACAACATATGGTCATTATACTTTGCTTGGGTAAAATGTCTTTATTTCATTCTCATACTTTCTTTGATTGATTATAGAATTATAGACTGAAATCATTTATTTTTCCTTTAGGACTCTGAAAGCATTGCTCCCATTTTCTTCCTTCATTCAATATTGCGGATAAGGACTCATGTCAGTCTGATTCTGTTCCTTTAGTAGGAACTTCTCTCTAGAAGTTTTTGAGAACCTTTATCCTTGTTCTGAAATTTCATAAGGTGTGACCCGGTATGAACTTTTTCCATTCTTCATGTTGGCATTCTTTAAATATTTTCAGTCTGTATACTTGTGCTTTCTTTAGTTTGGGGAAGATGTTGGATTTTCTTTTCCTGTTGTCTGTACGTACTACTTTTTCCTCTGATACTTTTATCTTTTTCCTTATTTAATTGTGTTCTCTTGATGGTTGCCATTCTTCTCCTTCATGATCTTTATTACGTTTGTGGTCGAAACTATTTTCTTTTGGGCACCTTGATATTTAATCTTTATCTTATTTAATAAGATTATTTTGTCTTTTTCTTCCATTTCCTGAGTTTGGTCAACTCTCATTCCATATCTTCCTATTTGTTCTATGTTCTAGTCTGAGTTATTTTGAACTAATTATTCAAGGTGATTTAAAAAATATGAATATTATTATTTTAACGTACTTAATTCAGGTTGAAGTGTTGTGTCAGTTTTCTCTAGCTGGGTCTTGCTCTGTCACTCAGGCTGAAGTGCAGTGGTGTGATCATGACTCACTGCAGCTTCAAGCTCCTGGGCTCAAGCTATCTTCCTGCCTCAGCCTCCCAAGCATCCAGGACTATAGGCGTGTACCACCATGCCTGGCTAAGTTTTTTTTTTTTTTCAGACGGGGTCCCGCTCTATTGCCCAGGCTGAGGTGCAGTGGTGCGATCTAGGCTCACTGCAACCTCCATCTCCTAAGTTCAAGTGATTCTCCTGCCTCAGCCTCCTGAGTAGCTGGGACTACAGTTGTGCACCACCACGCCTGGCTAATTTTTTGTATTTTTAGTAGAGACGGAGTTTCACCATGTTAGCCAGGATGGTCTCGATCTCCTGACCTTGTGATCCACCCACCTCAGCCTCCCAAAGTGCTGGGATTGCAGGCGTGAGCCACCGCACCCGGCTAGCTAAGTTTTTCAACTGTTTTGTAGAGATGGACTCTCGCTATGTTGCCAGGACTGATCTTGAACTCCTGGGCTCAAGTGATCCTCCCACCTGGACCTCCCAAAGTGCTGAGATTTGCAGGCATGAACCACTGTGCCCAGCCTCATTTTCTACCCTCTAATAGCTTTGTATGATATTGCCTGTTATTTTGTGTTCATTTTGGAATGCCACTGTTTTCTCTTGTTTTGGAGAAGCCTGAAGGGGTAGAATTTGAGTGTGTACCTAGGCTTCTTAATTCAAAGGCATCCTTTTCTGTTGTTACAGTAAAGTTCAATTTTTATACATGGAAGTTTTGTGGGTGGAGTAGGTGTGTTTTCCCAGCGTCTGGTTCTCTTTTCTTTCTGTATGACCTTTAATTTTTATTGCTTGCTTGCTTTTTTCTTCACCATCAAACATCCAAAAATTTCTCCCCCTTCCAAAACATCTACCTCTCCTTTAGAACGATGGTTTCCTAAACTGCATGAAGATTTTCAAGGCAGTGTTCTAGTCCACCAGTTCTCAACCCCATTGTCAGTATATTTCCTCTTTTAGGCAGAACTCCGTTAGAGAAGATTTAATCCGGATTCCACCGCTGCTCCACTGCTGCTGTCCTCTGTTCTTTTCCACACAACCTCTACCTGACTTCACTTTGGTGTGGACTCTGGAGTTGATCCCTCTGGTTTCATATGCTTCTTTTCCTACTTATATGTAAGTTAAAGTTGTTAGTAATCTCCGCCTCCCAGTTGTGCTATGAGTTGTTTTATTAATTCTCCTCTTATTATAGGACTTTTAAAAGAATATGTGGAGAAATTAAGTTTTAGGTGGCCACCATCTATCTTACATAAGCCTGCCTACATAAGCCTGCCTGCCTGCCTTCCTTCCTTCCTTCCTTCCTTCCTTTCTTTTTCTTTCTTTCTTTCTTTTTGAGACAGATCTTGTTCTGTTGCCTAAACTGGAGTACAGTGACATGATCTTGGCTCACTGCAACCTCCGCCTACTGGGTTCAAGTGATTCTCCTGCCCTTAGCCTAC
Organism: Homo sapiens; assembly: GCF_000001405.40. Taxonomy (NCBI): domain Eukaryota; kingdom Metazoa; phylum Chordata; class Mammalia; order Primates; family Hominidae; genus Homo; species Homo sapiens. The sequence continues at coordinate 91,736,370 of NC_000014.9, read as the reverse complement.
TGAGTAGCTGGGACTACAGGCGTGTGCCACCACGTCCAGCTAATTTTTGTATTTTTAGTAGAGAAGAGTTTCACCATGTTGGCCAGGGTGGTCTTGAACTCCTGGCCTCAAGTTACCTGCCTGCCTTGGCCTCCCAAAGTGCTGGGATTACAAGTGTGAGCCACTGTACCTGGCCAGGTTTTCTATATTTATTAAAGAAAAAAAAAAAAAAAGACTGGCCAAATTCCCAAAACTATGGCTTCTGAATACGATTTTCCAGTAAAAGGAATCAGAATTATATAGAGAAATGACTGAGTCCATGTCTGGGGCAGGAAATGTAGAAGGTGAGCCTAGAGTATCTTGTCTTATAAGGAAGGAAGGAAACTGTCAAAAATGACTAGAGTCATGTCAAAAAGACAGAAGCGAACTTTGGAGGGACCATACCTGTTAAAATTAGACACCTTGAGCATCAATAAGGATAATAACCATAATGATAGAAATACATTAAATATATTTAAATGGAAACCTGTGAGTTCATAATGATAGCAAAAATGAACTTTATTGGTTGCCTCTATAAGGATGCTAGGGAATCAATTCATTATTTTCAAAATGGTAAACGAAGGAAAAGAATGAAGCATTTGTCTTCTCTTAGGAATTGTACCTCTGAGTAAACAAATAGTTGATGCATGAAAAGTTATCTTTATAAAAGTATTCCAGCTAATAAGCAAAGAAGAAATGATAATACATCACCACTCTGCAGCCTCTAATGAATTTAACAGATTTAGGCAATAAATGATAGATGCTACATCAGAAAAAGAGCTAACCACACCTTAGGTGCCTCCTGATGGAAGTACCCAACACCACCTATGAAGTGTTCTTGACAAAAAAATTAAACCTGCATCTGATCAAGCCTCTAAATCTACTTAACAATTTACCGAACAATATGATAAACTTATGATGTAAAAAGATACCATAATGATGCACTCAGCAAAATCCAAACCATGGGAAACACATTACAACTAACTTCTTCTTTAATGAATTTCAAGGAAAAAGCGAGAGAAAAAAAAATGATGGGGTGAAGGGAGAGGTGAAAGGAAAATTACTTGTAGATTTTGACACCTCAGAGATACATCAACCAGTGGCAAAGTTTGAACCTTATTGAATCCTGATTCATACAACTATAAAAAATTTTGTGAATGAGGTAACTGAGGAAATATAAACAGTCACTGGGTAGATATCTGGGACTTACTATTATTTTTAGGTTTTAAATTGTATTGTGGTTTTCTTTTCTTTAAAAAAAGTCATTTTCTCTTAGAAATACATACTGAAATATATACAGTTGTCTAGGATATCTTCAAAGTAATCCTGCAGGCTGGATGCGGTGGCTCATGCCTATAATCCCAGCACTTTGATAGGCCAAGGCAGATGGATCACTTGAGGCCAGGAGTTTGAGACCAGCCTGACCAACATGGAGAAACTCCATCTTTACTAAAAATTAGCTGGGCGTGGTGGCGCACACCTGTAATCCCAGTTACTTGGGAGGCTGAGGCAAGAGAATCTCTTGAATTCCGGAGGTGGATGGTTTCAGTGAGCCGGGATCAGACCACTGCATTCCAGCCTGGGTGACAGAGCGAGACTGTGCCTCAGAAAAAACAACAAACACCACCAAAAAACAACAAAATAATACTAGAGGAGGAAGTGAGTGAAAGAGAGTATAGATGAAACAAGACCGAAGGTAGGCAATTACACAAAATAGAATATATATGTTATAATATATATATTATTTACATATATATAATGTATAGTTCTCTCTACTTTTCCCCCAATGTTTGGCACATCCCATAATAAAAAGTTATTAAAAACTGAGGGTGATTTTAATCTTGGATGACTGAAACATCCTCGTTATCTTAGTCTTTGAACTTTTTGAGTCTTTAAAATTTCTCACATAAAAAGGATAAGAAGGCTGGGCACGGTGGCTCATGCCTATAATCTCAGCATTTTGGGAGGCCGAGGCAGGCAGATCACCTGAGGTCAGGAGTTCAAGACCAGCCTGGCCAACATGGTGAAACCCTGTCTCTACTGAAAATACAAAAATTATCTGGGCGTGGTGGCGCACGCCTGTAATCCCAGCTACTCAGAAGGCTGAGGCATGAGAATCACTTGCACCCGGGAGGCGGAGGTTGCAGTGAGCCAAGATTGCACCACTGCACTCCAGCCTGGATGACAGAGATGAGACTCCATCTCAAATAAATAAATTAATAAATAAAACAAAGACAAGAAAAATTTATAAATAAAATTGTTACATGACAAATTGAGTTAAATATTTACATTAAATATTGCAAGGGGTTATTTTACCATTTCACAAGCAAAACACTAAATTTCCCGTAGAAAATGTTTAACAACATGCCCAGATAATTTATAGAAGAAAAAAATGTCAAACAAGCATATTTATAAGTGTTCAGTTGAACCAATATTGAAAAAAGTAAAACAAGATTTTTTAATGTATCAAATTATTTCAGATTATATCTAATTTTCACTGCTGGGTTTCTGGAAAGCAATTTGTCAACATACATTCAAGAGTCTTAAACATGTTCATATCCTAAGGAAATATTTTTAAATGTAGGAAAATAATTTTGTTCAGGATTATTCATTACCACATTTCTCAAAAAGGAAAACACTGGAAATAGAAAAATATTTTATGTTTAAGTAAATTAGGTACCGTTATTTTTAGATCTACAACTGCGAAGACTTAAATAAAACACTTGAGTTACACGAGAAAATGGTCAGACTAACAATGACTGAAAGAAGGACATATAAATGCAGAAGAAACAGACTCGAGAAATGTCAAAATGTCCACAGTGGTTATATCTGGTTGTTGATTTATGCGTAATTGATTTCTCTATACTTGTTTTCATTTTTCACACATAATAAGCCCTGTTATAGCCAGCAAAAAATTACAAAAAAAGTCAAAGTCATCCTTCTTTCAATCAGCCCATTGCCTTGCCCCCTATCCTCCTGACTAGACGGAAGCCCAGTGCATAATTTGTTTTTCAGGCAGAAGAACCCCTTTCATTCCACTGTTACAGATGAATCACCTACTGTGGGAGTAGTCTTGGTACTCACATCAAAGTGTAATTCATCAGTGACTGTGATTGAAAACAGATCCTTTACTCTTTCGTAAGTTAGGAAACAAAATGTGGGGGCAAATGAGGAAAAGAAAACTAAGAGGTTGCTGGGGAGAAAGAAGGCAAATGTCACCTGCTTCATCATTCTTTTTAGAGCTCTCAATGTGTACCTTCAGTATTGCTCAGACTTTTTTTTAATGTGTAGCAGTGTTGCTATGGTAACTGAAAGCTACATCTTCTTCCATAAAAGCTTTATTGCCTTCCCTAGTGGGAAACAGGCAACAAAAAAAGAGAGCTCCAAGTTTCTGGGAACTGAGTCTTTATAAGGAAATATATTTTGTTGTGTTTTGCACACTGTTTCAGGTTCTTCTTTAGGTCAAGGTCACCAGAAAGGGTGAGAGAAATATATTTCTGATGCGGGCTCTTCCAGGAATAGATTAAACCCAGATACCAGACATATTTCAGGATATGAGGGTAAAGCAGGTTTTACATGGCCATGTGAAGGGACTTCTGAAGGACAACCTGAGTATAAAACACGTTTTATTATCATGATTATCAAAAAGTATGTGTCAGCCTCTGTGACCATTCATGACTAGTCAGGGCGCTGGGTAAGACAGAAAGGTTCAAGCTCAGCTCACTCGGTACTCAGTCAAAGGCAGCCTTAGTGAGCACATACAACCACATCAAGGACAGTCACACAACATGAATACGGAGGACAAACTGGCATGCCATTTGGTCTCACTGTTTCCATGCGTCCACAGCTCATTTCTAACTTTGTGCTTTGTGTATTTGCTTGTCTTGTTTACCTGTCAATAAGGCCTTCTCTATTTTTTTTAAGTCCCAGTCTTCCTTAAAGACCCAGTTATGAAGCTCCTCCCCTTTGAGAGATTGCCTCCTTTTAAACCTTATTATATGCAGTTAGCATGAGCTTTTAGCATTTATGTTTTTCCCCAGGCATTCAATGATCGTATGATCATTGAAGTGTTTTATAGATAATCATATGTAGGTTTCTGATCCTTCCTAGATAAATGCTATATTAAAGATGGAAGGTTTGGAGAACCTCCACCTCTCATCGGTTTTTAAAGAAAATGGCCTGTGGTGCTCTGAAAGAGGCAGTTAGTTGGAAATTCCAACTGCCTGTCCTTTAGATTTTCTAAGCATGCTTCTGTACTTGGTAGCTGCTGATTGGCTGTTACCAAAGGTGACTAGAGTGCTAAGCCAGTCAACAGGGAAAACTTGGCTCCTGACTTTGGGTCTTTCTTCTCAGTCTATATGGAAGAAAACTGAGAAAAAATATAAAAAAGAAGAACACAACTAGTTGCGCATCTCCTAAAGAGGTAATTACAGTAAAAAATATTAAAATAAGGACCCTGCTGGAGTATGAATTTATAATGTGATCACTATTCCATAATAATGGAGTAACTATAAATGAACCAACTGGGGGAGGAAATAGCTTCCTTCAATGGGGCAATTCCCAATGTTTATTTAGTGCCAGAGAAGAGAAAATGCCCAGATACATGACTTGTATCCAGTAATTATGTAAAACTTATAATAATTACAAAGGAATGATAACTGGGGGTAATTTAACTGCTAAGTAGGTCAGTAGGGGAGTGTGATGAGGAAAAAGAAGTTGCTGCAGTGTATGGAGATATGGAATTCAGAAGTAATACTTGTCAAGTGCTTATTCTGTATAGAATATGTTAGATGTTTTAAGGTATTTTTCATTTAATTCTCACAACAACACTGTGAAGTGCCTGTTATCCCCATTTTACTGAATAGAATATGAACTCCAAGAAGTTAAATAGCTTGCTAAAAATCAAATATTTCGATGGACAGACTTCGTCTTAGGCTAAAGTCTATGTTTTTACTCTAACTATGAGCTGAAAGTTGAAAGAAGATAGTATCAAATAAGGAAAAGTTGTAATATTGAAGGGAAAATAAGAAGAATGAGACTGGAACTATGCCCCAAAGAATTAAAGAAACCAGTAGGTAGCAGAAATTCTTGAGCTTGCAGGATGGCAGATAAGAAAGCTTGCAGAACAAGCTTGCTGACATTAAAACCAGAATTTCCACCACGTGCTTCATACTAACTCTCTCGAGTTTGCACAGGTGACCCATGAAGAGGCATAAAGATTCTAATAATGGTGTTGTATCATTTAATTTGAATGTTTAGCAAAGTGATATAAGATTTTTCTGGTAAAGGGACTATTTTCAGAGTTTAACTGTGATAATGTCTCCACTTAATGTTAAATTCGTTCTTACACCAAAAATATACTTGAGCATTGCACCATGCCGACAGAATTTTAATCTACCATTTGTTTCCTCTTACCTTGTGAAAACAAGTTGTTTTCTCAGATGATTTTTAAAAATGCACTAAAAACCTTCAGTTCTCCCCTGTTAATGTGATAAGAATGAATTCAAAAAAATCAAACTGTTTGAGCTTTCTATTGTCAATTAAATGTATTTAATAAGCAAGTCAGTTTTGATGAAGGAAAAACACCAGTTACATTTAATTTACTCAGCAGTTGTCAGGAACTGCACAAAGTTCTGAGATTTTATTCCACTTAGAGTTGGCAAATTAGTATGTTTCTGTTTTCTTGGATGCTGGCAAAAGACACAAGACTCCTAGGTCAGAGACGAAGGACTTTATTACTAATAGCAAAAGCAGTAGCCAGAGTGTCCACAGGTTGCTCACTCCAGTACCTCCTGTCCCCCAAGTTCCTTAGAGGTGAAATTCATCATGGATGCTGTGTTAGTTTTCTAGGGCTGCCATAACAAAGGCCCATACACTGGGTGGCTTAAACAACAGAAATTTATTTTCTCACAGTTCTGGAGGCTAGAAATCTGAGATCAAGGTGTCTGTAGGGTTAATTCCTTCTGAGGGCCATGAGGAAGGAACTGTTCATGCGTCTCTCCTGAGTTTATAGGTGGCTGGCTGTCTTCTTCCTGTGTCTTCCCTTCATCTTCCCTCTGAATGTCTTCCCTCTGTGTCTTCACTTCACCCTGCCTATGTCCAAATTTCCTCTTCTCTGAGGACACCAGTCCTATTGGATGAGGGCCCACCCTAATGACTTCATTTTCACTTCATCACCTGTTTAAAAATCCTATCTCCAAACATGATTGCCTTCTGAGGTAAGGGTGGTTAGGATTTCAACTTCAGAATTTTGAGGGTAGAAAATTGAGCCCATAATGGATGCTTATACACGTAGTGGAGTGCATTACAGGAGAGGTACAGTGAGATTAAGCAATTCACCATGGAAACAAGCCTGCTGTTGTCCAGGGTGCCTTACCTCATCCCTCAAGGCTGGTGGCTACAAAACACAAGCCTGAGATGAACACCATCCAGGGCCTTGCATTCTTGGCACACTCAACGAGAATGTGCAGGGAAACTCAGGACCATGTGAATTGTCTTCCCCAAAAGCAACGTTGTCAAAATATTAGATTAAGTTACAGCTGTATCATCCTCAGAGTCTTCATCAGTTCAGGCTCTGTTTTACATAGCTGTGTAACTGATCTCACCTCTCTAAAGGTTACCTACTGAAGGAAAACCTGAGCCACATCTCTTTTTCTAGTTTGTAATAATTATACCTATAAATTTACCTTTAATACCAAGTAGGGAGTAAATTTAGAGTTTAGGCAACTGTTGTGTTGTCTGCTTTTGTCACACAGTGTGAAATATTAAGAATATTGAGATTATTTCTTTACTACTTTGTAGTTGTTTATAGCAAAAGGAATTCAAAAATATGTTCAGAAATTGAGTGAAAATAATTCTTATTTATTCCAACAGATGGAATCGCCACTTATATATGTTTCAGTTTTGCTTTTGAACATATTTGAATTTTCATCAGGAATAGTATATAATAAAGGTAAGTTTCAGACCATCTTACTCTCTATTTCCTTCTCAGGAGTTCTTATTTGTGTCTCTTCCTTATTTACAGTAAAAAATTTTTCTTTTAGTATTTCTTCTTTATCTTATCTTCCAATTGTTTCCCAATATTGTCAATTATACTCTGGTCTAGAGGCTTCTAATATCCCGAGTACCTGGGATTACAGGTGCCCACCACCACGCCTGGCTAATTTTTGTATTTTTAGTAGAGATGGGGTTTCACCCATCTTGGCCAGGCTGGTCTTGAACTCCTGACCTCGTGATTCACCTGCCTCAGCCTCCCAAAGTGCTGAGATTACAGGCATGAGCCACCACACCTGGCCGATGGCATGAGATTTTATCACACTGCTCAGAACAGTGCACAATGTAAAACTTACAAATTGCTTATTTCTGAAAGTTTCCACTTTATGTTTTTAGACTATGGTTGGCTACAGGTAACTGAAACTGTGGAAAGTGAGATCACAGAAAAAGGGGGACTGTTGTGGTTGTATAACTGTGAATAGGGCAATGAATGAATTTCATAAATGGCATTTTTTTCTGTACGTTTGTCCCACAGTGGATTTTTATGGTAGTCAGAGCAGGCATTCCATTGGTGGTTACACTTGTGTGGTTTCCCTTTATATCATGATTCTTGTTGAAGAAGTCACATGCTGTTGAAAGTATAACTTCTCTGGCACATCTTTCCTTTAGAAGCTTGCGAAAGAGTAATTTTCTGTGTTTTATTATTATAACAGAATCTAGCAAACTCTATAATCTGAGAATTTCTAGGCAAAGCAGTCCGTGGAGGGAAAGTTAGAAAAGTTTGAAATTGTTTCTCTGTCTCTCCTCACAGTATCTCTGCCTCTGTTTTTACCACCCAAGCCCAGAAGATCCTGTTGATATGAGTACATAATTCACAAAATGATACCAAAGTGCAGAGGACAAATCAATTAGTTGCAATGAGACAAGTGTTAGAAAAAACTCTTTGGCCAGGTGCAGTGGCTCACACCTGTAATCCCAGCACTTTGGGAGGCTGAGACAGGAGGATACCTTGAGCCCAGGAGTTGGAGACCAGCCTGGGCAACATGGCAAAACCTCTTCTCTATAAAAAATACAAAATTTAGCCAGGTGTGATGGTGCTCACCTGCAGTCCCAGCTACTCAGGAGGCTGAGGTGGGAAGATCACTTGAGCCCCAGGAGGCAGAAGTTGCAGTGAGCCAAGATCACTCCACTACACTCCAGCCTGGGTGACAGAGCAACACCCTATATCAAACAAACAAAAACAAATTTCTATTTGAACTGGATCTTAAAATGTATTAAAATTTGAGGCAGAAAATGAAGTAGAGAGAAGCCCATGCATTTCAGAGGTGATAGACAAGGTTGTCTGCAGGGGAGACTGAAAAAATGGGCTTAACTATTGAAAGAGTGTCTAGCGGGATAAAGAGAGGATGTCCCTTAGAGAAACAACTTGGTTCCAGTCTGGCCCACTGTTGTTAGTTATATGACGTTTGAGCTTGATTTCCTCTTCTTTAAAGAGGAGACAGTAATATATGTGGCACAAGGTATTGTGGGAATTTCATAAAATAACATCTAAATCCAGCTCAACCCATTTGAGCCTTAATGGCTCAGAGTATGTTATTCAAAGGAGTTAGTTTCCTTCTGTTTAGTGTCTCACCATTTAAGAAGTTTAATTCATGAGGTAAGGGTGTGTCAGTGAAGATTTTTAAACAGAGAAGTGATTTGGACTTCACAATCAAATTATAGCTTTAAAAAATAGGTCTGATAGCATTGTCAAGTATGGGCAAAGTGACTGCATAAGTTGAAAGTACTTTGAAAACTGTTTAACATTATAACCTCCAGAAATATTTGTATATTTTGCATATTTGTGATATTTGTAAAGATATGTTTACTTATAGAATTTCAAGAATAGCATTGAAATCATTACATTATACAAACAGAATGAGTAACGTTCAATTATAAATTAAATTTATTTTTGCCTCCTATTTAAATCCAATCTTTGGCATGGTTCTTCCTCTGTCACTGGATGAATATTTGGGCCAGAACCAAGATTTTTTTGGTTACAATTGGATGATTCACACAGTTCTCCTAGAACAATAAACTCTGGGGAATATGAGGGACAGGAGAAATGGATCAGGGAGGGCACTGTGCTCACTACCTGGGAGACAGATTCATTTCTACGCCAAAACTTAGCATACAAAATATACTTTTGTAACAAACCTGCACATATTCCCCTTGAGCCAAAAATCAGTTCTCTGAGCATTTGAAATTTTAAAACACTTTTGCATTGTAATTGTTGTAATTAAGATATCCAAGCCCATGTACAAGTCAAATTTAACTCTTATTTTATAATTGAAGCTTCTTCCCTGTTCCCTATCTGGGCCTGTGCTGGTGGGAAGCCTATAGGTGAGGAAGAAAAGCTAAGGTCAACTTTTCCTTCTCTCCACTTAGTGTTTAGATTCCTTTTCATTGTCTCATCAACTTTAGGTTTTGACCCTTCCTGCTCCAGCGTTGTAGAAAGGGAGGGAGAAGTGGGAGGGAAAGCACAGTTCTGCCCTAGCTGGTTCTGAGGGGACCATCTGACATTTGCACTTTCAAGTTCCAGCAGATGTGTAAAGCTGACCCTTGATCTCTGGGCTCTTGAATGAGTCCTTCATAGCCCCTTCCCCTCCCTCACATTACTGGGAATCTCTCATCTACAGTTCTTCTAACAAAGGCAAAAACTTCTTCATTCCCACTGGTCACTTATTTCTTTGTCTATGCCTTCAAATTCTTTTTGCTGAGAGCCATTTGCCGCTCAGAGAGACCTTTGAGGACAGGAACCTAGATGACCCTAAGCTAGTTCTTTTTCACCAGTGACCTATATCTGGACCACAGGAAGCATTCATCCATCTTTTGCCCCAGTAAATTTTGGTTGTGCAGGACTCTTAATGAAACGGGAGAGTTCCCTGGCCCCTCTTGCAGGACATACAGAGGTGTGGCTGTTCTGGCACTCGAACCCCTTACGGGATGGGGAGCATGCAGATGGGCAGGTGCAGGAGCCGGACGAGCACGCCTGGGCTCTGGCTCCATGGCAGCATCCACGGGTGGGAGCCTGTGACTCCTGAAACCCAAGTGGGTGTGTGTTACAGTGCACCATCTTAGCCTTGCTGTCCACGGACGGTTTAAGTGTTTACCAGCTCAGTGCCTTCTTGGTACCCAGGTCCTTGTCCAGCATCCAGGAATAATCAGTTTGCACATGGACTTGAAGGATGAATGCAGGGGTTTTACTGAATGGCCTGAGGTGTCTCTCAGCAGGACAGATGGCTACCTAGAAGGGGGATGGTGTGGGAAGATGATCTTCCCCTGGATTTTGGCCTCTCCGACCATCCCCAGAGGAGCTCCTCTTGGCATTTAGATGCTCCTTCTCTTCTCTCTGCTGTTCTTTTGCTCTTCTGTTCATATCCTTGCTTACCTACTAGTCTGCTCTGAGGCCTGGGGTCTGGGGTTTATATGGGTATAGGATAGGGGCCATGGTGGGCCAAAAGGCAACTTCTGGGCACGAAAACAGAAATGCCTGTTTTCATTAGGGCTGTGGGTTTCCAGGCTTGAGGATGGGACCTTTGCCTCTTCTACCCAGTATTTCTGTCTTCTGTCTGTGTCATTAACGTACCCATCTCTTTCTCAACAAACCGTATCCTGTTCTCTCCACCAAATCATCTCTTGCCTTCTAGATTTTCTAAGCAGGAGTCTGAGTTTGTGCCCCAAACTGCAGGGATACATGTTACTTTTTTTAGTGTGCCCAACAGACCCTCTTGCCTCAGACACAAGGTAAGTAAGTAGAAGGGGTCCGTCTCCTAACATCTTCATTCAGTACCTCTCTATCAAAACACAAATTTTCTCTGCAGTTGCTGATTCTGGATCCTTTTATACCCTCAAGGTGAGGCGTTGAAGTGTCAAGAACTGGTTTTTGTCTACCTCTAAAAATTTTGTGTCATGGTCTAGCATGAGTTATATTAGTGCTTCAGCCAAACCTTCCGTTTCTAAACATACCTTATAGCATATGTGTAAAAAGAAAAACAAGGTGGAAAATTTGAATTTTACCTAAAGTGAATTTAAAATGTGCAATTATAATTCTTATTCCTTAAAAATATTTTGTCAGTTTTAGAAACATGGTACTTTTTATGGACAGTCTTCTATCAGTGATCTAATATATGTATTTTTTTTATTATTTAGATGATACAGAGAAACGCTTTGCATGTTCTAACAAAGGGTTCCCTCAAGAGAATGAAATAATCAAGTTGTATCTTTTCTTAGAAAACTTGGTAAGGTCCACTAATAGCATGTGTTATAACCCTTCACGTTCCTTTAAAATCCATGTGTAAAACCAATAGCATTGTATTCTTTCCAAATACCCTCTACTATGTTCAGTCTTGGGGAGGGAAAATTCTATATAAATAATAATTTTTTCTATCTTTGCTAGTGTATGTCTACTTGGAGCAGGTAAAATACTTCACTTAGCCATAGAGCATCCTGGGTGTTTTTGCTTTTATTCTTTCTTTTTTAAAATGATGCCTCCTCCCTCCCCTTTTTAGTGGAGTTGATTTGTCCTTTTGAAGTCTGACAGATGTAGCCTATTAGAGAAGGAAAGCTACCTCACATGACCTTGAAAATCTGTCTTGCCTTTGTATAACAAGTACCACATTGAAGTTGTCATTTTGGGTAAGGAATGATATGATCCTTTGATTCAAATAATGGGAGACTTTTTAAAAACACACACAACGGAGTAAAATAAAGCATGCTATCAAGATCATGCAGCAAATACTAACAAAAATATACATTAATAAAAAATGCACAGATTGTCTAAAAATCTATGATAAATATATATAATAAAAACAAAGAAAAAGACTCCATGAGAGCAAATGCATGTATTCCTAAGCCTGCTTTGACTTAGGCCACAATTCCCTCTTGATATGCTTAAATATATATTTAAGCTTTGTATATACAACTATTGAGAAGTGTATGCTCTCTGAGCTAAAAATGCATTTCTGATTTGTTGTTATATGTTATGGAAAAAGTATGGGCTTTGGAAGAAGACGGACTTACAGAGCTGGGGTCCAGTCTTGGTTCTGCCATTTATGGTCTGTGTGTCCTGGGGCAGGTTACCTAAACTCTCTAACCCTCAGTTCTTCTTCTAAAAAGGGAATTATAACCTACTTTTTGGATAGTTGTAGTATAGTAGTTCTAGCAGCAGTAGTATTAGAAGTGATAGCTAACGTTTATAAAGAGTTTATGTGTATCAGGCATTTTAAAAAAAAGTTTAATGTTCATTATGACATTTAATCTATACATTTAATCTTCTGTGAGGAAAATATTGTTTTTTATTCGCTAATAACCCTGTGAAAAATTGTACTGCCTTCCCAAACTCCTGCACTCTCAACCTCCCTTCCCTGCCTCGTTCTTATAATGTATTCTATATTTATTTCATTTTTTCTATCTTTTCCTTCATTCTCTACCAATCCATCCAACAATCTCTCCATCCAGTTTGTCTACTTGCCAATCTCCATTAGAATGTTAATTCCACAGGGGCAGAGAGTTCTGTCTGTTTTATTCACATCTACATTCCTAGCACCATTCATAGGAAGGGCTCAGTAGATATTTTTGGAATGAATGTATTTCCCCATTTTTTAGATTAGGGAAACTAAAACTCAGATAGGGAACTTGCCCAAAGCGATCTTAAGTACTAGGAGAATTAATTGAAATAAAGCTCTTGGTATCTGTCTCATGTTAGTTTTCAGGAAAATCCACCATTTCTGATCGCTACATTTTCATATGCCTTCTCAAAACTAGGAAATATCCAGTAAAGATGCAGTAAAATAGGCTTTGCTTTATATAGTTGCTTCCTTTTTTATTTAGACACAAAATAACAATTTTAATAAAATTGGAATTTCTATTTGTGATAACATATTGCTTTGAGTCTATGTTTACTACATGTAATAATAATGACCATTTCTATGATAGAAAAGATTATTATTAAGATGAAACCTTTATGATGCTAGCATAATAGGTTACTGAGTTCTGAAAGTATACTTGTATAAATATATATATTTTTTCCTAACTAGAGACTGGAATTACTAATCACTTTTAGATTAACTAACTTGTGTGTCTGCATCAAGTGGTTATTAGTTGTTTTTTTTTTTCTTGCTTTCCTAAAGAAAATCCAGTGTTTCTTCCAAACTGAAAATGAAATTGCATCAAAAGCAATGCTAAGTGTGTTCACATCAGGAGGACTTGCTCCCAGCTTGGGAATCATGAATAGTACATATAATGGCATCTTCCACTTTAATTTAACGTTGGTAATTACATTTTATCTTACTCTGTGATATGTTATTAACAAGAAGCATACTCTTCCTTATAGGATGTATTTTTTAAAAAATAGGTAGCTGAGTAATATTACATCTATGTATGTTTTAAGCCCACTGATAGTGTTACACTTTTTGCTTTAAACAGTCATATATTTTTAAATAAATTAAAGAAGAAGAAATACTTATTTGTACCCTTTACCTACATATTTATTATTTATACTGTCCTTCATTCCTTCCTGTAGATGTAAGTTGCCATCTGATGTCAATTTCTTTTAGCATTTCTTACAGTGCAGAACTGCTGGCAAATAATTCTCTGGGGTTTTTTCCTTCTAAAAATGTCTTTATTTCACCTCTTTTTTGGCAACAACTTTATTAAGATATAATTCCATACAGTTCACTCATTTAAAGTGTGCACTTAAATAGTTTTTAGTATATTCATAGAGTTGTGCAACCATCACTACTAATTCCAGAATACTTTAGTCACTCCAAAAGTGATGAAAGTGACAATCTATAACTATTAGCAGTCACTCCCAATCCCCCCTCCACTCCCCAGCCCTAGACAACCACTAATCTTTCTGTTTCTATAGATTTTCTAACTCTGAACATTTTATGTAAATGAAACATATATATGTAGTGTTCATGACTGGCTTCTTTCAGTTAGCATATGTTTCAGTTAGCATAATATGGTCAAATAATATCGCATTGTATAAATACCACATTTTGTTTATCCATTTATCAGTTGATGAACCTTTGGGCTATTCCCACTTTTTGGCTCTTCTGAATAATGCTGCTGTGAACATTTGTGTGAAAATTTTTGTGTGGAAATATATTTTCATTTTTCTTAGCTACATGGCCAGGGATGGAATTGATGGATCATATGATAACTCCATGTTTGACCTTTTGAGAAAATGCCAGACTGTTTTCTAAAGTGGTTGTACTATTTTACATTCTCACTAGCAGCTTGTTAGAATTCCAATTTCTTTTCTTTCTTTCTTTTTTGTTTAGAGACAGGGTCTTGCTGTGTTGCCCAGGCAGGATTTGAACTCCTGGGCTAAAGTGCCCAGAAGTTCTGCCTCAGCCTCCTGAGTAGCCAGGACTACAAGTGCACACCAGCACACCTGGGTTAGGGTTCCCGTCTCTCCACATCCTTACCAAGGCTTGGTTTTATTTGTCTTTTTTTTTTTTTTTTTTAGACAGAGTCTCGTTCTGTCACCCAGGCTGGAGTGCAGTGGTGCGATCTCGGCTCACTGCAAGCTCTGCCTCCCGGGTTCACGCCATTCTCCTGCCTCAGCCTCCAGAGTAGCTGGGACTACAGGCATCCGCCACCAAACCTGGCTAATTTTTTGTATTTTTAGTAGAGAACAGGGTTTCACCTTGTTAGCCAGGATGGTCTTGATCTCCTGACCTTGTGATCCGCCAGCCTCGGCCTCCCAAAGTGCTGGGATTACAGGCATGAGCCATCATGCCTGGCCTTTATTTATCTTTTTTAAAATAACCATCCTAGTAGGTATAAAGTGCTATCTCATTATCATTTTGATTTTAATTTCCCAAATGACTAATGATGTTGAGTATCTTTTCATGTACTTATTAGTCCCTTGAATACATTCTTTGGAGAAATATCTATTCAAATTATATGCCCATTTTTAGTTTGGGTATTCGTGTTTTTGATTTGTAAAAGCTCTGTATAGATTCTAGATACAAGTCTCTTATCAGACATATGATTTGCAAATATTTTCTCTCATTCTATGCGTTGTCTTTTCACTTTCTTTATAGTGTCCTTTGATACACAGAAGTTTTTCTTAATGAAGTCGGCTGTATCTATTTTTTCTCTTGTTGCTTGTGCTTTTGGTGTCATGTGTAGAAAACCATTGCCTGACTCAAGGTTATGAAATTTTATCCCACATGTTTTCTTCTAGGAGGTTGATAATTTACCTTCTACATTTAGATCTTGGATCCATTTTGAGTTCATTTTTGTATTTGATGTGAGATAAGGGTCCTTACTCATTCTTTTGCATGTGGATATCCAGCCATCCTAGCATGACTTGTAGAAAAGACTATTATTCTTCTATTGAATTGTTTTGGCACTTTTGTTGAAAATAAGTTTACCATAAATGGGACAGTTTATTTCTGGATTCTCAATTTTATTGCATTGATCCACATGTCTATCTTTATGCTAATATCATATTGTCTTGATATTGTTGCTTTGTACTACAGTTTGAAATCAGGAAGCATGAATCTTCTAACTTTGTTCTTTTTCAAGATTATTTTTGCTAGTCTGAGTTACATAAAATAATATGAATTTTAGGATAAGCTTGCCAATTTCTACAAAGTAGCCATCTGGGATTCTGATAAGGACTGTATTGAATCTGTAGATACATTTGGGTAGTATTGCCATTTTACTAATATTAAGTCTTCCAATCTATGAACAGGGTGGATGTCTCTCCATTTATTTAGATCTTTAATTTCTTTCAACAATGTTTTATGTTTTCAGAGTATAAGTTTTATACTTCTTTTGTTAAATTTATTTCTAATATTTTATTCTTTTTTATGTTTTAAAGGGAATTGCTTTCTTAATATCATTTTCAGATTGTTCACTGCAAGTACATAGAAATATAATAATTGATTTTTATATGTTGATCTAGTATCCTGCAGCCTTGCTAAACTTGTTTGTAAGATCTAACAGGTTTTTAGTGGTCAACTGAAATTTTGAAGCATAGTTTTGTCAAATATAAAATTTCTGGTTGACTTCACTTTATTTCAGCATTTTGAATATTTTATACTAATGTCATCTGACACCTTTGCTTCTGAATAAGAAGTCAGCTGTTAATTTTACGATTGTCTCCTGTATGTAATATGTTATTTTTCTCTGGATGCTTTTAAGATTTTTCTCTTTGGATTTACCCAAGTAAGGTTCCCTGGGCTTCTTGAATTGTAAGTTTAGCAAATTTGGAATGTTTCCAGCCATTATTTCTTCAAAAGAAGAATTGTACCACACGTCTCTAAGATCTTACCTGTGGTTTTGGCAGCTGAAATCGCTACTCAATTCTTTTAGCTTGCACTGCTAGTTTTTACAAACTGGTCTTCTGGGGGTGTCCTTTGCACCTTTATTGCCCAAGAATTTGGTCACAGTTTATATTTAAATCTCAGAGATTACCATTCTTGCAGTTTCCTTATTCCTGGAATTTTCCTCTTAATATCCCAAATGCTCTGTCAACCTCAAGCTCTGTCTCTGACATGTCATGAGTAAATACTTCAACTATGTGCTACATAAGCTTGGCTGTACAGAGTTCCACTATGTGGCTATATTATACATAACTGATGAATATTTTCATTATTTCCAATGTTCAGCCATTACAGTGATGCAAAATTATTCTTGAACACATTTTATTTCACACATATGTGAGCATAATGTAGGAAAAATTCCTAAGAGTGAAATTTCTAGGTAAAAGGTATATGCATTGGATGTTTTTGTTTAATTCTCTTTTAAAAATATAGCATAGAATGTGATGTGTTGTTATTCATGTTGTAAAACATTGTTTTCTGATGTCTTCTTTATTCAAGTTCAGTGATCGGATTTTGTGGTTGGTTGATATTCCTAGAGAAAACATCACACAAAGCACAGGTAAGAGTGATCTGAATTAATTCTTTTACCCCTGGGTCTGGATTTATCAAATAAAAAGAACAAAAAGAATTTATTATCTTAAAAGTGATTTGTTATGTCATGTAAATCCCCCATGTGGTATTTGGGGCATACTTACTAAAAATTATCTGTGGTTTATCTGAATTTTAAATTTAACTGGGATACTGTATTTTACCTGACAGTCATATTATAGGTAGATTGTTTTGACATATACAACATTTATATTATCTTTTATTTAAAATAAATTCATTTCTTAGAACTTGGAAATTGTAGTATTAATATGGGTACTAATTTATTTTACTGAAGATGAATCATTAGTTTTAATATGTTATAAGCTATAAATATGTGTTATTTTATTATGGAATCTATTAAGTATTTTGTGGCAGTGTAGCATCATATGCTACTGTATGTACCTAGATGAAAAGAGGAGAAAAGTCAAATTCCAGGAACTGTGAGTATTGATCTAGTGAACTGACCTAGTAGATCTGTAGGCATGAGACACATTCCCAGAGGTTAAAAATGGTGGAAGATTTGTTGTTTTAATATGATAGGTGCGTTAAACAAAACCAACTTGACTTCACTTAAGGAAAAAGAAGAAATTTATTTTAGTCATGGAACCCAAAGACAAAAATGCGCCATCTTATAGGAAGGAATTAGAAATAAGAAATGGAAAACCATCAAGAACTGAGGGAATACTTTCACCCTGTTTGTCTGTCTTATCTGTATTTTCTGTAAATCTATATTTATTTTTCTTTTTTTGTAGACAGGCTTTCTAAAGTTGCCTCATTACAGTTGAATTTTATATATCTTTCTTATGGGTCAGCCCAATTCCAAATTCCCAGGACAGTATCTTCAGTTGACCCATTGTTGATCCAGCATCCACCTGTGCACCAAGCAAATATGGATTGGGAGAGTGGGATGGGGGAACCATACAGGCCAACCCCTCTTGGTATTGGAGTAAAGGACATTCCAAACTGTGTCTTATAGAATGAAGGCAAGGCAAGGTGAGGGTAAGTTAGAGATGATGGAAAAGATTCTATAGATAAAAAAAGTGTCAAAGATAAAAGTCTGCAATAGATGCGCCAGTGCCATAACATCTGGCATAGATTGTATCACTCTCTTTACCCTTTATTCAACGTTTTTCAAATTAATTTTCTTATTGGAGCTATCTGTGATTTTTAAAGGAATTTATCTTGAAAACTGTACTTATTTTCGATGTAGCCTAACTCTTATTAATATAATGATGGAGTGTTATTCCAGAAGCTTTGCATAATATTGACATTCATTTGACCATTGAAGAAGTGAAGATCACATGTTATTTTTACTTCTACTCTTTATTTACAAACTTTAATTTTAGAAAAGCATTGATTCTAAAGTCACCCAGACAGGAACAAAGATGATACGAGAACTTAAGGATTTTAGAAAAAGACCAAATTAGCTCTTCCTCTCCTGATACAACTCCCCTGACTGAGTAAAAAGAAATATCTTTGTGCTAGTACTGTAATAGGAGGGGATGGTTTATGTAGATAGTAATATGCTAAAAATCAGGGGAAAAATGTTCAGAGGTAAGGAGATCATATTTATTCATTCACTTTTTCCTCCTTAATCATACTTTATTTACTGCTATGGCATGAATATGAGTATTATGAGTATATGTAAAATCTTGGGAATATATTTGAGTGTATGTAAAATCTTGGGAAAAGTAGGTTAGGCAACATCAACAACAAAGGTAGTAAAATAGTCATTGTAGTGGCAGTAGAAATAGCAGGCAGCATTTATTGAATTCTTATTATATGTCAGCACTGCTCTAAACACTCTATCTATGTTATTTCATTTATTCCTAACTATGTGGTAGATACTATTACTATCTTCATTTTCAGATGATTTAACTGAGGCCTATGGAGTTGTATGGAAATTTAGAGATGACTGGGTGGTGAAAGCAGTTTGAAGTGTGAACTACATATAATTGTTGAAAGTAAACAGCCCCTCCTTGATTTACACTACATAATTTGCCCCTTTTTTTCATTTTAAAATAAGGTATAATTTGCATTCTATGAAACATCCTTTTTGGTGTCCAGTTCTATGGGTTTTGACAAATGTATACAACCGTGAGCACTGCAGTCAAGACATAGAACAGTTCCATCAGGCAATAAAGTCACTCCACCCATAATCAACCCCTCTCCATCTCCCAGTCCCTGGCAACCACTGTTCTGTTCTCTGTTCCTGTTGTTTTGTCTGTTCCAGGGTCATATAAATGGAATCATAACCTATACAGCCTTTGAGTCTGGCTTCTTTCACTTAGCTAATTCATTGGAGATTTGTCTATGTTATAGTCTCTCTAGTGTTCTTGTTGGGTAGTGTTTTTTGGTGTGGATAGTTAATTTTGTTGAAGGGCATTTGGGTTTTTCTAGTTTTTGACAATTATGAATAAAGCTACTGCAAACAATCTCATACAGGTTTTTGTGTGAACATAAATTTTTGTTGCATTTAGCTAATACCAAGTAGTAGGATTACTGTGTTGTATGGTAAGTATAAGCTTAACTTTATAAGAAAAACTGTCAAACGATTTCCCAAAGTGGCTTTATCATTTTGCATTCTGACCACCAGGTGATCTGCATCCAGGCCAGAACTTAGTGTATGTGTGTGTGTCTGTGTGTGTGTGTGTGTGTGTGTGTGTGTGTGTGTGTATGCTTGTAAATATGTATGCATATAAGTATGTATAGACATATTTTTTAAATTTTTAGCCATTCTAAAAAAAAGTGTAGTGGCATTTAATTGTGTGGTTTTTTGTTTGTTTGTTTGTTTATTTGTTTGGATTTTTTTGAGACGAAATCTGCTCTGTTGCCCAGGCTGGAGTGCAGTGGTGCAATCTCAGCTCACTGCAGCCTCCGCCTCCTGGGTTCAAGTGATTCTCCTGCCTCAGCCTCCTGAATAGCCAGGATTACAGATACGCACCACCAGGCCCGGCTAATTTTTTGTATTTTTAGTAGAAACAGGGTTTCGCCATGTTGAGCAGTCTGGTCTCAGGTGATCCACTGGCCTCAGCCTCCCAAAGTGCTGGGATTACAGGCGTGAGCCACCGTGCCCAGACTAATTGTGGTTTTAATTTGCATTTTTCTAACAACTAATGACATTGAGCATCTTTTTTTGTGCTTATTTGCCATTTGGCTTAGTATCTGTTCAAATGTTTTACAAGTTTATTATATATTCTGGATATGGGTGTTACCACATATGATTTGCAGATATTTTCTCCCAGTCTGGGGTTGTCTTTTCATCTCTTAAGAGTATCTCTTGAAGATCAGAGTTTTCAATTTTGCTGAAGGCTAATTTATCAGCTTTTTATTTTATGGATGGTACTTTTGATATCACAGCTAAGAAATCTTTGCCTAAGTTCACAAAGATATTCTCCTATATTTTCTTCTAGAAGTTTACACTTCTAGCTTGTGTATTTAGGTCTATGATTTATTTTGAGTTGATTTTTATAAGTTATATGGGCCAATGTTAATTTTTTGGAATATGGATACCCAGTTATTCCAGTACCATTGTGAAAACTTTTTATCTCCATTGAATTGCTATTTCTGGACTGTATCCTTTCACCAATACTATACTGTCTTGATTATTTTAGCTTTATAATAGGTCTTGTAAGCCATGTTAGTCCTTCAATGTTGATCTTCTTTTTCAAAATTGTTTTGGTTATTATAGTTCTTTTGCCTTTCTATGTAAATTTTAGAATCAACTTGTTTACTTCTACAAAAATCCTGCAGTGATTTTTAATTTTGTATTGCATTGAATCTATAGATCAGTTTAGGGAAAGTCAATAATATCTTTTTTTTTTTTTTTTTTTTTTGAGATGGAGTCTCACTCTTATTGCCCAGGCTGGAGTGCATTGGCATGATCTTGGCTCACCACAACCTCCGCCTCCCGAGTTCAAGTGATTCTCCTGCCTCAGGCTCCTCAGTAGCTGGGATTACAGGCGCCTGGCTAATTTTTTTGTATTTTTAGTAGAGACGGGGTTTCGCCATGTTGGCCAGGCTGGTCTCAAAGTCCTAACCTCAGGTGATCCACCCACCTCGGCCTCCCAAAGTGCTAGGATTATAGGCATGAACCACCATGCCTTGCTGGGAGAGTCAATATCTTAAAAATAATGAGTCTTCCAAACCATGAAGACACTGTGTCTCTCCATTTGTTTACATCTTTTTAAAAATTTATTTCACCCAGGTTTTGTGGCTTTCAGCTTAGAGAACTTGCACATAAAAAAAAAAGTATACCAAAATTATACTTTCAGCAATCATCTCTATAGTTTGTTACTAGAGAAGCTTCTGTGAATGTGTAGAGCACCGGAAACCACAAGGCAAAGGCTCAGCATTCTCTCCTAAGCGCGAAGCTGGCTCCTGGTGTTGGTTGGCCGCAACTGCCATTTGCCATTGATGATCATTCTTCTCTTCCTGTGGTAGAGGAAGAGGGAGAGAATGCAGTTTGAGTGGTTTCTATTTTGTTGGTTTTTGTTTTTTAAGTTATACCTAAGTAGTTCATGGTTTTGGGCCAGGCACAGTGGCTCAGGCCTGTAATCCCAGCACTTTGGGAGGCCGAGGCGGGTGGATCACCTGAGGTCAGGAGTTTGAAACCAGCCTGGCCAACGTGGCGAAACCCCATCTCTACTAAAAATACAAAAATTAGCCGGGCGCAGTGGAGGGCACCTGTAATCTCAACTACTCGAGAGGCTGAGGCAGGAGAATTGCTTGAACCCAGGAGGCAGAGGTTGCAGTGAGTCAAGATTGCACCATTGCACTCCAGACTAGGTGACAGAGCAAGACTCTATCTCAAAAAAAAAAAAAAAAAAAAAAGTAGTTTATGGTTTGGAGTGTTATTGTAAGTGGTACTTTTTAATATTTTGATTTCCAATTGTTCATTGTTCATATGTAGAAGAATGATTGAGTTCTGTTTATTGATCTTGTATCCTGCAATCTTGTTAAATTCACTTATTGGTTCTAATAGCTTTTAATATATTCTTTAGGATTTTCTACATGGATAATCACTCATTTAGGAATGGAGATAATTTTATTTCTTCTCTTCCAGTATGTATTCATTTTCTTTCTTTCTTTTTTTCTTTTTTTTTTTTTTTGCCTTATTGTACTGGTAGGACCTCTAGTATGATTCCAGTATGAAAGGAATAGTAAGAGAGGACATCCTTGCCTTGTTTCCAGTTTTAGGGAAAAAACATTCATGTTTTACATAGGCGCCCTTCATCAGGTTGAAGAAATTTCCTTCATTACAAGTTTGCCGAGTTTTTATTATTGGTGTCAAATCTTGTTAAATGATTTTTTGCATCTATTGAGATGATTATAAGGATTTGCTTACAATTGTCTGTTGATATGATAAATTACATTGATTCCTTTTTGAATTTTGAACCAGTCTTGGAATCCTAGGACAAACAACACTTGGTCATGATGTATTATCTTATTTATATATTCCTGAATTCATTTGGCTAGTAGGTTTCCTAGGTTATCAGTATGGAGATTTATTTTCTTTTCTTGGAATGTCTTTATTTCATTCTAGTATCTGAGTAAGGTTGTCATTATAAAATGAGTTGGGATGAGTTCCCTGCTTTTCTATATTGTGGATGAGTTTTTATAGAATTGGTGTCACCCTTTCATTAAATGTTTGGTGAGATTAACCAGTGAAGGTATCTGGGCTTGGAGTTTTCTTTGTGAAAGGATTTTAAATACACATTCATTATCCCTTAATAGATTTAGGAATATTCAAGTTTTCTGTTTCTCTTTAAGTGAGCTTTGACAGTTTGTGTCTTTCAAAGAAAATGTCCATTTCATCTAAGTTGTTGAATCTACGGACACGGAGTTGTTTGTGATATTCCCTTCTTATCCTTAGAATATCTATAGTGTCTGTAGTGGTGTTCCCTATTTTATCTCTAACATGAGTTATTTGTATTTTTTAAATTATTAGTCTTGCAAGGGTTCATCGGTTTTTATGTTTCAAAGAGACATCTTTTGATTTCATTAATTGTGTATATTGTTTTTCTGTTCCTAATTTCATCAGTTGTCACTCTTTATCTTATCCTTCTACTTGCACTGGGTTTAATTTGCTTCTTTTTTTTTTCCTAGTTTGTTAAGTTGGGAATCTTTAGATCAGGGGTCAGCAAAGTACTGACCCCTGATCCTGCCTACTGCCTATTTTTGTAAATAAAATTTTATTGGAACACAATCATGCTCATTTATTTATGTGTCTTCTATGGCTGCTTTTATGCTACAGTGGTATAGTTGAAGTAGTGTAACAGATATCATATAACATACAAAGCCCCAAATATTTACTATCTGACCCTTTACAAACTCTTTACTATCTTCCAAAGCCTGCTTCATATACAGCAGATCCTCGAATAACCTCATTTCATTCAACATCATTTCATTATAATATTGATGAGGAAGAAAAGTCAATTCCTGGCCAGGGCCACTGTCTGTGTGGAGTGCTCGTGTTCTCCCCATGTCTGCGTAGGTTTTCTCTGAGTACTCTAGTTTCCTAGCACAGCCAAAGATGTGCATGTTGGGTTAATTGGTGTGTCTAAATTGTCCCCGTATGACTGAGCTTGGGTGTGTGTGTAAGTGCACCTTGTGAAGAAATGGCGTTCAATCTTGGGTTGGTTCCCGCCTTGTTCCTGAGCTGCTGGAGTAGGCTCCCCTGATTCTGAACTGAAATAAGCAGGCTAGAAAATGAATGAATGAATACTTACAAATTATTATAAAGTAAAAATTTATTAAGTATACGATAATCATACAAACAAATGCATGACAGTAAACGATGCAATACAAAAGCCCTCAGTTAGCCTGCCATGTTTGTTATTGTTTTATAACTGCAAGTGGTAGAGGATGCTCCTTACAGTTTTTGCTTTGCAAACATTTATTCCTTTATTTAATCCACCACCGCTATGACTACCATTACTTACTGATTCACCAAAAATTGGGTAAGTAATTATCTTACTTGTTTTTATTAATCTTTTTAAAATCTATGCATAGCTCACATTTATTTTAATATTTAATATTAGAAGAATTTGGGGTCTTTATTTAGAAGTTTGGTGATGCTTTTGTGACCAGATATATGCCATAGAAACTTAACTCTTGTTTATATCAATTTGCCTGTTGTGAAATTGGTTTCTATTCATTATTTATACAATTATATTCATTATTTATACATTGTTTTGCCTAAAGTCCTAGTTTCCAAGAACATATTGATGATTATAAGTGAGAACTTACTGTAATTGATTTGAGATTTCTTTTTTCTACTGCAAGTATTTTACTGCTATATATTTCTCTCTAAGCATTGCTTTATCTGCATCCAATAAATTGTGATGTTGTGTTTTCCTCTTCTTTCAATTAAAAATATTTTCTAATTCCCCACAGCACTTTCTCTTTGATACATGGTTTTTTAGAAGTGTGTTGTAAAATGTTCAAATATTGGGGAATTTTTCAGATGTCTTTCTGTTATTGATTTTTCTAGCTTATTCCATTATGTTTAGAGGGCATATTTCATGTGATAGCAATTTAATTTATTAAAATGTGTTTTATGGCTTATTTAGTAGATGCCCCATGTACTCTTGACATAACTTTTGATTTACATATTTTGAAGCTGTGTTGTTAAGCATGTCTACACTTAGGGTTATCATGCCTTTGTCATATGTATTGTCCCTCTTTATTTCTGATATTGCATTGATCTGAACTCTCCTTTGTCAGATATTGATATGGCTGCTACAGCTTTCTTTTGATTAGTGTCATATTTTTTCATCCTTTCACCTTTTATTCAAAACAACTTTTGGAACACTTTCATCAGCAGAATGGAAGTGCACAAATGAATCTTAAAACCAGCCAGGTGCAGTGGCTCATGCCTGTAATCCCAATACTTTGGGAGGTCAAGGTGGGCAGATCACTTGAAGTCAGGAGTTCAAGACCAGCCTGGCCAATATGGTGAAAACCTGTCTCTACTAAAAATACAAAAATTAGCTGGGTGTGGTGGCACATGCCTGTAATCCCAGCTACTTGGGAGGCTGAGGCAGGAGGATCACTTGAACCCAGAAAGTGGGGGTTGCAGTGAGCTGAGATGGCGCCACTGCACTCCAGCCTGGGAGACAGAGACTCTGTCTCAAAAAATCAATAAATAAAATAAAACCAGTGCATCAGTGAGTAAGCTCTAACACAAAAGTACCCATAACTCATGATGAAAATATAATCAGGTGGAGGAAGACAAAAGTCTAAGACAGTGGAGGAGATATGCATATGAGGAAGGAAGGACCCTGGCACTGAATTATCAGATGGACTCAGCTGATGTCTTTAAGTTTCACATACGCTGAGCCCCTAATCAGTGGTTTGAGACAAGCATTATATTTGGTCACAGTGGGTATATGCTACATCCAGAATGGGAAGAAAGTTCAGAATCCTGTGGAGACTGTAGACACTCAACTCTACAATAATGAGGTGGAGGTTATGAGGATGCTAGAGCTCTAGAGAAGCTCTTTCTTTGTGTCACTAACCACACCACAGCAAGATATGGTAAAAAAAATTATTCAAGTTACTAGTTTAATGGAAGAGCCAGAGTGGCTACAGGAAAGGCTCCATGAAAATATCCAGCTGGCATGGAGGAAATAAACATTCAGCCACTGGAGTAGTTATGGTGCCATGCTCAAGAGTTGGTAGAGAAAGGCGTTCTCTCTGATTGACTTACAAAAGACAATCTTTCTTCACATAGAGGACTAGAAAGTTCTATCAGTACTGACCTTTTCCTGTTTAGTCTTATATTTTGAAGCATCTCTGGGTTTACTGCTAGTATCACATCAATCATCAGGTGTAGTTTTGTAATAGTGCCAAGTAGAGGTCTTAAAAACTGGAAGTCTCTCAAATGATTCACTTAAAACAGCCTTTAAATAAGAGACAGCACCAATACCCATTCATTCCATCACATAGTATTAGATCTCCTTAAAAATATACGGCATGCAGATGAAAAAAAATGGTGAATTTTAACTGAATCCAGCCAAAGGGACAACTCTTATGGGCTACAGCTATATCTATTAGAATTTGAATACATATAGTTTAAAAAAGATACATTTTCAAAGTGAGACACCACCACCTCAGTCACTTAATGAAGAAATCTTTTTTTTTAACCCAAATAACAAAGGTTTTAACAGCCAAGTATCTCTATTTTCTGTCTTCATGGAGTGCTACTGTTGTTCTCGTTGAGTTCTTGAATTGCATGTATAACAGATGTATCGGCACATAAACTACTCGAATAGGTTTGTCTGGAGCTTTGGCATTGAACTCTTCAAATTCCACCTCTGGAGCTACCAGCTAATACTATTCACACAGCCTCTTGGCTGTTTCATATACATTGTTCACTATATCAGCCACATTACAGGTGAGATCAATACTTCTTCTGTGTTTAGAATGAGCAGGGATAGTGTCACCATCAAACAGAAGTGCATGCTAGTTAATAAGCATGTGGGAAGAAATGGAGTTGGGACAAAACCATTCTGGAAGATACTGGCTGTACTGCTAATAAAAGACTCAAACACATAATTTTTCTTATGTTCAATCACTCCATGTACCACTATAGAAACCACATTTTTCTGGCTTTCATCAGTACTTATTGAAAGTTATCTAAGACCTGTGGATCTTCAGGGCTCTTATTTTTATATTCTTTTTTTTTGTTTTTTTGAGATGGAGTCTCGCTCTGCTGCCCAGGCTGGAGTGCAGTGGCTCACTCGGCTCACTGCAAGCTCCACCTCCTGGGTTCACGCCATTCTCCTGCCTCAGCCTCCCAAGTAGCTGGGACTACAGATGCCTGCCACCACACCCGGCTAATTTTTTTTTTTTTTTTTTGTATTTTTAGTAGAGACCGGGCTTCACCATGATAGCCAGGATGGTCTCGATCTCCTGACCTCATGATCTGCCCGCCTCGGCCTCCCAAAGTGCTGGGATTACAGGCATAAGCCACCATGCCTGGCCCTTATTTTTCTATTCTAAAACTTCAAGAAAGTTCTGCATATACCAACTTTGAACCAATCCCATTGAAGGCCTGTTAAACCACTTACCCAGCAGAAAATTGGCTTCATTCACTGTGTTAGCCAGTAGCACGGGAATCTCCTTTTGTGAAATCATATATGATGTTCTCTGTAGCCATTATCTCTCCCAAAGTCCAGGAACTTCTTGATGGAGAGTGGTGACAGCAAGAGGCACAGATAGCAATTGATGTACTTGGGCACTGGCTGCTTTAGTAGCCACCAGTGTAGCCATGGCCTTGCCATGACAGCGCACAGACCTGCCTAGATGCCTGGGTGGACATGAGGGCCTGTGCAGCCAGACCATTTTGACCAGGTGTGTTCTTCATGAGTGAACCCCCGTTTCAGTTTCGACCTCAGCCTTGGCCTGTGCTTACAGCCACTTCAGCAGCTCCCAGGCTAAAGCTACTGCTGTTGGCTTCCACAGGCCCTATCCATTCTTTTACTTTTAACTTATTTATGCTTTTGCATTTAAAATAAGTTTGTTATAAATAACATATAGTTTAATCTTGATTTTTACACCTGATCTGTCAAATCTAGTCTTTTAGATGATATTTTAGACCACTTACATTTAATGTAATTGTTGATATGGATAGTTATATTAAAATCTACCACCTTGCAGGTTGTTTCTATTTGTTCAATCTTCTCTGTTTTGCTTTTCTCCTCTTTTTCTGTCTTCATTCATATTAATTCTTTTCTATGATTCCATTTTATCTCCACTATTGGCTTATTAGTTATACCTTAAAAGCTTTTTTTGTTGTTCACCTTAGGGTTTGTATGATACATTTTAATTAATCATGGTCTGCTTCACAAGAAGAGTCACAATTTGCTTTTTATCAAGCCCCTACAGCTCTAGGAGAAAAATTATGACATAAATATTAGTATCTAGATTCATTGCTATGGTGGTAAGATCACTTCATAATTCTTTTTCCATTATTTTATGAGCAAAATGTTTATAGGGAAAACGTATGAAATTTCACATATAAATACCAACAAAATGGTTGGAAAAGGAAAGGCTATCATTGTTGGTAATGTTCACATATCCTTAAATTTCACCAAACACAACATATGAAAAAATAGTTGATTATTTGCCTTTTGTTTTCAAACAGATATTGCAGCTGTAGAAGAATGGTTAGTAAGAATCACTTTACATCATGGACTAAATATTTATGCTACTGAAGGAACTCTATTGGATGTTATTCGAGGTAAATGCCAACAGACAGAAGTAAAATGGAATTCATATATTCTTTCAACAAACTTTGACATCCGCTATATGCCAGATTCTGTGCTAAGGTCCTAGAGATTAAAAATAAATAAATAAATAGGAGATAATCATGACCCTTGAGGCACTCACAATCTGATAGGATAAAGAATTAAATACATGTGGATAAATTATTAACAAAGATCTGCAAAGAGTGCTATAGAAATGTGGAAATACAGGCTGGGCATGGTGGCTCATGCCTGTAATCTCAGCACTTTGGGAGGCCGAGGTGGGCAGATCACTTGAGGCCAGGAGTTTGAGACCAGCCTGGCCAACATGGTGAAACTCCATCTCTACTTAAAAAAAAAAAAAAAAAAAGTTAACCAGGCATGGTGATGCACATCTGTAGTCCCAGCTACTTGGGAGACTGAGGCAGGAGAATCGCTTAAACCCAGGAGGCAGAGGTTACAGTGAGCCAGGATTGCACCATTGTATTCCAGCCTGGGCAACAGAGTGAGACTGTGTCTCAAAAAAAAAAAAAAAAAAAAAAAAAAAAAAAAAAAAAAAAAGGAAGTACATATTTTACTGTGGCCACATTGAGGGTCATTATAAACAATGGCTTATAAAGTTGATTATATTTACTTATTCCAAAAAAGTAAGTAGTTTTTTAGGTAGCTTCCAAATTAAAAAAAAAATGTTACTAATTATTCAATAGTAATTGCAATACTGTCTTTGGGACTCTGATAGTTTGATATCCTATGCTACTTTTTAACTACTGAAATATCAATATAAAATTGTTATATCAATTTTTAAAAGATCTGAAATGCTAACTTACATTTGTTTAGAATGTACTGAGGTATAATTGCAGCAAAAAGCTTCACAAATTGGTAGATCTTTGAAAGCTCCAGATGTGGAGATGAGATTGATCTGTTTGAGGAACTAAAGGGAGACTAGTGTTGCTGAAGCATAGTAAATGACAGAGTGGTGGATCATGAGTTTGGAGAAGCTGGCAGGAATCTTGGTAAAAAGTGTGGACTTTATTGTAATTATAACTTAAAGCCATTGGGGTATTTTAAGCAGAGAACTAATAAATTCTGATTTATCTTTTATAATGAAAAGACCATTTTGGCTGCTATGTAGAGAATAACTCTTGAGGAAGGATAGCAAGAATGGAATAAAGGAAATTGGTAGCAGTTGTTGCAATAGTCCCCTTGAGAAGGTCTGGAGTAGATGGACAGTAGCATTAGCAGTGGAGGTGGTGAGCAGAGCCTTCAGAATAGATTTTGAAAGTAGAGCTGCTATGGCTTCTTGGTGGACTAAGATGGGGGAAAACAGAATTAACAAGGATGATGCCTGGATTTCTTACTCAAGCATTCAAGTAGAGGATGATATCATTCACCAAAATGCTGAAGACAGGAGAAGCAGACACTGGGAAATAGGAATCAAGAGTTAAGGCTAGAGTTAGAAATCTTTATTCACTACTGAACTCAAAAGAGAGTGTAAAACCTTGTCTCTATTTCTTCATATCCAATCCACACCCCAAACCACTCATTTGTTTCCATCTCCTCCACGCTACTCAAACTGTTGCTAATCACAGTCACCAGTGACCTTCATATTGGTCACTTTTCTGTCCCCTTTTTAGCTTCTTAGTAGCAGTCAAAACTTTTAATCAGTTCCTTGTTCTTAAAATGCTTAAGATATACTACCTGACTTCAGGAACTTGTATATAAGTAGGGGGGCATTGTCAGCTCCGTGATGTCCAGTGGTAAGCTGAAATCTCCCTGACCTGGGTGTGAATGGTCTGCAAACAAATATTATACCCTGCAACGTCAGCTGCTTTGCCCCACATTTCTTTGAATTCTGGAGTGACTTCCTGGTGAATTAGTGTAGTTAGAGATTGTGTCTCTTTCCCTTCTTGGCTGTCCTTGTGCTGCACTACGTCAACCCAGATGAAAAGTTAGCTTGTTTTCTTGCTTTGCACAAAGTGAAAAAAATATCACATAAAGTCTTTGGGTTTGTAGCAGATTTTATTGAAAGTTGGGGAGACAGAGGAGAATGTAAATAGCTAAATAACTGGTTATCAGTTATCTCTGCTTTTAAAAGTCCTTTGACTATTTTTGAAATTCAGACAGCAGTTGTCTTTCAAATTGCCCTGGCTTACTTTTTGTACTCTTTTTTTTCTCATTTTTTTCTAAAAGAAAAAAAACCCTCCCTTTTATTAATGCATGAAAATTCGACTTTAGCTCCAATCCTTTGCATATCCAAAAGTAATATTTTAAGTTTTAAAATTTGTGACGCCTTGTCTGATGACGTTCTTTCGAAAGGCTCATTGTCTACCCTGGTCTGGTGAGGAAGAGTGTACCCTGATTCTTCTAGTTACAGTGAGTGCAGAGTCCTATTGGAGCACCTGGGAGGAGAGCCTCACTCATTCTAGGGCGTCATGGAAGGCTTCCCAAAGAGGGAGACATTCACATTGAGGACTGAAAAATAGGGTTGTGAGAAAAACAGATATTCAAAGCCCCACAAACTAGAGCCTGTAATGGGAGGCCAGTTCTGGCAAGAAGTAAAGCTGAGGAACCAAGAGGACGTCAGATTCTGGAAGGCCTGGTTTGCCACGTGAAAGACCTTATTCACCACTAGTGCTGCTATTCTGCCTGTGCTGCATTGGAGATGCTTCACCTCTGATTGCTTTCTCTTCTGCATCTCATTCCCAACTTCTATCTTGCAGAAATCCTTCTAAGTCTCTTGGCCCCTAATGATAACTGTCCCTGTTCACCACTGCTACTCTGGATTTTACTCATTTTCATCTACCTACTGTTGTTTCAATGAGATTGGGAAGAGAACAAAAAGTAAATGAGTGGGCTCTAGAAGCAGAAGTTATAAATATATTCTGTGATCCAGCAATTCCATTTATACAGATAGATCCTGTGGCAAATAGTATTTTTCAACTACCTTCCAGAAATCCCTCTCAGTCTCTTGGCCACTAATGATAACTGTCCCTGTTCTCCACTGCTACTCTGGATTTATTCCCATTTTTATATATCTACTGCTATTTCAGTGGGATTGGGAAGAGAACAAAAAGTAAATGAGTGGGCTCAGAAGTTATAAATGTGCGTATTCTGTGATCCAGCAATTCCATTTCTAGGGATAGATCCTGTGGCAAATGGTATTTTTCAAATGTGGCCAAAGCAATCTCTCTCATTCCACATGCTCTTCTGCAATGTAACCTTGCCAGCCCCCCACCAAGGGGAATTAGACTTTACTCCTTATATCCTGGAAAATAGTCACTGACTGATTTTTAACCAATGCAGAGTGAGGTAATGCACCTTTTTTGAACTATAGAATAGTTTCTTTACATAGTTCTTTTAAAACCTTTAAAGGAAAGTAGCATCCATTTTCAAGGGTGCTCCCACAATTTAAACACCCAAATTTGATTTCCACAGAACCGATTCTTCAGTGGACTCCTGGGGATGTGATTCCAGAAAGTGAAATCAGTAAATTATATCCACATGTGGTAGATCTCAAAGTGACAAAATGCCCCTGTGCCAATGATGTGGCATTACTAGGCTTCATTGTGGATACAATAGTTGATGGTAGGTCTACAGCTTCATTAAATGTTGACATTGGCCTTTTATATTTTGTAACAGTAATGTTTAACTGGCAGCAGAAATAAATGCATAGACATAGGGAAGGAAAATTGTTTCCTAAAAATACCTAAAAATTTATTATTCAATACTGTATCTTGTCTACTTCCAAGTATGATATACTAAGTATGTTTTCTTACTGTGACTTTTTGCCATGTTAATTGTGACTTTAGTGTGTCTCCTAATTTCATTTATCCCATGCCCTCCATTAATATGTTACTTTCTCCCAGAGATTATCTGCTATTCCTACCATGTATAAATAGGTATTTTTGTTCTTGAAATACCACATTACTTAGTTTATGTTTGCATTTTTTTCATTACTACTGTAATATCTGAGAGCATCTATATAGGGAAAGAAACAACTGTTTCTCTCTATATCCATTTCATAACACTCTAATACCAAATGTATGGATTTTCCACACCGAGTGATTCTCCAGTTCTCTGTGGATGACCGAGTAGGTGTCCTATGATTTAATACAATTCTGGCACTAGCTATCTGGAGTTAGCACAGACCCCCCTCTCCAGCCAACAACAGATTAAGGGCTCAGTCCCACAAGACTGTCCCCCAATTCAAATGCCGGTCACAAGTCCCAGGTTGTAGTTCTAATCAACTAATTATAATTTGGGGAGGTCCCACAAATCCTTCCTTGAGTTCAATAATTTGCTAGCACAACTCACAGAACTCAGGGGAACGTTTATTTAGGTTTGCCAGTTTATTATAAAGGTCAAAACAAAGGATACAGTAAACAGTTGGGCAAGGTCCAGAAGATTCCCAAGAAAAGGAGCTTCTGTCCCCGTGGAGTTGTGACACGCCACACCCCTGGTATGTAGATGTGTTTTAGCATTCCAAAACCTGCACTGTAAGGAGAAGCTTTATCACATAGGCATTGATCAATTATTTATTCAGTCTCCACACCCTCCCCACTTCCTGGGAGATGCACTGTGGGGCTGAAGGCTCTAAGCTTCTAATCGTGGCTTGCTTTTACTGGTGACCACCCCACATCTTAAAGGTATCTGGGAGTCTGTCAGGAGTTGCTTCATTAGAACAAAAGACAATCCCATCACCCAGGAAATTCCAAGGAGTTTAGGGGTTCTGTATCAGGAACTGGGGCCAAAGACCAAATGTTATAACAAAGGATGTTCCTAGCACTCCATCATGCAGGAAATTCTGGAGGTTTTAGGAGTTCTCTATCAGGAGCCAGGGACGAAAACCAAATACGTATTTCTCGTTATATCACAATATCACAATGTCATTACACATTTCAACTACTAATAGTATTATTTTAATTATTGTTCCTAGCTAATTGATGACCTCCTAGACCCCAAATTCAGTGAATATAAAGGAAAATATATTTAAAACTTAAAAAATAAGAAACAAAATTTTATTACTCGTAGATAATATGTATACCTACAAAAAAATCCAAAAAGATCTGTAGAAAAACTCAGAACAAATATGGGTATGCTAGAAGGCTGTGAGATAGAATAACAATGTATAAAAATCACTCCACCAAGGACTAATTAAAGATTATAATTTAAAAAATCCTATTAAGGTAAGAAATCCCAAAAAGTACCCAGGAATAAAAAAAGGAGTTGCAAGGCCTATTGTGTAGAAATTATAAAACTAATGAAGGTCATAAAAAAAGACCAAAATAAATAAGAGATTTCATGTTTATAAGCAGGAAGTTCTGGTATTATAAAGATTTATTTTATAAATAAATTTATTACAAATAAAATGTATTACAAATTTATCAATTCAATATGATTCCAAGAAAAATTATAACAATGTTTTTGGTTTGTGTGTGTGTGTGTGTGTGTGTGTGTGTGTTTTCTTTTTTGTGTCAGGGAGGGTGTAGAAATTGGCAAGCCAAACACAAAATTCATATGGGAGAATGATACACCATGAATAACAAACATAATTTTAGAGAAAAAAAACAAAACAAAAATTTGTCCTAGCATGACTTATTATAAAGCAATAGATTAAAACAGTATGCATCAGTATAGGGATAGACAAATAACCTTGCCCAAATCTCTTTGACTTCCTAATGGCTTATAGTCTGCTTCTGTGGAATTCCTTTAGTTTTACTAGGTTGGTGCAAAAGTAATCGCGGTTTTTGCAATTATTTTTAATGGCAAAAACCGCGATTTTTTTTGCACCAACCTAATAATTGTGTCTTTTTCCACTCTCTGCTGTCATATTCTACACTATGTCAATCCAGATAGAAACTTGGCTCCTTTTCTTATGTTGTTCTGTGAATAGGTCCTAGCCAGGACCTCCTCCTCCTCGTCTTTATCCAAACACCAATACCTACCTTACTTCTGTGAGCCATAGGAGAGCGGTCATTCTGAACTCCTCATGCTTGATTCTGCCTTACAAATGAAAGTCATGGGAGAGAAGCGCCAGTCTTAATTCCTTGGGATCACACTCATGAGGCCACCTCAACCTCTCAAGAAAACAAACAACTTCAGCAACAGGTTCTTTAGGTGAAAGCACCTTTTCCCCAACTGGTCACCACTGTGCTGAAGCAATAAAGGAAGTTCTCACAGTATCAAGCTGCAACTGCCTAAATCAGCAATTTTTTTTTTTTTTTTTGAGACAGGGTCTCTCTCTGTTGCCCAGGCTGGAATGCAGAGGCACAATCATGGCTCACTACAGCCTCAAACTCCTAGGCTCAAGCAATCCTCCTACCTTAGCCTCCCACATAGCTGGGACTACAGGTACACGCCACCACACCCAACTAGCAGTTCCTTTGCGAGGCCTTGTTTGTCCTCCTGGCCTTCATACCACATGGAGTTAATGGTGGGAACAGCTATGCAGCAGCCCCATGTACTCCAATTTGGACTTATTACCCCCTTTCCTCCTCTAGGATATTCTTAAGACATAAACCATCAGGCCTCCCATCAGTTACCAGAACATAAGCTTCCGCAGATCATTTCTGGTTATCCTATCCCACATACAGTTCTGAATGTCCTCTAATTTGATTCAAACTTTTATCCCGCTCTATCCACCCAAATCCTTTCATTAGAATTTGTGGCCTGTCATTAACAAATTCCCCCATATCACTCACTTTTTCTCTGAATGGTCCCTTAACTTTCTTTCCATAAAGAGTACTGGGTCATCCTCAGATGACATTCTTTCCCCTCAGCCCTCCCACATATCACATATTTCAAAACCCAGGGTGAGGGTTGTTGTCTTTGCTCCTTAGGATTACTGCTTAATCACTACTCCTGTCCTCTTGTTTGAAACATGGAGCTTTTTTGAACTCAGACTTTACCTCCCTCTAACTTTTCTTGGTTGCCAGCATTTGGTGACCTCCTCACCGCTCACATTCATTCATTTACAAGTTTAATCTCTGGGTCCCTGCCTTCCTCTCCACTTGACTTTTGTCACTATTTTTGGTGACTTCACCATCCATATGGATGATCCATGCAGTACCTAGCTTCAAGGCTTCCTGTCCTCCAATGATCTTTCCCCTATCTTACTCCTATGGCAATATTCTTCTTAAAATTTTTAATTTAATAATTGCAACTTTTATTTTAGATTTGAGGGGAGGTACATGTGCAGGTTTGTTACATGGGTATATTGTGTGATGCTGAGGTTTGGAATATGAATGAGCCCACCACCCAGATAGTGAGCATAGCACCCAATAGTTAGTTTTTCAACCATTGCTCCCTTCCCTCCCCCAGCTAGTAGTCCCCAGTGTCTATTGTCGCCATACTTCAGGTCTGTGAGTAGCTCCCACCTACAAGTGAGAACATATGGTATTTGGTTTTCTGTTGCCTGTGTTAATTCACTTAGGATAATGGCCTCCAGCTGCATCTATGTTGCTGGAAAGGACATGATTTCATTCTTTTTATGGCTGCATTGTATTCCATGGTGTGCCACATTGTCTTTATCCAGTCCACCATTGATGAGTACTTAGGTCGATTCCATGTCTTTACAACCTATGAACAAAAAAAAGCCCTGGACCAGATGAATTCACAGCCAAATTCTACTAGACATGCAAAGAAGAGCTGGCACCAATCCTACTGAAACTATTCCCAAAAAATTGAGGAGCAGGATCTCCTCCCTAACTCATTCTATGAAGCCAGCATCACCCTGATACCAAAATCGGCAAAGACACAACAAAAAAAGAAAACTAGAAGCCAATATTTTGATGAATGTAGACAGAAAAATTCTTGACAAAATATTAGCAAAAGGAATCCAGCAGCGTATTACTATGCAGTCATAAAAAAAGAATGAGTTCATGTCTTTTGCAGGACATGGATGAAGCTGGAAACCATCATTCTCAGCAAACTAACACAGGAACAGAAAACCAAACACCGCATGTTCTCACTCATAAATGGAAGTTGAACAATGAGAACCTATGGGCATAGGGAGGGGAACATCACACACCGGGCCTGTCGAGGGGTGGGGGACAAAAGGAGGGATAGCATTAGGAGAAATATCTAATGTAAATGATGGGTTGATGGGTGCAGCAAACCACCATGGCACATGTACACCTATGCAAAAAACCTGCATGTTCTGCACATGTATACCAGAACTTAAAGTATAATAAAATAAATAAATGAATATTATTAAAATAAATAAATAAATAAAATTAAAAAGTAAAAATAAAAAGTTAATTCAAGGCTGGGCACGGTGACTCATGCCTGTAATCCCAGGACTTTGGGAGGCTGAGGTGGGCAAATCACCTGAGGTCAGGAGTTCAAGAGCAGCCTGGCCAACATGGTGAAATCCTATCTCTACTAAAATACAAAAATTAGTAGGGCGTGGTAGTGGGTGCCTGTAATTCCAGCTACTCGGGAGGCTGAGGCAGGAGAATCTCTTGAACCCGGGAGGCAGAGGTTGCAGTGAGCCGAGACCGCGCCATTGCATTCCAGCCTGGGTGACAAGAGCAAAACTCCATCTAAAAAAAAAAAAAAAAGTTAATTCATCATGATCAAGTAGGCTTCATTCCTGGGATGCAAAATTGGTTCAACATATGCAAATCAAGAAATGTTATTCTTTTTGCTTAGGAATACTTTAGCTATTTGGGCTCTTTTTTGGTTTCATATGAATTTTAGGATTTTTTTTCTAATTCTGTGAAAAATGATGTTGTGATTTTGATGGGAATTGCATTGAATCTATAGATAGTTTTGGGCAGTATGGATGTGGGGGAAAGGGAATGCTTATACACTGCTGGTTGGAATGTAAATTAGTACAACCTCTATGAAAAACAGTGTGGAGATTCCTTAAAGAACTACAAGTAGATCTACCATTTGATCCAGCAATCCCACTGCTGGGTATCTACCCAAGGAAAAGAAGTCATTATATGAAAAAGACACTTGCACACATATGTTTATAGCAGCACAATTCACAATTGCAAAGATGTGGAACAAACCTAAGTGCCCATCAACTAATGAACAGATAAAGAAAGTGTGGCATACATATACCATGGAATACTACTAAGCCATAAAAAGGAATGAAACAATGTCTTTTGCAGCAACTTAGATGGAGCTGGAGGCCATTATTCTAAGTGAAGTAACACAGGATTGGAAAACCAAAAACCATGTGTTCTCACTTATAAGTGGGAGCTAAGCTATGAGCAAGCAAAGGCATACAGAGTGATGTAATGGACTTTGGAGACTCAGAAGGAGGAGGTTGGGAGGGAGCTAGGGATAAAAAAAACCACACATTAGGTACAATGTACACTACTTGGGTGATGGCTGCACTAAAATCTCAGAATTCACAGCTACATAATTCATCCATGTAACAAAAAACTAC
Source organism: Homo sapiens (assembly GCF_000001405.40). Classification (NCBI taxonomy): domain Eukaryota; kingdom Metazoa; phylum Chordata; class Mammalia; order Primates; family Hominidae; genus Homo; species Homo sapiens. The sequence continues at coordinate 91,698,736 of NC_000014.9, read as the reverse complement.
TTGTACCCCAAAAGCTATTGATATTTTTTGAATAACATAAAAATGTGATTTACCATATAAATAGAACTAAAAGCAAAAGCTATATAATGATCTCAATAGATGTGGAAAAAACCTTTGATAAAACCTAACATCCCTTCATGTTAAAAACTCTCAACCAACAAGACATTGAAGGAACATACCTCAAAATAATAGGAGACATCTATGACAAACACACAGATAACATTATACTGAACTGGCCAAAGCTGGAAGCATTTCCCTTGGGAACCAGAACAAGACAAGGATGCTCACTCTCACCTCTTCTATTCAACACAGTACTGGAAGTCCTAGCCAGAGCAATCAGGCAACAGGAAGAAACAAAATGCATCCAAATAGGAGAAGGAGGCATCCAACAGAAGAAGTCAAACTCTCTCTCTTTGCCGACAATATGATTTTATACCTAGAAACCCCTGAAGACTCTAACAAAAAGCTCCTAGAACTGGTAAACAATTTCAGTAAAGTTTCAAGATACAAAAATCAATGTAGAAAAATCAGTAGCATTCCTATACACCAAAATCATTCAAGCTGAGAGCCAAATCGAGAGCACAATCCCATTTACAATACCCCCCACCACACACACACCCCTAGGAATACATCTAACCAAGGAGGTGAAAGATCTCTACAAGGAGGAGTACAAAACACTGCTCAAATAAATCATAGATGATACAAACGAATGGAAAAACAGTCCATGCTCATGGATTGGAAGAATCATTACCATCTAAATGGCCATACTGCCCAAGCAATCTACAGATTCAATACTATTCCTATCAAGCTACCAATGTTATTTTTCACAGAATTAGAAAAAACTAGTCTAAAATTCATATGGAACAAAAAAGAGCCCAAATAACCAAAGCAATCCTAAGCAAAAAGAACAAAGCCTGAGGTATCACATTACCCAACTTCAAACTATACTACAAGACTGCAGTAACCAAAACAGCATGGCACTGGTACAAAACCAGACACATAGACCAATGGAACAGAATAGAGGATCCAGAAATAAAGCCACACCCCTACTACCATCTGATCTTCAACAAAGTTAACAAAAATAAGCATTAGGGAAAAGACCCTATTCAATAAATGGTGCTGGGGTAGCTGGCTAGCCATACACAAAAGAAAAATGAAACTGGATCCTTGCCTTTCTCCATATACAAAAGTTAACTCAAGATGGAGTAAAGATGTAAATGATTAAACTCTTGACCTTGTCATCTCTAATGTCATTAGCTCTGAAATCCGTAGTATCTGCATCGTACACTCTGTCCACTGCCTCTTATTCTTTGTCTGTTCTAGTACTCACACTCCAACATTTCTTTGATCTCATTGAGACCTTAATCCATTTTCACTATCACTTTTTTCACTACCCAACATCCTTATTTTCCTCTGTTCTCACCATAATTCTCAGAGCCCATCTTTTTAAATACTTCTGTAACTCCCTTGCCCTTCTTTTTCCTCCTTGCCTGCCCAACCCCAACTCTAAAACCATCTCTGCTCCTGCCCTGCAAGAGCAGAATATTGCTGGGGAAAAATTGCATGCTAGTCTCATTTTGACATTTCACTGACCAGTCTCACTCTAAATTCATGATCATGAATCTTAAGTGGGCACTCAGTACTCCCTATAAAGAGTACTGCCTATAAATCCTATCACTCTTCGCTTGTATATTTATTTTCCCACTCTGCAAAATTTATCACACTTCTTTCCACTCCTCAAATACTCTTCCCCTCTTACTCTTGGCTGTGCCTTTATATAATACTTCAGAGAAAATAAAGATTGATTATAGAAACCCCACTGTTGCAACTGGAAATCTGCCATCATACCTGCATTTGTATGCTTTGCCTTTACTGCCTGTTGCACTGTAAGAAATATCTCTGCTGCAATCAAAGGCTACCCCTCAGCCCTTGTGTTCTGGATCCCATTCCTTGCAGCCATCTGAACAACCTTGCTCTTACATCTGTTGTGCAATTCTCATCTTTCTCTCCAACATCATCATACTCTTCCTCCTCACTGGATTGTATCCGTTAGGATAGAGACATACCCTAATATCCCCCATCTTAAACAAAACCTTCGTTTATCTCACTTTACTTCCATCTCCACTTCTCTGTTCCCTTTCAAAAAAAAAATATTTAAGGCCAGAATTTAATGCAGATGATGCTGTTTTTCCACCTCCCATTTTATCTTCTTTCCACTACAAATCAGACTCTGGTTTCCATCACCGTACTAAAACATTTCTTCTCAAGGCCACTCACAGTTTCCATATTGCCAGTTCCAACAGCCAGTCTTTTATGCCCATTCTACTTTCCTTTCCAGCAGCATTTAACAGGGTCGACCAGTCTCTGCTCAAAACACTTTCTTCTTTTAGCTTTCTTGATACCACTTTCAAGTTCTTTATATTTTCTCATTGGTCACTCTTTAGTTTTCTAGGAGGGCTCCTTTTTGGTGTGACCCCTAAATGCAAACCTAGGGCTTTGTTTTTGACTGTCCTTCCTTAAGTTACCACATTCTCCCTCCAGAAGACTTAATCCAGTCTGATGGCAGTAATGCCATCTTCAGGCTGATGATTCCCAAATCTATATTGCTGCTGCTGACCCCTCCTTTGAAACAAAACTACTCCTCTCTTCAGTTGTCTATTACGCATTTCTTCTTGATGGCTAATAAGCATCTCAAATACAGCAAGTCTGATCCAGAACTCTTGATCCATCTCCCTCAAAAAATCTGTTTCTCTCCAGTATTTCTCATCCCAATTAGTATTAAATTGGTCAGAACTGAAATCTAGGACACATTCTTGACTGCTTCTTACCCTCACAACATTCCCCGATTGTGCTGTCTCCAGGGTCCATCGCCAATGTGACCACCTCACTTCTCTGCTAAAATCTTAGGTCAAGTCAACATTTTTTATTAGACTAATTAGCCTCTTAAGTGGTCTCTCTATTTCCATTCTTGTGCCAATACAAATCAGCCTCCATACACCCACCAGAGTGATGTTCTCAAGTATAAACCAGATCACATCACTTCCCTGCTTCCAACACTCCTGTGGCTTCCCTTTGCCAATAGAATAAAAGCTAAACTTTTCACAATGGTCTGCATCAGCTTCTGTAAGCCCTGGGATAGTTTGTCACAGAGAGTAGCCTGTAACTTAATTTTAGTCTGTAAATATTAACCAGCATAAAGTGTTTATTTTATGATGTCTCCATTAAATAGTGTTTTTTTGCAAGAATCTGGTCATGTGATAGCATGCTGGACATCTATAATTATTCCCACTTAAACTATCCCACCGTTAGGCTGGGTGGTGGCTCACACCTGTAATTTCAGAACTTTTGGAGGCTGAGGTGGGCGAATCACTTGAGATCAGGAGTTCAAGACCAGCCTAGCCAACATGGCAAAACCCTGTCCCTACCAAAAATACTAAAATTTAGCCAGACATGGTGGTGCACACCTGTAATCCCAGCTACTCAGGAGGATGAGGCACGAGAATTGCTCGAACCTGGGAGGCGAAGGTTGCAGTGAGTGGAGATTGCGCCACTGCACCCCAGCCTGGATGACGGAGTGAGACTCTATCAAAAAAAAAAAAAAAAAAAATTCCCACCATTATCTGTAAAACTAAACTTAATTCTCAGAAAGGCAAAGTTTGTCTTTAGTTTTCCTCTTCCTGGAAAAAGTATACAATAATAAATAACACTTCCTTCTACAGCTTTCCTTAAACAGAAAAGAGCTGAGAGTTAAAACTCACACTTCAAAATATGACTCGTTCTACAAATGTCCTCTTTTGGAAATAAAGTATATGCGTTAGATTGCCAAGGTTCCTTAGCCTCCCCTCCTCCCCAGCCCAGTAGTTATGTCCTTTGACAAAACTTCAGATCAGCACCTCACATTTAAAACACAAAAGACTCTAGACATTCCTACCTATGACCAAGAAAAGGTGGGGTTGGGGAACAAAGTACTTTAGGATTTGTGATGTGTTCAATCTTCTTCATTTACAAGGTTTTAGTGAAACTTTAGCAAAAGTTTTCTCTGTTTTTAAAATCACAAATAAAAAAGTAAATCATAGTTTCTCCTGTCTTGGAGTTTACATTTTAATTTTCTTCTTTGGAGTTTTTAAAAATTATTATTAACTAAAATTGTACTCCTGAAATAGGAGCATCTTTATGCTTAGAAGGGTACTGTTAGGGAGGAAAAATTTTCCTCTGTTCTCTTATGCTTAGTGAATAGGGCTCTATGAATTAAATCCACACAACAGATTTCTTTTTTTTTTTTTTTTTTTTTTTTTTTTGAGATAGGGTCTCTCTTTGTCTCCCAGCCTGGAGTCGCATGATCATAGTTCACTACAGCCTTGACCTCCCAAGCTCAACCGATCCTCTCACCTCAGCCTTCTGAGTAGCTGGGACTACAGGCATGCACCACCATGCCCAGCTAATTTTGTATTTTTTGTAGAGACAGGGTTATACCATGTTGCCCAGGCTGGTCTCAAACTCCTGGGCTCAAGTGATCCTCCTGCCTTGGCCTCTCAAAGTGCTGGGATTATAGGCGTAAGCCACCATGCCCAGCCCAAATAACAGAGTAACAGGATAAAAAGCACACAATTTTTTTTTATTATTTATGTGCATGGCAGTTCACAAATAGAAGTGAAGATCAAGTGGTTAAATCAGGAAATTATATACCATTTTCACAAAGGAAGTGGATTTAGGAATCAAGGAACAATTAGCTGTAAGGAAGTTGTGACTAGAAAATATATAGGGGAACTAATGGCAGATAAGGGTTCCCTATCTCCAGTGATAAAAATGCTCTTCTTTTTCTGGTAAAAGGAGCAATTTATGCTTTGCTTTTAAGCAGATAAAGGGAGGGCAGAGACTGCACTTATTGATTCTCAATTGCCTTCAGGTCAAAAAAAAAATCCTTAAACTAAAGTGGCATATTTGGCATATTCTGATGCCCTTCTACGTAAAAAAAGATACAGTACAATTTGGAAGATATTTTAAGAGAATGAACCAATACCTTAAGAGGGTTGATTTTAAGGGCATATTATTCCCAGCAGTAATCATTCTAGGAGTCAATCAGATGGTTGGCTAATATTATGTGGTGTAACTTGAAGTTACTTCATCTTTCCAATGCTTTGGGAAGTGAGAGTCATAGTGCTGAGAGGGAGTTGGAACGGACTCTGGGCTCTTGCCCCTGAAGGTGACTCACCTTGTAAAGTTGCCTGGCTTTAATTTTCCTTTTGTTTCATGGTAGGTGTTTACATAGGCATAACCTTTGGTGGATTCTGGCATGATTATGATACCACATGGTTTAACATGACACAGACTATCTATTCCCAACTTCAAGAAGGTAACTCCTCTAACATTGCCTTCATCTTGAGCATTTTACTTACATCAATATTTGATTAATATCTATAAAATGTCTTTGCTTCAGTAAGGAACTCACTTTTTTCTTACTTTTTAATCCATGGTATGATTTCTTCGTTTAGAATATGAAGACCTTTCATTGGTGGATATGGTTTTAACGAATCATTTTTTAGTTATCCTCACCTCTTTGGGCCTTTTTGTAAGTGAAGATCTTCGTTATCCATCACGCCACAGCTTATCGGTATGTAAATTGCTTTGTAACTAATAGCTAATCTTAAATATCTTCTGTGACACAAAAAGAAATATTTAATACTTGAGTTATGTGTGGTGTATCTTAAAATTGAAATGCTTCTTTCTTTCGAAAAACATAAAGGCATAATACAGTAACTTTTTCCTTTACCTCGTAGTATTGAATATATAATTTGGAAGTGGTGCTAGTTGTATTGCTCTACAAATTTATAGTAAGTTTTAAATGTATACATGCAGAAAAGATCTGTCTACCTACCTATTGATTGATCCATTTATTTATAGCTATATATGTTACCCAAATGCTTTAAGGTAATTTATAAAGCCACATATAGTATTACAAAGTAACATAAGTGAAAAGTAAGTATTGGGATTGAGCGAAGGGAAATACACGTTTAGGTGAAGATTGTTAATATGCATACCATAAAATTCTTAAACATGTTAACAAGTACCTCTCAAAAATTACCACAACAGAGATGAGACAAGCAATAAAGACTTGGGATCGGTAGGAGAAAAGATAGAGGGAAGTAAAGAAGGGGAAATGGTATTGATTGAGACACAGATATTTCTTATACATGGTAATTATTATCTTTCTTCAGGTATAAGAATATTCACATATACCTGAGCCTTCCTCACCATCTCTGAGAAAGTACCATTTGTTGCTCAGATGACTAGGGGATCTGGGGTTTTTAAAATGCTTATTATATAATTGCTAAAACAGAGAGTTGAAACCAGGAACGCTACAATGGCTTAAAATCAAAGTGCAGAGAAGTAGACGGGGATTGTATATTGTAAGTCCTGACCTCTGGACTGCTCTGGCCTGGGCAGAAGGAACAGAGTGGCAAAGGAGAAAATAATAGGTTGAGGGTGTGCCTTCCTAAACCCAAATGGGCGGCAGACTTGCATATGCCAGCACACTTCTTCTTTTTTTTTTTTTTTTTTTTTGAGACTGAGTCTCGCTCTGTTACCAGGCTGGAGTGCAGTGGCGTGATCTCAGCTCCCTGCAATCTCCGCCTCCTAGGTTCAAACAATTCTCCTGCCTCCGCCTCCCAAGTAGCTGGGATTACAGACATGCACCACCACGCCCAGTTAATTTTTGTATTTTTAGGAGAAACGGAGTTTCACTATGTTGGCCAGGCTGGTCTCAAACTCCTGACCTCGTGATCCGCCTATCGCGGCCTCCCAAAGTGCTAGGATTACAGGTGTGAGCCACCGTGCCAGGCCCACCTGCACACTTCTTAATTCCTCCATTTAAATCATTAAAAGGCATGGTTTTCGTCTCAAATCCTTTCTGGAATCACACTAAAGTATAAGTAAATTAATAAAATAATGAAATGAGGCAAAGACTGATGGGGAAATTCCCTGGATATTGTATAAACTATATCAGAGTTTGCTTTTAGTGTTTGGCTATCCTAACTGCTAGGATAGAAAAAACATATAATTTAGTTATAATTTTGTTTCAACGAATTTATATGGTTTATTTCCTTTAGTATAATTTAAATTGCTATGTTTTGTTAGGCCTTCTGATATGCAAGCAAAAATTAAAGTTTCTTCTTTTCTTCTAGTTTTCCAGGGCAGACTTTTGTGGTTTTGAAAGGGTAAGAAGCTTTATATTTCCCAGGGCTGGTTAGAAGATATGTGTTTACTTGGTAACTTGAGATGAGATGCAAGACAATAATTCACAATATAAGTTATTCCAGTTACTATATTATTTATAGTTTAAACAAAATATATATTTTTTTATATATATGAATTTGTAGCATATATTATTTATACATATATTCGTAGCAACCATTAAGCAGTGCTCACCTCTTCTGCTTCAAAGGAAGAAGTGCTCCTCCCTGTTTCAGAGGTCACCCCCACCCCGTTTCCTATGCTATGTCCAGGCTAGCTATGGTTGTTCAGTTTGGATTCTGCACAAGTACACTTGACTGAAGAGAGTAAGGTGGTGGGGTCTGGCTAACACTTTACTCCTCAATCCATCTACCCCAGTGTAAGTCTGTTCTACTTCGAGAAAGGGGTACCTTTTCTAACTTACAAAAAATGTCATATAATCTAGTCACTGGTCTGCTTCTGGCCTTTTGGGGGATTTTGTTCCATCAGTTATCTCCCTTATATGTTAAAAAGTCAAGTTTTGTGATTAATGAACTAGGTCATTCCCATCAGCATATAAGCATGCTTCGGTTGGAAAACCACAAATGAAATCATGAGTGTTCCTAGCCATTTGCCATATGCCCTCCCTATTCTGTCCTCATAGAGTGAGCAGATGGCTATGGACCAGAAAGGTGGCCCTCGCCAGGCACTGAATCTGCCTGCACCTTTATCTTGGACTGTGCAGGCTCCAGTCTGTGTGCACATGTGCATGTGCACATATACCCACATTCACACTGTCTATGAGAAAGGAACATTTATTTCTCAGGAAGCAAATAGAACTGACTAATTGTCATACTAATCAGAGGACAAGTAGAGCAGATAACTGAGAGAGCCAGATGGGCAAAAATGATTTGCATTATAAAGAATAGAGGGAAATAACTGTCAAAATAGAATTCCATACCTAGCTAAACTATGTATCTCAAGAATGAGAGTGAAAAGAGAATGTTCACACCCAAAGACATTGGGAGGGTTTACCATCCAGAAATTCCCATGAAGGAGTAGGATGCCAGAAACAGTGAGGAAAACTGGAATGTAAGTTCTAAGACCTGGGAGAGCAGGAGCCCTGTCTATGCTGTTTGCTACTAGATCCCAGTGTCTAGAATGGCACCTGACACAAGGTATGCACTTAGTAAATATGTGTTCAAAGAATGGAATTGGTATAAAAAATAAGTTATGGCCAGGCGCGATAGCCCACGCCTGTAACCCCAGCACTTTGGGAGGCTGAGGCGGGTGGATCACCTGAAGTCAGGAGTTATAGACTAGCCTGGCCAATATGACGAAATGCTGTCTCTACAGAAAATACAAAAATTAGCCAGATATGTTGGTACATGCCTGTAATCCCAGCTACTCGGGAGGCTGAGGCATGAGAATTGCTTGAACCCAGGAGGCGGAGGTTGCAGTGAATCGAGATCGTGCCACTGCACTCCAATCTGGGTGACCGAGCTAGACTCTGTCTCAAAATAAAAATTAAAATAAATTAAATTAAAAATAAGTTATACATTTTGTGTTTAATAATTGGATGGAACCAAAACTCTAGACAATATAACAAGGAGAAATGGCAGTAGTTTTCAGTGGATAATAAAGTATTTAAGATCTTTGTAAGGAGAACCAATATGGGGAATAAGTTAAGAATTTGTTAGAAAAATGTGCAATTCAGCATATATGTTAAGAATTGAAGGATAATTACCAAAAAACTAAAATAAGACAAAAAGAATATAACCTAAAACTTCCAAACCACCAGACGAAGGAAAACAAGATTAAAGAATAATCCATCTATTCTACAAAAAGGAAGAAAGGAGAGGAGAGATAAAGGTAAAAGAATAGAAAAACTATGAGGTAAAACAGTAGAAATAAATCCAAATATCTCAGCAATTACAATAAGTGGAAAGGAACATTATAGGAAACTGAAGAAAAGATAATATATATTTTAAAAAGTTACACCTAAAGAAGAATCACACAAAAAGTAACATAAATGGATGGAGGAGACTGTGACCTTTAACTCCCTTTAGCTTTCATCTTCAGCCTACCTGCCCTGCTAAGTCAAAAAAGGCTGCTGGGGCCACTGGACAGCTGGGCTCACTGGGAGCCTGCTTTGAGGAATCTCACTGAGGAGATCTGGCATGTCGTTACCTCACTCATGGTTTACCTGAGAACAAAGTGCTGGCAACACAGAGCGGGGAGTAGAGGACTGGGAAGGGGAAGGATTCTGGAGGGAGTTTGGCTGGCAGAGCTCCGCGAAATCCTAGGGAAGGGTTTTCTCAGTTTTGGGAGTGTGGCTGAGAGTAAGGCTAGAGATGGGCCTACCGGGAGAGCTGCATTCTCCCTGTGCCTGAGGTAGGCAGGTTGAAGGAGACCTGGAAAGAGGGGAACCCCTTCTGTTTCCAAGGTGGTGGCATGGCAGCCCAGAGGGCTAGAGACCACTTTGCCATCTATTATTCCAATTGTCAAAATTCGAGGTGCTCCACAAACCATACCTGAGCCCTCTCTTCAAAGCACACTTAAGGTAGCCTGGCATTCTGAGAGCAAAGATCATTAGAATAAAACTAGAGTCGCTGGTGGATAAGGCAACAATTGAACGAGAACATTTTTAAATAAAATCATTTCACAGATACCCAGTGAGCACCTACTCTGTGATTACCATCATTGGCACTGAGGTATTAGCAAGAACACAGTCAATATCAATAAAGAGCTTCAAGTGCAGCATAAAAATACTTCCTGGGACTGAATACCAAAATTTCCATTAAAAATGGAAAAAATTGAAAGATAGAATGGCCACTGTTTAAATGCAGAGTAGTGGCATGGAAAATCAAGATGAAGAAACTTCTCAAACCATCTAAGGAACATCACTAGAAATCACAAGGGCAAAAGTGAGCCTTTGAGGAGAGATCCAGAAGGGCTAACAGGTGAGCAAAAGAGTTTTCAGATGGATTTAAAAAGGAACAGATATAAGACAGGCAATAATAAAAAAAAATGAAAGAACATTAACTGAGATTAAGAAAATTCCAAGGCTATATATTACAATCCACTAAATTCCAGGGAGCACTGAAAAAATGTAGGCATATCCAAGGAATATATTCCTCAGTTTTAAGGTTAAGGGGGAAATATTACAAGTATCCAAACAGAAAGAGCAAAAGCAAAATACACCTCACTGGTATTAGATTTTGTTTATACAACAGTAGAAGCTTGAAGACCGTGAAATCAACATCTACCGTCTACTTAAGACAAAAGAACCAAAGTCCAGAATTTCTATTTCCAGACAAGAGATTATTCATCTTTCAGATTAAAAAAGTTTATGACCTGGTTATCCCAACTAAGGAAAATACTCAAGAAAGAACTTTAATAAAACAAATGAAAAAGAACAGACATTTCAATAAAGGGGAAGAAAATGAGGAGAGGACTAGTGATAAGAAATGCTTGGCTGTTTCTCTCATTTTATCTCATATTTATTCGTGTGTTTTCTGTCTATCCATATAAATCAAAATGGAGTACTAGATAAGGATTTTTTTTTTTTTTTTTTGAGACACTCTCCCTCTGTCACCCAGGCTGGAGTGCAGTGGTGATCTCGGCTCAGTGCTACTTCCACCTCCTGGGTTCAAGCAATTCTCCTGCCTCAGTCTCTTGAGTAGCTGGAATTACAGGTGTGTTCTACCACGCTCAGCTAATTTTTGTATTTTTGGTAGAGATAGGGTTTCACCATGTTAGCCAGGCTGGTCTCAAACTCCTGACCTCAAGTGATCTACCCACCTTGGCCTCCCAGAGTGCTGGGATTACAGGCGTGAGTCACCGCACCCAGCTTAGATAAGGATTTTTGAACAGAGACATCTTAGCCAATGTGGGCTGCTATAACAAAATTACCATAGACTGGGTGGCTTATACAGAACAGAAATTTATTTCTCACAGTTCTGGAGCCTGGACAGTCCAAGATAAAGGCACAGGCAAATTCAGTGTCTGGTGAGGGCTGCCTTCCTGGTTCATAGACAGCCATCTGTTCACTGTGCCCTCACGTGGCAGAGGGGCAAGGGATCTCCCTGGGTTCTCTTTTATAAGAGGACTAATTCGATTCACTGAATCACCCCCACATCAAATAAGGGTACTAATTCCATTCACCTTATCACCTCCCAAAGGCCCCACCTCCCTCCCATACAGCCTATAGCAAGAAAGGACATGTTGCAAGGGAAATGAGCATTTTCAACACCTAAAAATTATGATGTTCAAATAGGTAATACATTCACATAGTTAAAAACTAAAAAAGTTACAAAAAGATATAGACTGAGAAGTCTCTATCCCACCTCTCTGTATATTCACCCTGATTTTTCCCTGTCCCTTACAGGTAATCTTTTTTTATTTTATATCTTTTCAGCATTTTCTAATGGAAATTCAAATAATTATGAATATAATGAATATATATACTTTTCTTCCTTTTATTATACTATATACAAAGTATGCTAAATTATTTTCTTCACTTATCAATAATTATCATAGGAAAAAATCCATATTAGTAAATGGAGAATAGCCTCTTTTTCTTTTGTTTTTTGTTTCTTTTTTCCAGCTACAAGTATTCCATTGTATGAACTAGCCAGAGTTTATTTAAATTATCATCCATTGCTGGATGCTTGGGTAATTTCCCAATATTTTGCTATTACAAACAATGCTCCCATGAATAATTTTGTACCTAGAAATTTTATGTGTCCAGACATATAGATACAATACATCCTAGAACTTGATTGGGAGATCAAGGGATAAATACTTATGCACTTTTAAAAAATAATCACGAATTGTCCTTCATGGAAGTTTTTATAATTAGCAAGGATATTATAATAAGTCCTATTAAACTAAAATATCTTAGTAAAACTCATTGATGGTTGATAGTGATGAGGGAGAGGGGAAATACAGTGTTCCAAAGGTAGAAGGGTGCTGGGATTGGGGAGTGGAGGGAGGGGAAAAAGTGAAATTATTTTTAAGAGTTTAAGGATCTATCTTTAAATAAGACCTCTTTTACTAATGATTGAAGCAAAGGTGTTCAGAATGAGATATATGTGGGTGTTTAGACAGGTAGTTGAACATGTGAATACTTAATGATTTATTCATTCAGTAAGTCTCATCCATTCAACAAATATTTGTTGAGCACTTCCTATATTCCATGCTTATTCAGACAAGAATGATTCCATAGTGAACGAGACAAAGTCCCTACTTTCATGTAGCTTAACATTCAACTGAGGGGGCTAGATCATTAAAAAATACACAAACAAATACATAATGTGATTTTAGATAGTAATAAGTGCTCGTTGAAATTAAAGCAGAGTAAGAGAAAGAGTGAGGGGAAGATAATATTCTGTTTTAAATAGGGTGATTAAAGCAGGCCTTTTCAAAGAGATGAAATTTAAGCAGAAACTTGAGTAACTTGGAATAATTATTTTGACACAGCATTTCCAGTCAAAGGTAATAGGAAGTATAAGATCCCTAAATTAGGGATTTGGCATGAGATAAAATCTGTTAGTTATCCACCAAAATCTGTTTAGTGGCAACAGCAAGGAATATGGATCACTTCTTTAAGGATAAAATTAAAATTCTTGTGACACACAAAATGCTTACTGCTTCAGCCTGAGTGTGCCTGCCTCTACCTGCAGCCATCCTGCCCCTACTGCAGCCATCCTGCCTGGCCATGCTAAACCACTCACCTTCCCTGAATGTGCTAACATTTCTCACACCTCGACTCCTTTGCATAACATGTTTTGTCTTCTTAGCATGCACTGCTTCCTCCTATTTCACTTAGAGAATTTCAACTCATTCTTCAGAAATCCCTCCCTGACCACCAAGGTGCTCCTCCTGTGCATGCTCCAAGTTCTCAGCACAAATTCCTATCATTATCACCCTATTTTGTCTGTTGAGCCCCCAGACTAGCCTCACAAGATTTTAGGTTCCGGTCAAGATCTATCTTATTTACTATTGTATCCCGATAAATTACCACACGGCCTTGCACATAGGCAGTCTCAATGAATATTTATTGAGTCAATGAGTGAATAAATGAAGACAGACTGGATTCAAATTTTGGACTAACTTATCAGCCATGTAACATAAAATTTTGAACAAGTTGTATAACTCTCTGGACCTCAATTTCTTCATTTTAAAATGAGCATAACAATATCTACCTCTTAGAAATGAGGTGATTAAGTAACATTACATATGAAAAATCTCAGTACAGTACATGGCACAATGTAGATACTTAAAAAAATTCGTTGGCGGCCAGTCATAGTGGCTCATGCCTATAGTCCCAGTGCTTTACAAAGCCAAAGCAGGAGAATTGCTTAAGTTCAGGAGCTCTAGACTAGCCTGGGCAATATAGTGAGACTCCTTTCCCTCAAAAAATTAAAAAATTACCCAGGCATGGTGGTGCACACCTGTAGTCCCAGCTGTTTGGGAGGCTGAGGCGGGAGGATTTATTAAGCTGAAGAGTTTGAGGCTGGAGTGAGCTACGATCATGCCACTGCACTCTAGCCTGGGTGACAGAGCCAGGACCCCATATCAATCAATCAATAAATAAAGTGACTCCTCGGTCAGCGCAGTGGCTCACACCTATAATGCCAGCACTTTGGGAGGCCGAGGGGGGTGGATCACTTGAGGTCAGGAGTTCGAGACCAGCCTGGCCAACATGGTGAAACCTTGTCTCTACTAAAATACAAAAAAAATTAGCCAGGCGTGGTGGCGTGTGACTATAATCCCAGCTACTCAGGAGGCTGAGGCAGGAGAATCACTTGAACCTGAGAGGTGGAGTTTGTAGTGAGCCGAAATTGTGCTACTGCACTCCAGCCTGGGCAACAGAGTAAGACTCCTTCTCAATTTAAAAAAAAAAAAAAAAAAAAAAGAAGTGTCTCCTCATGTGTTCAAGTTTTGTCATTAGATATCAGCAAAGGCTTTTGCACACAGATCATACAGATTTTATTATTAGTCTATAAAAATGTAAAAAAGTCTTTCTTACATCCCAACAGAAATTTGAAGGTCAGAATCTTCCTATAATAAAATAATCTCAAACTGTTGCATTTAATTAATATCCAACATTTATATCCAACATATTCAATATATTGAAGCTTGTCTCTCATGACCAATTTTCAAAACCTTTTTCCTGTTTCTTCTTGCTGCTGTCAGGCTTCTGGGAATGCTCCTTAAACCCAGCTGCCACTAATGAGGAATAAAAGATAAATATGTGACCCATTGTAACTGTGCTGAAAGACTAATGGCTTCTGGTAGCTTCTGAAAGACAGTTCATAGACAAGGGCATCCTCCATTAACATATGCTAATTCATGTGTGATTTCTTTTCTCTTTATGCCTTTTTTGTGCATTGTTCAAAATGTATATTCCTGTTTCCTGTCCTCATTCTACAGTCTTTTATTTGCATACAATTTTTGTCTCTTTGCCTCACATTCCTGAACTATCAAACTTTGAAATTTTTTAGTTTTTTCTATCTTATATCTTAAGATATCTTAAGTCTACATATTGGCTAAGTGATATTTTATTTATTTATGTAGGTTGACTATGTGAAAGGAAAACTGTGGTATAATGAAAGATGTTTTGCTAACAGAGAGCACTTTGAAGGTAAATTTTGGTTAAAGATATACTGTATTAAGAGACTTTTACATATATGTGTAACTGAATGCAAGCTCAGCCTTTGGAATGGTCTTTTAAGACCATTCCAAACTTTAGGCTGGGGAGGGTTTAAAAAGGGGCACTTGGGGTGGGAGGCATTCAGGAGTGATGCTGGGTGCAAGGTCTGTGTGTCCTGTCCCAGTGGCTATCTTGAGTCATGCTCCACCTGGAACATAGGCTAGTGTCATCTTCACGATGGCCAGGTTGTAGACTAACCTCCTTGAGGTAATCTCTGGAATTTCACAGCTGAGTCTCCATGTCTGATTTGTCTCAAAATTAGCCCCTGGAACTTCTAAGCAATCGCATAATTAGATAAGCCAGCAGTACAAGGGAGTGTCGGGTGGGAAGGGAGGGAAACCAAGAATTTCAAAGTATGCTTTCAAGGCTAAAAGCAAGAAAAGAAAAAACAGTTTCAAAAATGCATTTTTAACCTAAGCCACTCAGTTGCAACTTTCCATTGTGAAATTCCATTCCATTTCTATGGAAAGTGGGTGGCATAGTCGATCTGGCTATTTCCCGCTGAGAAGGGCCATAGTTAGGAGGTACCAGAATGGAATTTGTCCACCTGGAGTTGGAAATATTCTTGAGTTCCTAGACTTGCAGTAGGAATTTGCGGGAGCATTATGGTGCAGGGACATAGGAGTTTCTGAGAACATCTTTCCTGCATCCTTGTGCAGAGTATATAATAGCAATAAAATCCACAGCAGCCGAAGAGGACAATGAGCAAAATACCAATCGTGCTATATATGAAAGTCTTCCCTGCACTAAGGGGCTGACTAAACCAATCCGTTATTGGGAGAAGGTATCTATAGCAGAATATGAGTATCCAATGCATGCATAGGTTAGGTTATATTGTGAGAATAATCTAGTATATATAGACAACAGTCTTAATGCACTAGTGCCACTTTAGGCTGCAGTCAGGATATCTACAGCCATATAGTTTTGTAAGGCCACTTGCCTAATCTGGAAGTTTCTTCAGTAAGAAGAGTGATGGCATGGTGGGTGTTATTAAAGGCAGCAGCCATATGCTTAGCCAGGGCCTCTACTTGTAATTCTACATCTATGGTCACTGCCTGGGGGAAAAAGATGGCTAGTGGGTAAAACCACCAGGATGCCCATTTTTGACAGTGGTGTCTGGCGTTTGTGCTTTCCCAGTTGGCAGGCAGAGTCTAGATGGAACAGGATTCATCCTGGTAGGTAAGGGTGCTCCCAGATGCATCTGCCAGTCCAATCAAAGGATAGGAAGGGCCAACTGTGAGTGCCACAGGCCCATAAGCAGCCCCGGGGGAAGGGTTGACTCCATGTGAGAAGGAGCTGTTTTGCTACCCCAGCCATATAGTTGCTAGTCAGTTGAAGAGTTTGATTACATTCCTGGGGAGGTAACCATCCCATGTTACAGGTGTTAGCTTGAGGTGTGCTGCGGTTGTGGTGTTCAGTGCACAGTGGTGCTTGACCTATTACCTGTATTTGTACCTCTGTCAGCCATCTGACACCACTGTGTACAGCATATCCCAAGGTGGAGATGACATTGACCTGGTTGCAACTTAGTTGAAAAACATGTTTCCTGATTTCCTGGCAAATAGGAAATTCATGAGGCTTATGATGAGATGAGTTATGGCCATGAAAGGGAAATGGGTGAATTGCCCCATACCAGGTATAGAAATGACTCCAAGTACTTAGGTTGGTGGCTTGCACGCACCACGGCAAGCCTGCAGTGGAAGAAAGGGCAATTCCCCACAGACTCAGCAGTCTGTTCTATTCTGGAGGGAAGCCACCATTTGTGCCCATTCAGCAAAAAGGTTAGTTTCAGCAGAGATAAATAATGTATTCATGACTACAAAACTTGTTAAGTTCATGTTAAGAAAAGGATAGTACTTATCTGTGTGTTTTTTTTCTTTAATACAGCTTTAGGTCTTTTCTTGGCACACATGAACAGGCAGGCTGGTTGTCTGAGGTATCAGGTTGAGGATGAGCCTTCACCTGAGTGTGATGTATCCAGGGTTTAATTCCAGCCAGTTTGACAGATGAATGCATGGTCAGCAGTGCATCATAAGTCCCATCCATTTTTGACTAGCTGCCAGTCAGGTCCTTGTTTTTTTCCAAGACTTTTTAGCAGTACCTTAACTCTTGGTGGAAAGGGTGAAGGGGCTTGCCCCTAGGGTATGAGGACCTGGAAGCAGAAAACTGATGCATGGTTAGTAATGTCTGTCCTAACTGGTGTATGTATTGTTTAATTCTTAATTCATTTATTAGGTCTAAAGGCGGGACTCCCAGGGAGCGTCTCCCATAAACAATCTCAAAAGGGTTCAACCTGCTCCCACTTCGGGATGTTACCTTGACTCAGAGTAAGGCAATGGGAAAAATTCATCCCAAGTCAAATTACTTTCTTGACATATTTTGGCAATGCAATTTTTTTAGAGTGTGGCTTCTCTCTTTAGTTTTTCCTGTCATTGTGGTCTTTCAGATGACAATCTACAAGTTGTAGGAAGGGGTGAGTCACAGTTTGCCCTGACATTCCTGCAACCATCACAGTCTTTTTTGAATCAGAGGATAGGCAGATGTTAACTATAGAATATATAGCCCCCCATATCAATAAGAAAGTAAGTTTGTTCTCCATTGTCCATTATGCTCAGGGGTCCTGTGGGGACATGATGAAACGTTGGCTAAACGTACGAATTGAACAAGTTATAGGAGGACCTATGAATATTTATGAAAGTGGTCCTGACACATGCATATTGAACGAACATGCATATAACATATGACTCCGTTTACCTTGTGGGGAGACTTAATCGTTTTCTGGCATGGGCTTAGGTCCTGTTTATAATTTGATAGCTTATTGCCATAAAGAACCTGTTCTGTCAGTCTTATGATAATTAATAGTGGTCAATAGTAGTGTCTAAATCATAAAATGGAGGGAATATAATGAGGCATGCCTGACTTTCCATCCCATCATGGCTGGGGATTAAGTTTTTAAGGGTTTTTCTTGGGGTTCCCTTGGCCAAGGGGGAGGGTTTGTTCAGTTGGTAGGGGACTCAGTATTTTATTTTTTGGTTTATATTTCCTCTTTTTTGGTAAAGATATGCCAGAGGCAGTATCAATGGCCAAGTTTTACTTTGTCCCATACTAATGCTGGGGTGGTATGACTACCTTTCCCAGGTCTGTCATGCCCTCCAGTGGGACACCTATGGCCAAGGAACTTAGAGTCAAAAGACTTATAGCCAATTAAACATTTCAGGCCAGATTAGAATGGAGGTGGGCAGGCACTCATTAACCCTTAAAATTCCTTTTAAACAGCATAAGAGCTGAAAACCAAAAGCCAAAAACAAAGTTATAAAATTGACTTATGTATATATTTTATGCATTGGGCTGCTATAGTCTTAGCTTGTAGCAATTAGTTATACAAAACACAAGCATTTTGTTTAGCTGTTTAGGCATCTGTGTGCCTGTCCTTGATTTGGAGGTTCTGAACTAAGTTTATGCCTCAAAACCAGCCCTTATAATATCACATGACCACCACTTCTGCAATAGTCCCTGGGCCTAGAAGGATTGGATAGTTTCAGTTTTGGAGGTAAAGTAAAACATAATTGGCAACATTTCAAACAAAATGGTCATAAGCCTTGCCTCATTCTGAGAATGACAGGAAAGGAAGCTCACAGGTAGCTAAACATTTAAATTATTTAGAATTAAGGCACAGAATAAATTATATTAATTCAGATGGGGCAGAATTAGTAAATGAATCTTAATGTTTTTTAATACAGGCTTGTCCTGTGTCCTATTAAGGCAGTATACTTTGATTGTTGCCTTTGTCTGGGTCTAAAGATGAGGCTTTGGTTGACTTGAGATTGGTATCAGATACTGGCAGAGTCAGCGTCTTCTTTAGATGAGGTATGTCCATCTAGGAGTCAAAGCCCTGTAACTTAACAGCACATGGATTAGTTAATGGCACCTGTTAAGGACATTTTCAAGAGGCTGGAGATGGTGATACTGGAGTCTATGACCTGACTGGAAGCCATAAAAAGATTTACAGACTTGCATTGATTAATTTTTATAGCTTTGATGAGCCCAAGAAAGAGGTCAGAGATTTAATTTAGGATTTGATTTCAAGGACGTTTGTGAAAGATGTTAAAAGGCTCAAAACATTTGGTCAAAATAGAATGATAGGTCATTGTAAAACAATATTCATCTAACCAAAGTGATAATCAAAAGACTTTAAGGGCAACATAGAAGGTTATGTGGCTGTAAAAACCTTAACCCTTTTAAATCTGAGGTTTTTTAAGCCATCAAAAATCTAATAAAGACAACATAGAAATTATCTTGATAAGATGTAAAATCTTACATCTGATATAGGCCATCCATGGATATGGCATATGACATAGGCCATCTATGGCATGCTTAGACTTTCTATCTTGTCCTATATTATCTCTTTCCTAAACAACCATTTTACTTTAGGACAGAAATTTACCATATAAGATATTTCCTCATACAAAATTATTTTAATAAGAACACAACTTACAGAATTATATATTACCTAGTATTTTTATTTTTAATAACTTTAAACTTTAGTGAAAGCTTAGGAAGCAAGAAATCCTGAACTGTTTATCAGATGTTAACATTTTATAGATGAAATAATTCTACAAGTTTTATAAACATGTTTTCCCACATCATAACCCGTTTTTAGTTGGAAATGACCCAGACATCTAAATAAGCATCCAAAATAATTTTAAGATTTTAAATTTCATTTAAAGTTTACCTGCAAGCATTTACCCCATTTACACGTAACTTGATTTTTTCATTTTTAATCATTTATCTAGACTACTTTTGAAAATGGAGATATTAGACAGCACTAGTCATCATTTAAAGTTATTTTCCTGTTAACCATTTTTAAAGCTTGTAAACATCAGGGATTCACCTAAGAACCTTAAAGTTAAACACATGGGCATTTTGCTGACAACTTAGAAGATTCAGCTGTTTTTATTGAACCACCAATATTACATTAGTCTTATTTATCAAAAAAAATCATACAAACAAAGATCATTCTGCTTTTGGCTGGGTTTATAGCCTTATAACTTTTATGCCAAATCCAGACAGCTTAATCTATCTAGCAGAGGCAAATACAAAACATATCTAATCAGTAAACTCAGACAAAAATGTATGCTGACACTTCTGAAGACATTTCTATGTTAATTTTATTAATCATATTTAAAACCAGTTTTATTTATCAAAGATGCATGTGCACTTGAAGAGCTTTTGGATTTCATTTATGAGTACTCATTTACTTATAAGCCAGCTTGGTAGTGTGCCAGATATGACATATCACATAATACATCAACATCACATAAATATATCTAAACATGTATATGCACACACAAATATCCAATAGCTTTTACCTTAGAATTCTAGCCACAAGATAGCAATATAATCTCATCATTTTATAAAAGATAGCTGGATCTGAATTATTTTTGTGACAAAATTGGAATCTGTTCACATGGCTGAACTTTGTTTGCCTTAGTAGGTAATCCAAGAAAGGCAATGGACCAAAATTTGGCTAAAGCAGTCTTTACGGCAGTTCAGTTTTGTTTTTTATTTTACTTTAAGTTCCAGGATACAAGTGCAGAACGTGTAGGCTCGTTACATAGGTATATATGTGCCATGGTGGTTTGCTGCATCTTTCAACTGTCATCTAGGTTTTAAGCCCCACATGCATTAGCTATTTGTCCTAATGCTCTCTCCCCCCTTGCCCCCCACCTGCCAACTGGCCCTGGTGTGTGTTGTTCCCTTCCCTGTGTCCATGTGTTCTCACTGTTCAACTCCCACTTATGAGTAAGAACATGCGGTGTTTGGTTTTCTTCTGTTCCTGTGTTAGTTTGCTGAGGATTATGGCTTCCAGCTTCATCCATGTCCCTGCAAAGGACATGATCTCATTCCTTTTTAGGGCTGCATAGTATTCCATGGTGTACATGTACCCATTTTCTTTATCCCGTCTACCATTGATGGGTATTTGGGTTGGTTGCATGTCTTTGCTATTGTAACTAGTGCTGCAATACAGTAGCAAGTAGATAAGGGCCCAAATGCGCATGTGCCTTTATAGTAGAATGATTTATTTTCCTTAGAGTATATACCCAGTAATGGGATTGCTAGGTCAAATGACATTTCTGGTTCTAGATCCTTGAGGAATTGCCACACTGTCTCCACAATGGCTGAACTAATTTACATTCCCACCAACAGTGTAAAAGCGTTCCTATTTCTCCACAGCCTTGCCAGCATCTATTGTTTCTTGGCTTTTTAATAATCACCATTCTGACAGGTATAAGATGGTATCTCATTGTGGTTTTGATTTGCATTTCTTTAATGATTAGTGATGTTGCACTCTTTTTTCATATGTTTCTTGGCTGCATAAATGTCTTATTTTGAGAAGTGTCTGTTCATATCCTTTGCCCACTTTTTGATGGGATTTTTTTTCTTGTAAATTTGTTTAAGTTCCTTGTAGATTCTTTGTAGATTCTTGGGTAGATTACAAAAATATTCTCCCATTCGTAGGTTGCCTGTTCCCTCTAATGATAGTTTCTTTTGCTGTGCAGAAGCTCTTTAGTTTAATTAGATCCTGTTTGTCAATTTTGGCTTTTCTTACAATTGCTTTTGGTGTTTTCATCATGAAGTCTTTGCCCATGCCTATGTCCTGAATGGTATTGCCTAGGTTTTCTTCCAGGATTTTTATGGCTTTGGGTTTTACATTTAAGTGTTTAATCCATCTTGAATTAATTTTTCTATAAGGTGTGAGGAAGGGGTTCAGTTTCAGTTTTCTGCATATGGCTAGCCAGTTTTCCCAGCACCATTTATTAAATAGGGAATTCTTTCCCCATTGCTTGTTTTTCTCAGGTTTTTCGAAGATGAGATGGTTGTAGATGTGTGGTGTTATTTCTGAAGTCTCTGTTATGTTCCATTGGTCTAGATGTCTGTTTTGGTACCAGTACCATGCTGTATTGGTTACTGTAGACTTGTAGTATAGTTCGAAGTCAGGTAGCATGATGCTTCCAGCTTTGTTCTTTTTGCTTAGGATTGTCTTGGCTATACGGGCTCTTTTTTGGTTCCATACCATTGACATTCCTTACAGAATTTGAAAAAACTAATTTAAATTTCATGTGGCAGTTCAGTTTTTAAAAGTCTCTTTTATCCTTTTTTTCTTCCATTCCAAATGAGCTTCCAA
Source organism: Homo sapiens (assembly GCF_000001405.40). Classification (NCBI taxonomy): domain Eukaryota; kingdom Metazoa; phylum Chordata; class Mammalia; order Primates; family Hominidae; genus Homo; species Homo sapiens. The sequence continues at coordinate 91,676,621 of NC_000014.9, read as the reverse complement.
TGTTTACATTTCAGTTAGAACATAAATAATGAGTCTTAGCACCACAGCTTAGTAAAAGCAGATTCAAAGCAGATTCAAGGCAGGCAGAAAAAAAAAAAGAAGATAGAGAACTTTAGAACTCTGATTAACTTTATAGTTGCAAATTAACCATGTGAGCTCTGAATTTTTTTTGCTATAACTTGCCCCTCAGTTTAAAATGTGCACAGAAATGGACCATAATATGTGACCAGCTGGAGTCCCAAAGAGGATGACAAAATCAGGGGCCTTTAGTGAGCAGAGGAGCAGCCTATATTGATGCCTTGCTTTTGCCTCTGTATCAATAATTCCCTGCAACTAGATTGCCAGGAGTTGGGTGAATCCTCCTTATTTTACACAACCAGTGTTGATGGTACCATTCATGGTCCCAATAGGCATGCCTGTGTAAATTTTGCCACACAGTCAGGAGAGCCAAACATGTAAAAGAATTAATTTCCCCAACAGTCTAATGACTGGCGATGACCAATATAGCCTTTTTTTTAACACATCAACCTTAATCTAAGTTCAGGTCCTGCTGCAATCCCAGTAAGCAGTAATGGAAGGGCAACAAATGAGATGGCAAAACAAGTGGACAGAAAGGGCAAAAGAATTGGAGTTGGGACTGTTTAAACATTTATCCCAGGTATTTCCGACAAATAACATTGAAAACCGTAAGTGGGATACAGGCCCATTTAGATAACCCACAGAAGAATTCACATGCTTCTTTCCCCCATAAGATTTGGCACAGCTCTGAGAAGTACTTTGGGGTCCGAGAAAGAGCAACCCAGCCAAGAACCAGGGTGACAAAAGCTGTTCTACTTCAGGGTTGGATCCCTAGATTGAGTGGGGGGCTTAGACAGGCTGCCTTAAAGGGTAGAGAAAGAAGGAAAGAAAGTTGCAAGTAGATAAGGGCCCAAATGTAGATCACATACATACACAGATTCAGATGGTGCACTCCCAGGCTGATTCCCCATCAAGGGGACTAGATAAAAGTCCTGAAACCTTGTCTCAACTTCAGATGGCCCCATGAGCAGCTAGGTCAAAACAGAACAAAGCTCAAGTGGTGCCACAGATAAAGATGATGTACCTGCCCAGACAATGTCGCAAGCAGCTACATCCAAATGGAGCAGAGCTCAAGTGTTACCACAGAAGAGACAGAGGAGACCTGGGTGCATTCCAGTTGACTTATCCAGTTCTGAAGTCTGTTAGCTTCTTCACTTGTCACTTTCCCTGCACCAGCAAAGTGTAGTAGGCAGCTAACGCCATGACAGGGAGAGAAGGGAGATTTCCTGAGACTAAAGTATCTCAGCAGCTGCCAGGAAAATGCCCAGAGCCCCAGCTGCAGGGTCAGCTAGCCATCAGCAGCTAATATTCATGAGCAACTCTTGTCCCATCCAGTAGCATGAATAGGAAAGCCCTGACACACTGCTGCGGCCAATTGCCCCACTCGTTGCAAACCAGGTTGACAGACTAGACCACTCAAAATGCAGACTCCCTAAAGGGACTACCAAATTTGTAATGAATGCAAGCTTGGCTGCTTGCCACATATAAAGCCAAATGAACAAGGATGAGATGCAGTGAAAGGAAAGTGACTTTTATTCCAAAAGCCAGCAGTTGGGAGAGTGGCCAGGCTCACGCCTTTAAAAGACCATTCCAAACTTTAGGCTGGGGAGAGGAGTTTAGAAGGGGGAACTTGGGGTGGGAGGCATTCAGGAGTGATGCTGGGTGCAAGGTCTGTGTGTCCTGTCCCAGTGGCTATCTTGAGTCATGCTCCACCTGGAACATAGGCTGGTGTCATCTTCACGATGGCCAGGTTGTAGACTAACCTCCTTGAGGTAATCTCTGGAATTTTACAACTGAGTCTCCATGTCTGATTTGTTTCAAAATTAGCCCCTGGAACTTCTAAGCAAGAACATAATTAGATAAGCCAGCAGTGCATGGAGTGTCGAGTGGGAAGGGAGGGAAACAAAATTCCAAAGTATGTTTTCAAGGCAAAAATCAAGAAAGGAATAAAAAAAATTTTAAAATGCACTTTGAATCTAAGCTACTCAGTTACAACTAGATTAAATAAAATGACATAAAATAAAACTAGAACAAAATATAAAGACAAGTTTGCTTTATATAAGTTAATGGCCTAAAATAAAAAACATTCTAATTTAAATCTGAGACAATAGGTACACTTGAAATAGGGATAAGAAAATTAGATTTGAGTATACATTACTTGATGATACATAACTTTTATTATTATTATTATTTTCATTTACCATAAGTTTACTTGCAAAAATAATTTCTATGATTTTCATGAAGACTATTAAGACTAACCCTTCCAGTTTTAGAAATACAGATATGCTCATAATTCCTGTACCCTTGTATTTATTTCACAGTTGATTATGTTACAGTTACCTTTGAGAGAAACAGAACCCTAAGTGAGGTATGATATTGAATATTTTATAAGTTAAGAAATTTTGTTGTGGGATTGGGGACTTCATGGATTGGGATTAATCTAAAAAATGGCAATTCTACAGACTGAAAGGCTTCACAATCACTCTTTGCTCCCAGTGGTGTTTCTACTTGGGTTTATTAGTACTTACCTAATTATGTTAATCAGGACCTAAGCAATGGTTCTAGAAAAACAATTCGTACCAGAAAGACATGCATTGCAATGTTTTCTGGGCTCATATCCCTCAGAAGAGAGGCACAGACATTAAGGATTTTTTTTTTTTTTGAGACAGAGTCTCGCTCTGTCTCCAGGCTGGAGCGCAGTGGCATGATCTTGGCTCACTGCAACCTCTGCCTCCCAGGTTCAAGCAATTCTCCTGCCTCAGCATACCAAGTAGCTGGGACTACAGGCACGCTCCACCATGTCCAGCTAATTTTTGTATTTTTAGTAGAGACAGGGTTTCACCATGTTGGCCAGGATGGTCTTGATCTCTTGACCTCGTGACCCACCCCCCTTGGCCTCCCAAAGTGCTGGGGTTACAGGCGTGAGCACCAAACCCAGCCACATTAAGGATTTTTTAAAAAACAATTGTGATCAGTCAGAGCAACACTATGGTTGTTAATTTATTTTCCTACTGTTACTAAAACACCAGGGATTCAGTCTAGGTCCTGCTGCTTGCTGTATAGACTGCCAGTCACTGAGTCAACAAGTATTGCCAGGGAGAAGGCTTTAATCAGGTGCTGCAGCCAAGGAGAATGGTAGATAAAAATCTCAAACCTGTCTCTCTGAGTAAAATTGGGGGATTTACACAGAAAGGAAGGTAGGAAAACAGGAATTAGAGATGGGTGAAGAAGCAATCATGATGGATGAGGAGTCTGACTTCTCATTATCTGGGTGCAGTGATCCGTTGAGTTTCAGTTCCTTGCCTAAGGGTCGATTTCCTAAAGAAGGAATTCAGATGAGAAAAACGTTTTAAGACCAGGGAGTTTAAAGACCAGTGGGTTTTAAGACCAGGGAGGGAAGGTTAATTTCTATGTTTGTTCAAAAAACTGTAAATATTACTTCTATGAACAAGTGGGCTAGTTTCACTAAGAGAATTAGAACTTATATTTCAAAAACAGCATTAATTTTTCCCTTCTTTTTTTTATAGTCAAGCTCTTGTTTTTATAGTCAGGAACCATTTCTTGAATGGGTACCCTGCTTACCTCACATTTTTAAAGGAATAAAAATTTTTCCAACTGTGCTAACATTTCTTGTTGACCAAGAGCGTGGTACTGGAGTTTACCTCTTCTATAACAAGGTAGGCCTTATATCCCAGAGGGAATTTATCTTGACATGACAACAATAAAAATTTACCTTAGCAAAAGTTATTTTCAAGTTCTTGTTATGTCTGGCAATAGAACCTATAAAATTGGCTATAGCAAAATTATTTAAAATCAATAATATAGCTTGACACTTTAGAGATTTCTCACCTGGTCGTCATTCATTTTGATGAAAATGGAAAACGTGATGCTGTATGCATAGTGATTCTCCCTTGCTAATTCTCTAAAGAATATAAGCTGGGATTTTTCTATACAAATTTAAGATTCCATAAAATGGTTAATTAAACAGAAAAAAAAATGGAAGTAATTGCCACAGATCTATATTTTTTTCTTCCAAACGTCCTTAACCCTACCTGTGAATTAGAATTCTTCTTAGAGCCATTAAAAAACACATAAACTGACAGTTGTGATGGCTCATGCCTGTAATCCCAGCAACTCGGGAGGCTGAGGCAGGAGGCTTGAGGCCAGGATTTCAAAACCACAGTGAGGCACTACTGCACTCCAGCACACCAGGTGAGGTGACAGAGCAAAATCCAGTCTGAGAAAACAAACAAGCAAGCAAACAAAAAAACAAACAAACAAATAAAACCATAAGTTCGGCCCCTATCGTCAAGATTGTAGGGAAGGAAAAAGCTCTTTCCTCCATCTTCGTATGTTCAATGAGTGGAGCCTTGCAAATTAAACTGAAAAAAAAATATTAATAGGAGAAAACAGTTTATTTACATGTGCAGTGTGCACACATGGGAAACTCAGTGATGAGGTTAAAATTTGGAAGTTAGGTACCATCTTTTTGTTGTTGTTGTTGTTGTTGTTGTTGTTGTTTTTGAGACAGAGTCTCCCTCTGTTGCCCAGGCTGGAGTGCAGTGGTGCAATCTCGGCTCACTGCAAGCTCCGCCTCCCGGGTTCACGCCATTCTCCTGCCTCAGCCTCTCCGAGTAGCTGGGACTACAGGCGCCCGCCACCATGCCTGGCTAATTTTTTGTATTTTTAGTAGAGGCAGGGTTTCACCGTGGTCTCGATCTCCTGACCTCGTGATCTGCCCGCCTCGGCCTCCCAAAGTGCTGGGATTACAAGCGTGAGCCACCGAGCCTGGACGGTTAGGTACCATCTTAATAGGTGAAGGGGAAAGGGAGAAAACCATTTATGGAAAAACAAATTGCTTTTAAAAAAAAAGAAAAAAAGATAAATGGGTTTTCAGGACAGCAAACAGGAGATACGATTTTTTTTTGTTGGTTGGTTTTTTGGGGTTTTTTTGAGATGGGGTCTCGCTCTGCTGCCCAGGCTGGAGTGCAATGGTGCAATCTTGGCTCACTGCAACCTCGGCGCACTGCAACCTCTGCCTCCCAGGCTCAAGCGATTCTCCTGCCATAGCCTCCCAAGTAGCTGGGATTACAGGTGCCCACCACCACACCTGGTCAATTTTTGTATTTTTTAGTAGAGATGGGGTTTTGTCATGTTGGCCAGGCTGGTCTTGAACTCCTGACCTCAAGTGATCCACCCACGTTGGCGTCCCAAAGTGCTGGAATTGCAGGCATGAGCCACAGCGCCTGGCCAGGAGATATGAAAGTTTTTGATAATGTTTGTAAATCTAGGTATGAGTGGTCTTTCCTTCTCCTTCAGGGGTATAAAACTCCTCTGGAGAAGGGATTTGGGACAGGTTTTATTTACATTCTTCCTTCTAGGAGTAGATCTGCCCCAAGGAGGAATTTCTGTCAGCCTCATTTCCCAGCAGTTCCTGCTTTTAGTCAGACACAAAAGGCTCCAAAGTTTTTTCTCTGCATCTGTTGAATCTCAACAGTCTTCAGCTTAAAATTATCCTTATATAAAAGTGGCATTTTTTTGTTTTGAGACAGGGTCCCTGTCACCCAGGCTGGAGTGCAGTGGAGCGATCTTGGCTCACTGCAACCTCTGCCTCCCGGTTTCAAGAGATTCTCCCACCTCAGCCTCCCAAGTAACAGAAATTACAGGTGTGTGCCACCACGCCAGCTAATTTTTGTATTTTTAGTAGAGACAGGGTTTTGCCATGTTGTCCAGGCTGGCCTCGAACTCCTGGCCTCAAGTGATCCACCCAGTTCGGCCCCCCAAAGTGCTGGGATTATAGGCGTAAGCCACTGCGCCTGGCCAAAAGTGGCATATTTTGAGGTTTCATATCTCTTTTTTTTTTCTTTTGAGATGGTCTCACTCTCACTCAGGCTGGAGTGCAGTGGTGTGATCATAGTTCACCACAGACTCTAACTCCTGGCTCAAGCGATCCTCTGCCCCAGCCTGATTAGTAGCTGGGACTACAGGTTCATGCCACCATGCCTGGCTAATTTTTAATTTTTTTTTTTAATGCAACTGGGTCTCACTTTGTTGACCAGGCTGTTCTCAAATGCCTAGGCTCAAGCAATCCTCTCACATAGGCCTCCCAAAGTGCTGAGATTACAAGCCACTTTTATATAAAGATAATTTTAAGCTGAAGACTGCGCCTGGCCTGAGGTGTCATATTCTGATCCCATTTAAAATAATGGTTGAATAGAACTGGGGTGTGGCTTAGGCATCCACACTTTTGGCATGATAGTCATAAGCATGGGCTTTGGAGTCTGTCTGGCAAGTTCAGCAGTGATTCTATAATAAACCTCTCTTTGCTGTTAATTATAGAGCTTTCAACAAGTTATTTAATCTCCTAAACTTCATTTTCAACAACTATAAGATGGGTGTGTGGCAGGGGCCAGAGTGGTGGAGTAAAGAGGTAACAATTACTGCTAATCCTTCTAGTTCTATGTTGTGTTAGTGATTGTATCTCTCTCTTAATCAAAATGCAAGTAACAGGAAATTCTAAAATTTGTAACACAGACTAGTCTTATGACTTGCTCATTCTTTGTTTACCTAGGTCAGGAAAACTGCCATTGCCTCTGTGAGCACCCTGAGAAATAATGAACCAAATTCACAATCAAAATTTCCAATTTTTCGGTTTCCTTCATCATTCTCTTCTCCCGTTGGAATGGTATTTCATCCCCGAAGCCACTTTTTGTATGCTTATGGCAATCAGGTGCGTACACATGGAACTTCAGTCTGTGTTAGAGTTAAATCATCCACCTACTGTATGCTGCATGGCTGTACATTAAGAACAGAGCTTCTCTGATGACCTAGAGATGGCAGTGGGAGGGAAGACAATATTTATTGACTATTTATTGTATACTAAGCTTGGTGTCCATTATCAGTTTTTACCTTTCAGGTAGTTCATTGGCTGATGAAAATGAGCCATGGGTACATCAGAGTTAGCTTGAATGTTGCCAATTACTATACCTGTCTTTCCAGCTCTGAATTACTTAGATTTTGCCACTAATCCCATCAAAAGTGTATTTCTAACTGGTGTTTCCAGCATTTAATGTTTGCCTTTTTCTGTTTGACTTTGAGCTTGACTTTCTGGCTCTGTTGTTCTTTAAGTTCCTCCTAGTAGCATTTTCCACCCTCTGGCTGCTCCTTCAGTCAGTTCTGTATCAGTACACTGAAAGCTTGGTAAAGGAGTAGTTATACCATCTATGGAGCATCTGACAGTTTTAAAAAGTAAGGGCCACAGATTATGAAACATTAAGCAAACTTTGGAACTAAGAAAGTACTGCAATGACTTCCAAAGAAGGAACTAATTCAGTTTCTCAAATATCTATATTATGTGCAAAATTTAGAGATTTTAAAGATGATACCCTGTTTCTAGGTCTTCTTAAAACTCTCTTCCATATTTTAGTTTTTCACACTAAATGTTTATGTATTAATCCATTCTCACACTGCTATAAAGAACTGTCCGAGACGGGGTAATTTATAAAGAAAAGAGGTTTAATTGACTCACAGTTCTGCCTGGCTGGGAAGGCCTTGGAAAACTTACAATCATTGTGTCTGGAATTGGTTCCTTCCGGTGGGTTCTTGGTTTCGCTGACTTCAAGAATGAATCTGCGGACCCTCGCGGTGAGTGTTACAGCTCTTAAAGATGGTGTGTCCAGAGTTTTTCCCTTTAGATGTTCAGATGTGTCCAGAGTTTCTTCCTTCTGGTGGGTGCGTGGTCTCGCTGACTTCAGGAGTGAAGCTGCAGACCTTCGCAGTGAGTGTTACAGCTCTTAAAGGTGGCACGTCCAGAGTTGTTTGTTCCTCCCGGTGGGTTTGTGGTCTTGCTGATTTCAGGAATGAAGCCGCAGACCCTCACAGTGAGTGTTACAGCTCATAAAGATAGTGTGGACCACGAGTGAGCAGCAGCAAGACTTATTGTGAAGAGCGAAAGAACAAAGCTTCCACAGCATGGAAGGGGTCCCGAGTAGCTTGCCGTTGCTGGCTCGGGTGGCCAGCTTTTATTCCCTTATTTGGCCCCACCCACATCTTGCTGATTGGTCCATTTTACAGAGCACTGATTGGTCCATTTTACAGAGTGCTGATTGGTCCATTTTACAGAGTGCTGATTGGTGCGTTTACAATCCTTTAGCTAGACACAGAGTGCTGATTGGTGCGTTTACAAACCTTTAGCTAGACACAGAGCACTGATTGGTGTGTTTTCACAGAGTTCTGATTGGTGCGTTTACAAACCTTTAGCTAGACACAGAGCGTGGATTGGTGTGTTTACAATCTAGTTTTCTAGCTAGACAGAAAAGTTCTCCAAGTCCCTACTCGACCCAGGAAGTCCAGCTGGCTTCACCTCTCAATCTCCCCTCTAAACAGGACACCCCAAATGCTGTTGGGAATTGGCCGATGATAGCTCTAGCTACTTCCTGCTGGATGGGGTGAAGAAAGGGCCCTGCAGTTGTAGTGTCCTCCAGAGGGGAACTCTTTAGGCCAGCGAAAGGGCCAGTGGGTCAGTCCAGGTGTCCTCGGTAGAAGTTGTTAGTTGAGCTCATTTGGGGTTCCATTTGTAAGACCATCTATAGTTTGATGGCCTTGGTCCTAGAGGAAACAAATTTGACAAGGAGGTTAAAAATACAGGGCCCAAAGGTGAGTAATAGCAAGATGGCTGTCACAGGACCTAGAAAGGGGAGAAGTCATGTTGCCCAACTCCAGAGGTTGGTATAAGAGTTTGAAAGGCATTGTCTGATTTCAGAAGCCTTTTCCTGTAAACGCCAGGTAGCATCTCTTACTATCCCTGACTGGTTAGTGTAAAAACAACACTCTTTCCCTGAGAAGGTGCAGAGTCCTCCTTTCTCAGCAGTGAGGAGGTCTAGGCCTTGGCGGTTTTGGAGAGTCACTGCTGCCAAAGAGTCTATTTAGGATTGTAGAGTAAAGATAGATTTCATTATTTCTTGCAGACTTGTCTGAGAGGCAGATATAGGTTGAAGTTCCACATAAGAAGAATATGCCTTGGCTGGGTAGACAGAAATTTACCCTGCCTTTTAAAGGAATAGGGTACGCTGTTTTTTCTTGACTACTTCTATCTCTCTCTTTCCTTCTGTCTTTGACTTTGTCTCTCTCTTTCTCTTTCTTTCTATCTGACTTTCTGTCTCTTTGTCTCTTTCCTTTCTGCTGGTATTTCCCTGCCTCTGCCAGACACTTATGCTGCTGTTCTCCTCTCTCCTTCCCCTTTTTGATGGCTTCCGCAGTGTAAGACTGCCACCTCCTTGGGTTTTTGCAATGTGTGCAATAACTCCATAATTTCCTTGTGGTATTTAATGGGGTTCCCCCAGAGGTTAGGAACTCCCTTTCTTTCCATATTGCAGCATGGGCATGTAGGATTAGATAAGCATACTTGCTGTCTGTATACACATTTATACTTTTTCCCTTTCCCAGTTCTAAGGCTCAGGTAAGTGCCACTAGTTCTGCTAACTGGGCGCTGGCCCCTGGGGGAAGAGGCTTACTTTCAAGTACAGTTACATCACTAACTATGGCATAACCTGCCCTTCGTATCCCATTCTCCACAAATGAACTTCCATCAATATATAGGTTAAGGTCAGGATTAGCTAAGGGGACTTCTAAGAGATCATCTCGGGCGGCATAAATCTGGACTATAATTTGTTGGCAGTCATGCTTGATTGGTTCCCCATCCTCTGGGAGAAAAGTAGCAGGGTTGAGGGCCACACACATACGTATTTGAAGCACCAGTCCCTCAAGGAGTAGCGCCTGGTATCTAAGTAGGCGGTTGTCTGATAGCCATAAACTTCCTTTGGCACCTAGTATGTCATTTACATCATGAGTAGTCCAGACAGTGGGATCCTTGTATTATTTTGATAGCCTCTGACACTAAGACGGCCACCGCCACAACTACCCTTAAACAGTGAAGCCAGACTTTTGCTACTACATCAACTTCTTTACTTAGGTATGCCACTGGTTGTGGGGTTGTCTCACGAGTCTGAGTAAGGATTCCAAGAGCTATCCCTGCTCTCTCTGTGATGTATAAAAAGAAGTTTTGTCCTGTGGGAAGGCTTAAAGCTGGAGCTTGTACTAGGGCCTGCTTTAAGGTTTTGAAGGCTGTTTCTGCCTCTGGTTCCCATTCTACTAGATGAGTATTTGCCCTCCGGGTCTCCTTGATTAGAGTATAGAGGGGCCTGGCTATCTCGCTCTATCCAGGGATCCATAGTTGGCAAAAGCCGGTGATTCCAAGGAACCCCCGCAGCCGTTTTAATGTCTTAGGGCAAGGATAAGCCAGTATAGGCTGTATTCGTTCCTTGCTGAGGGCCCTGGTTCCTCTGGCTAAGATTAGGCCTAGATATTTGACCTGCTGTAGGCAAAGCTGGGCCTTCGACCTAGATGCCTTGTACCCTTGATTAGCTAGAAAGTTCAAGAGATCTAGAGTAGACTGCTGAGAGAAGAGTGGCAGAGTGAAGGGGCAACAGCCTCTTATAAAACCATTAGATCTCATGAGAACTCACTATCACGAGAACAGCATGGGGAAATCGCCCCCATGATCCAATCACTTCCACCTGGTTCCTTCCTCAACACCTGGGGATTATGGGGATTATAATTCAAGATGAGATCTGGGTAGGGACACAAAGCCTAACCATATCCGTTTGGGGGTTTTTGTGGGTTTTTTTGTTAGTTTGTTTTTGAGACGGAGTCTTGTTCTGTCGCCCAGGCTCACTGCGACCACCACCTCCCGGGTTCAAGTGATTCTCCTGCCTCAGCCTCCCAAGTAGCTGGGATTACAGGCACCTGCCACCACACCCAGCTAATTTTTGTATTTTTAGTAAAGAGGGGGTTTCACCATGTTAGCCAGGCTGGTCTCTATCTCCTGACCTCAAGTGATCTGGCCGTTTTCGCCTCCCAAAGTGCTGGGATTATAGGCATAAGCCACCACACCCAGCCAATATCAGTTTAAAATCTCTAATTTCTTCTTTGACCCTTGAATGTTTGTTCCCCTTATAAGAGGAACACAATTTGCATTTGGTGGTGTCCAGGTTTCTCCACATATATAACAGGCGATCATCTAAATAGAGTTCTTGGGCCTGCATTTCCCCCAGTCTCCATCTTGTGTTTTTTTCTCTGTATTTCTCCAACTGAGTAGAATCCTATGACTTTATTTACTCATTTTCTGTCATTTTTTGAAAAAGTGGTTGCTTCATTGTCTTTTGTTCTAGAATTCCTAGGGCGCATGGATTGGAAACTAACAGTGATGTAAGGAGTTATTATACTTGAACTTAATGGTTTAAAAGTGTGTAGATCAAAAATTTTGCCAGTATTTTATACATCTCAAAAATTCAGGCTGGGTGCAGTGGCTCACACCTGTAATCCCAGCACTTTGGGATGTCAAGGTGAGTGGATTGCCTGAGCTCAGGAGTTCGCGACGAGCTTGGGCAACATGCCAAAACCCTGTCTCCACCAAAAAATAAAAAAAAATTATCCAGGTGTGGTGGCACGTTCCTGTGGTCCCAGCTACTCAGGAAGCTGAGGTGGAAGGTTTCCTTGAGCCTGGGAGGTAGAGGTTGCAGTTAGCCAAGATTGTGCCATTGCACTCCAACCTGGGTGACAGAGTAAGACCTGATCTCACACACACACAAAAATCAATTTATGTGTGTTTTGATTGTGGACAATAAATAGTCAGAATTAAAGATAAAGGGTTTATATGGTGTCCTCTGAAATGAAGCTAAGAAACAGAACGAACAGTTGAACAAAAATTTAGAAAGACCAAGGAATTGGAACAACTCTTGTGGAAACAGATTAACAATAGCTAAAACAGATGTAAATCTAATAGAGCTTACAAAATGGTCCAGTTGGATGTGAGGGTTGTACAGCAACCAAGATGTCCTTCACTAGGAGAATGGACAAATAAACTTGGTATATCCAGATGATGGATTATTATTCAGTGCTAAGCAGAAATGAGTTATCAAGCCATGTAAAAGACATGGAAGACTGTAATCCCAGCACTTTGGGAGGCCGAGGCGGGTGGATCACCTGAGGTCAGGAGTTCGAGACCAGCCTGGCTAACATGGTGAAACCCTGTCTCTACTAAAAATACAAAAATTAGCTGGGTGTGGTGGCAGGCGCTTGTAATCCCAGCTACTCAGGAGGCTGAGACAGGAGAATCGCTTGAACTGGGGAGGCAGAGGTTGCAGTGAGCCGAGATTGCACCACTGCACTCCAGCCTGGGTGATTGAGTGAGACTCTGTCTCAAAAAAAAAAAAAAAAAAAAAAAAGACATGGAAGAAGCTTAAATGCATATTACTAAGGGAAAGAAACTAATCTGAAAAGGCTACAAACTTTATGATTCCAATATATGACATTCTGGAAAAGGCAAAACTATGGAGACAGCAAGAAGATCCGTGGTTGCCAGGGATTAGAGGGCAGAGAGGTTGAATAGGCCGAGAACAGAGGACTTTTAGGGCAGTGAAACTCTTCTGTCTGATACTATAATGGTGGATACATGCCATTACACGTTTGTCTAAGTCCATAGGATGTATAAGACTAAGAATGGTCCCTAATGTAAACTATGGACTCTGAGTGATAATGATGTATCAGTGTAGGTTCATCAGTTGTTGGGGAATGCTAGTAATGGGGGAGACTATGCATGTGCGGGGGAACTCTTCCACTACAATGTAAATATACGTAACACTACTGAACTGTATGCTTAATAATGGATAACATGATAAAGTTTATGATATGTGTTTTTTACCTCAATAAAAAAGAAAAAATTATAAAATAACCAATAGTTAGATCACAAAACACTCTTGTATTATGACCTAGAAAATATCCGCCATCTCTTCACAAAATTGAAAACATCTGAATTAATTTTTTTTTTTTTTTTTTTTTTTGAGACGGAGTCTCACTTTGTCGCCCAGGCTGGAGTGCAGTGGTGCGATCTCGGCTCACTGCAAGCTCCGCCTCCCGGGTTCACGCCATTCTTCTGCCTCAGCCTCCCAAGTAGCTGGGACTACAGGCGCCCTCCACTACACCCAGCTAATTTTTTGTATTTTTAGTAGAGACAGGGTTTCACCGCGTTAGCCAGGATGGTCTCGATCTCCTGACCTCGTGATCCGCCTGCCTCAGCCTCCGTTTGAGCACCACCCATATGCAATAACACAATCAAGACAAAGGATATTTCCAAAGTAATTTGGCAATGACTTATAATTTGGGTCAAGTTAAACATTCAAAATGAAAAATAATAAAAGAAATGAAGACTGATCTTAAGTTACACTGGTGATATGGGCCAAAATCTCACCTGTAAGTCAGCCATTTAGCAGTCAGTTTTCTTATTTGGTTAGGTCCCCGAATCAGATCACAGAGTCTCTTAACTTCACTTTTTACCTAAAGAAAGTTTTCTGCATCCTCTTTTTAAAAAAAGGAGGAGGGGGAAGCAGAAGAGGAGAAGGAGGTGGAGGAGGGAGGAGGAAGGAGAAAGAAAGAAGAAGGAGAGAAAGAGGAAGAGACTTTTTCATGAAGGATATACTAAGAAGTGAAAAACAACAACAATCTGCAAACTGGGAGATGATATTTACAATACATTTAACTAAGAAAGAATTATAGAAGTAAGAATATATAAAGAATTTCTGCAAAGCAATATGAAAAAGACAACCTAATAGCAAAAAGGAGAAAACACACAAATAAGCATATCACAGAAAAGGAAACAAGTGGAATGAATACGTGAAGAGATGATGGAGTTCACAAGCAATCAGGGAAATACAAATCAGGAATGAACGACGATATCATTTTCAGCTACTTAACTGGCAAAATAAATTCTGTCGATACAAAATGTTGAAAGTGTAGGTCAACACGATTTCTTATATATTGCTGCTGGGAGAGTAAATTATTACAACTATTCTGGAAAGCAATCTGCCATTGTTATTATTATCTTGTAAATGTGAATATTTGCATATCCTATGTCCCACCAATTTCACTTTTCAGCAAGGGAAACACATATATCCGGAGACATTTTAAAATGTTTGTCATGGGTACTGCTAGTAATAACATCAAATTACTAAAAGTAATCCAGATGTCTATGAATAGGAAAATGAATAAGTAAATTACATCTTATTCACCTAATGAACTATTATATGGAAATGAAAAAGCAAATGAACTGAGCTGTATGCAACATGTATGAATTTAAGTAAATAATGTTGAGGGAAAGTAAGTTATAGAAGACAATATATGGTATGGATAGCCCTTTTTACAAGGAGCAAAAATAAGTAAAATTAAGCATTATGTTATTTAAACATATGTGCTTAAATTATTTTAAATACCAAGGGAATGAAAAAACACAAAATTCAGGATATTGGATATGTAACAGGAAAGGCAGAGGGATAGGAATGGGGAGAAACAGGAAGATGTAAATTACTAGCAATATGCCGATTCATAGGTTTTCAGTTCACACAGTTCATTATATTATTAAATAATATAAGGAAAAATACAAATGAGCCATGTATAGATAAATAATTTAAAATATTTAGGGAAAAACACAATGAGATGTCATTTTTCATTCTGATCATGAGTAAAAATTAAAAATAAATTTTTGGTCATATCAAGTATTGGTGAGGTTTGGGGAAACAGATACTCTCATACACTACTGGTGGGACTGTAATCTGGTTCAGCAAAACTGAAGAGCACTTGGGTAGTCTCTATTAAAGTTGTAGAAATGTGGCTAGATGCAGTGGCTCATGCCTGTGATACCAGCACTTCGGGAGGCCAAGGCAGGAGAATCGCTTGAGCCCGGGAGTTTCAGACCAGCCTGGGCAACATGGCAAAAACCCATCTCTACAAAAATTAGCCGGGCATGGTGGCTTATGCCTGTAGTCCCAGCTACTTGGGAGGCTGAGGTGAAAAGATGGCTTGAGCTGAGAAGGCAGAGGTGGCAGTGAGCCAAGATTGTGCCACTGCACTGCAGCCTGGGTGACAGAGTGAGACCCTGTCTTAAATATATATATATATATATATATATGATAGCATCTGACTCAGCAGCTTAATTTTTCAGTATTTTCTTTAAAGATAACACTGTAACGTTAGTACAAATAGGCAGATAAATGAATGTTCACTGCAGTATTATTCACAACAGTGAAAATTTGGGTACAACTTTTAAATGTTCAGTAGTATAGTAGAAAAGTAGACTATCTCAAGTATGGTATATCCATAAGTTGGAGACTATAGGACAGTGTAGAAGAATGTGCTGATCCACATGAGCTAACATAAAATGATCTGAGATACATTGTTGCGTGACAAATGTAACTTATAGAAAAACAGGTACAATATGATACAAGTTCGAGCCTATTGTTCAAGGTGCCCTTCCTTAGACACCTAACTACCTCCCTGCTCACCAGTAATGTTTGCAGGGCCCAAAGCAAGAGTGAAAATTGAGGTCCACATACCATATGCTTTGGATCATGGATTGTGTTATGCCAGCAATGAGTGCTGCATCCTGAGTAACAGAAGCACCTATGTGTATTCAGTATGTTTCCTGTATGTGTTTGTAATATTCAGGCCCAGTAAGCAAGCAGTCCAGGGCAAAGTTACTTCCTGTCCAAGTCTAAAAGCCTTTCTGTCCTCCCTACCATAAAAATGAAATCAGTACTGTACATATTCTATTGGTATCTGCATACATATGAATGTAAATGCTTCGAATTTTCAAACCGATTAACTGGTCACCTATGGGAAGGGATAGAGGAGACTAGGATTGATTATATTAGATGAGGCATAAAAGGAGAATTGTTTGGATGGTGGTCTCAGATTCTTCAGCCATATTTATAAAGTTGGAAATGTAAGAAAAGCCTATTTTCTTGTATAACTTGTTATTAAAATTAATTTTTTAAAAATCCAAACAACAGAAATCTTCATGTGAATGAGTCTCAGGCTATTAAAAGCGGTAGCAACTGGGAATCATAATACAGAATTGATCTGTTTTATCCTCAAACAACTCTTACCTAAAGATGAGGAAACAGAGAAACTAAGATGCTATAGTAATAAACTAATATAACTATACAGTGAGATAAGTGATTTGAGGATCTACAAAGGTCCCAGGACACATCCCTTGCAAATGACAAGGGGCTCTTCCATGCAAAATATGTGTGCATATATATTTGCCAGACACCTAGAACATGAAGTATTATGTCAATATGGGGTAAACCCCTCCCCCAGATCCAAATGCACCCAGCACTCCATTCTTTTATGAACACGGAATTATTTGGGAGATCATAGGAATAACTTTGTTATTTTATACAATCACTATGCATATTGTGTAGACCGGTACTCTGCCACAGACACCTTCATACACACTCTAGGATGGAAATAGAAGGTAGACAAAGTAGATAAGGAGTCTGTATACGAGTGTGTGTGTGTGTGTGTGTGTGTGTGTGAGAGAGAGAGAGAGAGATGAATGTAGGCATATGGAAAAGATCATGCCACATGGCTATTCTCATGTAGGCTGATAGGTAACTGCCAACTGTTGCATGGCAGCCCTTTAGTAAGGTATTATCTCTTTATTCCTTTAGATATGGCTTTCAGTTGATGGCGGCAACACCTTTCAATTAATAGCTAACTTTCATGATGATATCATAAAGAAGACTTTTCATAGTTTTTATACATCAGCTATTACTTTTGTTTCTCAACGTGGAAAGGTTTACTCGACAAAGGCAGGTAAGAAATTTGCTTTCACTGGTGTAAGCATTACATGTGGCCCAGGATTAGAAGATATATGAAAAACCTGCCGTATTAATCAACTAATCCTAAGACCTCAAAACTATTAGGGGTGATGGATTTGTAGGATCTACAGAAGTAGGATCCTATGGATAGTCCTAAAGAAAGGCAACACTAGGTCACCATGCTATGTTCTCATTTACCATTTCAGAGATATTTTACTGTCCCAAAAGCCAAATAATAACAGCTACCACTTGTCAAGCTACAATTGTGCTCAGCATGTTACAAATATCATCTCATCTGATATTCAGAACAACTTTGCTGAAGTAGGTAATGTTAGCTTACTTTTGCTGATTACACTGATACAACTGACACACAACCAGTAATGGTGGAGTTGTGTGAATGATACACTGCTCTCATCTCTTTCATTTGGTAATCTTGTGCTTTCATTGATCAAGTTTATATAGCTCCTATCAGTGTTTGCATAGCAAAAGAAGTAGTTAATTTTTAAGTATAATTTTATTTCTTAACTAACAAATATTGATTTTACATATTCATGGGGTACAAAGTACTATTTTGACACATATAATGTAGAGTGATCAGATCAGGGTAATTAGCATATCTGTCATCTCAAACATTTATCATTTCTTTATGTTGGGAATGTTCAATATCCTCCTCCTAGCTATTTTAAACTATATAACATATTAGTGTTAACTATGCCATCCTCCAGTGGTATAGAACACTAAAATTTATTCTTCCTATCTGGCTGTAATTTTGAACCCTTTAGCAAATCTCAAAACAGTTAATATTGATTGACCTTAATGATAGTTGCCCACTCCTTTCCAACTCAGTTGAATTTTGCTAACCAGCCTAGGACCCTAGAGTGATAAAGGGACATGATTCTCAATTTATTTCTGTATGTTTGCGACCTGCACTTTCATTTTATTTTGTCTTTCTATTATTGAGTCTTTGAGATCTTGTTTTGTTGAATTTAATTTATTAAGATTTTTTGAGGCAGAATATGGAAGTAAATTTACCTCCTATCTTGGGATGTGCTTTGTCTCAACTTGATTCTTTTTATCTTTTACAAGCTGTTAGTTTCTTCCTTCTCTTCCCTTCCTTTTTTTAAAAATATTTTATTCTTAATTTTTGTGGGTACATAGTAGGTGTATAAATTTATGGGATACATGAGATATTTTGATACAGGCATACACTGTGTAATAATCATATCGGGGTAAATGGGGTATCCATCACATCAAGAATTTATCCTTTATGTTACAAACATTCAAATTATATTCTTCCAGTTATTTTAAAATATATAATAAATTATTATTGACTGTAGTCACTCTGTTGTGCTGTCAAATACTAGATCTTATTCATTCTATGTAATGATATTTTTGTACCCATTAACCATCGCCATTCTCCCCCTACATAATGCCCCACTACCCTTCCCAGCCTCTGGTAACCATTATTCTACTCTCTATGTCTGTGAGTTCCATTTTTAAAATATTTAGTTCCCTCAAATAAGTGAGAACATGCAAACTCTGTCCTTCTGTCCCTGGCATATTTCACTTAACATCATGTCCTCCAGTTCCAATCATGTTGTTGCAAATGACAGGATCTCATTCTTTTTATGGCTGAATAGTACTCCATTGTGTATATGTACCATATTTTCTTTATTCATTCATCTGTTGATGGACACTTAGGCTGCTTCCAAAGCTTCACTGTTGTGAATAGTACTACAATAAACATGGGAGTGTAGATATCTCTTCAATGTACTGATCTCTTTTTTGGGGGGTATATCCTAGCAGTGGGATTGCTGGATCATATGGTAGCTCTATTGTTAGTTTTCTGAGGAACCTCCAAACTATTCTTCATAGTACTAATGTACTCTCCATTGTACTAATTTATATTCCCACCAACAGTGTACAAGGGTTCCCTTTTCTCCACATCCTCACCAGCATTCATTATTGCCTGTCTTTTCGATAAAAGCTATTTTAACTGGGATGAGATGATAATCTCATTGTAGTTTTGATTTGTATTTCACCGATGGTCAGTGATGTTGAGCACCTTTTCATACGCCTGTCTGCCGTTTGTATGTCATCTTTTGAGAAATGTCTATTCAGATTTTTGCCCATTTTAAAATCAGATTGTTAGTTTTTTCCTATTGAGTTGTTTGAACTTTTTATATATTCTAGTTATTAATTCCTTGTCAGATGGGTAGTTTGCAAATATTTTCTTCTGTTCTGTGGATTGTCTGTTCACTTTGTTAATTGTTTCTTTTGTTGTGCAGAAGCTCTCTAACTTGATGTGATTCCATTTGTCCGTTTTTGCTTTGGTTCCCTGTGTTTGTGGGATATTACTTAAGAAATCTTTGCCTAGATTAATGTCGTGGATAGTTTCCTCAAAGTTTTCTTTTAGTCGTTTTATAGTTTTTTTTTATAGTTTTTAGATTTAAGCCTTTAATCCATTTTGTTTTGATTTTTGTGTGTGGAGAAAGAGGTCTAGTTTCATTCTTCTGCACATGGATATCTTCTGCATATGGATATGGATGGCCTAACATATGTTCTATTTATTTCAGAATGATCTATGTGCTGAGGAGAAGAGCGTGCATTCTGCAGCCATTGGTTGACATGTTCTGCAAATATCTATTAGGTCCATTTGGTCTACAGTGCAGATTAAGTCCAATGTTTCTTTTTTGATTTTCTGTCTGGATGACCTGTCCAGACAGAAAATCATGTCCAAAGGTGAACATGGGTTGTTGAATTCTCCAACAGTTATTGTATTGGGATCTATCTCTTTCCTTAGCTCTGATAATATTTGCTTTCTCTATCTGAGGGCTCCAGCATTGAGTGTATATATAGTTATAATTTTTATATCCTCTTGCTGAATTGACCCCTTTATCATTATATAATGACCCTCTTTGTCTCTTTCTATAGTTTTTGTCTTGAAATCTATTTTGTCTGATATAAGTATAGTGACTTCTGCTCTCTTTTGGTTTCCACTTGCCTGGAATATATTTTTCCATCTCTTTATTTTCAGTCTATGTGTGTCTTTTTAGGTGAAGTGTGTTTCTTGCAGGCAACAGATCACTGGGACTTTTTAAAAAAAATCCATTCAGGCACTCTATGTCTTTTGATTGGAGAGTTTAGTCCATTTACATTAAATATTGTTATTGATAAGTCAGAACTTACTCCTGACATTTCATTTTTTTCTGATTGTTTTGTGGTCTTCTCTTCCTTCTCTTTTTCCTTCCTATCTTCCTTTTAGTGAAGGCAATTTTCTCTGGTAGCATGTTTTAATTTCTGTCTTCAAGCTCACTGATTCTTTATTCCGCTTGATCAATTCTTCTATTAATTTCTTGCTTTTATTTTTTGCATATCTGTTGTATGTTTTTAAATTCTAGGTTACCATAATATCTTATAACCCATTATTTTAAACTGACATGTCTTGAAAAGTTGTTGTAGTTATTATATTTGATCAGTTTATCTTTTAGTTTTTCTACTCAACATATGAGTAGTTTACATACCATAATTAACATGTTATAATATTCTGTGTGTTTCTGTGTACTTACTATGACCAGTGAGTTTTGTACCTTCAGATGATTTCTTATTGCTCATTAATATCTTTTTATTTATGCTTGAAGTATTCCCTTTAGCATTTCTTATATGGCAGGTCTGGTGTTGATGAAATCCCTCAGGTTTCTTTTTTTATCTCAGAAAATATTTCTTTTTCATGTTTAAAGGATATTTTTGCCAGATATACCATTCTGGGATAAAAGTTTTAAAAAATATACGTCATGCCACTTTTTCCTGGCCTGTAAGGTTTACACTGAAAAGCCTGTGCCAGATATATTGGGGCTCCTTTGTATGTTATTGATTCTTTTCTCTTGCTGCTTTTAGGATCCTTTCTTTATCCTTGACCTTTGGGAGTTTCATTATTAAATGCCTTGAGGTCATCTTCTTTGGCTGAAATCTGTTTGGTGTTCTGTTACCTTCTTGTGCTTGGATATTGATATCTTTCTCTAAGTTTGGGAAGTTCTCTGTTATTACTCCTTTGAATAAATGTTCAATCCCTATCTCTTTCTCTACTTCCTCTTTAAGGCCAATAACTCTTAGATTTGCCCTTTTGAGGCTAATTTCTAGATTTTACAAGCATGCTTCATTCCTTTTTATTCTTTTTTCTTTCATCTACTCTAATTGTGTATTTTTAAGTGGGTTGTCTTCAAGCTCACTAATTCTTTATTCTGCTTTATCAATTCTGCTATTAAGAGACTCTGATAATTCTTCAGTATGTCAATTGCATTTTTCAGCTCCAGAATTCTGCTTGATTCTTTTTAATTGTTTCAATCTCTTTGCTAAATTTATCTGACAGGATTCTGGATTCCTTCTCTATATTATCTTGAATTTCCTTGAGTTTTCTCACAACAGCTATTCTGAATTCTCTGTCTGAAAGGTCACATATCTCTGTCTCTCCAAGATCGGTCTCTGGTGCCTTATTTTGTTCCTTTGGTGAGGTCATGTTCTCCTGGATGGTCTTGATGCTTCTGGACATTGATTGGTGTCTGGGGATTAAAGAGTTTGGTATTTATTTTAGTTTTCACAGTCTGGGCTTGTTCGTACCTGTCTTTCTTGGGAAAGCTTTCCAAGTATTCAAAGGGACTTGAGTGTTGTGATCTAAGTCTTTGCTCACTGCAGCTGAATCTGCATTAGGAGGTACCTCAAGCCCAGTAATGCTTTGGCTATTGCCAACTTGTAGAAGTACTGCCTTGGTGGTCTTATGTAAGATCCAGGAGAACTTGTATTACCTGTATTACCAGGTATTACAGGAAGAGACTGTATTACCAGGTATTACAGGAAGAGACTGTATTACCAGGAAGAGACTTTTGTTCTCTTACCTTACTTTCCACCAAACAAATAGTGTCTCTTTCTCTGTGCTAAGCTGCCTGGAGCTAGGGGAGGGGTGATGCAAGCACCCTTGTAGCCACCACCACTAGGACTGCACTGGGTCAAACCCAGAGCCAGCACAGCACCAGGTCTTGCCCAAGGCCCACAGTTTCCACTGCCTGGCTACTACCTATGTTCACTCTAGGCCCAAGAGCTCTATAATCAGCAGGTGATGAGTCCAGCCAGGGTTATGATCTTCCCTTCAGGGCAGTGAGTTGCCCCCAGCCCCAGCTAGGTCCAGAGATGCCATCTGGAAGCCAAGGAAGTTGAGACCCTTAGAGTCTATGTGGTATTCTATTCTATTGCGGCTAAGCTGGCACCCAAGCTGCAAGACAAAGTCTTTCTTACTCTTCCCTCCTTTATCCTGAAGCAGAGCAGTCTCTCTCCATGGCCACCACCACCCCAAGCCCATGGCAATTACCCCCTGGCTACCGCCACTATTCACTCAAGGTCCAAGGGCTCTTCAGTCAGCTTCTGGTGAATGCTGCCAGTCCTGGATTTCTCCTTTCAGGGCAGTGGCCCCACTCTGGCCCAGGGCAGGTTTAGAAATGCCACACAAGAGCCAAGTCCTGGAATCAGAGACCCCAGGAGCCCACTTCGTGAATTGTCCACTGTGGCCAAGCTGGTACCCAAGCTGATTTCTGGTTCTTATAAAGGTGCTTTCTTGTGTGGATCATTGTTCAATTTGATGTTCCTGCAGGGGTGGATAATCACTGGAGGCTCTATTCAGCCATCTTGCTCTGCCTCCTCTCTATAATCCCTCTTTTTCTAATCTTCCCTACTCCCCTCCTCTACTCACCCACCTCCTTCTTTATCCCTTTTCCTTCCTTCTTCTTCTGTTCTTCCCACTCTTCCTGTTTCCATCAAGTTCATCATTAAAGGTGCAGCACTGGTCAGATCTTCTATTTGCTCTAACATAGTGTAGGTGAATTATTCTTGAGACCCATCTGCTTCACCTCATTTAGATAGGACTTGGACCCATTTTCTCAACTCAGTAAAGTGCCTTGGAAAGTGGTAAACCTGGCTTCACTTATGAGGGCTTGATTTTTCCCTTTACTTTTCCTTTTGATATCTTCTCATCCACTGTCACCTTCTTATATGGTTTGGCTGTGTCCCAACCCAAATCTCAACTTGAGTTGTATCTCCCAGAATTCCCACATGTGGGAGGGACCCAGGGGGAGGTAATCAAATCATGGGGGCTGGTTTTTCCTGTGCTATTCTCATGATAGTGAATAAGTCTCACAAGATCTTATGGGTTTATAAGGGGTTTCCGCTTTTGCTTCCTCCTCATTTCTCTCTTGCTGCAACCATGTAAGAAGTGCCTTCCACCCTCTGCCATGATTGTGAGATCTTCCCCAGCCATGTGGAACTGTAAGTCTAATTAAATGTCTTTCTTTTGTAAATTGCCCAGTCTCGGGCATGTCTTGATCAGCAGCATGAAAAGGGACCAATACACCTTCTTACTTGTTAGAAGGGTATAACCGAGAGCCTTCAGGATTTTGTTGATTTACCTTCCTTCTCTCAATATTGCCTCAACAATGAACTATTATAGATTATTGGGTAACTTTTGAGATTGAGGTAGACTTGGAGATATCTTATTAGGTCTAACAGAAATTAGAAAAACACTGTCACCAAGACAAGACAGAGGCTGTGTTTTTTTGTTTGTTGTTTTTAACACACAGCATTTTTTATTGTATAGTTTAAAATTTCTTCTGATCTCCAGTTTCTTCTGATCTTCAGTCTCTGATACGATTTTAAATGACGAAGTTTCTGATATAACTTCAAAAAGCATGGTTTTGCAGGCCTCAATATTTTGTCCTTGATGTTCACCAGCAAAAGCAGTTTTACAGTTATACAATCTCCTCTATTGGTCCTTCCTTGTTTGAGAATAAGGACAGACCACAAAATCCTGATGCTATTTCTCCAGATCTTCACCACTCAGTTTATTTATTCTCTATTCTGTCAATAAAGCTTTTGTTTAACTTATGTCAGTATCAAGATTAATCCATGTGGTTTGTATGTCTGAATCATGTGTTGAGACAGCAGCTGTGTCAACCTAAGATTCTGGTGATCAGACTTTATATGATTGTGAAATAAATGAAAGTAATTGTGAATATTGTTAGGAGCACAATGTTGAACGTTTCCAGTATTCCAGAAAGCTCCCTCTTGCCTCTTGCTGCATTTCTTTTTTTTTTTTTTTTTTTTTTTTTTTTTTTTTTTGAGACAGAGTCTTGCTCTGTTGCTCAGACTGGGGTGCAGTGGTATGATCTCAGCTCACTGCAACCTCCGCCTCCCGGGTTCAAGCGATTCTCCTGCCTCAGCCTCCCGAGTAGCTGGGATTACAGATACCCGCCACCATGCCCAGCTAATTTTTTTTTTTTTTTTTGTATTGTTAGTAGAGACAGGGTTTCACCTTGTTGGCCAGGCTGGTCTCAAACTCCTGACCTCAAATGATCTGCCCATGTAGGCCTCCCAAAATGTTGGGATTACAGGCATGAGCCACTGTGCCCAGCCTAATGGTATTTCACTGAAGATTTAGTTTGCATGAGTAATAATGTTAAGTATATTTTCATGTGTTCATTTTTATATCCTTTTTTGTAAATTCTTTTCAAGTCTTTTTTGAATGAAGTTTTGATTTGAGTTACTTTTCTTACTGATTTCTATAAGATTTTAATGTATTACGGATATGATTTTTTGTTAGAAATATGTCTTGGAAATATCTTCTTGTAATTAGTGGCTTGTCTTATTTATCTTCTTCATGGTATCTTTTGAACAAAAATTATTAATTTTTGAAAGCTCAATTGACCAATCTTTCCTTTTATGGTTAGCACTTTTTACTTCTTGTATTCTATTTAAGAATTCTTTGCCTATCCCAAAGCTATGAAGATATTCTCCTGTTTTCTGGAAATTGGTTGTTTTAGATTTTATATACAGATCAAAGTAAAATCTCTAATTTTGTATATGTCATGAAGTGAGGTTCATTTTTTTCCCTGTATGACTACCAGAGCCTCTACTCTGGCCTTGAATTGAATATTCATCCCAAGCTTTTCTTTCTGCTTTTGTAAGCTCTCCAATATATCCATAGAAGTCATGCCACCCCACAATCTTTGTAAAAATTATGGTTGTCACTGTAATCAACTGCAGCTACTCCAATGGACCACCTCAAGTCTTGCCCTCCACAGACACTGCATCCCACACTCGCCACAGAGATAATTTGAGTAATTGTGAAGCCCTTGCTTGCTATGGTTTGCCAGGCATAAGTGGTCATCTGTTCACTCATTAAGTGTGTAAGCAACTCAGTCCCAGAATCCCACCACTATATTCTATGCCTTAGGGACACTGTAGGTAAAAACACTATATCAGTTTTGGACCATGCAGGAAACGTAATTCCTCTCAGGTGTTTTACCTGAAGAAGCTTTACAAGGGGACTATTTGCAGAGGGCAGACATAGTTAAAGGGAGCAACAGTGATAGTAAAATATCCAGAGACTAGCAATGGAAGAAAGATGTTACAGTCTCTTTGCTTAGAGGGGGGATAAGATAGATAGATGGCATTACTAAAGCCCAGTCAAAGCTGGAATGGAGTAGGGACCACCCTTTAAGAGGTGTAATCTAGGAAGCTCACAGCCACCACAAAACCACACCACCAAAGCAAGAAGAAAGAGGATGAAAACTACCTTAACTTCTGTCTCCTTCTCCTTTCTTAACTCCTGCTGCTGCATTTCATTTGCCAAGCCCAATCAGGAGTCAACTGGAAACAGCACAAAGATTGCAATTCATAGAAATCAGTCTTCCATTGCACCAAACAGGAAAGAGAAAGTCTGAGAGTGGATCTGGAGGAATGGCCAAATAGAGAATAAACAGCACATATTGTGAAATAAAAACCAAAATAGACCTAGCAAGATAATGTTGGAAACAGTAAAAATAACACCTAAGAAAACTAAATTGTCAATAAAAATTATAGAATATTAAAAATTATAAATATAAACTATAGAAACATACCCAGATGTAAAATGAACAAATAAGTGGAGAAAATCTAAAATAATAAATATAGATGCTAAAGATTCAGGAACTGCAAAATTGTAGGGATTTCTAGTGATGAACAAAAATTGTGGCTGTATGTTTCTCTCTTTTATCTACAGTTTCTGGCATAGTATAGCCCTCTGATAGAAATGGGTGGGTGGATGGATGGATGGATGGATAAATACAAAAAACAGAAAGAACAGAGGAAACCAAAATCAATAATGACATTAATTTTTTTAACTAAAAGCAAAACAAACCAACACTAAAAGCAGAAACACTCTTCGAAATGGGAAATGTAAGTCAATTTTAAAGAAACAAAAATCAAGCCAGCCTTGGATTCTTCTGCTGCAACAATGCCTGTTGCATATTCTAATATAGAACCTCCAAAAAAATTAGTTTCACCTAAGAATTTGGAACCAACTCAACTCATTATTCATATTCGTATTCATTTTCTAAAAGAAAAACATAGAATTCTTCTACAACAAATTATGGTGATTCCTTCCGTGACACTGGTTTTACTGATAAACATATGTCCTATTGCTTTATTTTCTTCTCTGCACACACAATAACTTTGTTTGAAAGCATTTTAAGCAGCAATAAAACTCAACATGTATTGCACCAATGATCTAGGAAGCTCAGTTAAAGTGATGACACTTTATAAAAGTTATAAATAACTGATTTATAAATATTTATAAAGTTATAAATAACTGAGACAAAGTACATGCATGGGTAGGCAATTGACCACTATGGTTTCAGTGCCCTCTGGCTGACAATGATTGTAAGACACATCAATTATAAGACGTGTCTCAATTCCCAAGCTGTTAACATGTGAAACATGCATTTCTTGCCATATTTATCCACAAAATATGGCATATTGAACCTTAGCAATTACAACAGCAAAGTTTTGCTACTGAAAAGCTCACGGGAGCATAAGAAAAAGCCTGACTACATGTGATTCAGAGGAAATAATTATAAATATTATTGACACAAAAAATAAAAACACAGTGAGAGTCTCTCAGAACCACATGATAAAATAATCAAGAATTTAAAAGACAAGAGGAATAACAAAAAGTTAAAACTAAAAAGCCAAGGTTTTGCCATCCCTAAAAGGCAATCCAAAATACTATCTCTTTATCTGAGTATAACTTTACATGGAGTTAGGAATTTTTTTGGAATCCTTTATTGTGATCATTCATGGAATTTTTTTAAATGTGCATGCTGGCGGGCGTCTGTAATCCCAGCTACTTGGGAGGCTGAGGCAGGAGAATCGCTTGAACCCAGGAGGTGGAGGTTACAGTGAGCCAAGTTCGTGCCACTGCACTCCAGCCTGGGTGACAGGCAAAACTCTGTCTCAAAAAAAAAAAAAAGTGTGTACAATACAAGTCTTAAAAAGCAAAAGAAGGCTAGATGTGGTGGCTCATGCTTGTAATTCCAGAACTTTGGGAGGCCAAGGCGGGAGCATCACTTGAGCGCAGGAGTTCAAGACCAGCCGGGGCAACAATCTCTACACACACACACACACACACACACACACACATATATGTATACATTTAAGTTTGTGTATATGTATTAAAGCAAAGGAAACAGAATAACCCATAAAAATAGACATGAAAGAGAGAAAAGACATAGCAGAAAATGTACAAAGCATAAAATAGAATAACCAAAAGTAGAGCTGGTCTACAGTTATCACCATAAATGTTCATTTATTCAGCAGCATTTATTGAGTACCTCGTATATGCCAGGTACTGTTCCAATCACTAAGGGTACAGCAGTCTCTTTTCCTGTGGAACTTACACACTTGTCAGAAGACACTGATAATTAACAAATAAACCAAAATAGGCTGTATGTAAGATAAATGCTACACAGGAAAAAAAAAAAAAGCAAGATAGGTGAATGGGAAGTGCCAGGTGAAGTGTGTGTTGCGTTGTGTGGTGTAGCATGTATTGTGGTCTGGGTGAGCGGCCTTGAAGCAGATGAGGGAATGAGCAGATATCCGAGGTAATCTACATTTCTCCATTAAAGACAGAGTCTTATTTTGGATTTTAAAATCTTGAAATATATTGCCAGGAGTGAAAAACTTAAAGCTAAAGTGGAGAGAAAAAAATATAAATAAAGATTTGAACAAGTATGTGAAACACACTGGGAGAGAAAGCAGAGGCAGTAATGTTCATATTCACACAGAGCAGGAATTTTAGGCTGAAAGTATTCAATAAACAAAGTTCTTTCTGTGATAAAATATAAATAGTACAAATATATCATATTGAGTCAATGCTCTAAAAGAATACAAGATATGTAAATATACAAAAATGAACTATAAGGAACATGAGAAGGAATCAACTGAAGTGCCAAAGTAGAATACATTTGAAATTGACAGTGTTAAATCTTTAATACATGAAGATCAAGATAAGACTATAAGGGAACATTCCATGTAGAGGAATTAAGATGTTGTGTTGAAATATAGGGCACATGTAGTATACTATAGCTAAATTTCCTAGGGATGACTTATTGATGATAAGACCAAGCAGGTAAACTGAACCCAGTTTTCCATTTGAGTCAAGCTAAAGAATTTCATCATGCCATTAAAAGATTATTAACATAATCATATTTGTATTTTAGAAAGATCATATGGGGAATATACTGGAAAATGTAAGATTTTTGGCCAAGTGATATGTTGATAAGAGGCTATTTTAAAAGCTGAAATGTGATGATGAGGGTCTGGATTAGAAAAGTGGCCACAAGTATGAAGAAAACAGTGGCAAATTATGAATGAAACCAGTGGGAGTTTGTGAAGGATTGGCTGTGAAATAGGAGGAAGTGTGTATAGTCAAGAGTTACACATAGGGCAACTGGATGAGTAATGATATGATGAACATCATCCGTAGAACACAGTATCCAAGGGACTTCCATTTCCAATTGTGGCTTCAGTTTGCTGCTGAGAATAATTTAACAAAATACTTAGATAAATTATTTTTTAAATTGATAACCTGAAAAGCTAATAGAAACAACCAGGCCAAACTCTAAGGGAAAACAAAACCTTGGTGATATGGTTTGGCTGTGTCCCCAACTAAATCTCACCTTGAATTGTAGCTCCCATAATCCCCATGTGTTGTGGGAGGTACCTGGTAGGAGGTAATTTAATCATGGGGGCAGGCCTTTCCCGTGCTGTTCTGGTGATAGTGAATAAGTCTCACAAGATCTGATGGTTTTATAAAAGGAGTTCCCCTGCATAAGCTCTCTTGCCTGCTACCATGTAAGATGTGACTTTGCTCCTCATTTGCTTTCAGCCATGATTGTAAGGCCTCCCCCAGCCATGTGGAACTGTGAGTCAATTAAATCTCTTTCCTTTATAAATTACCCAGTCTCAGGTATGTCTTTATTAGCAGCATGCAAACAGGCTAATATACTTGGAGAGGTAAAGAGGGCACACAGTACCAAAGTCCTTTTGACCTGAAGAGATTTACAAATTCCTGCAAACTTAGACTTTGAATTTGGTGGACTAATGAAGAGTTATGGCCCTGAGTCTACCCAGGTAGTGAGAATATAGATGGTGTGCCCCACCATACACCAGAACCCCTGAGGGCTCTACCCTTACGATAAAGATTAATCAGAGGTAAATCCATACACACTCACACATATCCCCAAGGAATACAACAAAGTCGTCTTGTTAAGTGAGTAGGAAAAGAAAAAGAGAGAAAAAAACCTGTCTGAGAGGTTATGGCCATTGGAAGGCCCCTGTGAGATTTGCAGCCCTGATTTGCATTGTCTGGGATTACAGGTGCCCACCACCACACCCAGCTAATTTTTGTATTTTTAGTAGAGATGAGGTTTCACCATGTTGGCCAGGCTGGTGTCCACCTCCTGACCTTAGGTGATCTGCCCGCCTCAGCCTCCCAAAGTGTTGGGATTGCAGGCATGAGCCACTGCTCCCAGCCATTCATGATTTTTTAAACAAACATTTATTAAAGCATGAATAGAATGTAACTTCTTGATTAAGAGTATCTAGGGGGGAAAGAAGCTATAGCAAATATCCAATCATATTTTCTAATAACACACCAAAAGCTTTTGCTATGTCATCTACCACTGCCTCTATTCATCATTGTATTGGAGGGCTGAATTAGTCTAGACAGGCAAGAACAATATATTAAAAGTGTGAGATTGGAGAGGAAGGAGCCCAGCTATTCCTGTAACAGATTATCTAATTGTGGAGATAGACAACCTCAGGCTCGTGTAGCTGAAGCAGAGTAAGCATTGCAGAAAGTCATAGGAGATAAGGTCAGAGAGGGACTGGAATTCATACCACGGTGGCCCTTGGAGGGCATTGCAAGGATTTTGACTCTTACTGAGAGAGAGGTTGAAGCCATGGAGAGTTTTGATGAGGAGAGTGGATGAAGTGACTTAACATTTTGAAAGTGTTACTTTGGATGCTTTTTTGAGAACAGACTGAAGGGAGCTATGGGCAGAATCACAGAGACCAATTCGGAGGCACAAGAGAGATGACAGTGGCTTGTACAGGGTGATAGTGGTGACAGAGGTGAGAAGTGGATGGAGTCTACATATATCATGAGGCTAGAGTCAATAGGATTTCTGATGGATTCGATGCAGGGTATGAGAGAGAGGAATTAAGAATGACATTGAGGGGAGGAGCCAAGATGGCCGAATAGGAACAGCTCCGGTCTACAGCTCCCAGCGTGAGCGACACAGAAGACGGGTGATTTCTGCATTTCCATCTGAGGTACCGGGTTCATCTCACTAGGGAGTGCCAGACAGTGGGCGCAGGCCAGTTGGTGCGCGCACCGTGCGCGAGCCGAAGTAGGGCGAGGCATTGCCTCACCTGGGAAGCGCAAGGGGTCAGGGAGTTCCCTTTCCGAGTCAAAGAAAGGGGTGACGGACGCACCTGGAAAATCGGGTCACTCCCACCCGAATATTGCGCTTTTCAGACCGGCTTAAAAAATGGCGCACCACGAGACTATATCCCACACCTGGCTCGGAGGGTCCTACGCCCACGGAATCTCGCTGATGGCTAGCACAGCAGTCTGAGATCAAACTGCAAGGCAGCAGCGAGGCTGGGGGAGGGGCGCCCACCATTGCCCAGGCTTGCTTAGGTAAACAAAGCAGCCGGGAAGCTCGAACTGGGTGGAGCCCACCACAGCTCAAGGAGGTCTGCCTGCCTCTGTAGGCTCCACCTCTGGGGGCAGGGCACAGACAAACAAAAAGACAGCAGTAACCTCTGCAGACTTAAATGTCCCTGTCTGACAGCTTTGAAGAGAGCAGTGGTTCTCCCAGCACGCAGCTGGAGATCTGAGAACCGGCAGACTGCCTCCTCAAGTGGGTCCCTGACCCCTGACCCCCGAGCAGCCTAACTGGGAGGCACCCCCCAGCAGGGGCACACTGACACCTCACACGGCAGGGTATTCCAACAGACCTGCAGCTGAGGGTCCTGTCTGTTAGAAGGAAAACTAACAAACAGAAAGGACATCCACACCAAAAACCCATCTGTACATCACCATCATCAAAGACCAAAAGTAGATAAAACCACAAAGATGGGGAAAAAACAGAACAGAAAAACTGGAAACTCTAAAACGCAGAGCATCTCTCCTCCTCCAAAGGAACGCAGTTCCTCACCAGCAACGGAACAAAGCTGGATGGAGAATGACTTTGACGAGCTGAGAGAAGGCTTCAGACGATCAAATTACTCTGAGCTACGGGAGGACATTCAAACCAAAGGCAAAGAAGTTGACAACTTTGAAAAAAATTTAGAAGAATGTATAACTAGAATAACCAATACAGAGAAGTGCTTAAAGGAGCTGATGGAGCTGAAAACCAAGGCTCGAGAACTACGTGAAGAATGCAGAAGCCTCAGGAGCTGATGCGATCAACTGGAAGAAAGGGTATCAGCAATGGAAGATGAAATGAATGAAATGAAGCGAGAAGGGAAGTTTAGAGAAAAAAGAATAAAAAGAAATGAGCAAAGCCTCCAAGAAATATGGGACTATGTGAAAAGACCAAATCTACGTCTGATTGGTGTACCTGAAAGTGATGGGGAGAATGGAACCAAGTTGGAAAACACTCTGCAGGATATTATCCAGGAGAACTTCCCCAATCTAGCAAGGCAGGCCAACATTCAGATTCAGGAAATACAGAGAATGCCACAAAGATACTCCTCGAGAAGAGCAACCCTAAGACACATAATTGTCAGATTCACCAAAGTTGAAATGAAGGAAAAAATGTTAAGGGCAGCCAGAGAGAAAGGTCGGGTTACCCTCAAAGGGAAGCCCATCAGACTAACAGCGGATCTCTCAGCAGAAACCCTACAAGCCAGAAGAGAGTGGGGGCCAATATTCAACATTCTTAAAGAAAAGAATTTTCAACCCAGAATTTCATATCCAGCCAAACTAAGTTTCATAAGTGAAGGAGAAATAAAATACTTTACAGACAAGCAAATGCTGAGAGATTTTGTCATCACCAGGCCTGCCCTACAAGAGCTCCTGAAGGAAGCGCTAAACATGGAAAGGAACAACCGGTACCAGCCGCTGCAAAATCATGCCAAAATGTAAAGACCATCGAGACTAGGAAGAAACTGCATCAACTAATGAGCAAAATCACCAGCTAACATCATAATAACAGGATCAAATTCACACATAACAATATTAACTTTAAATGTAAATGGACTAAATTCTCCAATTAAAAGACACAGACTGGCAAATTGGATAAAGAGTCAAGACCCATCAGTGTGCTGTATTCAGGAAACCCATCTCACGTGCAGAGACACACATAGGCTCAAAATAAAAAGATGGAGGAAGATCTACCAAGCAAATGGAAAACAAAAAAAGGCAAGGGTTGCAATCCTAGTCTCTGATAAAACAGACTTTAAACCAACAAGGATCAAAAGAGACAAAGAAGGCCATTACATAATGGTAAAGGGATCAATTCAACAAGAAGAGCTAATTATCCTAAATATATATGCACCCAATACAGGAGCACCCAGATTCATAAAGCAAGTCCTGAGTGACCTACAAAGAGACTTAGACTCCCACACATTAATAATGGGAGACTTTAACACCCCACCGTCAACATTAGACAGATCAACGAGACAGAAAGTCAACAAGGATACCCAGGAATTGAACTCAGCTCTGCACCAAGCGGACCTAATAGACATCTACAGAACTCTCCACCCCAAATCAACAGAATATACATTTTTTTCAGCACCACACCACACCTATTCCAAAATTGACCACATAGTTGGAAGTAAAGCTCTCCTCAGCAAATGTAAAAGAACAGAAATTATAACAAACTATCTCTCAGACCACAGTGCAATCAAACTAGAACTCAGGATTAAGAATCTCACTCAAAGCCGCTCAACTACATGGAAACTGAACAACCTGCTCCTGAATGACTACTGGATACATAACGAAATGAAGGCAGAAATAAAGATGTTCTTTGAAACCAACGAGAACAAAGACACAACATACCAGAATCTCTGGGACGCATTCAAGGCAGTGTGTAGAGGGAAATTTATAGCACTAAATGCCCACAAGAGAAAGCAGGAAAGATCCAAAATTGACACCCTAACATCACAATTAAAAGAACTAGAAAAGCAAGAGCAAACACATTCAAAAGCTAGCAGAAGGCAAGAAATAACTAAAATCAGAGCAGAACTGAAGGAAATAGAGACACAAAAAACCCTTCAAAAAATCAATGAATCCAGGAGCTGGTTTTTTGAAAGGATCAACAAAATTGATAGACCGCTAGCAAGACTAATAAAGAAAAAAAGAGAGAAGAATCAAATAGACACAATAAAAAATGATAAAGGGGATATCACCACCGATCCCACAGAAATACAAACTACCATCAGAGAATACTACAAACACCTCTATGCAAATAAACTAGAAAATCTAGAAGAAATGGATAAATTCCTCGACACATACACTCTCCCAAGACTAAACCAGGAAGAAGTTGAATCTCTGAATAGACCAATAACAGGAGCTGAAATTGTGGCAATAATCAGTAGTTTACCAACCAAAAAGAGTCCAGGACCAGATGGATCCACAGCCGAATTCTACCACAGGTACAAGGAAGAACTGGTACCATTCCTTCTGAAACTATTCCAATCAATAGAAAAAGAGGGAATCCTCCCTAACTCATTTTATGAGGCCAGCATCCTTCTGATACCAAAGCCGGGCAGAGACACAACCAAAAAAGAGAATTTTAGACCAATATCCTTGATGAACATTGATGCAAAAATCCTCAATAAAATACTGGCAAACCGAATCCAGCAGCACATCAAAAAGCTTATCCACCATGATCAAGTGGGCTTCATCCCTGGGATGCAAGGCTGGTTCAATATACGCAAATCAATAAATGTAATCCAGCATATAAACAGAGCCAAAGACAAAAACCACATGATTATCTCAATAGATGCAGAAAAAGCCTTTGACAAAATTCAACAACCCTTCATGCTAAAAACTCTCAATAAATTAGGTATTGATGGGACGTATTTCAAAATAATAAGAGCTATCTATGACAAACCCACAGCCAATATCATACTGAATGGGCAAAAACTGGAAGCATTCCCTTTGAAAACTGGCACAGACAGGGGTGCCCTCTCTCACCACTCCTATTCAACATAGTGTTGGAAGTTCTGGCCAGGGCAATTAGGCAGGAGAAGGAAATAAAGGGTATTCAATTAGGAAAAGAGGAAGTCAAATTGTCCCTGTTTGCAGACGACATGATTGTATATCTAGAAAACCCCATTGTCTCAGCCCAAAATCTCCTTAAGATGATAAGCAACTTCAGCAAAGTCTCAGGATACAAAATCAATGTACAAAAATCACAAGCATTCTTATACACCAACAACAGACAAACAGAGAGCCAAATCATGAGTGAACTCCCATTCACAATTGCTTCAAAGAGAATAAAATACCTAGGAATCCAACTTACAAGGGATGTGAAGGACCTCTTCAAGGAGAACTACAAACCACTGCTCAAGGAAATAAAAGAGGATACAAACAAATGGAAGAACATTCCATGCTCATGGGTAGGAAGAATCAATATCGTGAAAATGGCCATACTGCCCAAGGTAATTTACAGATTCAATGCCATCCCCATCAAGCTACCAATGACTTTCTTCACAGAATTGGAAAAAACTACTTTAAAGTTCATATGGAACCAAAAAAGAGCCCGCATTGCCAAGTCAATCCTAAGCCAAAAGAACAAAGCTGGAGGCATCACACTACCTGACTTCAAACTATACTACAAGGCTACAGTAACCAAAACAGCATGGTACTGGTACCAAAACAGAGATATAGATCAATGGAACAGAACAGAGCCCTCAGAAATAATGCCACATACCCACAACTATCTGATCTTTGACAAACCTGAGAAAAACAAGCAATGGGGAAAGGATTCCCTATTTAATAAATGGTACTGGGGAAACTGGATCCCTTCCTTACACCTTATACAAAAATCAATTCAAGATGGATTAAAGATTTAAACGTTAGACCTAAAACCATAAAAACCCTAGAAGAAAACCTAGGCATTACCATTCAGGACATAGGCATGGGCAAGGACTTCATGTCCAAAACACCAAAAGCAATGGCAACAAAAGGCAAAATTGACAAATGGGATCTAATTAAACTAAAGAGCTTCTGCACAGCAAAAGAAACTACCATGAGAGTGAACAGGCAACCTACAAAATGGGAGAAAATTTTCACAACCTACTCATCTGACAAAGGGCTAATATCCAGAATCTACAATGAACTCAAACAAATTTACAAGAAAAAAACAAACAACCCCATCAAAAAGTGGGCGAAGGACATGAACAGACACTTCTCAAAAGAAGACATTTATGCAGCCAAAAAACACATGAAAAAATGCTCATCATCACTGGCCATCAGAGAAATGCAAATCAAAACCACTATGAGATACCATCTCACACCAGTTAGAATGGCAATCATTAAAAACAACAGGTGCTGGAGAGGATGTGGAGAAATAGGAACACTTTTACACTGTTGGTGGGACTGTAAACTAGTTCAACCATTGTGGAAGTCAGTGTGGCGATTCCTCAGGGATCTAGAACTGGAAATACCATTTGACCCAGCCATCCCATTACTGGGTATATACCCAAAGGACTATAAATCATGTTGCTATAAAGACACATGCACACGTATGTTTATTGCGGCATTATTCACAATAGCAAAGACTTGGAACCAACCCAAATGTCCAACAATGATAGACTGGATTAAGAAAATGTGGCACATATACACCATGGAATACTATGCAGCCATAAAAAATGATGAGTTCATGTCCTTTGTAGGGACATGGATGAAATTGGAAATCATCATTCTCAGTAAACTATCGCAAGAACAAAAAACCAAACACTGCATATTCTCACTCATAGGTGGGAATTGAACAATGAGATCACATGGACACAGGAAGGGGAATATCACACTCTGGGGACTGTGGTGGGGTGGGGGGAGGGGGGAGGGATAGCATTGGGAGATATACCTAATGCTAGATGACGAGTTAGTGGGTGCAGTGCACCAGCATGGCACATGTATACATATGTATCTAACCTGCACAATGTGCACATGTACCTTAAAACTTAAATAAAAAAAAAATAAAAAAATAAAAAGAATGACATTGAGGTTTTTGGGCTAAGCAACAGCAATAATGCAGCTGCCATTAATGAAGGTGAGGAAGGCTGGGGCTGGAGGAGGTTTGCGTGAGGATCAGGAGCTCAGTCTGGAATGAGTTCACTTTGAGAGGCCTAACCAACATCGAATGAAGCTGTTGGAAGGCAGTTAGCTACATAAGCCTAGACTTCAGGGAAGAGCACTAGATGGTAGACTTAAATTTGGGAATTATCCATCTAAAGATGGATTTAAAATCCTAAAACTGAATGAGATCTCCAAAGATAGTGAGAGAAGTAATCTAAAAACTGAGTCCTGGACACTCCAATGTGTAGAATGAGCTAGGAGAGCCTGAGCTAACTGGGTGGGTTTGGGTGGGAT
The DNA here is from genome assembly GCF_000001405.40 of Homo sapiens. Classification (NCBI taxonomy): domain Eukaryota; kingdom Metazoa; phylum Chordata; class Mammalia; order Primates; family Hominidae; genus Homo; species Homo sapiens. The sequence goes on along the minus strand of NC_000014.9, from coordinate 91,639,859 downwards.
GCAGTGTGCAGAAATTAGTCTTTTTCATCCTGAGCCATGATCTTTCACTCTAGCTCCTTCCAAGGGAGGGGACCCTGTCTCAGGACCAGTGTCTGTTTGGCTAAGTGAATGCTGCGGCACCATCTGATTACTGACAGTGCCTCTCAACGTGGCGCCCTAAGGATGAGAGAACCACAGGACGCCCAGTTTGGTTCAACATATTAATCCTAGTATAATTTAATGACCAATGTCTACTGATGATTCGCCTTGCCTTCCTAAGGATTGTTTTCTTGCTGACTTTTACCTCTTCAGGAATCTGATTTGCTGGTAATAGGAAGAGAAACCACTACTAGAGAGACCTAACCGCTTTTCCTCTAGATCTCTTAATTAAACATCCCCTCTGTTTGTTTCTTCCCCTACTTCAGTGAACAGATTCTGTAGTGACATGGAGTCTGGAAAAGGCTTTCCAGGGACTTAACAAAAACTAACATGCATTTTCCTAATTCAGGAGTCTCAGGGCCCTACTTCCACCTCTTAGTTTAAATGAAGGTGTCTTTACAAGGTATGATATTAAAGTTTTTCGACTTCTGTTACATCAGTATCAAGACACTTCTCTGTATTTCCTAATAGGAATGGGAAGATACAGTGCAGTCGGAAGTGTTACTGAGAGAATTTTCACATTATACTATGATCACTTGGGATTCCTACATAAGCTGACTCTGGGTCGCTTTGAAGCTAGTGGACCACCCACAGCCTTTGGAAATTCTAGAAATCTTTTTGGACAGGTCAGTATATAATGCATTGAAACAGTTTGCCTTATTTTAAGAATAGATGCCACATTCAATACATAGAATAATGGGAAAATGGGAAAGTATTTTCCTTGGGACAAACTCATTAATGCAGTTTGCTCTATTTAACTAAAGGAAGAACCTCCATGTGCCACAAACATCTCCAAATCTTCTTCCAAGTCCCATATGGAATTATATAGCTTCAATTCCACCTAGAATATCTTCATGCAAATATCTTCGCAGCAGAACACCACTAAACATTCTAAGCTAGAACCATTACTTCTAAGCTAGAACCATTACTCCCAACCCAGGCCAAGGTAGGATTGATTCTCTACCTCTTAAGGTTGTCCCTGAAGAAACATGGGTTGTGAGGCCAGGCGCCATGGCTCATGCCTGTAATCCTAGCATTGTGGGAGGCTGAGGTGGGTTGATCGCTTCAGCCCAGGAGTTGGAGACTAGCCTGGGCAACAAGGTGAAACCCCATCTCTACCAAAGAATTAAAAAATTAGCCTGGTGTGGTGGCATTCATCTGTAGTTCCAGCTTCTTGGGAGGCTGAGGCAGGAGGATCACTTGAACCTGGGAAGTTGAGGCTGAAGTGAACTGCGATCACGCTGCTGAAGTGAGCTGTGATCGTGCCACTGAACTCCAGTTTGGGCAACAGAGCAAGACCCTGACTCAAAAAAAAAAAAAAGGAACATGAGCTGTGGTCTACCTTTCTTCTTTCCTATTAACCCTTCTCCCTGGTTTCTTCTTTTTCTAGTGACAACAAAAAAAGGAGTTATCTTCTTTACAGATGACACTTGATACCGGTTTTTATAATAGTTTAATGTATAATATGCTGCTTGTGAAGGTAGCTCATCCTTGGGCACCAGTTACAAAACTGGACACTCTCAAACCATCAGCAAATTATCAAACATTTTTGACTGGGGTTAGTAAAACCTGCCCTTTGACTTAAAGGAAAAGGAACAAAAGATGAATCTGGTTTTAAAAGATCATTCCAATTACCAGGCCAAGGCTGCAGTTGAGAGGATGGTGTTTATCTTCCCCTCTCTGAGACATGCATAGAGAATGAGGGCAGGAACTTCCTTGGGAGAGTTAAGATGCCACATGTGACTCCCTGTGTCTTTGCCCAAGTCTGGGGTGTGAATTCCGCATTTATACAAAGCGAATGATGTGAGCAGGAGGGTAGAACTAACTAAAAAAAAGCATTTACCTCATTTTTCACCAACTTCACAATTTGTAGAAAGTTTCTTAGTTCCCTTATGTGAAAGTTTAAATTATTAAAAGAAAAAAAAACCCTACAGGTATTTGTATACTTAGGACAAGTTTGACGAAGCCATACTCAGCAATATCACTTCCCTCTCCACAAACTATGCATGCATTCTCTCTGGATAAAAATAATCGCTGGCTCTTATTACAGTATTGGAGCTCTCAATCTTTATAACGACGATTTATTCCTATTTCACTTATGAAGAAAGCGAGGCACAGACAGGCTGGTTAGTTATTGGGATTAGACATCTATCCCAGGCAACTGGCTCCGGGGCCTGTGCTCTTAGCCACCTGCTGCCTTTCATTGGACTTGCATACACTTTCCCTAGGATACACTTGCCACTCCCAGGCTACAGTGTCATACAGAATTCTAAAGATGTTTAGCCATTTCAGTGATTTTCAAGAGTCCTCAAGCCATTTGGCTCAATCCCACATTGATTTTCCTGGCATCTATTTCCCATTTCTCCTCAGTGCACTCCCAAAATTCAGTAACTAGGAAAAAAAGCATGACAGAAGATGAGTCTTGGAGGCACTATGGGACAGATGTGTCCCCAACCAGTCTGCACGATCTACCACCCACACCTTGTCTCATAGCAACAAAGTCAACTCCAGCAGCCCCTTTGGGGATGGTCCCTACCTCTCTTCTCTCCCCTAAAAGTTCCCCAAGCAGGACAGGGTCAGGATTAGAGAAAGGTGTGTTGAAAAGAAAGACCTATAGATCAGAAATCTAGGCCAGAAGTGCCTGGGTAGACTGCAAGGGGAGGTCTGTGAGTCAGGAAAGGAGAACAGCTTATGCTGCCAGTTGGGAGACTCAGACAGCAGCTGTCCAGAGTCTCTAGCACGAGATCAGGAGCAGCAAGTGAGGACAGGGATTTCACGGGCCCTTTCCTAAATAAAACTTCAAATAAGAACCCAGTTCTAAAATCTGCATCTCCAGGCTCCTCACACACCCACAATGTGAGTCAAGTTTCCATGTACCCTTTCACTCCAACCATCCACGAAGGGCATAGGAATCTTACACCACATCTTAGTCATCAGAACTTCCATTCCTCCTTAACAGGAAAATACATCTTCCCTTGCACACACATGGATGTTCCAACAGAACACGTTGACTTATTTCTCCAATTGATAAGTAAACCAGTATTGTTTTAATGTGAACTGGAAATAAATCTGTGACTTCAATTTTGTCATAATTGAAGTATAAAGTAGTTTAAATATAATATTTTCTTTTCTCTGTTTCCAGCCTCCAGATATGGGCTTTGAGACTGCGCTTGCCCCACAGCACACCTCCTTAGATGAAATTATCTTTTTTGCATATGTACCTGAGAACGAACCCCAGGAAACGATCTACAGCAAGAAGTTCGGCAATATACACTATGGAAAAGTGATACACTCTGGGTAGTGATATGCATTTATTTAGATGGCATATTGGTTTCTAGAATCTACTTTTTAAATTTTTTGAGATAGGGTCTTGCTCTGTCATCCAGGCTGGAGTGCAGTAGTGCGATGACAGCTCACTGCAGCCTCAATCTCCCAGGCTCAAGCAATGCTCTGGCCCCAGCCTCCAGAATAGCTGGGACTGCAGGCACACACCACCAAGCCCGGCTAAGTTTTGTATTTTTTGTAGAGATGGGGTTTCACCATGTTGCCCAGGCTGGTCTCAAACCCCTGAGCTCAAGGGATTCACCCACCTCAGCTTCCCAAACTGCTGAGGTTACAAGTGTGAGCCACTGCAGCTGGCCAATAGAATCTAAATTTTTGGGCCTACTTTTTTGAATAATTTTCTTGGTCAAATAGAGTAAGTATTTTTTTGACACCCCACAAGGCCAAATACATTTATAAACTCCTAGATGTCTTGCATGCTGCCCCAATTTTAGAAACCTAGGACCATTTATATCAGTGCCATCAGGCCAAGCTATAGAAATGTGTTTCGTGAGTATCAAAAATATTCTGGACAACACTGGATACTTCCTATCCACTGAGTTTACTCAAATGACAATTCTTGTATATCCTAGAGACCAACACATTTAATGTAGTGGAGGCTATCTTTTATGAAATATTGCATTGAACAATATACAGAATTCTCAGAAATGCTTACAGTAAGAGTCAATAACCCTTAAAGCTACCTTTAAGGCCTAATAACTCTTATTCAGAATATGAATTCTGGCTGGGTGCCATGGCTCACACCTGTAATCCCAGAACTTTGGGAGGCCAAGGCCAGCAGATCAGTTGAGACCAGGAGTTGGAGACCAGTCTGACCAACATGGTGAAACTCCATCTCTACTAAAAATAAAAAAAATTAGCCAGGTGTGGTGGCTCACATCTGTAATCCCAGCTACTGGGAAGACCGAGGCACAATAGTTGCGTGAACCCAGGAGGCCGAGGTTGCAGCGAGCCAAGATTGTGCCATTGCCGTTGCACTCCAGCCTGAGTGAGAGAGTGAGACTCTGTCTCAAAAAAAAAAGAATATGAATTATATAACCCCCAAATCTACCAACTAAAAAAGAAACAATTTCAACAATTTCAGATTACCAGAAACTCACTGCTGTGGTCTAAATATCTGTTTTCCCCAAAAATTCATATGTGGAAATCCTAACCCTCAAGGTGGTAGTATTAGGAGGTGGGGCCCTTGGTAGGTGACTAGGTCATGAGGACTCTGCCCTCATGAATGGAATTAGTGTCCTTATGAAAGAGACCCCAGAGAGCTAGCTAGGCCCTTCCACCACGAAGGACTGAAGGACAGAGCCAGCTAGGCCCTTCCACCATGGAAGGACACACGTAGAAGACACCATCTATAAACCAGAAAGTGGACCCTCACCAGATACCAAATCTGCTGGCACCTTGATCTCAGACTTTCCAGCCTCTAGAGCTGTGAGAAATAAATTTCTGCTGTTTATAGGCTACCTGGTTTATGGTATTTTATTATGGCAGCCCAGATAGACTAAGATATTAACCTTGTCTCCAAGTGGTGGACTCTATTCTTATACCAGGTTGGAATCTGTATATTATATGTGTTTGGGGCTGTCAATACATATCTTGTCCCACAGCTAACAATACCTTGCACCGTGAGGCAGTTTTTGCAGCTTTTGCTGCAAAAGACATTATTTCATTGTTTTGTATGGCTGAGTAGTATTCCATGGTGTGTGTGTGTGTATGTATATATATATATATCACATTTTTTAAATCCACTCATCAGTTTATGGCACTTGGGTTGATTCCATATCTTTGCAAATGTGAATTATGCTACAATAAGCATATGTATTCAGATGTCTTGTTTTATATAATGACTTCTTTTCCTTTGGGTAGATAACCAGTAGTGGGATTGCTGGATCTAATGGTAAATCTCTTTTTAGTTCTTTGAGAAATTTCCATACTGTATAAATATTTTTAAGTAGATAATCTTATTACCTGCCAGTACAATTGATCCTTGAACAACATGGGTTTGAACTGTGCAGGTCCACTTATACATGGAAATTTTTCTGCCTCTGCCACCCCTGAGTCAGTAAGGCCTCCTCAGCCTAATCAAGAAGATGACTAGGATGAAGATCTTTATGATGATCCATTCCACTTAAGAAATAATAAATATATTTTCCCTTTCTTACGATTTTCTTAATAACATTTTTTCCCGTAGCTTACTTTATTGTAAGAATACAGCATGTAAGACATATAACATACAAAATATGTGTTAATCAACTGTTTATGTTATTGGTAAGACTTCCAGTCAACAATAGCCTACTTGTAGTTAAATTTGGGGGGAATTAAAAGTAATATGTGAATTTTCATCTGCACAGGAGGTTGGCATCCCTAACCTCTGCATTGTTCAAGGGTCAACTATAATTTTTTTTGTTTTTTCCTTAATGTTTCTTAGCATATTATAGCTTTTTCCTGTTATAGTGTCTAGGACCTCCAATACTTTGTTAAATAGAAGATAATGGAATTATTGTTGTTCCTGACACTCTCTCTCTCTTTTTCTTTTTCTCTCTCTCTCTCTATATATATATATTTAAGCATTTCATAGTTTTCTTAAACCCTTTATCATTTAAATAAATTTATCTATTTTTCTAGTTTAAGAGATTTAGAGTTTGGGTTTTAAATTAATATTTCTCGTGTATCTATTGAGCTTATCTATAGAATTTTTTCCTTTAACTTTTTATTTAACGTTGTAAATTATATTGTGGATTTAATGTTGAACCAACCTTAAAGTCCTGGAATATACCTATCTTTGACATTGTATATTACCTGTTTTCATACATTTCTGGACTCGGTTTGCTAATATTTAAGATTTAAACATCTATGTTCATGTAGGAAGTTTACCTGTAATTTTTCTTTCTCATATTGCCCTTCTGTGGTTCTGTTAACAAGATTGTACTAGCCTCATAGACAATTGTTTTCTTTTTTTTTTAATTTTCTGGAAGAGTTTAAGACTGGAATATTTTGTTCCTTGAAAATTTGTTTTTTGAAATTGTTTGAAACTTACTTTATGGCCTAGGACTAGGCCATTCATTATGGTCAATTTCAGTAAATATTTTGTATGGGAGGCAAAATTTTACATTTATCCTCTTAGGGTGTTTTGGCTGGGCCTGAGAATTAAACTGACATAAGACAGATTAACAGGAGAAAAGCATACACATTTACTTAATGTAAGTTTTGTGTAACATAGGAGTCCTCCTGAAGAAATGAAGACCCCTGAAGAAGCAGTTAGAGTTGAACATGTATATACTGGGTTGAACAAAAAGTAGTAAGTTGTGAAAATGTGACAAGGCAAGGGGGCTTGGGCTAGGGTAGTTAACTGTGGAGAAGTGGCTAGGAAGATAAGGGTTAGTTTAACAAGGTCTGTTTGTACAAATTTCTCTTGGCTTTGGCTCCCCATCTCTAGTAATAAAAACAATGTCCTTCTCCAGGTGCAAGGAGGACACCTTCCACATGGGAGTTTTATCTCCTGCCTTTAGGTAGGTCACAGTGTCCTTTCTGCATTTGCTGGTGTGTATGTGTGTGTGTGTGTGTGTTTTAAGTGACTTTAACTCAATCAGTGGGCTAGAGCAGATATTTTGGGGTGTTCTGAATGCTTTCCTATTTAATGCAGTATTAATATTTATTTGTTAGATTAATCCTGTTCCTTGTGATATTGCAATTTTCTGTATCCTTAATGATTTGTTTCTGCTTGATCTATCAATTATTGAGAAAGCTGTATTAAACTTTCCTACTGTGTATACTGGATTTGTCCATTTTAAAATTATAGTTGTGTCAATTTTGCCTTGTATATTTTGAGATTGTTATTAGGTACATATAAGTTTAGAATTGTTACATCTTCATGATCAGTTGAACATTTTGTTGGTATTTAGTGACTATTTTTATCATTATAATGCTTTTTTGCATGACCGTGGCTTTTTTATTATGCTTTTTTTAACCATTTTAAGATGTACCATTCTGTAGCATTAAATTCATTCAAATCCTTTGCCCATTTTTAAATCAGGGGTTTTTTGTTATGAGTTTCAATGTTTTGTTTTTGTTTGTAGCTTTTTTTGTTATTGATACATGGCATCAGCCTTCTTTGGATAATATTTTCGTGGTATACTATTTCAATCCTTTAACTTTCACCTGCTTTGTATATCTGTCATAAAAGACATAAATGAATTTTGTGGTTTTAGCCAATTTAACAATTTCTGTCCTTTAGTTGGAGAGTTTAGTTCAACTACATTTATTATTTTTACTAATATATTTGTCTTCATTCCTACCATCTTCTTTTGTACTTTCTATTTGTCCCACCTTTTTCTATGTTTCATTTTTGTCTTCTCTTCTTGCTTACCTTATTTTAAGGTTCTTTTTTCTCCTCTTTCCATTCTTTTCTTCTTCTACTTGATTGGGACTTTTACACCCTGTTTTATTTTGCTTTTTCATGTTATCCAAGATTTTTACTGTGTGTTAACTTAAAAAGTCTAAAGTTACTTAATAACTTTATCTCTTTCCCATTCCATATGTAATCATTAAACTCTGGGTGTCTAGTCAGTATCTACCCTTTATATTTCTCAAGAATGAGTCCAATTCTGGTCCCTCGGTTCCTCAAACCTCAGAAGAAATATTACAGTTTCTGAAGTGGTCCCCTTGAAGAAATCCCTCTTGGCCTTTTTATTATTATTATTATTTTTGTTTGTTTTTTGAGATGGAGTTTTGTTCTTGTTGCCCAGGCTGGAGTCCAATGGCGCGATCTCAGCTCACTGCAACCTCCGCCTCCTGGGTTCAAGCGATTCTCCTGCCTCAGCTTCCCAAGTAGCTGGGATTACAGACGCCCACCACCACGCCTGACTAATTTTTTGTATATTTAGTAGAGACGGGGTTTCACCATGTTGACCAGGCTGGTCTTGAACTTCTGACCTCAGGTGATCCACCCGCCTCGGCCTCCCAAAGTGCTGGGATTACAGGCATGAGCCATTGCACCCGGCCCTGAATCTTCACAAAATCTTAATAGTGATAACTTAATGTCCATGTTTTTACTAAATTGCTCAGAAGGAATGTATCATCAACACACAAAGGTTTCAGTAAAGCTCTTCATTCATTCAATGAATATTTGAGTGCCTATTACATATCAAGTCTTGTGCTAGGCACTGGGAATATAGTGGTAAACAAGATAGACAAGACTCTTCCCTGCATGGAGATGACATTCTAATAAACAGATACAGGTGATAAACAGGTAAACCAAAACAAATTCATATCTAACATGTGCTTTGAAGAAAGTAAATATGGTGACAGAGGGAGTAAGAAGGGTAAGCAAAGACCCAAGAATGAAGAGCAAAGAGCCAATGAAAGAGCTTTCCAGGCTAAAGAAGTTGCATACAGTGAGGCAAGAAAAATTGGGATGTGTTTAATAAACATGAAGAAAGCCAGTATAGATGATGCACAGTGATGGTGTCGTGGAAAGGCCAGCAAGGAGGTCAGCTAGTGCCAGATCATAGACGGTATTATAGGATGCAGGAAGAGTGTAAATTTTCTTCTTGGTGTCAGCAGAAACCATTGGAGAATGTTATTGGATTATTTTTAAATAATCCAATTTACATTTTTGAAAGGATCACTCTGATTGCTGTGAAAAGTGTGGGACAGGGTGTGAGTAGAAGCTGCCAAGCCCCTTAGAAAGTTATTAAAGTAATACAGGTGACAGATTATGGTGCTGGAGCAGGTGCAGTTGAGTGAAGACAGGATCTGATGATGCATTTGCCTGTTAGGGATATGAGCAAGAAAGTGATCAAAAATTGTCTAGGTTTGTGGTTTGTAGCTAGAAGGACGCTACCGCCATTTTCCGAGACGAAAAGTGCAGGTATCAGGCAGGGTAATTCAGAGTTCCACATTGGAAATGTTCAGTTTGAAATGTGTGCTAGGTATCTAAGTGAAGATGTGAAGTTGGCAGTTAGATGTATGAATTCATAGCTCAGAAAAGTCAGAGTGGAAACTTGGCATTTGGCAATTGTTCAGATACAGATGGGTGATTCTACCTGCAGAGGAGGGTGTATGTAGAGAAGAAAAGCCCTGGGGTGCTCCAGGAAGAGAGCCTGGGCTAAGAAGAAGGCCCTAGCAAAGAAGGATGAGAAGGAGCAGCCAGTAAGGTAGAAAAAACACAGGAAAATGTGGGGCCATATAAACCAAGAGAAGAGGGTGTTTAGAAAGTATGGAGTGATCAACTGTGATGCATGCTGCAGAGACTTGAGTAAAATAAGAATAAAGATGTGACCTTTGAATTTGGCACCATTCTAGGCTGTAGTAACCTTGATGAAAACAGTTTCATTGGCATGGAGTGGAAGGGATCAGCTGGGCTGGGGAAATGGCACAGGCATTGGAATGGGAGCTTAGAATGCATAGGTAGCTTAGTTTGATGATATTTGTCTTTTTGCAGTGTTTTCTCCACTCAACAGTTGTTCCTCTCCACCTCTAAAATTCACTGATTCATTCTCCATTGCACAAATCCCCTTTCCTTCTCTTTTAAAGGCTGATTTCTCTCCTCTTCTGGAACAGCAGTGCTTAATCACCCCCCATGTGCAATAGTAGGAAGAAGTGGGGAGACAGCTTTCATAATTAAGGTAGCTGCCTGACCATTGGCCATTGACTTCAGATACAAAGAGGTTAACTTTTTAAAATTAATTAATAAACTTTTTAAATTAATTACAGTTTTACAGCAAAATTGAGCAGAAAATAGAGTTCCTATATACCTCTGTCCCATACACACACGAAACCTTCCCCACTATCCACATCCCACACCAAAGTGGTACATTTGTTACAGCTCATGAACCTACATTGACACATCATTTATCACCCAGCGTACGTACCTACATTAGGACTTACTCTTAGTGTTGCAAATTCAATGGGTTTGAACAAATGTATAATGATAAGTATTCATCATCACAATATCATACAGAAGAGTTTCACTGCCCTAAAAATTCTCTATGCTTTGCCTCTTCAACTCTCTCTTCCCCTCACCCCTGGCAACCACCGATCTTTTTGCTGTCTCCATAATTTTGCCTTTTCCAGAATGTCATATAGTTTGAATCATACCGTATATAGCCTTTTCAGAGGCTTCTTGTACTTAGTAATATGCATCTAAATTTCCTCCATGTCTTTTCATGGCTTGATAGCTCATTTCTTTTTTAGTGCTGAATCATATAATATTCCATCATCTGAGTATCCCGCAGTTTATTTATTCATTTACCTACTGAAGAACATCTTGGTTGCTTCCAAGTTTTAGCAATTATAAATAAAGCTTCTGTAAACACCTATTTGCAGGTTTTGTATAGATATAAGTTTTCGACTCATTTGGGTAAATACCAAGGCATTTTGCTTGATTGTATGCTAAGAGTATGTTTAGTTTTGTAAAAAATGACTGAACTGTCCTCCAGACTGGCTGTATCATTTCCATTTCTATCAACAATGAACGAGAGTTCCTATTATTCACATACTCACCAGTATTTGGGTTGTCAGTGTTTTGGATTTCTGCCATTCTAATAGTCATGTGGTGGTATCTCATTGTTAATTTGCATTTCCCTGATGACATATGCAGTAGTCTGTTTTCACACTGCTATAAAGAAATACCTGAAACTGGGTAATTTATAAAGGAAAGAGGTTTAATTGACTCACAGTTCTGCATGGCTGGGGAGGCCATGGTGGAAGATGAAGGGGAAGCAAGGCACGTCTTACATGGCGGCAGGAGAAAGAGACAGTGCAGGGGAAACTGCCATTTTTAAAACCATCAGATCTCATGAGAACTCCCTCACTGTTATGAGAACAGCATGGGGAAAACCGCCCCCATGATCCAACCACCTCCCACCAGGTCCCTCCCTTGACACGTGGGGATTACAATTCAAGATGAGATTTGGGTGGGGACATTGAGCCAAACCATATCAGTATATGATGTAGAACATTTTTTGCTATAGTTACCTGCCATCTGCATATATTCTTTGGTGAGGTATCTGTTAAGGTCTTTGGCCCATTTTTTAAATCAGGTTGTACACTTTCTTATTGTTATATTATTAGAGATTTTTGTATTGTAGGAGATCAGATTATGCCAACCCAGAACCATGCAGTGGTGTGTGCCTGTAGGTGCAGCTACTACAGAGTCTGAGGCAGGAGGATCTCAAGTTCAAGCCTAGTCTGGGCAAAATAGTGAGACCTCCAATTTCCAAACAAAACAAAACAAAAAAACAAAGAATATGCCACTTTGGCATAAAGATTATTTGAGCTGAAGGAAATTAAGGAAAAACAAGCACAAGAAAAACTCTTTGCCCCCTCCCACCAGAAAGGGCAGAATGATTCTTAATCACTGAAGATAACTCTAGACTATATAAATATATATTTTTTTCTTTTTAGAGACAGATTCTCACTCTGTTACCCAGGCTGGAGTGCAGTGGTGCAATCATAGCTCACTGCAGCCTCGAACTCCTGGGCTCAAGCAATCCTCCTGCCTCAGCCTCCCATGTAGCTGGGACTACAGGCATGTGCCACCACACCCAGCTAGTTTATTTTATTTTTAAATGTTTTTAGAGGCAAGATCTCACTATGTTGCATCCAAGCTGGTCTCCAACTCCTGGCCTCAAGCAACCCTCCTGCCTCAGGCTTTCCTCCAGAGTAGCTGGGATTACAGGCACAAGCAACTCTAGACTATTAATAAACCCAGAGACACAAAGAATTTACAGAAGAAACCTTCTCAAAACAACCCTTATCTTCCATTAGTTCCCTCCATTTATTTACCTTCCACAGTTTGCTGACCCTAAAAACCTAAGCCCATTTTTCTTTGTCTTGTCACTTCTCTAAAAATTTGTTATGAAGCCCCATGTTCTAACTACCCTTTTTAGCTACTCATCACTGCTGTTTTTCCTGCATGTAAGCACAATGCACATGTTAATAAATTCCACCTGTTTTTCTCTTGTTAATCTGTATTTGTCAGTATAATTGTCAGGGTCTCAGTTACAGAACCAAGGAGAATAGAGGAAAAAGAGGTTTCTTCTCCCTTCCCCTACAGTTTATTTTGGATAACAGTCCTTTATATGTCTTTTGAAAATATTTTCTCCTAGTATGTGGCTTGTCTTCTAATTCTCTTGACAGGATATTTCAGAGTGTAAGTTTGTAATTTTAGTAAGGTACCAATTACTAATGAGAGATACATGCAAACCATAGCATGTATTTTTAACACAAATTCAGTGTTCACTGCTTAACACTGTCATTTAAAAATCTTTACTAATTGGTTAAAAATTGTATCCCATTGTTGTAATTGCAATTTCTTCTATTACAAATGAGGTCGACCAAATGTTAATCAAATGTTTGTTAGCTATTTTTGGTATATTTTGTTTATAAACTATTTGTTCATAAATTGGTTCATGTAATCCACTGTTTTATCCAAATTACTTAATGGTTTTACTTGTGTTTAGGAAAACTGGAGAGAAATTTATCAATTTTCTCTTTCATGGATTGTGTCTTTGGTGTTGTATTCAACAGTCATTGCATGAAGATGGTAAATTTTGTTAGGTGTATCTTCTTAGTCTGTTTCATGCTGCTATAATAGAATATCACAGACTGGGTAATGTATAAAGAAAAGAAATTTATTTCTTACAGTTCTGGAGGGTGGGAAATCCAAGACTGGGGGGCCCACATCTGGTGAGGGCCTCATGCTCCGTCATCCCATGGTGGAAGGCAGAAGGGTGAGCACATGTGAGCACGCATATGAAGCACTCATGTGCAAAAGAGAGAGAGAAAGACAGGGGGAGGGAAGGGACTGAATTCATTCTTTTATCAGGAACCCACTCACACAATAATTAACCCACTCCTGCAATAATGGCATTCATCCATTCGTGAGGGCAAAGCCTCATGATCTAATCACCCCTTAAAAGTCCCACCTCTCAGGTTGCAGTGAGCTGAGATGGCGCCACTGCACTCCAGGCTGGCGGCAGAGCAAGACTCTGTCTCAAAAAAAAAAAAAAAAAAAAAAAAGTCCCACCTCTCAACACTCTTGCATTGGAAATTGTGTTTTCAACACATGAACTTTGAGGAATACATTAAAACCATAGCATATATTTTAACATAATTTTTTTAATTGAGGGAAAAAAGTAATTGCCATACCCAAGGTCATCTAGATTTTCTCCTATGTTATCTTCTTAGGAGTTTTATAGTTTTACATTTTATATTTAAGTCTGTGGCCCATTTAGAGTTCTTTATTTTCTTTTTTGAGACAGGGTCTGGCTCTGTCACCCACGCTGGAGTGCAGTGGCACTATCTCAGCTCACTGCAACCTCCACCTCACAGGCTCAAGTGATCCCACTGCCTCAGCCTCCTGAGTAGCTGGGATTACAGGCATGTGCCACCATACCTGGTTAATTTTTGTATTTTTAGTAAAGATAGGGTTTCACCATGTTGCCTAGGCTGGTCTTGAACTCCTAGGCTCAACCAATCTGCCTGCCTCAGCTCCCAAAGTGCTGGGATTACCGGTGTGAGCCACTGCACCCGGCCTAGAGTTAATTTTTGTGATGATTGTAAGATCTGTGTCTAGATTGAATTTTTTGCATGTGGATATGCAAGGCTAACATTTTAGAAACAGATTGTTTTCCTGGTTATAAAGTTAATACATGCTCAGTATAGAAATTTCCTAAAAGGCAGAAAAATATTAAGATAATTGAAATTATGACTGTTAACACTTTGATGAACTGCCAATTAGTCCTTTTTATATGCATTTTAACATTTTTCCACTTGCTTTCTTCATTTGGACATTATAATATGATCATTTTCCCTACACTGTTAAAAACTCTTTCTAAACACCCTTTTAATCATTGCATTTTCTCTAAGTAAATCATGTAATATCATTCACTTAGTTTTTTTATTGACATTTCTCATTTCTAAATTTTACCCTAATGAATATATTTGTATAGAAAGCTTTCTCCCCCACCCCTCTGTTTCAAGTTCTTTCCTTAGGATAGAGCCATAATAATAGACATGGAATCAGAGCAGGGAAAAGGTTAGCACGCTCCTAATGCATAATGTCAAATTGCTTTCCAGGAAGCTAGTTCTAATTTACAATCCCATCAGTAGTGGATGAATGCCTATCTTCACTCAATTCCCACCACTACTGAACCCTGTCATTTAAAGATCTTCGCTAATTTTAGAGGTTAAAAATTGTATCCCATTGTTATAATTGCCATTTCATTGATTACTAATGGGGTTGAACAAATGTTAATCAAATATTTGTTAGTTATTTGTGGTATACTTTCTTTGTAAATTATTTGTTCATAAATTGGTTCATTTAATCCACTGTTTTATCCAAATTGCTTAATGGTTTTATTTGTTTTTAGGAAAACTGGAAGAGCTTACATAAGAAAGGTATTGCAACATACGACTCCTAAAGGATTTTTGTCCTCAGTTATTGCAGAAATGAAAGAGCCCTTTGGATTAGAAGAAGTGAATGAGAGCTCTTGTTTGTCTAGTTCCCTTTTGATTAATAAAGCTGGAAATGTCTATAAACTCACTCTTGATTCACAAGGTAGGTATAATAATATCATACATCTCTGATGGCTAGAAAAAAATGAAAAATTATCTTTTGTGAAGGCATTTTAATGCTTATTTATAGAGCAATAGATTTCAAATTTTAGTCCAACTGGCAACCTACCAAAGTTTACATATATTTGGGTTCCTGAAAGTTTTTTGTTTTTTTTTTTTTTGGCAATGGAGTCTCGCTCTATCGCCCAGGCTGGAGTGTAGTGACGCGATCTCGACTCACCGCAACCTCTGCCTCCCAGGTTCAAGCGATTCTCCTGCTTCAGCCTCCCGAGTAGCTGGGATTACAGGCATGTGCCACCACACCCAGCTAATTTTTGCTTTTTTGGAGTCTCGCACTGTCACCCAGCCTGGAGCGCAGTGGTGCAATCTCAGCTCACTGCAACCTCCGCCTCCTGGCTTCAAGCAATTCTCCTGCCTCAGCCTCCCGAGTAGCTGGGATTGCAGGCGCATGCTGCCACGCCCAGCTAATCTCTTTTGTATTTTAGTAGAGATGGGGTTTCACCATGTTGCCCAGGCTGCTCTCGAACTCCTGAGCTCAGGCAATCTGCCCACCTCAGCGTCTCAAAGTGCTAGGATTACAGGCATGAGCCACTGCACCCGGCCTAATTTTTGTCTTTTTAGGAGACGGGGTTTCACCTTGTTAGCCAGGCTGGTCTCAAACTCCTGACCTCGAGTGATCCGCCTGCCTCAGCTTCCCAAAGTGCTGGGATTATAGGCATTAGCCACCACACTCTGCCCAAGATTTTTTTTTCTAATATAATAAAATATAGCTATAACTTCATTGATATTTCATCAATAGTAGTGCCTATTATTTATTCCTATGAGATTATTTTGTCTTGAAGAGTGATCAGAAGAAATGAAAGAAAATGGGAAGTTCCTGCAGATTTTGCCTCACTTTAACAAAATAATTTTGAATCAATGTTCTATAGGATGTTTCTATCTCAAAGGATTATTGATTCACAGCAAAAGTTAGTACAGTTTATTCTAAGGGTTTAGGTTTTACTCTGACTAAACGGGAAGCCACTGGAGGGTTAAGCAGAAAGTGATATGATCTGACTTAGCTCTCAACAAGATCACTTTGGCTGCTGTGATGAGAACAGACTGGGCAGGTGATGGAGAGAAAGCAAGGAGGAAAGCAGAGAAGTCAGCTAGGAGGCCATTACAATAATCAAGTGAGAGATCATATTAAACTTAAAGATGCTTGTTACTCATCCAAGTGGAGAAATAAGATGGGCACTTAGAAATACAAGTCTGGAGTTCAGGGAAGATGGCTGGGCTAGAGACACAGATTTGAGGACTTTCAGCATATGTATGATAGTTAATGCTATAAGACCAAATGAGAACACCTGGAAAATGAGTGGTGTTATAGAAGGGAAGAGGCTTGAGGTCTAATCCAGGGCAATATCTAGTGTTCAGGGAGATGGAGGAGAATCATTAAAGGATATTGGGTGGCCTGGTCAGAGTAGAACTAAGAGTGTGTCAAACCAGGTGAGGAAGGTGTTTCAAGAAGGAGAGGCCCCTCTCCCGTGTTGCATAACGCCAATAGGTCTGGTAAGATAAGGAATGAAAATTGGCCAGTGGATCTGTGTGAAAGTCCTTGGGAACCCTGGCCGGGTATGGTGGCTCATGCCTGTAATCCCAGCACTTTGGGAGGCTGAGGCAGGTGGATCACCTGAGGTCAGGAGTTTGAGACCAGTCTGGCCAACATGGTGAAACCCCGTCTCTACTAAAAATACAAAAATTAGCTGGGCCTGGTGGCAGGTGCCTGTAATTCCAGCTACTTGGGAGGCTGAGGCAGGAGAATTGTTTGAACCCAGGAGGTGGAGGTTGCAGTGAGCCAAGATTGCGCCATTGCACTCCAGCCTGGGTGACAAGAGCGAAACTCCATATCAAAAAAAAAAAAAAAAAAGTCATTGAGAACTTTGACAAAAAGCTGTTGGCTGGAGTCATGTAGACAAAAGTCTGATTGGAATGGGTTCGAAAAATTATGAGAGGAGAGTGGAGACAGTGAATAAAGGTAACTCTTTCAGGAAGTTTTACTATAAAGGGAAAGAGAAATTACATGGTGGTTGGAGGGAATATTGGAAAGGATTTTCGTTGGTCGGTTTGAACTGGGAGAAATTGGAGCATGTGTGCATAATTAAGGCAATGATGAAGCCCTCTTCTGACTGTTTCTATTTTATTTTAGAGTAAGAGAGTATTGATGACATGTTTCATGACCTATCAAAAATATTTTGATAATGATTACTTCCCTCTCATTTCAACAGCCTTCCTTGGCTTCATTGATGTCTTCTCTGATTTTCTCCAATCATTTCTTCTTCGTCTCCGTGAGAGGATCTTTTTCCCTTTCCATTCCTTAAATGATGATGTTCCTTAAGGTCCTGCCCAAGAACCTCTTTTCTTCTAAATCTTCATATTCTCCTTAAATACTCAATCACTCATCCATTCAACAAATATTTATTGAGTATCTTCTGTGTAATAAGCACATCTTTAGGTACTGGGGAAACTGGCTACATTATCCTTCTCTTGTAGAATCACAATAAAGATTTTAGGTTTTTAAGGCTTTTAGTATTTCCATAGTAAAAAAAAAAATCAGCTTTCTTTACTTAGCTCTACATGGTTTTTTACTGCCAAAAATTTTATACAATAGTTTCACAGTAAACATTAAAGCATAGGTGCATGGTCTATTTATGATAAACTTTCTATAAAATAATTTGAATTATGACTGAAATTTGGCAACTGTGTTCTCTGGTTAAGAGATAGTTTAAAAACTCAAACAGTGTATTTGTTAGCTATGTACATCAGTTTGTTTGGCAAACATCGGATGTTTGATTTAATACCAAGTCTCTTCTGTTTAATCTCCAGTTGTTCAGGCCTTGTTTGAAGATACAGATATAGAGAAGACTGTAGTGCTTCCCGGGTACAGCAGCTTCCTCATCACAAGCATTTTAGATAATAAGAATGCATTAGCCATTGCTACCATGCCTGAAAGTGCACCCAACAATATGACCTTTCTAAAGAGCACATGGTTCTTATACAACTTTGGGCAAAGGAATGGACGAACATGGAAAATATATTCAAAACCATGTAATTATTGGTTTCAACATGATGATTCACCATCCCTCAACATCGTGAAATACATTGATCTGGGAAACTCTTATGTTTTAAAAGCTAAGGTCATACGGAATGCAAAAGGTAAGTTTGTTTTGATCGGAAAATATAAAAAGGAAATGTTATTTCTTTTCTTGAATGTGAAATATACTCTTTGATACTGACTGACTTTATCCTTGGTTCCCATACTTGTTGGCATTCTACTACTAACAGTATTAGTGCCTAATTATTGAGTACTTACTATGTACTGGGCTCTATATTAAACTATTATTTTATTTATTTATTTATTTGTGAGACAGACTCCCCCTCCATCGCCCAGGCTGGAGTACAGTGGCACAGTCTTGGATCACTGCAGCCTCCACCTCCTGGGTTCAAGCGATTCTCCTGCCTCAGCCTCCCAAGTAGCTGGGATTACAAGTGTACACCACTCCCGGCTAGTTTTTTGTATTTTTAGTAGAGACAGGGTTTTGCCATGTTGGCCAGGCTGCTCTCAAACTCCTGACCTCAAGTGATTCACCTGCCTCAGCCTCCCAAAATGCTGGGATTACAGGCGTGAGCCACCTCGCTCAGCCATATTTCTATACATTATTTTATTTAATGTTTATAACAACCCTAAAAATATAGATTATAATCCTCATTTTACAAATGAGGAAAATGAGATTGCTACCAGCCCAAGTTGACACAGAATTTTAGTGTAGATTTCTGTTGCCCTCTGAAAGGAAAACTTTTTAATTACTTTGGTATTGTTATATTTATTTCAGCTACAGTTGACCCTTGAACAACACCAGTTTGAACTCTGCAGATCCTCTTATGTGCAGATATTGTTCAGCCAAACACGGACAGAAAACACAGTTTTTGCGGGATGTGAAACCCACATATACACAGGCACTGACTTTTCCTATGTGTGAGTTCCACAGGCCCAATTTAGGGACTTGAGTATATGTGGATTTTGGTATATACAGGGCTCCTTGAACCAACCCTTTGTATATACCACAGAATGACTGTATTTATTTTAAGCCAAAAAAAAGACCTTGAAGTAGAATTCTATACTTTCCCCCATTTTTCCAGCTATTTATTTATTACAAAAGTAATACAAAAATTGTTAAAGATGCTAGCGAAATAGCACAATGGAAAAAATAAAACAAAAAATTTTAGTAAATAACTGAGATAGGAAGAGAGGAAGGAAAGATGGAAGGGAGGGAGTAGGGGAGAAAGGGCAAGGAAAAGAAGAAAATTGTGCCACCAGAAATGAAAAGGGAACTTCAAACCAAAGAAATTAGCTAATGTATGACTCCCTGGAGGATGTGAGGCCCAGATACTGATCATAAGGCAGTGAGACAACTTTTAATGACCAATTGTTGACAGAAAGTTTGACTTTGGGCCTTACTACTTTGTGGAAGGAAGTTGGAATGGAGACCATTAAAGAAAGCTGGGACCATCAAATCATGAAGAGAGAATTAGGAAAACTCTGTCCACCAGAGTTTTCCTAAAGCAGCAGCATGGGCTTAGAATGGGGAGAAGGAATTTCCCGTAAAAAATCAAAACTTCAAGACTGTATCACATTCAGAGACTGAATTCTGCATTCACATGCAGAATTCCACGCTGAGAAATAATAACACCTGGGCCCCAACACAAGGAAGCACAAAACTCTGTAGGGGTCAAGCATGGTGTCTCATGCCTCTAATCCCAGCACTTTGGGAGGCCGAGGCAAGAGGATAGCTTGAGCCCAGGAGTCTGAGACCAGCCTGGGCAATATAGCAAGAGCCTGTCTCTATTAAAACACACACACACACACACACACACACACACACACACACACACACACACACAATTTTATTACATTAAAAATATATTTTAAATTTACTCTCTGTAGGAATACTTTTATGACCCAGGTAATATGGACTTCCAGGGAAAAATCAGTCTCCATTGATCACAAATTGAGGAAAAGAACTTTAAAACTATGTAAGGAAATGACCCACCATAACAGAGAGTCAACAGGCATAGGAAAATTTTAGACTCCAGGAACTTGAGATAACAGAAAAATTAGAAAGACACTATCAAATGAGTATGCATAAAACTCTCAGAGTAAAAGAAGATATAGGAACCATAATGAAAGGACAAAATGCTATTTTTTTTTTAAAAAAAAGGCTTATTTGAAAAAACAGAACCAAGTAGTTTATATAAGTGAAAATTAGAAGTTTTGAAAAAAATTGAGAACATCTATTTCCCTCAATATCGTGGATTAAATGTCCTGAAAACCTTCCTTCTATCTGAAACCCTTGGAAATCCTTTCTTGTTGATTGTATGACTAATTGTCCCTATTTCCTTCAAGTAATTTTAGAAGTTTTAATTTTATGGTTTTAACTTTCTATTTAATTTTTAGGTTACCTCTATTTTATTTTGGTATATTATGTATGGTTAGCTAGTTGTTCCAATATTATTTATTCACTAATGCATCCTTTCTCTGCTGATTTCAAAATATAACTTTATCTTAGTATACAATTTACCTGTTATTCTGACCATTTCTGAATTTTTAGGATCTGTTCCATTGTAATCTCTCTATATTCTGTCACCAACACCGCAATGTTCTAATTATTTTCCCTTTAAAATATACTGAATTGCTTATTAAAGGGCTCAATCAGTTATATGTGTTCAGTTTGATGGAAGTAAATAATAATCAACAAATCAACTAAGTTGCCTGTTTCTGCAGAAAAATCTAGTCAAATCTACTGAAGGTGTGGTCCCTGAACCTGTGTTAGCATCACCAGGGCACTTGTTAGAAATGCAGAATCTCAGGCCTCACTCCAGACCTGCTCAATCTGTATTTCAACAAAATCTCCGGGTAAAGGCTAGGAAGCACTGGCCAGGTCACTTTGGTTTAAGGGAAACAGCTGCAGGTGTTTATAAACTCTGGTTTATTGATTGGTAAAGATGCCAGTTAGACTACATAGTATTTCAAATCTGTTTTTCCACTGAAGTGCTCAGTATGGCAAAGTTGCAAACAGGTGGCCTGCAGGCAGAAATTGGTCTGGTGAAATATTTTGTTTGAAATGCATAAGAGTTTTCTCTTGGCAACAATTAACTGGCAGCCCTTTCAACTGGGCATGTACCCTTCAGTTTTTCTACTCAGTCAACCAACTCAGTGTAGCCAGTATTATTGGAGACCTTGATTAGCATTTGAGAAGCAGGCTGAGGAATGAGGGAAACATTTCTCTGAGAAAATATTTGTAAAGTTACATTTTTCTGAGAACTGTCAGAGGCGTTTGAACCACAGCAACTTCATCTTGAATAGGAGCTGGGTAAAATGAGGCTGAGACCTACTGGGTTGCATTCCCAGATGGTTAAGGCATTCTAAGCCACAGGATGAGATACGAGGTTAGCACAAGATACAGGTCATAGAGACCTTGCTGATAAAACTGGTTGCAGTAAAGAAGCTGGGCAAAACCCACCAAAACCAAGATAGCAATCAGAGTGACCTCTGGTTGTCCTCAGTGCTACACTCCCACCAGCACCATGACAGTTTACAAATGCCATGGCAACATCAGGAAGTTACCCTATATAGTCTAAAAAGGGGAGGCATGAATAATCCACCCCTTATTTAGCATATTATCATGAAATAACCATAAAAATGGGCAACCACCAGCTCTATGGAGTAGCCATTCTTTTATTCCTCTACTTTCTTAATAAACTTGCTTTCACTTTACTCTATGGACTCACCCTGAATTCTTTCTTGTGTGAGATTCAAGAACCCTCTCTTGGGGTCTGGATCAGGACCCATTTCCTGTAACAGAACTATTAAAGTTGACTCTATATAAATTGCTAACTGTATGTGCAGTCATTGTGCAACCTTCAGAATAGATTCAGTTGATGTTCTAAAATCTGATTAGCCAATCATTATTCAATTGAGTTTACAGTTTTCATTATCTAATATTAACTGTTAACCTTGTTTCCATAGGTTTTCGAATGCTTGAAATACCACTACTGACTGTGTTTGTTGGAAACCCTAATTTGTTGGAAGTTACAGCTGAAGTGACTTTTGATGATACTGACAGTTATGTAATAACAATTTCTGCAGCTAGCAAAGTTTTACATCAGGTAGGATTTTCTTCATTTACAAAACATTTCTTACTGATGAAAAAATTTTCTGAAACAACTATTATTAATATTTAATGAGCATCATTTTAAACATCTCTGTTTATAAATACACACATAAGAGTATAGGGTTACAAGGATAAATACATTGAAGAAAGTGTTGTAATAATTTTATAAAAATAGATCTATGTCCTACATAATATTTTTAGTAATTACTTATATATTTATCAAACTTAAAAGAAAAATTGAGATGCAACTAAAGGTAACTGCACATTTCAGAATCATATTTTTTTACCACAAAAATATTAAGTTGAGCTGTATGAAATTACCCTTTTGCAGACCAAAACACAGTGAAATCTTGGCAATTTAATAGGTTCAATTTATAATTTTTGCAAATATCACATTA
Source organism: Homo sapiens (assembly GCF_000001405.40). Lineage (NCBI taxonomy): Eukaryota > Metazoa > Chordata > Mammalia > Primates > Hominidae > Homo > Homo sapiens. Next base: position 91,617,193 of record NC_000014.9, on the reverse strand, counting down.
AAAATTAAAGAAAAAGGTAACAAGAAACAGTAGCAATTGAGGCCATTTCTTTTTTTGTTGTTGTTTAACTTGGACTCCTTTTTATCGCTTTATATGTGTATACGGTTAATTACATTTCTTCCTTCAACTGCTTAAACATAGGGAATATGGGCTGGGTGTGGTGGCTCACGCCTGTAATCCCAGTACGTTTGGGAGGCCAAGGCGGGTGGATCACCTGAGGTCGGCAGTTCAAGACCAGCCTGACAAACATGGAGAAACCCCGTCTCTACTAAAAATACAAAAATATTAGCCAGGCATGGTGGCCCTTGCCTGTAATCCCAGCTACTCGAGAGGCTGAGGCAGGAGAATCACTTGAACCTGGGAGGCAGAGGTTGCAGTGAACCGAGATCGTGCCATTGCACTCCAGCCTGGGCAACAAGAGTGAAACTCTGTCTCAAAAAAAAAAAAAAAAAAAAAAAAAGGGGAATACTTTAAATAATAAGAAATTCATTAGTTGAAATAAAGGCTTATTATTTATACCATGTTCTTAATATGTACTTAGTATGATAGACTTATTGAAATTGTGATAGAATAAAGATGAGCTACTAAATGAAAACTAAATGGTGAAAAATAAAATACATGTAGCTTACTAAACTCCTAGCATCTAAGAGGAAGAAATATCTCAATTCTTCAGGAAAAACAAACATTTTTCAAATTATAAATTTACAAGTCATTTTTTTTTAGCAGTGGACAATTACCAGGGCATGAACCCTTCGTTAGCATTACTTTATTCAGTAAATGAGAACCACAAAAAATCACTGGAAAGGACTAGAGACAGATACGGAATAAATGTGCTCTTCAGCATTTTTCTTTTTTTTTATTGTAAATCAACAGTTTATAATTGTATAAATTTATGAGGTACAAAGTGATGAAAGATGAAAGATAAGTTTTGGTGAGAATGTGGAGAAAAGGGAACACTTGTACACGGTTGCTGAGAATGTAAATTAGTAGAGTCATTATGGAAAACGGTATACAGCCAGGTGCAGTGGCTCACGCCTGCAATCCCAGCACTTTGGGAGGCCAAGGTGGGCGGATCACCTGAGGTTGGGAGATCAAGACCATCCTGGCTAACACAGTGAAACCCCATCTCTACTAAAAATACAAAAGATTAGCCAGGCATGGTGGCATGCGCCTGTAATCCCAGCTACTCGGGAGGCTGAGGCAGGAGAATCGCTTGACCACGGGAGGCGGAAGTTGCAGTGAGCCGAGATCACACCACTGCACTCCAGCCTGGGCAACAGAGAGAGAGATTCCATCTCAAAAAAAAAAGGAAAACTGTATGTATGATCCTCAAAAAACTAAAAGTAGAATTATTGTATGATCTAGCAATTTCAAATCGAGGTATTTACCCAAAATATTTCAAATCCATTTGTCAAAAAGATGTCTGTGTACCAGTGTTTACTGAAGCACTATTCAGGACAGCCAAGTTACCGGGTCAACCTAAAAGTTCATTAAGAGATGAATGGATAAAGAAATATGGTGCAGGAATATATACACAATGTAATACTACTCAGCCTTTTAAAAGAAGGAAAGTCTGTGATTTGCAACAAAATGATGGAATTGGAACATTATGCTAAGTGAAATAAGCCAGGCACACAGAAAGATAAATACCACACATCCTCGGTTGTATGTGAAATCTAAAAAATTGAACTCATAGAAGCAGAGAACAAAATGGTGGTTACAGAGCTGGAGGTAAGAAGGATGGTCAAGGGGTACAACAGTGGTCTCCAACCTTTTTGGCACCAGGAACCAGTTTCATGGAGGACAGTTTTTCCATGGAATGGGATGCGGGGGCATGGTTTCAGGATGAAACTGTTCCACTTCAGATCATCAGGCATTAGATTCTCATAAGGAATGTGCAACCTGGATCCCTCGCATGTGCAGTTCACAATAGGGGTCGAGTTCCTATGAGAATCTAATGCTGCCGCCGATGTGACAGGAGGTGGAGCTCAGGCAGTAATACATGCTTCTCTGCCACTCACCTCCTGCTGTCCTGCTGTAAGGCCAGGTTCCTAACAGTCCACAGACTGGTACTGGTCCTCAGCCCGGGGGTTGGGGACCCCTGGGGTACAAGATCTCAGACAGGAAGAATATGGGTTTTTGTTAGTTCTATTGCACAGTATGGTGAATATAGTTAATAATATAGTATTGTACGTTTCAGAATTGCTAAGAGAGTAAATTCTAAATGTTCTCACCACAAAATGATTAAGTATTCAAGGTGATGGCTATGTTAACTAGATTGATTTAATTATTCCACATTATATTCATAATTATAGCAAATTTATAATGTAAGTTATGAAACAGAAGGAAAAAAATATGCTTAATTCTATCTATCTTTTGTTTTGTTTTGGTTATTTTTGAGACAGGGTCTCTCTCTGATGCCCAGGCTGAAGTGCAGTGGTGTGATCACAGCTCACTGCAGCCTTGACCTCCTGTGCTCAAGCAGTCCTCCCACCTCAGTCTCCCTAGTAGCTGGGACTACAGGCCCACCACGCCTGGCTAATTTTTGTGTTTTTAGTAAAGATGGAGTTTTACCATGTTGCCCAGGCTGGTCTCAAGGTACTGGGCTCCTGGGCTCGAGCAGTCCTCCCACCTCAGTCTCCCTGGTAGCTGGGACTAAAGGCCCACCATTCCTGGCTAATTTTTGTGTTTTTAGTAGAGATGGGGTTTTACCATGTTGCCCAGGCTGGTCTCAAAGCCCTGGGCTCAAGCGATCCACCCACCTAGGCCTCCCAAAGTGCTAAGATTACAAGCCTGAGTCACTGCACCTAGCCATATCTTTTAAGGATGACTAAGCACTTTTAACATTTTGGGTATTTAAAAAGGCAGTGTAGAGGTTCAGAACAGAGGATAAAAGTGTGAGCCCTAGAGAAGACTACCTGGATTGGCTCTCACTTCTGGTATTGTGTGACCTTGGGAAAGTTACTTTATTGTGGCTAAGATCCCTCATCTGTAAAATGGAGGTGACAATATACCTACTTCACATGGTTGTTTTGAGAATTAAATGTGATAGTGTTACCAGGAGGGGTGCGGGGTCCTCAGTTCATGTCTTCTTGGAGGAAAAAATTCAGCCAAGAGACGTGCGGCAAGGGAGTTTATTTAAAGCAACAATACACTCAGAGCTGGCTGCTCAAGAGAATGATGCAGCTCCAACTAGCGTTAGTGAAACCTTCTTCATGAGAATCTTACATGATTATTCATGAAGGACCATGAGGGGGTGTTACTTGCAAGCATGTTTCAAGTGGTCCCTTGGGTGCATGCGCTGTGGTTGCACATGCTAGGACACACATCACATTTCTCATTAGCATTTAAATTCTCCACCCAGGGTGTGCTTTTTAGTATTATAATGAGCAAAAGGCTACTCTAGGGCGAGATTTTGGAGGAGTGCGGTGCTTGTCATCAGATAGAGTCCCTACCACAGTTATCTCCAACTAGGGCCTAATAAGCCTGATAAGCCCAGTCCATGAGGCCAGAAGTTGCCATTGTAGCCATTGTTTTTTTTCTTTGCTGTCAGTTGGCAGTGCTGACAATCAGTGGGCAGTGCCTGCAATCAGTGGGCAGCATCTCCAAGGATTCCTTTCCCAGAGGCTCTTCTTCCTGCTCACTTCTGCCTACTCTAACAATACTACAAATAGCATATCTAAAACATTGCCTGGCACCCAGAAAATGCTCAATAACTATTAACTTACAATATTTTCTTTTTTTTCCCTGAAATTAGGACACATGGTATATACACTTTTAGACGTGCTCATTCCATTTAACTGTATGTTCTAATCCTTTCAAGTCAATATTTTTCTTACATATTCTAAAATTTTTTTATCATGAAAACTTTAAGATATAGACAAAAGTAGAACTTCCATACATCCATTACCTAAATTAAACAATAGTCAAGATTGTGCTACTTTTGTTTTATCATCCCTATTTAATTTGTTTTGTTTGTATTCTGAGGTATTTTAAAACAAACATCAGGCATGTGATTTCATGCCCACATACTTCAATATACATCTCTAAAAAAAGTATGTTATCTCCCACATAATGACAACAGCCATTATCATCCCTAAAATTTTTTAAAATACTTTTTAATATTGTATAAAATGTAGTTCATAATCAAATTTCCCTAATTTTCTAAAAAAAAATTATAGTCAGTTTGTTTGAACTGAGATAAAACAAGATTCACACAGTATATGGTTGTTTATCTTTTAAGTCTTTTATTTGAAGGCAGCTACTACTCCATTTTCTTCCCCTGCCATTGAATTGTAGAAATTGGGTCAGTTGTACTATAGAATTTCCAACATTCCAGATTTTTCTGTTTGCTTCCTTGTATCTTAACTTTTGCCATTAGACCTCTGTATTTCCTTTAATAGTGGAACTCTGCTTAAATTCAGTGTCAATGTGTTTGACAAAAGTAATAAAAATACGTTATTCTTAATGGCTACAGAGTATGGGGACAGGACAAAATGACCACTACCAGAACCTACTATATCACTACGTTTATTAGTATTTCTACATTTTTAAAGTTCCAAAAATACTTCAGAATTGTAAATAGAATTTATTGAATTGCACTGCTGTTTAATATTGTTCAAAGATCAAGTACATTTACTGTGCGTATATTTTTAAAATCTAGCAAAAATCTAGATAAAAATCTATCTTTATGAAATACAGTGATTACTAAGTGAATTTTATTTTCAAAATGTACACCAATCAGGCTAAGTATGGTGGCTCATACCTCTGTTCCCAACACTTTGGGAGGCCAAAGCAGATGGATCACTTGAGGCCAGGAGTTCGAGACCAGCCTAGGCAACACAGCGAGACCCCGTCTCTATAAAAATTTAAAAAAATTTTTTTAGTTATTTGCACAGCATGGTGAATATAGTTAATAATAGAGTATTGTACATTTCAAAATTGCTAAGAGTAAATTTCAGATTTCAAAAGCTAGGTGTGGTGGCACACATCTATAGTCCTAGCTACTCAGGAAGCTGAGGTGAGAGGATCGCTTGAGCCCAGGAGTTCAAGCCTGAAGTAAGCTATAATAGTGCCACTGTACTCCAGCCTGGGTGACAGAGCGCGATCTCATCTCTTAAAAAAAGGAAGAAAGAAAGAAAGAAAGAAAGAAAGAAAGAAAGAAAGAAAGAAAGAAAGAAAACAGTAAACAATCAAAGTTATTTTATTTATATCATCAAACCAAATATTCAGGTGCTCATCAGTGAATGGGGAAGCCTCAACGATATGAGTTGGATGTAACAGTGGTATTTATTTAATAAGTCTTTAAAAAATATTTTAAAATAAATTTTGTTGTGTATATTTAAGGAATACAATGTGTTGTTGTAAGACACATATATGTAGTAAAATGATTACCATTGTGGAATAAATACCTCACATAGGCATCCACTTTCCCCTAATGTGGTAAAAGCAGCTATAATCTGCTAATTCAGCAAAAATACTCAAGTACTGATTATAATACAGTATTATTAACTATAGTCCTCATGTTTCTTTTTTTGTTTTTGGTTTTGTTTTTGGTTTTGGTTTTTTTGTTTGTTTGTTTGTTTTTGAGACGGCTAGCTCTGTCACCCAGTCTGGAGTGCAGTGGTGTTATCTTGGCTCACTGCAACCTTCACCTCCCGGGCTCAAGCAATTCTCCTGCCTCAGCCTCCCAAGCAGCTGGGACTACAGGCATATGCCACCACGTCTGGCTGATTTTTGTACTTTTAGTAGAGGTGGGGTTTCACCATGTTGGCCAGGCTGGTCTTGAACTCCTGACCTCAGGTGATCCACCCACCTCAGCCTCCCAAAGTGCTGGGATTACAGGCGTGAGCCACCGTGCCCAGCCAGTCCTCAGGTTCTTGATCCTAGCTTATTTCCAAATACTTCCCCGAACCAATTAGATTGGAATATATTTCTTCCTGGAAAAGAATATGTTTTCTATTATGATTTATTCTCAAACAGATCTTTATGGTCAAATATTTTTCTACTTCTGTCATGTCTTTTTGTATTTCTTTTCTTTTTCTATATTTTTTAGTTTTCTATATTCTTCACTATATTAGTTTGCTATGGCTGCCACAACAAAATACCACTGACTTGGTGGCTTGGTGACTCAAACAATGGAAATTTATTTTCTTACAGTTCTAGTGGCTACAAGTTCAAGAGCAAGATATCAGCAGGGTTGGTTTCCTCTGCAGCCCCCCTACTTGGCTTGTGTATGGCCATCTTCTTGCTGTGTCCTCATATGGTTGCCCCTCAGTTTCTGTGTTGTCTATATCCTAATCTCCTCTTCTTATAAGATGACACCAGTGACACTGGATTGGGGCCCACCCAAATGACCTCATTTTACCTTAATTACCTCCTTAAAGGCCCTATCTCCAAATACAGCCACATTTTGAGATACTGGAGGTTGGGGTTTCAACATGTGATTTTTGGTTGGACACAGTTCAGTCCATAACAGTTACTTTAAATAACCTTCATTTATTTGGTTATTTCCAGGGTTCAACTTCACTGGCATTTATTATGTGGTCAGCCTCTACTGAGTGCTTTGTTACGACAATGGTGCCAACACTGAAAAGCAGCTGTAGTTATCTCAGATCTATGCATCACATTCCTAGCAAATTTATCCCATTTGAAGACTGGATTAGTGGAGTTCATAAAGACAGTCAGGGTTTTAACCTCATCAAAACTTTGCCGGTAAAAAAAAAAATCTAAGTATATTGGTTTAAGAAGCAATGCTATGTGACTTTTGTGTGATTGCCTACCCATTCAGTTTCAGCATTTCTTTTGTGAGTGGCTCAAAACACTTCACAGTTATTTTTTAATCCTCATGTCATTTTGAGGATGTGATGATTTCTAAGCTGTAAAAGCTTTCTGAAATAATTATTTTTCCTGGTAACTTAGTGTCATTATTATTATCATTTTACACTTTATATGTTGGTGTGATCTTTGTCTTTTGTGATATATTCAACTATTTTCCCTTACATTGACTTGTCCTAAGCTGATACAATTAGCCTTTGAACAATAGGTTTGAACTGCATAGGTCCACTTACATGCGGATTTTTTTCAAGAAATATATTGGACTTCTTTTGGAATTTTGTGACAATTGAAAAAATTCACAGACAAACCTCATAGCTTAGAAATGCAGAAAAAATCAGCCAGGCGTGGTGGCTCACGCCTGTAATCCCAGCACTTTGGGAGGTCAAGGCGGGCAGATCACTTGAGGTCAGGGTATCGAGACCAACCTGACCAACATGGAGAAACCCCATCTCTACAAAAAATACAAAAATTAGCCCGGCACGGTGGCACGCGCCTGTAATCCCAGCTACTCGGGAGGCTGAGCCTGGGAGGCAGGGGTTGCAGTGAGCGGAGATGGTGCCACTGCACTCCAGCCTGAGCAACAGAGCACAGAGCATGACTCTGTCTCAAAAATAAATACATAAATTTTAAAAAGAAATATCTAAAAAATTAATAAAAAGTTGGATATGTCATGAATGCATAAAATATATATAGATACTAGTCTATTTTATCATTTGCTATCATAAACTATACACAAATCCATTATAAAAAGTTAAAATTTATCAAAACTTACACACACAAACACAGATAGTACATCAAGCCAGAGAAATGTAAGCAAATGTAAAGATACAGTATTAAATCATAACTGCATAAAATCAGCTGTAGTACACACTGTACTACTGTAATAATTTTGTAGCCGCCTTCTGGTGCTACTTGGGTGAACTCTAATGTTGCCAGTATTCCTTTAAAATGCCCTGAGAGGCTATTCATCTGCATGTGAGCAGTTCACCTAGCCAGTAAATTGCAATTCACAATAAAAAGTGACCTCTCGTGGCTCTAATGTACTTTTCATCGTGTAATACTGTAAACCTTAAATAACACCATGGGTTCCATATGAAGTGGTGCTGGAAGTACTCCCAAGAGGCAGAGAAAAGTCATGACATTACAAAAAAAAAAAGGTGAATTTCTTGAAGCACACTGTAGATTGAGGTTCTTCAGCTGCAGTTTCCCTGGATTTCAGACAGACAATTCACCTTGTAAACAGATGATGTAAAGTTACAGTATCCATAAATACAGAATACTACTATAAATCCATTTTCATTTTTTCTCTAGCTCACTTTATTGTAAGAATACAGCATATAATACATATTACATACAAAATATATATTAATCGACTTTATATTACCAGTAAGACTTCTGGTCAACAGTAGGCTATTAATGGTTAAGTTTTGGGGTGGTCAAAAGTTATATGTGAATTTTTGACTGTGCAGGAGGTCTGCACCCCTAACCCCTGTGTTGTTCAAGGGTCAACTATATATCTACCCATTTCAATGTAATAATTTTAACTTTTGCCTTGTCAGAATTTGTGACTCTTTTTAAATATAAAATGTTGCTCTTTATCAACTAATTTATTACTTATAATTTTCTTTGTGACAAAAAGCAAATAACCAAACTTGAAGAATTATTTACTAACTATGATACATCACTAAGACTCTTTGATAAAGTGTTTAAACTTTAATTGCATTGACTTTATGGCAGTTTTTTCACTTATTTACAAGTTATATTATCATTGGTTAAAATTGTTGAAATTCCAGAAAATGAGGGGTAGAAAAGTTGGGGGAGATAAATTTACTTTAATACCTGTAGCTAAAAATTGAATTTTTGCCTTGATTGGTTTTCTAGAAAGTCAAGATCTATAAATTAAAGACTTCATAATAATGAATTGTACATTTTCTTTGTTTAATCACTTGCAGATAAACTACAGGCCTCCATCTAATATGGGAATTGCTATTCCACTCACAGATAATTTTTATCATGCAGATCCTAGCAAACCCATACCAAGAAACATGTTTCACATGTCAAAGGTAAATAACTTTTTTACAAATAATCTAGCACTTATTTGAATTCAGGAAATCATTCAGTAAAATTATATATATAGCTATAAGTGTTAAATGAGAAGGTGAAGCTGTTATTATCGTGATTGCTACTCTGTTCCTCCTCCTTCTACTTTAGCCCCTCCTCTTACAGCTATTCCTGAATACAGTTTTGGAGCCAAGAAGTCCAAATGGACGCTTTCCCCCTTGACTCTCCCTGCTTCCCATTTGGATTTCATTGATGGGGTGAGAGCATCTTTTCTCGAATGAAAGGAGCCCCCAGCTCTTCAGCTCTGTGAACGGAATGATGTCCAAGAGGGAAGAAAACTGCCTGCTCCAATGCAGGCACATTTAAACTCCTGCTAAGATTCTGCCTAGAAAATAACCAACTCCCAGCAGCACCCTGCCTCTCTAAAGGTGGAGGGAGGGAGGGAGGGAGACAAGGGAGGAGCCATTAGGTTCAGAGGAAAAGTGCAGCGTGGGGCAGCTTCTCAAGGAGACCACATGGACGCCTGTGGAATCTCTCCAGAAAAATGCACCCACCTGCCCATACACATGCACAGACAGTCATATTCATTCATACACATGTGCACGTACACGAATACATAAAATTGGTGTTTCTTTAGCTCAAAACTCTCCACTGTCTTCCGATCTCATTCAGAGTGAAAACCAAATTCTTGCAATGGTTTATAAAGTCCTCCTTGGACTTTGGCCTTGACATTACGTCTGACCTGATTTTCCCAGCTTGATCTGCTCTAGCCATGCTGGCCTCTTTGCTGTTTCTCCAATATGCTGGGCATATTTCCACCCCGTGGCCTTCACAGTTGCAGAAAATCCCTCTGTGTGGAATGCTTTTCTGCCTGATACCACATGGCTGACTCTTCAGGTGCTTTTCCTCAAGTCACCATCACAGTAAGCCCTTCTCTGACCACTCTATTTAGAATCATAACCCCCATCTCCACTGTCTCCCCTCCTTCCCTGCCTTATTTTTCTCCATATCGCTTACTACGGTTTTACCTATTTTACTCACTTATTTTATTTCTTGTCTTTCTGACCCCATGAGAAGGTAAGCTCATAAGGTAGAGGTTTTTATCTATTTCTTCTCTACTATATCCCCAGTGCCCAGAACAGTGACAGACTTAGAGAATGCTTTAAAATTGTGAAACATATTAATACACATTCACCGCCCCCCCCCCCCCCGCCCACACACACACAATTAGGAAGTGAACAGACTTCTTGTGAAATCTTGGGTTTCAGGTTAAGAAGCTCTGCTCCAGGCAATGATTAGCTATGATACTGAGTTCTTCTCCACGTCCAGTTTCTCCCAAAGACAAAGAACCACCTCCTCTACTGAAATATGACTTTACTATGTTTACATGGAAATCCTTGATTTCCCAGGTTTTTCACCAGGATTTTCTTGTGAGTTAAATAGGGAATGTATGTACACCTAATGATTACTACCCCATCTTTTATGCATCCAACAAGTGTTAATTTCACCATTTCCAGTGTTATCAGGCACTATCCAGACATTTTCTGAAGATACAGCAATGCACAAGATAAGCATGGTAGCTTCATGGACTCTAATAGGTGAGAATTTGTATATCTTAAGCAAAAAGACATACAAATTAAATAGCGTCATCGAGTGCAGGGCTTCTGAACAGTACGGCCCTGCATATCCTGAACCAGAATTATTCGAAAATATTTTTTGTTTTGTTTAGTTTTGAGACGGAGTATCGCTCTGTCACGCAGGCTGGAGTGCAGTGGCGTGATCTCAGCTCACTGCAACCTCCGCCTCAGGGGTTCAAGCGATTCTCCTGCCTCAGGCCCCTGAGTAGCTGGGATTACAGGCGTGCACCACCACGCACAGCCAATGTTTGCATTTTTAGTAGAGACGGGGTTTTGCCATGTTGACCAGGCTGGTCTCAAACTCCTGACCTCATGTGATCCATTCACCTCGGCTTCTCAAAGTGCTGAGTTTATAGGCATGAGCCACTGCACCCACCCCAAAAATATTTCTACGATGCATCTTTCTGAATCTCATAGCTACTGCATCAGAAACTATGAGGTACCATCCTGAAATCTGCATTTTATTTGTTTGTTTGTTTGTTTGAGACGGAGTCTTGCTCTGTCGCCCAGGCTGGAGTACAGTGGCGCGATCTTGGCTCACTGCAACCTCCACATCCTGGGTTCAAGCGATTCTCCTGCCTCAGCCTCCCAAGCAGCTGGGATTACAGGCACCCACCACCACACCCAGCTAATTTTTGTATTTTTAGTAGAGACGGGGTTTCACCATGTTGGCCAGGCTGGTCTCGAACTCCTGACCTCAAGGGATCCGCCCGCCTCGGCCTCTCAAAGTGCTGGGATTACAGGCGTGAGCCACAGCGCCCAGCTGAAATCTGCATTTTAAAGAGTTTAAGATAGGCCAGTAGTAGATCAGACACAAAACAGAGTATGAGTGAGTCAGGAGAGACATCCCAGAGGAAATGCTTCTGAGTCAAGACTGAAAGATGGATAGGGGTTAACCAAACAAAGGAGGAGAGAGTGGTAACAGAGAGGAGGGGAAAGGGAGTCAAACAGCATTCCAGGCTGAGGCAACACCAGATACAAAGAGTGGCGATGGGGAAAGGCTCAGTGTCTCTGACAAACTTAAAGACCATTCAGCCTGGAACATAATGAGCCAGCGAAAGAGTTTGGGGACAGCAGGCCCTAATGCTACAGGATCTCCTCGGCCGTGGAAATGATTTCAAATTTTATCCTAAGAGAAATCAAGAGCCATCTAGGGTTTTAAGCAAGAAAGTAACATGATGGTTACTGTGGCGGCGACTCACTTCATCCCAACCTCTTGATACTTTCGCTTCTGGAGGTCATATTTCTCTAAGATCTTCCAGAAAAAAGTCTTAAAGCCACCTTAACCTTTTTTCCAGTCCAGCTCTTAAATTTTTTCCTCCTCTTCCCCAATAATAACATGAGTGTGGCTCCAGCTTGTTCACAAAGCCTGCCTTGCTCCAACGCATCCGTCTGTAAAGACTCTTCACTTACACCTGTGATTTGTGGGCCTGAAGAAAACTATCCATCCTTGCAAATGTCTTCTGCTGAGATGCCTCACATGGAGACTGTCTCTCCTCTTCCTTCCTCCGTGGATCTGCTTATTTAGGACAGCCCTGATTCTTCCACCCCTCCCAAAGGCAAACAACCCACTTCTGCAGAGAAGAGTGCCAGAAAAAAGGAAGACAAGGTCCCATTCAAGAAACAGAAGACCAGAACTGTGTTCTCTTCCACACAGCTGTTTGTACTCAATGATAGATTTCAGGGACAGAAATACTTCAGCCTCCAGCAGATGCAAGAACTTTCCAACATCCTGAACCTCAGCTACAAACAGGTTAAGACGTGGTTCCAGAACCAGAGAATGAAATCTAAGAGGTGGCAGGAAAACAACTGGCCAAAGAATAGCAATGGTGTGACTCAGAAGGCCTCAGCACCTACCTACCCCAGCCTCTACTCTTCCTACCACTGGGGATGCCTGGTGAACATGACTGGGAACTTTCCAATGTGGAGCAACCAGACCTGGAACAATTCAACCTGGAGCAACCAGACCCAGAACATCCAGTCCTGGAGCAACCACTCCTGGAACACTCAGACCTGGTGCACCCAGTCCTGGAACAATCAGGCCTGGAACAGTCCCTTCTATAACTATGGAGAGGAATCTCTGCAGTCCTCCATGCAGTTCCAGCCAAATTCTCCTGCCAGTGACTTGGAGGCTGCCTTGGAAGCTGCTGGGGAAGGCCATAATGTAATACAGCAGACCACTAGGTATTTTAGTACTCCACAAGCTGTGGATTTATTCCTAAACTACTCCACGAACATGCAACCTGAAGATGTGTGAAGAAGAGTGCAATTGACATTAATCAATTTCAGTCTGGGCACTGGCTGAATCCTTCCTCTCCCCTCCTCCCATCCCTCATAGGATTTTTCTTGTTTGGAAACCACATGTTCTGGTTTCCATTATGCCTATCCAGTCAATGTGATGGAGGGTGGGGTATGGTTGGAGTCTAATCAGAGAGATTTCTTTCTTTTTTCCTGTTGGATCTTCCTGGAGAAAAGACAGGCATGTGCCTGTAGTCCCAGCTACTCAGGAGGCTGAGGCTGGAGAATCACTGGAGTTCAGGAAGTGGAGATTGCAGTGAGCTGAGATTGCACCATTGCAGTCCAGCCTGGGTGACAGAGTGAGACTCCATAAAAGAAAGAAAGAAAGAAGAGAGAGAGAGAGAGACAGACAGAGAGGGAGGGAGGGAGGGAGAGAGAGACAAAAAAAAAAAAAATAGATGAAGTTCTTGAATAGACATTTCTCCAGACAAGGTGATATGGTTTGGATCTGTGTCCCCACCAAATCTCATGTCGAATTGTAATCCCCAGTGTTAGAGGTGAGGCCTCATGTATGATGGGGGCAGTCTCTCACGAATGGTTTAGCACCATCCCACTAGTGCTGTTCTCGTGATAGAGTTCTCATGGGATCTGGTGTTTAAAAGTCTGTAGCAACTCCCCCTTCTCTCTCTACCTCCTGCTCCTCCTCCCTCTCTTCCTGCCTCACTCCCTTTTACCTTCTGCCATGATTGTAAGTTCCTTGAGGCATCCCCAGAAGCTGATGCTGCCATGCTTCCTGTGCAGCCTGTGGAACTGTGAGCCAATTAAACCTCTCTTCTGAGGGCAGTGCGCGCTTCTCAGGCTCTAGAGCGGTGGGGTCCTCTGCCTGCACCCCTTCCTTGCTGGCCGGCATTTCAGCTGCAGAGTTTTGCCCACACTTTAAGACTTAGGGAGCAGAATTTGCCCACTCATCTGGTATAACTAGTTCTGATGGCTGGGAATAAAGGATGAGGACGTGCTGCTTATACCTTTAATATTGAGGCTGTTGGATTTAGCAAAGGTAAAAAGTTACCTGATGTAGTGTTGAAACCACCCCCACTATTTCCTGATACAGATTATAAACCAGTGCCACTGAAGACAGGAGAAGGTGAATAATATATGCTGGCTTTGAAACAGGAGTTGAGAGAAACAATGAAAAGAATGCCCTATTTTATTGAAACACCCTCATGAAGAAAGACAAGATATTGAAAGGTATAGTAAAAGATACATGAAGGTATACAAGGAAGAGTGGATACCAGATTGGAGAAGACTTCCAAGAGAGATGATGCCAAGAAATAAATGTAAAAAAGCAGGCCCAAAACCCAAAAAGGCAAAAGACACAGGCAAAGGCACATCACTCACTAATACTGCAGATGTGTTGAAAAAAATTGAGGAATTGGAAAAGAGAGGTGATGATGAAAAATCAGATGAGAAAAGAAGAGAAAGAAGGAAGCAAAGAGAAAAGTAGAGAAGGTGATGATGATGATGACAATGATGCTGCAGAACAGGAGGGATATGATGAAGAAGAGCAAGAAGAGGGAAATGACTACATTAATTCATACTTTGAAGATGGAGATGATTTTGGTGCAGACAGTGATGACAACATGGATGAAGCAACCTAGTAGGCATGAAATTTTTCAAAAAATGTTTTTATGATGCAGCTTCTGAACATTTGGACAGATTTGTTTTATATTTTATTTCTGATAAGGAATAAGTATTTTTATTTTTGTTTTTTTTTGTACAAATATTTGTTACCAAAATATTCAAAACCACTTTGAGTTTACATTCTAGTTACCTTACAAATTAGTCCCTGACACTCTGACATTCCTTCTAAACCCTTCTGCCATCTCTCTTATGTACTCTCGTGGATTTTTTTGTATTATTTGAATATGAATGTGCCTAAATAATTTTTGCTCCCTTAATCTATGTATACATACATTCTTGCTTAACTGCTGATCTTTTCTAAGACTATTGCTAGTCATAATGGATTTCTAGAATTTGAAAGTTGATATAATACAGCACATGGAGCACTTTAAAAACAAACTTGAAAATAATTTTATTTTTTATTTTTACATGGTATGTTCTAGACTACTGCATTATGACTACATAAACCTACCTGACCTCTTACAAGTACAGAATTGTGAGATAGAGGTTTTGTGATGGAAAACATACACACAGGGAAAAATACCAAGCTAAGCAATATAAATTTCACAGCTCACAGCTTAGCCAGTACAAAGAAACTTTCACATGAGGTGAATATTATAAATACTTGAATTTGGGACTAACCTAATACTGTATGATATATGAATTAATCATCCCACTGTAATAACTTTGACATCTTCAAGTAGTTGGGCTTATGAAAAATTTGACTAAGACATTTAATTTTATACTTTATGTAAGTGTGAAATAAGTTCTGATCATATAAATATCACTGTAGAATGCATGTGTGTGAACTCTATGAAGTGAAGTGTGGTGGCCTTTTATGTATGCAAGCTGTACTATTGATTTATATAAAAATGCAAAATGAACTCAGGTCATTTTGAAATTAAGATTAATTTTTTTGTTGTTTAGAGCTAGCTCCCCTAACTTTATATATTTTTGGGGAAAAAATACCTAAAAACCTCAACCTACAAATACTCTCACAAATGCCAAAGATCTTCAAGGAAATTCATATTATGTATTTCAAAAATGATTTATCAATGTGATCTACCAAAAAAAATTTATTTTTCCCCTTTAGGAAGATATTATTATCCTCTAATGTGAGAATCAGATCCCTAGATTCTATTTCTACCTGTACTATTAAACTCAACCTTGAACCTGAGCTTGGTTGTTTCTGTGCCTTAGTTTCTCCACTCGTAAACAATTTCCTACAAAAATTGTGTAAACACCAACCAAAATTTACCATATATATTCATTCTCTTGCCATAAAGATCACTTCTTAATTTACATTTGGCTCTCACCCTCTAAAAATATGTTGTTTGGAGAGTAACTGAAAACACAATTTTAAGAAACATGTTTTCCTCACAAAATATATTGTAATCTGATTTTCCTATCTTGTATTCCTGTGGAAAATTAGAGAAAAAGTGTATTGTCTTGTGCCATTTTGCAACATAACTTTCTCAGGAAAAAGATCACTTTCAATGGCAATACTTTCTTTAGTAATTCAAGATGGGTGTGAGGACCTATTTTATTAATTTAGTGCTATGTTAAGCATTTGTGAATTACTTCTTGTTTAAAGGAAGTATCAAAAAATTTTAAGATTCTAAATGGAATACATGAATAAAGTAAGCCTTAGAGTAGAAACCTCACATAAAGTTGTCATTTGCAGCTGATAATTAACATAGGTGTTGTATTCTCTCAACTCCTTCGTACCAGAGCCAAATACCATTTAGTTCTCAGAAATCTTATCAATATTGTTCTGTTTACTGACTTATCATAAATCTGCAGATAACCACTTGAAACAGGCAAATACACCGAAGGTAAAAGTTATTTCTTTTTTTAGCTTTGAATTTGTGATGACCATTTTAGTCTTGAAGATAGCAGGGCAGCCCCTTGGGGCAAGGATTTACTCTGGGAGGCACCAGCCATCCCCTTTAAGAGCCTTCTTTCCTCCCTTTGGAAGATCTTTTTACCATGTTAAAGTATACTATTTGTGAGAACATGCAGGATTTGCAGGTTGCTTTACCAGCATGAATCTCATTTTTCTGGCTTAAAATCTGAGACAGTGAAATTATTCCATAGGAAAGTGAATGTTATTTTGCAGAATTAGCCTCTTACATAAAAGTATGTGTTGAAGTGTCTTTAAAATTGCTATCGTGAGCAAAACTGTTTGGTTGCTATAATGCTTACTTTTCTGTATGTTTACACATTAAATTCTTACAGAACAAAAACAAACAAACCCAAACCTCTTTTCTTTATAAATTACCCAGTCTCAGGTATTTCTTTATAGCAGTATGAGAATGGACTAATACAGAAGATATATAAACAGCCAACAAGCCCGTGAAAAGATACTCAACGTCTTAGTCATTAGAGATATACAAATCAAAATCACTTGAGATATCCCTTCACAGTCATTAGAATAGCTATAATAATTGCTTTTTTAATGAAAATAATTGTTGGCGAGAATGTGGAGAATCTGGAACTCTCATGCATTGCTGGCAGGAATGCAAAATGGTGCAGCTGTTATGGATATCAGTTTGGTGCTTCTTCAAAAAGTTAAACATAGAATTACTGTATGAGCCAGCCATTTCACTCCTAGATATATCCAAAAGAATTGAAAACATATGTTCAGACAAAAACTTCATAGCAGCATTATTCATAACAGCCAGAAAGTGGAAACAATCAGATGCGCATTAACTGATGAATGGATAAACAAAATGTGCTATATCCATTCAGTGGTGTCAAAGGAAAATATCTTGGGCCCCCAATATCACTAAGGAAAATTCAAGCTGGGAACTGCTTAGGGCAAACCTGCCTCCTTTTCTATTCAAAGTCACTCCTTTGCTCACTGAGATAGATTCATATCTGATTTGCCTCCTTTGGAAAGGCTAATCAGAAACTCAAAAGAATGTAACCATTTGTGTATCACCTTTCTGTGACCTGGAAGCTCCCTCCCCACTTGAGTCTTGGTGCCTTTGCTTCAAGTTGTCCTCCCCTTCCAGACTGAACCAATGTACTTCTTATATATATTGATTGACGTCTCATGTCTCCCTAAACGTATAAAACCAAGCTTTGCCCTGACCACCTTGGGCAGATGTTGTCAGGACTTCCTGCGGCTGTGTCACGGGTGCATCCTCAACCCTGGCAAAATAAAAATAAACTTTCTTTTTTTTTTTTTTTGCTCTGCCGCCCAGGCTGGAGTGCAGTGGCACAATCTCAGCTCACTGCAAGCTCCGCTTCCCAGGTTCACGCCATTCTCCTGCCTCAGCCTCCCAAGTAGCTGGGACTACAGGCGCCCGCCACCACACCCAGCTAATTTTTTGTATTTTTAGTAGAGACGGGGTTTCACCGCGTTAGCCAGGATGGTCTCAATCTCCTGACTTCGTGATCCGCCCGCCTCGGCCTCCCAAAGTGCTGGGATTACAGCGTGAGCCATCGTGCCCGGCCGGCAAAGTAAACTTTCTAAATTAACTGAGACCTGTCTCAGATTTTCTAGGTTCACATTTTGGTAACCACGAAGGGGTTCTGAATGGAGATGCCCCTGACCTTTGACAAATCTCTTATCAGTGCCTGGTACCAGCATGAGCTAACTTTATGGATCAAACCAATACGACAATTTGCTGAGGTCTGAGAGCACCCCTCCAATGAATCCCTGATATCCCAAAATTTGGTCAGTCTGATACACAGACAATAAGGAGGTTTGTTTTGGGAAAGGACTGTTATCTTTGTTTAAAAGCTAAACTATAAACCAAGTTCCTTCCAAAGTTAGTTCATCCTATGCCCAGGAATGAACAAGGACAGCTTACAGGTTAAGAGCAGTATGGAATCAGTTAGGTCAAATCTTTTTCCTTTTTTTTTTTTTTTTTTTGAGACAGAGTCTTGCTCTGTTGCCCAGGCTGGAGTGCAGTGGTGCGATCTCGGCTCACTGCAAGCTCCACCTCCCAGGTTCACGCCATTCCCCTGCCTCAGCCTCCCAAGTAGCTGGGACTACAAGCGCCTGCCACCACGCCTGGCTAATTTTTTGTATTTTTAGTAGAGATGGGGTTTCACCATGTTAGCCAGGATGGTCTTGATCTCCTGACCTTGTGATCCACCTGCCTTGGCCTCCCAAAGTGCCGGGATTACAGGTGTGAGCCACCACGCCCGGCCAGTCAAATCTTTTCTGACAGTCTCAGTTATAATGCTGCAATGGCAGTTTCATAACTTTAAATCATGACTATCACAGTTTTCATAAATAATCTAGGTAAATAATTAAAACAATTAGGTAAATGTAATGGGATAAATACTTGTAGACAAACTGGTCATAATTTAGGATATAAAGTTATATTAAATTAAATAATAGATATCTCATTGAGTATTTTCCAATAAATATATATTGTAGAAAAACATTCTTGCTAAAGAAAGAAAAATGTGTCCTTTTAAAAAAAAAGTGAACAAGTTTTGTCTAATTCAAAGCTTATTTAAAGGTTATATATAAAACAAGGTAAAAGGAGCCAGGAATAAAAAAAGATGTAAAAAAAGTTATAAAAATAAAGAGGTTTTATTTTTAGGTAAAAAAGCTTAAAAAGAAATAATTTTATATAAGAAAGAATCTTCTGTGGTAAATTTAGTCCTAAAATAAAATAACTGGTTGTTTAAAAAGGAGGGAATTTCAGAACAAATCAGAAAGTCTGGCCATGTCATGAATAGTCAGTGTAAGTCACAATAAGAGGATTTATATATTTAAAAAAAAAAACAAAAACTTTTATATAATCAAGTTGTCATATTATTATTAAATTTTGGTTTGCTTAGGGAAAAAAACTGAGATAAAAAATGTTTTAATGTTATTGCATCCATTTATCTTCCTGTATGTGCTTTTAAAGTGCTTGTAACATTGAGTTACAGGGCTTTAACTCCTGGGTCTAAAAAGGACACCAAGTCCTGCTAAATCTTAAACACTGACAGCAATTAAAGCCTCATCTTCAGGCCCCATAGAAGATGCCAATTAAAACAAACTGCATTCCTGAGACACAGGGCAAGAAATTAAAGCCATTCAACTCCTCAAGGCCCGGGGACTATCGCAGAAGAGGTGGGCACATGAGATTGTGAGGGCCAATTTTGAAAGATAAAATAAGTTCAGTTTCTCTATAAATTAATTATTAATGTCAAAGGCACACTGATGCAAAACCAGTATATGGATCCCTATGTCAGATTAACAAGGTTTTCTTGAAGCATTAAAGAACTTCTTAATAAAGGTTATAAAAGGCTTATGGAAGTTATATTTTATAATCAAGATTAAATTTTATAGATTGTTTACAAAATTTTGAAAAACAAATGTAATTGGCTTCGGGCTGTTTTTCTTAGGGTTTCTTGTTTAGAAAATTAAGTCTCAACTCAAATAATGAAGGTTTTCACTTTTTTTGGAATGCTGGAATTATCACTTTGGTTAAATAAATGACTTTACAATGACCTGTAATCCTATTTTGTAATATCAAGTGTTTTAAAGCTTTTATATTTGACAAACTTTCCAAAATCAAATTATAAATTATATCTTTTTGGCCAGGCGCTGTGGTTCACGCCTGTAATCCCAGCACTTTGGGAGGCTGAGGCAGGCAGATCACGAGGTCAGATCGAGACCATCCTGGCTGACACGGTGAAACACTGTCTCTACTAAAAATACAAAAAAAAAAAAATTAGCTGGGCGTGGTGGTGGGTGCCTGTAGTCCCAGCTACTCAGGAGGCTGAGGCAGGAGAATGGAGTGAACCCAGGAGGTGGAGCTTGCAGTGAGCCGAGATGGCGTCACTGCACTCCAGCCTGGGTGACAGTGCGAGACTCTGTCTCAAAAAAAAAAAAAAATTATGTCTTTTTCTAACCTAATTAGTCCTTTAAGACATTAGGTTCCTTAAGTCCAAAAATGACATAACTTGGCTTATTTTGGTGTAAAAATTATACAGGAAGCATTGTCAAATATGAAATGGTGTTTGGTTTTCTTTGGGCTATATTTGTATACATAGCTAACTTTGTTCCAAATGTATAGGAAACTCCTGTAATTCTGATATAACTTAGTGTACATTATCAGTAATAATCATAATTGTTATGTTAAAATTATCCTGTGCCACAGAGGTAACAAATTTCCTTGTCAATTGTGTCTTTTAACTATGGCTACCTTAAAACTTTTTTTCATCCACAGACAATTGTCTTGTTTTGCCTTGTTTTAAATGCTCTTTAAAAGGTGGATTTATAGGCCAGGTGTGGTGGTTCACGCCTGTAATCCCAGCACTTTGGGAGGCCAAGGTGGGCGGATCACAAGGTCAGGAGATTGAGACCATCCTGGCTAACAAGGTGAAACCCCATCTCTACTAAAAATACAAAAAATTAGCCGGGCGTGGTGGCAGGCGCCTGTAGTCCCAGCTACTCAGGAGGCTGAGGAAGGAGAATGGCGTGAACCCGGGAGGCGGAGCTTGTAGTGAGCCGAGATTGTGCCACTGCACTCCAGCCTGGGTGACAGAGTAAGACTCTGTCTCAAAAAAAAAGGGGGGTGGATTTATAATTAGCTATCAGACTCTAACAGATGCACTTAAATGCAGGTTTTCTGATAACTTTGGAAATTGTGACATTGGAATAAAGGAACTTTCAGAACTCTCATGGAGAGCTGAAATGTTCATGACTATCAAGCAGAATAGGAGTTAACTGAATTAACTGAACCAATAGAAAACGGAAGTAATCTTTTTGACTTTTTGCTTAAAATGTTGCTGATACTTTGTTTTGTTTTTCAGAGTTAAGAAAACAATTCTTTTAAGCTATTTACAGCTTTTAATAATTGAGTAAAGTATACCCCTGTGAACAAAATTTGGAACCTATTTGTTTCCCTCTACCTGATTTCTCTAGAATTTGGAAACTATTTGTGACTATTCTTAATTTATAGCAATATAGTTATTTGCATAAGTGCAGTAAGAATCTGTTTTCTTTTGCAATAGGACACAATTGGAGGAATTGGTTATTTTACCAAGGCTTTGACTGGAATGATGTGCTTTTCTTTAAGGAAGCAAACTTGACTTATGGAGCCAATAAAGCCCTTGGGAAACTGGCCTCATATTTTGTGTACACAGTCCCTGTACAGGGTTTCTGACCTGTGCTTAGTAAAGAATGCCATTTTCTGACAGGCACAGAAGCCCCAGGTTTATCTTGGATCCTCAAGAGGAGAGGAAATTCACACAACTCATAGATATTTGACGGCACAAATCCATGGTTGGGCTCGGCTTTAAAAAAGTCTTATCTGGGCTGGGTGCGGTGGCTCATGCCTGTAATCCCAGCACCTTGGGAGGCCGAGATGGGCAGACCACGAGGTCAGGAGATTGAGACCATCCTGGCTAACACGGTAAAACCCCATCTCTACTAAAAGAATTAAAATAAAAATAAATAAATTAAAAATAAATAAATAAATAAATAAATAAACCTTATCTGAGATTCCTCCTATAGAACAAAGTTCTATCAAAGTCAATTTAAAAGCCTATGTAAAAAATAATTTTTCTTCTACACTGTATACGAATATTAGGCCAAGTATAATAAAGCATACCAGTCATACCGTGATTTGTCTTTAGTAAAAATGGGAAACTGGAGAGAGAAAAATTATGTTTCAGAACTACAGTAGACCTGTTGTTAGATCCTAGTCTTGCCTAATATTTTTTTCAATTTTTGTGTTTTTCTATAGTTTGGACTGAATTCTAATTTTTCTTGACTACAAGTCTTCAAAATAATTTTTTCAATTTTTTTCCTTCCTTTTTACCCCCTTTTGTCTTTATTTGGAGTCACTGAAAACTAAGCTGTGCTTTCTTAAAACCCTGCAAACTGAAGCCAGACAACTTAAACTTCAGGAGAAAATAACTACAACCTATTTACATACATAAGCCACTTTCATACCTGCCTACTAATATATGGACTTCAGAGTAATGTGGCCTATATTGATTTTTCCAGGACTGTTCTTTTTTTAATTTTTTATTTTTTCTCCCTTCCTCCCCTCTATTTTCTCTTCACAAGACATGAGGTTTCACAACCTGCTAAAAATGAGCTTTTGGGACCTCCCCATTGTATTAGTCCATTTTTACACTGCTGATAAAGACATACCCAAGACTGGGCAATTTACAAAAGAATTTACAATTTACAAAAGAAAGAGGTTTAATTGGACTTACAGTTCCACATGGCTGGGGAGGCCTCAGAATCATGGCAGAGTTCAAAAGGCACTTCTTTTTTTTTTTTTCTTTTATTATTATTATACTTTAAGTTTTAGGGTACATGTGCACAACGTGCAGGTTTGTCACATATGTATACATGTGCCATGTTGGTGTGCTGCACCCATTAACTCGTCATTTAGCATTAGGTATATCTCCTAATGCTATCCCTCCCCCATCCCCCCACCCCACAACAGTCCCTGGTGTGTGATGTTCCCCTTCCTGTGTCCATGTGTTCTCATTGTTCAATTCCCACCTTTGAGTGAGAACATGCGGTGTTTGGTTTTTTGTCCTTGTGATAGTTTGCTGAGAATGATGGTTTCCAGTTTCATCCATGTCCCTGCAAAGGACCTGAACTCATCATTTTTTATGGCTGCATAGTATTCCATGGTATATATGTGCCACATTTTCTTAATCCAGTCTATCGCTGTTGGACATTTAGGTTGGTTCCAAGCCTTTGCTATTGTGAATAATGCAAAAGGCACTTCTTACATGGCAGCAGCAAGAGAAAATGAGGAGAAAGCAAAAGTGGAAACTCCTGATAAGCCCATCAGATCTTGTGAGACTTATTCACTATCATGAGAATAGCATGGGAAAGACCAGCAGCGCCCATGATTCAATGACTTCCCCCTGGGTCCCTTCCACAACATGCGGGAATTCTGGAAGATGCAATTCAAGTTGAGATTTGAATGGGAACACAGCCAAACCATATCATTCTGCCCCTGGCCCCTCCAGATCTCATGTCCTCACATTTTAAAACCAATCATCCCTTCCCAACACTTCCCTAAAGTCTTAACTCATTTCAGCATTAACCCAAAAGTCCACATTACAAAGTCTCATGTGAGACAAGGCAAGTCCCTTCCACCTATGAGCCTGTAAAATAAAAAAGAAGCTAGTTACTTCCTAGATACAATAGGGTTACAGGTATTGGGTAAATACAGCCATTCCAAATGGGAGAAATTTGCCAAAACCAAGGGGTTATAGGATCCATGCAGGTCCAAAATCCAGCAGGGCAGTCAAATTTTAAAACTCTAAAATGATCTCCTTTGACTCCAGGTCATGCTGATGCAAGAGGTGGGTTCTCATGGTTTTGGGCAGCTCCACCCCTGTGGCTTTGCAGGGTACAGCCTCCATCCTGGCTGCTTTCACGGGCTGATGTTGAGTGTCTGCAGCTTTTCCAGGCACCAGGTGCAAGCTGTCAGTGGATTTACCATTCTGGGGTCTGGAGGACAGTGGCCCTCTTCTCACAGCTCCACTAGGCAGTGCCCCAGTAGGGACTCTGTGTGGGAGCTCCCACCCCACATTTCCCTTCTGCACTGCCCTAGCAGAGGTTCTCCATAAAGGCCCCACCCCTGCAGAAAACTTTTGCCTGGGCATCCAGGTGTTTCCATACATCTGAAATCTAGGCAGAGGTTCCCAAACCTCAGTTCTTGACTTCTGTGCACCCACAGGCTCAACACCACGTGGAAGCTGTCAAGGCTTGGGACCTCCACCCTCTGAAGCCACACCCTGAGCTGTGCGTTGGCCCCTTTCAGCCACAGCTGGAGCAGCTGGGACACAGGGCACCAAGTCCCTAAGCTACACACAGCATGGGGACCCTGTGCCCGGCCAACAAAACCACTTTTTCCTCCTGGGCCTCTGGGCCTTTGATGGGAGGGGCTGCCATGAAGGTCTCTGACATGGTCTGGAGACATTTTCACCATAGTCTTGAGGATTAACAGTAGGCTCCTTGCTACTTGCAAATTTCTGCAACTGGCTTGAATTTCTCCCCAGAAAATGGGTTTTTCTTTTCTATTGCATAGTCAGGATAGACTCTCTACCAAAAAATTTTTTTTTCAATCAGCCAAGTGTGGTGGTGTGTGCCTGTAGTCCCAACTATAATACTAGGGAGGATGAGATGGGAGGATTGCTTGAGTCCAGGAGTTCAAGACTGCAGTGAGCTATGATTGAGCCCCTGCACTAAAGCCTGGGCAACACAGCAAGACACTATCTCTAAAAATAATAATAATAAAATAAATGAATGGCAAGAGAGATCAAGTATAAATGAATGACAAATGGGCAGATATAGTGGAGATTTAAAATATCAACATATGCTATGAAGAAAGACAAGTATGAAATAGTAGGTTTGGAGAGTGTGCAGCCCCACATTATCAAGGCCACTCATTTTATGTTTCCGTCTGGATCCCTGCACTGGCAGGGGCCAAGAGCAGTTAGTTTGGTAGTCCTGGGATGCAGAATTCAGAATGACACAGGCTTTCTAGGTCCCATGCAACTGCACGAGGTGAACGGCAAGCGGCTGAGTAATACTTGGGTTCAAATTACCAAGCAAGGGGGCAACTAAAATTCAGAAATACTGTACTTCTATTCTTACTTTATTATTAATGAATTGCTTTCCCCTTTTAACTTCTCAGGAATTCCACTTCTTCAGGGAATAAATATTTATTAGATATTTATCAGTTTGCAGAAATCCCGCAACGCAGAAAAACAAGTCAACATCTGTTACTTCTATTTGCAGAAAACCGGTAAATTCAAACAGTGTGCTAATGTTTCCACTCGGGAGGAGTGTAACTGCACAAAGGATCAGAAGTTTTCACATGCTGTTGCTTTCTCGGATTGCAGGGAAAAAGTAAGATCATTTCTAATTACCTGAATACAGGATACTTTCTTATTAACAAGATTTTGAAATGTGCCTTTAGGTTAAACATGAAAACTAAGACATAGAAATAATGTCTTATTATGATGCAGAGCTAAATATGACACCGAGCTAGAAAGATCCAGATTTAAATGTACCTTGCAAGTTAATGAACCTCATCGGTAAAATAAAACAATAATACCTGCACTACCTTGTCCATTCCACAGCATTTGTATAAAGACGCACACACACCCACACCCACACACACCCCTGTGTATACGAAAGCAACTTGTAGTCTGTAAAACATATACCAGGTTATGGTAAATATTGATTCATTTAAAATAACTTTGAGTATCTAGTATCAGGTTCTTGGAATATAGAAGGCAAAGTCATTGTAATCAAGCTCAGCCTGCTGACAGTCACAAATGAAAGACGGTGTAATATGTTGGTTAAGAGAAGGCTTCTGTGTCAAATAATGTTTTATTCTGTTAGTATCAAAATTTGCATTAGAAGAGTCAAATACGCAGTTGGGGCCGGGTGTGGTGGCTCACACCTGTAATCCCAGCACTTTGGGAGGCCAACGCCGGTGGATCACCTGAGGTCAGGAGTTCGAAACCAGTCTGACCAATATGGTGAAACCCAATCTCTACTAAAAATACAAAAATCAGCCGGGCATGGTGGCTTGCACCTGTAGTCCCAGCTACTCAGGAGGCTGAGACAGCATTGCTTAAACCTGGGAGGCAGAGGTTGCAGTAAGCAGAGATCGCACCACTGCACTCCAGCCTGGATGACAGAGCAAGATTCCATCTCAAAAAAAAGAAAAAAACAAATATGCAGTTGGTATATCTTTCAAACAGATCAATTTCAAAGTCCTTGTGACACTGTATATTGAGAAACTGTTATTACACAGACTATACATATGTAAGACATCTAGAGGCCGGGCTCGGTGGCTCACGCCTGTAATTCCAGCACTTTGGGAGGCCGAGGCGGGCGGATCATGAGGTCAGGAGATTGAGACCATCCTGGCTAACACGGTGAAACCCTGTCTCTACTAAAAATACAAAAAAATTAGCCGGGCGTGGTGGTGGGCGCCTGTAGTCCCAGCTACTGGGGAGGCTAAGGCAGGAGAATGGCTTGAACCTGGGAGGTGGAGCTTGCAGTGAGCTGAGATAGTCACTGCACTCTAGCCTGGGCGACAGAGCAAGACTCTATCTCAAAAAACAAAACAAAACAAACAAACAAAAAAAGACATCTAGAGACTATATATGATATTATATATGTATATACACAATATGTTGGTGTAGAGTCAGCATTCTGTAAATTATTATTATTTTATTTTCGTTTTTACTTTTTTTGAGACCAAGTCTCGCTCTGTCGCCCAGGTCGGAGTGTAATGGCATCATCTCAGCTCACCGCAACCTCCGCCTCCTGGATTTAAGTGATTCTCCTGCCTCAGCCTCTCAAGTAGCTGGGACTATAGGTGCCCACCACTATGCCCAGCTAATTTTTGTATTTTCAGTAGAGATGGGGTTTCACCATGTTGGCCATACTGGTCTCAAACTCCTGACCTCAAGTGATCCACCTGCCTCCACCTCCCAAAGTGCTGGGATTTATAAGCGTGAGCCATTGTGTCTAGCCAGCATTCTGTAAATTATGAGGGCTGTTTTTATATACCCCCTTGCTGAACCAAAATAATGTTTCATGAGCACTTACTATCTACTAAATGCTACTCTAAGCCTTCTCCGTGATTTATCTCATTTAATTCGAGCCACAGAGAAGTCAGGCAATTTGTCAAAGATCGCATTATTAACATGCATTGGGGCTGGCTTTGAGTTCTGACGCCAGAGCCCAAGTTTACAGATTGTGCCCGCAAGACTGACTGGCTGAAAGAGTGGCAAAAGGAGGGTGAGCAATCTATGCACAGCCTCCTGGGATATGATTTAGCCAAAAAAAGTTTGAGTGACATCATAGTAAATTCCTGTGAAAAGGGCCTATAGAAGTGATGAGTTTTGTTACCACAATGTATATACTGCCTTTGGAGTTCACATTGATTCTGCTCTAAGACATTTTCATGACTGAAAAGGCAGAAACCCCTCAGGAGCACATGTCATTGAACAGCCAAACTATTGGCAATATATCTTTTCGTTTTTTACCAGGAAATGAAGTGACTATTGACTTTCCCAAGTTTACATTCATTCTTGGAATTTGTATTTTAGGTTCCTCGCTTTAAGTTTCCAATTACACAATATCCAGTTTCTTTGGAAATTATCAACGAGGATGGACGTGTCCCATTGCAATCTCCATATCTGGTTACTGTGACTGAAGTGAACATGAGGCACAACTGGAAACTGAGTAGGGTTTGCTTTCATCTGTAATTATTTTATCTGATAAGTAATATTGTTACTGGTTTACAAAGATCAATGGTTTTCAAAGCCTGTTCACACAAAAGAGAGCCAGGAGTTCTTGCAAATGGATTTGGATCAGTTGGCATATTGCTGTTTACTTCTATTGTTTCCTACTTATTTCATCATCACTCCCAGTGGCCTGGATTCTAGGGTAAAAGCATTTTTGAATAATTTACACTGCAAAAAAATTGAAGGTCATTTTGTGGATCAATAACAACAATGACTGACTGAATTTGTGCTGCATGGTGGTCTGGCATCTCCTTTCTCTGCCCATTCAGTGTGACAGAGGAGGTTGTAAAAGGTGGGGCCAGATAATCTTTAGGATCTGTCTTCTAATTATACGAGTTTCTTAAAGGTTTCTTAAAGGTTTTATGGTAAAATAATTGAAAAGATGCAGAAATAGTTTAAATAAGATGTTTACCCCTATTCACTTTACCTCAGATATGTAACTTTTTGTTGCACATTTTGTGTTCACGTATGAATACTCTAAGGAGATATGTAGGTAGATAGAAATAATTAACTAAACAGAAATTTTGGTCAGCCATTAATATGTTACTAAATATCCAGGCACTTGGTATTCAGTGAGTCTTACTCTGGCCAACATATATGCATTTTTGAAATGAAAAATCCAGCAAAATAAAGCTACTAAATATTTTGCATTAACTGACATCCCCATTTTCTGTGGTATGCTGGAAACTGTTCTTACCAGTTTTAGAGTCCTGATCATTAAACATTTAAACATTTTACAAGCTAGATGTTAAACCATTTGTAGCTTGAAATTAGTCAGGGTGAGAGTATTTACACTATGGAAATTGGAAATTACAATCACAGCTGTTTCTTTTCCTTTAGATTCTGTGTACCTTTATACCACTGCAACGTCTAACCCCTACACTAGCTATCTAGTTTTAGAAAGGATGACAAGAAAGGCAGGAAAATAGTCAAGTAATCTCATTGTAAAACTTTACTGCCACCTTATTATAAATCGTTTACCTATCACTAAGGAGGTCCTGAGATGACCTTACTGCCAAAAACACGAAGCACGTGCAGGTCAGGACTGATCCTGAGCATGGGGCTGGAAGGAAAAGGTCAGCATGAAGCTGATCAGAAGTCTTGAACTTCTTGAGGATGCCCTTGAAGGCAATGTGAGATATTGGGCCTAACTCCCCTAAATACATCGTCTACAAAGTCAAGCAGAACTAAAAGTATGGGATAACTTGGTCATGTTATGGAGTGAAATCTTTCATTGTACCTTAATGTGCATGACAAATTTTATATTAGTAATTGCAAATGAAATAGTAATAGTAAATTAAAAGTAATGGCAAAAACAGCAATTACTTTTGCACCAACCTAATACAAAATGAGAAAAATAAGTGTGCTTAAAATATGTTTTATGTATTTTTAGAACACACTGTGCCAGAAAATATTAAAAGAATGAAACAATTAGTAGAACCAATTCTTGGTGCTGCAGTGTATAATCCTTCAGGTCTCAACTTAAGCATAAAGGTAATGATGGCATTGTTGTTTTTACTGTGTTGAGTTTAGATAAAACATGTATGTCTAAACTAAGATTGGTTTTAATTCTAAAGTATAGGTAACCAGGAATGGTGGGAATAACATCTTTAAAGTATATACCTTTAAAGTATATGAAGAGGGTTTATTTTTTTCTCCATTTCCCTTGGTGTTATTATTTCCAAAGTTTTGAGCAGATAGGCAAGCCATATTATCTAGCAAAGTGGAGAAGAAAGAGTGTTTCCGAAAGTGAAAGGGAAGAAATGGGCTCAGTATTATTCACCTGGATATGGACGAGCACATCTTCTGGTTCCAGCTGCCCATAAAAATACATGAAGTTGGTATAATACAGATAATTGTGAAAACCAATCAGAATTAGGGAACATCTTGAAGCCACAAATACGAGGATTAGCCCAAAGTATTTATCAAGGCCAGGTTTAGTTTTTAGTTTTTGTCTCCTCATTCTAAAAAAAAAAAAAAAAAAAAAAAAAAAAGTATCAGCTATTGAATCCCTCCACTTCAATCCATCTTTTTATTTTGATGCATGATGTGTATGTCCGAGAGCCTTAGGAAGAGGATGGGAATCTTTTCATGCAGCATCTATAGGGACAGTGGCCCCAGGGTATATTTTTATTAATACTTAAAGGAATGTACATGTTGATGCTGCTAACAACTGGGTGTGCTTTTTTCCACAGGGCTCTGAACTTTTCCACTTTAGAGTGACCGTCATTTCAGGAGTAACTTTTTGTAACTTAATTGAAGAATTTCAGGTAAAATGGATGCACTTGGCATCAGAGGGGTGATGGCTGGGGAAAAAACATGACAAAACCAATTCAAGAGACACCGAAGAGAAAAAATTGGCAGAATTTGTGTGATGGACAAGGCTTAAAGACAGGGGATCCTGAAGGGTAGCATTGACCCTGTCAGTAGTGACAAAGCCAGGGTGCATCATGGGTGCCAGGACTGATTGATGCTGCCAGAATTTTAATAATACATGTAATAATACGTGGCTGTCTTTGTTTTTGTTCCTTCTCCACCTTCCTTGTTGAGCCCAGTTTTCTGACTTTTAATGCTCTTCCTCTCACCTCTACTTCTCCAAAGAACATATTTCTGTAACTTTTTAGTTTCTAGTCTGATTATCCTCCTTTTGGCTGTTTGAACTGTAATCATTGTCTTAAATATTTCAAAGGCTTTCAAGATCCAAAGGAATTGAAAACCAGAATCAGTCTTTCCCAAATCATCCCATGAAAGCAACAACTCATTTTTGCTTATTCATATAATGACATGTGCTGCCTGTGAGGCATGGGAAGAAATAAGGATTTGATAAAAATCAATTAATGAGTCATTGTCAAATGCTGATGTTACATTAACATTCTGTCTCTCTCTCTCTCTCTCTCTCTTTCTCTCTCTCTCTCTCTCTCTCTCCTGTTCCGGCCCAGCTCTAAGGCCAGCTCCAATAATGGCTCTGCACTACTACAGTGGTGGGTGGCCATTGCAGCAGTGCAAACCTCTAAAACCCTGAGAGAAAAATTCAACCCACTAGATAAAGAAACTAGGAAAAGAAGCATCTGTCACATGAGGAGTGTGAAGGAAAATCCTTGTTATTTTTTTCTCTCTTTTCTCATCTCTTTGGCCCAAGAGCAGCCCTGGTTGTGGGGAACAGCACAATAGCACAGAGGGCTAAAATTCTCATAGAAGCTCCACTTTCTTTCCAGAGAACAAGGGAAAGGACCTCTAAGAGTGGAAAGCATGGGGGGACATCTCTATGAGAAGAGGGCTGGAGAAAGGGAGTCCTGATTCTTTATGTAAACTAGCACCAGGAAGAAGCTGCATATGACCAGGGCACACCTGAAGAAAACAGCAAAGCCTTTGAAATGAAACTACAAAGTAAACATCCTCTAGTTTCAGAGCAGCTCCTGAGTGGCACAGGTACCAACCAGGAAGACACAAATAGCATAGCAACAGCTTGGAAAACTGAACTGACATTGAAACCACCACCCACACAGAAGGTGAGGCATAACTTGTGACCTGAACTCAACCAGTGTGATTGACTGCTAAAAACAAACAAATAAATAATCAGCATTTTCCAGATGACTTTTAAACAAGAACCAGAATCTCCCAACATAACATCAAAAATGTCCAGGATGCAATCCGATATTATTCACCATATTTACCAGGATACAATCTGATATTACTCACCATTATTCACCAGGATACAATCTGATATTATTCACCATATCAACAACCAAGACAATATAATCAATTCTGAAGAGAAAAGACATCAACAAAGGACCACAAATGCAATTATCAAATATTCTAAACTAGCTATTATAACCATGCTCCATGCAGTACAGGTAAACACTTTTGAAATAAGTAGAAAATGATCAATTATAAGCAGAGATCTAGAAGCTACTTAAAAAGGACAAAATGGAAATTTTAGAACTAAAAACTATAATATTTAAATTTAAAAACTACCAAAAGGACTCAATTGCTGAATGGATATGGAACAGGAAAAAAATCAGTGAACTTGAAAGCAAGTCAGTGGAAACCCAACCTGAAGAAAAAGTATTTTAAGAAGAAGAAGATCTTGCCTCAGGGATCTGTGTGACAGTATCAGAAGGTCTAACATTTATGTTATCAGTGTCCATGAAGGAGAGGAGAAAAAGACTGGTATGGGGAAAAAAATCCCAGCACTTTGGGAGGCCAAGGTGGGTGGATCGCTTGAGCTCAGGAATTTAAGACCAACTGAGCAACATGGCAAGGCCCTGTCTCTACAAATACAAAAAAATTAGCCAGGCATGGAGGCACACACCTGTAGTTCCAGCTACTCTGGAGGCCAAGGTGGGAGGGTTGCTTCAGCCTGGGAGGTCAAGGCTAAGGTGAGCTGAGATCATGCCACTGCACTCCAGTCTGGGTGACAGAATGAGACCCTGTCTCAAAAAAAATAAAAAATAAAAATAAAAAGAAGAAGAAGAAGAAGAAAGGAAAGAAATAAAGACGGAAAAGCCTCAAGTTTGGTGAAGACGTAAGTTTACATATTCAAGAAGCTTAATGAGCCCTAAACAAGATAAAGATAGAGAAAACCATGCCTGAACACATCATAATCAAACTACCAAAAATCAAGATCATAAAATATTAAAAGTGGTCAGAGAAAAACAACACTGTATATACAAGGGTACAGTTTGAATGACTGCTGATTTCTCAACAGAAACCACAGAGGCAAAAGAAAGTTATACAACATCTTTAAAGTGTTAGGGGTGAGGGTTGAGTGGGGAGGAAGGATTGTCAATCCAGAATTCTCTATCTACTGAAAATATCTTTCAGGAATAAAAAATCAAGACTTTCTCAAATGAGAGAAAACTAAGAGAATCCATTGTCAGGAGAACTTCTCTTTTGAAAATGCTTAAAGAAGTTATTCAAACAGAAGAAAAGTGATAACAGCAGGAACCTTGAAGCTTCAGGAATGGAGGAAGAACAAAAATGGATAAAAGATAGGTGTGACTGCACCATTAATGAAGGAAAAGAATTGTTAAGAAAATATAGAGAAAGTGTATAAAGCTTCTTGGGACTGTCGGAACCTGCTTTTGAAAGTACCCTGAAATAGGCTGGGCATGGTGGCTCATGCCTGTAATCCCAGCACTTTGGGAGGCCGACATGGGTAGATCACTTGAGGTCAGGAGTTCGAGACCAGCCTGGCCAACATGGTGAAACATCATCTCTACTAAAAATACAAAAATCAGCCAGGTGTGGTAGTGCATGCCTGTAATCCTAGTTACTCAGGAGGCTGAGGCAAGAGAATTGCTTGAACCCAGGAGGCAGAGATTGCAGTGAGCCAAGATCGCACCACTGCACTTCATCCAGCCTGGGCGACAGAGTGAGACTCTGTCTCAAAAAAAAAGGAAAAAAAAGAAAGTACCCTGAAATAGCCAGACCTGGTGACACATGACTGTAACCCCAGCTATTTGGGAGGCCGAGGGAGGATCCTCTGAGGCCAGGGGTTTGAGGCCTCAGTCCAGTATTAACATGCCAGTGAATAACCACTGCACTCCAGCCTGGTAACATAGTGAAGCTCCGTCAAGAAAAGAAAGGGGAGGAGAAAGGAGAATCCTGAAACAATGAAACACAACCCATAAGCTTGGATTTTCTTTCACCCAAAATACATTATGGGGATAACTGAAGAAAAAAAAAAGGAGTAAGATCTGTAATTACAGAATAGTATTGTCTTAATGTTAATTTCTTGACTTTGATCATTGCACTGTGGTTATTTAAGTGAATTTTTGTGCTTAAAAACACAAATTAAAGTATTTTAGGAGTAAATAGACATTGTATCTAAAACAGACTCATAATTCTGAGGTCTAACGTTTTTTAGAAATGGTGTGGAATATTTGGATGGTTGAAGAAGATTAGAAGGGAAACATTTGAAGAAAAAGTGTTTTTCAGAACTTTAGAGGTAGCAATTTAGGTGGAGAATACAGAATTCAGAGGTGATAGACGTTTCTAATCTTAGAAATATAATAAATGGCTTAAATAAGCAAGTGAAAATTTTTTTTTTTGAGATGGAGTCACGCTCTGTTGCCCAGGCTGGAGTGCCATGGCACGATCTCGGCTCACTGCAAGTTCCGCCTCCCGGGTACATGCCATTCTCCTGCCTCAGCCTCCCGAGTAGCGGGGACTACAGGCACCCGCCACCATGCCTGGCTAAATTTTTTGTATTTTAGGTAGAGATGGGGTTTCACCATGTTAGCCAGGATGGTCTCAATCTCCTGACCTCGTGATCTGCCCGCCTTGGCCTCCCAAAGTGCTGGGATTACAGGCATGAGCCACCGTGCCCAGCCACAAGTGAAATTTTTACATCATCTGGTGGAGTGACTGAAATTTCATTAGGCAGAAATGAACAAGGAAGGCATTCTGGATGGAGAGACCAGGTACAGATATGGGAAAGTGATGCAGGACTTTTCTTGGCCACTTTGCCAACCGGGGACCTCCACAGCTGGTGACATCCTCCACCTGGGCCTTGCTCAGCCCTGAGCCTGCCACTGGAGGCACCCTGCCCACTTGTCCCAACTATGTTGTAGTGTGTACCCATGTTCCTGTCCTGCATCCAAGTATAATGAGGAAACACTAACAATTGAAGAGTGAGGAGGGCAAAGAATAATTTTACTGAGTGATGGAACAGCTCTCAGCAGACAGGGGACGTAGGGTGTGGTCCCTCACCCCTGCAGTCAGGTGGTTTCTTTGCCAGTGTGGCTGAGTGGGGCCTTTATGCACTCAGAATAGGGGAGAGTGTGCTGACTGGCTTATGAGTAAGCAAAGAAAGGCTAAAGCAAAGGTACCACTCAAAGGTGGGCACAGCAGTGTAGAAAACCAATTAGGAAGGGTAGGTATATGTAAAACAGTTGAAGGGTGGGATCAGTCAGAGGAAAGCACGCCAAACAGGAAGACAGGTTCTGAATTCGGTATGTGGATTTACCTGGGACTGCCTTCAGCTTGAAGGTCAGGTTTCACCGGCGACCCACCCCTATCTGCCTAGGCATTTGACTGCCTCCTGTCACAATCAAAAGCATAAAGTTTGCTTTTTGAATAGCTCAAATCCATTTGGCTGGAATATAAGGTTATTTAGAAGAAAGCCAGGTAGGTTAGGGTCCAATTGTGGAAGGCTTTGAATGTCAGAGTGAAAGCTTTAGAACACTCCTGTCAACATTCCTGTCAACATTCCTGTCAACAATGAAAAGCTATTAAACATTTTTGGAAAAAGGTGTTTATACACAGACTGGTGTTTTATACAAAGATAAATCTGGCAATGTTAGGATGTCAACACGGACTGGTGGGCTGGGAAGGAGGCTACTAGAGTAGCCTATTTATGAAAAGTGGCACAATAATCACAGTAGCAGTACTGAAAGAATGGAAAGAATGAATGTGAGGGGAATTTTAGAGAATGTATAGCATGGAGGGACTGTTTCTAAGAAATCAGCTACCTCCTTGGGTCACTGGGAGGATGGTGGTACCTTTAACTTGAGCTAGACCTTAAAGCAGCCTGTCATCCTTTTTCTTGTCCTTTGCACTTTCCCACATTCCCTACTGTCCTAGTTCCATTCATCAGCACGTTCTTCTCCCACAAAAGACGATCTGGCTTCCTGCTTCACAAAGGAAACATAAGCCTGGGCTTGAACCCCCTACTCTCTTTATGCCCCACTTCTATATTTAACATACAATGACCCCACCCTTGCCTCACATCTCAGAGAAAAAGACATCACTGTCCCTCTCTGTCAATAATCCTATCTGTCCTCCAGAAATTTACTTGCTTCTGTTAATTAGCTATTCATGCAGAGGAAACATTTTGAATACATAAAAAGTTACCTATACTGGCAGCACCTACAAAGAGGATTTTCTAAAGAGGTGGTAACTTGAAAGAGCACAGACATATGCCTCTACCTGGAATGTTCCTTTATCTCCTTCTCTTCTGTGAACCTACTTATTCGTCATGATCCAGCTCAGAAAGCGCATTCCCTGACTGCCCTAGGCAGGTAGGCATTCCCTCCTCCACATTCCCAGAGCTCTTTGCCCATTCCTCTGAGACTGAACAGAGAATGTTCTGCTGTATAAGCATTTTATCTGCCTCCTTCCACCATTAAAGACAGGGTAAAGGCATAGGATAATACATGGACTTCTTAGCCCCTATTTATTGTAGGCAAATTGTTACTTGTTCAACTGTCAAGAGACTGTTTCCAAGCTTTGTGGATGCTGAATGTCTTTGTAACTCTGGGCAGCGTTTTGCTCTCCGATTAATTGTGGGGAACATTAAATTTTCAGTGTTTTGCATTGCTAAATTCAGAAAGCTTAAAGACTTTGCTTTTTCTGTTGCAGATTTATGTTGATGAGGCACCATTGCCATTCCCAGGACACACGCTTATTGCCGTGGCAACAGCGGTAGTGCTAGGGGGATTAATTTTTATAGCATTTATGTTTCAACTGCAAGGCATCCATCCGTGGAGGACATTCCAAAGATGGATTAGAAGAAACCAAGAGAAGTTTTCAAGTATCTCTCTCAGTGAGCTGATTCATAGATCAAAGTCTGAAGAGTGAACACATGGTGATCATAATTTCTCTTTATTTTCTAGTTTTATCAGCCAATTCCTAGAACAATATATTTAAATGTTAAATATGCAAGCTACATAAAATCCTAAAGAATTGTCATTATAATTCAAATTGCTACTTGTCAATATATTCACCATTTCCTTTTCTTATTTTGAATACATAGAAAATGTCTTATGCCAGGGCTTATGTTGAAGATCTTCCTTGAGGTTTTTAGAAAAGTATAAAATGATAACCAACTCGACATGGAACAGGTGTTCTGTGTTGTTCAGCTCTTAGTGCCTGGAGCCCATTCTGTGGGGTCAGAACCCCTGAGCTCTGCTCCTTCCAGATAGAGTTTGAGTAGAGTGCAGTTATGCCAGGGTGAGATAGGAGTGAAGACAGCGGATCAGCAGCAGTGTTTTCAGAGCCTTGTGGGAATGAAAGAGGAAGCCATTCAAGTTTCTTTGGGCAACTTCAAAACCAGATTGTAGTACCTAAAGAGAGAAATGTGACCCCATCATTAGGGTGTTAGAAGAACGCGGTGTCTGAGCAGGGTATTGGTTTATAAACCTACATGCAGCATGGAGAATTCCAAAAGCTATATCTCTGTGTGCTCTCAAAGTAAATGTCCCCAGATAGTCAGAAGATGACCATAACATTCAGAGATCAGAGCCTCATGCTCCCTGGAAAAGCTCAGAAGGGGAGCACAGTTTTGACAACATAAGGAAAGGAAGGCATCCAATCCAGGTCTGAGATCTATCATTGAAATTCCTTAGAGAGGGCAGTGCGGCAGGTAGGCAAGAGAATCAGACTCCAGAGCCAGATCTCCTGGGTTTGCCATTTACTAGATAAGTAACCTTGGGAAGTTAATTTATTCGTGCATGAGTTGCTTCACCTGTAAAATGGGAAGACAGTAACACCTACCTAATGAAACAGGAAATTTTCCTTGACCCCTTAACAGGCCTCGTGACACGGATGCCTCGCTTATTCAGCCTGCAGCTCTCAACCCCTCATGAGAGGGGGAGCATGCAGGTGAGCGGGTGTAGGAGCCAGAGTGAGCACTTTTGGGTGGCAGCAGGAGCAAAACTCCACATAGGCCCCAAGACAGCATGTAGGGAGGAGTATCCACGATCCCCAAAGCCCCAGAGGGCATGTGTTACAGTGCTCTTTTAACTCTGCTGTCCATGGATGGCTTAGGTGGTAAACAGCTCAGTGGGCTCTCTGCCTTTTTGTTGGAGGCAGTTGCTCTTTGCCAGCGAGGGCAGAGGGTCAGTATGACAGCCTTTAGTGTCCACACCCCTGGTACACAAGCTCTTGTTTAGTTTCCAGGAAAAATCAGTTTGCATGAACAAATTGAAGGGTGGTGAATGTGGAGGATTTTATTGCTGATGGAAGTGGCTCTCGGCAGGAAGGGGAGTTGGAAGGGGACTGGAGCACAAAGGTGATCTTCCCCTGGAGTCTGGTCATCCCTGGCCAGACTCCTCTCTGAAGCAACACCGTCAAACTATGTCTGGAAATGGTGGGTTCTTGGTCTCGCTGACTTCAAGAATGAAACCATGGACCCTCGCCGTGAGTGTTACAGTTCTTAAAGATGGTGTGTCCACAGTTTTTTCATTCTGATGTTCAGACGTGTCCAGAATTTCTTCCTTCTGGTGGGTTCGTGGTCTCACTGGCTTCAGGAGTGAAGCTGCAGACCTTTGCAGTCAGTGTTACAGCTCTTAAAGGCAGCGTGTCTGGAGTTGTTTGTTTCTTCTATCTGGAGTTGTTCGTCCCTCCCGCTGGGTTAGGGGTCTCACTGGCTTCAGGAGTGAAGCTGTAGACCTTCACCGTGAGTGTTACAGTTCATAAAGGCAGTGTAGAACCCAAAGAGTGAGCAGCAGCAAGAGTTCTTGTGAACCCCAAAAGAACAAAGCTTCTACAGCATGGAAGGAGACCAGAGCAGCTTGCCGCTGCTGGCTTGGACACCCTGCTTTTATTTCCTTATCTCACCCCACCCACATCTTGCTGATTGGCCCATTTTACAGAGAGCTGATTGGTCCATTTTACAGAGAGCTGATTGGTCCGTTTTGACAGGGTGCTGATTGGTGCGTTTACAATCCCGGAGCTAGACACAGAGTGCTGATTGGTGTATTTACAATCCTCTAGCTAGACGTAAAAGTTCTCCAAGTCCCCACTAGATTAACTAGACACAGAGCACTGATTGGTGTGTTTACAAACCTTGAGCTAGACACAGGGTGCTGATTGGTGCGTTTACAAACCTTGAGCTAGACACAGAGTGCTGATTGGTGTATTTACAATCCTTTAGCTAGACATAAAGGTTCTCCAAGTCCCCACCAGATTAGCTAGATACAGAGTGCTGATTGGTGCATGCAGGAACCCCGAGCTAGACACAGAGTGCTGATTGGTGCATATACAATCCTGCTGCTAGACATAAAAGTTCTCCAAGTCCCCACCCAACTCAGGAGCCCAGCTGGCTTCGCCTAGTGGATCCCACGCCAGGGCCGCGGGCGGAGCTGCCCGCCAGTCCCGCACCGCTGGCCTGCACTCCTCAGCCCTTGGGCGGTCCATGGAACCGGGCGCCATGGAGCACAGGGTGGTGCCCCTCAGGGAGGCTCAGGCTGTGCCGGAGCCCACCATGGGGCGGGGGGGGGGGGGGGGGGGCGGGGCTTGGGCATGGCAGGATGCAGGTCCTGAGCCCTGCCCTGCCAGGAGGCGGCTGAGGCCCTGCGAGAATTCAAGCGCGGCGTGGGTGGGCTGGCAGTGCTGGAGGACCCGGCACCCCCTCCGCAGCTGCTGGCCCGGGTGCTAAGCCTCTCACTGTCCCAGGCCAGCCGCTCCGAGTGCGGGACCCGCTAAGCCCATGCCTACCTGGAACTCGCGCTGGCCGGTGAGCGCCTTGCACAGCCCCGGTTCCCGCCCAACCCCGGTTCCCACCCGCGCCTCTCCCTCCACACTTCCTCTCAAGCAGAGGGAGCCGGCTCCAGCCTTGGCCAGCCCAGAGAGGGGCTCCCACAGTGTAGCAGTGGGCTGAAGGGCTCCTCAAGCGTGGCCAGAGCGGATGCCAAGGCCGAGGAGGCGCTGAGAGCGAGTGAGGGCCACCAGCACGTTGTCACCTCTCAAAACCATCCCTCTGAAGTCAAGCTGCTTGTCTCTGACATCAGACCACAGTCTCCAACGTCCAGCTGCTTCTCCTCTTCTCCCCTTCTCTGCTCTCTGCCAGTACGGTAAGGGGTTTTTAATGGGTACAGGATTGGGGGTGTGGCAGGCCATGTGTGGTTTTGGAAAAGGCAATATTTGAGCGGGAAAACAAGAATCTCACTTTAGGCCATGGTTCCAAGCTTGAGGGTGGGGCTTCTCCAGGGACTCTGCCCTTTTCTGCTTAGAATTTCTCTGCCTCCTGTCCCTATCACTAACAGCGTTCTCAGGAGGATCAAATGAATGAATACGTGTAAAATGTTTAGAACAGGACCCATTTACAGTGAGTGTGTTAAGTGTTGGGTGTAATTGATGCTGCTGCCCCTGCTGATGTTTTTAGGTCGTAAGTAATAGATTTTTGTCTAATTAAAATAACAAGGGAGATGCACTGAACAAACACTACAGAATGTCAGATAAACAAAGCAAAGTCTAAACAATCAGTTTTTGTCATGGGCAGGAATGAGGACCATTCTGGGGACCTAGGAAACAAGTGTTTGTCAACTCCTCCGAGCTTCCCTTGGACCAGGGGTCTAGAGATAGAGTATAGCACAGTGGTTAAAAGTATAGGCTCCAGAATCTAAAGCCTGGGTTTTTTCTCTTAATAAACTTTTAAAAATGTTAGAATAGTTTAAGATTTACAGAAAAGTTGTGAAGACAGCGCAGAGAGTTTCTGTGTAAAACTCAGAAGACTTTGTACCGGGCTTGGGCCAGTTACAAACTGTGTGCTTGGGCCCACTCCCACCCTGTGGAGTGCTTTCTTGCTTTAATAAATATCTGCTTTCATTGCTTCCTTCCCGTATTTCATTTCTTTGTTACTTTGTGCGTTTTGTTCAATGCAATGTCTCACTCTGTTGCCCAGACTGGAGTGCAGGGGCATGATCACAGCTTACTGCAGCCTCAACTTCCTGGGCTCCAGGAATTCTTACAAACTTGGCCTGTAAAAATTTCCCCAGACTTTAGGCAATACAGTGAACACATTTCTATAAACTGCAATTCTACAATGTAGCTCTTTTCTATTCTGATGCCTAACACCTTTCAGTTTATTTTGATTTAGAATCTACCACTTGACAAACAGTGGGACACAGGAAGGATTTTGAGGTTTCGGCTGCAAGGGTAGCACATTAGGAAATGGCAAAGATTTCACTGTAGGAAGAATTCAGGTGATACTTGGTTGGCCAGGCTTATTACTCAGTTTTTATAGCAGTAACAACCCTCAGATCTCACTCTCAGTTGCTTATAACAATAAACATTTCTTGCCCACTGTTCAGCCGATCAGCTGTGGTGGCTCCATATGTCTCTCATTCTAGGACACAGGCCAAAGAGCAGGGGCCACTTGGGCAGCTGTACAACACATCTGCTTGTAGTTTATCACCCAAATCAAATCATGTGGCCAGCCAGGCTTGGTGGCAAACACCTGTAATCCCAAAACTTTGGGAGGCCAAGGCAGGAGGATCACTTGAGGCCAGGCATTCGAGACCAGCCTGGGCAACATAGTGAGACCTGCCCCCCACCACCACCACCAAAAAAATAAAAAAATAAACCACCAAAAAAAAAAAAAAAATAAGCCACACACACACAAAAAAAATTAGCCAGGCGTGGTGGTGTACACCCATAGTTCCAGCTAATCGGGAGGCTGGGGTGGGAGGATCACTGGATCCCAGGAAGTTGAGGCTGCAGTAAGCCGTGATCATGCCCCTGCACTCCAGCCTGGGCGACAGAATGAGTCATTGCTCGAACGAAATGCACAAAGTAACAAAGGAATGAAATACAGGAAGGAAGCAATGAAAGCAGATATTTATTAAAGCAAGAAAGTACTCCACAGGGTGGGAGTGGGCCCAAGCACACAGCTTAAGGGCCCAGTTACAAAGTTTTCTGGGTTTTAAGCCCTCCTTTGGAGATTCCTATCAGTTACCCCTGATCTGGATGAAGGATTTGGTCCGTGGCTAATTACAGGCTGGGGTGAATTAGAGCCCTAGGCAGATGAAGGCATGGCCCCTGCTCGGCCCGCGGCCAATCCAGGGCACTCTCCCTTTCCATCTGAGCTGTGGTGGAAGCCGGAGGGCTGTAGGGAGAGTGGCCTTTGATCCTTTGTTACTGGGCGTGGGGAGCTGGGGTTTTCTCTTTTGGTTTAGCTTTAGGAAGTTGGCATTAATTGTTCTTTGGTTCCCTGCCCCAGACACAGGTGCTCCCCTTTTGGTCCAGCTTTGGGAAATTATCGTGAATTGGCCTCAGAGTCCTGCCCCCAGACCTTGGTGTTTTCCCTTGATTCAGCTTTAGGAAGTCGGCATGAATTGGGCTTAAGTTCCCTGCCTCCAGACCCTATTCTCCTGCCTCAGCGGTAAGGAGACTTCTATGGCGATGTGCTTCCACCAGAACACAAAAACGGGAGCTGCTGGAGTCTCCTTAATGCCTGGTCTTGGCTGCCCCCGGAATGTCACCTCTGCCTCATTCTACTATCAAGGTGGTTGCAGGGACAGCCCAGGTTCAAAGGAAGGAGAAGTAGACTCCCCCTCTTTTGACTGGCAAGGGGACATTGCAAAAAATCCTGTCGTTTGGGGGGGATTGTTGTAGTCATCTTTGGAAACACAATCTGCAACTTTGATGTTCATCAAAGAAATCTGCTTGAGCTGTGAGCTCAACTGGTATTCGACTTAAGAAATCCACAAAATCGGTTCTGAACTGCATTTTCATCTCAGCGTTTGGCCACGGGCAATGAGAGCTTCATTCAGAAGAGTCACAAAATCGTTCTGACTAAGACCATTTTGTCTAGATCAGTAATTTGGGGATTTGCCTGTCTCAGTGCCATCAGAAGCAACCACCTAACCCAGAAATGCTAACATTCCTCTTCTTTCAGCAGTCACTGACTACCTACATCCCTCAGCTCCCTCCCCATCTCACATCACCCTCAGGGGCCTCTGAGCACAGCATCACCGAGGGGGCCACAGCAGCAGAACCTCCTACCCAGATCTCTGTAGGCACTGCCATCATGTGACTAAACTCCCCTCTCAACCACAACCTCCAGCTACAGGGCTCTCATCCAAGTCAAAAATCCAAAGACAGGCGTCTGGCTGGCTGCAGGAGTCCAGAGCCATGAGTGTCCCTAAATTAGTCAACCATGGCTGGGAGACAGAGCCATGCAATCCAGACCCAGCTCTTCTGCTCACTGGGGCCGTTCCCGGAGAAGGAGAAACCACGCTGGAGCGGGCACTCCCACGAGTTGTCGGGGAACAAGAACTCGGATCCTGGCGGGAGAGAGCGAACAGTACACCCGAGCGGCGGCTGTCACCCGCTTTGAAACACGTAAGTGCCCGGCCAACCAGCATCCCAGAAACGCCTGGGGAGCGGGGCGCGCGGACGAGGAGAGACCGCGCTGGGAGGGCGCGGAAGGGCGAGGGCGCTGCCGCCTCCACGCTGAGCTCACTGCGCGGGGCGGCCCCCGAGGCAGGGCGCGGGGCGGAGGCGCCCGAGTGGTCCGTCTCGGGAGGCGCAGACGCGGTTCCTCTCGAGGGCGCTCCCGCTGTGAGGAGCAAATCCTAGGGACCTTTGCGTCATGAGCACCCAACGGGGCCCGCCCCCTTAGGACCTGCACCTGCCTGAGGGGAAAACCCGCCCACCACCCACGGTCGCCCGCAGCGCTTGCCTGCCAGCCTTCTCATCTGCAAGCCGCCTCCTCCCTGCCAACCTCCTCCTCCCTGCCCAGCCTCTTTCTCTCTGCCAGCCTCCTCCTCCCCCATCGGCCGCCTCCTCTCCTGCCAGCCTCCTCCTCCCTGCCAACCTCCTCCTCTCCTGCCAGCCTCCTCCTCCCTGCCAACCTCCTCCTCTCCTGCCAGCCTCCTCCTCCCTGCAAGTCTCCTCCTTCCTGCCAGCCTCTTTCTCCCTGCCAACCTCCTCCTCTCCTGCCAGCCTCCTGCTCCCTGCAAGCCTCCTCCTTCCTGCCAGCCTCTTTCTCCCTACCAACCTCCTCCTCTCCTGTCAGCTTCCTCCTCCCTGCCAACCTTCTGTCCTGCCACCCCCCTCTTCCCTGCCAGTCTCCCCCTCTTCTGCCAGCCTCCTCCTCCCCTGCCAGCCTCTTCCTTCTCACCAGCCCCCTCCTCCCTTTTCATCTAAGATCATTTGACCTGTCATTCAAGGCCTAGTTGAAATGTCACCTCTGTAGAAAAGTTTCTCCCCAGTTCTCTCTGATAGTTAGTTCTTTCTCTCCTTTGAGTGGGGTAGCATGGTGCACATTTCTATATCAAGCTTCTTGGCCCGGTTTTGGTATTTACATGCTTATCTCTCCCCTGCAATAGGGACAGTGCTAACTTTCTGTCACATTTCTTTTTAATGCCTTCCTAAAAGAGTGACCAACACATGGGTGATATTCAACAAATGATTGAAAAAGAAAAAACAAGAAAAAGAAAAATGCTGTTTATAATCAGGTTCAGGGGAGACTATGAGAATATAAATAAGACATAAGAACATCTTGTTATAAGAGAAGTTCATATAAAATACATTTCAGGCACAGACTAGACACTCAATAAATATTGCCTGAAAATGAATACAAAGAAAGAACTCAAAATAAGAGGCTTTGGGGAATCATTATATATATATAATTATAAGGGAATTGGTTTTTTTGGTCTCTAACTTTCTAACTTTCTAAGAGTAATAACTGGAAAATTTAGAAAATAAAAGTATGAAAAAAATATAAATCATACCACTTAAAATTTAGGCATACTTCTTAATCTTTTATGGTGTGTGTGTGTGTGTGTGTGTGTGTGTGTGTCCATACACATTAAACATACGTAATATAGATACATTAACTGGGTCTAAATGGAAAGGAAAGTAACATGAAGAGCTTGCTGCCATATGACATTCGTAATTTATTATATGTTGGTCTTTTTTTTTCTTTTTAAAAGTCTTTCCCTCTTTCCTTTGCATTTGAATATAGGTTGTTTGTTTTGTTTTGTTTTGTTTTTTGAGACGGAGTCTCACTCTGTGGCCCAGGTTGGAGTGGAATGACACGATCT
Source organism: Homo sapiens (assembly GCF_000001405.40). Lineage (NCBI taxonomy): Eukaryota > Metazoa > Chordata > Mammalia > Primates > Hominidae > Homo > Homo sapiens. Next base: position 91,572,696 of record NC_000014.9, on the reverse strand, counting down.
CGGCTCACTGCAACCTCCACCTCCCAGGTTCAAGGGATTCTCCCACCTCAGCCTCCCAAATAGCTGGGATTACAGGCACCCACCATCACGCCAAGCTAATTTTTGTATTTTTGTAGAGACAGGGTTTCACCATGTTGGTTAGGCTGGTCTTGAACTCCTGACCTCAGGTGATCTGCCCACCTTGGCCTCCCAAAGTGCTGGGATTACAGGTACGAGTCACCATGTCTGGCCATATGTGGGTGTTTTCTAATTTAAAAAAAAAAAAAAAAAGGCTGGGCATGGTGGCTCATGCCTGTAATCCCAGCACTTTGGGAGGCCGAGGTGGGCGGATCACGAGGTCAGGAGATCGAGACCATCCTGGCTAACATGGTCAAACCCTGTCTCTGCTAAAAATACAAAAAATTAGCCAGGCGTGGTGGCGGGTGCCTGTAGTCCCAGCTACTCAGGAGGCTGAAGCAGGAAAATGGCATGAGCCTGGGAGGCGGAGCTTGCAGTGAGCCAAGATCGCGCCACTGCACTCCAGCCTGGGTGACACAGTGAGACTCGGTCTCAGAAAAAAAAAAAATTAAAAAAAAAGCAAAAATCAAAAGAAAACCCTCCTGGTTTTGTTCAATGTGAATTTTCTTAAAGATGCTTGCAATTACTGAACATGTTAGCTGGCAATAATGGCCTTTATGTTGATTTGTTTAGTTAAAATAATCTTTGCCCAGAGTCCCTACCTGTTAAAGGTTTACACCATTAGCAAGTTCAGGTTTTCTCTTCATTTGCTTGTTTTCATAGTGGTCACCAAAAACAAAAAGATATTTCATCTGAACTGCTTTGTTAAGAATATGGGTTTAAAAAGATATTTTTCTTGTCCTAGAAAAAATGAGAAAGCAATGATTTCTTTCCTTTGAGAATAACTCATGTTTTTGCCAGATACTGATAGTTTTTTTTTCCCTTTACCCTTGTAATTAAAATTATTTTTAGTGGGTGTCACTTAGAATCCAGGGAGCACTTTGTGTATCTTTAGATTTTTTTTTTGAAACTCAGACAAGTTTCCTTTGATGATGTATTTGAATAATATTATCTATGCATTGATTGTGTTGATGTCTTCTTTAACAGCCTCTATAAATTTCCTAGGTTGGTTCTCTATTCTCTGCCCTCCACACCTAAAGATATTCATTATTATGCATGATCATATGTAGATTAAAGAACAGAAAATTAATAAGCTTTATTATAAATACTTTAGTATCATTCATACTCACATGCTTTTCCTATGTTGTAAATTTACAGCAAAAATAAAGAAGGCCAAATTCATGCTTATCCTTTTAATTCAAGCATTTATCTTTAAAGGTAAAGAAGATACCACAAACATTTAATGAGCCCTTCCTATACTATGTGCTTATCACTTAACTATTCTAAATAATTTTGCAGTTAGGCTTGTAGCAAAGAAACTGATAATAATTTTAAATGATATTATGAGTATCACAATGGAGAAAAATAATCAGATAACTTATCTGACCATGGCTTAGGTTCTTCTCTTGGAAAAATATTTTTGGGTCAGACTGTGGTTGGTCCTTCTCTCTTTAATGCTCTTTCCCCTCTTTGGTCCTCAATTTAGAACTATTTATAGAAGCATCTATTATGATAGATTCTGTCTCTGCATAAGTGATTGTAATTAGCTATATCTCATGAAAGTTTCCTAGGATTGAATAAAATAGAGCCAGAGTTAGCAGCGGCTCAAGTCTGTAATCCCAGTACTTTGCGAGGCCCAGGCAAGAGGAGCATTTGAGGCCAGGAGTTCAAGAACGGCCTGGGCAACAAAGCCAGATCCCGTCTCTACAAAAAAATTAAAAAATTAGCCGGGTATGGTGATGTGCACCTGCAGTCCCAGCTACTTGGGAGACGAGGGCAGGAGGATTGCATGAGCCTGGGAGGTCAAGACTGCAGTGAGCCACAATCTCACCACTGCACTCCAGCCTGCGTGACAGAGTGAGATCCTGTCTCAAAAATAAATAAAAATAAAAATAATGTACTTTAAAAAAGAGAGGGAGCCAGCGCTCACTTTCTGATTTATCATCATGCCATTCATAAATCTCAGAAGCTACTGTTACAGTGAAGTATCTAATGATACTGATTCCTTCTGGTGAATTCTGTTCTGCTTTAATTATATTATATTACAATAAAGGGCATGTTTTTTCTTTTGGGATTTAAAAGAAAAATATTACCCCACTGACACAGATTGATCTATCTAAAATGAGTAGCACGTTCAAAAATTAGTTGTTTTTGTTTACAAAGATGGAATTGTCACCTTTATATGCCACAGCCTCAGTTTTGGAAGTATCTGGTTTTTTATATGGAGTTGAAATATAACCAAGGCAAGTTAGTGCTATGGTCTGAATGTCTGTGTCCCTCACCCCCACCCCCCGCACCATTCATATGTTAAAACATAATCCCCTGTGATAGGATTAAGAGGTGGAGCCTTTGGGAGGTGATTAGGTCACAGGGCCCCACCCTCCAGAATGGGATTAGTGCTCTTGCAAAGGGGGCCTGAGGAAGGTCACTAACCTCTTGTTTGCCCATTCCACCAAATGAGGCTACAAAGACAAGACATCCATTTAATGAAGGAAGTGGCCCTCACAAGATTCCAAACCTGCTGGCAACTTGATCTTGGACTTCCCAGCCTCCAGAACTGTGAGAAATAAGTTCCTATTGTTTATAAGCCACCCAGTCTAAGATATTTTGAGCATTTTGAATAGACTAACAGCTATTGTATTTAATGTAATCCTCCCTTTCCTTCTCAGAAATTCCTATATATTTCTTTTTCATCTGGTCCTTTCTTTCAGCAACTAGTTCCCTACATATAGTAGTTATCAAGCAACTGTTGCATGAATGAGGAACAGATATCTCAAATCTATTTATCTGCAACAGAGTCAACCAAGAAAAAAACAGAATTTGATGTCCAAAATTCAACCTTGTTCATTCTTTCCTCTGACCAGGGAGCCAAAGAAAGATGAAAATATTTTTAAAAAAATTTTTTTAATGCAACCATGAAATTAAAAATGCCAGGTTGGGGATTCTAAATGACAGCAAGTATTATGGGAAAGAAAGAAAGAAAAAGGAAGGAAGGTAGGTGAAAAGAAAGAAGGAAAAAGAAAAGAAAGAGAAGAAGGGAGAGAGAAAGAGAAGAAAAAAAGAGGAAAAGAAGGAAAGAAAGAGAGCAAGAAAGAAAGAAAAAAGAAAAAGAAAGAGAAAGAAAAGGAGGAGGAAAAAGAGGAAGGAAGGAAGAAAGGAAGGAAGGAAGGAACAGGTTGAACTTTTTTGTAAATTCCTGTAAGGGAAAATGTTTGATCCTTAGACCACTGTAAAAACAAGTAAGTGGTTCTGTGGTAATGATTTAGGAAGACACCAAAAGGAGAAAATGTTATTAATATAGGAATTATTATCAGTGAAGAAGTTCTGTTTAGACAGTTGGTAACTTCTGATGAGTCTTGAATCATACAGCCCACAGTTAGCAGACGATCCAAGCCTATCTGCTCATGCACTCCTCTATGCTAATCGCCCTGAAGTTCTGGGGTCCAGGGAATTAACTGTAGGAATTTATAGATTTTCTTGTAAATCTAAAAGCTGAATTTAGGGTCCTGTTGTAGCCTGGGTCATCTGAGAAGCAGCTGCCAAGATGGAATTAGATGTACAAGAGGGAGGATAGAGGCAAAAGGGAGCAAGAGCAGCAGAGTAACCCTAAAAAACTCCTAATAAAGTCTTGGTCAACGAGTAGACATGAGAGGAGTCTCATGTCCAGCAGGAATGGCCAGGGTCTAAGTCCCTTGCAGGGTTCAGTCCTTGGTTGGGAATGGCCTGCAGAGGGCATTGTCTCCAGTGAATGCTGCAGGGGGCAGAGGGTGGCCATCAGCCAACCCCAGGTCTCCTGCAGGCTCTGTTAGTGGAGCTGTGAGGAGCCACCTCCATGGTTCCAGATCCCCGAGCACCTGTAGATCTAATTTTATGTTGAGTTACCCGTAAAGGGCCCAAGACATCCTGGAAAGGTGATTCTACCTAGAAGAACACCTGTGTTCAGTCGCTCTATTAAAGAGAAGGTGAAAATGTTACTGGAAAAGGCGGTCTCCATCCAGACCCCCAGAGAGGGTTCTTGGATCTCTCACTGGAAGGGTGAGAAGGAGATATTTTATTGAAAGCTACTTCTTTACAGAGTAGGGCATCCTCAGGAAGCAAGCAGAGGAAGGCACTGTCTTTAAGTTTTTCATATACGGGGGTCTTGTCTATGTAAAGACTAAACTAAGCTGTGCCTATGTATGGCTGAGCAGACAGAATGAGAAAATTTATTATTCTGTTGACTTAAAGAAAACTATCCTTGACATTCTATTGTGTGAATACATCAAAGCATAACTGTAATATCGCCAATGTTGTAAAACCCCAACTCTACAAAAATTAGCCAGGCATGGTACTGCACACCTGTAATCCCAGCTTCTCCAGAGGCTGAGGTGGGAGTGAGGGGTGAAGCCAGCTGGACTTCCTGGGTCGGGTGGGGACTTGGAGAACTTTTCTGTCTAGCTAGAGGATTGTAAATGCACCAATCAGCAGTCTGTGTCTAGCTAAAGGTTTGTAATTGCACCAATCAGCACTCTGTAAAAATGCACCAATCAGCACTCTGTGTCTAGCTAAAGGTTTGTAAACGCACCAATCAGCCCTCTGTAAAATGGAGCAATTAGCACTCTGTAAAATGGACCAATCAGAGCTCTGTAAAATGGACCAATCAGCAGGATGTGGGCAGGGCCAAATAAGGGAATAAAGGGTGGCCACTTGAGCCAGCAGCGGCAGTGGCAACCCGCTTGGGTACCTTTCCATGCTGTGGAAGCTTTGTTCTTTTGCTCTTCACAACAAATCTTGCAGCTGCCCACTCTTTGGGTCTGCATCATCATTAAGAGCTATAACACTCTCCACGAAGGTCCGTGGCTTCACTCCTGAAGTCAGTGAGACCAAGAACCTGCTGGAAGGAAGAAACTCTGGATACATTTGAACATCTGGAGGAACAAACTCTGGACACAGCATTTTTTTTTTTTTTTTTTTTTTTTGAGATGGAGTCTTGCTCTGTCACCCAGACTGGAGTGTACTGGCATGATCTCGGCTCACTGCAAGCTCCGCCTCCCGGGTTCACGCCATTCTCCTGCCTCAGCCTCCCGAGTAGCTGGGACTACAGGAGCCCGCCAGCACACCTGGCTAATTTTTTGTATTTTTAGTAGAGACAGGGTTTCACCATGTTAGCCAGGATGGTCTCAATCTCCTGATCTCATGATCTGCCTGCCTTGGCCTCCCAAAGTGCTGGGATTACAAGCGTAAGCCACCGCGCCCAGCCAACACACCATCTTTAAGAGCTGTAACACTCACGGCAAGGGTCCGCAGCTTCATTCTTGAAATCAGCGAGACCAAGAACCCACTGGAAGGAATAAATTCAGGACACAGGAGGATCACTTGAGCTCATGAGGTCAGGGCTGCAGTAAGCCATGATGGCTCCACTGCACTCCGGTCTGGGTGACAGAGTAAGACCCTGTCTCAAAAAAAGAAAAAAGAAAAAAGTAACCACTTTCTTTGCTCATCTGTAGGAAGCAATTCCTTACCCATTCAAGTTTTATCTTGAGCCATGCTCTCACTGCAGCACTCCAGTCTGGGCAACACAGCAGGATCCTATCTCAAAAACAAAACTTGGGTCACTTTCCTGGTCATTCATGGACAAACATATGCTCAAGAGTGGCAAAAATTTGAGTTGCCCACCTGGCACATTCCCAGCTGAGTTGAAACAAGGTGACAACGCTGCCTTCTTGTTTCAACTCTCCCACTGCAAACAAATGTTCTTTACAAAATCTATTTAGTGCCACATTGTTCCTATTTTGTGCGTTTGGGTGGTGATTTTGCCTGTGAAATGGCCCCCAAGCATGGTGCTTGAAGGGCGATCTAGTGTTTCAAGTACAAGAAAGTTGCAATGTGCCTTACAGAGAAAATATGTGTGTGAGATAAGCTTCATTTGGGTGTGAGAGTGCTGTTGGCCAGGAGTTCATGAATGAACAACATATATTAACCAAGATGTCTTTAAACAGAACTACCTGTAAAACAAGAGTTAATGAATGAACAACATGTATTAAATAAGTGTCTTTAAACAGAACCACACATAAGACAAGGCTACGTATTGATCAGTTTACAAAAATATTGGGACAGAGGCTCTCAGGATTCTAACCCTGTATTTCTCCTGTGAGAAAATTCAGTGATCACAGTGACCTTATGAAACACGACTACTGGCCAGGTGCCATGACTCACACCTGTAATCCCAGCACTTTGGGAGGCCGAGATGGGCGGATCACCTGAGGTCAGGAGTTCGAGACCAGCCTGGCCAACATGGTGAAACCCCGTCTCAACTAAAAATACAAAAATTTGCCAGGCGTCGTGGTGGCACATGCCTGTAATCCCAGCTACTCAGGAGGCTGAGGCAGGAGAATTGCTTGAGCCCGGGAGGCGGGGGATGCACTGAGCCGAGATCATGCCACTGTACTCCAGCCTGGGTGACAGATTGAGACACTGTCTCAAAAAAAAAAAAAAAAAAAAGATAATGAGAAGAAAACTATGTTAAAAAGTCAGCATGAGGCTGGGCGTGGTGGCTCACACCTGTAATCCTAGCACATTAGGAGGCAGAGGCTGGAGGATCACTTGAGCCCAGGAGTTCAAGACCAGCCTGGGCAACATGACGAAACCCTGTCTCTACAAAATATACAAAAATTAGCTGGGTGTGGTGGCATGTGCCTGTATTCCCAGCTACTTGGGAGGCTGAGGCACAAGAATTGCTTGAACCCAGGAGGCGGAGGTTGTAGTGAGCCAAGATGGCACCATTGCACTCCAGCTTGGTCAACAGAGTGAGACTCCGTCTCAAAAAAAAAAGAAAAAAGTCAACGTTATATGCAGTGGCAAAATTCTAGAGTAGAGGCCATAAACTGATAGGCCTACTACTCTGTCCGGCCCAAACACTGTAACAAATCATTCCAATTTAGTTGCAAACACTGAAAATTGCAGTGCCCGGTAATGAAACTTCCACAAAGGGGTGATTCCAAAACACCTGACTGACAGTGCTAAATTACTGCTTGGCCCTGCAGGCATTTGAGTTTGTAACTTGCACTCCCGAGGCATTCTTTTTAGTTCAGAAATATTACAAAGAGGCCCCTTTTTTCCTATTATTTTGAAAGTATTGATAATATATTAAGGCATAATTAAAATCTTAGTAGCTAAATGTTCTCGCCACGAAAACCAAAACTCAGAATACCCATAACTAGTTGAAGTGATAGACATGTTAACTTACTTGATCATGGTCATCATTTCACAACATATTGTACACCTTAAACTGACACAACTTTATTTGTCAATTACAACTCAATAAAGCTGGAGAAAAATAAAAAGAAAACTAAGATTCATAAGATTATTGTGAATAAGATAAACATATAGCTCCTAATGATGCACTCAAGTATTTCAACACGGAAAACAGAAGATAATTTCCCCTTCATTTCATCTTTTAAAAAATGTACACTAAATACAGTCAATTCTCATTATGCATGGTAGTCATGTTTTGTTTTTTGTTTTGTTTTGTTTTTTTGAGACAGAGTCTCACTCTGTCATCCGGGCTGGAGTGCAGTGGTGTGATCTCGGTTCACTGCAACCGCCCCTCAGTTGAAACAATAGAAAAAGAGGGAATCCTCCCTAACACATTTTATGAGGCCAGCATCATCCTGATACCAAAACCTGGCAGACACAACAAAAAAAATTTCAGCCGGGTGCAGTGGCTCACGCCTGTAATCCCAGTACTCTGGGAGGCTGAGGCAGGTGGATCATGAGGTCAGGAAATCGAGACCATCCTGGCTAACATGGTGAAAACCTGTCTCTACTAAAAATACAAAAACAAAATTAGCCAGGCATGGTGGCGGGCGCCTGTAGTCCCAGCTACTCAGGAGGCCGAGGCAGGACAATGGGGTGAACCCAGGAGGCAGAGCTTGCAGTGAGCGGAGATGGTGCCACTGCACTCCAGCCTGGGCAACAGAGCAAGACTCCATCTCAAAAAAAAAAAAAAAAAAAAAAAAGAAAGAAAATTTCAGGCCAATATCCCTGATGAAAATTGATGCAAAAATCTTCAATAAAATACTGGCAAACTGAATCCAGCAGCATATCAAAAAGCTTATCCACCACGATCAAGTTGGCTTCATCCCTGGGATGCAAGGCTGGTTCAACATACACAAATCAATCAGCGTAATCCATTACATAAACAGAACCAACAACAAAAACCACGATTGTCTCAATAGATGAAGAAAAGGCCTTCAACAAAATTCAACAGCCCTCATGCTAAAAACTTTCAATATACTAGGTATTGATGGAACGTATCTCAAAATAGTAAGAGCTATTTATGACAAACCCACAGCCAATATCATACCGAATGGGCAAAAACTGGAAGCATTCCCTTTGAAAACCGGCTCAAGACAAGGATGCCCTCTCTCACCACTCCTATTCAACATAGAGTTGGAAGTTCTGGCCAGAGCAATCAGGCAAGAGAAAGAAATAAAGCGTATTCAATTAGGAAAAGAGGAAGTCAAATTGTCCCTGTTTGCAGATGACATGATTGTATATTTAGAAAACCCCATCATCTCAGGCCAAAATCTCCTTAAGCTGGCCGGGCACGGTGGCTTACGCCTGTAATCCCAGCACTTTGGAAGGCTGAGGTGGATCATGAGGTCAGGAGATCGAGACCATCCTAGCTAACATGGTGAAACACTGTCTCCACTAAAAGTACAAAAAACTAGCTGGGCATGGTGGCAGGCGCCTGTAGTCCCAGCTATTTGGGAGGCTGAGGCAGGAGAATGGCGTGAACCTGGGAGGCGGAGCTTGCAGTGAGCTGAGATTGCGCCACTGCACTCCAGCCTGGGCGACAGAGTGAGACTCTGTCTCAAAAAAAAAAAAAAAAAAAAAAAAAAAAAAAAATCTCCTTAAGCTGATAAGCAACTTCAGTCATTTCAGGATACAAAATCAATGTGGAAAATATCACAAGCATTCCTATACAGCAATAACAGACAAATAGAGAGCCAAATCATGAGTGAACTCCCATTCACAATTGCTACAAAGAGAAAAAAATACCTAGGAATCCAACTTACAAGGGATGTGAAGGACCTCTTCAAGGAGAACTACAAACCACTGCTCAACGAAATAAAAGAGGACATAAACAAATGGAAGAACATTCCATGCTGATGGATAGGAAGAATCAATATTGTGAAAATGGCCATACTGCCCAAGGTAATTTATAGATTCAATGCCATCCCCATCAAGCTACCAATGACTTTCTTCACAGAATTGGAAAAAACTACTTTAAAGTTCCTATGGAACCAAAAAAGAGCCCACATTGCCAAGACAATCCTAAGCAAAAAGAACAAAGCTGGAGGCATAATGCTACCTGCCTTCAAACTATACTACAGAGTTATAGTAACCAAAACAGCATGGTACTGGTACCAAAACAGATATATAGACCAATGGAACAGAACAGAGGTCTCAGAAATAACACCACACATATGCAACCATCTGATCTTTGACAAACCTGACAAAAACAAGAAATGGGGAAAGGATTCCCTATTTAATAAATGGTGCTGGGAAAACTGGCTAGCCATATGTAGAAAGCTGAAACTGGATCCCTTTCTTACACCTTATACAAAAATTAATTCAAGATGGATTAAAGACTTAAATGTTAGACCTAAAACCATAAAAACTGTAGAAGAAAACCTAGGCAATACCATTCAGGACACAGACATGGGCAAGGACTTCATGACTAAAACACCAAAAGCAATGGCAACATTGTTCAGCTCCCACTTATAAGGGAGAACATGTGGTGTTTGGTTTTCTGTTCCTGCATTAGTTTGCTGAGGATAATGGCTTCCAGCTCCATCCGTGTCCCTGCGAAGGATGTGATCACATCTCGTTCCTTTTTATGGCTGTGTAGTATTTCATGGTGTATATGTACCACATTTTCTTTATCCAGTCTATCACTGATGGGCATTTAGGTTGATTCCGTGTCTTTGCTATTGTGAATAGTGCTGCAATAAACATATGTGTATATGTATCTTTATAATAGAATAATTTATATTCCTTTGGGTACATACCCAGTAATGGGATTGCTAGGTCAACTGGTATTTCTGGTTCTAGATCTTTGAGGAATCACCACACTGTCTTCCACAATGGTTGAACTAACTTACATTCCCACCAGCAGTGTAAAAGCATTCCTATTTCTCCACAGTCTCACCAGCATCTGTTGTTTCTTGACTTTTTAATAATCGCCATTCTGACTGGCATGAGATGATATTCATTGTAGTTTTGATTTGCATTTCTCTAATGATCAGTGATGTTGAGCTTTTTTCATGTTTGTTGGCCACGTGAATGTCTTCTTTTGAAAAGTGTCTGTTCGTATCCTTTGCCCACTTTTTAATAGGGTTGTTTGTTCTGGTTCTTGTATATTTGTTTAAGTTCCTTGTAGATTCTGGATATTAGACTTTCGTCAGATGGATAGATTGCAAAAACTTTCTCCCATTCTGTGGGCTGTCTGTTCACTCTGATGATAGTTTCTTTTGCTGTGCAGAAGCTCTTTAGTTTAATTACATCCTATTTGTCAATTTCTGCTTTTGTTGCAATTGCTTTTGACATTTTCATCATGAAATCTTTGACCAGTCCTATGTCCTGAATGGTATTGTCAAGATTTTCTTCTAGGGTTTTTACAGTTTTGGGCTTTACATTTAAGTCTTCAATCCGTCTTGAGTTAATTTTTGTATAAGGTGTAAGGAAGGGGTCCGATTTCAATTTTCTGCATATGGCTAGCCAGTTCTCCCAGCACCATTTATTAAATAGAGAATCCTTTTCCCATTGCTTTTTTTGGTCAGGTTTGTCAATGATCAGATGGTTGCAGATGTGCAGTCTTATTTCTGAGTTCTCTATTCTGTTCCATTGGTCTATGTGTCTGTTTTTGTACCAGCACCTTGCTGTTTTGGTTACTGTAGCCTTGTAGTGTGGTTAGATGTCTGTTAGTGTGATGCTTCCAGCTTTGCTCTTTTTGCTTAGGATTGTCTTAGCTATACGGGCTCTTATTTGGCTCCATATGAATTTTAAAGTAGTTTTTTCTAATTCTGTGAAGAATGTCAATGGTAGCTTAATGGGACTAGCATTGAATCTATAAATTACTTTGGACAGTAAGGCCATTTTCATGATATTGATTCTTCCTATCCTTGAACATGGAATGTTTTTCCATTTGTTTGTGTCCTCTCTGATTTCCTTGAGCAGTGTTTTGTAACTCTCCTTGAAGAGGTCCTTCACTTCTCTTGTTAGCTGTATTCCTAGGTATTTTATTCTCTTTGTACCAGTTGTAAATGGGAGTTCATTCATGATTTGGCTCTCTGCTTATCTGTTGTTGGTGTATAGGAATGCTTGTGAATTTTGCACATTGATTTTCTATTCTGAGACTTTGCTGAAGTTGCTTAAGAAGCTTGTGGCCAGGTGTAGTGGCCCATGCCAGTAATCCCAGCATTTGGGGAGGCTGAGGCAGGTGGATCACCTGAGGTTAGGGGTTCAAGACCAGCCTGGCCAACATGGCAAAACCCTGTCTCTACTAAAAATACAAAAATTAGCTGGGTGTGGTGGCACACACCTGTAGTCCCAGCTACTTGGGAGGCTGAGGAACAAGAATCGCTTGAACCCAGGAGGCAGAGGTTGCAGTGAGCCAAGATCATGCCATTGTACTCCAGCCTGGGTGACAGGGCAAGACTCTGTCTCCAAAAAAAAAAAAAAAAAGCTTTTGGGCTGAGACAATGGGGTTTTCTAGATATAAAATCTGCAAACAGAGACAGTTTGACTTCCTTTCTTCCTATTCTAATATCCTTTATTTCTTTCTCTTGCCTGATTGCCCTGGCCAGAGCTTCCAATACTATCTTGAATAGGAGTGGTAAGATGGGGCATCCTTGTCTTGTGCCAGTTTTCAAGGGGAATACTACCAGCTTTTGCCCATTCAGTATGATATTGGCAATGGGTTTTCATAAATGGCTCTCATTATTTTTATGTGTGTTCCATCACTACCTAGTTTATTGAGACTTTTTAATATGAAGGGATGTTGAATTTTATCAAAGGCCTTTTTTCATCTAATGAGATGGTCATGTGGTTTTTGTCTTTAGTTCTATTTATGTGATGAATTATGTTTATTGATTTGCATATGTTGAACCAGCCTTGCATCCCAAGGATGAAGCCAACTTGATCGTGGTGGATAAGCTTTTTGATGTGCTGCTGGATTCTGTTTGCCAGTATTTTATTGAGAGTTTTTGCATTGATGTTCATCATGGATATTGGCCTGAAGTTTTCTTTTTTTTATTGTATCTCTGCCAGGTTTTGGTATCAGGATGATGCTGGCCTAATAAAATGAATTAGGGAGGAGTTCCTTCTTTTCAATTGTTTGAAATATTTTCAGAAGGGTCCCAGCTCCTCTCTATGTCTCTGGTAGAATTCAGCTATAAATCTGTCTGATCCTGGGCTTTTTTTGGTCTGTAGGCTATTTATTACTGCCTCAATTTCAGAACTTGTTATTGGTCTATTCAGGGATTCAACTTCTTCCTGGCTTAGTCTTGGGAGGGTGTATGTGTTCAGGAATCTATCCTTTTCTTCTAGATTTTCTAGTTTATTTGCATAGAGGTGTTTATAGTATTTTTGTATTCGTATAGTATTGTTTGTATTTCTGTGGGGTCAGTGGTGATATCCCCTTTGTCATTTTTTATTGTGTCTATTTGATTCTTCTCTCTTTTATTCTTTATAAGTCTAGCTAGCAGTCTATTTTATTAATTTTTTCAAAAAACCAGCTCCTGGAGTTGTTGATTTTTTTGAAGGGTTCTTTCTGTCTCTATCTCCTTCAGTTCTGCTCTGATCTTGGTTATTGCTTGTCTTCTGCTAGATTTGGGGTTTGTTTGATCTTGGTTCTCTAGCTCTTTTAGTTGTGACATTAAGATGTTGATTTCAGATCTTCCCAGCTTTTTTATGTGGGCCTTTAGTGCTATAAATTTCCCTCCTAACACTGCTTTAGCTACATCTCAGAAATTTTGGTACATTGTCTCTTCATTCTCATTGGTTTCAAATAACTTCTTGATTTCTGCTTTAATTTCATAATTTAGCTGGGAGTCGTTCAGGAGCAGGTTGTTCAATTTCCGTGTATTTGTGTGGTTCTGAGTGAGTTTCTTAGTCTTGAGTTCTAATTTGATGGCACTGCGGTCTAAGAGACTTTTTGTTATGATTTCAGTTCTTTTGCATTTGCTGAGGAGTGTTTTACTTCCAATTATGTGATTGATTTTAGAGTAAGTTGCCATGTGACATCAAGAAGAATTTATATTCGATTGTTTGGGGGTGGAGAGTTTTGTAGATATCTATCAGGTCCACTTAAGCCAGAGCTGAGTTCAAGTCCTGAATATCCTTGTTAATTTTCTGTCTTGATGATCTGTCTAATATTGACAGTTGGGTGTTAAAGCCTCCCACTATTATTGTTTGGGAGTCTAAGTCTCTTTGTAGGTCTCTAAGAACTTGTTTTATGAATCTGGGTGCTCTTGTACTGGGTGCATATATATTTAGAATAGTTAGGTCTTCTTGTTGAATTGAACCCTTTACCATTATGTAATGCCCTTCTTTGTCTTTTTCGATCTGTGTTGGTTTAAAGTTGGTTTTGTCAGAAACTAGGATTGTAACCCCTGCTTTTTTCTGCTGTCCATTTGCTTGGTAGATTTTCCGCCATCACTTTATTTTGAACCTATGTGTGTCTTTGCACATAAGATGGGTCTCTTGAATATAGCACACTGATGTGGCTTGACTCTTTATCCAGCTTGCCATTCTGTGTCTTTTAATTGGGGCATTTAGCCAATTTCCACTTAAGGTTAACATTGTTATGTGTGAATTTGATCCTGTCATCATGATGCTAGCTGATTATGTTCCAGACTTGTTGAGGTAGTTGCTTCATAGTGTCACTGGTCTGTGTACTTCAGTGTGTTTTTGTAGTGGCTGGTAACATTTTTTCCCTTTCCATATTTAGTGCTTCCTTCAGGAGCTCTTGCAAGGCAGTCTTGGCAGTGACAAATTTCCTCAGCATTTGCTTGTCTGAAAAGGATTTTATTTCTCCTTCACTAATGAAGTTTAGTTTCGCCAGATATGAGATTCTGGATTGGAAATTTTTTTATTTAAGAGTCTCCCTCTCCCTCTCCCTCTCCCTCTCCCTCTCCCCACGGTCCCCCTCTCCCCACAGTCCCCCTCTCCCCACGGTCTCCCTCTCCCTCTCTTTCCACCGTCTCCCTCTGATGCCGAGCCGAAGCTGGACTGTACTGCTGCCATCGCGGCTCACTGCAACCTCCCTGCCTGATTCTCCTGCCTCAGCCTGCCGAGTGCCTGCGATTACAGGCGCGCGCCGCCACGCCTGACTGGTTTTCGTACTTTTTTGGTGGAGACGGGGTTTCGCTGTGTTGGCCGGGCTGGTCTCCAGCTCCTAACAGTGAGTGATCCGCCAGCCTTGGCCTCCCGAGGTGCCGGGTTTGCAGACGGAGTCTGGTTCACTCAGTGCTCAATGGTGCCCAGGCTGGAGTGCAGTGGCGTGATCGTGGCTCGCTACAACCTCCACCTCCCAGCCACCTGCCTTGGCCTCCCAAAGTGCCGAGATTGCAGCCTCTGCCCGGCCGCCACCCCGTCTGGGAAGTGAGGAGCGTCTCTGCCTGGCCGCCCATCGTCTGGGACGTGAGGAGCCCCTCTGCCTGGCTGCCCAGTCTGGAAAGTGAGGAGCGTCTCTGCCCAGCCGCCATCCCATCTAGGAAGTGAGGAGCGCCTCTTCCCGGCCGCCATCCCATCTAGGAAGTGACGAGCGTCTCTGCCCGGCCGTGACCCCGTCTGGGAGGTAAGGAGTGTCTCTGCCCGGCCGCCCCATCTGAGAAGTGAGGAGACCCTCCGCCTGGCAACCGCCCCGTCTGAGAAGTGAGGAGCCCCTCCGCCTGGCAGCCACCCCGTCTGGGAAGTGAGGAGCGTCTCCGCCCGGCAGCCACCCCATCCGGGAGGGAGGTGGGGGTCAGCCCCCGCCAGGCCAGCCGCCCCGTCCGGGAGGGAGGTGGGGGGGTCAGCCCCCCGCCCGGCCAGCCGCCCCGTCCGGGAGGGAGGTGGGGGGGTAGCCCCCCACCCGGCCAGCCGCCCCGTCCGGGAGGTGAGGGGTGCCTCTGCCCAGCCGCCCCTACTGGGAAGTGAGGAGCCCCTCTGCCCGGCCAGTCGCCCCGTCCGGGAGGGAGGTGGGGGGCTCAGCCCCCCCGCCCGGCCAGCCGCCCCGTCCGGGAGGGAGGTGGGGGGGTCAGCCCCCCACCCGGCCAGCCGCCCCGTCCGGGAGGTGAGGGGTGCCTCTGCCCAGCCGCCCCTACTGGGAAGTGAGGAGCCCCTCTTCCTGGCCAGCTGCCCCGTCCTGGAGGGAGGTGGGGGGGTCAGCCCCCCGCCCGGCCAGCTGCCCTGTCCGGGAGGTGAGGGGCGCCTCTGCCCGGCCGCCCCTACTGGGATGTGAGGAGCCCCTCTGCCCGGCCACCACCCTGTCTGGGAGGTGTACCCAACAGCTCATTGAGAAAGGGCCGGGATGACAATGGCGGTTTTGTGGAATAGAAAGGCGGGAAAGGTGGGGAAAAGATTGAGAAATCGGATGGTTGCCGTGTCTGTGTAGAAAGAAGTAGACATGGGAGACTTTTCATTTTGTTCTGTACTAAGAAAAATCCTTCTGCCTTGGGATCCTGCTAATTGGTGACCTTACCCCCAACCCTGTGCTCTCTAAAACATGTGCTGTGTCCACTCAGAGTTGAATGGATTAAGGGCGGTGCAAGATGTGCTTTGTTAAACAGATGCTTGAAGGCAGCATGCTTGTTAAGAGTCATCACCACTCCCTAATCTCAAGTACCCAGGGACACAAACGCTGTGGAAGGCCGCAGGGTCCTCTGCCTAGGAAAACCAGAGACCTTTGTTCACTTGTTTATCTGCTGACCTTCCCTCCACTATTGTCCTATGACCCTGCCAAATCCCCCTCTGCGAGAAACACCCAAGAATGATCAAAAAAAAAAAAAAAATTTAAAAAATCAAAAAAATAAAAATAAATAAAATGTTGAAAAAAAAAAAAAAGAGTGTTGAATATTGGCCCCCAATTTCTTCTGGCTTATAGGGTTTCTGCTGAGAAGTCCACTGTTATTCTCATGGGGTTCCCTTTGTAGGAGACCTGACCTTTCTTCTTTCATTTTGACCTTGGAGAATCTGATAATTATGTGTCTTGGGTTGATCTTCTCATGGAGTATCTTACTGGGGTTCTCTGGATTTCCTGAATTTCAATGTTGGCCTGCCTTGTTAGGTTGGGGAAGTGCTCCTGGATAATATCCTGAAGTATGTTTTCCAACTTGGTTCTGTTCTCCCCATCTCTTTCAGGTGCCCCAATCAGTCGTAGGTTCAGTCTTTCTACATAATCTCATAGTTCTCAGAGGTTTTGGTCATTCCTTTTCATTTTTTTCCCCCTCTAATCTTGTCTGCTTGTCTTATTTCAGCAAGACAGTCTTCAAGCTCTGAAATTCTTTCTTCTGCTTGGTCTGTTTGGCTATTGATACTTGCGGTTGCATTGTGAAGTTCTTGTATTGTGTTTTTCAGCTCCATCTGGTCATTTATGTTCCTCTCTAAACTGGTTCTTCTGGTTAACAGCTACTGTAATGTTTTCTCATAGTTCTTAGCTTCTTTGCATTGGGTTAGAACATGCTTCTTTAGCTCAGCAAAGTTTGTTATTACCTACCTTCTGAAGGCTACTTCTGTCAGTTCATCCATCTCAGCCTCAGGCCAGTTCTGTGCCATTGCTGGAGAGGTGTTGCAATCATTTGGAGGAGAAGAGGCTTTCTGGCTTTTTGAGTTTTCAGCATTTTTGTATTGATTCTTTCTCATCTTCCTGATTTTATCTGGCTTTGGTCTTTGACGCTGCTGACCTTTGGATGGAGTTTTTGTGGGGACATTTTTGTTGATGCTGTTGTTGTTGTTGCTTTGTTCGTTTTTCTTTTAACAGTCAGGTCCCTCTTCCACAGGGCTGCTGCAGTTTGCTGGGGGTCCACTCTAGACCTTATTCCTCTGGGTTCTTCCCACCCCTGGATGTGTCACCAGTGGAGGCTGCAGAACAGCAAAGATGGATGCCTGTTCCTTCCTCTGGGATCTCTGTCCCAGAGGGGCACTCACCTGATGCTAGCAGAAACGCTCCTGTATAATGTCTGATGACCCCTGCTGGGATGGGGGGCAGGTCTCACCCAGTCAGAAAGCAAGAGATCAGGGACTTGCTTAACCAAGCACTCTAGCTGCCACTTAGCAGAGAGGGTGCACAGTGCTGGGGGTTATCCCACTCCCAGACTGCCCAGATTCCACAGAGCCAGCAGGGGGAAAGACTAAGTCTGCTGATCTGCAGAGACTGTGGCTGCCCCTCCCCCCAGGGGTTCCATCCCAGGGAGATCAAAGTTCTGTCCATAAAACCCTGGCTGGAATTGCTGAAGCTCCCACAGGGAGGCCCTGCCCAGTGAGAAGATATGGGTCCAGGTCTGGCCTAAAGAGGCAGTCTGGCCACGATCTTCCACAGCCACTGTGCTGCGCTGTGGGGAATTGCCCCTGGGTCCAAACCGCCCAGTCTCCCCAGCACCAGCAGGGGAAAACAGCAGACTGGAGCTGCAGTAATGCCAGCTGCCCCTTCCCCTGGGAACTTGGTAATCTTAGCGGCTGACAAGAACCTACGCAGCTCTGTACTTGCAACCCAAGGCTCTGGTGGTGTGGGCTCACAAGGGGATCTCCTGATCTGTGGGTTGCACAGATCTGTGGGAAAAGCATGGTTTCCCAGGCAAGGTAGCACAATCACTCACCACCTCCCCTGGCTGGGGGTGGGAGCTGCTCTTGCTCCATGTGGCTCCCGGGTGGGCTGTCACTCAACCCTACCTTTCCTCGCTTTCTGTGGATCATGCCAACCACCTAGTCATTCCCAATGAGAGATTCTGGATACCTTAGTTGCCAGTGTAGGATTCATTCACCGTTTTCGTTCATCTCAGTGGGAGCCTCGAACCGCAGCTGCTTCGAGTCAGCCATCTTGGTCCTTGGCTGGGTATTTGGCTACTGTCTCATGTCTCTTCACATTGCAGGGCTCTTTCTCTTGCTACAGACAGGTGATCAGGTCTGGCTTGGAGATAGTGACACCATTTCTTGGCTTCAGGGGTGCCCTGGAGTCTTAGCTATGAATCTTCCAAAACCAGCAGTTCGCAGAGCGGTGGAGGCTGAGGCTGTGGCAGAATCACCTAGACCTCCTGGAGTAGAGGACACAGGGCAGTGAAGACCTAACCCTGAGCTCTGGATGGAGTGAGAGACAAAAGCAGGTATGCATTTTGACTAACTGCCCACTTAAAAAATTGGGAGGATAGGCAGAGATATTTCCATTGAGCTGGCAATCTATAATACAGAAGGGTCCTCAATGTATTCTGAATGGTTTGCCCAATTCTCTCTACAGAAATTGTTGCAGACATTTCAGAGATAACATGCCCAATTTTCATGCAGTCTTACTTATTTTTATGTGGGAGACATAGTGCACATGTAATCTCTCTTTGTTTGGTAATTGGATGTGACCGAAGGATATATATGACAAGATTTAAGAAAGAGACTGAGAAAGAAGATGGAGAAATTTTGAAAGGGATGAAGAATAACTTGGACACTTGACAATTTGGCCTGCAACAGCACTGGCCATGCCATGTAGATTGTTAGCTTGTGAGTCTTTTGTTGTTGTTGTTGTTGTTTGTTTTTTTTGAGACGGAGTCTGGCTCTGTCGCCCAGGCTGGAGTGCAGTGGCACGATCTGGGCTCACTGCAAGCTCCGCCTCCCGGGTTCACTCCATTCTCCTGCCTCAGCCTCCCGAGTAGCTGGGGCAACAGGCGCACGCCACCACGCCTGGCTATTTTTTTTGTATTTTTAGTAAAGATGGGGTTTCACCGTGTTAGCCAGGATGGTCTCGATCTCCTGACCTCATGATCTGCCCGCCTCAGCCTCCCAAAGTGCTGGGATTACAGACGTGAGCCACCGCACCTGGCTTGTGAGTCTTTTAAGCATGTATTCCATTAGTTGTCAATCTCTGTTATAAAGACAGAAGATAAAGTAAAGGCTACCCAAGTACTATTCCATGCTTGGAGTCCTGTAAGTTTATTTTCAATTACATATTGTATATCCTGGGATATTTCTGAAGTTTCTAACTTATCTAGTACAAGTAGAATCCCAATGTCAAACATTTGGTCGATGGTAAAATTGTCATATTGTATCTAAAATTTGCTTAAAAATGTATATCTGTTGCTAAACTGCATGTGGATGATACAAAAGTGTTTTTTTAAACTTTTAAAATAAAGATTTGACATCTGCTCTATTAATTTACCATATTAACAATCAGTAACAAAGTATGGCTTTTAAAAACTTAACAAAATATATTTAACCCTCCTAAAGGTATTATAATATGTATATACTATAATGTACTCTTAATGAAATGGCTTCTTTTAAAGTATTGTCTTGGTCATTTGAAGAGGAAAAGCTGTAAACCTTGTCGAAGAGGCAGCTTAGTGTGGTAGAAAGGACATTGAACTAGGGGCCCAGAGCCCCACTTTTAAGCTTCATCTTTTTTCTTGCCAGCTATGAGAACCATAAGCAAGCCCTAAGCCTCTCTGAACTTCATTTTCCTCATCAGTAAAGTTAGAGGCTTGGGTTTCATGACTTCTGGGGTTTGCTTCCACTCTAACCATCTATGATTGTGTTTATTTTTATTCTTAGAGTGCTTCCTACATATTGTTAGACTCAATGATAAAAATTGTAGTATAAGAAAATAACAATCATTTTTTAACTGGAGACCTACAGGATGTGAAATTATTCTTGTTGGTATAAAAATGAAAATATGTTTTATTATGGAAAACCCTTTAAACACAGACTAACCTATGAGCCATCATATCCACAGATAAATTGAAATATGATAATCTTATAAAGAATCCCATATACTGTATATGTGAATTAAACTCCTTTTTAGAAGTTGCAACATTTCCATAGAGTCTCTCTGGGGAGTTGTTTGTTTTTTGTTCTTTGTTTTTCTTTTTTCTTTTCCTTAAGTAAAATATTCTCAAGTTAACAGTTAAATCTTCAGTTAAATATGAAAAATTTCACACATATTGGTCTCCTTGGGCTGCCATAACTAAATACCATACACTGGGTAGCTTAAACAATCAACATTTATTGCTAACAGTTCTGGAGGCAGGGAAGTCCAAATCAAGATGCCAGCTGATTTGGTTTCTGGTGAGTTCTCTCTTCCTGGCTTGCAGATGGCAGCCTTCCTGCTGTGTCACATATTGAAACAGTTACTGAATATAAATTCTTATCATTCATAGACAGGCTACTAAAAGGATGACAACTTTTTAAAAATTTTTTTGTAGAGACAAAGTCTCCCTATGTTGCCCAGGCTGGTCTTGAACTCTTGAGCTCAAGAGATCCTCCTGCTGTGGCCTCCCAAAGTGCTGAGATTACAGGGGTGAGCCACTGTGCCTGGACAGGATGACAACGGAAAATACTTGTTCACTGTACGTTTATTGAGTTTCTCATTTAAATCAATCAATGGATCAATATCAACATGTCATTTAGCAGTCTAAATTTTATGGCAATATTATGTAAGCATTAATCCATTGATTGATTTAAATGAGAAACTCAATAAACATACAGTGAACAAGTGTTTTGATTATATTAAACCCATTAGAATCTTGGTGCACCCCCGCTATCCCTACAACTTAAGTTAATAGAACATCTGGGAATGAAATGCAAGGTTTTAATTTTACTACAACTGCTTTTCATGTTTAAAACAATTGTTGATACAAAGCATTCAGGTGATGACATCCATGTAACCAAGGTGAGTGAAGCTGAACCCTACTAGGAAGAAATAAGATTCAAGTAAATAATGTGTATTAGTTATGTAGGCTGGGTGTGATGGCTCATGCCTGTAATCACACTTTGGGAGGCTGAGGCAAGATGATCTGTTGAGGACAAAAGTTCAAGACCAGCCTGGGCAACATAGTGAGACCCCATCTCTACATAAAATATTTTTAAATATTAGCCAGGCATGATGACACACACCTGCCGTCCTAGCTACCCAGGAGACTAAGGCAGGAGAATTGCCTGAGCCCAGAAATTCAAGACTGCGATGAGCTATGATTGAGCCACTGCACTCCAGCCTAAGCAACAGAGTGAGACCTTGTCTCTAAACAAACAAAAAAAAAAGAAAGAAAGAAAAGAAAAAGAAGAAAACCTAAGAAATATAAATAAAAAGTGAAATAGTGAAGCTAAAGAAAAACAAATATATTGAATTCTATGTCAATTAAAAAAATGTCTATTAAGAATGAGAGAAAAATGGAAATATTTTTAGACAAATAAAAGCTAAGAGAGTTTGCCAGGATCAAAATCCACTATAGGAAATTATAAAAGAAGCATTTCTGGCAAAAGGAAAATGATCCCATATGAAGGGTCCGAGTTGGGAGAAAAAAAATAAAGGTAAAATAGGTAACAATAAGTGGGTAACTCCAAATGTATTAAACAAGAAAAAGAATGTCCTGTAGAGTTCTAAGTAGATATACAGTACTAAGCAAATATTAGCAATAGGATAGTTGGTTTGACCATAATGATATCAGATCAAATTGACTTTAGGGCAAAAACCAATACCAGAGATAATGATAGTCACTTTATAATAATAAAAGGTCAATTAACCAGGAAGATACAACCATTTAAAATTTGTACTGTAGGCCGGGCACAGTGGCTCACACTTGCAATCCCAGCACTTTTGGAGACCAAGGTAGGAGGGTCCCTTGAGCCCAGGAGTTCAAGACCAGCCTGGGCAACATAGAGAGACCTCGACTCTATACAAATAATTAATTAATTAATTAAATTTGTACTGTAGTCCCAGCTACCTGGAAGGCTGAGAAAGGAGGATCGCTTGAGCCCAGGAGTTCAAAATCAGCCTGGGCAACATAGCAAGACCCTGCCTCTAATGTTTAAAAAATAAATGCACCCAGGCACGGTGGCGCATGCCTGTAATCTCAGCACTTTGGGAGGCCGAGGTAGGTGGATCACTTGAGGTCGGGAGTTCCAGACCAGCCTGGACAACATGGTGAAGCCCCATCTCTACTAAAAACACAAGTTAGCTGGGCGTGGTGGCGCATGCCTGTAATCCCAGCTACTCAGGAGGCTGAGGCACGAGAATCACTTAAACTCAGGAGGTGGAGGTTGCAGTGAGCTGAGATTATGGCACTGCCCTCCAGCCTGGGCAACACAGCAAGACCCTGTCTCAAAAAATAAATAAAAATATATACGTGTGTGTGTGTGTATATATATATATATAATCAGTTTTGAGACATACTTTGTCAGAGATATCTGCTATTGCCTGCATATTATCTTCTGGATTATAACCTGGCACTTTTATCATAATTATGAAGGTGGCTAGGTTTCCAGTAAATATCAGCATTTTATATGGACAAAAGCAGTTAATAAAAATCAGTTCATTTACTATAAGCCAAATGTGCTTGTTCTTAATCTCACCCTTTCCCAAAGTTTTTGAAGCTTTGATGTGTTGGTTTTTGGTCTGTCCTTAATATAAAATGTACTTACAGACACTTCTGCAGTTAACCCTGAAATTACAAATTGATGACACTTCAAGGCAAAGCAGGAGCATTATCTGTTCCTTCAGTGTCCCCTCACTGAATTCTGACTTCTGCTGCTCCATCATACCATCTGGCTGAACGCTGACATTTCATAGTTTACCACTGTAAAGACACCGACCTATGTGAGTTTAAAAGTGATCTGCACAATCTGTGAAATTTTATATACAACAAATTGGTTTTTAAAAATACAAAAATAACATCGGTCTTTTTTTTTTTTTTTTTTTTGAGATGGAGTCTTGCTCTGTTGCCCAGGCTGGAGTACAGTGGCACGATCTCAGCTCACTGTAACCTCCGCCTCTTGGGTTCAAGCGATTCTGCTGCCTCAGCATCCCAAGTAACCGGGATTACAGGCTTGCACTACCATGACTGGCTAATTTTTGTATTTTTAGCGAAACGGGGTTTCGCCATGTTGACAGGCTGGTCTTGATCTCCTGACCTCAAGTGATCCACCCACCTCGGCCTCCCAAAGTGCTGGGATTACAGGCGTGAGCCACCGGCACCCGGCCACATCAGTCACTTTTGTCATGCTGACAATTTGACATATAGACACATGCAGGAGAAAAGTTCCAATTTAGTCATCTGAACAACTGTAGCTTCTATATTTTTAATATGACAAACACTGCCACTGAGTTTTCACTCTGACAACTCCTTAAAAATTGACCATATACTGCCTGTGAAGTAGTCTCAGCAAATTTCAAAGGATGGTAATGATTTAGATTTGTTCCCTCACCGCACTGCAGTTAAACTAGAAATCAATAACCAAACAACAACATAAAAGCTACTCCCTACGTGTGGGAGTCAAAAATGAAATCATAGTGATCTTATAGAACATTGTTAACAGAATGATAAGGAAAATACTTCATATCAAACCTGGTTGGGGATGTAACTGAAGCAGTTTTAGAGGAAAACGTTTCATCTTCAAAGTGTATAGAACGGGCCAGGCACGGTGGCTCACGCCTGTAATCCCAGCACTTTGGGAGGCCAAGGCGGGCGGATCACAAGGTCAGGAGATCGAGACCATCCTGGCTGACACGGTGAAACCCCGTCTCTACTAAAAATACAAAAAATTAGCCGGGGACTATGGCATGTGCCTGTAGTCCCAGTTACTCGGGAGGCTGAGGCAGGAGAATGGCATGAACCCAGGAGGCGGAGCTTGCAGTAAGCTGAGATCACACCACTGCACTCCAGCCTGGGTGGCAGAGCGAGACTCCATCTCAAAAACAAACAAAAAAAAGAGTGTATAGAACAGAGGTTCTTTTTTTTTTTTTTTTTTTGAGATAGTGGTAAGACTATAAACAAAAGCAAGAAAGTTATTGCCGTGAAAATTCAGAAAAGGGCCAGGCACAGCGGTTCATGCCTATAATCCCAGCACTTTGGGAGTCTGAGGCAGGTGGATTGCTGGAGTCCAGGGGTTCCAGACCAGCCTGGGTAACAGGGTGAGACCGCATCTCTAAAAAACAATAAAATTAGCCAGGCGTGTGGTGCATGCCTGTAGTCCCAGCTACTCAGGAGGCTGAGGTGGGAGGATTGCTTGAGCCCAGAATGTTGAGGCTGCAGTAAGCCATAATCGCCACTGCACCACTGGGCTCCAGCCTGGGTGACAGAGTAAAACCCTGTTTCAAACAAACAAACAAAAAAAGTCAACATAGTGGTTACATTTAGGGGAAGTAATTTTGAATAGGAAGAGACATGTAGCAGCTTCTGAAGTGCTGGCCAAGTTTTTTTGTTTTTTGTTTTTCTGAAGTGCTGGCCAAGTTTTGTTTTGTTTTTGTTTTTGAGGCAGGGTCTTGCTTTGTCACCCAAGCTGGGGTGCAGTGGTGTGATCATAGCTCACTGCAGCCTTGACTTCCTGGGCTCAAGCTGTCCTCCCACCTCAGCCTCCTGAGAAGCTGGGACCACAGGCATAAACCTAGCCTAGCTATTATTTTATTTTATTTTATTTTTATTTTACTTTATTCATCTATTTTACTTTATTTTGTTTTACGTTTATTTTATTTTATGTAGAGACAGGGTCTTACTCTGTTGCCCAAGCTGGTCTCAAACTCCCAGGCTTAAGCAATTCTCCTGCCTCAGCCTCCCAAAGTGCTGGGATTACAGGAATGAGCCACCACGACCAGCCCTGGGCAAGTTCTTTTTTCTTAATTGGCAGGTGTTTACACGGTTGTTTGCTTTATAATATTTTCATTAAAATTGTTTTGTTTATTCATTTATTTTTCTAGAGATGGGGTCTTGCTACATTGCCCAGGCTGGTCTCGAACTCCTGGCTTCAACTGATCCTCCCACAGACATGAGCCACCACACCTGGCCCAAATTTTATTTTGAGATAATTATAGATGTACATGCAGTTGTAAGAAATAATATAAAGAGATCCCATGTACTTTTTACCCAGTTTCCTCCAAGGAAGGAACATTATATTACAATTTTATAATATAATACAATATAATATAATGACACAATATAATACTGTATTATATCATAATACAGTATTATATTGTAAAACTATATATAGTTCTATATCACAGTCAGGATATTGACACTGATACAGTCAAGATACAGAGCATTTCCACTACCCTCCTCTTGCTGCTTTATGGCCATACCCACTTCCCTGCCACTCCATAACTCTCACCTCCTTAACCTCTGGTAACCAGTAATCTGTTCTCCATTTCTATAATTTTTTTTTTTTGAGAGAGGGTCTTTATCATCCAGGCCGGACTGCAGTGGCGCAATCTCGGCTCACTGCAGCCTTGACCTCTCAGGCTCACGCCATCCTCCCACCTCAGCCCCCCAAGTAACTAGGACTACAGGCATGCCACCAGTATATTTTGTGGAGATGGGGTTTTGCCATGTTGCCCAGGCTGGTCTTGAACTCCTAGGCTCAAGCAATCTGCCCGCCTCGCCCTCCCAAAGTGCTGGGATTATAGGTGTGAGCCACCAAGCCGGGCTCCTTTTTATAATTTTATTATTTCAAGAACGTTTTATATAGCATCACAAAATATGCAACCTTTTGGGATTGGCTTTTTCTCACTCAGCATAAATTTCTGGATATCCATCCAGGTTGCTGTATTCATCAGCAGTTTATTCCTTTTGATTGTTAAATACTGTCTCCATCCATTCCTGCTGCTATAACAAAATACCTTAGCCTAGGTAATTTATAAATAATAGAAATGTATTGCTCACAGTTCTCGAGACTGGGAAGTCCAAAATTAAGGCACTAGCAGATTTGGGTCTGGTAAGGGCTTCTCTCTGCTTCCAACATGGCTCCTTCTCACTGCTGTATTTTCACATGGCAGAAGGGTTGAATGCTTGGGTCCTCACATGACAGAAGGGCAAAAGCCGAAAAGGATCAGACTCCCTCAATCCCTTTTATAAAGGCACTAATCCTATTCATGAGGGCAAAGCCCTCTTGACTAATCACCTCCTAAAGGCTTCACCTCTTAAAGCGATTGCATTGGGGATTAAGCTTCAACATGAATTTTGGAGAGGCACAAACATTTAAGCCATAGCAGATCGTATTCCATGGTGTGGACATACATTGTTTAACCATTCATCCATAACAATACATCAGGGTTGTTTGCAGGTTTTGGCTATTACTAAGAAACTGTTATAAACATTTATGTACAGGTTTTTTTGTGAATGTAACTTTTTATTTATCTGGGATAAATGCCCAGGAGTAAAATTGCTGGGTCATATCCAGATTCAGTTTTTTTAAGAAACTGACAAGCTGTTTTCTCCCAGTGATATATGAGTAAACCTGTTTCTCTGCATCCTCCACAGTATGTGGTGTTGTCAAGGTTTTTTATTTTAGTCATTGTTAAGTGCGTAGTGATATGTCATTGTGAACTGAATTTGCATTTCCTTAATGGCTAATGATGCTGAATATCTTTTCATGTGTGCATTTGCCATCTGTATATCCTCTTTGGTGAAATGTCTGTTCATGTCTTTGGCCATTTTCTAATTGGATTGTGTGTGGGTTTCTTACTATAGATTTTTGAGCCTGCTTCATATATTTAAGAAAAAAATCCGGGGCTGGGAGCAGTGGCTCATGCCTCTAATTCCAGCACTTTGGGGAACCAAGGTGTGAGGATCACTTGAGCCCAAGAGTTAGAGACCAGCCTGGGCAACATAGGGAGACCCTGTTGCTACCCAAAAAAAAGAAAAAAAAAATTTTTAATTAGCTGGGTGTGGTGATGCTTGCCTGTAGTCCTAGCTACCTCAGAAGCTGAGGTGGGAGAATCACCTGAGCCCAGGAGGTCAAGGCTGCAGTGAGCTGTGATGGCACCACTGCACTCCAGCCTGGGTAACAGAGTAAAACTCTGTTGAAAGAAAGAAAGAGAGAGGAGGAAAGGAAGGAAGGAAGGAAGGAAGGAATAGAGGAAAGAAAGGAAGAAAGAAAGAAAGAGGGAAGGAAGGAAGGAAGGAAAGAGAGAAAGAAAAGGAAAGGAGAAAAGAAAAAAGAAAAGAAAAATGAGAGTGAGGGATGGAAAAGAAAAAGAAAGAAGGGAGGGAAGAAGGGAGGGAGGGAGGAAGGAAGGAATAGAGGAAAGAAAGAAAGAAAAGAAAGAAAAAAGAGAAAAGAAAGGAGAGAGCAAGGGATGGAAAAGAGAGAGAAAGAAGGGAGGGAAGGAGGAAGGGAGGGAGAAAGGAAGGAAGGAAGCAAGAAAAAGGCAAGGAATGGAAAAGAAATACTGGCCAGGTACAGTGGCTTATACCTGTAATCCCAGCACTTTGGGAGGCCAAGGGAGGTGGATTGCTTGAGGCCAGGAGTTCGAGACCAGCCTGGCCAACACAGTGAACCCCGTCTCTACTAAAACTACAAAAATTAGATGGGTGTGGTGGTGTGTGCCGGTAATCCCAGCTACTTGGGAGGCGGAGGCTGGAGAATTGCTTGAACCCAGGAGGCAGAGGGTGCAGGGAGCCTGGATGGTGCCACCGCACTCCAACCTGGGCAACAGAGCGAGACTCTGCATCAAAAGAAAGAAAGAAAGAAATTCTTTATCAGGTATATGGTTTGCAAATATATTCACCTGGTATGTAGCTCATCTTTTCATCCTATTAACAGCATCTATCACAGAGGAAGTTTTTAATTTTGATAAAGTCCAATTTGCCAGGTTTTCCTTTTATGAATTGTGCATTTAATGTCAAGTCCAATGATTCTTTTCCTACTCCTAGGTCCCGAAGAATGAATTTCTGCTAGAATTCTTGCTAAAATTTTATAGTTTTACGTGTTACATTTACATCCATTATCCATTTGGATTAATCTTTATTTTTTCTTTCTTTTTTTTCCCTTCCTTCCCCTCCTTCCTTCCTTCTTTCTTTTTTTTTCTTTCTTTCTTTCTTTTTTTTTGAGATGGAGTTTCACTCTTGTTGCCCAGGCTGGAGAGCAATGGTGCGATCTTGGCACACTGCAACCTCCACCTCCCGGGTTCAAGTGATTCTCCTGTCTCAGCCTCCCGAGTAGCTGGGATTACAGGCACATGCCACCACGCCTGGCTAATGTTTGTATTTTTAGTAGAGACGGAGTTACATCATATTGGTCAGGCTGGTCTTGAACTCCTGACCTCAAGTGATCCACCCGCCTCGGCCTCCCAAAGTGTTGGGATTACAGGCGTGAGCCACTGCACCAGGCCGGGTTAATTCTTTATAAGGTGTGAGATTTAGGTCCAAGTTCATTATTGTTAGTGTTTGTGCCTATGGGTGTCCAAATATTCCAGGACCATTTGTTCAAAAGGCTAGCTTTCCTTCATTGAATTGTTTTTGCACTTTTGTAAAATATATGTTGGGGATATTTGTGTGGCTCTATTTTTGGGTTCTCAGCAAGACGCGGTGGCTCACACTTGTAATCCTAGCACTTTGGCAGGCTGAGACGAGAAGATACCTTGAGCCCATGAGTTCATGACCAGTCTGGGCAACATAGTGAGACCTTGTCTCTATAAAAAATGTACATATATGTAAATGAAGTTAAAAAAATATTTCTGGGTTCTCGGCTGGGCATGAAATATTATATTATATTATATTATATTATTACAATACCATTTTATAATATAATGCAATATAATATAATAATACAATATTGTATTGTAAAACTATATATAGTACAATATCACAGTCAGGATATTGATACTGTGGCTCATGCCTATAGTCCCAGCACTATGGGATGCTAAGGTGAGTAGATCACTTGAGCCCTGGAGTTTGAGACCAGCCTGGGTAACATGACAAAACCCCATTTCTACAAAAAATTCAAAATTTAGCTGAGCATGGTGGTGTCAGTGGAGGCCTAGTGGGTTGCTGGAACTCTCACCCCCACACAGTAGAGATACAGAGCACCCTACCTTGGTGTCAGAGGAGGCTCACCTTTACCCCATCTGTTAGTCACAAGGCAGTGCCCCCTTCTACTGCTGGGGTAGTGTCACACACACACACATACACACACAAAGCAGCCAAAAAGAAGGTTTAAAAATGGAGAACAGATTAGTGGTTACCACAGGTTAAGGAGGTGGGAGGTGTGCAGCTGGAGGGAAATGGGTGTGGCCATAAAGGAGCAAGAGGAGGGATCCTTGTGGTAATACCTTATAGTTTACCTTGTGGTAAACTATATCAGTTATTTGGGAGGCTAAGATAGGAAAATCGCTTGAGTCTGGGAGGTGGAGGTTGCAGTGAGCCAAGATCGCACCACTGCACTCCAGCCTGGGCAACAGAATGAGACCTTGTCTCAAAAAAAAACTATTTTAGAAACATAAAATATTTAATCTATAATATATTATAAAATATATAGTCTATAGTTAAATTATAAATATTGAATTATAAATATTTAATCTATAGTATATTATAAAATATTTAGTCTATAATTAAATTATAAATATTGAATTATAAATATTTAATCTATAGTATATTATATAAATATACTTTATATAATTATAAATTATATTTATATAATTTTACATTTTACAGAAATATAAAATATAACATATTTTATTATTTAAATAATGTGTTATAATTTAGATATATAATAAATGATTTCTAATATAACATATTTTATTGTATAATTTTATAAAATATGAATTTATATATAGAATATAGTTATATATAATATGAAATTATATGTGTATACACAAACACACATATATACAAAATTTTATCATAGTTACAAGTGTCATTTTACCAGTTCAAGTATAGAAGCTTTACCTTTCTTTACCTCCCTTTATCCTCCCAGATTTATTTATGTTAACTACTTTCTCCTTATACATTTAGAACAATACCAGACAGTGTTATAATTTTTGCTTCAACTACTAAATATAATCTAGAAAACTCAGTAGGAGTTTTGGAAGGTGTTCTGTATTCACCTGTATTTTGACTTCCATGTTTTCCTTTTCTGGTATTCCAAGATTCCTTCTTTTATTGTTTCCTTTCTGCTTAGAGGACTTCACTTAGTCATTCTCTTAGGGTGGTCTGCCAACAGATTCTCATAGTTTTCTTCATCTGAGAATGCTGTGGCTTCTTTATTCATGAAGGATATATTCTCTGGGTATAAAATTCTGGGTTGATAGTCTTCTAGCACATGAAAACTGTTTTGCCATTTCCTTCTGGCCTTTGTGGTTTCTGAGGAGAAATTAACTGACATTTATACTTTTTTCCCTTATACTTAAGGTGTTGTTTCTCTTGCTCTGCTTTTAATATTTTTTCTTTGTCTTTTGTTTTCAGAAGATTGACTATGTTAATGTTGTAGATTTCTCTGGGTTTATCCTGTTTGGAATATACTCAGCATCTTAAATCTGTAGGTTTATGTATTTTACCATATTTGGGAATTTTTCTGGTATTATTATTTGAGTACTTTTACAAGGAAGTCCCTTCTTTCTCTTTTTCTTTGGATCTTCAATTACATGAATGTTAGACCTTTCATTATAGACCCACAGGTCCCTGAAGCTCTGTTCATTCCTTTTAAGTCTATTTTTCTCTATTGCTCAATTTCTATTGTTCTATCTTCAAATTATCTGATTCATTCCTCTGTCACCTCAGCAAATTAAGCTCATCTGCTGGATATTTTATTTTACTTATTGTATTTTTAATTTCTAAAAATTTCTATTTCATTCTTCTATTTCTTTGCTGAGACTTTCAATTTTTTCACTTACTTCAAGCATGTTCATAATTTTTCACTGAAGCATTTTTATCTTTTTCAAATAGTTCTAACATCTCTGTCATCTTGGTATTTGCATCTGTTGATTGTATTTTTTTTTCATTCAGTTTGAGATTTACTAGCTCTTGACATGGCACTCATTTTCAATGGAATCTGAGATATTTGCGTATTGTGTTATGAGACTCTATATCTTAACCTTCTTTTTGGCTGGTTTTCTTATGTGTGTGTGATACTACTCCAGCAGGAGAAGGGAGCACTGCTGCCTTGTTACTGCCAAATGTGGATAAAGGTCCAGATACCCACTCAGCCTCCTTTGACACCAAGCTGGGGTGCTCCATGTCTCTACTGTGTTGGGGTGAGAGTTCCTGCACCTCATTAGGCCTCCACTGATACCTTTCAGTATGAGAAGGGCAGTGGTGCTTGAAATCCATTCCTTTCTCTCTGTATACACTGGAATTGATTTAACTCAATATTTGTCATTTCATGCCTGGTCTGGGACAGTTAATTTGTAAATGGACTCCCCAACTTTGACATTTTCTTCCTCCCATCCTTCCTCCACAATGCTTGCAGAGTGATCTTTACAAAACATAAACCCAGTCATCACATCCCCTTACTTAAAACCCTTTCATGAATCCCTACACTCTCCAGAATAAAATCCAAAACAAAGAGAGTCCTTCAGGACTTGGTCCCTGCCAACTTTTCCAGCAACATCTCACTCCACTAATGATATGGTTTGGATCTGCGTCCCCACCCAAATCTCATGTTCAGTTGTAATCCCCATTGCTGGAGGTGGGGCCTGGTGGGAGGTGATTGGATCATGGAGGTGGGTTACTCCTGATGGCTTAGCGCCATCCATTTGGTGCTATTCTCATGATACTGAGTGAATCTCCTGAGAGCTGGCTGTTTGAAAACGTGTGGCACCTCCTCACTTCTTCTCTCTTCTGCTCTTCCATGTAAGACATTCCTGCTCCCTCTTCACCTTCTGCCATGATTGTAAGTTTCCTGAGGCATCCCCAGAAGCCAAGCAGATGCCAGTGTCATGCTTCTTGTACAGCCTGTAGAATCATGAGCCAATTAAACCTCTTTTCTTTATAAATTACCCAGCCTGAGGTATTTCTTTTTTTTTTTTTTTTTTTTGGAGACAAGAGTCTCATTCTGTCACCCAGACTGGAGTGCAGTGGTGCAATGTTGCTCACTGCAACCTCCGCCTCCTGGGTTCAGTGACTCTTGTGCCTCAGCCTCCTGAGTAGCTTGAATTACAGATGCATTTACCCACACCCAGCTAATTTTTATTTTTGTATTTTTAGTAGAGACAGGTCTTCACCATGTTGGCCAAGCTGATCTCAAATTCCTGACCTCAAATGATCTGCCCGCCTCAGCCTCCCAAAGTGCTGGGATTACAGGCATGAACCACAGTGCCCTGCCTGAGGTATTTATTTATGGCAATGTGAGAACAGCCTAATACAGAAAATTGGTACTGGGAGTGGGGCATTGCTATACTGATACCTAAAAATGTGAAAGTGACTGGGGAACTGGGTAATGGGCAGAGACTGGAATAGTTTGGAGGGCTCAGAAGAAGATAGGAAGATGAGAGAAAGTGTGGAACTTCCTACAGACTGGTTAAATGGTTGTGACCAAAATACTGATAGTGATATGGACAGTGAAGTCCAGGCTGAGGAGATCTCAGATGGAAATGAGGAACTTATTGGGAATTGGAGCAAAGATCACTTTTGCTATGCCTTAGCAAAGAACTTGGCTGCCTTGTGCTCCTGCCCTAGGGATCTGTGGAACTTTGAACATGAGAGTGATGATTTAGGGTATCTGGCAGAAGAAATTTCTAAGCAGCAAAATGTTCAAGATGTGGCCTGGCTGCTTCTAACAACCTATCACATATACATGAACAAAGAAATGGCCTATAGTTGGAACTTGTATTTAAAAGGGAAGCAAAGCGTAAATGTTTGGAACCATTTGCAGCCTGCTCATGTGGTAGAAAAGAAGGCCCATTTTTCCAGGGAAAAATTCAAGCAGGCTGAAGAAGTGTGCATAAGTAAAAAGGAGCCAAGTGCTAATAGACAAGACAATGGGGAGAAGCCCTTGAAGGCATTTCAGAGACCTTCACAGCAGCCCCTCCTATTATAGGCCCAGAGTCCTAGAAGGGAAGAATGGTTTTGTGGGACAGGCCCAGGGCTCCACTGCCCTGCACAGCCTCTGAACACTGCTCCCTGCATCCTGGCCACTCCAGCTCCAGCCATGGCTCAAAGGGGCCCAGAACTCAGGCCTCTGCTTCAGATGGTGCAAGCCATAAGCCTTGGTGGCTTCCACATGGTGTTAGGCCTGCAGGTGCACAGAGTGAAAGAGTTGAGGCTTGGGAGTCTCTGCCTAGATTTCAGAGGATGTATGGAAAAGCCAAGATGTCCAGGCAGAAGCCTGCTTCAGGGACAGAGCCCTCACGGGGAGCCTCTACTAGGGCAGTGTAGAGGTGAAATGTGGGGTTGGAGCTCCCACACAGAGTCCTCACTGGGGCACTGCCTAGTGGAGCTGTGAGAAGTGGGCCACCCTCCTCCAGACCCCAGAATAGTAGATCCACCAACAGTTCGCACCGTGTGCCTGGAAAAGCTGCAGACATTCAACACCAGTCTGTGAGAGCAGTCACTGGGGGCTGAACACTGCAAAGTCACACAGGCAGAAAGGCATCAGTGTGGCCTGGATGTGGGACATGGAGTCAAAGGAGATTATTTGGGAGCTTTAAGATGTAATGACTGCCCTTCTGGGTTTCAAACTTGTGTGGGGTCTGTAGCCTCTTTCTTTTGGCTAATTTCTTCCTTTTGGAATGGGAGTATTTACCCAATGCCAATACCCCCATTGTATCTTAAGAGTAACTAACTTGTTTTTTTATTTTACAGGCTCATAAGTGGGACTAGCCTTGTCTCAGATGAGACTTTGGACTTTGGACTTTTGAGCTAATGCTGAAATGAGTTAAGACTGGGGGACTGTTGAGAAGGGATGATTGTATTTTGCAATGTGAGAAGGACATGAGATTTGGGAAGGGCTGAGGGCAGAATGGTATGGTTTAGATCTGTGTCCCCACCCAAATCCCATGTCCAGTTGTAATCCCCAATGTTGGAAGTGGGGCCTGGTAGGAGGCAATTTGATCATGGGAGCTGGTTCTTCATGATGGTTTAGCGCCATCCTCTTGGTGCTGTTCTCTCAATAGTGAGTTCTCCCAAGATCTGGTTTTATGGCACCTCCTCTCTCGCTCTGTCTTGCTACTGCTCTGCCAGGTAAGATGTGCCTGCTCCTCCTTTACTTCTGCCATGATTGTAAATTTCTCAAGGCCTGCCCAGAAGCCAAGCAGATGCCAGCATCATGCTTCCTGTATAGCCTGTGGAACTCTGAGCCAATTAAACCTCTTTTCTTTATAAATTACCCAGTCCCAGGTATTCTTTTATAGCAATGTGAGAACAGATAAATACAACTAGGGAACCCTGTAGATCAGCTGTATCAAAGCACTTGTCCTGGAAGACAGTCCCTGACAGCACTGAGGCCTGGAAGCAAAGAGAGACAAAAAATACAGTCAACCCTCCATATTTATGGGGTATGCATCCATGGATTCAACTAACCACAGATTGAAGATATTTTTTAAAAGATGAAGAAAAAAATGGATGGCTGCATCTTTACTAAACATGTAGACTTTTTTTCCTGTCATTATTCCCTAAACAATACAGTATAACTATTTACATAGCAGTTATGTAGTATTAGGAATTACAAGTAATTTAGAGATGACTTAAAGTATATGGGCAGATATGTGTAGGTAATATGCAAATACTAATGATTTTATACAGCAGATCCTTGAAGAACATCATTTCATTCGACATCATTTTGTTATAATATTGATGAGAAAAAATCGATTCCTGGCCAGAGCTGCAGTCTGTGTGGTGTCAGCACATTCTCCCTACATCTGCGTGGGTTTTCTCAGGGACTCCAGTTTTCTCCCACATTCCAAAGCTGTGCACATTAGGGGAATTGGTGTGTCCAAATTGTCCCAGTGTTGCCAGGTGCAGTGGCTCACACTTGTAATCCCAGCACTTTGGGAGGTCCAGGCAGGAGGATCACTTGAGTCCAGGGGTTCAAGACCAGTCTGGGCAACAAAGTGAGACCCCATCTCTACAAAAAAATTAAAAATGAACAGGGCATGATGGCACACACCTGTAGTCCCAGCTACTCAGGAGACTGAGGTAGGAGGATTGCTTGAACCCAGGAGTTTGAGGATTCGGTGAGCCATGATTGCACCACTGAACTCCAGCCTGAGCAACAGAGCAAGACCCTATCTCTACAACAAATAAATACATTGTCCTAGTGTAAGTGAGTGTGTGTGTGTGTGTGTGTGTGTGTGTGAGAGAGAGAGAGAGAGAGAGACAGACAGAGAGAGCCCTGCAATGGAACTCTGTCCTGCCTAGGGTTAGTTCCCACCTGTGCCCTGAGCTGCCAGGATAGGCTCTGGCCACCTGCAACCCTGAAATGGAATCATTGGGTAAATAATTATCTTGCTTGATTTTATTAATCTTTCTTAAATGTATGTATCACTCACATTTATTTCAATATTTTATTTATTGAATATTTGGTAGAGACAAGGTCTCACTGTGTTGACCAGGCTGGTCTCGAACTCCTGGCCTCAAGTAATCCTCCAACCTCGGCCTCCCAAAGTGCTGGGATTACAGGCATGAGCCACTATGCCCGGTCTATTTCAGTGTTTAATATTAGAAAGGTTTTGGGTCTTTATTTAGAAGTTTGGTGATATTTTTATAAGCAGAAATATGCCATAGGAACTTAGCTCTTGTTTCTATCAATTAGCCTATGGTTAATGAGTTCCTTTATT
Organism: Homo sapiens; assembly: GCF_000001405.40. Taxonomy (NCBI): domain Eukaryota; kingdom Metazoa; phylum Chordata; class Mammalia; order Primates; family Hominidae; genus Homo; species Homo sapiens. The sequence continues at coordinate 91,536,878 of NC_000014.9, read as the reverse complement.
CATCTTTTCACTTAAAGTCACAGTTTCCACGAACCTATTGATGATGCTAGGGGAGGACTTAACTGTATAAGGGACTTGAGCATCCATGGTTGGGGGGTGCTGGAACCAATCCCCCACAGATACCAAGAACAACTGTACTGCAACTACTTTCTCTGCCCATATTCCCCTCCCATCTTGTGCCATTCCTCCTACTGGCTGAGCTCAACCAGAAGTGAGAAGCCAGAGAGCAAGAGAGCCTGGATGAAACACTCCATGGGGATCAGACTTCAGGTCACAGAGTAGGGCAGAGAAGAGCAAAGAATGGATGTTGCAGGGGAAATGGGGACAGTCAAATGGAGAGTAACCGGCACTCTGAACCTCAAGCCAGCCTAGGTCCTAGAGCAGTTAGGAACCAAAGTCTCATCTTGCCAAATGCCATTCTTTTTTTTTGACAGAGTTTCGCTCTTGTTGCCCAGGCTGGAGGGTAATGGCGCAGTCTCAGCTCACTGCAACCTCTGACTCCTGGGTTCAAGTGATTCTCCTGTCTCAGCCTCCTGAGTAGCTGGGATTACAGGCACGCGCCACTACGCCCAGCTAATTTTTGGTATTTTTAGTAGAGACGGGGTTTCACCATGTTGGTCAGGCTGGTCTCAAACTCCTGACCTCAGGTGATCCGCCTGCCTCAGCCTCCCAAAGTGCTGGGATTACAGGCGTGAGCCACCGCGCCCGGCCCCAAATGCCATTCTTATCCTCCAAGATTATTACATGTTCTGACAGAGTTCATCAAACATCCCAGGTCTCAGCTCAAATAATATTAAATGCGTTACATAAAATCCCATTTTCATTTCATGGATAGAACCACTACGTTGCTCTCTATGTTTCAAAAGTCTTCCTAGCTCAAAAAGGAATTAGATAATTATACCCATAATCAAAATATGGTTGGTATGATACAGATGGTTAAATATATGCTCCACTATTCTCACTGATTAAAACATCTTTTTATCCCATTTATCGTAGCCATTTTTTTAGGATAGTGAATTCTTTTATAATTTTCAGGAGAAAAGTTTATCTTTAGCAGAGTAGTTTAAATCTACCCAGTGGTTTTTATTGGTGGTGGGGTAGGGGGTTGTTTGTTTGTTTGTTTGTTTTATTAAGACAGAGCCTTGGCCGGGCACAGTGGCTCACGCCTGTAATCCCAACACTTTGGGAGGCTGAGGGAGGAAGATCACAAGGTCAGGAGTTTGAGACCAGCCTGGCCAACATAGTGAAACCCCATCTCTACTAAAAATACAAAAATTCGCTGGGCATGGTGGCACGTGCCTGTAGTCCAAGCTACTCAGGAGGCTGAGGCAGGAGGATTGCTTTAACCCGGGAGGCAGAGGTTGCAGTGAGCTGAGACCATGCCATTGCACTCCAGCCTGGATAACAGAGTGAGCCTCCGTCTCAAAAAACTAAAACAAAAACAAACAAAAGACAGAACCTTGCTCTGTCACCCAGGCTGGAGTGCAGTGGCGCGATCTTGGCTCAATGCAGCCTCAACCTTCCGGGCTCAAGTGATCCTCCCACCTTGGCTTCCCGAGTAGCTGGGACTACAGGTGAATGCCACTATGCCCAGCTAATTTTTGTACTTACCCAACGGGTTTTTAAACAAATAGATATCATTGCCATTGATGTAGTTATATGTTGCACAATAGCTGCTGGAATCCATAAGTTGAGCAACTTGCACCATATGCTTTGAATACTGTTAAGTAAATATTAAAAAGTGAAGATTGAGTACTTACTTATGCTGTCAATAAACTTGAAAGCAAGATTTCTTACACTAATGCCCATTGAATAACCAAGCAACCAAATAAACATTTAGTAAATAACTTTATGGGTAATTCCAGATGTCTATAAGCTTTTAAAAATCATTCATCAACCTGAACTAGTCCTAGCTTTCTGTTTTTAAGTTTCTCATTTTGCTATCGTTTTCATTAAATGTATCCCTGCACATACTTCAGAAAGTCAAATAATCCTAAATTATTATAAAATCTAACAGTTCCCTGTACATATCCCTCTTCCATTTCCCTTTCTTCAGAGGCAACCACATAAAATTGTTTTAACTGTTTATTTGGACATTTGCCTCGGAATCTCTAAATAACCTGCTTACACTGCTATTTTTTTTTTTTTTTTTTTTTTTTTTTGAGACAGGGTCTCACTCTCTTGCCCAGGCTGGAGTGAAGTGGTGCGATCTTGGCTCACTGCAGCCTCAATCTCCTGGGCTTCCCAAGTAGCTAGGACTACAGGCACATGCCACCATGCCTGGCTAATTTTTTTTTTTTTTTTTTTTTTTTAGAGCCGGGTCTTGCCACATTACCTAGGCTGGTCTCAAACTCCTGGGCTCAATTGATCTACCCACCGCAGCTTCACAAAGTGCTGGGATTACAGGCATGAGCCATGGTGCCTGGACTTATACTGCCATTTTTTTTTAAGTTATAAGTAAATTGTTCTATCATAAAGACACAGGTATGTGTATGTTCATTGCAGCACTATTCACAATAGCAAAGACATGGAATCGACCTAAATATCCATCAATGGTACACTGGATAAAGAAAATGTGGTACATATACACTATGGAATACTATGCAGCCATAAAAATGAATGAGATCATGTCTTTTGCAGCGACATGGATGGAGCTGGAGGCCATTATCCTTAGCAAACTAAAGCAGGAACAGAAAACCAAATACCTCATGATCTCACTTATAAGTGGGAGCCAAAGGATGAGAACACGTGAACGCCTAGAGGGGAAAAACGGCCTGTCAGAGGATGGAGGATGGGAAGAGGGAGGGGATCAGGAAAGATAACTAATGGGTGCCAGGCTTAATACCTGGGTGATGAAACAATCTGTACAATAAACCCCCAGCTTTACCTGTGTAACAAATCTGCACATGTCCCCTGAACTTAAAGTTTAAAAAAAAAAAGTATAATCTATTAACATTCCACTATGAAAGACGAGGATTTAGGTCTTTTCTAAGCCCTACTATCACCGCCATACATAAACACTCACTCTTCTCATCCTCCCACATGAAAGTTTTATGAAGAGTTTAGTCAGTGGGAGGCTTGAGGTGGGAGGATCTCATGCAATAGTTTGAGCCAAGAGTTCAAGACTATAGTGAGCTATGATCATGCCACTGTACTCCAGCCTGGGTGACAGAGCAAGACTTGGTCTCTAAAAATTAAAATAAAGTAAAATAAAATAGCTTAAGCCAGGCGTGGTGGCTTATCCCTGTAATCCCAGCACTTTGGGAGGCTGAGGCGGGCAGATCACTTGAGCCCAGGAGTTCGAGATCAGCCTGGGCAACATAGTGAAACCCTGTCTCTACTAAAAACGCAAAAACAATTAGCCGGGCGTGGTGGCACTTGCCTGTAATACCAGCTACTCAGGAGACTGAGGCAAGAGAATTGTTTGAACCCGGGAGGTGGAGGTTGCAGTGAGTCGAGATCACGCCACTGCACTCCAGCCTGGGTGACAGAGTGAGATTCCATCTCAAAAAATAGAATAGTTGAGTCAGATTCACTGTTGGTGTTATTATGGAAATGTTAGCCAAATTCACGGTACAGCCACATTTCTTTTTCTTCCCTGATAACATTTTCTTGTTCTTGGTGTTAATACATGTCCTTGTTTTCACTTAGTTCTCTATGCACTGTTCACTATTTTGTCTCCCTCTAATGGATCTTCTGTTTCCCGGCTCTCATATATTCTACTTTATTAATATAATACCTTATTTTAGTGGAACACGTCCTCCAGTAACTTTCAAAGAAAAAATAGATGGGTGGCCGGTGTTTTGAGATTGTTCGTGTATGCAAATGTCTTTATTTACTTACCACTGGATTCATAGTTTGGCTGCGTATATAATTCTCTACTTGAAACCACTTCTCCTCAAAATTTCAAAAGCATTGCTCCTTTGTCCCTTAGCTTGCAGTATTACCATTGAGAAGCCCAGTGCCATTATTTTGTCTGATTCTTCTGTAAGGAAAGATTTAAATATCTTTCCATTGTCCCTAGTGTTATGACATTTCATACTGGTGGGCTTCGTGTTTTGTTTCATTGTTTGTTTTTTTTTTTTGGAGATGGAGTCTCACTCCAGTCAGTCATGCAGGCTGGAGTGCAGTGGCGCGATCTTGGCTCAGTGCAACCTCTGCCTCCTGAGTTCAAGTGATTCTCCTGCCTCAGCCTCCAGAGGAGCTGGGACTACAGGCATATGCCACTGTGCCCGCTAATTTTTTTCTGTTTTTGGTAGAGACGAGGTTTCACCATGTTGGCCAGGCTGGTCTCAAACTCCTGACCTCAAGTGATCCACCCGCCTCGGCCTCCCAAAGTGCTGGGATTACAAGCATGAGCCACCACATCTGGCCTGGTGGGCTTTGTTTTTGTTCTATATCCATGTCATGGGCTCTGGACACTGTGGTGGACCTTTCTGTGTACAAGTTCACATCCCTCAATTCTGAGAAATCTTTTTGAATCATGTGATTAATAATTGTCTTCCTTCCATTGTCTCTGTTCTCCCTGTAACTCCTAATATTCTGGCTTTGTTCTACCTGTAAGCTTCTCTGATTTTCTTATCACTTTCCTCCTATATACATCCTCTTGCTCTACTTTCAGGAGCTATCCTCAGCTTCTGTTTCGTACCATCTGTTGAATTTTTCATTTTTGTTACTATACTTCTAATTTCCAAGACCTCTCTTTTGTTCTCTGAATGTTCCTTTCTTTATAAAACCCTCCATTTGGTTTCATGGGTGCCACATCTTCTGTCTCAGAGAACATTGATAGGTTTGTAGCAGTTTTCTTTTCTAAGGATAGTCTCCATTTCCTCTAGGTTGCCGTTTCCTGCTTATGTGGTGTTTCCCATCTGTTTCCATGCCGTGGACTCTTCTCAAATGTCTGATGATCCTTAGCTGTCTACTCATGTTTAGGAATGGGGCACTGAAAAGCTATTTGGAAACTGTGTGAATATTGATTTGCCTTGACCATTTTGCTAAGAAACTCAATGATTTAGTGTCTTTAAATCTTTTTTTCCTTTGTGATCAGATTCTGCAGAGGGTCGGGTGCCATGGCTCACACCTGTAATCCCAGCAATTTGGGAGGCCGAGGCAGGTGGATCACCTGAGGTCAGGAGTTCAAGACTAGCCTGGCCAACATGGCGAACCCCTAGCTCTACTAAAAATACCAAAAAAAAAAAAAAAAAAAAAATAGCCAGTTGTGATGGTGAGCACCTGGAGTTTCAGCTACTCAGGAGGCTGAGACGTGAGAATTGCTTGAATCCGGGAGGTGGAGGTTGCAGTGAGCCAAGATCCCACCACTGCACTCCAGCCTAGGCCACAGAGTGAGGCTCTTTCTCAAAAAAAAAAAAAAAAAAAAAAAAAGTTCTGCAGAGAAGGTTCCGACAGCTGCCTGCTTAGGTAGGGGAAGTCTCCTCAGGGGCCCCAAGATTCAATGTGAAAAGGATGGGAAGAGAAGGATGGATTGGGCACTGGCATTATCCACAGGGAATTGCAGCATACACATGCCTTTTCGATCTTCTACATTTCCCTCAGGGCTGAGTGCTTGCAACTGGACACCCCCTTCCTGCTTCCTGCTTCCTATTTCTTGGTGTCTGAAAAACTGTAGTGCTGCATACTACTCCAGTGATGGCAAACGTGGTGGCCATGAGAACATGCCTCATAGACTTCTTTTTTGGAACATAATTGACCAAAGGCCCCAGCTGCTGTGCTCTGAAATTCATCAGTATGCTTGGGCATGGTGCTTCTGCTCATAGGCTGCTCCCGCTAGGGACTGGATGCAGCAGGACACCAAGGCAGACACACTCCCGGGAGGCATGGCCTCCTTTGCAGGCTGACTTTGGCTCAGGGACTCCCTTATCAACTTTGCCGAGGCCGAGCTCAGTGGCTCACACCTGTAATCCCAGCACTTGGGAGGCCGAGGTGGGCACATCACTTGAGGCCAGGAGTTCAAGACTAGCCTGGGCAACATGGCTAAACCCCGTCTCTACTAAAAATACAAAAATTAGCCAGGCATGATGTCTTGCGCCTGTAATCCCAGCTACCTGAGAGGCTGAGGCAGGAGAATTGCTTGAACCCAGAAGGCGGAGGTTGCAGTGAGCCAAGATCATGCCTGATAGGTGACAGAGCGAGACTCCATCTCAAAAAAAAAAAAAAAACTTTGCCAAATCTTCCTTGCAATGCTCTCTAGGATGACTGTGCTCAGCCTTCTCTCTCTCTTTCCTTCACTCAGGCTCACACTTGCATCACCAAGTGATGCCTCTCCCAGCCATCCTGGCTCTCTCCCTATTTCCTTTCACACAAGCATTTCCCTTAATAAAATCCTTGCATGTTTAATTCCATCTTGATGTCTGCATTTTGGAGGGCCCAGTCCAACCCAACAAGACAGTGCTAAATTCAGCTCTTAGACACAGTAAGTCTTTTAAATATAAAATATATAAGTATTGATTTAGTTCATAAGAAATTAACCATAAGTAAGAGAAAACTGAAATTCATTTACAGCTATGCTGAGGGACTGCCAAATTAGACACTGAGAGTTGACATTTATGTTCTCGGTGTCTTTAAAAAAAATTTTTTTTTGTACAGATGATTTCTACGTTACCTAGTCTGGTCTCAAACTCCTGGGCTCAAGTGATCGTCCCACCTTGGCCTCCCAAAGTGTTGGGATTATAGGCATGAGCCACCACATCCAGCCCCTCAGTGTCTTTTGATTTGGATGTTTGCTGAAACTCTTCTATAAAATGAGAAAAATAACATTTCTAACATAGCTTTGACTTTGTTCTTTCTTAGATTTTTTCTTAAGAATTCTGAGTTGTGTCTAATATCAAAATTTGCAATACAAATAGAGATTTCTCTTTTAAAATAAAGGCCAGGCGTGATGGCTCACACCTGTAATCCCAGCACTTTGGGAAGCCGAGGCAGGCGGATTCCCTGAGGTCAGGAGTTCGAGACCAGACTGCCTGGCCAACATGGTGAAACCCTGTCTCTACTAAAAATACAAAAATTAGCCAGGTGTGATTACGTGCACCTGTAATCCCAGCTACTTGGGAGGCTGAGGCAGAAGAATCGCTTGAACCCGAGAGGCAGAGGTTGCAGTGAGCCGAGAGCACACCACTGCACTCCAGCCTGGGCAACAGAGTGAGACTCTGTCTCAAAAAATAATAATAAAATAAAATTCATATCTGCCTAAGTTTTGAGAAGGCTGTCAGGAGTAAAAGCTCGTGTGCATCTTCCCTGCTCTCATCTGAGTAGAACAGATCCCTTTTAGGTCATGTTAAATCTGCATTTTCTTTTATGTGTGCACCCTACAGACCCCCCAGTCCTGAAATGTACCCAGATTAATATCTTTGATGTCCAGATCACAAAGGGCTTCTTATTTTCAGGGTGTTCTTTGTGATAGATCATCTTTTCAGACTATCTATCTTTTGGCAAAAAGGAAATAACTTATAAGTATTTTCTGAATGTACAAACACATTCATGCATTCATTACTCTCAATTTCTTTTTCCACCTTTTGAAAACCAATACAGGTAGAATAGGAAGCCAAGGATGATGGTGTTAATATGTAAATATTAAAAATTTTTATTTAGCTATTTTAAAATCAAATCAAATGGTCCAGGTGCGGTGGCTCATGCCTGTAATCCCAGCACTTTGGGAGGCCGAGGTGGGCGGATCGCAAGGTCAGGAGATTGAGACCATCCTGGCTAACATGGTGAAATGCCGTCTCTACTAAAAAATACAAAAAATTATCCCGGTGTGGTGGCGGGCACCTCTAGTCCCAGCTACTCAGGAGGCTGAGGCAGGAGAATGGTGTGAACCCGGGAGGCGGAGCTTGCAGTGAGCCGAGATCGCACCACTGCACTCCAGCCTGGGTGACAGAGCGAGCGAGACTCCACTCCGTCTCAAAAAAAAAAAAAAAAAATCAAATCAAATGTATGATTGTGACTTAATTTTTGTCATTTCAAATAATCTTTCTAACTCTGTGTTTGAGAAGAATATGCTTATCCTTAAATGATGCAAACATTCTATACCTTACCCCCAGCCACAGTGGTTAGGGTAATACTTAGAGAAAAGCCAGGCCACTCAAATACACTGCCTGGATTTTTCAGATTGTCACGGGGTGAGAAATGCTTTTAACTCCTGAACATCAAATTTAGAAGGATGAGGTATAGGGCTGCATATAACCATGACCCCCGACTGCCACTCACAATGTGGGCAAATATGTCTGCATCAGAGAGAAGAAAGCAGAACATTGTGTGGGGATCCCAGTTATCCTCCAAACCAGACGAGTGTCTTTCTGGGGTCTGTTAGGAAGTGAGATAAGGGGCTGCGCATGGTGGCTCACACCTGTAATCCCAACACTTTGGGAGGCTGAGGTGGGAGGATTGCTTGAATCCAGGAGTTCAAGACCAGCCTGGCCAACAGGGTGAAACCCTGTCTCTACACACACACACACACACACACACACACACACACACACACACAAATTAGCCGGGTGTAGTGGTGCATGCCTGTGGTACCCGTTGCTCAGAAGGCTGAGCTGAGAGGCTGAGGCAAGAGGGTCACTTTAGCCCAGGAGTTCAAGACTCCTGAGCTATGATCATGCCACTGCACTCCAGCCTGGGCAACAGAGCAAGACCACGTGTCTACATTTAAAAAAAAATTAATAAGGAATTGAGATGAACTGATTCTTTTAATCTACACCCTACCTCAACCTCTCTGAAATTTATTTTGTATTATTGGCTGTAAATGCAATCTCTTTCCTTATAACTCTATGGGTTAACATCATCTAAGGTGATTTTTAAACTTGTTATCAAGTTCTTTCACATTTGTCCCATCAGAAGTGAAGTCTCTATTCCCTCCTGTTAAATCTGGGCTGGCTTTGGTGACTTGTTTGTACCCAATAAAATAAAGCATAAATGATGCTGTGTGACATTGGAGGCTAGGTCAGAAAAGACCATGCAACTTCTGCCTGGTTCTCTTGGAATGCTTTCTGTAGGGAAAGCAGCCACCATGTAGAAGTCTAACTCCCCTCTCAAAAAGGCCATGCATACCTGTTCTGGCAGACAGGCCTGGCTGAGCTCCCAGCCAACAGCCAGTATTCCCTGCAAGCCATGTCAGTGTTTCATCGTAGACATTCACAGCCCAGTTGAGCGTTCGGATGACAGCAGCACAGCTGACATCTGACTGCAACTACATGAGAGGCCTCAAATGAGAACTGCCCAGCAAAACCCTTCCCCAATACCTGACTCACAAAATTGGGAGCAAAATAAAATGCCTACTTTAAACCACGAAGTTTAGAGAGACTTTGTTACAGAGTAATAGTAACTAGAATGTATCTTTGCTTGGGCAATTGATTCCAATCTCAAAGTAATGGCAGTAGTGGTACATTTTCCATGGATGGAATGGATGAGATCTAAATGCTATGTGTTTTCTTAAAAACTTCTGCTGATATGCTCCTTACGTATTATAAAACTCTTTTCTTAACAGCTACAATGACTATATGAAATGTATTTATTTTTTATTTTTTGAGACATGGTCTTTGTCTGTCACCCAGGCCAGAGTGCAGTGACATGATCATAGCTCACTGCAGCCTCAAATTCCTGGGCTCAAGCAATCCACCTGACTTAGTCTCCTGAGTAGCTGGGACTACAGGCTTGTGCTATTATGCTCAACTAATTTTTTTATTTTTATTTTTATTTTTTGTAGAGATGGGGTCTCCTTCTGTTGTCCAGGCTCACCTCAAACTCGAGACCTCAAGTGATTCTCCCACCTCACCCTCACAAAGTGCTGGGATTACAGGCATGAGCCACCACACCTGGTCTGAAATGGATTTTTGAGCACAGTCTAGATCTTAAATGTCTGACTCTGGTTCCAAGATTTGATTTGTCAAGTATAGATCGGATCTTACCACACAGTCTTACAGGGACTGCACATGTATTTTGTTGTACGAAAAATCAGTGGTATCATTTTTTTTTCCTAACATGGGTGGCCTTGAAATTTTTGTTTAGTTTAGTTTAACTTGGGCTTATAATATTATTTCTTTTTCTTTTCCAATCAACTTTCTCAGGTTGAAAATTTCTATTTGAAGTTGGATCAAAGAAAAATATGAAGGGAGAGATGATGATAAAGAATGAAAACAGGACCCTCCTTCAACCACTGAAATGGGAACACTGTGCTTTCTCTGAGCAGCAGTTAAAGGTCAGCATTATTTTCCCAGGCCCTATGCTAGGCCTGACCGATTAAAGCTGAGAGCAGAGGCTTACACGGTTAGCATGGGAAAGGAGAGAATTCATGGTCCAAGAGGCAGATTCTCAGCCAAGACTGATCTTGGGAGGCCATGAAGAAACACCAGAGCTGAGCAAGAGAGTGCAAAAAGTCATAGTCAAGAGAAGAAGCCGAGGAGATGAGGCCCAGGGAAAGAGCCCAGGCAACCCAGAGAAAGGAAAACTAAACAGGCTTTCAGCCTGATCATTTCTCACCTAGAGCCCACTGCAACATATTAAGTGTTCCAGCTCTTACCCCAACATGTCTTAAAGAAGGTAGCCCTTTAGGTTGGTGTAGTGTGGGAAGTTAAAAAATCATGATGAGAGCTAATCATCTAATCATGATGAGATGATCCCAGGTGTGTTACAGGATCCCAGATCCATGCTGTGAAACCTCTTGTTCCCAATCTGTCAGTTTTATAGTCTCTCCTGGTATTGATGGGAATTTGGTACAGACCAAATGGCATTTAGTTTTCCCAGCTATTAGTACACATAGGACAACATGGCTAAAAAAGAAAAAAGTATAGGCTTCTTTTTGGCCCCCAGAAATCCAAGCAGACATGGGGGAGCTATGCGATATAGTTTGGATGCTCCATCCAAATCTCTTGTTGAAATATAATCCCCAGTGTTAGAGATGGGGTCTCGTGGGAGGTGTTTGGATCATGGGGATGAATCCCTCATGAATGGCTCAGCACCATTCCCTTGGTGATGACTGAGTGCTCACTCAGTTCACATGAGATCTGATTGTTTAAAACTGTGTGGCAGCCAAGCGTGATGGCTCACACCTGTAATCCCAGCACTTTGGGAGGCCAAGGCAGGCAGATCGCTTTGAGCTCAGGAGTTTGAGACCAACCTGGGCAACATGGTGAAACCCCATCTCTACAAAAAATACAAAAATTAGCTGGGCATGGTACTGCGCACCTATAATCCCAGCTACTCAGGAGGCTGAGGCTGGAGGATCGCTTGAACCCAGGAGGTGGAGGTTGCAGTGAGCTGAGATTTCACCACTGCACTCCAGCCTGGAAGACAGAGTGAGAACCTGCCTGGAAAAAAAAAAAAAAGTGTGTGGCACCTCCCCAACCCTCTCTCTTGCTCTGGCTCTTGCCATGTGATGTGTCTTTTCCCACTTCATCTTTTGCCACGAGTAAAATCTACCATGAGTAAAAGCTTCCTGAGGCCTCCCCAGAAGTCAAGCAGAAATGCCAGCGCCATGCTTGTACAGCCTGCAGAGCTGTGAGCCAATTAAACCTCTTTTCTTTATAAATTACCCAGTCTCAGGTATTCCTTTACAGCAATGCAAGAACGGCCTAACACAGTAGCCCTTTTTGATCTACCATGAGGAAAATAATGGCACAAGTAGAGTATTGACCTGGGCAGAAATATTCAGACTCTCAAGATAAACTAGGGGAGGAACAATGACTAATGCGTTTGGTCATTATTAGCATTTGGTCATTTCTAGCATTTTCCCTAGCAAATGGATTCACTCATTCATTCAGCTGATATCTGAATGAATCAGGAGGCATTACGCATCCAACAGTGAACAAGAGACAGTCCGTGTCTTCCAGAACCTCTATTGAGCATTAAGATTTGAGTGAGGTTCTGGCAGACAGGCCTGTTCCTAGTGTAAGGCTCAGCCTCAGATGTGATCCTGAAGGCCTGTTTCACCTGGATGCAGTCCATTTGGATGAGTTTGCTTGAGAAGCACACACATGGAAGCCATAGGCTGGAGGACATCAAGTATGGCTGACGTTAGGGTGTCTTACCTGAGGGATCCCAGAAAGCAGAGGCTGAGACAAAGTCTTGAGAATGAGTTTTCTGTTGGGGAGTGTGATCCTATGGAGAAAAGCAAGGAAGAGCTGGGTGTGGTGGCTCACGCCTGTAATCCCAACACTTTGGGAGGCTGAGATGGGTGGATCACCTGAGGTCAGAAGTTCGAGATTAGCCTGGCCAACATGGTGAAACCCCATCTCCACTAAAAATACAAAAATTAGCCGGGTGTGGTGGTGCAGGCCTGTAATCCCAGCTACTCGGGAGGCTGAGACATGAGAATTGCTTGAACCCGGGAGATGGAGGTTGCAGTCAACTAAGATCACACCATTGCACTCCAACCCTGGGTGACAGAGTGAGGCTCCATCTCAAAAAAAAAAAAAAAAAAAGACGAATACAATGCAGACCAGGAGGAGGAGCCAGTTGAGGGAGGTGTTAGCAAAGACAGTCACTGCCATGGGTAGATGATTGCTTGAGCCCTCGGAAGCATTGGTCTGGTGGAGAGAAAGGGATAGCATCTGTCCATTAGTTCAAATGTTCCTAAATCCAAAGTTGACCTGATGGAGTGTTAATTCTCCTGCACTTATGGGTTATGCTTTCATGGACAAAGAGCAGGTTCTCACAGCATCGCCCCCTACAGCATTAGAGGAGCCCTGGGGAGGGAGGTGAGAAGCATGTGACACAGGACTGTGGTGAGGCTGTCAAGGTGCGTCTGTGTGAATCTGATGAGTGCCCATACAGCACTGGTCACTGCAGTGGTGCCTAGAATAAGAGTAAGGTGAGCCTGAGAGTATGAAGAAGGACCAATTTTTTAAAAGGTAATTAAGTGAAAGTTTTCCCATTAAATCTTGGGGCTGATGAGAAGCCTTTTGCCCCTCCTATGCAGGCAGTTGGCATACTCTTCTCTGCAGAATTTGATCATAGAGGAAAATGTTTTAAAGATGTTAAATCATTGGGTTTCCCAGGAAAATGGTCCAGCCAGATCAATGCATCCACAGTTGATAAATCTAACTTATTCACATAGCTTCCAAATGGCTTCTAAGTGCCCTGTTCTTAAACATGAGTAGGCAGCCAAGGATCATCAGATATTTGAGAAAAGTCCATAACATGAAAGACAGATGCCAAACAACAAACAAGTAGAAAAGTAACTTGGAGGAAACAGAGACTATTCTTAGGAAAAACTTCTGGCTGAGTGTAGTGGCTCCCACCTGTAATCCCAGCACTTTGGGAGGCCAAGACAGGAGAAGTGCTGGAGACCAGGAGTTCAAGACCAGCCTGGACAACAAAGCAAGACCTTGTCTCTATAAAAAAAAATTTTTAAATTGGCTGGGTGTGGGGGCTCATGCCTGTAATCCCAGCACTTTGGGAGGCCAAGGCAGGTGGATCACCTGAGGTCAGGAGTTCGAGACCAGCCTGACCAACACGGAGAAACCCCGTCTCTACTAAAAATACAAAATTAGCCGAGCGTGGTGGCAGGTGCCTGTAATCCCAGCTACCCGGGAGGCTGAGGCAGGAGAATCACTTGAACCCCAGAGGCAGAGGTTGCAGTGACCCGAGATCACACCATTGCAGTCCAGCCTAGACAACAAGAGCGAGACTCTGTCTCAAAAAAAAAAAAAAAATTTTAAAATTAGCAGGGTGTGGTGGTACACACCTGTAGTCCTAGCTACTCAGGAGGCTGAGGTAAGAGGATCACTTGAGCCCATAGGTCAAGGCTGCAGTGAGCTATGATTGTGCCACTACACTCCAGCCTGGGCAACAGAGCAGGACCCTGTCTCAAAAAAAAAAAAAAAAGAAAAAAGAAAATTTCTAAAAAAGAAATCAGTATCCTCAGGGACAGATGATGTGGTACTCATAAAACAAAAATGGAATGCTTTAAGAAAGAAATGTTCACAGAACAGAAGAGAGACCTTAGAAATTAAAAGGCATAATTTAAAAAATGAAAAACTTGGTTGGGTATAGTGGCTCACACCTGCAATTCGAGCACTTTGGCAGGACAAGGTGGGAGAATTGCTTGAGACCAGGAGTTTGAGAACAGCCTAGGCAAAAAAGTGAGACCCTGTCTCTACAAAAAAAATAAAATAAAAATTAGCAAGGTGTGGTGGTGCATGCCTGTAGTCCTAGCTACTCAGAAGGTTGAGGTAGAAGGATCACTTAAGCCCAGGAGTTTGAGACTGCAGTGAACTATGATCAAACCACTACACTCCAGCCTGGGCAACAGAGCCAGATCATGTCTCAAAAAAAAAAAAAAATTTATAAAAACCTGCCAATATCCTCAGAGACAGAAGATGTGATATCCATAAAACAAAAATGAAATACTTTAAGAAAGAAACAGGCTGGACGCGGTGGCTTACGCCTGTAATCCCAGCACTTTGGGAGGCTGAGGCAGGTGGATCACAAGGTCAGGAGTTCAAAACCAGCCTGGCCAAGATGGTGAAACCCTGTCTTTACTACAAATACAAAAATTAGTCGGATGCAATGGCAGGCACCTGTAATCCCAGCTACTCGGGAGGCTGAGGCAGGAGAAGCGCTTGAACTCGGGTGGCAGAGGTTGTAGTGAGCCAAGATTGTGCCACTGCACTCCAGCCTGGCCGACAGAGTGAAACTCTGTCTCAAAAAAAAGAAAGAGAAAGAAAGACAGAAAGACAAGAAAGACGAAAGGAAGGAAGGAAGAAGAAAGGGAAAGAAAGAGGAAGAAACTAAAGAAAGAGAAAGAAAGAAAGAAAGATTGATTCAGAGAACAAAAGAGGGATCTTGGAAAATAAAAGTATAATTTAAAAAATGAAAAATTCAGTTTGGTGTAGTGGTTCTATACAAGGTGGGAAGCCAAGGTGGGAGGATCACTTGAGACCAGGTGTTTGAGTCCAGCCTGGGCAACATAGCAAGACCTCATTTCTACAAAAATTAAAAAAAAATAAAATTAGCCAGGTGTGGTGGTACAGGCCTGTGGTCCTAGCTACTCTGGAGGCTGAGGCAGGAGGATCACTGGAGCCCAGGAGTTCAAGGTTACAGTGAGTTATGATCATGCTACTAAACCCTAGCCTAGGCAACAGAGTGAGACTCTGTTTCTAAAAAAAAAGAAAAAGACATTAATAGTTGAGTTGGAAAGAAGAGTTGAGAACATCTCCTGAAAGTAGAAAATAGAAAGTGGTCACTCCTCTGACCAATCCCTTCCCCATGCTCAGCCCTGCAGATGCTCCAGAAGGGGAACCTGCAGATGCTCCAGAAGGGGAACCTGCAGATGCTCCAGAATGGGAACCTGCAGATGCTTCAGAAGGGGAACCTGCAGTTGCTCCAGAAGGGGAACCTGCAGATGCTCCAGAAGGGGAACCTGAAGATGCTTCAGAAGGGGAACCTACAGATGCTCCAGAAGGGGAAGTCTTTGTTTCCCAGGACTCACTCACAGCTTTGCCCACTGAATTCTCCAGAAGGGGCATTTATGAGCTCTGAGGAAAGCTGAATCCAGGCAGTTACCCAGACTATGACTGTCTTAGTGTGCTCAAGCTGCTGTCACAAAACTCCATGTACTGAGTGGCTCACAGTTCTGGAGGCTGGAAAGTCCAAGAGCAAACAGCAGATCTGGTGTCTGGTGAGGGCTACTTCCTGGTTTGTGCATGGTCTTCTCATTGTATCCTCACATGGCAGAGAACAGAGAGAGGAAAAACCCTCACATTTCTTATAAGATCACTCATCCCATCACAAGGGCCCCACCCTTATGACCTAATGATCTCCCAAGGCCCCATCTCCAAATACCAGCAGCTTTGGAGTCAGGGTTGCAACATATGAAATTTGGGGCACAAAAACATTCAGTCTATAGCAATGACTGAGTCTTTTTCTAACAGTGGCAGTAGTCTTTTTTTTTACACAGCTAATTTTGTGCTTGTTTTTCAGTTCTTTACACATTAATAGCATATCGTTTAGAAATTCATATATATATTTAAAGACCTTGATATGCCACCCTTTGAGTTACAACTGGGACAGTTGGGAGAGGGGAAAGTGTTCGAGTGGGATGAAGAGCTAGGAGAGGCTCCATGGCCGGAGGCCTGGTCCACTTCGTTTTTGTACCGGAAGGGCTCATCGCCAGTTTAATTGAGAAGATATGTGCAGATGAGGACTTCTGTCACCAGAAATTAGTATGTTGGAGTTAACACTAAAAAGAAAAACAAAGGAACAAGTGATTCTCCTGATGGAGGATGGAAAGGAAAGGTGTCACGGAGTACTTCTAAGATAATGGTAAAGATCTATCTGAGGCTGGGCATGGGGGCTCATACCTGTAATCTTGGCACTTGGGAAGCCAAGGGGGGCAGGCCAGGAGCTTGAGACCAGACTGGCCAATATGGTAAAGCCCCCTCTCTACAAAAAATAAAAAATTAGCCTGGCACAGTGGTGCACACCTGTAACCCCAGCTACTCAGAAGGCTGAGGCATAAGAATTGCTTGAACCTGGAAGGCAGAGGTTGCAGTGAGCCAAGATTGCGCCACTGTACTACAGCCTGGGCGACAGAATGAGACTCTGTCTCAAGCAAACAAAAAACAAACAAAACAAGAAAGATGTACTTTAGATGGCAATTCACAGTTCATCTTATTCAATAAATTGTACAATATGTTTATATATTTTTGTGTATGTATAATACATTTCATAACTTAAAACAGACTTTAACCTCATCTGATAGACTTATCTCTTGTACCTTGATGTCAAGAAAATTTAGGGATAGAAAGACTACGGCCAGGCGTGGTGGCTCAGGCCTATACTCCCGTTTGGGACGCCGAGGCGGGTGGATCACCTGAGGTCAGGAGTTCGAGGCCAGCCTGGGCAACATGATGAAACCCCATCTCTACTCAAAATACAAAAATTTGACAGGCATGGTGGTGGGTACCTGTAATCGCAGCTACTCGGGAGGCTGAGGCACAAGAATTGCTTGAACCAGGGAGGCGGAGGTTGCAATGAGCTGAGATTGCACCACTGCACTACAGCCTGGGAGAAAGAGCAAGACCCTGTCTCCAAAAAAAAAGAATAAAGCATGGCAAAGTACAATCTGAATCTGGAACTTTGCTCTTAGCCCCACTAATGAACTTTGGTCCTGCAAATAATACAGAACAGAGTTGACTGCACTGCACCTAGATAAAGAGGCAATGATTGCTTCACAATCCTTTAATTAAAACTGCTTTTGTATTTTTCATTTTGTAAATTATACTTATTTCTATCAAATTTTCTTTTGTGTTCCCTTTCCCATATTCTTTCTGTCATGTGACTTGGAAATATTAGAAATCCATGACTCCTCCCCACCTCAATGGTCAGTGAGTGTCTTATTCTTCTTGACTGTATATCTAAAATAGCTCTGTCATCACCCTTCTGTTTCCAAAACTCTGCCCTGGTGCTGGTGCAGGCCCTCCTGAGAATCTCTTGCTAGCTAAGACATCATGTCCAAGCAGGCCTCCCGGACTCCGGTCTTGACCTTCTTCAATCTGTCTTCAATATCACCACCAGAATTCAGCTTCTAAAGTGTAGGTTTCTTTTATCATGGCAAAATATACTTATCATAAAATTTGCCATTTTAGGCCAGGCACAGTGGTTCATGCCTGTAATCCTAACACTTTGGGAAGATAAGGGAAGAGGATCGCTTAAGTCCAGGAGTTCAAGACCAGCCTGGGCGACAAAGTGAGACCCCATCTCTACAAAAAAAAAAAAAAAATGTTTTTGAGATGGAGTCTTGCTCTGTCACCCAGGCTGGAGCGCGAGAGTACAATGGCCTGTTCCCGGCTCACTGCAAACTCTGCCTCTTGGGTTCAAGCGATTCTCCTGCCTCAGCTTCCCAAGTAGCTGGGGTTACAGGCGCATGCCACCATGCCCAGCTAATTTTTGTATTTTTAGTAGAGATGGGGTTTCACTGTGTTGGCTAGGCTGGTCTCAAACTCCTAACCTCAAGTGATCCACCCACCTTGGCCTCCCAAAGTGCTGGGATTATAGGCATGAGCCACCACGCCCAGCCCCCCAGAAGCATTTTATATATTTATTATTATTATTACTTTAATAGAGACAGAGTCTTACTTCGTTGCCCAGACTGCTCTCAAACTCCTGGGCTCAAGCAGTGATCCCCCTGCCTTGGCCTCCCAAAGTGCTGGGATTATAGGCATGAACCATTGTACCAAGCCTAGCAGTATTTTGAATAATTCCCAAGCATGCTAGCTGAATGACAGATTTAAGGAATTTCTTTGATTCGCTTTGTTCTTTACAAATATATTTCCCATTTGTTTTGATTATTGTTAACTAGGAAGACTTGCTTGTCAGCACGTTGTGAGGTTGTTTTTACATATAAAGGAATGAATTGTGAATGGTAGTGAGTTCTAAGCTGTTAGTTTGTGGCTGCTCCAGCTTTTATCTAAAATTATGTTTCTTTTCTGATTTGTTCCCAACGTCATTATGTTAAGGGTAGGATAAGGGAAACTTCAACATTTGACAAAGACTCTCCTTTGACCAAAACCTCAGTCAGGCTCCTCTGAGTCCTCCCTGCACTAGGCTCGACCTTGGGCTTCTCTTTCTGTCCTTATTAAATCCAGTTTGAGCAAGAATCCTGACAAATTGGTTTAGTGAAAAGTCTTCCACACTTATATCTGTCCAGCCTCCACATCTTATCACGCTGATCTGCCTTTAGCAATAATCCTATCAAGTTGGTTTAGCCAGAAACCTCTTATCCTTCATGTTTCTTCTTAGCAATTTTCCACCCACTCCCAACTTGCTCCTTGGTGATAAATCCTCACTCATCCTTGTTGGAGACAGAGTTGAGTCCAATCTCTCTCCCCGACTGTGAGACCCCATTGCAATGGTCCCTATACCTATCACCATGGCTCCCTTTGAATAAAGTCTGCCTTATAATCTTTAATAGCATCATGAATAATTTTTCTGTAATAATTTTATCACAAATATTACATTGCAAATTAAGTATGTACATAACTTATGAAAATAGGACAAAAGGCCGGGCACAGTGGCTCACGCCTGTAATCCCAGCACTTTGGGAGGCTGAGGCGGGTGGATTACCTGAGGTCAGGAATTCGAGACCAGCCTGGCCAACATGGTGAAATCCCATCTCTCCTAAAAATACAAAAAATTAGCTGGACGTGGTGGCAGGCACCTGTAATCCCAGCAACTTGGGAGGCTGAGGCAGGAGAATCGCTTGCACCCAGGAGGCAGAGGTTGCACTGAGCCAAGATCAGGCCACTGCACTCCAGCCTGGGCAACAAGAGTAAAACTCCATCTCAAAGAAAAAAAGAAAATAGGATAAAAATGGATGAGATGATTGTTGGAATACCTATTTTGTTGAGTATTTTCTCTGGTGATTATTTTCATATATATATATATATATATATATATATATATACATATATAAAACATGATGCTTTGTAGTAAGATTCTAATGAATGTCATAAAAATGCTCATGTGTGGTCATATCGACATCCACCTTTATGGGGAGAATTTAGTGATTTCTATTGTTCTTACAACCATCATTGCACACTTAACAGAATCTGAAAGCTAGAAGTTTCCTTAAAAATCATCATCATTTCAGAAAAATAACAGATGCTGGTAAGGATTCAGAGAAAAGGGAACTCTCATACACTGCGGTTGGAATGTAAATTAGTACAGACATTATGGAGAACAGTATGGAGATTTCTCAAAAAACTAAAAATAGAACTACCAAACGATACCGCAATCCCACTACTGGGCATATAACCAAAGGAAAGGAAATCACAATTTCAAAGGGATACATGCATCCCCATGTTTATTGCAGCATTATTCACAACAGTGTCCATCATCAGAAGAATGGATAAGGAAAATGTGGCATATTTACACAATGGAATATTTTTCAGCCATAAAAAAGAATGAAATCATGTCATTTGCAGCCACATGGACGGAACTGGAGGTCATTATATTAAGTGAAATAAGCCAGACACAAAAAGACAAGTATCACATGCACTCACTGGTGTGGAAGCTAAAAAAGCTGATCTCATAGAGGTACAGAGTAGAATGATAGTTACCAGAGTCTGGGAAGGATGTTGAGGGTTAGGACAAACAATGGCTAATTAATGGGTACAAACAGCCAGGCACAGTGACTAACGCCTGTAATCCCAGCACTTTGGGAGGCCAAGGTGGGCAGATCGCTTGAGTTCAAGAGTTTGAGATCAGTCTGGGCAACATGGTGAAACCCCATGTCTAAAAAAAATTACAAGTATTAGCTGGGCATGGTGGTGAGCACCTGTGCTCCCAGCTACTCAGGAGGCTGAGGCAGTGACTGAAATCGCACCACTGCGCTCCATCCTGGGTGACAGAGTGAGACTCTGCCTACAAAAAAGTGGGGGGGGGTGGTACAAACATGCAAACATGCAGTTATAATAAATAGAAATGTAACTGCCCAAGGGATTCTTCCTGCCTGCTGCACAGACAAAATCAATCCACTGAGACCACGGCACTGCAGTAAGAAAGAGTGTAACTGACTAGAGGCCACCCACTTGTGAGAACTGGAGTTATCACGCAAATCAGTTTCCCTGAAGGCTCAGAGGCTAGGGTTTTTATGGACAATTTGGTGGGCAGGAGACTAGGGAATGGGTACTGCTGACTGCTTGAAGATGAAATCATAAAGGTGTGTGCTGAGTCCGCCTCTGGGTGGGGTCACAGGACCAGTTGAGTCATGAGTCTGGGTGGGGTCAGTCTGAAAAACATCTCAGAAAAAACAATCTTAGGTTCAACAATATTGTTGTTATCTATAGGAGCAATTGGGAAGGTCACAAGTCTTGTGACCTCCGGCCACAGGACTCCTGCGCCGTAATGGGTTATAGAAATTATGCCTACGTTTTAGCAGAGTTCATGCTCCTCCCATAATGCTATTCTTGTGGCCTTTCATTAGTCTTAAAAATGCAGTTTTCTGTCCCTGAGCAAGGAAGGGGTTAGTTTTAGGGAGGAATTGTTATTGTCCTTGTTTTCAAGTTAAACTATAAACTGAATTCCTCCCAAAGCTAGCTTGGCCTATGCCCAGGAATGACAAAGGACAGCTTGGGGGTCAGACACAAGATGGAGTCCACTATGTCAGATTTCTTTTACTGTCATAATTTTGCAAAGGTCGTTTCAGAAGGAATAAGTTACAATGTTCTGTAGCACAGTAGGGTGACTATAGCTAACAACAATGTATTGTACATTTCAAAATAGCTACAAGTGAGGACTTGAAATGTTCTCAACACACAGAATTGATAAATGCTCATGGTGGTAGATATTCTAAATACCCTGACTTGCTCATTACACATTCTATGCATGTAACAAAATATCACTTGTACCTCATATTTACAAATATTATGTGTCAATAAAAAATATATTTATAAAATAAAAATAAATTTTAAAAAATTTTAAGTCATCTTATCAGGATTAGAAAACTAAGGCCAAAAAAGGCTAAGGTCTTATCCTAGACCACCAACTTAGTGGCTGAACCAAAATGAGGACTCAACTCCTCTAACTTCTGGTGGTATGCCCTTTTCACCATACAGACAACATTATCTTCACTGGCAAACACAGAGGTCATCTACGTTGGTGGCACCTTCTGGATATGGGCAGCGTACAAGCCAGCAGCCTTGTCCCTGTCCTTTCCAGGATTTTAAACCTAAGGCAGGCAATATTATAAAATGATGAATGCAACATGGATCAAGGTAAGTAACATAAACAGGTACAGATACTACATAATGAACAGGCTCCTTCCAGTACATATTTTACAAATCTATGTTATGCATGCAGGTGAAGGTACAAAGGTTCAGTGGGAAAGCTTTATGTTTAGAGCACAGGAAGAATGAAGAATCAGTTTCTTATTTCTTACAACCCTAGACGTTAACATTATTCCTATCTTACAAATGAGGAAACTGAGGTACAGAGAGCTGAAGAAGCTTGGAAATGTCACACAACTGCTAAGAGGCAGTACCTGGACTGGTGATCCATCCTCCACACGCTTGACCACTAAGACAACGTATCTCAGCCTTTTGTGATTTGCAACCTCCCTTATTGAATTCCATTAGGAATTTTCTTAACCATATCACCATTTGTGCATGGAATATGATTAAATTATTATAAGTTAGTTTTGTGGCAATTTATTTTTTTGCATGTGTTTGTTTTTCTTACTGACAGGGTTTAACTCTGTTGTCAAAGCTGGAGTGCAGTGGTGTGATCTTGGCTCACTGTAGCCTCTACCCCCTGGACTCAAGGGATCCTCCTGCCTCAGCCTCCTGACTAGCTGGAACTACAGGCACACAGCACCATACCTAGCTAATTTTTGTATTTTCTGTAGAGATAGGGTTTCCCAGGCTGGTCTCGAACTCCTGGCCTCAAGCAATCCTCCCACTTAGCCTCCTAAAATGCGAGGATTATGGGTATGAACAACCACACCCAGCTCTTCTGGCAATTTGGCTAGGCTATACTACCCAGTTATTCAAACACTAATCTAAGCATTGCTGTGGGAGTACTTGTAGATGTGATTAAACATCCACAACCAGTTGACTTTAAAGGAAAATTATCCCAAGTTATCTGGATGGGTCTCATCCAATCAGCTAAAGGTCTTAAAAGCAAATCAGGACTGGGTGTGGTTGCTCAAGCCTGTAATCCCAGCACTTCGGGAATCTGAGGCAGGCAGATCACTTGAGGTCAGGAGTTCGAGACCAGCCTGGCCAACTTGGTGAAACCCCATCTCTACTAAAAATACAAAAATTAGCGAGGCATGGTGGCACAGACCTATAGTTCCAGCTGCTTGGGAGGCTGAGGCATGAGAATTCCTTGAACCTGGGGAGACAGAGGTTGCAGTGAGCTGCGATTGTGCTACTGCACTCCAGCCTGGGCGACAGAGTGAGACTCTGTCTCAAAAGAAAAAAAAAAAGGAGCAAATATATTTCTCCAAGGAAGAATTTGTTGACTGCAGTGTCAGCTCCTGCCTCAGAGCTTCCCCTCTGCTGCTAACCTGTCCTACATACTTTAGACTTGCCTAGCCAGACTGCACTATCATGCAAACAAATTTCTTGAGATAACTCTCTCCATCCTTGTGTAGATGTATTCTACTGGTTGTTTCTCTGGTAGAATCTAGACTCATAGAACTGTTAAGATTGTATTGTATTAAATTTCATTTAAATCTAATATTTTATGGTATGTTCCATAAACTATAATTTTTAACCTTATTCCATATACTAAATAATTTCTTTTTAATTTACTTTATTATTTTCTACAAAGTATTTCATGTTTGGTTTGGGGATCAAATAAGTATTAGCATATGAATAAATTTACTGATGTCTTCATTGCATCAAAAATTGACAAAATTGCTCTCATGCCCTAATACTTGAAATTGTTGGCCAGGCGTGGTGGTTCACACCTGTAATCCCAGCACTTTGGGAGGCTGAGGCAGATGGATCACTTGAGGTCAGGAGTTCGAGACCAGCCTGGCCAACATGGTGAAACCCCGTCTCCACTAAAAATACCAAAAATTAGCTGGACGTGGTGGCAGGCACCTGTAATCCCAGCTACTTGGGAGGCTGAGGCAGGAGAATCACTTGAACCCAGGAGGCAGAGGTTGCAGTGAGCTGAGATCGTGCCACTGCACTCCAGCCTGGGTGACAGAAGGAGACTCCACCTCAAAATACGTAAATAAATTGTTGCCTTTTTTTTTTTTAAAGAAAAAGCGACTGCTTTGTTTTCATAATTTTCCAGTTTTGTTTGTGAACAATGAGTTTCCGACTGGTCTTTGCAAGCACTCGTTTCTATCGTTTTTTTTTTGGTTTGTTTTTTTGAGACAGAGTTTCCCTCTTGTTGCCCAGGCTGGAGTGCAATGGTGCAATTTCGGCTCACTGCAACCTCTGCCTCCCGGGTTCAAGCAATTCTCCTGCCTCAGCCTCCCGAGTAGCTGGCATTACAGGCACGCGCCACCGTGCCCTGCTAATTTTTGTATTTTTAGTAGAGACGGGGGTTTCACCATGTTGGCCAGGCTGGTCTCGAATTCCTGACCTCGTGATCCGCCAGCCTCGGCTTCCCAAAGTGCTGGGATTACAGCCGTGAGCCACCGCGCCCTGTTTATATTTTAAGTTGTTGGGGAGGAAGGTCCCAACTTCTAAAGGATTTTAAAACTGAAAGTCCTGTATCCCAGAAACCCCTCAGCCCTGTTCATGCTATTAGCTTCCTTCCTAATAGATGGGTGTAACACCAGTTACTTTACAGGTTTCTTCTTTTTCTTTTCTTTTTTTTTTTTAAGACAGAGTCTTGCTCTGACACCCAGGTTGGAGTGCAGTGGTACAATCTCGGCTCACTGCACTCACCGCCTCCACAGGTTCAAGCGGATTCTCGTGCCTCAGACAGTCAAGTAGCTGGGACTACAAGCGCACACCACCATACCTGGCTAATTTCTGTATTTTTAGTAGAGTCAGGGTTTTGCCATGTTGGCCAGGCTGGTCTCGAACTCCTGGCCTCAAGCAGTCCGCCTGCCTCAGCCTCCCAAGGTGCTGGGATTACAGGTGTGAGCCACTGCGCCCGGCCACATTGCAAGTTTAAAAGATTCCTGGCAATGTCAAGCACTCGAACCTTCCAAAACTAGCCACTAGCCACATGTGGCTACCAGGCCTTCAAATTTTGGCTAGTGCAACTCACAAGCTGAATTTTTCATTTTACTTAATTTTTAAATTTAAATTGTTATTTTATTTTATTTTTTGAGACAGAGTCTCGCTTTGTTGCCCAGGCTGGAATGCAGTGGCACAATCTCAGCTTACTGCAACCTCCGCCTCCCGGGTTCAAGGATTCTCCTGCCTCAGCTTCCCGAGTAACTGGGACTACAGGCGCACACCACCATGACCGGCTAATTTTTTTGTATTTTTGGTGAAGACGGGGTTTCACTATGTTGGCCAGGCTGGTCTTGAACTCCTTGACCACGTGAGCCACCGCGCCCAGCTAAATTTAAAAACTGATACTTGATTCAGCTTTTGGAAAACTTTTAAGTATGATTGGAATAACAGAATATGTGAATCTACATTTTCAACTGTAAATTTAATAAACTCTACCAGCCCGGGCAACAGTGAAACCCGTCTCTACCGAAAAAAAAAAATAATAACAAATTTAATTAATTAACTGGCAGTGGTGCTGCGCACCTGTGGTCCCAGCTACTTGGGAGGCTGAGATGGGAGAATCGCTTCAGCCCAGGAGGTTGAAGCTGCAGTGAGCTGAGACTGAGCCACTGCACTTCAGGATGGGTGACAGAGAGACCCTGTCTCAAAAAAAATTTTTTTTCAATAAAATCTAAACGTAGATATTTCTGATGAAAATTTAGTATCCCAACAGAGACTTGCTGGAAGGACAAAATATATCACATTTTTAAGACATTGTACGTATATCTCATTAGTAATTTGATTATTGAAATAACTTTTGAAAATACCGCACTAAAACGTTAACACTAATTTCACCAGTTTCTTCGTACTTTTTGTGGCTACTGCAAAATTTAAAGTTATGTGTGTGGCTGCATTATATTCCGAGCGGACAAGCCCGACCTGGCAAGGCCTGGCAAATGGTAAAAGCCACCAAAATGGTGGCATATGAGCTGCATGATAGGAACGAGAATGATATTCCTTTGTGAAGATCAACAATACTTGACATCAAGTAGGTCTTCAAAACACAGGACTACCTAATGCTGAGAATTACTCCTCCCGATTACACAGTGTCGCATTTGTTTTTGTGAGCGCCTTAAGTTCCTTTTCCGACAAGAAAGGCTGGCAGACAGTTCTGATAGGGATGAAGGAATGGAGCACTTGGGGCTTGCCTAGGCTGTAAGGTGAAGTTTTAGAATTGTCACTTGGAACTCGGTCCCACGCCCAGAAATCGCAAACAGTCCCAAGTTTCCACACTGGCCACGCCAGTCCGCGACCCACGGCGGCTCCCAAGGCTGCGCCGACCTAGGCGCCCACACCCGCGACCTTCCCCGGAAGCGTTTCCATTTCATTCCCTCAAGTCCGCAAGGCGCCGGGTGGGTCCCGAGCGCCCGACTCAGCCATAAAGGCGGCCCCGGGAAAACGCTCTCGGAAGCGGGTAGGGGCCCAGGCCCACGCTGCCCGGCGTCCGCAGGCCAGGGGCAGGGGCAGAGGCAGGGACGGGGCAGGAACAAGGGAAGGTGGCGGCGGGCGGAGGCGAGGCCGAAGCGCCGGGGCCCGCGGGCAGAGGCCGCAAACGTATCCACGCCCCTCGTGCATCCTGGAGCGGGGCTGATGACGAACACAGGGCGCGACGGACGCACACACCGCCCAGCGCTCGCACGACGGTGCGTGCAAGGAGGCGGGAGGGAGCCTCGGGCTGTCACCGGCGCAATCTGCGTCCCGCCTCCTCCGCTCCCTGCGCTCCCGCCACCTCGGCAACTCCGCGCCCGCCTCCCGCCTCCGTCGGAAGCCTCCGCCGCAGTAAGGCTCCCGGTCTCGCTGCTGTCTCTTTAAATGGTGGGGCTACGAGCCGCCCCTGCAGCTGCTCCCTGGGTGGCCCCGCGCGCCGCTTTTGAGGGGCGAACCAAGATGGCGGCGGTTTTGGCTGTGTGAGGAAGACGGAAGAGACGGCGGCGGAGGGAAACCGACTTCCACTAGTCCGGGTCGCTTGGGCGGCCGGGGGCCCTCAGAGTCTCCCGGGCAGTGGTAGCAGTTGCAGCAGGATCAGGCGCCTGTCGGCTTCTGACGTTTAAAACAGGGGGAGCGGAAGGGAGCCACTGGCCGCGGTGGCAGGGCCAGGTATAAGGAAGGAAAATATGGCGGCGGCGGCGGCGGCCTGAGGAGGCGGCGGCGGCGCGGGAAGCTGCTTCGCGGAGATCATGGCGGAGGCGGGAGCAGGGCAGTGACGGGAGCCCCGAGTTCCTAGCGCTGCGGGGCGGGAGGCTACGAAGCGCTGCGCGGCCCCCTCGGGGCTGCCGGGCGCCGGGCTCGCCAGGCCTGGACAATAGCGCCGGGGAGCCGGAGGCGAGGAAAGGCGGCGGCCCAGAGCTCGGTCCCTGGAGCGGGCCATGCAGGCGGCGGCGCGGCCCCGCGGCGCCCAGCGGCGGCAGTGAGGCCGGGGAGCCCTCCGCTCGCGGGCGCCCTCACGCCTCGCCCCTCGCCTCTCCAGGGCCCCTTTCCTGGGCGTCTACTGGCGGGGCCCCCGCCCCGGTTCCCGGGCGGCACGATGACCGACACCCGGCGGCGGGTGAAGGTGTACACGCTCAACGAGGACCGGCAGTGGGACGACCGGGGCACCGGGCATGTGTCGTCTGGCTACGTGGAGCGGCTGAAGGGCATGTCCCTGCTTGTCAGGGCTGAGAGCGACGGTAAGTGAAGCCCCGCGCGGCGGGACCCTCGCAGCCCCCACGGCCCTGGGCCGCCTCCCTGGTTCTTGCGGGGCATGGCGCTCGCTCCACGAGAACAGAGGGACGGCTGGGGAGGGCGGCCACCTCGGGGGAGGACGGGCCCCAGGTACCCCAGTCTTGCGGGAGCTCCCCGGAGAGCGCTTGAAATGTTTCCTTTCTCTGAGTGCCTGGTGGCATTTTGGGTACGAGGAGAGCCAAGCGTGTTTGAGCTGTGCCGCCCTGGAGTGTGGAGAGGTCGAGGACCTGAGATAGGGAGTCCGGAGTGTGCTGTTCTTTTGCACTAGAGTGACCTTGAGAAAGACACTGATTAATCCGATCTGCTGCCTTAGTTCACCCATCTGTAAAGCAGGCATGAAACTTTGCTTGGAGCTAAGAAAGTTCTTGGACCTTTCACACTTTGAAGAACGTTTTGCTGTGCTTTTTTTGTTTTTCTTTTTAAACATCTTTTTGCTACATGTTTCTGATCGTGTTGAAGCTTGGCAACACTGTATCTGGCAACTCTACACTAAGAGAAAACGCTTTCCCTTGCGAAGATTTTCGTTCACCAGTGTTGGTTGTCTTTTTTATAGTAATGCAGAATTTTGTGTGTAGCTTACTATATAAACATCTTGCAAAGTTGGAATCATATGAGCTTTTTTTGATTGCTTAAATGGGTGTTCATAATTTGGTTAACAGGTGCAGAGAAGTTGGCAGATAATTTTTAAAACCTTTCGGATCTTCCCTAGTGTTTATGCTTCACAAATTTTGAAACAGCCCTCAAGGTTCAAAGACTAAGTTGTTTGAAAATAAGTGTTTCACGTTTTTTCTTTTTTCCACATGTGCTGTTTCATATTTTAAAAGGCTTATTCTCTGTAGGGATTGCCACTGTTTTTGGCGATATACAGTGAATTTCACTTAAAATACTCAAGTGGGGTAAAACTATTCTCAAATTGTTACTTCCAAACGTGAAAGTAAGTTATCTTCCACTTCTTTTTGTACATTAGTTTATATTTTGCAGTTGCTAACGATGCCAGTTTATTATGATTGTAGCGATTCTGTATCTGAATTATTGCAAACTAATTTCAAGGAATTTTCTTCAATTGGACTCTCCCCAGAACTCCAATTCCATGAAAAACCAACAAGACTAGCCCTTCTGTAATTGAAGACTCTGGGAATATTGATGTTCTATTTAAATTGAAAGTGGTAATCTGGAGTATATTGCCCACAGGTTATAAGGTTACCCAAAGTAACTTAAATCTGGAGAGAAATTATTTTCTTTTGGAGGCATTTAAAAATTTTTGAATGTTGGGTGTATTTTTCTGGGCCTGAGTTATTGGCTTCTTAAAATACAATTTGAATGTCAAGTGTTAGTGTAATTTTGTATGTGACTCACATAATAACCTACTCTAGATCTTTCACACATTTGGAAAACTTTACATAGTATGTTGGAAGGTATGGACTTTTTGTATCAGCTTCTTATGAGATGAAAGTATCCGTAGATTTCTTTTTAATTTTTTACTTTCAAAAAAATAAAAACAGGATTTTGCCCTGTTGCCAAGGCTGGTCTCAAACTCCTGACCTCACGCAGTCCACCCGCCTCGGCCTCCCGGAGTATTAGGATTACAGGCATGACCCCCATCCCAGCTGAAAGCATATGTAGATTTGAGATCAATTTATTGAAATCCATATTAAAAATAATACATATAACCTTCACATCATGTGTTTAATTTGATTCATTATACAAAAAATCCTTTAAGATATTTTTAAGTATAAAAGTTTAATGTCGTACTATCAGAAGTATGCTTTTCTGCATAATTAATATAAGCAATTTTTTTCCGTGTATATATTATTATAGTATATATAATAGTATATATAACTATAGTATGTATAACATGTATATATAACTATAGTATGTATAATATATAGTATATATAACTATATATAATATATAGTATATATAACTATAGTATATATAATTATAGCATATATTCTATATAGTATATATAACTATAGTATATATAATTATAGTATATATACTATATAGTATATATAATTATAGTATATATATTATATAGTATATATAATTATAGTACATATACTATATAGTATATATAATTATAGTATATATACTATATAGTATATATAATATGTATAGATTTTTTTTTTGAGATTGGGTTTTGCTCTTGTCTCCCAGGCTGGAGTGCAATGGCACCATCGTGGCTCACTGCAACCTCCATCTCCTGAGTTCAAGCAATTCTCCTACCTCAGCCTCCTTAGTAGCTGGGACTATGGGCATGTGCCACTATGCCTGGCTAATTTTTTTGTATTTTTAGTAGAGACGGGGTTTCAACATTTTGGCCAGTCTGGTCTCGAACTCTGTACCTCAGGTGATCCACCCGCCTCGGCCTCCCAAAGTGCTAGGATTACAGGCGTGAGCCACTGCGCCGAACCTCCATTTATATTTTTACCATTTTGGAAATAGCCACAAATCTCTCTTCCTCCATTTTGCAGGTTGGAGGTTAAATGACTAAAACAAAATGACTTTAATTTTTATCTAGCAGGGAGAGCTTAACTAAATTACTGATGTGCCCTTGTAAATTTAGGCTGTAAGGAAAACTGAATGCAAAGAATGGACTTAGGCTGGGTGCGGTGGCTCACGCCTATAATCCCAGCATTTTGGGATGCCCAGGCCGACGGATTGTGTGGGCTCGGGAGTTCAAGACCAGCCTGGGCAACATGGCGAAACCCCATCTCTACAAAACATACAAACATTAGCTGGTGCGGTGGCACGGGCCTGTAGTCCTATCTGCTCTGGAGGCTGAGGTGGGAGGGTCACTTGAGCCTAGGAGGTGGAGGCTGCAGTGAGCTGTGATCATGCCACTGCACTGGGTGACAGAGGGAGACCCTGTCACACACAAACACACATACACACACACCATGGACTTAGAAAAAATTCCAGGATACTTGTGAAATACTGTCAGTAATCTTTAGTCGATGATTAACATTTCTTGTCACATCTAAATAGGGATAATAAGTCAAAATTTACTGACTACCTACTATGTGCCAAACTCTTTTAGCAGTTTACTTATATTGACTTACGTAATTCTTACAACAGTGTCTGATTTAGTGCTATTAACCATATTAAACTCCCATGTTACTGTCTACTTGCATTTGCTGCTTTATTAGCCTGAAGGTTTATTTCAAAGAAAATGAAAATTACTTTTAGCCTAAAGATATTTTCGGCCGGGCACAATGGCTCATGCCTGTAATCCCATCACTTAGGGAGGCCAAGGCGGGCAGATCACAAGGTCAGGAGATCGAGACCATCCTGGCTAATATGGTGAAACCCTGTCTCTACTAAAAACATACAAAAATGTAGCCAGGTGTGGTGGCGGGCGCCTGTAGTCCCAGCTGCTCAGGAGGCTGAGGCAGGAGAATGGTGTGAACACAGGAGGCGGAGCTTGCAGTGAGCCAAGATCAGCACCACTGCACTCCAGTCTGGGTGACAAAGCGAGACTCCGTCTCAAAAAAAAAAAAAATTTCAATTATAGTTTATCTACAAGCTTTACATGGATGTTTTTGTGTTGACTGCCAGTTGGGGTCAGCCATTATTGTGTGCTTGCTCCATTCTCCATCATAGGATAATTGATATTTTCTTTTTGTTGTCATGAGCAAAATGGAAAGTATTTCTGATTTTCCATAAATTGAGTCATTTGTCCAATAGAAACTTAAAATTATTGCGCTTTTCCATACTTGGGCTAGACCTAGTCATTATTGTGTTGAAGTTTTTCTTTTCTAAATTACTTGTAGCTTTTCCCCAAAAAAACTTTTGATTTTCAGATTATTTCTTTAGAACAAAATAAATATTTGATTCTTAACACTTTTCAAGTATTTATTGTCTGTAAAATTAAGTTTTTGTGATGTGTTAATCATCCACCTTAGAAATAGGCTATCAGCTAATTTGGTGGTCAGTGCTAGAGATAGTGTGATAGGGGCTTTTGCATACCTGTGAAATAAATGGTGTGTGTTTTTTTTTTTTTTTTAGGCAGAATCTCTGTCATCCTGGCTGGAGTGCAGTAGCATCATCTTGGCTCACTGCAACCTCCACCTTCCAGGTTCAAGGGATTCTCATGCTTCAAGCCTCAAGCCTGGGATTACAGGCGTCTGCCATCATGCATGGCTAATTTTTGTGTTTTTAGTAGGGACACGGTTTCACCATGTTGGCCAGGCTGGTCTTGAACTGCTGACATCAGGTGATCCGCCCTCCTCAGCCTCCCAAAGTGCTGGGATTACAGGCGTGAGCCACCACACCCGGCCGCGTTTCTTTTTTTTAATAAGTTCTCTCAGAAAGGATGACAACATGTCCAAAGTCATTCATCTATTAAGATGGTATGAGTTGGGATTCAAATTCAGGCAATTCATTTTAAACTGTACACACTACTTAGTAATGACAAAGCGTTTGGGAATTTTATAATGTATATAGTGTTAGCATGGGTATAGAAAGGCTGGGTAGTTTTAAAATTCTCTCATTATTGGGTCTATATTTGTGGACGGGGAAGCTATAATAATGCTATCTCAACTGTAGGCTCAGTTCTTGTTAGGGGAGCTTATATGCTCGTCTAAAAATCACAGAAGAGAATTTCTAAATGGAAGTACTTGTGGCCTTCATGTTACAGAGCAGATCTGTCATGGTAAGTACTGTATGCCTTCCCTTCCAAAACCGAGTAACTTGGCACTCAACCTACCTTGCTTTAGAGGAAAAGGGATGTCCCACTAAGCTTCTGGGCCCATTTCTTGGATTGCATCTTTATCCAGTAGGTTTCTGCTGGCAAAATAGGTTGTAAGAACACGTCCCTTTTGTTTTTTGTTTTCTTTTTTTTTTTTTGAGTCAGTGTTTCGCTCTTGTCACTTAGGCCGGAGTGCAATGGCACAATCTCGGCTCACTGCAACCTCCGCTTCCCGGGTTCAAGCGATTCTCCCGCCTCAGCCTTACGAGTAGCTGACATTACAGGTGCCTGCCACCACGCCTGGTGAATTTCTGTGTTTTTAGTAGAGACGAGGTTTCACCATGTTGGCCAGGCCGATCTCGAACTCCTGACCTCAGGTGAGCCACCGCACCCTGCTCTTTTTCTTTTCTTTTCTTTTCTTTTTTTTTTTTTTTTAATTTTTAAGAGCTCTGTTGCCCATGCTGTAGTGCAGTGGCAGGATCATAGCTCACTGTAACCTCAAACTTCTGGGCTCAGTTGATCTTCCCACCTAGCTGGGATTACAGGTGCACACCACTGTGCCTGGGTAATTAAAAAAAAATTTTTTTTTTCTTTTTTTTAAGAGATGGAAGGGGGTGGGTCTTACTTTGTCGCCCAGGCTGGTCTCGAACTCCTGGGCTCAGGCATGAGCCACCATGCCTGGTCCAATTTTTGAATTTTTTCAAAGGTTCTCACTGTATTGCCCAGAATGGTCTCGATCTCCAGATGTGAAGTGATCTTTCCCACTTGGCCGCCTAAAGTGCTGGGATTACACCGCACCTGGCCCATGCTTTTCTTTAAGGAAGATAGATTACCTTATTTCTCTCAGTTTTTATGATAGCCGTATACCTGCAAAGTTCCATCTTCCATTTCAGATTATTTTGTTTTTATTTTTAATTCTTTCAGTGTATGCTGTGTCTGTTAACTTGAAGTAAGGATAATAATTTCATACCTTGCTTATGCTCTCCCTTTGTGGTGAAATCATTATACTACTTTTCTTTCTTTTGTTTTTTCTTCAACTTTTATTTTAAATTCCCGGGTACGTGTGCAGGTTTGTTACATAGGTAAATGTGTGCCATGGTGGTTTGCTGCACAGATCAACCCATCACCTAGGTATTAAGCCCAGCATCCATTAGCTATTCTTCCTGATACTCTCTCTCCCTCTGCCCCTTTGTACTACTTTTCACCATTATGATTTTTACCATATCCACCTGCCAGTTTTACAGTTGATAAATGCAAGGCTGGGGAACAAAGTGAGACCCCCCATCTCTACAAAATAAAAATTTCTAAATTAGCCATGTGTGGTGTTAAACACCTGTAGTCCCGGCTGCTTGGGGCTGAGGCAGGAGGATTGCTTGAGCCCAGAGGTCGAGGCTACAGTGAGCTGTGACTGAGCCACTACTCCAGCCTGGCTGATGAAGCAAGACCCTGTCTCAGAAAAAAAAAAAATGTAGCTCGGGCACAGTGGCCCACATCTGTAATCCTAGCACTTTGGGAAGCCAAGGTGGGGGAGGATTGCTCAAGGCCAGAAGTTCGATACCTGCCTGGGCAACATAGCAAGACCCTGTCTCCACAAAAAGTTTAGAAAATTAGCTGGGCATGTGGCACATACTTGTAGTCTTAGCTACTCAGGAGGCTGAAGCCAGAGAATTGCTTGAGCCCAGGAGTTTGAGGCTGCCATGAACTTTGGTCATGCTACTGCACTCCAGCCTGGGTGACAGAATGAGACCCTATTTCTAAAAACAAAAAATTTAAAAAAGAAAGAAATGTAAGGGAGTTGGAATTCCTCCACACACTGAAGAGTGTCTTTGGCCATAATCATATTTGTGCTCCTTATTACGAAGTACTTGCCAAGGCATCCAGAATAGTGTGCTTACATTGAGTTTTTACCTTGAATTTTATAAAGTATTCTTTACATTTCAAAATAGTTTTATCTGTTCTCTGACTCATATCTTAGAGTTAAACAGGTTAAATTCTCACTGTTACTTGAGGCATGAAGAAAATGAGACATGGAGAAATGTTTTTGTTCAAGGCAGCACTGCTAGCGAATGGTAAAACTGGGATTCTGTGCTGTTTCTGCCTCTTGATAGAACTCCATGTTCATTGTAGGTGGGTCTGCCTCTATCCCTACTGTGATTAGAAAAGGAGGTCAGAACACTTAGGGTGGAAAAGCTTTTGGGGGTAAGAGCTGTGAGAGAAATGAACAGATCAGTCAGTAGTATAGAATCTTGTATATGCCAAGCATTCTGTATATTTATCAAGAAGAGCTCAGTGTCGGTACAAGGGGAAGTATTTCACTTTGAAAAGTTTGTTTATTTAGAGACAAGGTCTTGCTGTCACCCAGGCTGGAGTGCAGTGCCACGATCATAGCTCACTGCAGCCTCAAACTCTTAGGCTCAAGTAATCCTCCTACCTTAGCCTCCCAAGTAGCTGGGACTGTAGACACATGCCACCAGGCCCAGCTGATTTATTTTTAAATTTTTTCAGGGGAGGTGGGATCTTACTGTGTTGCCCAGACTAGTCTTGAATTTCCTGCCTCAAGCAATGCTCCTACCTCACCCTCCTGAGTAGCCAGGATTATAGCTGTGAGCTACCACACCTGGCCCATTTTAGTTTTTAAATGCCACTATGTAATGAGGCATTTAAATTTTTTTCCGAAAAGTCAGGAAAGAAGGACTTGGAGCACATACCTGTTACGGGTTTAAAGCATACTTTAGTCTTGGCCGGGTGCGGTGGCTCACGCCTGTAGTCCCAGCACTTTGGGAGGCCGAGATGGGCAGATCACGAGGTCAAGAGATCGAGACCATCCTGGCTAACATGGTGAAACCCCATCTCTACTAAAAATACCAAAAAAAAAAAAAAAAAAAAAAATTAGCCGGGCTTGGTGGCGGGAGCATGTAGTCCTAGCTACTCAGGAGGCTGAGGCAGGAGAATGGCGTGAACCTGGGAGGCGGAGCTTGCAGTGAGCCAAGATCGCGCCACTGCACTTCAGCCTGGGTGACAGAGCGAGATTCCGTCTCAAAAAAAAAAAAAAGCACACTTTAGTCTCCCACCTACATGAGATTTTGGGCCCCATTGACTTTTCTTTTTTTGAGGCGGGATCTCACTCTTTTGTCCAGGCTGGAGTGCAGTGATCAGGGCTTACTGCAGCCTTGACCACCAGACTCAGGTAATCCTCTCACCTCAGTGTCCCAAGTAGCTGGGACCACAGGTGTACACCACCATACCTGGCTAGTTTTTTCTGTTATTTTTGTAGAGATGGGGTCACCTTATGTTGCCCAGGCTGGCATTAACTCATTTTTGATGGTGCATTCTCTCTACTAATGAAGCATAGTACATAAGTCCCTGCCTTAAGCCTTGAATATTGATAAGGACAATATACTCTAGAAGCTGATGGGTTGAGCTGCTTGCTTAGGAGTGACAAGGGTGTAGCTCTTCTTTCTGAAATCCTTCAGTATTTATCCAAATCAGGGCTGTGGTGAAGACCAAAGTTACTTAAACCCAAACCCAAACACTCCCATATTACTTCCCTGCTACCTGAGTCTAGTTGGTTGATAGTGAAGATAAAACCATAAAAATTACAGGAATTCTCTATACTATCTCGTTTCTTCAGTGAGAGGAAGTTAAATCTTCTAAACAAGTGAATTTTCCAGATGAATAAAAGCTGTGTACCAGAAGGTGTTTTTTGGGTTTTTTTGTTTTTAAATTTTAGAGACAGGGTCTTGGTCTTTCACCCAGGCTGGAGCGCAGTGGTGTGATCATAGCTCATTGCAGCATCAACATTCTGGGTTCAAGCAGTCGTCCTGCCTCAGCTTCCCAAGTAGCTGGTACTACAGGCACATACCACCATGTCCAGCTAATTTTTGCATTTTTTGTAGAGACAGGGTTTGCCATGTTGCCCGGGCTGGTCTTGAGCTGGTCTCCAATTCTTGGCCTCCAGTGATCCACCCACCTCAGCTTTCCAAAGTGCTGGGATTACAGTAATGAGCCACCATGCCTGGCCTACCATAAGTTTTAAAAGTCAGTAATTTTTTTATGGAATGTTGACTAAATGTGTACTGGAATGTTTTTCCTAAACAGTAAATGAATATATTGGTTAACCTCTTATTCGTAATGTGTTTATGGGTCATTATTAATGCTTGGTGTTTATGGGTCATTATTAATACTCGTTTTCCTGCTATACAACAGTACAGTGTTACCAGTGAAATGACTGTATGATGATGCCCTAAAAAAACAAGTATTGAGGCCAGGCGCGGTGGCTCAGCTTGTAATCCCAAGCACTTTGGGAAGCCAAGGCAGGCAGATCATGAGGTCAGGAGATCTAGAACATCTTGGCCAATATGGTGAAACCCCGTCTCTATTAAAAATACAAAAATTAGCTGGGCGTGGTGGTGTGCGCCTGTAGTCCCAGCCACTCTGGAGGCTGAGTCAGGAGAATCACTTGAACCCGGGAGGTGGAGGTTGCAGTGAGCCGAGATCGTGCCACCGCACTCCAGCCTGACAAGAGTGAAATCCGTCTCAAAAAAAAGTATTGAGTGCTGGTTATGTACTACATATTGGGACAGGCACTTGAATAAAAAATTTCAGTTAATGCTAATGGCAACCCTGTGAGGTAGGTATTATTTTTTTCTTAACTATAAATCTTGTTGTATTAACTTGCACCTGGCAAGAAATCTATAATTTTTATGCAAAACCTTTCCTTTTAAAAATATTTGCTGAGTTCTCTGTAATGTAGACTTTGTTAGAAGGATACCTCACTCTGTACTACCAGCCATCTTTATCTCCAATCCCCAGAGGTGTAGTGTTGTGTTGTGTTTTGGTGGGGGTTGGTAGCACCCTACAAGAAAGGGCCTCACATTTCATTTTATAGGAAGAACCAAGATATGAAGCAGGGAGGGAACTTTTTTTTTTTTTTTTTTTTTGAGGTGGAGTCTCGCTCTGTCACCCAGGTTGGAGTGCAGTGGTGCGATCTCGGCTCACTGCAACCTCTGCCTCCCGGGTTCAAGCGATTCTCCTGCCTCAGCTTCCCGAGTAGCTGGATTTACAGGCACGCACCACCATGCCCAGCTAATTTTTGTATTTTTAGTAGAGATGAGATTTCACCATGTTGGCCAGGCTGGTCTTGAACTCCTGACCTTGTGATCCGCCCGCCTTGGCCTTTCTTATATTTTTTCTTGCTATTGGAATGTGACAGTTTCTACCTGCAGTTGTCTTGGTGATGTTCTGAGTCGCATTTCTCCTTTTGACATTGTTTTCCCATTTCCTAATTGTAAACACCTCTATTATCAGTATATTTGGGACATCAATTAATGTCAGGATACACAGATCTCATTTAAAAGTAGTGTAGTATTCCACTGTACTTATTCACACAGTAGCTTGTTGGTGGCACAGTGTAGCATTCCTCGAACTTTTTTTCTCAGGATACCTTTAGACTTTTTTTTGTTTTGTTTTCATTTTTATATTTTATTTTGTTTTTTTCACACAGGGTCTCGCTCTGTCGCCCAGGCTGGAGTGCAGTGGTGTGATCAGAGCTCACTGCAGCCTCAACCTCCTGGCCTCAAGCAATCCTCCTACCCCAGCCTCCCAAGCGGCTGGAACTATGGGCCTGTACCACCATGCCTGGCAAATTTTTATTTTTTGTAGAGATAGAGGTCTCAGCTGGGCGTGGTGGCTCACATCTGTAATCCCAGCACTTTGGGAGGCCAGGGCGGGGGCAGATCATGAGATCAAGAGATCAAGACCATCCTGGCCAACATGGTGAAACCCTGTCTCTACTAAAAATAAAAATAAAAAAATTAGCCAGGCTTCTTTTTTTTTTTTTTTTTGAGTTGGAGTCTCACTCTGTCGCCCAGGCTGGATGGAGTGCAGTGGTGCCATCTCGGCTCACTGCAAGCTCCGCCTCCCGGGTTCATGCAATTCTCCTGCCTCAGCCTCCCGAGTGGCTGGGACTACAGGCGCCCACCACCACGCCTGGCTAATTTTTTGTATTTTTAGTAGAGACGGGGTTTCACCGTGTTAGCCAGGATGGTCTCGATCTCCTGACCTCGTGATCCACCTGCCTCTGCCTCCCAAAGTGCTGGGATTACAAGCGTGAGCCACTGCGCCCAGCCAAAAAAATTAGCCAGGCTTAAGTGATCCTCCCATAGCAGACTCCCAAGTACCTGGGGTCATTGGCGCGTGCCACCACGCCCAGCTAGATACCTTTATACTCTTAAATTGAGGATTCCCCAGATGTTTATTTGGATTGTATTTATCAATATTTACCATATTAGAAATTAAAACAGACTTTAGGAAAAAAATCACTTAAAAATAATGTTCTAACTTAGCATGTTAACAAAATATCATTAAGAAAAAATAACTTTTCTAAAATAAGAGTTTAATGAGAAGAGTGTCTTTTTTTTTTTTTCTTTGAGACAGAGTCTCACTGTCAATTAGGCTGGAGTGCAGTGGCACAATCTTGGCTTACTGCAACCTCTGCCTCCCAGGTTCAAGCAATTCTCCTGCTTCAGCCTCCCTAGTAGCTGGAATTACAGGCATGCACCACCACACCCAGCTAATTTTTATATTTTTAGTAGAGACGGGGTTTCACCATGTTGGCCAGGCTGATCTCGAATTCCTGACATCAAGTGATTCGCCTACCTTGGCCTCCTGAAGTGCTGTGATTACAGGCATGAGCCACCATGCCTGGCCTACTTTTACAAATTGCAACATCTGGCCTAATTTTTAAAAAACCAGAAAGATTCTCATCTGCTTCTGCATTCAGTCTTTGGCAGTATCAGTGTAGACTCTGAGAGAATTAATGGTGGAAAAGGCATGTAACCTTGTAGTATCATTTTGAAAATAATCTTGACTTTGCAGGCCCCATAGTGTCCTCAGATCACATTTTGAGAACAGCTGGTATAGATTGTTTTTAGTTTGTTGCCATTACAGACTCTCCTAATGAAATCTTTATCCATATACCTTGGCACTTATCTGAGGGTGTAGGGTAATTTCCTAGAAGAATAGTTGGCCCAAAGAGTAGTATGTGTTTAAAAGTTGGGTAGGTGAAGATGATTCAATTTTCAGTCTTGGTACTGGTAAATGAGTATTAAGGACACCTTATTTTTTTGAGAAAGTCCAAGTGCACATATCAATTAGTAGACATTAGAACTTGTTAGGAATGATAGATTCCACAGTGGCAGATCTAATTGTACTGATGCATTCCACTTAGCTTGAGCACTCTCTTGATTTTCATTTTTCTCTGTGTTTCCTTTCTCATTCTTTCTCAAGTCTCAATATTGGAGTTTTCTTGAATTGGAGTGTAGGATTTCCTTTCCTTGGTCTTTGTGACAATGTCTTTCTCAGATGTGTGGGAAAAGGTATCGTGTGTGTGTGTGTGTGTGTGTGTGTGTGTGTGTGTGTAAATAAAAGATTCCTCTTGGGAGATAAGGGCATCTGTTTCATTGGAGAGGATAGATGTGTTTCTCAAATGAGTTGGGGTGAATGGGGTCTGTCTTGAGTGTGTGCTTCAGTTATTGAGTTCCACTAGACATAACTGTTATCAGAAACATGTTGCTCTTAGTTAGAACCTTCTCTGCCTCCCTCTTAATGTTGCTGAGGTCTCCTGCTAAGGATCATCATTTCTCGCCTGTCATCTCTGCTACCATGTTATTTAATAAATTCCTCTCCTAAAGTTGAGCTCTATATCCCCATCCATACCCATACCTTAGTAGGATAGAATTACTGTGCCTAATACTGTAGCTATAGCAACAAAATACAAACAAACTTGTTGGGGGTAAGGATTGTGTTAATTGATATTAACACTGAACTGGATCTGTTATAGTTGATTGGTTTAGTGTTTATAACTTGGCTCAATAAAACCTATTAGGTGATGGAGGGAAACCCAATAGACTAGGAATAAACCTAGTATTGTGTCTTTTATTTATTGTCTTACTGAGCCCTCAAGTTGAAAGACTTTCCGGTGTTCTAGCCTCTATAGCCTACTTATCTCTTTGGGAATATGGTATTGGGGATGAGAGCTGGACTTCCTAGACCAAAACTGTGATATGGCTGAAAAGAGAGTTTCAGGGGATACTTCCCTCTAATATCCTGAATAGACCAGAAAAACATTTCCCAACACTAGAAGCTTCTAGTGTGTCCTGTTTTAGCCAGAACTTTGGAAGGGAGTACGTCAAACCTTTTTTTCCCTCTTTCTTATTATCCTGATCCTGTAAACACTACTAAGAGAGTTTTGAAGAAAATGTAAAAGAGACTGGTACTTGAGAAATAATTGCTATTAGGGATTAGGTGGCTGACAATGTCATACCACTGCACTGCCGTGTTTTTTGTTTTAGTGACTGTAAAAATCAGGCGTGTGTTTCTTGAAAGCACAACTTGAATAACAACCTCAATCCCCTGTGCTATGTGTTTCTGACTTCTTAAACTTAAAAAAACTTTTGAATTGCAGTATAATACATCAAAAAGGTACACAAATCATAAGTATTCAATTTGATGAATTTTCAAAAAATAACCAGCACACCATTGAAAAAACAACATAACCACTACTCTGGAAGCCTACTTCAGGTTCCTCCCCAGTCACTATCCTACCCAGAGAAAACTGCTAGCCTAATGATAGGTTAATTTTGCCACTTTGTGAGCTTTGTGTAAATTGAATTCTATGGTTTATACCTTTGTCTCAGCTGTCTTTTACTCAGGTTTGTAAAATATCTGTTGTGTTTACTCTTTGATTCATATATTAACATTGTTCGTGGTATCCATTGTATGAATATTTATACTTTACAGTTTACCTTTTTGTGTGTGTGTGTGTGTTTTGTTTTGTTTTTTTGAGACTGGGTCTTGCTCTGTTGCCTAGGCTGGAGTGCAGTGGCATGATCTTGGCTCACTGCAACCTGCATTTCCAAGGCTTAGGCAATCCTCCCACCTCTGCCTCCTGAGCAGCTAGGACTACAGGCGTGCGCTGCCACACTTGGCTAATTTTTAAAATTTTTTTATAGAGACAAGGTCTCACTATATTGCCTAGGCTGCACTCCACCTGTTTTTTGTTTTTTTTTTAACAGTATTTACATACTATATAATTCACCAATTCAAAATGTACAATTCATTGTTTTTTAGTATAATCACAGGTTTGCAACCATCACCACAATCTAATTTTAGAACATTTTGTCTCCTCTGAAAAAAATCATGTGCCCATTAGCAATCACTACCCACTTTCACTTCCTCCCAGCCCTAAACAACCACTAATCTATTTTCTGTCTCTAAATTTACCTATCTGGACTGGGAATGTGCCTGTAGTCCCAGCTACTCAGGTGGCTGAGGCAGGAGAATTGCTTGAACCCAGGAGGCAGAGGCTGCAGTGAGCTCAGATCACGCCACTGCACTCCAGCCTGGGCGACAGAGAGACTGTCTAAAAAAAAACATACACACACACACACACACACACATTATGTATCTGGACATGTGGTATTTTATGATGGGCTTCTTTAATTTCATATGTTTTCAAGGTTTATACATATTGTAATGTGTTAGGTTTTCATTACTCTGTGTAGCTGAGTATATGCCACATTGAATTTATCTGTTCATTTTTTGCTGTTGTAAATAACCTTGCTGTGAATATAAATGTACAAGTTTTTGTCTGGGCATGTATTCATTTCTCTTGGATATATACCGAGAAGGGAAATTGCAAGGTAACTGCTTAACTTTTGAAGGAACTGCCAAACTTTTCCAAAATTGATGCCTCATTTTATATTCCCAGAAGCAATGTATGAAGCTTCCCATTTCTCTACAGCCTTGTCACCGCTTGTTATTGTCTTGTCTTTGATTGTAGACATTCTAGTGGGTACTAAATGGTATCTCATTTGTGGTTTTGGTTTTTGTTTTCATTTGAGACAGAGTCTCTGTCGTCCAGGCTGGGGTGCAGTGGTGCAATCCTGGCTCACTGCAACCTCCACCTCCCAGGTTAAAGTGATTCTCCTGCCTCAGCCTCCTGAGTAGCTGGGTTTAAAGACATGCACAACGATGCCCAGCTAATTTTTTGTGTGTCTTTAGTAGAGATGGGGTTTCACCATTTTGGCCAGGCTGGTCTCGAACTCCTGACCTCAAGTGATCCACCTGCCTCAGCCTCCCAAAGTGCTGGTATTATAGGCGTGAGCCACCGTGCCTGGCCCTTATTTGTGGGTTTGATTTGCATTTCCTTAATGACTAATGCTGAGCATCTTCTCATATGCTTACTAGTTTTTTGTATATCCGTTTTGGATAAATTTCTATTCAAATTCATTGCCCACATTTTAATATTGAGTTGTAAGAGTCCTTTATATATTCCGGATACAAGTCCTTTACCAGATATATGCTTTCCAAATCTTTTCTCTCATTCTGTGGGCTTTCTTTTTACTTGATGGTATTGTTTGCAGCACAAACAAATTTTTAATTGTGATGCCCAATTTTTTCTTTTATATAGGTTGTA
Source organism: Homo sapiens (assembly GCF_000001405.40). Classification (NCBI taxonomy): domain Eukaryota; kingdom Metazoa; phylum Chordata; class Mammalia; order Primates; family Hominidae; genus Homo; species Homo sapiens. The sequence continues at coordinate 91,494,283 of NC_000014.9, read as the reverse complement.
CTTTTGTGCAGTTTTAACTTTTAGAGAAGCGTTTCCTAGTTGGGTCCTATGCCATTAGAGATCTTGCATCTTCTGAAATATAATTTGTTAAAGTAATGCAATTCTTTCACTCTATTTTACTTTTGTAATTTTATGGAGATAGATTGTGTCTGAGAATATGAGTTGTATTTCAAAGTAGGTTTTTGTGTGTCTTTAGTAGAGACGGGGTTTCACCATGTTGGCCAGGCTGGTCTCGAACTGCTGACCTCAAGTGACCCACCTGCCTGCCGAGGCGGGCAGATTATCTGAGGTTGGGAATTCAAGACCAGCCTGACCAACATGGAGAAACCCTGTCTCTACTAAAAATACAAAATTAGCCAGGCATGGTGGCACATGCCCAGCTACTCAGGAGGCTGAGGCAGGACAATCACTTGAACCCAGGAGGCAGAGGTTGTGGTGAGCCGGGATTGCACCATTACATTCCAGCCTGGGCAACAAGAGTGAAACTCCGTCTCAAAAAAAAAAAAAAAAGTAATATTGATCCATAATGTACTTTATATACTTTATGATTTCCGTGGAGAATAATAGAATGCAATTTTTATTCTAGTAATTAAAATAATGAAAGACTACAAAGATAGTTGGAGATTTTTATACCTTTTTTAAATTTTATATTAAAAATATATAGTATGGGGTCTCACCATCCTATATATGAGACCAGGCTAGCCTCAAGCAATCCTCCCATCTCGACCTCCCAAAGTGCTGGGATTACAGGCATGAGCCACTGCACCTTGCCTTTGTTTTTTGAGACAGGATCTCTTATCACCCAGTCTAGAACCCAGTCTAGAGTGTAGTGGCGCAATCATGGCTCACTGTAGTCTTGAGATTCTGGGCTCAGGAGATCCTCCTGCCTGTCTCTTGAGTAGCTAGAATTATAGGCATGCCCTACCTCATCCAGCTAATTTATTTTTTCTTTCTTTTTCTTTTTTTTTTTTGAGGCAGAGTCTCTGTTGACCAGGCTGGATTGCAGTGATGCAATCTCAGCTCACAGCAACCATGCCCGGCTAATTTTTGTATTTTTAGTACAGATGGGGTTTAACCATGTTGGCCAGGCTGGTCTCAAACTCCTGACCTCAAGCGATCTGCCCACCTCAGCCTTCCAAAATGCTGGGATTACAGGCGTGAGCCACCACGCCCAGCCTACTTTTTCTTATTTTTATTTTATTTTATTGTTATTTTATGTTTGCAGAGGCAAGGTCCTGCTTTATTGGCCAAATTGTTCTCAAACTCCTGGCCTCAGGCGATCCTCCCACCTCAGCTTCCCAAAGTGCTGGGTTATAGGTGTGAGCCACCGCACCTGGCCACCTGCTGCTTTTTCTTGTTATGAATGTATCACTAGCACAGCTCTTAATAACCAAAATAAAATCCTGAAAATTGAGCGTAAAGAGAATTGAAGGGGCACTGGAAAATGTGTTTTGATTAATCTGGCAAAAGTTGGATAAAGAGGAAGAAGATTAAAACAGTATTTTCTCCAAAATGTGAGAATGCTTATCTGAGCGTCCTAAGCCAAAACCAGTTTTTGTAAAGAAAAAAAGCCCAAAGAAATGGGGTTTGTGGGGAATACAGGTGGGAAAAAATAATATGGTGAATGTTTAGTTACCTTAAGCACTCAAAGGATAAGAAAGAGATTTTGGATTAATTAGGTCACCTGTCCTAGACATAGTTGGGAGGGTTGGTGTGAAGTGGAAAGCTGTTCATGTGCATAAGACATATACAAATTGAGTTATCATAACTTGGTTAATTTACTGTGTTCGGTATTACTTGGTACTGTTCTGAGCACACAGTAGTGAATGGTCATTAAATCATTAATACTGGACAGCATTCATAAAACAAATGAACTTTGATGTAAAAGCAAACTAAATTTGGAAATGTTAAGAGCACTCTTAGCCATCTAACCACTATTTGGAATGGGTAAAGCAATTGTTAAGTGTAATAGAAGAAATGAAAGCTCCGTATGAGAGACAGTTGCAGAGAAAACTGCTTTTTCTCAAATATTTTGGGCCAGAGTTTGTCTTCAGGTAGTACTTGCAGGTATAAACTAGAACTGGTTGATAAGAGGAGAGGGGTATGGGAAGTCATACAATATATAAGAGATTTTAACCCAGATCATCTGACTTCACACTGTGTTGTTTAATTACCTTCTGCTGTCCATAAATTAGTAGATTTCTATTGTTACCCAGTCCTTACTCGTCAGATTATCATGTCTTTACTGCTAAAAGTAAGCACGTATATAAAACATTTATTGGCTGGGTGCAGTGGCTCATGCCTGTAGTCCCAGCACTTTGGGAGGCCAAGATGGGTAGATTGTTTGAGCCCAGAGACCAGCCTGGGCAATAAAGGGAGACCCCGTCTGTACAAAAAGTAAAAAAATTAACCAAGCATGGTAGCTGGCACCTGTCCCAACTACCCAGAAGGTGGAGGTTGCAGTCAGTGAGCTGAGATCGCACAACTGCAACAGAGCTGAGACCCTATCTCAGAAAAACATTTCTTAGGTTACAAGTTACTGTAATTAAACTTACCTTGTTTTAAAAATAATTTTTCTAGGCCAGGCGTGGTGGCTCACGCCTGTAATCCCAGCACTTTGGGAGGCCAAGGCTGGTGGATCACGAGGTCAAGAGATTGAGACCATCCTGGCCAACATGGTGAAACACCATCTCTACTAAAAATACAAAATTATCTGGGCGTGGTGGCACATGCCTGTACTCCCAGCTTCTCAGGAGGCTGAGGCAGGAGAATCGCTTGAACTTGGGAGGCGGAGGTTGCAGTGAGCCGAGATCGCGCCACTGCACTCCAGCCTGGCAACAGAGTGAGACTCTGTCCCCAATAATAATAATTTTTCTGTAACTGAAGTTGAGTTTGCATCAAATGTTCAGAAAAGGAAATATGGTCGGGCACAGTGGCTTGCACCTGCAATCCCAGCACTTTGGGAGGAGGGGGCAGTGGGAGGATCACTTGAGCCCAGGAGTTGGAGACCAGCCTGGGCAACATAGCGAGACTCTATCTCTACAAAAAGTGAAAAAATATTTAAAAATATTTTTTGAGGCCAGGCGCAGTGGCTCACGGGTGTAATGCCAGCACCTTGGGAGGCCGAGGCTGGTGGATCACCTGAGGTCAGGAGTTTGAGACCAGCCTGACCAACATGGTGAAACCCCGTCTCTACTAAAAATACAAAACATTAGCCTGGTGTGGTGGCACACACCTGTAATCCCAGCTCCTTGGGAGGCTGAGGCAGGAGAATCTCTTGAGCCTGGGAGGCGGAGGTTGCAGTGAGCTGAGGATCGTGCCAGTGCACTCCAGTCTGGGCGACAGAGAGAAGCCCTGTCTCATTAAAAAAAAAAAAAAAAAAATTATTATTATTTTTTTTAAGGAAATATGTGTGTATGTAAGGGAATATAATTTTGCTGTTTTACAGTAACATAATGGAATGTCTTTTTCTGTTTCCTAGGTTCTCTACTTTTAGAGTCGAAAATAAATCCTAACACTGCATACCAGAAACAACAGGTAAAATTTTGAAGATGTGTTTTATCTTGCATATTTTCCTTTTGAGTAAATGAAAGTTTATTATCTGATTGCTTATAGTGAAAAATTTAGAAGAGATTACAACAGTTTGGCAGTGAAATTCTAAAATAGGATTTCTGCCAATTCCTATAGTGTTTAATACAATAATTTTAAATTTAAAAAGCTTGCCACAAGTTAAAATGGAGTTTGTGTTCCACCTACTATAGCAACTGAGCCCTAAAATTTCCTTGTTTTTACCTAAAAAAAAAAGGTGACCATTGATGTGATAAGCTGCTACAAACACAGTTAAATGGTGAAAATTCCTGTTGTAGATGATAGTGCAGAAGGAACATTAGTATCTCCCTCTACAGCAGTACTGTGTAGATAGGAATCTGTCATATGAATCTGATTTCTTTTACAGATTCCTGAATAGGGTCTTATTATGATACTACAGTTTTGAAGGTAACTGTACTTCACAGTACAGTGTACTCAAAATACACTTTCTTAAACCTTTCTAATATGCAAAAAAATATTAGAAAGTAAATCTTTCACTTAGTATCAACTAGTGCTGTTATTAAATGGTATTCATTCAGTACACACGCGCGTGCGCTTCACGTACACCCACACAGACACACAGGATGAGTGCTCTATATAGCCAATGAAGTCAAGATCAGTTCCCTCATTGCCCAGAAGATGCAGATACAAAATAGTTAATTGAGAAGAAAGAAGATTACCAGCTTGTTCATAAAGTGCTTTGCTTCATCATTGATCTTTAAAATACTAGAAAGAAGTTAGTATTGTTTTTATTTTTCCCATTGGGTGATGCGTAAAGGTCGTGACTTGTTTGACCACACAAATAGTGGTTAGGAATGCTGGTGTCAACTCCTAAATATATTTAGTCGTGATTTATTTGTCCACCAAACATTCATACAGTATATTTTCTTGATAGTTTGATAGTCTGATAGAATACTGTATTGCATTTAGTGTTCTTAAGAAAACTTAAGTTTAATGGAAAAATCTAGAGCCTGGAATATTTGGCTTTGGTCTTCCATACTTAAATACATTAAATACATGTTTTGAAGTTGTATTCAGCTGAAGAGTAAAAGCACATCTTAAGAAAAAGGAAAGATTGAAACTGTTTTGAGAATGAATGAACAGATTCATGTGTCTCAGCCTATAGGTTTTTGGGTGATAAGCAAGATAATTTGGGGAAAAGTTGCTGTAATATTTGGAATCTTCAAGGAAAACAGAAAAGCAGTTTCTAAAATTTTATAAACTTGCTAGATTTGTCAAATGGGTAATTAAGAGCATATGTCTGGCTATACCCTGACTTAAGCATCAGCCACAAAGTGATTCTGAATATACGTTATAGCAGAATGTGTTATTGGCTTTACACTTATCCTAGTAGCCTTTAATAAGGCTGATAATTGTAAGTATTTATCAGAATTTTAGGAGCCATCTAATTTGGGCAGGTTGTTCCTTTCACCCCCAAGATGATTGTTATTTTCTGCCAACTTTGTTTTCATCACTAAGAAGTAGTACCAGCCAGGCGTGGTGGCTCACACCTGTAATCCCAGCACTTTGGGAGGCCGAGGCAGGCGGATCATGAGGTCAGGAGATCGAGACCATCCTGGCTAACACGGTGAAACCCCGTCTCTACTAAATATACAAAAAATAAGCTGGGCGTGGTGGCGGGTACCTGCAGTCCCAGCTACTCAGGAGGCTGAGGCAGGAAAATGGCGTGAACCTGGGAGGTGGAGCTTGCAGTGAGCCGAGATTGCGCCACTGCACTCCAGCCTGGGCGACAGAGCGAGACTCCATCTCAAAAAAAAAAAAAAAAAAGTGGTATCTATATTATGACTAGTTTTCATAACAGTATATATCTTTCCCATCCTAATGATGAGGAAACTGAGGCTCAGAGAGGTTACCTCACTTTCTAAGCATTACCTGCCACATAGATGGTGGTATTAGAATTTATACCGTGGCCTCTTTACCTCTTAAATTTCTTAGTATTTTCATTCCATGCTATTTTGAGGGAAAATAACATAACTTTAATTTTGTCTTATCTGGAGCCTTATAATAAGTGCTCAGTATTTACTGAGCAGATAACCTTGTAAAGTATTTAGGCTGCCAGAATTATAGATTAACTGCAAATTCTTCTACCATTTGTTCTGTTCTGGTGAATTATAAAGGTAAACTAAAAATGAAACCTTACCAATTTTTGGCATGTTGATCTTAGAATGTTAATAGTTTTGAGCTTGAATTGCCACTCAGTCTGGATCAGATTGCCTGCCTGGTGTCTGTGATATATGGAAGTCCTTTAAGATAGTATAAAAAGTGGAGTTTGAGGTGTTTTCCAAAATTCTGAATAAAAATTATAGACTTAGTAATACTGCACAACCAAATCAGATTCTTATCTGTTTATTTCTGGCTGGCAGCACTTTAGTCCAGTGAGACTACTGGTCTCATGATTGACAGTTATATAAATGACTGAACAGAGTTAATATGCAGTTTGGCAGATAAATTTTTCATTTTTTTTTTTTTTTAGAGATGGGGTCTTGATATGTTGCTCAGGCTGGAGTACAGTGGCTATTATTCACAGGTGTGATCATAGTGCACTGCAGCGTCCAACTCCTGGCCTCAAGCAATCCTCCCTCCTCAGCCCCGTAACTAGCTGGGACTACAGGGATACACCATTGTGCCTTGCTTAGACACATTTTTAAACATGGAATCCATTTGTGTTACATTAAGAAGTGTTCTTGGCTGGGGTTGGTGGCTCACGCCTATAATTCTAGCACTTCTAGAGCCCAGGAGTTTGAGACCAGCCTGGGCAACATGGCATAACTCCGCCTCTACAAAAAATACAAACATTGGGCATGGTGGCACATGCCTGTAGTTCCAGCTACTTGGGAGGCTGAGGTGGAAGGACCACCTGAGCCCAGGGAAGTAGAGGCTGCAGTGAGCCTTGATGGCACCACTACATTGCAGTATGAGTGATAGAGACACCATCTCAAAAAACAAACAAACAAAAAAAAACAGAAGTGTCCTTGCCTAGTGAGAAAGATTAGAAACTGCTGCAATAGAATCATAGGTCCTTAAAGGTACCTTAAGCTAGTCATCTTTCCTTCTCAATACAGGAACCATTATCATCCTGATGGATACCCAGTCGGCCTTTGCATGGCTGTTTTTGGTTACTTGCTAGTCAGATTGAATTATTTTTTTCTTTATACCATATTCAAATCCATCTAACTTTACTCTTCTAAATTCTCTTTGTACCAGCTTGAAAAAACACTTGAGTGACATAGCCCTTCAGATTTTGAAGTTAGCCATTAAATGTAACTCTCCCTAGTACCATTCAGTATTTCTTGTATGAGATGATTTATAGATTGCTCTCAATGAGAGGATCCTTTTTTGAAATGGTTGATTGCTATCAAACAGTATGTATATTTATTTATTGCCAGTAAGATTTGAAAGGATTTTTTTTTTTTTTTTTTTTTTTTGAGACGGACTCTCACTCTGTCACCCAGGCTGGAGTGCAGTGGCACGATCTCGGATCACTGCAACCTCTGCCTCCCGGGTTCAAGTGACTCTCCCACATCAGCCTCCCATGTAGCTGGGATTACAGGCATCCGCCATCATGCCCGGCTAAAATTTTTTTGTATTTTTAGTAGAGACGGGGCTTTACCTGTTGGCCAGGCTGGTCTTGAACTCCTGACCTCAGGTGATCCGCCTGCCTTGGCCTCCCAAAGTGCTGTGATTAGAGGCATGAGCCACCGCACCCTGCCAAAAGGATATATTAGGCCTTATAAATATTTTGACTCTCTATTTTTTTTTTTTTTTTTTTGGAGACAGAGTTTTGCTCCTGTTGCCCAGGCTGGAGTGCAGTGGGGCAGTCTCAGCTCACTGCAACCTCCGCCTCCTGGGTTCAAGCAGTTCTCCTGCCTCAGTCTCCCGAGTGGCTGGGATTACAGGCACATGCCCGGCTAATTTTTGTATTTTTAGTAGAGATGGGGTTTCACCGTGTTAGCCAGGCTGACCTCAAACTCCTGACCTCCGCCCACCTCAGCCTCCCAAAGTGCTGGGATTACAGGCGTGAGCCACCACGCCCAGCCAAATATTTTTATTATACCATGCATATTGTAGAATATATGCTCTTGGTACTATGAGGAATATAAAATGGTCTCAGTAAGTATTGTATGTGCAGTGTCTTGCTGAGATTACATCTTAATAAAAACTGTTGAACTGTTCATTAAATTTTCATTAAAGTTCTGTCTAGATGGCCAGGCACTGTGGCTCATGCCTGTAATCCCAGTGCTTTGGGAGGCCAAGGCGGGAGGGCCCAAGGCCAGGAGTTCAAGACCAGCCTAGGCAACATGACAAGACCTCCATCTCTACAAAAAATGAAACTAAGAAGTTCTGAATAGGAATGAAAGGGTGGTAGGTGCTAGGAGTTTGCTGCTTCTTGAACCATAGCACTTTGCTAAGTTTAAAAAAAAAAACAAAAAAACCTATGTATAGGTAAATGCTCACGTACTACAAATGTAGCCAATAATTTCAAGGGCTTCATGGACCTCAGAGGCCCCTGGTGAAAAACACCTGCTGACAATAGAGGGAAGAGAGAAGGAGTTTTATTAACCCTATCGTCCTAACATGCCCTAGCTATTTTATGCTTAGATTTCCTCTTTGGACATTTTAATGACAGCATAAAATGTAAGTCAGTATGCTCGGATAGCGTTGGTATAATTGGTATAATGTTTTGTTTTTATCTTTTGCAATGCATGAAAAGAATATATTTCATATATTGGTTTAAGTTGTCCTTAAGGAAACATTATTTTTGTTTTATAGATTGGGGGAAGTGAAGTGTAAAAAGTCATTGTTTTGAAAAAGAAAGACATTGATAATTGCCAGTATTAGTGTTGCAAAAAGTAAAAATGAGCACAGTTTTATTTCCTTTTGTTTGTTCATTTTCGTTTGTGATAGTGTATGTTAATCATTCAGACTCCTTTTATGTCTCCAAAGGACACTCTGATTGTGTGGTCTGAAGCAGAAAATTATGACTTGGCCCTTAGCTTTCAAGAAAAAGCTGGATGTGATGAAATTTGGGAGAAAATATGTCAGGTAATTTTTTAAATAAAAAAATCAACATGCTTTCTTTAAGTGTTTAGTTTTTTGCCATGCTTTCAACTAATGCCCAAGAGTTTAAATAAATTTCAAATTGATCTTTTAAATTCACTGCTGTCTTTGAACTTGATTTAAAGGAAGGTGTAATTTATTGACACTAAACTCTCTAGCTCATACCTTTGCTGAACTCCAGTGTTTTATATCCACCTGCCTTTTTGAAACTTTCTCTTTTCATGTTCACTAGCATCTCAAATTTAGTACTCCAAAACCAAACATAATCTTCTCACATATATCTATCCCATCTCCTTCTAAGTGCCATGCAGTTGCTGAAATCAGAAACTTGTGGATCTTGTTTATCCTTCCATCATCGCTTTTATCCATTCAGTCCCTCGATAATAAATCTAGATCCATTGGCTTATCTTCATTTTTACTTTTGTAGTTTTCCAAGCCACCATCATTTCTTGCCTGGTTTATTGGTTTTGTCTTGACTGATCTTCCTAAATCAACATTTTAGCTAGAGCAATTAGGTGATCTTTTTAAAAATGCAAGTCTGATTACATCACTCTTTGTTCATAACTTCTTGTGGCTTTTGAAAGAAAACCCACCCTTGTACTTGTCTTGAGCAGTATGGCTGTTGACTGACTATTCAGCCTTACCGTGCCTCTAGGCTCGAATGTTCTTAATTTATTCTGGAGTTTCCCTAGTGACATAATCACAATCTTTTGTGAATTTGCATTTGTATGTGCTCTAGTAGCTAATGCTGTTGGCTCTTGTTATACACTTCTTAGGCCATTTCTTTCTAGAGAAGGTTTCTCCATCTCCATGTTTACTTTATCTAGAGAATAATCTTCACCAGATTCCTTAATTCCTTTGAATGTGGCCCTCAAACCAGCAGCACAAGCATGACCTGGGAACTGATAGAAATGCAAATTCTGAGACTAGCACCCCTCCCGCCGACCCCAGACCTACTGGATCAAAAACTGCAAGTAGGGTCCAATAATTGTTTTTTAAAATCCTTTCTTAGGAATTCTGTTTTCACAAGCCCTATAGGCCAGACTTTTCTCTGTAAAAAACAAGATAGTAAATATTTAAGGCTTTGCAGGCCATATAGTCTCTGTCACAGCTAGGTCACCTCTGCTGTTCTAGTTCGGAAGTAGTCATAGACAGCACATAAATGAATGGAGGGGCTGTCTTCTAGTAAAACTTTTATTTACAAAAACAGGTGGCAGACCAAATTTGGCTATGGTTTGTCGCCCCCTGCTTTTGGTGATTCTGATGCACCCTAAAGTTTGACAGCTATAGCATTCATAGAAGATATAGTGTCCTTAGCACAGTTTTTCCTTGACTTAATGGAATTTATTTCAAGAATATATTCTACTTCGCTGTGCTTTTCATAAATTAACCTGTCTGTTAAGCTGTCCCTTTCCTTCTCTGAAACATGAAAGGACTAACATTTATATCTGAATACCATCCATCTTTTTAGTTTTTCTTTGCTTTCCATCCAACAATTATATTTATAGCATATGTCTCTAGATTTTGTCTTGTAGTGTTATCCCAAAGAGAGAGAGGTGACATTAATGAGTTCAGGCTATGTTAATAGCATCTGTTATTCAGACAAATCTTGTTCTCCTCTCTCATCTTTCTGAATCAAACACTTCCACTCTGGATACAGTCTTCCTTTATGCCAATGTGTAACTCAAACCTGAACTCACTTTGTCATTGTCATGCCTGGCTCTCCTTTAATATTGTCTGATCTTTACCTTTGTTTGGTCTTTAATATCATAAAGTTTTTCATCATCTTAATAATTTTATCACTAGCTGCTTTAATATTCTTTTCTGATACTCCCTTTCAACTTTTATATAGTTTATGTTCAAGGTGTCATTTCTCAGTCACTCTTTTTATGGGTTCTGTCTGAACTTCTCAATCATTTTCTAGATCCAAGAAAGTCATTACATTTTGCTCTCTGAGATATTAAATGTTTTTCTATTTCTTGAACCATGTTCACCAATTTGCTCAACTCAAAAAGATGGCATTCTTAATATAATAAGGGCACTCCTCTCTTTTCATTTGGTTTGCTAATCAAAATCTAACATTTTTCTGTGGATAAAGTCATAGTTTGGGTATCAGGAACTTAAAACTATAATGAGAGCTTACATAATTAACAAATTCAGAGCCAGTGTGAGACCATGCAGGTACAAGCCATGAATGTGACTTGCCTCCTTTCAGTGCTGCTGTCCACTTGGTTGAGGTCAAGACCATATCACCTTGCAGCACATTTCAAGAAAAGTATTCCAGGTCGTCATCTTTTCTAGTATCTATCAGTGCATCTGTTCATTACGCTAAGCAATTTAAGTTTCTTGGCTTTTCCATATAAGGTCTAATTTTTTTCATTGCTTTACCATTCTACTTGGCCTTCTACTTGCTTTAGTGTTCACTGTCCCAAATTCTAGGGCCAAGATAACAAAATTTGTTTCATTTCAAAGTTTATCCTTGACCTTTTGTTACCAAAAAAAATGCCTTACTTTAAAATGTAGTCAATATAAGTTACCTTTTTATAATAAGAGCCCCTCCAGTGGCATAAAATTAGGTTTTATGACAGATTTTCAGGCTCCTAGAGGGATCATGAAGGCTACAGGTTAGGGTGTGTAGAAAGGAAAATATTTTCGTGGTTTGGTTACTTAACCTTCAGCAGACCTTTTTTGGGAATAACTCTACTACATATAGGTTGTATTTACTTTATATGTGGCTTCATTTTTATGTAGGTACACTTGTATTCTGCCTAGTGTTTTTTAAATCCTGTGTTTGGGCTGTCAGTATTTATAGAAGATCAGTGACTCACTTTGGTCCAAAGCCAGTTTGTTCATGCTCTTTGGCCCTTGGTTTCTACAATCAATTGATGTTAAATATTTTCCTTTTTGCTTATAATTATATATATTTTCTGTGATCATAACATTATGATATTTGGTGTTTATTTGGTCTTCACCTCAGAGTTAAATATTGAAGAGTTTGGTGGTGGCAGTGTCCTTTAGCACAGTCCTAGGACTGTTTCTGAGACTTGCCTTGGTCTGCTGGAAAAGAGGGCCAGGGATATGAGATGTTAGTGGCTGTTTTAGCATCAGGCTTCTATGTTGTGGGTCTGCAGAGGGCTGTTTCGTAACAGTCTCACTTAGTTTAGCCTGTCCTAGAAAGTTGTTCTTGCCAGCAGACCTCATACTTTATAGGGAAGCTCATTCTGTTTTTGAACTTTGACTAACTTCCTTAAAATTGAAAGTATACATATTTGGAGAAATGTAATGTAGAAAAGTAGGCAGTTTTGTCTTGAAAATGACCATTATAGGTTTCTTACAACATTTCTAGTATTCATCTTAGAGTAGCATTTAGGTTTGCTGGTCACCTGTTATCTATTTTGTCAGCAATTAAATTTTTTTTCATAGGTTCAAGGAAAGGACCCTTCCGTGGACATCACTCAGGACCTTGTGGATGAATCTGAAGAGGAGCGTTTTGATGATATGTCATCGCCAGGCTTAGAATTGCCATCTTGTGAATTAAGTCGCCTTGAAGAAATTGCAGAACTTGTGGCATCATCTTTACCTTCACCTCTTCGTCGTGAAAAACTTGCACTGGCACTAGAAAATGAGGGTTATATTAAAAAGCTCCTGGAGCTTTTTCATGTGTGTGAAGATTTGGAAAATATTGAAGGACTGCACCACTTGTATGAAATTATCAAAGGCATCTTTCTCTTGAATCGAACTGCTCTTTTTGAAGTTATGTTCTCTGAAGAATGTATAATGGACGTCATTGGATGTTTAGAATATGATCCTGCTTTATCACAACCACGAAAACACAGGGAATTTCTAACAAAAACAGCCAAGTTTAAAGAAGTGATTCCCATATCAGATCCTGAGCTGAAACAAAAAATTCATCAGACATACAGAGTTCAGTATATACAAGATATGGTTCTACCAACTCCTTCGGTCTTTGAAGAAAACATGTTATCAACACTTCACTCTTTTATCTTTTTCAATAAGGTAGAGATTGTTGGCATGTTGCAGGTGAGTTAGATCATTCCTTTTTTCATATTTCAAGAGATGCAGCGAAAACAATTTGCTCCTTTTAAATACATACATTGAGTTTTAATTTTGTTAATGTATAAAGTTAAGTATTGTGAGTTATTTTAAGAGATTATAATATACAATAATAATACGAGACCAGAAGGTTACTCTATCTGGGGTAGGAGAGGTAAGTGTGACAAATGTAGTTTGAAGAAATGGTATGAGGGGATGATTTTTTGGATACAGGGTCTTGCTCTGTCACCCAGGCTGTAGGGCAATAATGCAGTCTCAGCGACTGCAACCTCCACCTTCGCTTCCCTGGCTGAAACAATCCTCCCACTGCAGCCTCCTGAGTAGCTGGGACCACAGGTGTGCACCACCACCCCCAGCCAATTTTTGTATTTTTTGTAGAGATGGAGTTTGTCATACTGCCCAGGCTGGCCTCAAACCTCTGAGCTCAAGCAATCTGCCTGCCCTGGCCTCCCAAAGTGCTGGGATTACAGGTGTGAGCCACTGGGCCCAGCCTGATTTTTTTTTTTTTAAGTTGAGGTCTTGCTCTGTTGCCCAGGCTGGAGTGCAGTGGCACAGCCATAGCTTATTGCAACCTTGAACTCCTGGGCTTGAGCCGTCCTCCCACCTCAGCCTTCCAATTAGCTAAGACTACAGATGCATGCTACCATAGCCACCTTTTAAAAATTTTTTTGTAAAGAATGGATCTCACTTTGTTGCCCAGGCTGGTCTCAAACTCCTGGCTTCAAGCAATTCTCCCACCTTAGCCTTGCAAAGTGTTGGGATTACAGTTGTGAGCCACCATACTCAACTATAGGAGGATAATATTAATGAAATGGTTGAATGCTGAACTTTGGGGTTATTACTCTATGAATTTTGCATAGAATAGAACAGATTGGAAGAGGAAAGAGTGAAGCACAAAGCCAAGAGAAATGTCACCAAACACAGAATATAAATTCTAATGAGAATTGTGGGCCAGGCGCTATGGCCTGTCTCTACCAAAAAAATAAAATTTAAAACGAATTTGTAAAATTCCCAGATAATGATACGGTAAAAGTCCAGTTTCAGGGTCTAGGGAATGTAGCAGAGGAGGCAAATTATAACTGCATGTATCCCTACCAAAAGCCACGTTTTGCTAAGGGGTGTGCCTGTGGGTGAGTTAAACCCATGTGAATTTGAGTTTCAGCTCCGTCTGTCACTTAATAACAGTAGCTATGTGAGTTGGGCAGCCTTAACTTCTTAAAGCTTCGGTTTCCCCATCTGAAGGATGGTGACATTAATGCCTACCCTGTAAAGTTGTCTGAAAATTAACTGAGGTCAGGCATGTAAAGAAAGTGTTTAATATGATGTAAGATTCATGGGAATTTTTTAAGTGTCTATTGATAATTGCTTATTAAAATGTAGATTTTTTTTTCTTATAGTATGCCCAATCTCTCTGATCTGGTGTTTTAGGGTATTTGCATCACAGTCCCCTAGGGTGCAGTATCATGAATTCTGCACAAAACCTGAGTCAAAGTCTCTGAGAGCTAGACAATAATTTGCGTTTGTAACACCCCCAAAATTAGAAAAGCTCTTACTGTGTCATCCCAGTGTGTGAATTGGTCTATTCTAACTGAAATAGAAGTTTACATAGGCTGGGCCTAGTGGCTTATACCTGTAATCCCACCACTTTGGGAAGCCAAGGCAGGAGGATCGATTGAACCCAGAAGTTAAAGACTAGCCTGGGGCTGGATGCGGTAGCTCACGCCTACAATCCCAGCACTTTGGGAGGCCAAGGCGGGTGGATCACCTGAGGTCAAGAGTTCAAGACCAGCCTGGCCAACATGGCGAAACCCCGTCTCTACTAAAAATACAACAATTAGCTAAACGTGATGGTGGACGCCTGTAATCCCAGACTCGGGAGGCTGAGACGAGAGAATCATTTGAATCTGGGAGGCGGAGGTTGCAGTGAGCTGAGATCACACCATTGCACTCTAGCCTGGGCAACAGGAGTGAAATTCTGTCTCAAAAAAGATTTTTTTTTTTTTTTAAATTAGCCAGGTATGGTGATGCATGCCTATAATCCCAGCCATGTGGGAGGCTGAGTTGGGAGAATCGCTTGAGCCCAGGAGTTTGAGTCTGCAGTGAGCAATGATCATGCCACCGCACTCAAGCCTGAGCAACAGAGTGAGACCCTATCTCAACAACAAAAAAATAAGTTTGTGTAGTACAAAGAAAGAATTGTTATTTGCACCCATACACACACACACACACACACACACACACACACACACGTTGTTTTTTATTCTTTGATGCCTGTGGTATTGTAAGAATAATAGGTCTTTGGGAGACTGAGGTGGGTGGATCACTTGAGGTCGGGAGTTCGAGACCAGCCTGACCAACATGGCAAAACCTCGTCTCTACTAAAACTACAAAAATTAGCCAGGCGTGATGGTGGACACCTGTAATCCCAGCTGCTCAGGAGAATGAGGCAGGAGAATCGCTTGAATCCAGGAGGCAGAGGCACATGCCTGTAATCCCAGTTACTCCAGAGGCTGAGACAGGAGAATCATTTGCACCTGGTAGGCAGAGGTTGCATTGAGCCAAGGTCGCACCGCTGCAGATAAGTGTAATATGACTTGGAAGATCTTTTAAGACTTTACCTCAGGTGTATAAGTAAAATTTATTTGAAACCTGAATTTGTTAAGTATAGAAAGGAAGACAATAAATGTAGTAAGAGCTGCCTGGTAGCACACATTACATATAAAGCAGTATGTTTAATCATGTCTGTTCCTGTTTAGAAAATTTTGTATTTCTAAAATATTAGCCAGTGATAGGCAAAAAAAGGAAAAGTATGAACTAAAATACTGAGTTCTCCTGATCCTTTTCTTTAGCTCCATATGGTTCTGTTTTTGTTATGTGGGGATTTGTCACTTCTGTGTTTTCTTGGTCTTCATACATGTAAAATGCCAGTTTTATTCATTAAGTATGAATAATTTCAAGTTGTTAAATCTTTGCTTCCCTGTAATGTGCTTTGTAAAATACTGGCTGCCAATATGTCTGTTTCTCTTGATGCTGGACACTTCTATCCAAAGTGCTGCTGTGAAGGCTGTAGCATTTTACAAATGTTTTGGCAAGAAGTGATTGAGGTACAGTTTAATGCAGGTTCCTGCCCACTTTGTATAGCCCCATGCACACAAAATAAATATCACACCCTCTTAACATTGACTGCTTCCTTTGTAGTACCATAAACATTCTTATTTTCTCTATTTCTGTACCCCCAACTGCAGCAGTTCAGAGAATGTCTTTTTTAACCATTTGATACCCATTTGGTAGAATATAGTATATTGGAGATGTGTCTTGAAATTGGATGCCATTTGGGTAGCAAACATGGTCAAGATCATATTAATGAGGTATGACCTATTTGTTCATTTTAGAAAAAGTAAAGGTGAGAATAACCAAACTAACTTAGTGCCACAGAAGATTTTTCTGGAGCACTCACAACAGTGAATGTGGAGCCAGTAATCTAGTGGGAGCTTGTATATACATCCATGTGTATGTGTATTTAGAGTGAGGCATGTCTAGGGCTTAAGTGGTATTGAATCTACTTCCACTAGCTGAGGTAGTAATTAAAATCTTGGTCGAGCATGGTGGTTCATGTGCGTAATCCCAGCACTTCAGGAGGCCCAGGCCAGTGGATTGCTTGAGGCCACGAGTTCAAGACCAGACTGGCCAACATGACAAAACCCCATCTCTGCTACAAGTACAAAAATTAGCTGGGTGTAGTGGTGTGTGCCTGTAGTCCCAGCTGCTAAGGAGACTGAGACAGGAGAATTGCTTTAACCTGGGAGGCGGAGGTTGCAGTGAGCCGAGATGGCACCACTGTGCTCTACCTGGGTGACAGAGCAAGACTCTGTCTCAAAAAGCAAAACAAAACAAAAGCCAAGATCTTGATGAAAAAATAGTGATGAGAAACATTGACCGGACAATCATGAAGGCTCTGCCACCTTAATTGGGCTTGGGTAAATTTTAAAATCCAAGTCTCAATTATAAAATGAGGAAGTAAAACAAAAAGTTCTAAATTTTGCTTTTTAAATAATTGAGTCATTCTCTGTATCTTTAAAACACTAAAGTAGCTTTGTCTTCATTTTCATTCTCATTTGAGAGGTTGTAGAACTACCTTTTAAAAGTTAATAAGGTTATAAAACCTATGAAAGTGAGGGGTCAGCAAGTGTTGGTCCTGCTATTTTTGTAAGTAATATTTTATTGAAATACAGCCATATCCATTCATTTCCAGTTGTCTGTGACTACTTTCATATTACTGGAGCAGGGTTGAGTACTCGTAGTAGAGATCACATGGGCCGCAAAGCTCAAAATATTTACTACCTGGCCTTTATATAGGCTTAGAAAATAGAGCCTTGACAAAATTTTATACTTTAATAGTGTGGTTTTTCCTTCTGTTAAAAAAAAAAAAAAAGACAGCATTGCCAATACCACCTTTCCTTTTTATAGTTATTGCTGTGTATATTAAAGCATTCCTGAAATTATATTTTAGGACAATCTTAGCATTAACATAATTGCATTTGTCCTTTGTTTCACAGGAAGATGAAAAATTTCTGACAGATTTGTTTGCACAACTAACAGATGAAGCAACAGATGAGGAAAAAAGACAGGAATTGGTAAGAAATTAGATACTATGAAAGGCATAAAAATAAAACAACTGGCCGGGCTTGGTGGCTCACGCCTGTAAATCCCAGCACTTTGGGAGGCCGAGGTGGGTGGATCACGAGGTCAGAAGTTTGAGACCAGCCTGGCGAACATGGCGAAACCCCATCTCTACTAAAAAGTACAAAAATTAGCCAAGCATGGTGGCGGGCACCTGTAATCCTAGCTACTCAGAAGGCTGAGGCAGGAGAATCGCTTGAACTCGGGAGGTGGAGGTTGCAGTGAGCCAAGATCGTGCCATTGCACTCCAGCGTCGGCAACAAGAGCAAGACTCCGTCTCAATAAATAAATAAATAAAATAAACTTTTTATATCACTTATCCTTTTTTCTAATTTCAGGTTAACTTTTTAAAAGAATTTTGTGCGTTTTCCCAAACGCTACAGCCTCAAAACAGAGATGCTTTTTTCAAGACTTTGTCAAACATGGGCATATTACCAGCTTTAGAAGTCATCCTTGTAAGTTTTGTGTCTCCTCATTTTTAATTACCATTTTTTAATCCCAAAATTAATATTTTTAATGCTACATGCAAATATTCTATTATAGCCAATATTTGAAATTAGCTGCGTAGTTCATTAAGTTAAAGAAGCTGTAAAATTCCAATATTAGACAGTTTTCACACAGTATTGAAAGAATGCAGTAAAGGAATTTCCCATAATTTAATGATAGTTTGTCAGCTTTGCAGCTTATTAGCTGAAATGTTAAAATAGGCAAACAAATAAATGATTTAGAAAGTATAATTTTATCCGTACAATAAGAGTTTTATATGCAGAAGAATTTCTTTGACCTTTCTTTTACATTGAAGTTTTTTCATATGTTTTGTTAGGTTTGGATATTTACATAGCTATAGGTTCCGTATTTTTATAAATACAGGAAAAATAAATGTTTTTTGTCTGCAGGGCATGGATGATACACAGGTGCGAAGTGCTGCTACTGATATATTCTCATACTTGGTTGAATATAATCCATCCATGGTACGAGAGTTTGTCATGCAGGAGGCACAACAGAATGATGATGTAAGTAAGAAGTTAACAGAGCAAAAAATAACCAGCAAGGTAAATATTATTTGTACTAATAGTAAGTATTTATACATAGGAAGCTATAACTGTTTTTATTATTCACTTTTAAGATTTAATTGTTGCTGTTTGGGAAAAGTGTAGCCATAATATCAGACAGCTTATTGTTCCCCTAAATTGGTTCCTGTCTCAGTTTATCAATTTGTCCTACAGCAACTATTTATGTTCATTTAAATTGCCTTTTAAAATATTCATGTCAGTTTTTTTTTGTTTTGTTTTGTTTTAATTCTGAAGTCAACTTGCTATATTGTGTTTTTTAAATCATTTAGTCAATCAATTCTTGTATCTGGGGAATTAAGAGTAAGTTACCTAGGAAAACATTGACTTTAGGGTAGATTCTCAAAATCGCCAAGAATGAAGAAATGTAGCACAGTCCCTTAAAATATGAAGGGTGCTGTTTCTTTACTGCCTAGCCATAGAGAACAAGCTGTTACGTTGTTCACAAACACTCACGTTAGCATCTGAGATATACCAGATTTTAAAGTAGTAGAGAATATATCCTGGTAATGTGAAGGGTGCGCCTGGATCACATAGTGCGTGACATGTGAGAGCACTAAATGTGTGTGCTCTCCTTTATTTTAAAATAATTGAACCAATGATTCTGATTTTTTCCTGCTTCCCCCATAACAATTTGGAAGCAACTTTTTACGTAAGAATGAGTAAGAAGGACCTGCTCTCAGGTCCTTCTTAAGGGAGGAGGGGAATAAAGATCCCCTAAGGAAAAAAAAAAAATCTGTTTAGAATTCCAGCCTGTGGTATTTTTACGAAATAGGAAAATAGACTGTCTTACTTTTTGAAAAGATCCTATTTAATGTATTGTGATGTCAAAAGGAAATGGAATGCCATGTAACTGCTATGTTTAAGTTTTTATTTTTATAGTGCAGGATAGGTGCAAAAAAGCACCAGTTTGAACTGTTGTGTCATGTTTTTCTTTTATAAAATATTAACATCGGCCTCAGCAACATAGCAAGACCCTCCTTTAGTACAAAATTAATTTTTAAAACTTAGATATGGTGGCATGCACCCATAGTCCCAGATACTCAGGAGGATGAGAAGGAAGAGTCTCTTAAGACCAGGAGTTTGACTCTGCAGTGAGCTATGATTGCTCCACTGCACTCCAGTCTGGGTGACGAAGCCAGACCCCATCTCAAAAAAAAAAAAAAATTCTTTGAGAACCAAAGTATCTGTATTATTGAAAATAAAGGCTATTGTTGGTCCCATTAACCCATGAGCTGAACATATGAACATGTATTGATATACCTCAAAATACACACAGTAGGACTCTTTTTTTTTCCTGTTTTGCAACAGAATAACATTTCAGTCACTAGGACTCTTGATTCCCACTCTTCTTAATCATCATTTCCATCTACTGTCTGCATTTTCTCTATCCCTTGTCCATCCTGCCTTTGCATACACATAGGCAAGAGCAGGGATTTTCTCACTGAATCCCTCTCAATCTTATTTACTACTTAGGTGAGGAATACCAGTCATAATAGGACCTCAGGAAAACCAGCCATCTCTTTTCTTTGATATTTAGAATGTGTATAATCCATTTGTTCTCTGCACTCTCTAAATACCATAGTCTCATTTTCTCCAATTTCAGACATTCAGATAATTTTTTCCTAAATTTATTTTAAAAGGAAATTTTATATCACTTTTACAAATGGAGAACATACATCACTGGCCATAAATAGAAGGACTCTATAATAATAAAAGCAATAGACCAGGCACGGTGGCTCACGCCTGTAATCCCAGCACTTTGGGAGGCTGAGGCAGGCGGATCACCTGAGGTAGGGAGTTCAAGACTAGCCTGACGATCATGGAGAAACCCCGTCTCTACTAAAAATACAAAATTAGCCGGGCATGGTGGTGCATGCCTGTAATCCCAGCTACTAGGGAGGCTGAGGCAGGAGAATCGCTTGAACCCGGGAGGTGGAGGTTAGTAAGACGAGATCGTGCCATTGCACTCCAGCCTGGGCAACAAGAGGCAAACTCCGTCTCAAAAAAATAAAATAAAAATAAAAGCAACGAAAGTATTATGATGTTCTAAATCCTACCTAAATATTCTTACTCTTAAAGCTATGGTCATAAAACCCACTGGCTTTCTTCAAAAGGTAGATTACATTATTAGAAAGTTGTAAAGATATATTATCACCAAACTAAAACTTTGCTTTTGCTTTATTCAGAGGAATTTAAAGATAATAGACAAGAAATTTCTATTTAGGGCTATGTCCCTGTACCACACTTTAGGGAATGAAACACTGTCATATGTCCTGTCAGATAACTGAGTTAAACATTTCACTTTGCAGTTAACAAAACAGCTAGAGCCTAGGTATAATGCTGTGGTATGTGTCTTAGTTTTTGCTTTTTCCGTTCTCTCATAATAAGTGATCCTGAGTATGTCTATTTTTCTCTCCAGGATATTTTGCTCATCAACCTCATTATAGAACATATGATTTGTGATACAGATCCTGAACTTGGAGGAGCAGTCCAGCTTATGGGCCTGCTTCGAACTTTAGTTGACCCAGAGAACATGCTAGCCACTGCCAATGTAAGCCATGAGCATTTCCCCTCTTTTTCATAGCTAGTATATTGTGTATTGCTGGTAGGAACCAGTGTGGTTAAAGTTCATGGAATTGTTCTTGTTTCCTTAGAAAACAGAAAAGACTGAATTTCTGGGTTTCTTCTACAAGCACTGTATGCATGTTCTCACTGCTCCTTTACTAGCAAATACAACAGAAGACAAACCTAGTAAAGGTAAGATAATTCAGGTTGGTAGTTAAGTTCTCTGTTCTTGAATGCTGAATTCAAAGTTGGTGTTAAGTCAGTCTTTTTAGGAGGCAGTTAGTGGGAGGTAGAGGCTGGGAGGACACACCTTTTAAAAAGTAGTAGTCTTTAAAAGTTCAAACCATCAGGTTAACATAGAGGTCTTAATAATTTGGTTGGTTGGTTGGTTGGTTGGTTGTTTTTATCAAAAGCAACCTGGAGAATTAATGATGTATTTTGAAAAGAAAGGTTCATGACAAAAATGTCCCTAAAAGGCCTGTAATCCCAGCACTTTGGGAGGCCAAGGCAAGCGGATCATGAGGTCAGGAGATCGAGACCATCCTGGCTAACACGGTGAAACCCCATCTCTACTAAAAAAATACAAAAAAAATTTAGCTGGGCGTGGTGGCAGGTGCCTTGTGGTCCCAGCTACTGGGGAGGCTGAGGCAGGAGAATGGCGTGAACCCAGGAGGCGGAGCTTGCAGTGAGCCGAGGTCGCCCCACTGCACTCCATCCAGCCTGGGCGACAGAGTGAGACTTCAACTCAAAAAAAAAAAAAAAAAAACAATTTTCCTGAAAGTACTGTAATCAGATAACAGAAACATGTAAAAGAAATAAGATAATTTTTTGTTGAACAATATTTGTATTCAGTTTGCATCTACACTGGTGAAATATAAATAGAAGGCAGTAGCTATGAAAAAATTCATTTTAAATTATTTGTACTCCAGATGTATAGACAGAGCTAGGATTTTTGCACAATATTAAGCTACTTTTATTTATATTGAAGATATGTTAAGGTTTGTTATTTTTGTATTATATTCATTAGAGCTTTAGCGTGCGTGTGCGTGTGTTTAATTTAGGAGGTAGTTTTAGGTCTACATTCAAAAATTGCTTATTTAAGCTTTAGGAGTAAATACATTATTTTGTCATTGGAATTTTTTTTTTTTTTTTTTTTTTTGGAGACAGAATCTTGCTCTGTTGCCCAGGCTGGAGTGTGGTGGCGGGATCTCGGCTCACTGCAACCTCTGCCTCCCAGGTTTGAGCAATTCTCCTGCCCCAGCCTTCTGAGTAACTGGGATTACAGGCACCTGCCACCATGCCTGGCTAATTTTTATATTTTTAGTAGAGGCAGGGTTTTCACCATGTTGGCCGGGCTGGTCTCAAACTCCTGGCCTCAAGTGATCTGCCCACCTTGGCCTCCCAAAGTGCTGGGATTATAGGTGTGAGCCACCACGCCCAGCCTTGAATTCTTAATATAGCATAATTATAGCACTCACATAAAACACAAGTTAAATTTACTTTTTGTGTAACTCCAGAATCAAGTCCATGAAATGTGAATGTCCATTTTTCTTACCTGCTTTATTCATATTAGGTAAAGCTTGAGGCTTCTTTCCAAACCACATGTTCTATTCCTCCAACCTTTATTAAGATGAGAACTCATTGTGATTTTGTGAAGGACTGTGTTATAATCTAAACGTGGGGGAATGAAAAAAAGCCTTTCAGAGGCTTGCTGCCTAGTGAGGAGTAAAGATAAGTCAATGATTATAATTCAGTATAGACTCGTTACAAGTAGTAAAGGAGGCACAAAACACACTGGAATCAAGGGAACAGGGAGAGAGAGTAATTGCACCAAAGATGACACGGTGTCTGGCAAAACCTCATATGCTATATCTGTTGGAGAACATGCTAAGGTACCTGGTAGAGGGTCCTTGAATTTTGGAATAAGGCAGATACTCTAGATTTGTATCATAACTCTGCCTTACTAACTTTTCCAACTTGGGTCTAGTTAGTTAATAGGCTCATAATGTGAAACAGTTTCTTATAGGGTTGTTAAAATTAAATAAAAAAAAGTAAAGCACCATTCCTGGCACATGTTAGGCGTTCAGTAAATGCTAATTTCCTCCTCCCTAAAGTTAATATATTTAGGTTAATAGAAGAGATTTTACTTGATTAGAATTTGAGTTCTTACATTTTAGAAGGAAAAATGTTAGTCATTAAATATAATTAGTTGTGTTTTGTTTCTTTTAGATGATTTTCAGACTGCCCAACTATTGGCACTTGTATTGGAATTGTTAACATTTTGTGTGGAGCACCATACCTACCACATAAAGAACTACATTATTAATAAGGATATCCTCCGGAGAGTGCTAGTTCTTATGGCCTCGAAGCATGCTTTCTTGGCATTATGTAAGTGTTAGAATTATTTATCATCTTTGTATATTGACATGTTGGTATTTTTTACATCTTATTGCCCAAATGAAAAGACCACTGATTACAGGTCAGGAGATCTAGGTCGTAATACTAGCTCTGCCACTGATTATGCAGGTTTGCCATGTTGAGCAGGTGTTTTTCTTGACTCTCTTCTTACTTAATATACAGTAAGGGAGTAGAATGTATCTACAGTGTTATATTCCATTACTAAAACAGCACTTTGATCATTTTACCTTGGATATTTTATAGCAGGGGTGACAGACTACAGCTGAGGCCAGATCCAGCCCATGGCCTGTGATTGTACAGCCTACAAGCTGAAACATGCTTATGTTTTTAAAAGGTGGCCTGAGAAGAGAGAAATGAATATGGTACAGAGACCATATGTGGCCCACAAAGCCTAAAATATGTACTAGGTGGACCTTTATGAAAACGTTTGTAGACTCTTTTAGAGCAATATAGTCTCATAACAAGATTGTTCTTAGACATAAGTTTTTCAGAATGACTTTCACAGTGTTCTTAAGACCCGAGTTTGTTAGAGAAAACCATGTTTCTGAATTGAAAATAGGTTAATCCAGGATGTTCTTTATCAAGCAGCAGCCAGACATCTCAGGTAATGAGTTGCCATATGTAAGTGGTCCTTACTGGTAAGTTGTTAGACCAAATTTAGGGGTACCTTAGAGGTTCTGTAAGAGATTTCTGGTGGTAATTTAATTTTTGCCCTTTGGTTTTTAAAGGTAAGTTTGAGTGTTTGTTGTTGTTGTTGTTTGAAGCAGTCATAGTCATGCACTAATTAGAGGCCTGAATATATATCCATTTTTGCTAATCTTCTTTACTTCATTTCTAATTGTTTTGCTTAATTGATTTTTTAAAAATCCTTAAATCATGTAATTACATATTATTAAAATAATTATAAATTAAAATTTTATTTTAAATTTATAAATAAATAAATGGCCAGGTGCAGTGGCTCATGTCTATAATCCCAGCACTTTGGGAGGATGAGGCTGGCAGATCACCTGAGGTCAGGAGTTCTAGGCCAGCCTGGGTAACATGGTGAAACCCCGTCTCTACTAAAAATAGAAAGCTGGGTGTGGTGGTGCACGCCTATAGTCCCAACTACTCGGGAGGCTGAGGCAGAAGGATCGCTTGAACCTGGGAGGCAGATATCGCGGTGAGCTGAAATTGCACCATTGCACTCCAGTCTGGGCAACAGAGAGACACTGTCTCCCCACCCAAGAAAAATAATAAATTTTATATTTTATAAAAGCAACATTGCTTTCTTTTAAAATTCATTAAACTTCCTATCAGGGCAACATTATATTCATTTTTCTCATATACTATCACAGAAAAAGTGAGAACACCAAGGCCAAGTTTAGAGGGGGAGTTTATAGCTCTTTGACTTGTTCTTTTATGTTGACAATAGAGTTTTGTTCAAGTGTGGAAAAGGGGATTTGAGAGCAGAATGGAAAAACTGAATAAATGAATAAATTGTTTTATTTTACCAAACATATTAAACACAACTATATTTCATTGATTCAAAAAATGTACACTTTTAAACATTATCTCTGAAATTAAGATGAGTCTTACAATTAACCCATTTATGCCTAGTGTTCCATTATTGGAACGCTAAGCTTGTGGGAGTTATTTATATCCTGCTTAAGGTCAACACCAAGGTCTGATTTTTTTTTTTTTTTTTTTTACAGAAAAAATTTGCAACCTCTAGCATGAATGGGTTAATGGCATGTCACTATAATTGGTAGCTTAGTCAGTGGCATCTTAGATTTGATTACTATCTTATATCTGGTGTACTAGGAAAATGAAGATGGTTATGACCTGGACTTGGCCATCAATGGAATCAGTTCATTAGGAGGAGGGAGTCATGTGAAAATCAAAATGCAACAGTAATAAGCACTACATTGAGGTGTGTTTGGATGCATAGTGGAAATAATTCATTATAATTTAATGAGGCAGATGAAAAATTTCACACAATTGGTAACTTGAGTTGTGTCTTGGTCATGGGAGAGTATTGCATTCTTGGTTGAATACATAGTTAAGATGTTAATTGGGTAAAAAAAAAAAGTGTGGCATGTGGACAAAGTATACTTGGTCTTTTTTTTCTTTTTTCCTTTTTTTTTTTTTTTTTTTTTTGAGACGGAGTCTCACTCTGTCGCCTTGGCTGGAGTGCAGTGGTACGATCTCGGCTCACTGCACCTCCACCTCCTGGGTTCAAGCAATTCTCCTGCCTCAGCCTCCTGAGTAGCTGGGATTACAGGAGCGCACCACTACACCCAGCTAATTTTTGTATTTTAGTAGAGATGGGGTTTCACCATGTTGGTCAGGCTGGTCTCAAATTCTTGACCTCGTGATCCGCCTGCCTCGGCCTCCCAAAGTGCTGGGATTCAGGCGTGAGCCATGGCGCCCAGCCTACTTGGTCATTTTTAAAGAGAGTCAGGACAATGCAGCTGAAAGCAAAGGACTTTTCTTTAGTTCAGTTCATCATTTCATTATTTTGCTTGCAGTATTGCAAAGAAAATTTCTCATAATCTAATGAGAACTTTGGAGAGAATCTTTTAAGTAAATGAAAGTTTATTGTTGGAAACTAAGTATGTTAGCAAAATCTTAGTTATGTTTCATTGTTGATATTTTCCAAACTGAGTCAGGTTATCATTAAACCTAACTCTTTGAAAGGACCTCTTGGTGTACCTCTCTTCCCAGGGTTGAGGATATATAAGTATCTTCCTAACAAAGATGTCTGTCATTAGGAACAAGCTTTTTAGAACTGGCTTTGTAGTATGCAATAGGAGTTTTTATCAAAGATATCTAAGAACTAAAATAAATTTGAGGAAATTTAAGATACTTGTGGTTCTTCTGAAAAAAAGTGTACATTGAAGTATTAGGTATAGTATTTTTTAAAGGAGGGTTTATTGATATTTAAGTTTAGGTGCACATATATAAATGCAGACAGTAATGAGCAATTAAATGTAACAGTTTGGGGATTTAGGGAGCTTTTAATTTTTTTATATTTGCTGCTGCTTAATTATTATACTTTGTCATCTTTAAAGACAACTAGTTAAGTATGTAGGTGTGTCTAGCAATCGTTTCTAAACTCGGTCTTTATAGGCTAGATATCACATCTATCAATTTCCTTGGCCTTATTAAGTTCCTTGGATCTTACATTGTAGCCCTTTAGCTCATACTTTTATGTTGTTTGAGAGTGTTTTGTTGTTAAAAACATGGAAATCTTAAAAAGGAGTGAAATAAAGCTTTATTATAGAGGCATTTATTCAATTATCATTAGTTACAAGGTAAAAAGTCACAAATTTATTACATGAAATTCACGTTTTATAAAGTACAGATAAATAATGTTTTTTAGAGATGATTGAAACTAAGCACAAGAGGTTCCTGGAAATGTTAATGAAGGTTAGAGATGTGAGTGGAAGCAGAATGTGCTTTACATTGAAAATCCAATGGCAGTGCCAACTTGGCCTATCCTAAAAGCTTTCTCCACTCTACTTTGAGTGACTTGACTTCCTAGATCTTACTGGTAAAATTTTGAAAGCAGCTTTTTACTCAACAGCAAAGAATAGTGGTTGGATGTTTTTGATGCAGGTTTCTTTTAAGGGATGGATTTGAGTGGTAATAATACAAAGTTCTTGATATAAAATGTAAGAGCAAATGGAAATAAGGACCAAAACAAAAAGACCACTAGAACCTCCTTCTATCTACCCCAGCAGTTTCTGGATAGAAGTGCTCTGGAAGAAGTGCAGTGGTGCCATCTACATTCCCTTGTCTTAGTGAATTTCAGGAAAGGAGTTTTTCACTCACCTAGGAACTATAGTCAGACAAGAGGGGTGTGTGTGTGTGTGTGTGTGTGTTATGGTAGGACACAAGTCTCCACAAAGCCCGCAAAGTTGGAGTACAAATTCTTAAAATAGTAATACTCCTGCCTTAATTATTACAAGTTTAAAATGTGGTCTATTAGCATGAGCTCTAAAGTACTGATTTTTATTCCTAACAAATGGAAATGCCTCAGTAAGTTCCTTTGTCAAATAACCTTAAAAATACAAACTGAAAATATTGTTTTGGGAAAATAAACCCTTGTTAGGCTTTGACTTATCACACAGAAAGATGCCTCTTAGTGTTTAAAATGTCTTAGTTCACCATGAGTATGTTTTTAAAAATATTCAGTAGTTTAAAAAATAAAATGCAATTATTATTCTATAAACTATTTAGAAACTCCCTGCCCAGAGTGTTTCTTAAGAAAGATACACTCTTAAATAAGTTGCATTGTTAAGGCAGTTAATAATCAACTGTACCTAATTGGGCATTCACTTGTGGACCTCTTTTCTGCCAACTAAAGAAAAATTGAGCTGCTTTACTCCTCTGCCTTCCCACCCAGAAACCGTGTCAGCATGGTTGCCTGGCTACCTGCTCATGAAGGACTTGATTAATAGCAAATTGGCAATTTAACGAGCCACTTCCATGATCTCCAAAGAAACCAAAATACAAACACAATATTTAATCTTGCCAACCGAAGACGATGTGACTGCATGAAGTGAGTATGCTTTTTTGCACTGTTTACAATAACTGGGGCATTAACTTACTGATAATTCCATTTAGGTAAAGAGGGCTTTGTTGAAGTCTAGCTGTCTGAGTATATTTGTGTCTTGATGAATGGTGACTTAAGTAACTCCCCATACCTCAAGATGTAAATATACCTTTTAATCTGTAAGTTAAAGCCTAATTAATTATGAAAATGAAAACTAGAAAAAAATTAAAAAGCATACTCGCTACAATAAGCATAGAGGACCACATTTTAAATAACATCCTCTAAATTTATTTTTAAACTATGGCAAGGCAAATTTTGGGTCATGCAGATTTTTGTGGGTTGATGGCCTTTCTACAGCCACATCCACAAATAAATAAAATTCCATGAACTACAATGCAAAATAATAAGAGTGTCCAAAAATATTGAAGATCAAATTATACAGTGGATTGCCCTAATAAAACACTGGTTTTTTCTATTAAGGTGGATATAAAAGGTCATGTTGAATTTTTTCATCTTAAGTAGTGTGATAGGTTCATTCATTTGTCTTAGCTCTTATTTTAGATGTAAATTACATTTTGGTCATTAGTAACTGGTTTATTTTCAGGATTTTTCTGGCTTTCTAAGACTTGTGTTCTATGATGACATATACTACTTTTAGAAGACATTTTTCTGATAACATTTTCATAATCCTTATCTTTAGGTTCACAGTTCCGGAAGTGCAAACATCATAAATAATTATTGATATGTGTTAAACAGTTTTTTTTGGTTTGATGGTTATTTTTGTTTGGTAAGTCTAAAGTATGGAAGAGTGGTATGTGATTTAAACAACCATGCCTCTGTGTTTCAGGTGCCCTTCGTTTTAAAAGAAAGATTATTGGATTAAAAGATGAGTTTTACAACCGCTACATAATGAAAAGTTTTTTGTTTGAACCAGTAGTGAAAGCATTTCTCAACAATGGATCCCGCTACAATCTGATGAACTCTGCCATAATAGAGATGTTTGAATTTATTAGAGTGGTAGGTTCTGTATTTTTAATTAGAATTTTCATTTTAATTGTTTGAGAAAATTGAATATGCATTACCTAGTATTTTGGCTTGAGATGATAATATTTGGAGAGATTTAAAAAAAAAAAAAAGTACTAAAAGCCTGTGAGAGATTTGAGTCAAGCTACATCTTACCTCTCAGCAGCTACAAATCTGTTATAGCAGGGGTCCTCAACCCCTTGGCCGCGGACCGGTCCATAGCCTGTTAGGAACCAGGCTGCACAGCAGGAGGTAAGCTGCTGGCAAGCAGGCATTATTACTGCCTGAGCTCTACCTCCTATCAGATCAGCAGCAGCATTATATTCTCCTAGGAGCATGAACCCTTTGGTTAACTGTGAGGTGGAACAATTTCATCCTGAAACTGTGCTCCCCCACTCCCACCCCAGTTGGTGGAAAAATTGTCTTTCATGAAACCAAAAAGGTTAGGGACTGCTGCTTTGTAGGATGGTCACAGTAATCATTTTAAGAAAGCAAAACTACACTTGACAGATAAGCATTTGAATGTGTTTTTCTTAACTTACACATTTCTAAAGACCAATTTCATAATACTCTTTATTCTCTAGTAATGTAATAAGCTAGTGGTTCTCATTGATGCTGTGCAAATTTATCTGGCATGGCTTTTTGTTTTGTTTGTTTCTTAGAGACAGGGTTTTGCTATGTTGCCCAGCTGGGCTCAAACGATCCTCCCACCTTAGCCTCACAAGTAATTGAGACTGGAGGTGCATACCACAGTACCTGGATGTCGTGCTTTTTTAAAAGCTGGGATAAAATAATATAAAACATTAAACTTGCTATTTTAACCATTTTAAAGTAAACATTCACATTGTTGGCAGCCATCACCATTATTCATCTCCAGAACTTTTCTGTAACATGCTTTTTTTGGGGGGTGAGGGAGGGGGGTGGGGACAGAGTCTCACTCTGTCACCCAGGCTGAAGTGCGGTGGCATGATCTCGACTCACTGCGCCTTCCACCTCCCAGGTTCATGCGATTCTTCTGCCTCAGCCTCTAGAGTAGCTGGGATTACAGACATGCGCCACCATACCCGACTAATTTTTGTATTTGTAGTAGAGATAGGGTCTCACTATTGGCCAGGCAGGTCTCAACCTCCTGACCTCAGGTGATCTGCCCACCTTGGCCTCCCAAACTGCTGGGATTACAGGCATGAGCCTCTTCACCCGGCCTGTGACATGCTTTTAAAATACGCATGGCTGTTGTGTGTTCTCTCTTGTAAGTGGGAACTAAACTTTGAGTACACATGGAAATAAAGAAGGGAACAACAACAGATACCAGAGCCACTTGAGGGTAGAGAGTAGGAGAAGGTGGGGATTGAAAAACTACCTATTGGGTACTGTGCTTACTACCTGGGTGATGAAATAAGCTATACACCAAACCCCTGTGACACGCAGTTTACCCGTATAACAAATACGCACATGGACCCCCTGAACCTAAAATAAAAATTAATTAATAAAACATATATGTCCATGGCCAGGGATAGTGGCTTATGCCTGTAATCCCAGCACTTTGGCAGGCCAAAGTGGGAGGATTGCTTTAGGCCAGGAGTTAGAGACTAGCTTGGGCAACATATCAAGACCCCATCTCTACAAAAATTTTTTGTTAAAACTTAGCCCCGTATGGTGGTGCATGCCGATAGTCCTAGCTGCTCAGGAGGCTGAGGTGGGAGGATTGCTTGAGCCCAGGAGTTCAAGCCTGCAGTGAGCTATAATCATACCACTATATCTCAACCTAGGTGCCAGAACGAGACCCCATCTCTAAAAAATACACATACCCAGCCCGCACATCAGAATCAGAATCACCTAGGGCAAGACCTGGGCATTTACTTTGTAAAGACCCATAGATAGCTGGGTGCAGTGGCTCGCACCTGTAATCCCAGCACTTTGGGAGGCCGAGGCAGGCAGATCACCTGAGGTCGGGAGTTCGAGACCAGCCTGACCAACACGGAGACACCCCATCTCTACTAAAAATACAAAATTAGCCAGGCGTGGTGGTGCATGCATGTAATCCCAGCTACTCTGGAGGCTGAGCCAGGAGAATCGCTTAAATCCAGGAGGCAGAGGTTGCAGTGAGCCGAGATCATGCCATTGCACTCCAGCCTGGGCAGTAAGAGCAAAACTCCATCTCAAAAAAAAAAGACCCATAGATAAATTGGGGACTACTATAGTAGCCAGTGTACGTTATTCCCATTTTTTATTGTTTGGTTATCTCTAAGATTATGTAGTTTTATTAAATTAAGCTATTTTTGGTGGGTATGAATTGATTAAATTAAGCCTCATCTTGCTAAAATGACATTTTCCTATCATTTTTTCATTACTATTCTTTTCTGTAGGAAGATATAAAATCATTAACTGCTCATGTAATTGAAAATTACTGGAAAGCACTGGAAGATGTAGATTATGTACAGACATTTAAAGGATTAAAACTGAGATTTGAACAACAAAGAGAAAGGCAAGATAATCCCAAACTTGACAGGTAAATTACCATATATTTAAACCTATTCGTTCAGCATCAAGTCGTATGGTAGTGGCTTTATTGTTTATTTGATATTATTTGGCTTGACAAGGAACAGGGAAATCAGCAGATAGCAAATAGAAATTGTAGCTTCCTGTAAGGGTCAACATAAATGTTTCCCTGAAGATTAGGCTGGTTATTAGTATAATACCTCAGGCATGTATCAGGCTAGATAAGGGAAAAAAAAAAAAAAAGACCAAACAGTGGAAGTGAGGCTTCATGTGTTCCAAATAAAATCAGAGGATTATATTACTTGCTTTGAATTTACAAGTTACTAAGGTTACAAATTATTATTTAAAATTTTGTACATTAATCTAAATACCTGGATTTACATTGATACTTTAATATTTGTAAATTTCATGTTAATTCCCTATGTTAACAAGTTTAATAAGTCATCTGTAACAGTACAATTAAGTCCATATATGATTGTATTTACTCTTTCTTCCCTACTCATAGTATGCGTTCCATTTTGAGGAATCACAGATATCGAAGAGATGCCAGAACACTAGAAGATGAAGAAGAGATGTGGTTTAACACAGATGAAGATGACATGGAAGATGGAGAAGCTGTAGTGTCTCCATCTGACAAAACTAAAAATGATGATGATATTATGGATCCAATAAGTAAATTCATGGAAAGGAAGAAATGTATGTTGGAAAAAAATGGGCAAGAGAAAATTAAGGCTTTCTTACTCTAGATTTATTCTTATTTCTTGACAAAATGATTATTTGCTTGGAAGGTGTGATGGCATACGGTTTAAAGACTCTATTGCTTTATGGGATGTGACTGAATAGCAGTGTTGTGTAGGCATAAACTTAAGTTTTCTTAATTTGAGTTGAATAAGGAATATACTATTTCAGGAAGGGTAGGGATACTAAATATGATTCTGAAGGTTTCAATTCTTCTCTGGGGTAAGATCCAATGAATGGAATTGTGGTTAGTATTTTGGTAAGCTTCTTTTATAAATTGAACTTCAATGTTTCTACCCAGCGTAGTAAGCTAGTTAAATGTGTTTTAGTGTTACCTCATTTGGGGAAATTTAAAAAAGAAGTATGGGGGACGACTATTGACAGTATTCTCATTTTTAGTAAAAGAAAGTGAGGAAAAGGAAGTGCTTCTGAAAACAAACCTTTCTGGACGGCAGAGCCCAAGTTTCAAGCTTTCCCTGTCCAGTGGAACGAAGACTAACCTCACCAGCCAGTCATCTACAACAAATCTGCCTGGTTCTCCGGGATCACCTGGATCCCCAGGATCTCCAGGCTCTCCTGGATCCGTACCTAAAAATACATCTCAGACGGCAGCTATTACTACAAAGGTACATTCTTGACTCCCATTTTGCCCCCTTTTTTCCCAATTGAAGCTTTCTCAACAATAATTTTGACTAAGATTCCCTTTGGTTACTGCCACCTAGAACTGATTTAACATCCCTGAACTAGAGGATGAGTCCCCCCCACCGCTTGAACTTATATAAAGGTTGAGAAATTTCTGAAAGTTTTTTTTATGACCAATGCAAGTCTGCATATAGTGTGAATTCTCACTTGGGTATTTTGGATTTTAGAACTGAAACTTCAAATTTGTATGTCAAAACATTTACAGAAATGTTCAAGGTTTTCAGTTATTCTTGAATAAATGTTCCTAACTAATACCCAGATAAAGCCTTTGTGGGGAAATGATAATCTAAATATCTGGGTACTTCTAACTTTACTTTGCCAGTTAAGGTTTGTTAAGAAAATTAAACATCTACTATCACTAACATTTCATATAAGAAATGAACAAGGGCTGGGCACGGTGGCTCACGCCTGTAATCCCAGCACTTTGGGAGGCTGAGGCGGGCAGGACACGAGGTCAGGAGATCGAGACCGTCCTGGCTAACGTGGTGAAACCCCGTTTCTACTAAAAATACAAAAATTAGCCAGGCGTGGTGGCGGGCGCCTGTAGTCCCAGCTACTCTGGAGGCTGAGGCAGGAGAATGGCATGAACCTGGGAGGCGGAGCTTGCAGTGAGCTGAGATCGCTACTGCAACAGCGAGACTCCATCTCAAAAAAAAAAAAAAAAAAAGGAACAAAATCTTAAGAAAAAATGTAGAAAACATGCAATCTCAGAATAAAACCAGTTTTGGGGGCTCCTTATGCCAACCACCCTTTTCTTTTGAGACATAATATATTGATTATTGGGCTAGCAGACTAGCAGTTAAAAGACTGGCATTTGGGAATCACTGATCTAAATCAGACACGTAATGCCCATTCAGTCTTTTTTTTTTCTGGCGTGAGCTGGAGACTCCTGACGGCTAAGAAGTGAATCTGAGACACGCTGAAATGAAGAGGCAGGCTTGAGAGCAGAGCAGTGTGAATTTTTCCCTTAGCATCGAAATAAAGCAAGCAGCAGCCAGGCGCGGTGGCTTACGCCCGTAATCCCAGTGCTTTGGGAGGTCCAGGGGGGTGGGTCACGAGGTCAGGAGATCCGAGACCATCCTGGCTAATACGGTGAAACCCCGTCTCTACTAAAAATACAAAAACATTAGCCGCGTGTGGTGGCGGGCGCCTGTAGTCTCAACTACTCAGGAGGCTGAGGCAGGCGAATGGTGTGATCCCGGGAGGTGGAGCTTGCAGGGAGCTGAGATGGCGCCACTGCACTCCAGCCTGGGCGACAGAGTGAGACTCCATCTCAAAAAATAAATAAAGCAAGCGGCAGTGGTTTCTGGTGAAGGAGCAGGGCTAAAAGGAAACCCAGATGAAATGATGAGGAAGAGTCAGGGTAGAACTGCTTTCCTAACCTCTAATAAATAGAAAAAGCCTGTCTACCCTCATTTCTGGTGGTCTCTTTATCTGCTGCAGTTTTCATTTTGGTACTTTTTTTTTTTTTTGACAGAGTCTCAGTCTGTCACCCAGGCTGGAGTGCAGTGGCGTGATCTTAGCTCACTGCAATCTCCACCTTCCAGATTAAAGCGATTCTTGTGCCTCAGCCTCCCAAGTAGCTGGGATTACAGATGTGCACCACCACACCTGGCTAATTTTTGTAATTTTATTAGAGACAGGGTTTCACTATGTTAATTAACAGGCCAGGCTGGTCTCAAACTCCTGTCCTCATGTGATCCCTCCGCCTCAGCCTCCCAAAGTGCTGGAATTACAGGCACAGGCCACCATGCTCAGCCTCATTTTTATACTATTTTAGACTTTATGTTTAAAAAAATTTTAAGATGCTATTAAGTCTTGAAACAAACATTTTTCATTCATTTTCTAACTCCTGGGTAATTTGCTAGGATTATAAACTACTTAAATTTTTTTGCTTTAGTTTGGGTGCAGTGGCTCATGCCTGTAATCCCAGCACTTTGGGAGTCCAAGGTAGGTGGATCGCCTGAGGTCAGGAGTTCAAGACCAGGCTGGCCAACATGACAAAACCCTGTCTCTAGTAAAAATACAAAAATTACCCAGGCGTGGTGGCGGGCGCCTGTAATCACAGCTACTCGGCAGGCTGAGGCAGGGAGAATTGCTTGAACCTGGGAGGTGGAGGTTGCAGTGAGCCGAGATCGCACCACTGCACTCCAGCCTGGGTGACATAGCGAGACTCCGACTTGGAAAAAAAAAATTTTTGCTTTAATTCTAATTAACTCAAAGTTTTCCCTTATTGTAAAAAAGTATGCATGTTTATTACAGGAAATTTAGAAAATATGTAAACATAATGAATTGAAGTTTAACACAGTCCCACCACCCAGAAATAACCACCGTTACTATGTTGGTAGGATCTATTTTCTTTCTCCAGCCAGAAAACACCAGTGTTTTTATATGTTTTATTTTCTGTTCTTTAAATAATCCTTATTTCTTAACAGGGAGGCCTCGTGGGTCTGGTAGATTATCCTGATGATGATGAAGATGATGATGAGGATGAAGATAAGGAAGATACGTTACCATTGTCAAAGAAAGCAAAATTTGATTCATAATAATGGCAACGGCCTAGGATCAGTACCTGTTGAAAAAAACTGGTTCTCCACCCCTCCCCCATACAAAATCCACAACAAAGCGCAGTGGTCTCTTGTGAATGACTGACACAGATCAGCCTCTTACACTTGACTTCTGCTCATCAAGTGCCAATTCAATGGAGCAGGAGGAGGGGATATCATATATTTAGGGGAAAGACTTAAGCCTTTGAGCTCTCCAGCTTGGACCACACATTGCCCTTTTCTCAGGGAAGGAAATGGAAACAAAAAGCCAACAGGGCAGGGGTTTTGTAAGTGGAACTCTGGATTGACTGGTCAGTTGCTACAATCAGAATATGCTTTCTTGGACCATGTTTGAGACTCAGAAGAATGGGCCTTTCTGCCATAATTCTTCACTAGTCAAGAATGCCAGCAGTTTCTTTGTATAAAGAGACCTGCCTTTAAAATCATACATTCTGAACATTTTAGTCAAGCTACAACAGGTTTGGAAAACCTCTGTGGGGGAGGGGCGAGTATAAAGTTTTCCTCTTTTTTAACTGTTCCCTTTGCCCTTCAAACTGCAGATATTTTTTTTTTTAAGTGGGGACTTCTCCCTACTTGATTAAAGATTGAGTGGAATTCTAGATGTGGTCATTTGTGTCATAATTTTTTTGTTTTATTTTGTTTTTGATTTTTTTTTTCCTCCCCTGAGTGTATGCTTAGTTGTTGAGTATATATATTTGGGACCATTAAAACTTTTTTTGATGTAATATAACCTAACGTTGTGCTGGTACCTGTTTTACCATGTGTAATTTTTGTTCTACATCACAGTTCTTAATTTGTTTAGAGTTTTATGAAAGATGGTATAGTTTTTATTGACAAAAGCAAAGTAATCTTACAACTATGTGCATACAAAAGCAATACTATTTTGTGACTAAATATTTTATATTAAAATTTACATCAGCAACTGTCTTGAGAATTCAGGGAAATAGAATGGAATTTAAAACTTCAACAGTTTTGTTAAATCTAGAAACATGAAATTAGTATTCCAAAGAGATTCTGAAATTTCTTTTCTTGGGGAAATGACGGTACATTAAATCAAAATTGAGGATGGATGATTTAAAAACATTTGACTTTTGAATAATAAAAAGAAAAGTGAAGAGTAAGAGAAATTGTATTAGTTGTATGTTTCTTGTTTTTGTTTTTAACTACTCCCTTTGGAATACCAGTTTGACTTGTAAGTGGTGGTTTCTAAATAAATACCTGGCCAGAGGACCATCACCTGTCACCTTATTAAAACAGTATTTTTAAATAGGTTCTTTTTGTTGTCTTAGATGTGATCAAATTATTTCAAGGAAAATGAAAATAATTCTACTTACCCTCACTTTTTAAAGTGAAGAGTTTAGAACTTAAGAATATATTTTCAAATGTGAATAAAACTTCATATCCAGGAAAGGATGCTATTTTAAGTATCATATACTTTAAGAGTATCTAGCAAGCGCTGTGTGCTTCTCTGTCTTGTCTTGTTTATTCCTCAGTAAATTACAATGGTGGTACCAAAAACAAGACTATACTGCATAGTTGGATAGAAAACCAGAAAGTGTCAACTTGCTACAGTCATTAAAAGTTTTATTATTGGCTGATAATTTTTTTTAACAACAAAAACTTTGGGTGCTTAATTATGAGATTATATCTCACTAGAGTATAGATCTAATTAGGAGGCACAAGTTTTGGCTATTAATAATTGAAGTTAATCAACTTATCTTGCAAATAAAGAGAAGAAAAACTCTTAGGATCTAAGCCAATTATATTATGTCTTCCTTTTTTACCTAGAAAGCCCCATGCCAAGTAATGTTTCTGCTTTAAACATATAGTTTAAAACTGACCTTTCTGGATGATTCTTGAAACACTTGTCTTGGTATTCTGCAGGTTCTTAGATTGAGGGAAGAACTTGCATCACTTGATTTCATTTTGTGGTCCAGTATATTAACTGCTGGCCTTCCACAGTTAAGAGATGACTTCTCATTGATGGACTTTTGTGTTCCCTTAGTTATTAGTGATTATGGTTACTGAAATAGAAACCTGACACAAGTGTTCCTAAAACAGGAGAAATGAGGTTAGAAACAGCTTGTCATCTTATGAAGGAATACTGTTAGAAATTGCTAGAAATACAACACTACACACAGTTCCATTGACTCAAAAGTCCATACTTTGTTTCACTCTGTCACCCAGTCTGGAGTGCAGTGGTATGACCATGGCTCACTGCAGTCTTGACCTCCCAGACTCAACTGATCCTCCTCCCTCAGCCTCTCAAGTAGCTGGGACCAAAGGGACACCACCATGCCTAGCTAATTGGTTATTTTTTGTAGAGACGGGATCTCCCTATGTTGTCCTGGTCTCAAGTGGTCCTCCTGCCTTGGCCTCCCAAAGTGCTGTGATTACAGGTGTGAGCCATCATGCCTGACCAAAAGTCCAAACCCTTAATCAAAGATACTATCTTGGTAACTGACACGAATGTAGTTAAAAATTATTTCCCACCTTAACGATACCAATTGGTTCTTTCGGTCATTTTGCAGTGTTTAAAATGAAAACATTTTCACCTCCCAGAGTGAACTCAACAGTTTCTGAAAAAGATTTATAATTATTGCAGGAAACACCTTGACATCTTTTTAATAGAATGATGTGTCTTTTTTTTCTGCCCAATTATACTCAGATCTTGCATCTAATTTTTCCCAGAACTCCAATTTGCAAGTCAATCTTTTTGAATTTGGAAATGCAGGGGAGGCATGGAGCAGGGGAAAACATTCCCTACTATTTGTTCTTAATTAACAATTGGTCATTGTAAAGGCTGCAAGATTAGAATGGCAACAAGTTTAAACTGGAAGATTTTAAGTGGAAATTTTTTCAGGTTGTCAGATTTCTGGTATTTAACCATAAATAACTGCTAAAACAGCATTGTCAGAGTTCTTTTTGGAGGAAAAATTAGGCCCTCAAAATTCTTTTATTCAGATTATATTAACTTTTTCTGACAATGTTATTTCAAGAAAGATTATAGACATTTTTATGTATGGACTATTTACCATTACACTGGGGCTTTGAGAGCATATGAGGAAATGAGAGTCATCAGTATATTGTGATTCCCAATGCTAATTTCAGTTTTTATTTCTTCAGCCTTAATATCTTATTTTGGCTTTGTAGAACGATGAATCTGAAAGAAAACTGTAGAGATCCTGTTTTCAGCTGAGTATGTTAACGCTGGAGTCAAATGTCTCATTTCTTCAAATAGTTCTTGTTGGAGACACAACGTTCCTTGACCCTTTTCAGTCTCCTGGATAAAAGGTTCTTCTTCCATGTACTCAGAGGAAATAGTGGTTACTTCAACATGAGGCCAGATGGGCTTTTGTTTATTTCCTCTGCCTCCTACCATTTCAAAGAAAGTGCTCTGGTATAAGTAACATCCTACCTGCAGGTTTATTGGATCCTTTTTCGTTCTCTATTATTTGACGCTGAGGCAGCATTAGCTACCAACCACTGTTTTTTTTGATATCTTTGTCTTGGTTTCTACACATGTGTTTTAACTTTTTTTTTTTTTTTTTTTTTTTTTTTTTTTTTTTTTGGAGATGGGGCCTCTGTTGCCCAGGCTGGAGTGCAGTGGGGCGAGCACAGCTCACTGCAGCCTTGACCTCCTGGGTTCAAGCAATCCTCTTGTCTCAGCCTCCCGAGTAGCTGGAACTAGTTATGTGACACCACGCCTGGCTGATTTTTGTATTTTTTTGTAAAGACTGGTTTTCACTGTGTTGCCCAGAGTGGTGGTGATAAGAGACAGGGTCTCGCTCTGTTGCCAAGGCTGGAGTGCAGTGGCACAATCATCACTCATTACAGCCTTGAACTGGCCTCAAGCAATCCTCCTGCCTCAGCCTCTCTAATAGCCAGGACTCTAGTAGCTGGGACTACAGGTGCGTGCCACCATGGGTTTTGTTTGTTTTAAGAGATGGGATCTCACTATGTTGCCCAGGCCAGTCTCAAATTTGACGTCTCCATTCTCTACCCCTTCAATGCTGGGATTCATTAGGTTTCCACCTTTGTGCACTCAACTTCCCAAGCTCTGACCAGACCACATTTCTTGTTAGGTCCTTGACACAATCATGCTGTGCTCTAAAGGATCTGCCCTTACCTGCACTGTGCCCCTTTTCTTGACTGCTCTTTTCTCTGCCTTGACTGCTGATGAACTTAAATTCTTTCAACATTCAAAAGTGATCCCCTGATACCCCCACTCATTTCTTGAAGGAAGGGGCTATATCCTTTTCAACTTTGTATCCCTAGCATATAGCATGATACTGAACCCACAGGCAGATTTTGGGTAATCTGAGTAAATGAAGGAAAGACTGAATAATGTGCACACAGAGTACAGACTAGGAAAGCAGCTGATGCTCTTAAAACAGTCAAGAGTTTGACTTATTCTTGACCACAAAATTTCCTATCCTTTGTACCCATGAGCCTTAGGGTAATTCTTTTTTCTTTTGTTAATGAACTGCAGCTAGAAAGAGACCTTAGGGTAATTCTAAAAGCCCAAAATACCCCCTTGGCATAACATTTGTTGCATCAACAATTCCTACAGTCCTGCTTCTTTAAGCTTTCCTGGTTTATTCATCTCTGCCCCAGCACCTCTAACTCCTCAGCTCAGCGTTCATTTTGGTCATAGGTCTTTACCCCTAAGTAGGACTTTCATCACCAGACCTAGTATGAGCTGGTTGGTTCCTCAATACCCGGGCCACAGGCCAGCAGCAGTCCATGGTTAGGAACTGGGCCACACCGCAAGATGTGAGCAGCAGGCAAACGAGCAAAGCTGTATATTTACAGCCACTCCCTATTGCTTGCATTACCACCTGAGCTCCACCTGTCAGATCAGCAGTGGCATTAGATTCTTACAGGACCGCAAACCCTATTGTGAACTGCACATGCAAGGCATCTGTCACTGTCTCCCATCACCCCCAGATGGGATGGTCTGGTTGCAGGAAAATAAGCTTGGGGCTCCCACTCATTCTACATTATGGTGAGCTGTATAATTATCTCATATATTACAATGCAATAGTAGAAATAAAGTGCACAATAAATGTAAGTGCACTTGAATCATCCCAAAACCATCCCCCCACCCACCCTGGTCTGTGAAAAAATTGTCTTCTATGAAACCAGTCCCTGGTGCCAAAAAGGTTGGGGATCACTGCTCTAAAGGAAGGTGAGGAAATAATAATACTTTATTAACCAACCTCCAAGATAATTCTGATTGGCTTATACTGTGAGAGGTAAAAATCTCTCCAAAACTAAGAGCCCAGAAATATTTGGCCTTTGGAATGTTTAGGGTGGCTTTCAACAAAGGTAGAGAATGAAGAATTAGTGAAAACCTTTCACCCAAAACCCCCAATTCAAGCCCTTCAAGGGCCTACTTTGGAAGACTGGAATGGGATAGGGGTTGGGGTGCAAAATAAAAGAGGCTAAATCAGCACTCAGGAAATCCCACAATATGTGTTCCATGCTTGTATGTTGATTGATAAATTGATTCTAAGAACGCTTTTCCTGGTAAGGCAGCAGTGAAAAGTGGACAAAATGGAATAGCAAGAGCATAGAAAGGCCTGGGTTTAAATTCTTACTCTGCTAATAAGATCTTAGGCAAGCTCCTTTAGCCTTGGTTTTCTCATTTGTGATAGGAATAATATCCACAAAACAACATGAGGGCTGTGGAATATATGTGTATATAAAACAGCTATCCCAATGGTAGGTACTCAATAAGTAGTAGCTATTTAATATATATTAATATAGTCCAAACAAGTCTGTAAATTATCTACTTTTAGGAGTCATTCATAGTCTATGCAGTGGGAATTAATATATTGATTAAGATTATACATCCATAAATGGCTGAGTGAGGAACTTGGCAAATCTCTCCCCAAACAGCAACGTTAAAACAGCAAAATTGCCCGGGCACAGTGGCTCACACCTGTAATCCCAACACTTTGGGAGGCCAAGGCAAGAGAATTGCTTGAGCCCAGGAGTTTGAGACCAGCCTGGGCAACATGGCAAAACCCTGTCTACAAAAAATACAAAAATTAGCCAGGCATGATGGTGTGCCTGTAGTCCCAGCTACTCTGGAGGCTGAGGTGGGAGGATCACTTGAGCGGGGGAGTTTAAGGCTGCAGACAGCCATGATCTCACCACGGCACTCCAGCCTGGGTGACAGAGACCCTGTCTCAAAAAACAAAACAGCAAAATTGCCAAAACCAACCATTTCAGGACTGTAGAAATCAACCAAAGACATATAACAAATTAAGAAAACAATCTTGGTGGGCCAGGTGCAGTGGCTCACACCTGTAATCCCAGCACTTGGGGAGGCCAAGGCAGGCAGCTCACTTGAGCTCAGGAGTTCGAGACCAGCCTGGCCAACATGGTGAAACCCCACCTCTACAAAAAATGCAAACATTAGCTGGGCATGGTGGCACATCCCTGTAGTTCCAGATACTCCGGAGGTTGAAGTAGGAGGATGACCTCAGCCCAGGGAGTCAAAGCTGCAACAAGCTGTAATCATGCCACTGCACTCCCACTTGGGTGACAGAGTGAGACCCTGTCTCAAAAAATAATAATCTTGGGTAAGAACAGTGGGAGTCTATCTAGAATTTTGGCCTGGGGCTACTCCCATCCCCCGAAGCCGCCTTACTTCCCCACTCCCAATCCCTCAGCTCAACCAGCTGGGTAGTTCTACTAAGCAGGATAGATTTCATTTGGAGTGGAGGGAAAAAACACACTCCTGCTTGTTCACAGAAGCAGTAGCTTGACCAAGAAAAAAAAGGACTCAGATTATTAACGTCAGAAATAAAAGACACTTGGTTGGGACATTACTACCAACCTTGAAGGTTGGTAGTATGAATAATTGTATGCCAGTAATTAGATAACTCAGATGAAATGGACACATTCTTAGAGACAAACTTCTGAAACTCAAGAAGAAACACTATTTGAAGAGATCTATAACAAGTGAAAAGATTGAATTAGTAATCCAAAAGACTATCCCCACACACAAGAAAACCCTGGAGTCCAGATGGCTTCATTACTGAATTTTACCAATTCTTCACAAACTTCCAAAAAACAGAAGAGGAGGGATCACTTCCCAAGTCATTCTGTGAGATCAGTATTACCCTAATAACAAAATCCAGACAAAGATATCACAAGAAGAGGAAGCTACAAAGTATCTCTGGATATGGTTGCAAAAATTCTCAACTAAATACTAGGACACTGAATCCAGCAACAAAGAATTATATACCATGACCAAGTGGGATTTATCCTAGGAATGCATGGTTGGTTTAACATCTTTAAATCAATTAATGTAATAAGCCATATCAAAAGATTAAAATACAAAACCACATGATTATCTCAATAAATGCAGAAAAAGCATTTGACAAAATTCAACACCATTTCATGATAAAAACACTACACAAACTCAACCAGATAAAGAGCATCTAAGAAAAATCTAGAGTTAACATGATAATGGTGAAAGACTAGATGTTTTCCACCTAAAATCAGAAACAAGAAGTGTCTCTTGCCTCTTCAACATTGTACTGCAGGTATTAGCCAATTTAGGTAAAACAATTAAATGAAAAGCATCAGATTAGAAAGGAAAAAGTAGCTGGGTGCAGTGGCTCATCCCTGTGATGCCAGCACTTTGGGAGTCCAAGGAGGGTGGATGGCTTAAGCCCAGGAGTTCCAGACCAGCCTGGCCAACATGGCGAAACCCCTTCTCTACAAAAAATATTTTAAAAAATTAGTAGCCAAGCGTAGTGGTGCATGCCTGTAATCCCAGCTACTCTGGAGGCTGAGGCAGGAGAATCACTTGAACCTAGAAGGCGGAGGTTGCAGTGAGCTGAGATCGTGCCATTGCACTCCAGCCTGGGCAACAGAGTGAGACTCCATCTCAAAAAAAAAAAATTAGCTGGACATGGTGGCATGAACCTATTGGTCCCAGCTACTCAAAAGGCTGAGGTGGGAGGATCACTTGAGCTCAGGAGGCAGAGGAGATTGCAGTGAGCCAAGATCACACCGCCATACTCCAGCCTGGGCAACACAGTGCCTCAAAAAAAAAAAAAAAAAAAAAGTGGAAGAAGTAAAACTGTAGATGTTTGTGGATGCCATGATCTTGCATGCAAAGTCCTAGGGAATTCATACAAAACTCTTAGAACTATAAGCAGGTTCAGCAAAGTTGCAGATGTAACATCAACATACAAAAATCAGTTGTATTTCTGGGGCCAGGCGCGGTGGCTCACGTCTGTAATCCCAGAACTTTTGGGAGGCCAAGGCAGGCAGATCGTGAGGTCAGGAGATCGAGACCATCCTGGCTAACACGGTGAAACCCTATCTCTACTAAAAAATACAAAAAAGTAGCCGGGCGTTGTGGCGGGTGCCTGTAGTCCCAGCTACTTGGGAGGCTGAGGCAGGAGAATGGCATGAACCCGGGAGGTGGAGCTTGTAGTGAGCCGAGATTGCGCCACCGCACTCCAGCCTGGGCAACAGAGTGAGACTCCGTCTCAAAAAAAAAGCTGGGCGCGGTGGCTCATGCCTGTAATCCCAGCACTTTGGGAGGCCAAGGCGGGCGGATCACCTGAGGTTGGGATTCACGACCAGCCTGACCAACATGGAGAAAC
This sequence comes from Homo sapiens, assembly GCF_000001405.40. NCBI lineage: Eukaryota > Metazoa > Chordata > Mammalia > Primates > Hominidae > Homo > Homo sapiens. Next base: position 91,450,101 of record NC_000014.9, on the reverse strand, counting down.
CCCATCTCTACTAAAAATACAAAGTTAACTGGGCATGATGGCACATACCTGTAATCCTGGCTACTTGGGAGGCTGAGGCAGGAGAATCGCTTGAACCTGGGAGGCGGAGGTTGTGGTAAGCCGAGATCGCGCCATTACACTCCAACCTGGGCAACAAGAGACTCAAAAAAAAAAAAAAAAAAAGTTGTATTTCTATACACTTGCAATGAATAATCTGAAAATTTAGAAGACAATTCCATTTACAATAGCATAAAGAAAAATAAGATACAAACATATTTAACAAAAGAAGTCCAAAGTTTATACCCTGAAAGCTAAAAAACATTGTTGAAAGAAATTAAAGTTTTGTTTGTTTGTTTGTCTGGGGACAAAGTCTTGCTCTGTCACCCAGGCTGGAGTGCAGTGGCGCGATCTCAGCTCACTGCAACCTCCACCTCTTGGGTTCAAGCGATTCTCGTGCCTCAGCCTCCGGAGTAGTTGGGATTACAGGTGCACTCCACCACGCCCAGCTGTTTTTTTGTATTTTTAGTAGAGATGGGGTTTCTCCACGTTAGCCAGGCTGGTCTCAAACTCCTGGCCTCAAGTGATCTGCCTGCCTCAGCCTCCCAAAGTGCTGGGATTACAGGCATGAGCCACCAGGCCTGGCCAAAATTAAAGATTTAAATAAATGGAAATGCATCCCATGTTTATGGATTGAAAGATTAATATTGTTAAAATGGCAATATTCCACAACTTGATCCACAGACGGAATGCAATCCCCATCAGAATCACTAGCTGACTTATTTGTAGATGTTGAAAAGCTGCTTCTAGAATTCATCTGGAACTGCAAAGGTCTCAAAATAGCTAAAACAATCTCTAAAAAAAAAAAAGAAGAAGAAGTAGGAGGACCCACACTTCCAAATTTCAAAACTTACTACAGAGCAAGAGCAATCAAGACAGTGTTGTACTAGCATATAAAATAGAGATCAATTGAAATGGAAGAGAGAGTTCAGAAATAAAACCATGTGTCTATGGTCAACTGATTTGCAACACGGATATTGTTACAAGCTGAACTGAGTACACCTAAAATTCGTCTGTTGAAGTGCTAACCCCCAGTCCCTCAGAATGTGATGGTATTTGGAGACAGGGTCTTTAAAGAGGTAACTAGTGGCGTGTGCCTGTAGTCCCAGCTACTTGGGAGGCTGAGGCAGGAGAATTGCTTGAACCCAGGAGGCAGAGGTTGCAGTGAGCCAAGATCGCGTCACTGCACTCCAGCCTGGCGAAAGAACAAAACTCTGTCTCAAAAAAAAAAAAAAAAAAGGTAACTAAGTTAAAATGAGTCATTGGGGTATACTTTTAAGAAGAGGTAATTAGGACACAGACAGACACAGAAGGAAGATTATGTGAAGACATAGGGAGGAGAAGCTGACCATCTAGAAGCCAAGGAGAAAAGTGTCAGAAGAAACCAATCCTGGTAACACCTTGATCTTGGACTTCCAGACGCCAGATTTGTGAAGAAATACATTTCTGTTGTTTAACCCACCCAGTCTGTGGTATTTTGTTATGGTAGCTCTAGCAAACTAATACCTATTTTTTTTTTTTTTTTTTTGAGACAGAGTCTCACTCTGTCGCCCAGGCTGGAGTGCAGTGGCACAATCTCGGCTCACTGCAAGCTCCGCCTCCCGGGTTCACGCCATTCTCCTGCCTCAGCCTCCCCAGTAGCTGGGACTACAGGCGCCCGCCGCCACGCCCGGCTAATTTTTTGTATTTTTAGTAGAGACAGGGTTTCACAGTGTTAGCCAGGATAGTCTCGATCTCCTGACCTCGTGATCAGCCTGCCTCAGCCTCCCAAAGTGCTGGCATTACAGGCATGAGCCACCGCGCCCAGCCACTAATACCTATTTTAATACCAAGAGTAGATCTAGAGAACAGAATCTTTTTTAAAATTTTTAATTGTTATAGGTACACAGTAGGTATATATATTTATAGGGTATATGCAGGTATTTTGACACTGGCATAAAATATGTAATAATCACATCAGGGTAAATGGGGTATCATCACCTCAAACATTTATCCTTTGTGCTACAAACAATCAAATTATAATCTTTTAGTTATTTTTAAATGTACAATTAAATTCTTATTGAGTACAGTCATCAAATGTTGTGCCATCAAATACTAGATCTTAGATCTTATTCTTTTTTTTTTTTGAGACAGGGTCTTGCTCTGTCACCCAGGGTGGAGTACAGTGGCGTGATCACAGTTCACTGCAGGCTCAATTTCTCTGGCTTAAGTGATCCTTCCACCTCAGCCTCCCAAGTGGCTGGGACTAGAGGCGTGTGCCACCGTGCCCAACTAATTTTATGTTTTGTAGAGAGGGAGTCTCACTGCGTTGTCCAGGCTGGTCTTAAACTCCTGGGCTCAAGTGATTCTCCCACCTTGGCCTCCCAAAGTGCTAGGATTACAGGCATGAGCCACTGCACCCAGCCCCTAATTTTTTGTACCCATTAACCATCTCCACCCTCCCCACCCCGACCCCCTTACTACCCTTCCCAGCCTCTGGTAACCATCCTTCTACTCTCTTATCCATGTTCAAATGTTTTAATTCTTAGCTCCCACAAATAAGCAAGAATATGTGAAGTTTCTCTTTCCCTGCCTGGCTTATTTCACTTAATGACCTCCAGTTCCATCCATGTTGTTGCAAATGACAGGATCTCATTCCTTTTTATGACTGAATAGTGCTCCATTGTGTATATGTATAGCACACTTTGCTTATCCATTTGTCTGTTGATGGACACTTAGGTTGCTTCCAAATCTTGGCTATTGTGAACGCAGCTGCAACAAACATGGGAGTGCAGAGATCTCTTCATTATGCAAATTTCCTTTCTTTTGGGTATATACCCGGCAGTGGGATTGCTGGATCATATGCTGCTAGCTCTATTTTTAGGTTTTAGGTTTTGTTTTGTTTTGAGACAGAGTTTCACTCTTGTCGCCCAGGCTGGAGTGCAGTGGCGCCATCTCGGCTCACTGCAACTTCTGCCTCCTGGGTTCAAGTGATTCTCCTGCCTCAGCCTCCTCAGTAGCTGGGATTACAGGTATGTGCCACCATGCCCGGCTAATTTTGTATTTTTAGTAGAGATGGGGTTTCACCACGTTGGCCAGGCTGGTCTTGAACTCCTGACGTCAGGTGATCCGCATGCCTCAGCCTCCCAAAGTGCTGGATTACAGGCGGACCCACCACGCCTGGCCTTATTTTTAGTTTTTTGAGGAACCTCCAAACTGTCCTTCATAGTGTTTGCATGAATTTACAATCCCACCAACAGTGTACAAGGATTCCCATTTCTCCACATCCTTGCCAGCATTCATTATTGCCTGTCTTTTGGATAAAAGCCATTTTAACTGGGGTGAGATTATATCTCACTGTAGTTTAATTTGCATTTCTCTGATGATCAATGATGTTGAACACCGTATGTATATGGAGAGAGAGAGAGACAGAGAGAGACTGGCTCTGTCGCCCAGGCTGGAGTGCAGTCGTGTGATCATGGCTCACTGCGGCCTCCGCCTCCCAGCTCAAGCGATCAGCTGGGACCACAGGCATGCACCACTATGCCCAACTAATGTTTTTTGTTTTCTTATAGAGTTGGGAATCTCACCATGTTGCCCAGACGGGTCTTGAACTCCTGGGCTCAAGTGATCTTCCTGCCTCGGCCTCCCAAAGTGTTGGGATTATAGGCATGAGCCACCGTGCCCTGCCAAGCACCATTTCATATAACTGTTTACCATTTGTATCTCTTCTTTTGAGATATGTCTATTCAAATCTTTTGCCTATTTTTAAATTGGATTATTAGATTTTTTTTCCTATGGAGTTGTTTGAGCTCCTTATATATTCTGGTTATTAATCTCTTGTCAGATGTGTAGTTTGCAAATATTTTCTCCCATTCTGTGGGTTTTCTCTTCACTTTGTTGTTTCTTTTGCTGTGCAGAAGCTCTTTAACTTGATGTGATCCTATTTGTCCATTTTTGCTTTGGTTGCCTGTACTTGTATTATTCAAGACATCTTTGCACAGTCCAATGTTTTGGAGTTTCCTCAATTTTGTTTTGCAGTAGTTTCATAGTTTGAGGTCTTAGATTTAAGTCTTTAATCCATTTTGATTTGATTTTTGTACATGGCAAGAGATAGGGATCTAGTTTCATTCTTCTGCACATAGATAGCCAGTTTTCCCAGCATCATTTATTGAAGACTCTCTTTTCCCCAGTGTATGTTCTTGGCACTTTTGTAAAAAATGAGTTCACTTTGGATTTATGGATTTGTTTCTGGGTTCTCTATTCTGTTCCATTGGTCTATGTGTCTGTTTTTATGCCAGTACCATGCTGTTTGGTTATTATAGCTCTGTAGTATAATTTGAAGTCAGGTAATGTGATTCCTTCAGTTTTGTTCTTTTTGCTTAGGATAGCTTTGGCTATTCTGGGTCTTTGTAGTTCCATATAGATTTTAGGATTTTTTTTTTCTATTTCTGCAGAGAATGTTGGTATTTTGATAGAGATTGCATTTAATATGTAGGTTGCTTTGGATAGTATGAACATTTTAACAATATTGATCCTTCCAATCTATGAATATGAAATATCTTTCCATTTTTTTGCATCCTCTTTAATTTCTTCCATCACTGTTTTATAGTTTTCATTGTAGAGATCTTTCACTTTTTTGGTTAATTTCTAGATGTTTAATTTTATTTGTAGCTATTGTAAATGGCATTACTTTCTTGATTTCTTTTTCAGATTGTTTATTGTTGGCATATAGAAATGCTACTGATTTTTGTACATTGATTTTGTATCCTGTAACTTTATTGAATTTATCAGTTTTAATAGCTTTTTAGTGGAGTCTTCAGGTTTTTCCAAATATAAGATCATATCATCTGCAAACAAGGATAATTTGACTTCTTCCTTTCCAATTTGCATGCTCTTTATTTCTTTCTCTTGTCTGATTGCTGTAGCTGGGACTTCCAGTACTATGTTGAATAGCAGTGGTGACAGTGGTCATCCTTGTCGTGTTCCAGATCTTACAGAAAAGGCTTTAAGTTTTTCCCCACTCAGTATGATACTAGCTGTGGGTCAGTGATGTGTGGCTTCATTATATTAAAGTATGTTCCTCCTATACGCAGTTTTTTGAGGGTTTTTATCATGAAGGGATGCTGAATTTTACCAAATGCTTTTTCAGCATCAATTAAAATGATCCTATGGTTTTTGTTCTTCATTCTGATGATACGCTGTATCATATTGACTGATTTGCATATGTTGAACCATCCTCGCATCACTGGGGTAAATCCCATTTGGTCAGGATGAATGATCTTTTTAATCTGTTATTAAATTCAGTCCTAGTATTTTGTTGAGGATTTTTGCATCAGTGTTCATCAGGGGTATTGGCCTGTAGTTGTCTTTCTTCTTTCTTCCTTCTTCCTTTTTCTTTCTTTCTCTTTTTTCTTTTTTAATGAGTCTTTGTCTGCTTTTGGTATCATGGTAATACTGGCCTCTTAGAATGAGTTTGGAAGTACTCCCTCCTCCTGTATTTTTCAGAATAGTTTGAGTGGTTGGTATCAGTTCTTCAAATGTTTGGTAAAATTTAACCGTGAAGCCATTGGGTTCTGGGCTTTTCTTTGCTGGGAGACTTTACTGCAGCTTTGATCTTGTTACTTGTTATTGGTGACCTGTTCACGTTTTGGATTTCTTCATGGTTCAGTCTTCGTAGGTTGTATGTATCTAGGAATTTATCCATTTCTTTTAGGTTTTCCAATTTATTGGCATATAGTTGATTATAGTAGCCTCTAATAATCCTGTGAATTTCTGCAGTATTAGTTGTAATGTCTCCTTTTTCATCTCTGATTTTATTTGGATCTTCTCTCTTTTTTTCTTAGTCTGGCTAAAGGTTTGTCAAGTTTATCTTTTCAAAAAAACCAACTTTTTGTTTCATTGATCTTTTGTATTGTTGTCTTTGTTTCAATTCCATTTATTTCTGCTCTGATCTTTATTATTTCTTTTCTTCTCCCAACTTTGGGTTTGGTTTGCTCTTGCTCTTCTAGTTCTTTAAGATGGATCATTAGGTTGTGAAGTTTTCCTTCTTTTTTGATGTAGGCGCTCATAGCTATAAACTTCTCTCTTAACACTGCTTTTGCTGTATTTCATAGGTTTTGGTATGTTGTGTTTCCATTATCATTTGTTTCAAGAAATTTTTCAATTTCCTTCCTAACCTCTTCATTGACCCACTGGTCATTCAGGAGCATATTGTTTAATTTCCATGTATTTGTATAGTTTCCTTAATTTCTTGTCATTGATTTATATTTTTATCCTATTGTGGTCAGAGAAAATTGATATCATTTCAATTTTTTTGAATTTTTGTTGTTGTTGTTGTTGTTTTTTGAGACAGAGTCTCGCTCTGCCACCCAGGCTCTGGTATTTTGATAGAGATTGCATTTAATATGTAGGTTGCTTTGGATAGCATGAACATTTTAACAATATTGATCCTTCCAATCTATGAATATGAAATATCTGGAGTGCAATGGCGTGGTCACAGCTCACTGCAACCTCCACCTCCCAGGTTCAACCGATTCTTCTGCCTCAGCCTCTCAAGTAGCTGGGATTACAGGTGCCTGCCACCACGCCTGGCTAATTTTTGTATTTTTAGTAGAGATGGGGTTTCACCATGTTGTCCAGGCTGGTCTCAAATTCCTGACCTCGTGATCCACTCGTCTCGGCCTCCCAAAGTGCTGGGATTACAGGCATGAGCCACCGCGCCCAGCCTTGAATGTTTTAAGACTTGTTTTGTGGCCTAACATATGGTGTACTCTTGAGAATGATCCATGTGCTGAGAAGAATGTGTTCTGCAGCCATTGGATGAAATGTTCTCTGAATGTCTGTTAGGTCCATTTGTTCTACAGTGCAGATTCAGTTTGATGTTTCTTTGTTGATTGTGTCTGGCAGATTTATCCAATGGTGAAGGTGGAGTGTTGAAGTCTCCAGCTATTATTGTATTGGGGTCTATCTCTCTCTTTAGCTCTAACAACATTTGCTTTACATATCTGGGTGCTCCAGTGTTGGGTGCATATAATTAAAATTGTTATATCCTCTTGCTGAATTGATCCTTTTATCATTATATAATGATATATATACATATAAAATGATAAGGAAATAAAGGAGAGACCTCCTTTGTCTCTTTTTATAGCTTCTGTCTTGAACTCTATTTTGCCTGATATAAGTATAGCTACTCCTGCTTTTTTTGTTGCTTCTGTCTTCATGGAATATATTTTTCCATCCCTTTATTTTCAGTCTGTGTGTGTATTAGAGGTGAAGTGTGTTTCTTGTAGGCAATAGATTATTGTGTCTTTTTTCTTTAAATCCGTTTAGCCACTCTATGTCTTTTGATTGGAGAGTTTAGTCCTTTTACATTCAATGCTCTTATCAATAAGTAACAACTTAACTCCTGCCATTTAGTTATTTGTTTTCTGATAGTTTTGTGATCTTCTCTTCCTTCTTTCCTTCCTTCCAGTCTTGCTTTTAGTGAAGGTGATTTTCTCTGGTAATATGTTTTAATATTCTGCTTTTTATTTTTTGTGTATCGTTGTATGTTTTTAGATTTGAGGCTATCATGAGGCTTGAAAGTATAACCCATTATTTTAAACTAATGGCAAGTTAACACCAATTGCATAAACAAGCAAAAAGAAAAGTAATGAAACCTCTACACTTTTTTTTTTTTAAACAGGGTCTCACTGTGTTGCCCAGGCTGGAATGCAGTGGTACAATCCCAGCTCACTGCAGTCTCAAACTCCTGGGCTCAGGTAATTCTCTTGCCTCAGCTTCCCAAGTAGCTGGGACCACAGGTGTGCACCACCATGCCCGGCTAATTCTTGTATTTTTTGTAGAGACAGGGTTTTGCCATGCTTCCCGGGCTGGTCTCAAACTGCTAGGCTCAAGTGATCCACCTGCCTTGGCCTCCCAAAGTGCTAAGATTATAGACGTGAGCGACTGCACCTGACTTCTTGTTTTCTAACTTTTTGTTGTTTCTATTTATATATTATTGTACTAGCTATGTCTCAAAAAGTTTAGTTATTATTTTTTGATTAGCTCATCTTTTCATCTTACTACAATTAAGTGTTATAATATTCTGTGTTTTTCTGTGTACTTACTAATACCAGTGAGTTTTGTACCTTCAGATCATTTCTTATTGTTCATTAATGTTCTTTTCTCTGAGACTGGTGAACTCTCTTTAGCATTTCTTGTGAGACAGGTCTGGTGTTGATGAAATCCGTTAGCTTTTGTTTATCTGGGGAAGTCTTTATTTCTACTTTACGTTTGAAGGATATATTTACTGGATATACTATTCGAGGATAAAAGTTTTTTTCTGGCCAGGTGTGGTGGCTCATGCCTGTAATCCCAGAACTTTGGGAGGCTGAGGTGGGCGGATCACCTGAGGTCAGGAGTTCAAGACCAGCCTGGCCAACATGGTAAAACCCCGTCTCTACAAAAATACAAAAATTAGCTGGGCATGATGGCGGGTGCCTGCAATCCCAGCTACTTGGGAGGCTGAGGCAGGAGAATCACTTGAACCTGGGAGGCAGAGGTTGCAGTGAGCCAAGATCACGCCACTGCACTCCAGCCTGGGTGACAGAGCAAGACTCTGTCTCAAAAAAAAAGGTTTTTTCCTTCAGCACTTTAAATATGTCAGAGAGTTGCCTATAAGGTTTCACTGAAAAGTCTGCTGTGACTACAGGTGCCTGCCACCACTACTGGTTAATTTTGTATTTTTAGTAGAGATGGAGTTTCACTGTGTTGGCCAGGCTGGTCTTGAACTCCTGACCTCAGGTGATCCGCCCTCCTCAGCCTCCCAAAGTGCTGGGATTACAAGCGTGAGCCACCACACCTGGCCAAAGTGTACACTTTAAATGTGTGAACTGTATAATATGTGACTGAGACAGAGTCTCACTCTGTTTCCCAGGGTGGAGTGAGTGGTGCTATCTTGGCTCACTGCAGCCTCTGCCTCCTGGGTTCCAGTGATTCTCATGCCTCAGCCTCCTGAGTAGCTAGGATTACAGGGGTACACCACCACACCTGACTAATTTGTGTATTTTTGGTAGAGACTGGGTTTTTCCATGTTGCCCAGGCTGTTCTCAAACCCCTGACCTCAGGTGATCCACCCACCTCGGCCTCCCAAAGTGCTAGGATTACAGGCATGAGCCACCGCATTCAGCCTTGAATTATATTTCAAAAAAGGTGTCTAAAAAAAACTAAAAGAAAGGTTGCAAAACAATTATATAAGTTTCCACTTTAAGAAACTAGAAGCCGAGGCAACATAGTGAGACCTCATCTCTAATACAAAGAATTTTAAAAATTAGCTGGGTGTGGTGGTGTGCACCTGTAGTCCCAACTATTTGGGAGGCTGAGGCAGGAGGATCACTTGAGCCTGGGAGATTGAGGCAGTAGTGAGCCATGAATGCACCACTGCACTCCAGCCTAGGTGACAGAGTGAGACTCTGTCTAAAAAAATAAAAAAGAAAATAAATAAATTTAAAAGTAAAAAAAAAGAGAAACTAGAAAAAGAAGAAATTAAACCAAACTCAGAAGAAAATAAAGAGCACAAATCAATGAAATTAAGAACAGAAAAATTAATAGAAACATCAATACACACTCTAAAGACATTAAAAGGATAATAAGGCAATGGTAGGAACAACTCTATGCCCATAAATTTGGATTTAGATAAAGGGGAGAAATTCCTGGAAAGACACAAGCTACCAAAGTGTTTTAGTCTGTTCTCACATTGCTATAAAGAACTACCCAAGACTGGGTAATTTATGAAGAAAAGAGGTCTAATTGACTCAGTTCTGCAGGCTCTACAAGAAGCATGGCTGGGAAGCCTCAGGAAACTTAAAATTGTGGCAGAAGGCAAAGGGGAAGCAGGCACATCTTCACATGGTGGAGAAGGAGAGAGAGCAAAGGGGAAGGTGCCACACACTTTTAAACAATCAGATTCCACAAGAACTCACTCACTATCATGAGAACAGCAAGGGCAAAATCTGCCCCTGTGATGCAAACACTTCCTACCGGATTCCTCCAACACTGAGGATTACAATTCAACATGAGATTTAGGTAGGGACACAGAGCCAAACCATGTCATTCCACCCCAGAGCCCTCCCAAATCTCATGTCCTTCTCACATTTCAAAACACAATCATGCCTTTCAAACAGTCCATCAGTCTTAACTCATTCCATCAGTAACTCAAAAGTCCAAGTCCATAGTCTCATGTGAGACAAGGCAAGTCCCTTCTGCCTATGAGCCTGTAAAATCAAAAACAAGTTACTTACTTCCAAGATACAATGGGTGTACCAACATTGGCTAAATGCTCCCATTTCAAATGGGATAAATTGGCCAAAACAAAGGGCCTACAGGCCCCATTCAAGTCTGAAATGCAGCAGGGCAATCATTAGGTCTTAAAGCTCCAAAATAATCTTCTTTGACTCCATGTCTCACATCCAGGCCACATTGATGCAATGGGTGGGCTCCTAAGCTCTTGGGCAGCTTTGCCCCAGTGGCTGTGCAGAGTACAGCAACTGCAGCTGCTTCCACAGGCTGGCATTGAGTGCCTGAAGCTTTTCAAGGTGCATGGTGCAAGCTGTCAGTGGATCTGCCATTCGGAGGTCTGGAGGGCAGTAGCCCTCTTCTCACAGCTCCACTAGACAGTGCCCCAGTGGGGACTCTGTGTGTGGGTTCCTATTCCACATTTCCCCTCTGCACTGCCCTAGTAAAGGTTCTACATGAGGGCTCTGCCCCTGTAACAGACTTCTGCCTGGACGTCCAGGTGTTTCCATACAACCTCTGAAACCTAGGCAGAGGCTCCCAAGCCTCAATTCTTGCCCTCTGTGCACCCTCAGGCTTAACACCATGTGGAAACCTTGGTGGTTTCCAGCTTGCACTCTCTGGAGCAGTGACCTGAGCCACATCTGGGGCCCTTTTAGGCACAGCTGAAGCTGGAGTGGCTGGGATGCAGGGCACCCTGACCTGAGTCTGCACAGAACAGCAGGGCCCTCAGCCTGGCCCATGAAACCATTCTTCCCTCCTAGGCCTCCAGGCCTGTGATGGGAAGGGCTGCCATAAAGGTCTCTGAAATGGCTTTGAGGCATTTTCCCTATTGTCTTGGCTATTAACATTTGGCTCCTCTTTTCTTATGTGAATTTCTGCAGCTGGCTTGAATTCCTCCACAGAAAATAAGCTTTTCTTTTCTATCACATGCAGGCTGCAAATTTTTCAAACTTCTCTGCTCTGCTTCCCTTTTAAATATAAGTTTCAGTTTTAGACCATCTCTTTGCTCATGAATATAAGTATACACTGTTAGAAGCAGCCAGGCAGGGCCGGGTGCAGTGGCTCACGCCTGTAATTCCAGCACTTTGGGAGGCCAATGCAGGCAGATCACGAGATCAGGAGTTCGAGACCAGTCTGGCCAACATAGTGAAAGCCTGTCTCTACTAAAAATACAAAAAAAAAAAATTAGCCAGGTATGGTAGTGTGCACCTGTAATCCCAACTACTTGGGAGGTTATGGCAGGAGAATCATGTGAACCAAGGAGGCAGAGTTTGCAGTGAGCCGAGATCATGCCATTTTACTCCAGACCGGGCAAGAGTGCGAGACTCTGTCTCAAAAAATAAAGCAGCCAGGCCACATCTTGAAAGCTTTGCTGCTTAGACGTTTCTTCTGCCGGATACCCTAAATCATCTTTCTCAAGTTCAAAGTTCCACAGATACCTAGAGCAGGGGCACAATGCTCCATTCTATTTACTAAAGCATAGCAAGAGTGACCTTTACTCCAGTTCCCAATAAGCTCCTCATCTCCATCTAAGACCACCTCAGCCTGGACTTCATTTTCTATATCACTATCGGCATTTTGGTCACAACAATTTAATAAGTCTCTAGGAGGTTCCAAACTTTGTTTCATCATCCCTTTTCTTCTGAGCCCTCAAAAGTGTTCCAACCTCTGCTCATGACCCAACTTCAAAGCTTCTTCCACATTTTCAGGTATCTTTATAGCAATGTCCCACTTCTCTGGTACCAATTTTCTTTTTCTTTTTTTTCCTGAGAAGGAGTCTCACTCTGCTGCCCAGGCTGGAGCGCAGTGGCATGATCTTGGCTCACTGCAAGTTCCACCACCCGGGTTCACACCATTCTCCTGCCTCAGCCTCCCGAGTAGCTGGGACTACAGGTGCCCGCCACCACACCCGGCTATTTTTTTTTTTTTTTTTTGTATTTTTAGTAGAGACAGGGTTTCACCATTTTAGCCAGGATGGTCTTGATCTCCTGACCTCATGATCCACCTGCCTTGGCCTCCCAAAGTGCTGGGATTACAGGCATGAGCCACTGCACCTGGCCCTCTGGTACCAATTTTCTGTATTAGTTCATTCTCCTGTTGCTACAAATAACTACCTGACTGGGTAATTTATGAAGAAAAGAGGTTTAATTCACTCACATTTCCACAGGCTGTATAAGAAGCATGGCTGGGGAGACCTCAGGTAACTTACAACCATGGTGGTAGGTGAAGCGGAGGCAGGCACATCTTCATATGGCGGAGCAGGACAGAGAGCAAAGGGGAAGGTGACACACACTTTTAAACAACAAGATCTTATGAGAACTCACTCATTATCATGAGAACAGCAAGGGGGAAGTCTGCCCCTGTGATCCCTCTAGGGATCCCTGCCCACTAGGTCCCTCCCCCAACACTGGGAATTACAATTCAACATGAGTTTTGGGTGAGGACACAGAGCCAAATCATATTATACAGCTTAACAAAGATTAAATAACCTGGTTAGTTTGTATCTATTATAGAAATTGAATTTATAATTTAAAACCTTTTAGCAATAAAAACTACAGGTGCACATATCTTCACTGGCAAATTCTACCAATTACGTAAGGAAAAATATCAAGTCTACACAAACTCTTTTAGGCTATAAAGAACAAGAAACACTTCCCGATTCATTTGCTAAGGTCATCATTACCTGACACCAAGACCAAAAACATTACAGAAAAAGAAAACTAGAGGCCAATATCCCTCATAAATACAGATGTGAAAATTCTCAACAAATTACTGGCAAATTGAATCTAATTATACATGAAAAGAATAAATCATCATGGCCAACTAAGGTTTATCCCAAGAATGGAAGGCTGGTTCAGCCTTTGAAAAGTCAATCAGAGAAAGGAGAAAAGGCTGGGGAGGAGCCAAGATGGCCGAATAGGAACAGCTCCGGTCTACCGCTCCCAGCGTGAGCGACACAGAAGACGGGTGATTTCTGCATTTCCATCAGAGGTACCGGGTTCATCTCACTAGGGAGTGCCAGACAGTGGGCGCAGGTCAGTGGGTGCGCGCACCGTGCGCGAGCTGAAGCAGGGCGAGGCATTGCCTCACTTGGGAAGCGCAAGGGGTCAGGGACTTCCCTTTCCGAGTCAAAGAAAGGGGTGAGGGACGCACCTGGAAAATCGGGTCACTCCCACCCGAATATTGCGCTTTTCGGACCGGCTTAAAAAACAGCGCACCACGAGATTATATCCCGCACCTGGCTCAGAGGGTCATACGCCCATGGAGTCTCGCTGATTGCTAGCACAGCAGTCTGAGATCAAACTGCAAGGTGGCAGCGAGGCTGGGGGAGGGGCGCCCGCCATTGCCCAGGCTTCCTTAGGTAAACAAAGCAGCCTGGAAGCTCGAACTGGGTGGAGCCCACAGCAGCTCAAGGAGGCCTGCCTGCCTCTGTAGGCTCCACCTCTGGGGGCAGGGCACAGACAAACAAAAAGACAGCAGTAACCTCTGCAGACTTAAATGTCCCTGTCTGACAGCTTTGAAGAGAGCAGTGGTTCTCCCAGCACGCAGCTGGAGATCTGAGAACGGGCAGACTGCCTCCTCAAGTGGGTCCCTGACCCCTGACCCCCGAGCAGCCTAACTGGGAGGCACCCCCCAGCAGGGGCACACTGACACCTCACACGGCAGGGTATTCCAACAGACCTGCAGCTGAGGGTCCTGTCTGTTAGAAGGAAAACTAACAAACAGAAAGGACATCCACACCAAAAACCCATCTGTACATCACCATCATCAAAGACCAAAAGTAGATAAAACCACAAAGATGGGGAAAAAACAGAACAGAAAAACTGGAAACTCTAAAACGCAGAGCATCTCTCCTCCTCCAAAGGAACGCAGTTCCTCACCAGCAACGGAACAAAGCTGGATGGAGAATGACTTTGACGAGCTGAGAGAAGAAGGCTTCAGACGATCAAATTACTCTGAGCTACGGGAGGACATTCAAACCAAAGGCAAAGAAGTTGACAACTTTGAAAAAAATTTAGAAGAATGTATAACTAGAATAACCAATACAGAGAAGTGCTTAAAGGAGCTGATGGAGCTGAAAACCAAGGCTCGAGAACTACGTGAAGAATGCAGAAGCCTCAGGAGCTGATGCGATCAACTGGAAGAAAGGGTATCAGCGATGGAAGATGAAATGAATGAAATGAAGCGAGAAGGGAAGTTTAGAGAAAAAAGAATAAAAAGAAATGAGCAAAGCCTCCAAGAAATATGGGACTATGTGAAAAGACCAAATCTACATCTGATTGGTGTACCTGAAAGTGATGGGGAGAATGGAACCAAGTTGGAAAACACTCTGCAGGATATTATCCAGGAGAACTTCCCCAATCTAGCAAGGCAGGCCAACGTTCAGATTCAGGAAATACAGAGAACGCCACAAAGATACTCCTTGAGAAGAGCAACTCCAAGACACATAATTGTCAGATTCACCAAAGTTGAAATGAAGGAAAAAATGTTAAGGGCAGCCAGAGAGAAAGGTCGGGTTACCCTCAAAGGGAAGCCCATCAGACTAACAGCGGATCTCTCGGCAGAAACCCTACAAGCCAGAAGAGAGTGGGGGCCAATATTCAACATTCTTAAAGGAAAGAATTTTCAACCCAGAATTTCATATCCAGCCAAACTAAGCTTCATAAGTGAAGGAGAAATAAAATACTTTACAGACAAGCAAATGCTGAGAGATTTTGTCACCACCAGGCCTGCCCTAAAAGAGCTCCTGAAGGAAGAGCTAAACATGGAAAGGAACAACCAGTACCAGCCGCTGCAAAATCATGCCAAAATGTAAAGACCATCGAGACTAGGAAGAAACTGCATCAACTAACGAGCAAAATCACCAGCTAACATCATAATGAGAGGATCAAATTCACACATAACAATATTAACTTTAAATGTAAATGGACTAAATGCTCCAATTAAAAGACACAGACTGGCAAATTGGATAAAGAGTCAAGACCCATCAGTGTGCTGTATTCAGGAAACCCATCTCATGTGCAGAGACACACATAGGCTCAAAATAAAAAGATGGAGGAAGATCTACCAAGCAAATGGAAAACAAAAAAAGGCAGGGGTTGCAATCCTAGTGTCTGATAAAACAGACTTTAAACCAACAAGGATCAAAAGAGACAAAGAAGGCCATTACATAATGGTAAAAGGATCAATTCAACAAGAAGAGCTAACTATCCTAAATATATATGCACCCAATACAGGAGCACCCAGATTCATAAAGCAAGTCCTGAGTGACCTACAAAGAGACTTAGACTCCCACACATTAATAATGGGAGACTTTAACACCCCACTGTCAACATTAGACAGATCAACGAGACAGAAAGTCAACAAGGATACCCAGGAATTGAACTCAGCTCTGCACCAAGCGGACCTAATAGACATCTACAGAACTCTCCACCCCAAATCAACAGAATATACATTTTTTTCAGCACCACACCACACCTATTCCAAAATTGACCACATAGTTGGAAGTAAAGCTCTCCTCAGCAAATGTAAAAGAACAGAAATTATAACAAACTATCTCTCAGACCACAGTGCAATCAAACTAGAACTCAGGATTAAGAATCTCACTCAAAACCGCTCAACTACATGGAAACTGAACAACCTGCTCCTGAATGACTACTGGATACATAACGAAATGAAGGCAGAAATAAAGATGTTCTTTGAAACCAATGAGAACAAAGACACAACATACCAGAATCTCTGGGACGCATTCAAAGCAGTGTGTAGAGGGAAATTTATAGCACTAAATGCCCACAAGAGAAAGCAGGAAAGATCCAAAATTGACACCCTAACATCACAATTAAAAGAACTAGAAAAGCAAGAGCAAACACATTCAAAAGCTAGCAGAAGGCAAGAAATAACTAAAACCAGAGCAGAACTGAAGGAAATAGAGACACAAAAAACCCTTCAAAAAATTAATGAATCCAGGAGCTGGTTTTTTGAAAGGATCAACAAAATTGATAGACTGCTAGCAAGACTAATAAAGAAAAAAAGAGAGAAGAATCAAATAGACACAATAAAAAATGATAAAGGGGATATCACCACCGATCCCACAGAAATACAAACTACCATCAGAGAATACTACAAACACCTCTACGCAAATAAACTAGAAAATCTAGAAGAAATGGATAAATTCCTCAACACATACACTCTCCCAAGACTAAACCAGGAAGAAGTTGAATCTCTGAATAGACCAATAACAGGAGCTGAAATTGTGGCAATAATCAATAGTTTACCAACCAAAAAGAGTCCAGGACCAGATGGATTCACAGCCGAATTCTATCAGAGGTACAAGGAGGAACTGGTACCATTCCTTCTGAAACTATTCCAATCAATAGAAAAAGAGGGAATCCTCCCTAACTCATTTTATGAGGCCAGCATCATTCTGATACCAAAGCCAGGCAGAGACACAACCAAAAAAGAGAATTTTAGACCAATATCCTTGATGAACATTGATGCAAAAATCCTCAATAAAATACTGGCAAAACGAATCCAGCAGCACATCAAAAAGCTTATCCACCATGATCAAGTGGGCTTCATCCCTGGGATGCAAGGCTGGTTCAATATATGCAAATCAATAAATGTAATCCAGCATATAAACAGAGCCAAAGACAAAAACCACATGATTATCTCAATAGATGCAGAAAAAGCCTTTGACAAAATTCAACAACCCTTCATGCTAAAAACTCTCAATAAATTAGGTATTGATGGGACGTATTTCAAAATAATAAGAGCTATCTATGACAAACCCACAGCCAATATCATACTGAATGGGCAAAAACTGGAAGCATTCCCTTTGAAAACTGGCACAAGACAGGGATGCCCTCTCTCACCACTCCTATTCAACATAGTGTTGGAAGTTCTGGCCAGGGCAATTAGGCAGGAGAAGAAAAGAAAGGGTATTCAATTAGGAAAAGAGGAAGTCAAATTGTCCCTGTTTGCAGATGACATGATTGTATATCTAGAAAACCCCATTGTCTCAGCCCAAAATCTCCTTAAGCTGATAAGCAACTTCAGCAAAGTCTCAGGATATAAAATCAATGTACAAAAATCACAAGCATTCTTATACACCAATAACAGACAAACAGAGAGCCAAATCATGAGTGAACTCTCATTCACAATTGCTTCAAAGAGAATAAAATACCTAGGAATCCAACTTACAAGGGAGGTGAAGGACCTCTTCAAGGAGAACTACAAACCACTGCTCAAGGAAATAAAAGAGGATACAAACAAATGGAAGAACATTCCATGCTCATGGGTAGGAAGAATCAATATCGTGAAAATGGCCATACTGCCCAAGGTAATTTACAGATTCAATGCCATCCCCATCAAGCTACCAATGACTTTCTTCACAGAATTGGAAAAAACTACTTTAAAGTTCATACGGAACCAAAAAAGAGCCCGCATTGCCAAGGCAATCCTAAGCCAAAAGAACAAAGCTGGAGGCATCACACTACCTGACTTCAAACTATACTACAAGGCTACAGTAACCAAAACAGCATGGTACTGGTACCAAAACAGAGATATAGATCAATGGAACAGAACAGAGCCCTCAGAAATAATGCCGCATATCTATAACTATCTGATCTTTGACAAACCTGAGAAAAAGAAGCAATAGGGAAAGGATTCCGTATTTAATAAATGGTGCGGGGAAAACTGGCTAGCCGTATGTAGAAAGCTGAAACTGGATCCCTTCCTTACACCTTATACAAAAATCAATGCAAGATGGATTAAAGACTTAAACGTTAGACCTAAAACCATAAAAACCCTAGAAGAAAACCTAGGCATCACCATTCAAGACATAGGCATGGGCAAGGACTTCATGTCCAAAACACCAAAAGCAATGGCAACAAAAGACAAAATTGACAAATGGGATCTAATTAAACTAAAGAGCTTCTGCACAGCAAAAGAAACTACCATGAGAGTGAACAGGCAACCTACAAAATGGGAGAAAATTTTCACAACCTACTCATCTGACAAAGGGCTAATATCCAGAATCTACAATGAACTCAAACAAATTTACAAGAAAAAAACAAACAACCCCATCAAAAAGTGGGCGAAGGACATGAACAGACACTTCTCAAAAGAAGACATTTATGCAGCCAAAAAACACATGAAAAAATGCTAATCATCACTGGCCATCAGAGAAATGCAAATCAAAACCGCAATGAGATACCATCTCACACCAGTTAGAACGGCAATCATTAAAAAGTCAGGAAACAACAGGTGCTGGAGAGGACGTGGAGAAATAGGAACACTTTTACACTGTTGGTGGGACTGTAAACTAGTTCAACCATTGTGGAAGTCAGTGTGGTGATTCCTCAGGGATCTAGAACTAGAAATACCATTTGACCCAGACATCCCATTACTGGGTATATACCCAAAGGACTATAAATCATGCTGCTATAAAGACACATGCACACGTATGTTTATTGCGGCATTATTCACAATAGCAAAGACTTGGAACCAACCCAAATGTCCAACAATGATAGACTGGATTAAGAAAATGTGGCACATATACACCATGGAATACTATGCAGCCATAAAAAATGATGAGTTTATGTCCTTTGTAGGGACATGGATGAAACTGGAAATCATCATTCTCAGTAAACTATCGCAAGAACAAAAAACCAAACACCGCATATTCTCACTCATAGGTGGGAATTGAACAATGAGATCACATGGACACAGGAAGGGGAATATCACACTCTGGGGACTATGGTGGGGTGGGGGGAGGGGGGAGGGATAGCATTGGGAGATATACCTAATGCTAGATGACGAGTTAGTGGGTGCAGTGCACCAGCGTGGCACATGTATACATATGTAACTAACCTGCACAATGTGCACATGTACCCTAAAACTTAAATTAAAAAAAAAAAGAAAAGTCAATCAATGTAATCCACCATATTGACAGGTATAAATATATAACAATACATAACATTTTTGTAGCAAAAACAAAGTCAAAAGAAAAATGATAAACTGGCAGAAAATATATGTGACATACATCACCAAGGGGCAAAAATCCTAATTTATATGAAGAACTCTTTAAAATGTTGACAATGTCCAAAAATCCTATAGATAAATGGAAAAAAGATATTTGAACAGACAGTTCACAAATAGATTTTTTTTTTGAGACAGAGTTTCATTTGTCACTCAGGCTGGAGTGTAGTGGCACGATCTCAGCTCACTGCAACCTCCACCTCCCAAGTTCAAGCAATTCTCCTGCCTCAGCCTCCTGAGTACTGGGATTACAGGTGCCTGCCACCACGTCCCACTAATTTTTGTGTTTTTAGTAGTGACACAGTTTTGCCGTGTTGACCAGGCTGTTCTCAAACTGCTTACCTCAGATGATCTGCCCACATTGGCCTCCCAAAGTGCTGGGATTACAGGTGTGAGCCACCACACCTGGCTGAGATATTAAAAGATGTACTAGAAACATGATGTTCAAGTTCACTTGCAATAAGAGAAAAGGCAAATTAAAACTACAATGAGACTCCATTTCTAATTGATCACATTGCAAAGATTCAAAAGTTTAACAGTCCCCTCTGGTGGTACAGTGGTGGGGTAGAGAAACAAGCACTTTCACATATTGTTGGTGGTTCACTTAGGTCTTTTATTTTTTGAGACAGAGTGTCACTCTGTTGCCCAGGCTGCAGTGCAGTGGCGCGATCTTGGCTCACTGCAAACTCCACCTCCTGGGTTCAAGTGATTCTCCTGCCTCAGCCTCCTGAGTAGCTGGAATTACAGGTGTGCGCCACCATGCCTGGCTCATTTTTGTATTTTTAGTAGAGACAGGTATTCACTATATTGGTCAGGCTGGTCTCGAACTCCTGACCTCAAGTCATCCACCTGCCTTGGCCTCCCAAAGTGCTGGGATTACAGGTGTGAGCCACTGCGCCTGGCCTGGTCTTAACATTTAATCATAAAAAGGTGTTTTCAGAACCCCAGAGTTAGGACCCCCGTTCAAAGGCTGCATCAGGTCCCAAAAATGCTTTGTCCTGTTCTGCCTCAGTTACATGAGCAAAGATTACAGGAAACTTTTCAGCGACAAGGTCTCAAAGTCATTTATTTCCCTGTTGATGTTTTAAAAATACCCTTAAACAAGTAAGCCATTGTTGAAAATGTGCTCACCCTTAGGTATTAAACAATAAATATTAGTCTTGCTTATTGACTGTTACACATGAAAACATGCTACGAGTTTAGAATTTGGAAATGAACCAGCAGAGTCTGGGGCTCAAAGAAATCTCTCTCTTTGCTTCCTCCCGCCAGCTATCTACTCTGTGTCACTTGGCTAGTCCTGTACATTTCAAACCTGTTTCTCTTCCATTACCCAGATACTTCTGGTGCCAGATACTATTGAACACGGATATATTGTGATACATCCTTTAATCCTGCACCTTTACAGTAAACCTATCTTTACCAGATTGAGGCTCCTGCTGGAGGCCAGCTGGCTATGAAAGAGTGAATGAAAGCAATGCTTTCTTGAGCTCTGCTGCTTCAACTTAAAGGCACCTAGGAATCAACTAGGGACCTTGTTCAAATGCAGATTCTTTTTTTTTCTTTTTGAGATGGACTCTCGCTCTGTTGCTCAGGCTGGAGTGCAGTGGCACAATCTTGGCTCACTCCCAGGTTCAAGCAATTCTCATGCCTCAGCCTCCCAAGTAGCTGGGATGCCTGCCACCAAGCCTGGCTAATTTTTTTTTTTTTTTTTTTTTTTTTTTTGTAGAGATGGGGTTTTACCATGTTGGCCAAACTGGTCTCAAACCCCTGACCTCAAGTGATCTGCCTGCATTGGCCTCCCAAAGTGCTGGGATTACAGGCATGAGCCACTGCGCCCAGCCTCAAGTGCAGATTCTGATTCAAGTAGGCCTTGGGAGGGTTCTGAGACTGCATTTTTACCAAGCTTGTGGCTGGATCCACTGACTAGGCTTTGCCAAGCAAGGGGCCATGAAAGAAATTTGGGTAGGCTCCCCAGCGTTGGTGACACAACTCAGTCTTCCTATCCCATCCAAATCCCCCAAGCCCTCCACATTCAATCACCAACCCTCCTCTCCACCTCCCCTGCTCTAGTTTGGACCCTGATCACCCTCACAGGAATTATTGCAAAACTCTCCTGATTTAATCTCCTTGCCTTTTTTCCTCTTTAATCCTGTTTTTGAGGTTGCACAGAGATCTTTCTAAGATGCAAACCTTGGCCAGGCATGGTGGCTCATGCCTGTAACCCCAGCACTTTGGGAGGCTGAGGTGGGTGGATCACCTGGGGCCAGGAGTTCGAGACCAGCCTGGCCAACATGGTACAATCCCATCCAGTAAAAATGCAAAAATTAGCCAGGTATGGTGACACACACCTGTAATCCCAGCTACTTGGGAGGCTGAGGCAGGAGAATCACTTGAACCTGGGAGGTAGAGTATATTCGTCTGTTCTCACGCTGCTAATAAAGACATACCCAAGACTGGGTAATTTATACAGAAAAGAAGTTTAATTGACTTACAGTTCCATATGGTTGGGGAGGCCTCACGATCATGGAAGAAGGTGAATGAGGAGCAAAGTCACATCTTATACAGTGGCAGGAAAGAGAGCTTGTGCAGGGGAACTCCCATTTACAAAACCATCAGATCTCATGAGATTTATTCACTACTGTGAGAACAGTATGGGGGAAACCATCCCCATCATTCAATTATCTCCACCTAGTCCCGCCCTTGACACATGGGAATTATTACAGTTCAAGGTGAGATTTGGGTGGGGACACAGAGCCAAACCATATCATTTTGCCCCTGGCCCCTCCCAAATCTCATGTCTTCATATTTCAAAACTAATCATGCCTTCCCAACAGTCCTCCAAAGTCTTAACTCATTTTAGCATTAACCCAAAAGTCCAAGTCCAAAGTCTTATCTGAGACAAGACAAGTCCCTTCTGCCTATGAGCCTGTAAAACCAAAAGCAAGTTAGTTACTTCCTAGATACAATGGGGGTACAGGCATTTGGTAAATACACCTGTTCCAAATGGGAGAAATTGGCCAAAATCAAGGCTCCATGCAAGTCCAAACTCCAGCAAGGCAGTCATTAAATCTTAAAGCTCCAAAATGATCTCCTTTGACTCCATGTCTCACATCCAGGTCACACTGATACAAGAGGTGGGTCTTTATGGTCTTGGGCAGCTCCACCCTGTGGTTTTGCAGGGTACAGCCCCACTCCTGGCTGCTTTCATTGGCTGGTGTTGAGTATCTGTGGCTTTTCCAGGCCCACAGTCCAAGCTGTTGGTAGGTCGACCATTCTGTGATCTGGAGGACAGTGGCCCTCCTCTCACAGCTCCACTAGGTGGTGCCCTAGTGGGGACTCTGTGTGGGGACTCTGACCCCACGTTTCCCTTCCACACTGCACTAGCAGAGGTTCTTCATGAGGGCACCGCCTCTGCAGCACACCCCTACCTGGACATCCTGGCATTTCCATACATCCTCTGAAATCTAGGCAGAGGTTCCCAAACCTCAATTATTGACTCCTGTGCACCCACAGGCCCAATACCAGGTTGAAGCTGCCAAGGTTTGGGGCTTCACCCTCTGAAGCAATGGCCTGAGTTCTACATTGGCCCCTTTCAGCCACGGCTGGGACACAGGGCACCAAGTCCCCAGATTACACAAAGCAACGGGGCCCTGAATCCGGCCCAGGAAACCATGTTTTCCTCCTAGGCCTCCAGGCTTGTGATGGGAGGGGCTGCCATGAAGACCTCTGACATGTTCTGGAGACATTTTCTCCATTGCCTTAGTGATTAACATTTGGCTCCTAGTTACTTACACAAATTTCTGCAGTGGGTTGAATTTTCCCCTCAGAAAATGGGTTTTTCTTTTCTGTGGCATCATCGGGCTGCAAATTTTCCTAACTTTTATGCTCTGCTTCCCTTTTAAACAGAAGTTCCAATTCCAAACCATGTCTTTGTGAATACATAAAACTGAATTTTTTTTTTGAGACTGAGTCTCACCTTTTTTAAGTCTCACTTTTTTTTTTTTTTCCGAGACTGAGTCTCACCCAGGCTGGAGTGGCACAATCTCTGCTCACTGCAACCTCTGCCTCCCAGGTTCAAGCAATTCTTGTGCCTCAGCCTCCCAAGTAGCTGGAATTACAGGTGCAAGCACACCACTTCACCTGGCTGATCTTTATATTTTTAATAGAGACAGGATTTTGCTCTGTTGGCCAGGCTGGTCTGGAACTCCTGACCTCAACTGATCCGCCAGCTTTGGCCTCCCAAAGTGCTGAGATTACAGGTGTGAGCCACCAAACCTAGCCAAGACTGAATGCTTTTAACGGCACTTAAATCACCTCTTGAATGCTTTGCTGCTTAGAAATTTCTTCCAAACAGATACCTTAAATCATCTCTCTCAAGTTCGAAGTTTCACAGATCTCTAGGGCAGGAGCAAAATGCTGCCAGTCTCTTAGTGCTAAAGTAACAAGAGTGACCTTTACTCCAGTTCCCAACAAGTTCCTAATCTGCATCTGAGACCACCACAGCCTGGACCTTATTGTCCTTATCACTATCAGCATTTTGGTCAAAGCCATTCAACAACTCTCTAGGAAGTTCCAAACTTTCCCACATCTTCCTGTCTTCTGAGCCCTCCAACTCTCTAGGAAGTTCCAAACTTTCCCATATTTTCCTGTCATCTTCTGAGACCTCCAAACTCTTCCAACCTCTACCTATTACCCAGTTCCAAAGTTGCTTCCAAATTTTTGAGTATCTTTACTGTAACACCTCACTACCTGGTACCAATTTACTGTATTAGTCTGTTCTCACACTGCTAATAAACACATACCCGAGACTGGGGAATTTACAAAGGAAAGAGGTTTAATGGACTCACAGTTCCGCACGGCTGGGGAGGTCGCACAATCGTGGCAGAAGGCAAATGAGGAACAAAGTCACATCTCACAAGGCGGGAGGCAAGAGAGCTTGTGCGCAGGAACTCCCATTTATAAAACCACCAGATCTCGTGAGACTTATTCACTACCATGAGAACTGTATGGGTGAAACCGCCTCCATGATTCAATTATCTCCACCTGGCCCCACCCTTGACATGTGGGGATTATTACAATTCAAGGTGATAATTTGGGCGGGGACACAAAGCCAAACCATATCATGGAGGTTGCAGTGAGCCAAGATTGCATCACTGCACTCCAGCCTGGGTGACTGAGTCTGTCTCAAAAAAAAAAAAAAAGAAAAGAAAAAGAAAAGCAAACCTAGTCAAGGCCCATTCCAGCTTTAGCCCTTTTGCTGGCTCCCACCTTTCCTTAAGATAAAGTCCAAACTCCTGGACTGAGCCCACTGGCCCTCTCACAAGCTGGGCCCTGCCCACCTCCCCCATATCCCAGTAACATCACCTCCCTCTGTGTCTCGGCAATGTTGTGGTTCCCACATGCCTTTCCACATGGTGTGCCCTCTGCCTCGAATGTCCTTACTGTGAGTCCTAGTAAGGGAAAAGGAGCTAGGCTTGGCAGGACCAGGGGAAAGCAAAAGGAGAAAGCAGATAAGCTGTAAGTCAGCCTTTGTTTATGGTCCAGGACACACAGCCCTCCTTCACGAATAACTCATAATCTTCCTGCACCCAACTTATCAGCAGACCTTCGGCTGATAGAAAAATGCAAGTTAGCTCACTGCAACCTTGGCATTACCAGCACTGCACAAAGCTCTCTTCAGCACACAGTACAAGCGGCATACCGTAAAATCCCCAGCAAGCCTTCGTCTCTTTGCAGTCAGCTCTTCTCTTGCTGACCTGCCCATTGCTTCCTTGCAACATGTTTTCCTAGTTTCTCTAATAAATCTGCCTTTCCTCACTGACAACTATCTTAGTAAAATTTTTTTATCACCCTCATGACAGCGGCCCCAGAAAGTCACCACGTGCAACATTTCCCACCTATCTGCAGGACAAGCTTTTATTCAGCCTTAAGTACTCTGGCCAAATATCACATCCTCAGCAAAGCCTTTCACAATTCCCCAAAAGAAGTTAAGGTGTAAACACACTCTCCATTGTACTATTTCTGTACCTTATACATGCTTTCCAAGATGCTGTCCCTCCTATGCACGATCAAGCTCTTAAAGTCAAGGGTCACGTCTAGTCTTCATTATGTTGTCACTGAAGACGTAGTTCTGAGCTAACACATAGCTTTACAATACAGCTTATGTCTTCAGCGCCTGTGATCAGGAAGAGAAAGCATGGAACCATTCAGGATGCCTGGCTTTTAGTCCCAAATCTAAATTTGCTCAGCCAATTTAGGCAGATCACATTAATTAGACTCTCTTTTCCATTGAGATTTATGACAAATGACAGTATAAGTGAAAATGCTTTGAAAAATATCAAGTGCTATAAATGCAACAATTTAATAATTTCAACGATCAAAAAAGCCACTTTTCATTGAACACTTAGGCTGTACCAGGTGCTTTACATAGATTGTTCCTCATTCTGACAGCATTCCTGGGAGGGAGGTAGCAGGAGCCACACTGTGTAGACAAGAAAACCTTTGCTAAGAGACATTAAGAATTTGTTTCAAGTCACACTGCTAGTAGATGGCACAGCCAGGACTCAAACCCATATATCTGGTGACCCCAAATTTATGCATTTTCTAGTAAGGTTTCATGTAAGGTTGTCTTATGACATAAAACTATATTGTATGGCCGGGCGTGGTGGCTCACACCTGTAATCCCGGCACTTTGGGAGGCCAAGGCAGGTGTGTCAATTGAAGTCAGGAGTTCGAGACCAGCCTGGCCAACATGGTGAAACCCTGTCTCTACTAAAAATACAAAAATTAGCTGGGTGTGGTGGTGCATGCCTGTAGTCCCAGCTACTCGGAAGGCTGAGGCAGAATTGCTTGAACCTGGAGGCCGAGGTTGCAGCAAGCTGAGATCACGCTAGAGTGAGACTCTGTCTTAAGAAAAAAAAAACAACTATATCGTATTATCCAGTTTCAGATGCATCTAGCATCATAATAAATGATTGAACTTTTATTATTTTTACTTGTCTGCACATAACTTTTAAAAATGCGAAAGGTTTAAATTTATCTGTGATTACTTCTTACTCCTTTTTTTTTTTTTTTGAGGCAGTGTCTTGCTGTGTTGCCCAGGCTGGAGTGCAATGGCATGATCATGGCTCACTGCAGCCTTGACCTCTTGGGCTCAAGTGATCCTCCCACCTCAGCCTCCCGAGTATCTGGGACTACAGGTGCACACCACCACACCCAGCTAATTTTTAGATTTTTGTAGAGATGGGGTCTCACTATATTTGCTCAGTCTGGTTTTGAACTGGGCTCAAGCAATCTCCTGCCTTGGCCTCCCAAAGTACTGGGATTACAAGCATGAGACACCACATCTGGCACTCTTACTGTTTCTTGAGAGCAGGTTCATGTCTTGTTTAAAGTGCTTATCATAATGTTTAGCACTTAGCAGAAATTCTATAATGTTTATTTTTTAATTGTTAAATATTGTTAGTCTTTAGTTTCAACATATGAAATTGCCATTTTTGTAGGCCCAAATTTGACAAATATCAGCAATTTCATATGATTTAAGCTATATCTTTAAGAAAAAGTTAAAGGAAAAATAAATCAGTTGAAAATATGTTTACTTGAGCATCCTGGTTTCCAATATTATGTGTATACTTCAGCATTTCCATGTTTTTTTTTTTTTTTTGAGATGAAGTCTCGCTCTGTCGCCCAGGCTGGAGTGCAATGGCACGATCTCAGCTCACTGCAACCTCTGCCTCCTGGGTTCAAACGATTCTCCTGCCTCAGCCTCCCGAGTAGCTGGGACTACCGGTGCGTGCCACCACGCTTGGCTAATTATTTTTGTATTTTTAGTAGAAACGGAGTTTCAACGTGTTAGCCAGGATGGTCTTGAACTCCTGGCCTCGTGATCTGCCTGCCTTGGTCTCCCAAAGTGCTGGGATTACAGGCATGAGCCCACCGCGCTCAGCAGCATTTCCATGTTTTAGTGTATTGTTTCCTATTCTCTGAAAAAAAAAATCTTTGAAATAGGTTGAAATTTTCCCCAAAATATCAGTCTCACATTAACAAGCAGCAGGTTGAAACACAGATACTCTCCTATGCCTTGCATCCCAAAGGACCCCAAATCCTTTATGTTTTTCCTGAATTTGACAATAATATTAATTCCCAATTTTTTTTTCTTTTTTTTTTTTAGATGGAGTCTTGCTCTGTCACCCAGGCTGGAGTGCAGTGGCGCAATCTCAGCTCACTACAACCTCCGCCCCCAGGGTTCAAGCGATTCTCCTGCCTCAGCCTCCTGAGTAGATGGGATTACAGGTGCACGCCACCACGCCTGGCTAATTTTTGTATTTTTAGTAGAAATGAGGTTTCATCATGTTGGTCAGGCTGGTCTCGAACTCCTGACTTGTGGTCTGCCCACCTTGACCTCTCAAAGTGCTGGGATTATAGGCGTGAGCCACCTCGCCCAGCCTAATTTCCAATATTTTAAGAATGTTCCAGCCCAGCATGGCGGCTCATGCCTGTAATCCCAGCATTTTGGGAGGCCGAGGCAGGAGGATCACTTCAGCTCAGGAGTTTGAGACCAGCCTGGGCAACATAGCAACCTTGTCTCTACTAAGATTTAAAAAATTTAAAAAAAAAATTATCCGGGCATGGTGGGGCTCACCTGTAGTCCCAGCTACTAAGAAGCCTGAGGCAGGAGGATCACGTGAGCCCAGGAGACTGAGGCTGCAGTGAGCTATGATTGCTCAGCCATTACACTTCTAGCCTGGGCAACAGAGCGAGACTCTGTCTCAAAAATAAATAAATAAATAAATAAATAAAGTAAATAAAAGAACGTTCCAAAATGTCAGATCTGTGACAGAATATAAAACTATCATAGAATATAGTATTTTGTGGCCAGCCATAGTGGCTCACACCTGTAATCTCAGCACTTTGTGAGGCCGAGGCGGGCAGATCACCTGAGGTCAGGAGTTTGAGAACCGCCTGGCCAACATGGCGAAACCTTGTCTCTACTAAAAATACAAAAATTAGCTCGGCATGGTAGTGAGCTGAGATAGCTTGACCCCTGGGAGACAGAGGTTGCAGTGAGCCAAGATTGCGCCACTGCACTCCAGCCTGGGTGACAGAGCAAGACTCAGTCTCGAAAAAAAAAAAAAATAGCCATTCCCTCTCCCCACCCCAAGTTGTAGTAACAATTTAAGCTCCTGCTCCTATCAGGTGAAGTAGAAATGCCATTAGCTAACACTGCTGAGTCAGTATTTTCTGAGAGGGTAGAAAATTCCTTTATCAGAAGAACACAAAATACTGCTTCTACCCAGGAAGCAATGTATTAAGCAATAGATACATTTATATCCAGAGATTAACAAGGAAAAACTTAAAAATAAAGAGTTAAGGCTCAGATGGATGGAGTGAAAGCCAAGGGTGTTCTGGAAGGATGGAGGAGGGGCATTGGGACTCTCTGTGTAGTGGTCAGTGGAGGGTCTGTGCATTTGCTCCTTGAAGCTTATGCCCCAGCCCGACGGAGACTTCGGGGAAACAATTTTTATTAAAGCAAGGGTAGCAGAATGGGGCAGGAGATGAGGAAGAGACAGTGATTATGTATCTCTATAAAGCTTTATGGCTTCCACAATCTTTTTACATGCATCACCTTGAGCTTTAATATTGTCTTGTCAAGTCACATGGGGAAAATGGTCTTATCTTGATTTTGCAGATTAAGTGACTTCTAGGAGGAAACTTGTCCAGGCCAAACTTGTCCCGTCCTTTGAAGCCTTCCAAGCTTGCTACACCTGGGGCACCATCCAGTTTGCCTGCCCCATTGCCTCCTAGGGAACAAGGGAGCTGAGTTAGATCCTTTTAATCCTGGTGGCGTAGTCAAGCCAAGGCATGGTAGCAGATACATCAATGATTATGAACCAACACAGCAGCTAACTGACCCCAAAGCAAACATTCCTGACATGGCTGTGGCCCAGGGCCTTGTCAATGTCCCCAGGGGAAAATTCCCTCACCAGGATGGGAAAAGTCTCACAACTGTCAGAAGGCATTTGTCCACTGTATTTCTTAGTGTGAAAGAATAAGCTTACTCAATAAATTTTTTTTTTTGAGACAGAGTCTTGCTCTGTCACCCAGGCTGGAGTGCAATGGTGCAATAGCAGCTCACTGCAACCTTCCCCTCCCGGGTTCGAGTGATTCTCAGCCTCCAGAGTAGCTGGGATCACAGGTGTGCACCACCACACCCAGCTAATTTTTCTATTTTTTTTGGCCAGGCTGGTCTTGAACTCTTGGGCTGAAGTGATCCACCTACTTAGGCCTCCCAAAGTGCTGGGATTACAGGTGTGAGGCACTGCACCCGGCCTCAATAAATAACTTTAAAGATTCCTCATCCTTGTCTTTCCAAAAAAATTGGAAAAACAACTTTGGCCGCATCTGCATCCCTTACTTTTCAGAAGAGAGGCTTCCGAGCGAAGAGCGGTGTGTGTACACATCATACCTATTTTTGAACTAACTTACATTATGAGCAATTAAGGAACTTTTTTAAATAAAAGATTTTTAGCCGGGCGCGGTGGCTCACGCCTGTAATCCCAGCACTTTGGGAGGCCGAGGCAGGCGGATCACGAGGTCAGGAGATAGAGACCATCCTGGCTAACACGGTGAAACCCCGTCTCTAGTAAAAAATACAAAAAATTAGCCGGGCGTGGTGGTGGGCGCCTGCAGTCCCAACTACTCTGGAGGCTGAGGCAGGAGAATGGCGCGAACCCGGGAGGCGGAGTTGCAGTGAGCAGAGAGCACGCCACTGCACTCCAGCCTGGGCAACAGAGTGAGACTCTGTTGTCTCAAAAAAAAAAAAAAAAAAAAAAAAGAGAAAAGAAAAAAAGATTTTTATTTCAGATAAAATTAATATTTCCATAATTAGGATACACACATAATTAGCAAACACACATTCTTGAGTCCATTATTTAAGGTTTATTCTATAAACGACTTCCATGAGTATTAGAGATCCTGAATGTCATCTGAATATTTGTCTACACACTTGTGGGCAGCTTCTGTAGACTTTTCTTTGTAGAAATTCCAGTTTTTCTGAATTCTTCCTTTTCCTTCAGGTTTTCCACTTTGCATTATTCATAAAAGGCTGGGTCATTATAGTGAGCTGTTAAGACATTCTTTCAATGCAGAATTTTCTTTCCAGCATTTTACTACCATAAGGATTCCAGAGTTCTTGCAACATTTGGTAAAATCTTGAACTTGTCAGAAGACCTCTCTCTGGCCTTTTCTCTCATTATTTTAGGGATCAAAACATCTTTTTCGACACGTCTGAGCTGCTGCTCCAAAAACCTGTAGTGTCTTCCCATTGTTTTTGGTATAAAAATCAAACTCCTTGAAATGGTTTACAGGACATTTCATGATTCACAACTGAAACTCCTCCACAGCGATGGCACACACTCCTCTTTGATCTCAATTCTTCTTTCTTGTGGTCTTTGCTTAAACCACTGTTCTTTAAATTTCACAGAGCAACCATCAGAGTTGTTAAATTAATCCGCGGGGTCGAGTGCCATCGCGGCGGGCGGAGAAGCAATTAAGGAACTTCTCTAATGAACTTCTGGTGCACAACAAAACCATGTAGTCTCGAAATTTTAGTTCCTCCGCAGTCCCCCATTGTGTTTTATGCTACCCCGCCTTCCACAGTCTCTAGGGACCCCTAACCGACCCCCTTGGCTCTCAGGCCATAATCTCACAACCCTCCCCAGCCCAACGGGGTCCGCCAGCGCTGGGCTGTAATACCACTCGCCACCAGCAGATGCCGCAGCCCCAACGCTGCACAGAGCCAACTTTCAAAATTACCACCGAGCCTGTCGGCAGCCATTTAGTGCCTGCTGTATACTTGCCAAGCGCCACGCAGGGCCCTTCGGGTCAACCCTGTACCAGTTGGCCCAGCTGCGAAATGCGGCGATCGTTAGGGTTAAATTAGTAAAATGGTCTACAGTGCTTTGAACAATGACCGGCTGGTGGTGTGAAATTATTACCAGGCCGAGACCAGCCTGGAGCCGGCTCCTGCCTCGTGCCGTCCCGCAAGGAGGTCCTGCCCCCGGGCTTGCCTTCCAGCCAGTTGGGGCCTTTGCCCTTTTTCCTGTCGCCTGCCACTAAGCTGCTGCTAGGAACCCCGGCTGGAATTTAGCTCGCCTCCGGCAAAGTGGTGGGGGCGGGCCCGGGTCGGGGAGGCCACATCACCTGCTTCCTGCAGGAACTTTTAGAAGGCAGGCAGCCCGGAACATGGCACGGTGGGGCACGGTAGGGCGCGAGGGGCCGCGCCCCTAAGGCCTAAACTCAACATAAAGTTTCTTCTTTGCCCTCCAGCCCAGCCCCAGGGTCGGGGCGCGTTTATCGCGCCGCGCACAAGCGTGAGGAGCGGGGGTTTGCGGGGCCTCTTGACTGTACCTGGGGCTGCACCTGCCAGGAGTGCGGAAAGGCGCAGGGCCGAGGTCCCCAAGCCCAGAGCGGGCGGCAGCTGCGGGCGACCTCGGAGGGCAGAGCAACCTCGGAGGGCAGGGCGTCCCCGCTCCCGGCACGCACCAGTGCCCGCGCACCCCAGCTCGCACGTGGCGCTCGGGCCCCGGCTGCACGCGCACGCGCGCAGGGATGCGCCACGTGCTGGGGCCCCACACGCGGGGAGGCTGCGCTCGGCGAGGGCGCGCGGTCCCACGGGCGGGGAGCCGGGCCCCGCGACCCACCCGCCTCGGGCCACCAGTCCCCTCCCAGCGCCCCGCGTAGCCTGGTCCCGCGCCCGGGCTCCCGGGCTCCCGGGCTGGCACCGCGAGGCGGCGCGCCGGTCGCCCAGGGCCGCCGAGGGGCGGGGCCGCCCGTATTGTTCCTCCCCGAGCGGCTGGCCCTCCCCTTCCCCCAGACCCGGGCGGGGCGCGGGGCCGCCGAAGCCGCGGAACGTGGGCTCGCGCGCCCCGCCTTTGTCTCCCGGGCGCGAGCCGCCGCAGCCCCGCGCCCGCTGCTCGCTGCGGAGCCGTTTTGTGCCGCGGCGCGGGGGAACGGGGACGCGGGGCGGGGGGCGCGGAGCCGGCGGGCGCAGCCTCAGCATGGACGTGACAGTCTCGGAGCTCCTGGAGCTCTTCCTGCAGAGCCCGCTGGTGACCTGGGTGAGTGCGCCTGGCTCCCCGCCCCTTTGTTGGTGCACCGGCTTCTCTCTAGCCCGGCGACGGGACGCCGCAGACCCGACACGGCCGGGGCCCCGGGTGGCTCCGGGGCGCGAGGGACGCAGCAAGTGGCTCCCGGCCGGGGTTGGGGCCGCGTCCTGGAGTCCGGAGCTTTGTAACTCTGGAGCCGGCGCCCCCGTTGTGCGTCCGGCGCGGGACCCCGCCGCGCTTTCGGCCGGGCCAGGAGCCGGGCGGGTACACCTGTTCCCGCTGGGGCTCTAGGCTGGCTGCCTCGGGGCGGACCGGGTCCCAGTGGTCACTCCTGTCCCTGGGGTTTAGCCACTCCCGAAAAGGACCCCATTCTTCCCAACCAAATATCTCATGTAGTTTTTCTGAATCCCTGAGACCAGCCGGTGGATGGCGGTGACGGGTGGGGAATGGGGGGCGCCGAATGGGAAAGCGAACAGACTGGGGTGGGCGCACTGATTTACAATGGATTTGAGACGTGAGACATTTATTGAAAAGTCCTTTTTATTTTTATTTCTTCCGCTCTGGAACGCGGGAGAAAAGTGGCGAGGAAGTTTTTCCTCCTGTCTCGTGTCTGTTGCCCCGCGCGGGGAGGGGAGACAGGCCCTAGGAGAAGGCCGGGCTTGGTGCCTGCTGAAGGGTGGTGTGGGCGTGGGTGACCCCCTTCTGCTCACACTGACCCGTCCAGTCTCTGCCTGGGAGAGCTTTGGACCGTTTGTGCGCACGGGGTGACTTCCTGTCTTTCTCTCCTCGTCCCCCTCCCCGCAGGTGAAAACTTTTGGCCCGTTTGGAAGCGGCAGCCAGGACAACCTGACTATGTACATGGATTTAGTGGACGGCATCTTTTTGAACCAAATTATGCTGCAAATGTAAGTTACCTTCTTCTCGGAGGAAGGAAAGAATGGTGCGTTAGAAAGTTTGAGAGTAGAAATGGAGTGGAAGGTTGCATGGCGGGGTGTGTGTGGGGTGGGGGGTAGTTCTCTGAAGGTGGAGACGCTGGTATCTCAGTATTAACGTGCCTGTTGGACATTCGTAGGTGTTTGAAGAACTCCAGGACAGTGGGTCTGGCAGTTGGTTTGATGAAGGAAATTTGGAATTGAATGACTGTCATTTACGTGGTGTAGATAGTGCAATTGACTTCAGACTCAAGGACTTAATTGTGGTTTGAGCAATGAAATGAAAAAGTCCCCTTTTGGAGGGCAAGGAACTGTAACGGAGAGTGTCTGGTTACAGGAAGTGTCGGGGTGGGCCCAGGCATCCGAGGGTTACTGTAAAGTTTCATTTTAGATGAGGGTGTCTGTGTTTCTGAGCTCCTTTACATTTCATCTTCCTTTTTCAGTTGCCCCAAAGCAAGTGCAATTCATTAAGTCCTACTGTATGGACTGAGTTTAAAGTCACAGTGTTAGGAGGGTCCCATGGTGCTGTTTGTTTGGAAGCATGCAGCCTGAACAGGGTCTTAGTAGAAGTTACTCTTGCCAGCGAGTACATCTGACCACATCCTTTCCTGTTGCTGAGCTCTGCACGGCCTGATTGACAGCTTGCCACAACGTAGGTGTTGGCTTCTACCTTTGCATTCTGTTTTTAACTCAAACTGCAGGGAACATTGGAACTGAGTGTCGGGATGATTCACAGGCACTTGAAGCAAAATAAAACATCCTAATGTTCTCTGTGGATCAGCCTCGTGTGCGCACCTATTCACCTACGACTGAGCAAGTTGTCATACTGGAGCATAAATCTATTAGCTAATGAGAGATCAGCTTCGTTTGTGGCTCACAAAGGCAGAGGAGCAGTTTGCTTTGGCATATCCAGAAAGTGGCTTATATAGATTGCCTTAAACAGCCTGTTTAGAAAAAAATAATTCAAGAACCTTGCTTTTTTTTTTTTTGGAGACGGAGTTTCGCTCTTGTTGCCCAGGCTGGAGTGCAATGGCGTGATCTCAGCTCACCACAACCTCCGCCTCCCGGGTTCAAGCGATTATCCTACCTCAGCCTCCCGAGTAGCTGGGATTGCAGGCATGCGCCACCACGCCCGGCTAATTTTGTATTTTTAGTAGAAATGGGGTTTCTCCATGTTAGGCTGGTCTCGAACTCCCGACCTCAGGTGATCCGCCTGCCTTGGCCTCCCAAAGTGCTGGGATTACAGGCATGAGCCACTGTGGTGCCCGGCCTCCTTTTATTTTAATAAGTCATTTGATGTCATGCTGTTTAATGGTTTTTGCTTTTTTTTTTTTAAAGTTCACAGCTGTGGGTGTAGGAAAAAAAGTCACTACCAATCTTACCAGTCTTCAGTGTCTGATTAGATTGAAAAACATAAATCTGTTGCCAGCTTTGACAGCACTTCTTAGATAACTTTGTTGAAACTGAGTTTTCCGGAAGCTGTCTCGTGGCATATTCGAGTTCTGGCCACTCTCCCCTCATTCTGTTAGACCCTGAAAATTACTGGATTCCATTGGCGCAATGACCGGTGAAACTTCAACCTGTCCTTACCCAAGCCCAAGACTGTTTAATTAAAAAAACCAGCAGTATCCCCAGCCTTTTCATTCAGCTCCTACACCCAGGCAGAGGGGGGAACAAAAGCACTGGGACTGTTTCTCTTTCTTCCCTGACCTTTGGAATTCCTGAAGCGTTTCCCACTTGCTTGTAAATCAGGAAAGCCTGTTGGACCGTTCCTTTGAGAAACGCCAGCTCATCACTTGTTCTCATTTGGCCCATGGCTAAATTCGGCCGGGGTGGTGTGGGGTGGGAGGGTTTCTCCCCTTCCCTGGGCAATTTTAGATGTTCTCTCTGTGATATGCCAAGGTAATCATTCCAGAAGTGGGAACTGGTAAATTGTAGCTCTTAAGACTTCAAGAAGTGCTTCTGGGTCCCTCAGGATGAGTTGGGCACAGAGGAATGGAGCGTGGGGAGGCTGAATGGCTGGCTTTCCAGAATGAGGAAAGAGAAGAGAGAGCGGGTGGGCATGGTTTCCTGCATGGGTCATCAGAATCACCCAGTTCCAGGTGATAGAAGTCAGAATAGTGTTTTTGTGTCTGGAAGTGGTGAGGATTGACTGGAAAGGACCCGGGGGAACCTTTTCAGGGTAGTTGAAATGTCCTGCAGAGTGGCTGGAGTATGTTTCATTTTCCAAAACTCCTCAAATTATAACTTTATGCATTTCATGCTATGTAAAATTACCTCAACTAAACAATGAACCCTGGCCTGTATCGGACAGCCTACATAGCCAGCTGGGATTCAAACCCTTGGCCTCCCTTTTACCAGCAGTGTGACACTGGGCATGTCGCTCAGTGCCTTAGTTTCCTCATCTGTAAAATGGGACGTAAAGTACCTTCCTTAAGAGATGGTTGTGAGGACAGAATGAAACCTTGTGTTAACATTTAGCTATTTGCCTATGTAGGTGCCATCTTAATCCAGAAAGGATTTGAGGCACCAACTAAAAGTTCTTTTTTTGTGTGGCCTACCTTTTCCCCCACATTCTTCGATCCTTGGATTACCCCACAGTTCTCAGCCCTTAGCCCTCTACCAATGAGGTCTAGGGCAACATTGGACCCTGGGACCCAAGTCCTAGCCCCGCATTTAGACTGTACTGCACTTAAGCCTCTGTTTTCACTTCTACCAAATGGCAACATGTCACTAGCCAGCAGGTAAGGGGTAAGGCTGTTCTGCCTCATCTCCCATACCAGTAGCTCCTAGACTGTGCTATTTGCCTGTTTTGATTCCTTCACCCCAAGTTTGTAGGACCTGAAGAAATCGCGTTGAGCAGTACTGCTAACAGAGCTCAGATAAGAGGCTGTTACCTAACACCTGGGAGCCTTGTGGAGGTTGGCTGGGGGTCACGTGACTGCACCTGGCCATTGTCTCCGGCAACCGGAGAAGGCTGTTAGTAGTCTCTCGGCCCTGGTCTCCTGGTGACATCAGCACCTGGAAGCAGGGAAGCCCCACAGGTTCAGCTTTCTGGGGAGGCCCAGGGCTAGGAGAATTCATGAATGAAACTGAGGCTTTGAGTGGCCTGGATGGAGAGGCCTGGGAATGCCTGCTCAATAGCCCCTCTGTCAACACAGTGTCTTGGGTACCTACCAGCACCCAAGAGAAAACAAAGTTTGCTCTGGTTAACTTTGGACACGTTTTTCATTCTCTTGTAGGAAAATTATTTAAGAGCCTTAACCCTAGCATCAGGCAGACAAGTTCAAATCCCCACTCTGCCACTTCCTAGTGTTATTATGTTGGGCAAATGACTGAAACTCTCTAAGCCTTGATTTCCTGATCTGTAATAAGGGGATGGTATTTTACCAATTTGGGGGAGATTTAAATAAAACTATGTATATAGAACAAGCCTAACATATGTCTATCATTGTGCAGATGAGGCCCAGATCTGAGTTTGTGTGTGGACATACGTACGTGTACCCATGCCCTTAGTGCTGTACATCTCTACTTGTGAGAGTAAACCATCCGGTTTGACGCAGTGGCTAAAGTTGGAACTTGGTACTAGGGCTGAGAGCTTGTGCCCTTTAAGTTCAACCATATTTGTTCAGGCTGCTTGTGACCCCTGGTGCTAGCTGCAAAATTCAGGATACTGTGTTAATTATTCATAGGTTAGAAACATCCTCGGGGAAATAGGAGAGTTTCTTTACCTCCCAAAAAGCATTTGAAGGATAACTTTTACCCCAGTGCACTTGAAGGAGAGTTTATGTTTCCCTTTTGCAGATGTAGAAGCTTAGGATAAAAGGGGAAATTTTACTTGTTGGTTGAATGAATTTGTATTGGCGCAAAAATCTTGGGAAAAAACAATTTTTACCTATGAACTTAAGTAATTTCCATCTTTTGGCTGCAGTATATGACACATGGGGGCTTTGAGTCCTTAAAAATTATACAAACAGGCTGGGCACGGTGGCTCACGCCTGTAATGCCAGCACTTTGGGAGGCTGAGGTGGGCGGATCACAAGGTCAGGAGATCGAGACCATCCTGGCTAACACAGTGAAACCCCGTCTCTACTAAAAATACAAAAAAATTAGCCAGGCGTGGTGGCGGGCGCCTGTAGTCCCAGCTACTGAGGAGGCTGAGGCGGGAGAATGGCATGAACCCGGGAGGCAGAGCTTGCAGTGAGCCAAGATTGTGCCACTGCACCCAGCCTGGGCAACAGAGCCAGACTCCATCTCAAAAAAAAAAAAAGAAAAAAATACACAAACTATGTTCATCTTAGGAGAATAGGAATATATACAGATGAGCAAAATAAAACTTGCCTGTGATTTTACCATGTGGAGGTAGCAATGTCAATATTCTAGTGCCTTCCGAATGTTATCTATGATATATATTAATACGTGTCCTTAATGTATTAATATTTTTATACAAATATGGACTCTTGCTATTGTTTTTTAGCATGGGTCCATATTTGTATAAAAATACATTAAACATATATAAAAACATTTAGCATGTTTTTTAACCTGTGATAAATTAGGGATATCTCTCTGTGTCAATACATAGTTTCTTGATTTAGCTTTAAATTTAGGAAGTTTTTGGAATATGACCAAAAGTTGGGGGCTGGCTTTCCCAAAGGAGGGGGGCAAGGTTACTGTAAGCCTAAATTATAACTCTTTTTAAAATTCTAGCAAGAATTGGTTATCTTTCTTCTTCCTTTTTTTTTTTTTTTGAGATGGAGTCTCACTCTGTTGCACAGGCTGGAGTGTAGTGGCTTGATCTCTGCTCATTGCAACCTCTGCCTCCCAGGTTCAGGTGATTCTCCTGCCTCAGCCTCCCGATTAGCTAGGATTACAGGCGCATGCCACCATGTCTGGCTAATTTTTGTATTTTTAGTGGAGACAGGGTTTCACCATGTTGGCCAGGCTGGTCTCGAACTCCTGACCTCAAGTGATCCTCTCACCTCGGCCTCCCAAAGTGCTGGGGTTACAGGCATGAGCCATCGTGCTTGGCCAGTTTCTTTTTTTCTAGTTGGAAGTTTTTATGAAAAGGAATCCCTGGGGGCCCACACTTTAGACTTGGAACTCTTGGAACTCTCCAAGTTCCGACCAGCTACCATATTTATGTCGTGTCCTCTGAGATCCTGATACTAGAGTGTTGGCCTTTTAAGTTTTAGGACTATCATATAAAGATGATTGTTGTTCTGAATGACAACTTTTGGGGAAGTGCAGTTGTTTAGCGGTTATAATAACATCTTCCTGTGGTACAGAAGCAAGTACAGTCCACGTTTGCTACTGCAGATGTAGGCTTCATGGAACCATATAGACTTTGAAGGCCGGAAGGATCCTGTAGCCATTTTGCAGATGAGAACACTGAAGCCCAGTGAGCTTTGGCTGGGCTTGGGACCTGGGCTAGAACCCATGTCTCTTGATTCCCATTTTGTACAGCATGGAAAGGTGGGAGTTACGGGGGTGCTGGGCAGAGTGGAGATTGAGATGTGCCTGCCTTAACTGTAGTTGAGGCTTTTGTTTTGATTAGTGTCCTGATAGCTCTCTACCCAGAGAGGCTTAGTTAAAGGAGGGAGTCGTAATAATCACGGTAAGTAGCTTAATTACTCATACAGTAAATGTCAGGGTTCTTTTAGAGTTGTTTCAGTGAGCTATTTCTTGCAAGAACTGGGGAGAACAATAGCAGGGATGGTCAGAGGCTTCTATGCTGTGATGTG
The DNA here is from genome assembly GCF_000001405.40 of Homo sapiens. NCBI lineage: Eukaryota > Metazoa > Chordata > Mammalia > Primates > Hominidae > Homo > Homo sapiens. Next base: position 91,410,969 of record NC_000014.9, on the reverse strand, counting down.
AGGGGACTCCCAGGTTCCCGACCCTGAGTGTATGCTATGCCTTTGCACGTGCTGGAGATGTCCACGATGTATACTGAGGCTTTCGGCTCCTGGCCACTCCTGGGGTGGTCCCGTCTGACTTCAATGAAAGATGGGTCTACAATGACAAAGACCAAAGAAAGAAGAAACAAAACAGAAAAAGCGCTGCATGTTCTCTGAGTTCTGCTATTTTAAGAAGTGCATTTGTCACTGTGAAATTGATTTTCATCTTTTAAGGTATCTACAGTAAAGGGAGGGGAATTGTACCTTTAAGATAAATTACTTTATGCTGCCAGGAACACTTCTGTAGCTAAAAATGCCTTTGCAGTTTAAATTCTGAATGCCTCTTCTTTTCCTGAATTAATTTCCACAGAACTCTTAACCTTTATTTTCTCAGTTATGCATGACTCCAAGAGAAACATGTAACATGTAAATGACTTGGCCACACTCCATCACTGTACTTCCAGAAACATTTGAAACGTTTTCGATTTGTAGGGTTTTTTTTTCCTTTGTCAATTTTCTACTAATTATTGGCTTTGAATGAGCCAGATGGCATTGAGATTGATTTCCTTAACTCCCCACACTAACCCCCAAGAGGCTCAGCACCTTCATCACGGGGTCTGGATAACAGAAGAAACTGTGAAGACAGGCTCTCCTTTGAATTAGCCATCCTTTGCGGTGTCTTGGGACTGTCAGATGGAAGGGAGGCCTTTGTTATGAAAAGCAGCGCACAGTCTGTGGAAGGGTGGAAGCGAACTCAGTAATGCTGAGTGCTCTTGTCTAATGGGGAACGTTTTCTGACACTGAGCATTTTGAGAAATGTCCTGTATATAGATGAGGGAGGGACATGATACATCACTTGATGTAGATTTCTAGTTTCATCACAGCCAGACCCAACTTTTGCCTGAGGTTGGAAAATAAATGACACTTCGGGGATTCCCCACATGAATTAATTGTGTCTCTTAGCATTTCTTACAGGGTGCATTGTACACCATAGAGTGCCATAGATTGTTTATGCCAGTTTCTCAAGATAGGATTTTTGTCCCTGGAATTTGTAAATCACAGGGAGGACCAGCCCAAGACCAATTCGCATGACAGAGGGAGACCTGTGTTTAATGGAACATTATGATTTTATTGGCGAATTAAGTCAGAAAATGTACCATTTTGGCCTGGCACAGTGGCTCACACCTGTAATCCCGGCACTTTGGGAGGCCAAGGCGGGTGTCACTTGAGGTCAAGAGTTCGAGACCAGCCTGGCCAACATGGTGAAACCCTGTCTTTACTAAAAATACAAAAATTAGCTGGGCGTGGTGGCATGCACCTATAATCCCAGCTACTTGGGAGGCTGAGGTGGGAGAATCGCTGGAACCCAGGAGGTGAAGGTTGCAGTGAGCTGAGATCGTGCCACTGCCCTCCAGTCTGGGCAAAAGAGCAAGACTCCGTCTCAAAAAAAAAAAAAAAGAAATGTACCGTTTTAGGCTGGGCACAGTGGCTCACACCTGTCATCCCAGTGTTTTGGGGGTCTGAGGCAGGAGGATGGCTTGAGGAGTTCGAGACCAGCCTGGGCAACATAGTGAGACCCTGTCTCTATAAAAAAAATTAAAAAAAAATTAGCTGGGCCTGTAGTCCTAGCTGCCTGGGAGGCTGAGACAGGAAGATCCCTTGAGCTCAGGAGTTCGAGGCTGTAGTGATCTGTGATGGTGCCACTGCATGCCAGACTGGGTGACAGAGTGAGACCTGTCTCTATTTAAAAAAAAAAAAAAACTACCATTTTTCTCCTTCTGTCTTTCTTGATATTTCACATATTTTTCTTTGTTCAGCTTTTAATTCTTTTAATCTTGAAATATATTTGGCTGGGTTGGTTTTATACAGTATAACATTTGGGGTCTGCACTGATATGTGGTTGGTTTTTGTGGGTGCTAGGAACGGTGGGAATGGAAACAGCACTGACTGAGGGCCTGCGGTGGGCCAGGTGCTCGGGTCAGGGAGCAGAAAGGCGATGTGGCCCACCTGAGGTCCTGGCTTAGCAGTGGCAGGATTGGGATTTGACTTGAACCACAACTGCCACAGCACAGCCTCATGGTCACCTAGGGACTGGAGGACAAGATGCTGGGTCGTGGCTGGGAAAGGAAGTGTGGCAGCTGCTGGGAGATGCAATTTCCATTCTCGTGTTTCTTCCCCTAGAGATCCCAGGCCCACAAATCAACGCATCAATAAGCACGTCAACAATGATGTGAACCTTCGCATTCAGAATTTGACCATCTTGGTGAGAAACATTAAGACCTACTACCAGGTAAGGGCAGTTCTGCTGTCGGGAATTCTGATGTGTGTCCATCAGTATCGTCACTGTCACGGTTTTCCCACAGGAGGCCGGGAGGAAACGGTGCTTATGTTTAGGCCTCTACTTGTTGACAGTTGGTCTGCTTTCATGTGAACCCTTTGTTGGGGCATGTGTGAGGATGAGATGGTGCGTTGATTTCCTTTGTTTGGTGAATGTTCTTTGAGCTGTGTGTAGCATCGTGCTATATGCTGTGAAGGTCCCAGAGAGGAGCCTCAGTTTGCAGCCTCTGCCCCGAGAATGCAGTTGAGTGGGGACTGGCTGGAATGGGCTTCCTGAAGGTGACCCTGAGGTGGTTATCCGCAGCCCCTGGCTCAGTGGCTCTTTATACAGGAGCCATTCAAGGGTTGAGGGAGAGGAGGAACCACTGGAGGGTTATGAAGATGGGACCAAGAATGTGATTAACCCACCTCTAGCTGCAAGCAGGAGCACTGGGCTTAGGGAGCGTCTGTCTTTCAAGTGTTTACCGCATCTGATCTGTGTGGTCAATGGGACAGTCAAGCCAGCCTGATGGGGATTTGCTCTTTAATATCCCAGGCTGGGCGCGGTGGCTCACACCTGTAATCCCAGCACTTTGGGAGGCCGAGGCGGGTGGATCATGAGGTCAAGAGATCAAGACCATCCTGGCCAACGCGATGAAACCCCACCTCTACTAAAAATGCAAAAATTAGCTGGGCATGGTGCACGCCTGTAGTCCCAGCTACTCAGGAGGCTGAGGCAGGAGAATCGCTTGAACCTGGGAGGTGGAGGTTGCAGTGAGCCAAGGTCATGCCACTGTACTCTGTCCTGGTGACAGAGCACGACTCCATCTCAAAAACAAACAAAACTAAACCCAAAACCCATCCCAGCCTTGGGAAGGCCAGTTGAGTCTTTGATGGTGTTAGTGATCTCTGTGTGGCCAATACGGATGGAAATGGACTGAAACTGTGTACCTTGGAGCCCTGGTTTTCAAACCTTTTCTTAGCAGTGAAACGTTCCCCCCATATGATTTTTCTCGAGAACCCAGGTGAAGCCCAGTGCACTGTGCTCAGCTGTCTCCTCGGCCTCCAGGGCATCTGTCTGGGTTCCCGGGACTCCAGAGGACACAGATTGAGAACTGCTCAAGAACAACTGCCTCCCAGATTCACGCCAGCGTTTCACTAAACATGTGACCAGACTCCGCCTGGGACCTGTGCCTCGCACTTGGCTTCCTGGGCTGTAACTTAGTCTTGGTTCTGGGATTCGGGAGCATCTTTGGATGTTGTGAGGCCTCTGTTGACATGAGGAAGCCGTCTGGCCAGCCGTGACTCCCCTTCTGCCCTTGTGCAGTGGTTGCTGGTTCTGGGGTCTGCTGAGGGACTGCTGGGTGGGCTGCCAGGCAGAATGTGTGCTGTGGCATTGGGCTTTGTGCTGGGCCCAGTTCCTGTTGAGGGCTGTGGTTGCTTCTGTTTCAACATGAATTTGAAACTGAACGTGAGAGGGAGGGAGTGGACAATGGCCTGGGTTTTCTGAGATGGTTGTTTCCGTCCTCCTCCTGTTGGGTGGGGGGGGCTGGCGTAGTTTGCCTGTGTGGGCCAGTTCAGTGAGCCATCTGTGCTCAGTCCAGAGACCATTGGGAGAGGGGCACTATGGGCTCTCTGGACATTGCATCTGGGAAGCTTAGAACCAGCCCCATCCCTTTAGTTCCAGATGTCTGAGGTGGGGGCCGAGGGTCAGGGAGAGGCCTGGAGGGCTGGTGTGGGAGCCTGTGAGAGTTGGCTCTGGGGATTTGAAGGGGAGCCACACTCAGCATGGTGTATGCTATAGGCAGGGGCATTTCTGCTGGCGTCTCCCTCGCGACAGCCATGCACAGGGGCAGTGGGGTAAAGGCAATGGTGCTGTCAATGACCTGGGCATCTGTGATGAGGGCCTGGTGGCTGTGCCGGCTGCTCAGCAGATACGCAGGGCATGGGCCCTGTCTGCAGGTGCCATTCGTGACAGGCAAGTGCTTTCAGGACTCTGTGCTGAGTGCTAGGGGAAGCACATAGTGCTGAAAGTTCAAGAGGCAAGACCCCCTAACCCAGCCTGCGTGCGGGCAGTTGGGGAAGTCTTCTTGGAGGAGGTGATACCTGAGTGGAGTTTCAGTGGGCAACTGAGTTTCCAGTTTGGAGGGTCATGGGAGGGAATGGGCAGGGCTGGCCAGAGCCAGTGGTATAGCACTGGGCAGGTGTCTGCATCCCTGTCCTCCCTCCTCCTGCACTGTGAGCTCTTGGGTGAGCTTGGATTGATGAAGGTCTCAAATGGAGGTGAGGTTTCTGAAGGTCTTTGTGAGTAGCATGGGGCAGTGAGGCTCTTGCTGCAAGCTGTTTGGCCATAGAAATGCCATCCTCTGGCCCTGCCAGTCCAGGAGGACTTCTGCTGTTGGTGACCAGCCACTCTGAGGGTCCATCCAGCTCTGGGCCGGGCAAAATGGACTTGACACTCACTTGAGACTGTGTGGGTTTGAGAAGCAGTTTGCTGTTCTTGGGGTACTGTGCAGAGTTCCAGAAGATGGGAAGTGGCCACACAAAGTAAAAGATGGCCAGCCCACCCTCAGGGTCCAGAAGGACTTCCAGATGGAAAGAGGACCCTGCATCCCTGCTCTCCCTCCTTTTGTGCTGGGAGCTCTTGGAGGACTGGGCTGGTGTGCGCTGGCAGTCTCGGCCCAGCTCAGAGCAAATGGTCAGTCAGTGTATGCTGACAGTACTTGCTGCTGACCAGGGAGTGGTCACTGCGTCTCAGTCCTGCCCTCTTGAAGGAAGCTGACAGGACGCTTGTGTTCAGGGCTGACACATTCCATGTGGACGGTGTTCTGCTGTGTGTTTTTTTTCCTTCCAATTTATAACAAAATAAAGTTTTTGTTATATAGGTCATACTGTACGTGCTCTTTGTAAACAGCTTAGAAAACAGACAAGTAGCAAGAGAAAAGACCCACCCATCAGCCCAGCACCCAGAGACAATCGCCGTTAACGTTTGTAGTATTTCCTTTCAGTTCTTGAGTGAATAGTTTTTGTTTTATGCCATTGTGGTTGTTGCCATATATACAATTGCGTATCCTGCCTTTTTTCCCTCCCACCTAACATTATAGCACAAACATAACCGGTTATTATAGTAAAGGGGTATTCCAGAACATTTCCGTAAAGCTGCCGCCCGGCCTCTTCTTGGGAAAGTAGCCCCGAAGGTCCTGAGGGCTTGGAATGAAGTGGGACAAACCTTGTTCCTTACTCTGACTGGGGTGCTGCGTGGGCGGGCCTCCCTCTCACCTGTGGCTTTTTGGTAGACACATCAAGGTCGCGCATTCTGGCTCTGGGTTTTGTTTGCCAGGAGATGGCTCTGTGCCCCTAACTGTCCCCTTCTTCTCTGCGGCACACTGGAGCAGTGACAGTCTGGAAGGCCAGGCCTTTCCTAAAGAGCGTGGGCCGTGTCGCTAGGATGCTCAAGTTGACCTCTGAGAACCTGGGGAGGCAAAGGGTCCTTGACCTTTTCCTGAGCAGGGCATAGGTCAGCAAGTGGGTGGAAACCAGTGTGGCTGAGATCCTATCCCACCACCGGGGTCTAAGGCAGATTCTCCGCCTTCCTGGCTTACTGCATTGGACTCTTCTGGGATTGGGGCCCTGGAATCTGCATTTTCTTTTCTCTTTTTTTTTTTTTTGAGATGGAGTCTCGCTCTGTCGCCCAGCCTGGAGTGCAGTGGCGTGATCTCGGCTCACTGCAAGCTCTGCCTCCCGGGTTCATGCCATTCTCCTGCCTCAGCCTCCCGAGTAGCTGGGACTACAGGCACCTGCCACCACTCCTGGCTAATTTTTTTTGTATTTTTAGTAGAGACGGGTTTTCACCGTGTTAGCCAGGATGGTCTCGATCTCCTGACTTCATGATCCACCCGCCTCAGCCTCCCAAAGTGCTGGGATTACAGGCGTGAGCCACCGCGCCCAGCCAAGGAATCTGCACTTTCAAAAATTTCCCAGCTTCTTGAGTCTCACCATTCCAACAGGATTGAGAATCAGTGGGTGAGAGTGGTGGTTCTTCAAAGGATGGTCCCCAGATCTGCAGCCGCGCTGGGAGCTTGTTAGAGATGCAGATTGTTGGGCCTGCATGTAAGTTGGGAGTCTGTATTTTAACAGGCCCCCAGGTGATTCTGACGCACATGCCCATGGGAACCACTGGAACCAATGGGTTAGAACATTTCTGGTGATTTCTAGAAGAGTCACGTTGAGCTGAATCTCCTGGGTAGAAGGAGCTCAGTCCTCACCAGGTGACCCTTCTCCATCACATACACCAGATTCACGTCTCACCGCCCCAGGACAGGAAGGCAGGGTCTCAGACTGGAGGAGGGGAAGGAGAGGATGCGGTTACCAGAGGGAGCAGGGGGTGTTGAGGGGGTAGCTGAGAAGGGGCAGAGAAAGCCAGAGTAGGACAAAGCCTTGGAGAGAGAGCACCTGGGTCAGTCTCTGCATTTTGGAGAAGAAAAGGCTGGCCTGTCCAATGTGGGGACACCGGCTTTAGGACAGCACCCTCAAATGGGATATCTGCTGAGCAGCCTGGAGGACAGGCAAGGCTGGGCCAGAGCCCCACGCTGCCTCAGCCTGGCTGGCCAGGTTTACCCTGTGTCCTCCGATGCTTGTTTTACTCATTCAACAGCCAACCTCCTTTTCATCTGGCATTTTAAAAATTTAATTTAATTTTTTGAGATAGGGTCTCTCTCTGTCGCCCAGGCTAGAGTGCAGTGGTATAGTCTTAGCTCACTGCAACCTCCCCCTCCACTGGGCTCAGGCGATCCTCCTACCTCAGCCTCCCGAGTAGCTGGGACCACCAGTGGGCACCACCACGCCTGGCTACTTTTTGTATTTTTAGTAGAGACAGGGTTTCACTATGTTGGCCAGGCTGGTCTCAAACTTGGGAGCTCAAGCAGTCCTCCTGCCTTGGCCACCCAAAGTGCTGGGCTTATAGGCACGAGCCTGTAAGGCTCACGGCGTCTGGCCTGGCTTTTGTTAAAATTAAATTTTGGATTTATGTAATGGTTCACTTTTTTCATTAAGAGCCTTGAATGTTTACATTAAATGCAGATAGTGGAGTCAGGCTGAAAGTGAGGCTGTTCCAGCAGAAGTCCGCCCTGTGCAGCAGTGGCTGGCCTGTCTGTGCTCTGGGGTTGTGCCTGGCATCCCATCCCCATTCCCTGCCCTGGACACCTTCAGTCCGGCGCCTTGTCTGGAAAGGGCCTCATTGTCATGTGAAGTTTCTGAGGTTTCTTTGGCTTTGTATGGCGGGAAGCACTTCAGATGGTGGCCTGGATACATTCCCTGTGTGTTGTTGGAGACGTATGTCTTTGTCATCGAGTCCACACGTGGATATCTCATCCAGTGAGATCGGGACCCTTGGATGGATGTGGGGACTTACCCATTGGATTCACTCTGAAATGAGGAATTTGCTGTTTCTTCATGCGCCTCTCCTCGCCAGGTGCAGAGGCAGCAAGGCTGGGGTCCCGCCGTCTCTCTGGGCGGGCTGCTCTCCTTCTCTGAGCCTCCTGAGTGCCCTCCTTCAAGCAAAAGGGGGTGGGCCTGAAATGCTACAGTTGCATGGTGACCAGAAACTGCGAGATTTAGAGGAGATTTAGAGTTTACGATCAGCTCAAGGAAGTTTAGCTTTCTGGGTTCCTTGAGCTCGGCTCTCTGACTTCTGGCCTCTAGCATGGGCACAAGGCCAGAAGGTTCCTTATCTCAAGTGAAACAGCAGAATAAATACAGCCCGGGTGCCTTAGCTTCTCCCAGCCCTTTTCTTTTTCCTTTATTGTTTTGAAGAATTAAAAATAAAACAGTACAAGTGGTCATAACGAACACTCACATACCTGTCGTTCAAAATAAATATGAACATACGGTTCTATTTTTCCATATTTGCTTGAGACCTTTTCCTTTTTTAAGAAATAAAAATTTTCTCTTGAGATAGACGTTCCCAGCAGCCACTACTAAGCCCTGTTGTCCTCTCCCTTCCTGGGGTTAACACCTCTCATTAATTGGGTGGTATCTACTTAACACTTTTATCCGCTTGCTGTGTTTATGTGTGTGTGTTGTATATATATGCGTGTGTGCACACTATACACACTTGTGTACACACACACACAGCTTTGTGTGATCTTTCTTCGAGACTTCCATAAACGGCAGCACACTGCCTGTAACTTCTTCCTCTGCTCAGCCTTGTTTCTGAGATGTCAGCCTCTGTGGTAGTTGTATTAGATAAGCATGCTCTGTTTACTAAAAATTAGGATTATCTTTAAGAAATGTGGACATTTTGTTTGAAGAAGGAAAGTCTTTTAATTTGTGTTTTTTTGTTGTTGTTGTTGTTGCTGTTTGAGACAGTCTTGCTCGGTTTCCCAGGCCAAAGTGCAGTGGTATGATCATAGCTCACTGCAGTCTCAACCTCTCAGGCTCAAGCAGTTCTCCCACCTCAGCCTCCTGAGTAGCTGGGATCACAGGTGTGCGCCACCACGTCTGGCTACTTTTTTTTATTTTTAGTAGAAGCAAGGTCTCGCTAAGTTGACCAGGCTGGTCTCAAACTCCTGGGCTCAAGCAATCCTCCCGCCTCACCCTCTCAAAGTGCTGGGATTACAGGCATGATCCACCATGGAAAATCTTTTGTCAAAAGCGAGAATAGAAGGAAATGTCCATTTGACATTGTTGGTGGAAAGAACACGTTAAACTTGTGGCTGTGTTTCATTTGTGTGGTCTAGAGGGTTTAGTCCACTTAACTGCTTTGATGGGCAGGGACAGGATTCAAGGGAACTTAGAGTCCACTCAGGCAATGGCTACTGGTACAAGAGGCATTTGCTTTAGGAGTAATAATACGTTGTACAGAATTTGCAGAGGAGACATTAGTTTCTCCACTTTTGACTTCAAAGGTTAAAGAGGAGGGCCACATTTTTTATTTTGTAGCTCATGTCCACATTGTGAGGAAATTAAAAATAACATTTTTGATTATAAAAATATTTTCTGGCCAGGTGCGGTGGCTCACGCCTGTAATCCCAGCACTTTGGGAGGCCAAGGCAGACGGATCATGAGGTCAGGAGATAGAGACCATCCTGGCTAACATGGTGAAACCCTGTCTCTACTAAAAATACAAAAAAATTAGCCTGGTGTGGTGGTGGGCGACTGTAGTCCCAGCTACTCAGGAGGTTGAGGCAGGAGAATGGCGTGATCCTGGGAGGCAGAGGTTGCGGTGAGCCAAGATCGTGCCGCTACACTCCAGCCTGCGCGACAGAGTAAGGCTCCGTCTCAAAAAATATATATATATATAATATATGTAATATATAATAAATATATACATTATAATATATAATGTATATAATATATAATATATATAATGTATATATTATATAATATATAATATATAAATATATATATTCTTACTATGGATTAGGAAGTAGAAAGAAACTTAAGTTCACCTGTTATCTCAACACCTAGGTATACCACTGCCAGCATTTTGGTACTTGTGCTTGCTTTGTGTGTGTGTGTTTCTAAAGTGTGGCTCGTATCATTATACTGTTTGTAACCTGCCTTTTTTTCATTTACCAGGCAGTGAGAAAGCTTTTCCCTGCCATTAAATACTCTTTCATAATATGAATTTTGGTGTCTGTGTAACATTTTATCGTGTGGGTGTAACTACTATCATTGTCTCAGAATTATAAACCATACCACTGTGAACATACTTGGTACATAAGTCATTCAACAAATGTTCTTATTTCCTTAGCAGGGAGTTCCTAGGTCAAAGGACATGAATACTTTGAGAATTTTTGCTACTTACTGCCAAAATAGCCTTATTTATAGGTTTTTTCCTTTTTCTTTGGTCAGTTACCCATTTGTGTTCTTCACCCTTTGTGATTGTGTTGGTTAAAATGCAGCTATTTTAACAAATTGCTATTGCATGCTGAAGATTCTCGAGTCCCTGCCAGGCGGTGAGGTCCTGAGGTTGTGTTTGCAATGTCTGGGTGGACTTCGTTTTTGTTGGAGGATCTTGAGTGCCTTTTGGGGATCTCTCCAGCAGGACTGCCTGAGGGAATCGTAGTGGGGTTAGAGAACAAGGCAGCCATTAGGGGCAGGGCCTGGCTGTGGCCGGGAGTCCAGCTCTGGCCTGGGCTCTGTCCCCATGTCGGCAGCGGGAGCTTTTGTGGACCCAACCATCCGGAGGTCACAGTCAGCTTCCATGTGAAGGTTTGCAGTCCGTTCAGAATTCAAGAGCGAACCCTCCAGACTGCTGGGAGATGTGCCTGAGGAGGGCAATGGTCTGCGGGGGGTCCCCCGTCCTCCTCCCGATCCCCATTCCCTAGCTAGAGCTTGTATAATAGAAGAAGGAAATGCAGGATGTGGAAGCTCTGGTGGCCCCCAGGTGGGTGGGACTTGACAGGTTACCGGCTCTTCCTCTTTCTGTTTCTCTTTCTTGTCCTCTCCATGCCCGAGATGCTCACGTTTTGTGGGGTGGGAGAGTGGCCAGGTAAATCAGCTGCAATAACACCTGTGTACGCAGGACATGGGATATGGCCAGACACAGGCCTGGGGAGCAGGGATCCTGGAGAGCTTTCTCGGGGGAAATGTCTGCCTGCGGCTGGTGGGGTTGACTGGCAGGGAAGGGGTGTCCTCTGGGGAAGAGCGGCACCTGCAGAGCTTTGGAGACATAAAGCAGCCTGAAGGTTGGGGCGTCTCTTGCGGGTATGGGGGTGAGGCTCCAGGCTGTGCTTAGGTGCTTAGGGATCTCAACTACTTCTTCTTCTTCTTCTTTTTTTTTTTTTTTTTTGAGAGGGAGTCTCACTCTGTCGCCCAGGCTGGAGTGCAGTGGCGCGATCTCGGCTCACTGCAACCTCTGCCTCCTGGGTTCACATGATTCTCCTGCCTCAGCCTCCTGAGTAGCTGGGATTACAGGCACCTGCCATCATGCCTGGCACATTTTTTGTATTTTTAGTAGAGACGGGGTTTCACCGTGTTGGCCAGGCTGGTCTTGAACTCCTGACCTCAGATGATCCACCTGCCTCGGCCTCCCAAAGTGCTGGGATTACAGGCGTGAGCCACTGAGCCTGGCCTAGGAACCTGAACTTCTAAAAGAGAGAGCTTAGGAAAGAAAACTCCTGCTCCCATTTGGAGAATGCACAGGTGTTGGGAGGGGTTGGCAGGTGGCAGGGCCCTGGACTGTGGCCACGGCAGCAGAGAGAAGGACGAGCTCTAGGAGACTCTATGGGGATCCAGCCCAGATGTGGGAATCCAGGGCTGAGGGGTCCGTGGGTTCCTGGTGTGACTTGGGGTTGGGGCGTTGGTGCTGTTCTCTGGGTGGGCCTGGGGCTCTGGGTGAGGAGAAGTGGGCTTAGTGGGGAGCAAGCCAGCTTGGTGTCACTGGTGTCGGTCAGGTGGATCTGAGCGTTCCTGGCTGGGAATGCAGATGGGAGCCATGGGGAGGTTGGCTCAAGAGTCACAAGCAGGCATGGAGAATGAGAACTGCCCATGGCCAAGGAGGTGGGAGCAGGCCCCAGGGTTAGGGCTGGGCAGAGCACATGGGACTCCCCAAGATGACAGTGAGGAGTCCCCCAAGTGGGAGGACCAGAGGGAGAGTGGTCCGCAGAGAGGAGAACCCCTGAGGAGAGAGGGCACCAGCACACAGGGCTGCCCGAGGCCCAGGAGACCACTCAGCTGTGGGCGGCTCAGTGCCCACCTGGAGCAAGCACCCTAGAGGAGCAGGAACAGCCGTCTGGGCCGAGGAAAGCCATGCTCTGCAGCAGACCTGTGCGCCCCCAGGGCTGCAGGCTGCTGGCAGTAGCTTCCTGATCAGCCAGACAAGAGGGCTGCAGCTCTCAGGGCCACTAGAATCACCCTTTCCACACTTAACAAAAGGCCTGCACTCCCAGCCTGTGGTGCTCCCTGTCCTGCTGGCTCCTGCTGCTTGTATTTCTTTCAATTATTTATTTTACCTTTTTATTTATTTATTTTTGAGACAGGGTCTCACTCTGTCACCCATGCTGGAGTGCAGTGGCGCGATCATAGCTCATTGTAACCTCAAACTCCTGGGCTCAAGCAATCCTCCAGCCTCAATCTACCAAGTAGCTGGGACTACAGGTGTGCACCACCATGCCCAGCTAATTATTTTTGTATTTTTTGTAGAGATGGGGTCTCACTGTGTTGGCCAGGCTACTCAAACTCCTGGGCTCAAGCGATCCTCCTGCCTTGGCCTCCCAAGGTGTTGGGGTTACAGGCGTGAGCCACCATGCCAGCCAGTGTTGGTGTTACAAGCTCAGTGGTTCAACTGTTGGCCAGGGGTGAAGCAAACGGGCTGAGGACCTGGTGGTGTGCTGAACGCCCAAACCTCTTGGGAGGCAGATTTGGTTTCTGTAAGCTGTTAGAGTGCCAGTTGGACTTGTTTTCCTTTCTTTTCTCTCCTTTTTGTTGTCAGAAGAAATGCTGTCCAGGCATATCAGATAGCAGCGAGGAACTGTGGGACTCAGATCTGTGCCCAAATCAAAAGGCTGAGAGATGAATGGGAGGGAGCTTAACCTTTACTGAGTGCCCATGCTGGGGGCTTTAGAGCCTCGTCATTTTTCACTGTTACTTCGGTATTATAAAGAAGAAATTACTGTCTCCATTCGATAGATTAGGAAACCAAGGCTCATGGAGCAAGATCAGGAAACAGCCCCGGAAAGCTGCAAGTTTTCTTCATCATCAGCTGCTTGGAGAAGCTTCTTTCTAAAAGCCAGGCTTTCTAGAATCATGTAGGGAGGTAACTTGCTGCAGGTGGACGTGCTGTCCTGTAAAGGCTGGCAGGGCCAGTCAGGATCTGCACCCGCAGTGGGGTGGGGGTGCTGCGTGTGGTGTGCCCCCCAGCTGGGAGTGTGGGCTCCCGTGATAACCCGGCTTCACACCAGCCTGGAGCCCAGAGGAAGGGACCGGGTTGCTTCAGGCACCTCTGAAACTTCCGGGGTTGGGCGGAGGGTGGAACAGGGAGCAGCTGGCCTCAGACTTCACCCCTCACCCCAGAGCGGCAGGAAGCAGAGATTCAGGGTTAATTGCAGGTGTTGCAGAGGGCGAAAGGTGGGTTTGATGTAATTAGCAGAGTTGGAGTTCAGCCAGGGCAAGGAGATGGAGAGAATGTGTGTGTGTGAGTATGAGTGTGAGAGTGTGTGAGTGTGAGAGTGTGTGTGAGTGTGTGTGTGTACACAGTCTTTCTGTTCTCTGAGGCTTCCTTCTCTAGGACTTGAGTCAAGACCTTGATTTGCTGGGGCTTTTCTCCTGTTTCAGGAGCGGCCATCATTTCCTCAGCCTTTGCGGGAAGGAGGTTTGGCTCAGGAGTCTTGCTTTCACTCCTGGTGTTGGGGATGCCACCCAGGCCCCTGTGGCTGTCCCCTTGCCTGGGCCTGTTGGGCACAGCACCGAGCCCAGATGCTCAGAACATGCAGCCTCACAGGGTCTGCTTGGAGACCTGCCCACCTCTGGACATTGACACATCGGGACTTCCCCCAGGCCCCTCTCCCTCCCCTATTGGTGTTTGTTCCAGAATCATGTTTCTGATACAGGTTATCTTACCATGTCAAGTATTGATTTTTTCACCGTTTGCTCAAGTTTTTTTCTTTCTTTCTTTTTTTTTTGGTGACAGGGTCTTGCTCTGTGTAGCCCAGGCTGGAGTGCAGTGGTGCGATCACGGCTTACTGCAGCCTCGACCTTGACCTGCCAGGCTCAAGCAATCCTCCTGCCTCAGCCCCCCGAGTAGCTGGGACTACCAGCATGCACCACCACTTCTGGCTAATTTATGTTTCTGATTTTTTGTAGAGACAGAGTCTCCCTGTGTTGCCCAGGCTGGTCTCGAACTCCTGAAGTTGTTTCTTAATTCATGGCCATTTATTTACAGAGATGTGTGTTTATGAGCCCATCTTGGGGAGCACAAAGTAAGCAACAAAGCTTCTGGGAGTGGAAGCTGAGTGATCCCCTGATCGGAGGGCAAGGGGTCTGAATTTGTGCTTCCGGAAAAATTATGGCTGAAACGATGAATGTTAAGCTTGCAGAAGCCGCGAGTGAGCTGTGCTTGGTGTTCCCGGTGCTTGTCGGGCTCATTCTTAGTTAGCTCTCGTTCAGCTCCGATTGAAAGCTGCACTTGTGGGTGATGAGTGTTGTGGGAATCGAGTGATGCGGGCGTGAATGAAGGTTGGAAACACAGCTCACTTTATGGACATACCCTAAACGCCAAAGTGGGAGGAAGTGGCAGGAGGAACCAGTTCCTTTTGTGACAGAAAGGAGAGAAATGGATTTCTCAAGTCGTTAAAAAGAAAAAACAGAGGTTTCTCCTTTGCCTTGGGTTTGGTGTTAGATGCCAGGATCAGCATGTTTGATGTTCTCACTGGTTTGTCAAAAGGAGTTTCTGAAGAAGAACTTGCCCAGGCAGGCTCTGCCTCTCCGTGAAGCCGGCTGCGTGGCTCACCTCCAGGGCTCGTAACAGTTTTTGTTATTCAGCTCTTCTTTGGGGAATGGCAGAGATTCTCTGCTGCTTCGCCTTGGCATCCAGGGCCCCTTGATCCTTCGAGATGTAATTGTCGCGATATAATTGTCGTCTTATTTTTCTAGTAATGAGAGGAATGTCGAGGGAAGGAGGATGAGGAAGTGCTGGTCTTAAATTGGTGGTTTCAGCCAGTACTGTAAAAGTTGAAGGGGCCGCACTCTGTACCCCCAGTTCTGAGTTGGTGGTATTTAGGGGGGAGGCAGAGATTTCAGATAAAGAGTCAAGGCTGCCACGTTCCACTGGGAGGGTTCTATTGGTTTGGGATTGGGTTTCGGGGAGGCTAAGGGTTGAGGGGTGGTAATTCTACATGTAGGGGTGTTCTGTAGGGGAAGAGATGGGGCACACTGCAGCTCTAGGGAGAAGCCTCTGGTTGCTTTCCTTAGCTGCAGCTGGGCAATCCTGGCCTGGGGGCTGGTGGCCTGGGGAGGGAGCAGGCAGGTTTGCCTTCTCGGCTGGGGGATAACGTTAGCCACTGCCTGGTGGAAGTGGGTGAGCCAGCTCTGTGGGGTGACTTCTTTGGTTACCCGAAGGCCAGAAAAGTGAAGCCAGAGAACAAGGTGGAATGGGAGGTGGGAAGGCAGGAATGATGAGAGCTCTGCCACTGTGTCAGCTTGGGTCCCTGAACGCTTTCCCTGGTCCAGAAGCTTGTGTTCACTGTTCCCAGCAGTGTGACTTAGGGTGCATCGTCCAACCTCACCTGTAGAGCAGGGGTAAAAATTACCTTATAGGTGGTTGTGAGGCTCAAATGAGATCACAAGACGTTTCTTTAATCAGTGAATAATAATAGCGACAGCTCTGGGTCCCAGGCTGACTCTGCAGGGGACGTACTTGTTCACCTGTATTCTGCAGGCGGAGGGGGCAGTTACTTGCAGGTAGGGGTCTTGGGAGGCAGGAGACACAAATCCAAATAGAAATGGAAAAACAACCAAGAGCCTCACCATCTGCAGAGGCACAAGGTCGAATGGTGGGTTCCTTTGAGCGTACCCCTCAGATTTGTGGCCTTGGGTAAGTTACTTCATCTCTGAGAGTCTTTCTTATTTGAAAAGTGGAGATATTAATAGTGCCAGCCTGGGAGGGTTGTAGGAGGGGTTCTACAAAGGCCTTGTACTCAGGGGACACGTGGGTGGGAGGGGAGGATGCCCACCCGTCTGGCAGAGGGGTGGCAGGCAGGCCCCCCACCCAAGGCCCGTCCCCTGGCCACTCTGTGTTCATTTGTTACTGAGCGGATTATCCAAGGACCCCTCCCGGAGTAATGCGCTCTGATTCATTTGGATTAATCTTGCGAGTGTGCACGTGTGCCTGTCTCTAGCCCTGCACGTTTTTCTCCTGTATGATCGTTTTATTTTAAGCTGAGTGACTTACACATATTATCTCATCAAAGGAAGCCTCATGATTTTATCCCTCACCAGCAATAGAATTCCTTAAAAGCAGGCACTGAATCTTTCTGTTTGTCTGTCACACCAGCATGGAAATGTGTCTGCCGTCAGTCAGCATGTGTTAATGACAAGATACATAACAACGGAGGCCACCATTCAGTGGAGTAAATAATTCAGAGAATAAGTCATTACAATCAGGGAGCACGGTGTCACACCAGGCCTGGGCCGGGAATCCTGTCTCTAGGTTAAAATGACCCTGCAAAGTGCCCCCGACCTGCTGCCCTTTCTAGACTGTTGAATAATTAGAGGATGGGGCCTGCCTTGTTCCTCTGTGTCCCTGACACATGGCAGGGACCCAGACCCTGACTGTTTAGAGGGTAAACAGGGGTAAACCGGTATGGAGGTGCAATGCAGTGAGGGGGCTGGGCTGGAGCTTAGGGCTCCCCTACTGTTTTCACGCAGACCTGTAGGCTTTTCATGTGGTGTTTGCTTTGTTGATGGAAATGCCATATGTCAGGTACTGGGAGGCTCAGTCCCTGGGGGGTGGAAATTAAATTGATTGTTTTCAACTTTGTCTAGCCAGCTTGGCTCCCCTGAGCATTCTAAGGTTTAGGCTGAATGACTTTAAAATTTTAAGACTAAAATTTTTGCCTCCTTTCCAAACCTTAGTAACCAGACAGGCTCACCTTCTGCCCAGCAAGTCAGATTTACGTGCCTTTAAAGTGTGGAATTGTGGCTACTTAAAGGACAGAAACTCCGGAGCAGCTGGCACTTTTTGTGCTCAATTGGTCTTCTAGCACCCTGTTTTTAGGGTGAGAATTTGTGGCATTCAGATTTTACGGAGTAGAGCTCATGAAGTTGATTTCTTTTTTTTGAGACGGAGTCTCGCTCTGTCGCCCAGGCTGGAGTGCAGTGGTGCGATCTCGGCTCACTGCAACCTCTGTCTCCCAGGTTCAAGCAATTCTCCTGCCTCAGCCTCCTGAGTAACTGGGATTACAGGCATGGGCCACCATGCCCGGCTAATTTGGTATTTTTTAGTAGAGATGGGGTTTCACCATGTTGGACAGGCTGGGAAGTTGAATATTTCAGGTGGAAATGGACTAAGTTGCAGAGGCGAGTATCCCAAGCTTAGATGCCAGAAGAAGGAAGCGTTGGTGGTTTCTGAGAACTCTGGGCTATTTTGATAACCACCTGGGGCAGTTAATCCAAAACAGGTAGTCCAGACCTTCAGAGGAAGCCAGATCGGGGCTGAGGTGTGGGCCGTCTGGGAGGGCGCTTCTGTCTGTACCCCTTCTCCTACCTTGCCCTTGTTTCTTCCTTCGGGAGGTAGAATTCGCTCAGGTTGCCTCTGCCTCATCTGCCCCTCTGCCTGCAGGGCTGGGGGTTTAGGGGGTGGGGGGGCTCCCATCCTACTTGCGGACAGAATAGCTGGCACCTGGACCTGTCATCTCCCAGCTCAGCCTCTCCCGGGGCAGCTCCTCTTGTCCTCCAGGGCTGCCCTGACACTGGTGTGACCTGGGGCAAGCGGCCCAACCCCTCCTAGCCTGTTCCTCTTTTGTCAGATGGGGGTGATGACTGCACTCCCCTCCCTGGGTTGCAGTGATTCTGAGAGAGCCAGTGAGCGATTGGTGCCTGGGAAATGCCCAGCCCAGTGCCCAGGGGCCGTTTCCGGGAGCGGACTCCGGTACTGTCTCTCCCTCTCCCGCTGCCTCACACGTCCTGTCCTTGCAGTTTCTCCTTCCCCAGCACCTTTCCTTTTTCGCTATGTGAGGCCTTGAGGACTCTCTGGAATTTAACATCATTATCGCCGTCATCACACCCCTGGCCCTGACTTGTTTTCTCTGTGTCCCACCCTACATTGCAGACTCACTCAGGGCGGGGACTCCGGCAGCCTCTGCCTCTCCCAGGAAGTGCAGTGAGGGGGCTCAGTGAGAGTGAGGGGTGCAGTGAGAGTGAGGGGCGCGGTGAGAGTGAGGGGCGTGGTGAGAGTGAGGGGGCTCAGTGAGGGGTTGCAGTGAGGGGCCGCCCTTGCTGGGGTCCCTGGTGCTGCCTTCAAGAACTCCAAAGGGCCAGGTCCTCGGGCTGGGCTGGGCTTTAAAATGTTCCTTCTTTTATGCATCGCTGGTATGGAAACCCTGGGTTATTATCGGCTCTGGGTTTAAAAGATGAGGTAAATTGATTTCTAAAGGCAAAGCCACTTTGACAAGCCTTTTGATCTCATTCCTTTTGAACAGAAAGGAATTGGAAATGTGACCAGCTGAAGCCTCTCTCGTTTCTCTTTCCCCTTGAAAAGGTTCTCCTCCTCTAGCCCTAATTAAGGTGTCCTTCCCTGCTCTGGGTGGTTGAAGCCAGCCCCTCGGAGCTCCATGTCCACCGACTCCCACCTCTAGGTTTCCTGGATAGGGATTTTTGTTGTTGCTTTTGTTTTGTTTTGGCAGGGTTGGGGGTGGCATGTAGGAAAGGGTGATCTGAAGCCAGAGTTTATAGAGCATGTTAAGTTCTGGGTCTGTTTGAACTCCTCCTAGGTACAGGTTCAGGAAGGGAGAGCTGGAACCTCTGGAGGTGGCCGTGTTCGTGGGAACAGGGTCAGTGGGAGCAGCTGTCATGGTGGCCATGGGAGCTGCTACCCTGGAGGCCCCAGAGGCACTAGAGAGTCAGGAACAGCCAAATGGAGCCAGGGAGTGAACTCATGAGGCAACTTTGAGATCCAAGTGTATGTTCAGATTTAGTTGGAAAGAGTTTAGAAAGTAGCTGGATTGCGTCACTGCACTCCAGCCTGGGCGACAGAGCAAGACTCCGTCTCCAAAAAAAAAGAAAGTAGCTGGAAAGCGGACTTTCAGCTCCAGAGTAGAGTAAAAATTTTAAAAACAAGAAAAAGGAATATAGTACACTCAGGAACATGTAACTTCTGGTCTTTTAGGAAGCTGCCTCTTTTTTCTTTTTCTTTTTGAGACGGAGTCTTGCTCTGTCACCCAGGCTGGAGTACAGTGGCATGATCTCAGCTCACTGCAGCCTCAGCCCCCTGGGATCAAGCGATTCTCCTGCCTCAGCCTCCCGAGTAGCTGGGATTACAGGCACACGCCACCACGCCTGGATAATTTTTGTATTTTTGGTAGAGACGGGGTTTCACCATGTTGGCCAGGCTGGTCTCAAACTCCTGACCTCGAGTGATCTGCCCGCCTCGGCCTCCCAAAGTGCTGGGATTACAGGTGTGAGTCACTGTGCCCGGCCTACTTCTGACTTTTAAAAAGCAAGAAACACAGAGAGTTATTTGTGTAAGGGGTACAGAATTTCAGTTCTGCAAGATGAAAAGAGTTCTAGAAATGGATGGTGGGGATGGTTGCACAACAGCATAAATGTATTTAATGCCACTGAACTGTACACTTAAAACTTAACCATTTTAAGCTTTTTTTTAGGTTATGCATATTTTACCACAATTAAAAACGGGCACCCAGTGGGTTTTTTTTTTTGTTTTGTTTTGTTTTTAGCAGGAAGAGAGTTTGTACTGTGAGGATGATGGTAAACTAAAAGAACTGTGTTCTGCATTCCCTGGGTCCAGCATGAGGCTCAACACACAGGTGCCAGTGAATGGGCAAGCTTCTCAGGCTTCTAGAACATTCTGGTGTGTGGCTGCCATTGTGTTAAGCGCTTGGTGTTGAAGGCAGTGGGTGTTAGGACTGCTGCTAAGAATCCTTACTTCCTTCCCATTTCAGTCTTCACCTTCACTAGGTGGCATTTATTCTCATCTCAAAGATGAGGAGACAGAAGTTCAGAGAAACCAAGGACCCTGGGAACCTTGTCCCAGAGCCCAAGACCTTAAAACAAGGAAGTGGTGAGCCTGAGGACCGAATCCATGTTCTTCCTTTCTGGAGACCCCTGTCCTCTGCGCTCTCTGGTTCTGATAGGTGATGGGAGACCAGGTAAAGGAAGTGGGGTGCTTCCACCCCATTCTCTGGGCTTTGGAATCTGTTGTTTGGGTTTTTTTTTCTTTGTAACTCCCTTAGGCTCTGGGAATCCTGTAATAGGATGGGACCAGCCACTGGCTTTTCGCATGTGTACCTGGAAGGCGACTTTGGTATGGCCACTGGCCACTGGGAAGGTGCAGTGGGCTGGCCATGGACTTTGCCTCCTGGTGACCCACAACACTGACTTGGAACAGTTAGTTAGAAAACCCAGAGGCTGGAGGGGTGAGGGCCCTGTGGCAGCCTGTGCGTCACTGCCCCAGTGTTCTCTGTGATGGGAGGCTTTAATGAACAGGAGCGCCTCTGAGATGCCAGCTTGGTTTTTCTTCATTTAGCACAGAGCACGGGGCATACTTTCGGTGTTGCACTGAGTGAGAAGAGTCCCCACCCTCTCCAGTCTGATAACGAGGTGGAGATGCCAAAAGCATAAATTAAGCGGATGGAGGGTTTCTGTGGAACATATGGCTATGTGCCAGACGCCGTGCTTAAATCTGTGTCAAGGAGCAGAATCGGGCATCTACTAAGAATGTGTGTGACAGTCATCATAAGGGGTTTGGAACCCCAGCCCCGCCTTGAAAGTAGCAACTTGCTCCACTGAGGGAACAAAGTAACCATGGCTCATTGAGCAGGACTCATCAGCATTTCTTATATTTTCTCTTTTTTTTTTTTATCCTTTTTCTTTTTCTTTTTTTTTGAAACAGAGTCTCACCCTGTCGCCCAGGCTGGAGTGCAGTGGCACAATCTCGGCTCACTGCAAGCTCCGCCTCCCGGGTTCACGCCATTCTCCTGCCTCAGCCTCCCGAGGAGCTGGGACTACAGGCGCCCGCCACCACGCCCAGCTAATTTTTTGTATTTTTAGTAGAGATGGGGTTTCACCGTGTTAGCCAGGATGGTCTCCATCTCCTGACCTTGTGATCCGCCCGCCTCGGC
This sequence comes from Homo sapiens, assembly GCF_000001405.40. Lineage (NCBI taxonomy): Eukaryota > Metazoa > Chordata > Mammalia > Primates > Hominidae > Homo > Homo sapiens. The sequence goes on along the minus strand of NC_000014.9, from coordinate 91,389,835 downwards.
CTCCCAAAGTGCTGGGATTACAGGCGTGAGCCACCGCGCCTGGCCAAGAAAAAGCTTTTCTCCTCTTTTTTTTTCTTTCTTTCGTTCTTTTTCTTTCTTTTTTTTTTTTTATTTTTTAAATAGAGCCAGGGTCTTGCTGTGTTGCCCAGGCTAGTCTGGAACTCCTGGGTTCAAGTGATCCTCCTGCCTCGGCCTCCCAAAGTGCTGGGATTACAGATGTGAGCCACCACGCCCAGCCAAAAATCTTTTTTCACTTGGAGTCAGCATAGAGGTTTTTCCACATCAAAGCAATTCCTCTTAAGCCCCAGCAGCCAAGGTACTCCTGTTGATGATGGATAGTCCTAGGATAGCAAAGCTTTTTAGAAGCTCATGCTTAAATCAAGCAGGACTAAACTGTCAGACACGGAAGCATCCCTTTCTACTTGAAACCTTTGGGGTCAGTGACCTTGACTTTGAACTTGGAATCACATCTTCAAGAGCAGTTGTTGACTTTTCCCCTGGGGAAGCCGGGAAGGCCAGGAGGAGGATGGAGCAGAGGTCAGGGCCCATGACCCTCTTTTCTCTTAACGTTTGGACTCGGAGGAAGCCTGGATGGAGCCATTTTCCCTCCTCACCGTACCTGTCCCTCCCTGGTTTGTAAACTACCCCCACTCCACTTGACCAGTAGCTGCTGAGGCCATAAGGGCCAGGCAGGTCTTCAGATGAACTAATTGGCTCCTCATTCAGGTGGGGGACAGGAGTGTCTCTGTGTACTTCAGTTTCCCTTGAACCTCATGTTGGGCTGGCGTGCAGACTAATATTCTGACAGGCTGAGCAGAATCAGGACCCTCGGTGCTTTATTTTCTGTCTTTTGTTTTTGTCACATGAATGATGGGGTCTGAAGAAGACAGAGACTCACGCACCATCCTGCCACCTCAGCACATTCAGGTGCTTCAGGGTTCCCTGCGGAGCCTGTGGCCCTTCCCTTGGAAGGGAATCTGTGGCTTTCGTGGGGACAGCTGAGGGCTATTAATACCCAGGGAAGTCCTTTCCACCAGCCCCAAAGGGAGAAGTTCACATCCCTCGCTGCAAGTGTGCTTGAGTCATGGCCCACAGTTAGAGCGGATCTCAGTCTGTGTTTGGTTGAAATGTCACGTGTTTGAGTGTTTCGATCCTTTTTAAGTCATTCTCTGTTTTGCGAGTGGCTGACAGCTCGCTGTGTGTGTTTCTTGTTTATACATCAGTTTGAGAGCTTACTGTGAGCGTCTGAGTTAAGCTCTGGGCAGCAGACGCGGTCACCGTCTGCTCAAGGCTGCTATAGCTCAGGTCACTCAGGAAAAGAGGGATCTAGTGTTGCTATGGCAGACACCTTAGCCCTGGACGTTTCCAGAACAGGCGCTACCTGGTACCTGCCTGGGCCTTGAGCACCTGAGGCCTGGAGGCTGTAGCATCAGTGTCAAGAACGTTGAGAAGCTGGGCCGAGGCAGCCTAGAGCCACGAGGCCCAGTCCCCTCATTTTACATGGGAGGTGGAGCGGGGGGTGGGCTGAGGCCACATGGTGAGTTAATAGCAGAGCTGGAGCTCACTTCTGTGTGACAGATGACAGAAATCTGGTCATACATTGGTTAGGGCCCTTCACACCCTGGCCGTCTCCCGCTTGCTGGCCGCAGCACAGTGGGGATATCGCTGGGGCGTGGTAACTGCTCCTCTGTGTTTAGGCTGATGGTGACTCTAAGGGGGATGGTTTCAGAGCAAGTCCTGATGGTGTGTGGCTTCGCTCAGCAGTGGAATGTTCAAGCTTGCAGGGACCTGAATCCCCAGCCGCAAGGCAGAACCAATGGGGAGCCCTTAAAATGCATTGTCTGGACCCCACCCCTTGTAGAGTGAGGGTTTCTGATTTAACTGGCCCAAGTGGGCTTGGCTGTCAGTATTATTTAAAAGCCGTTGTCTGAGGTGATTCCGACGTGCAGCCAGGGTTGGGCACTGCTGATCCTGCCCAAGCTGCTCCTCGTTTAGCCAACAAGAAAACTGAAACATGGGCCATTAAGTGGTTTTTGTCCATGCCATCAGCATCTCGGCTCTTGTCTCTCAGGGTGCTGCCTTCCCTCCTTTCCTTGTTTCCCTGTCAGGCATCAACCAGGAATCTTCCTGTGGCTGCATAAAGCCTTGTGGAAACTCCCTGGAGTGGCGACAGCTGGCCCGTGCACTTCTTGTGGTCAGAGCGACGGGAGGAGGCCTGTCTAGTCTGCCTCCTAGTGCCTTTGTCCAGGGCCTAACCCAGCAGGCAAGAGAGTTCAGGTTTGTCAGTTTCCATCTGGCTTTGGAAATCTGGGGGCAACAGAAAGAGAGCTCTTATAGGCGGCAACTGTCATTGCCTTCCTGGGAGCAGTTTTGTCTATATCGTGTGTGGTTCCCGCCACACATGCTGCGGAGGTAGCTTGGCCTGACTGGGCCTTTGGAAGAAGACGCAGCGGAGTGTAACCGTCATCTGAGCCAATTCGCCAAACCTCCATGGCCCGGACGTTGGCACTCTCCATGACAACCCGTAGAGGTTCTGTGGTTGTGGGAACGGAGCTGAGAGGTTCAGTAACACAGCTCAGCCCCTTGAAACTGACTGTCAGTTCTATAAAGGAGTTAAATTATCTTTGCGTAAACATTGTGTGTTTAGAGCCCCGTGGTTGATTTTCTTTTCCCAGAACAAGTCCTTGTGTTAGGCTGTGCGTTTTGGATGTGGACAGTTGCGCCAAAAGCTGATTCCACTTTGGGCGAGTCACTCTGCATCTTTATGCCTCATTTTCCACATTCATAAAGTGGGAATCACAACAAGGTTAGATTAGACTGAGGATAAATAAGTTAGTATATTTAAAATACTTAGAATGGTGCTGGGCGCTTAGTACACAAATATTAACAATTACCACCACTTTTGCATTTCATCACAGAGGATGCCCAGTACTACCTCATTGTGGTGGGTCCTGGCTACCTTCTCTGGCAGAGATGACTTAGTTGGTCCCAAGCCCCTAAAGTGGGGCTAGCCTGGGTCATAGCCCATGAATGCAGAGCCCAGGGCTGTTTTGGCGCTGGGCGTGAGGAGAAAGTGTGCTGGCCTCTAAGATGGAATCCACAAGGCTTCCCTCCCATTTGAACAATCACGTCCAACACTGGGCTCGGCCATGGTGGAAAGTCTAAAAGGTGGCATGCAAGCTGCATGAGCAGAAAACACACAGATTGGCCCGAGCATGGAGACTGTCAGCTTCCAGAGCAGGGTCGCACATTGGGGTGGCGAATGAACTATGGCCACCGTGGCAGGTGTGTGTGTGGCATGCGCAGATGTGCACAGGCCCTGTCGGTTCTACCATTGGTCTCCTCTACTGTTTATTTGTTTATTTATTTATTTAGAGATGGAGTTTCACTCTTGTTTCCCGGGCCGGACTGCAAAGGTGTGATCTTGGCTCACTGCAACCTCTGCCTTCTGGGTTTGAGTGATTCTCCTGCCTCAGCCTCGCGAGTAGCTGGGATTACAGGCACCCACCACCATGCCCAGCTAGGTTTTTGTTTTTTTTTTTTTTTGTATTTTTAGTAGAGACAGGGTTTCACCATGTTGGCCAGGCTGGTCTCGAACTCCTGTCCTCAAGTGATCCACCCACCTCGGCCTCCCAAAGTGCTGGGATTACAAGCGTGAGCCACCGCGCCCGGCCTGCTCTACTTTTTAAATTGTTGGCTCATCATAGAAAGAGCTCAGTCATCACAGGATCTATAAAGAGTGTGAAGTAGATGGTTCAGGAAGTATTGTCCCCATTTTACAGATAGGTAATGAGGCCCTGGGATGTTAACTGGCTTGCTCAGGGTCACACATGGCTAGTGAGTGTCAGACCTGAAATTGGAATACAGGCCATTCTGCTCCTGGCCCAATGTTTTTCTCTGTACTGTGTGGCCTCTGATATAGAAATGCATGTGGACAGTTCTCCTAGGAGGTGGAGATGTGTCATAGGCAGCAAGCCCTGTGCCCCACCCAGGACAAAAGCAGGCTTTTAGTTTTAATTAATTATTTTTTTTTTTAAAGAGGCAGGGTCTTGCTATGTTGCCCAGGCTGGTCTGGAACTTCTAGTTTCAAGCAGTCCTCCCACCTTGGCCTCCCAAAGTGCTAGGATTACAGGTGTGAGCCACCACACCTGGTCAAAAGCAGGCTTTTAAAACCCTGGAATATCTAGCCCCCTGTTCGGCACACCCTGGACTACCAAAGAGGGGCAACCAGCTTTTGATGTCCGAGTTTGGCCTTGCCGCCCACCTTGTGACCTGAGGCCCTTCTCCAAACACAGGTTTTCTGTGGGCCAAGTGGGCACGGAAACCCTCACCTCCCAGGGCTGGGCAAGCTGCGAGACATCTGGCACTGTGTTAGCTCCTCCTCCTGGGAACCTTCTCACTGAGGCTGTAGGAGGCTCCCACCTTCGTAATATGCGTCAGGGTGCTGCTGTCTGTCAGAATCGAGGCCTGATGGGGTGGGGGTGGTGGGGAGTACATGCCATGAGGGCGTTTCTTGTGCTAAAGTTACTTGTGGGGTGAGAGAACCCTGGGTCTGGGGTAGAGATGGAAAGGTGTGTTGGGGCCCTGGCTGCGGTGGGCTGGCATTCATTGGTAGACTTCTTAGGTAAACCTCCTGGCCGGTGGGTGACACTTTCCACGTGGGCTCTGTGTGCTTTGGGGTCTTGCAGAGCAGCACACCCAAACCTCAAAGTAAAACTACCTGAGCGTGCTGTGTCCTGGTGGACCTTGTCTGTCTTAGAAAAGGATTGGTAGTGCCGGTCTCACCATGTGGCTCATTAGAAAAGGCTTCCAGGGATCTGAGGGATCACACTGCATTTCTTCATGGGGAGAATGTGCTTTGGAAGGAAAAAGTTTGTCATCTTTAGAGGATGGGAACTGTAGTATCCTTTGCCGTTGGGTGGATGGTGCCCTAAGAACCACCCCCGTGCTGTGGATTTGAGGGTCAGGGTTTGGAGCATCACCCGTGGGCTTCATCCACCCTTGGGGCTGTCTGTGGCCAGGAAGGGAGTGGGGGAGGACTCCAGGATCCGGAGTCCAGCAGCACACTGGGCTTGTTCGCAGCACATTGACAAGCCTGGTTCCCCAGCTGGCCCTGCACCATAGAGCAGCCGCACGTGTTGGAGAGAGCAGCTGATGGGCGTCCCAGGTGTGCAGTTGGGGTAGGCTGGCCACCCTTTCCTCCCGGTGCCAGTGCGTAGTGTGCAGCACAATAGTGAAGGTCATAGTTTTTCCACCTGAGAATTTTTGGTTTATTATTTTTAAGAGATGGGGTGATGATTATGATGAAGAAGGTGAAGAAGCAGATGAGGAAGGGGAAGAAGGAGGAGATGAGGAAAATGATCCAGACTATGACCCAAAGAAGGATCAAAACCCAACAGAGTGCAAGCAGCAGTGAAGCAGGATGGTCTACCTTCCGCTTCCCTGGAAAGGATGAATTTACATCATTTGACAAGCCTATTTTCAAGTTATTTGTTGTTTGTTTGCTTGTTTTTGTTTTTGCAGCCTAAAATAAAAATTTCAAATACAAAAAAAAAAAAAAAAGAGAGATGGGGGTCTCGCTATGTTGATCAGGCTGGTCTCGAACTCCTAGACTCAAACGATCCTCCCACCTCAGCCTCCCAAAGTGCTAGGATTACAGATGTGAGCCACCACGCCTAGCCTCCACCTGAGAGTTTTTGGATAATCTTCATGGCTTGGATGTTGACGCATTGGCTTTTGCACCTCGGTCTAATTGGATGCACCAGTCCTCTTGGTACCCAGATGTGGTGCCCTAGGAACATCTTCCCGGGATGCACCAGTGTGCCGTGGTACCCAGGTGTGGCACTCCAGAAGGCTGTGCCCTCACACTGCCTGCAGAATGGGTGTTTATAGTAGTAACAGAGGGAGGCTGCTTTCTGCAGGTGTCACAGCATCACCCATTACTGGAAAAGTTTACATACAGATAAATTTGTTTCTGCCTCACAGTGAGAAAGAAGCCTCTTCTCTTCTGGGGCTATCACCTTCCAGTGCTAGGTCCTCTTCATTGGAGACCCCTCCCTGTCACAGCACAATGTGGGTAATAAAATGGTTTGTGACCTGCGGGAGTCCTTGTGTCTTTTCCCAGTGCTTGCTTTCCCCAGGAATGGGGCTGTTCCCAGGGGTGTCTGGTTTCCAACTGGCCATTCATCCGGTCCCCACACTATTAAGCAGCAAGAACTGGTTTTGCAAAGTAAACCGATACCTCGTGGAGTATCCTCAGCCAGCAAGGATGAGACAGTTTAATAAGTGCCTGGCGACCTCCGAGGAGGCAGAGTGTCCCTGGCTCCCCACTTTCTCCACCCCCTTCCTCCTGGCTCCCGGACATCTGAGTGCCCAAGCAGAAAGAGGGAGGGGCTTTCTCATTCCTTGGTGCTGGGGAGGAGGCCTTGATCAAAGTAGTGGTGTTTGGTGGAAACAACGACAGTCTTTCTTGGGGGTTCTGTTCATGGCCCCCTGAGATTCCTGGCTGGGCCCCCCACGGCAGCATGGCCAGCCTGGGCTTTGGGCAGTCTCCTTGGGAGATGAGCCGTTCTGTGGAACGGATTGCCCTGGGCACTCCAGGCCTGGCAGAGCCAGGGTTCGAGGGGGTGACTCTCTTACCTTTGAGAAGCAGCTTCCCCAGCTCCAAGTCTACAGATGGTGAGGAGAATAGGGCTCTATAAGAAAGCTGGAGGCTGCAGTGATGCAGGAAGGCACTGGGCTGGAAGGTGCTGGGAAGGGGTGCACTGGAGCCCTGGGGTCCTTCAGTAGGATCTGGCTTTAAGATGAGGCTTTGCGGGAGGCAGGAGCAACCCCAGAGTTGGAGGATGGAAGGAGGGATAGTGACTGACAGGCCCCTGCTTTGTAGCCTCCTGGGTAAGTAGGATGAGGGTCACAGCCCAGGGCTTTTCAGATTTCCGGGGCCTGTGACACTGGTTGTTAAAGAGGCACAATCAGATGACACCTGGGCCCTGAGAGGCCCTAGTCTTTATATTGCAGGAGATAAAGCAGAGAATTTTAAAGCGGGTGCGTAGCCTGGGTTTGGAGTGTTCGCTTGAGTCTGTGCCAAAAATCCAAGCAGACAAGGTCGTCCCTTGAATTTTCTGTAGGAGGCCAGGTAGTCCTTGGGAGCATCTATGCATGCCTGTACCTACTTCTTGGGCTGAGGTCAGATTTAATTTCATCCCCAGCTTTGGTGGTTGTGTATTTCTCCGTCTTCTCTGGGTCATCTCTGCCTCACCTGCTAGATGGTGTCTGTAGGACCCATGTCCTGTAGAACAAAGGGAAACACGCTGAGCTGGAGATGGAACAGCTTTCTTAGGGACCTGACTTTGAAGAACCTTTCAGGGTCTGTTATTCCTGACAAAGAAGGCCAATTTAGAGTCCAGATAAGCTGGGGAAAGATTGTGTTCTCATGTTTTGCATAATCTCCAAGGTGCTGTGTCATGGGGCCCGCCATGTTGAAAGGGTCTCTGGAAACCACCTGGTCCAGGGAGTGGCAGATAGGTTTAATCTTGAGTTGATTGGTTGTGGCTGCCCAGAGGGCTGTGTTGAGAAGGATTATGAGGCCTCTGCGTTGAGATTTGTGGAAAAGAGTGCTTCATCAATTAGTGATGTCTGCTGTGGGGGCAGGAGGTGGACAGTAGCGCTCCATACACAGTGTTTGCTATCTCTCATCTTACAGATGAGAAAACCAGGGCCCAGAGAAATTGTGACTTGTCTCTGTATTTAATGGCGGGTCTGAAACTTAAACCTAAGGCTGCTGAGATCCAACCCAGTGCTCTTTCTACTTCCCTGACATTACAGAACCTATCCTAGTAGAGGATGAGTCAAAGTGTGAAACAATGAAGACAAGATGTCGTGATAAAATGGGCTGTTCAGAAAATACACCGTGGAAGGCATCAAGAAGGAGGCAGGGAGGTGGGCTCGGACTGGAGAGAGGAGTGAGCTGAGTCTCGCAAGAAAGGGCCGGTTTTTTGTTGTTTTTGTTTTTCGAGACAGAGTCTTGCTCCGTTGCCCTGGCTGGCACGATCTTGGCTCACCGCAACCTCTGCCTCCTGGGTTCAAGCGATTCTCCTGCCTCAGCCTCCCAAGTACCTGGAATTACATGCACGCGCCACCATGCCCAGATAATTGTTTGTATTTTTAGTAGAGACGGGGTTTCACCAAGTTGGCCAGGGTGGTCTCGAACTCCTGACTTCAATTGATCCACCCAACTTGGCCTCCCAAAGTGCTAGGATTACAGGCATGAGCCACCGCACCCGGCCAAAAGGCCCGGCTTGAATGGAAGACAGTCTGCAGTCCCCTGCAGGGGCCACCTGGGGCAGAAAGTGTTGCTGCCTGCTCTCTTCTTGGGTCAAGTTTTAAAGCATTTTTCTTCAGTAGCAGGAAGAGGATGCAACTTTCGTGGGCATAGAGAATATAGAGAAGATCACATCCTAAACCCAAAAAATTCCTCCCCAAGTTTGCGGGCTGGTTGGTCACATCTGTGTCCCCAGTACCCTGTGCACAGGTTGTTTGAGATTTGGAGTTTGACCCCCTCACGGGCATGTGTGAGGGGTCTGGTGGGTCACAGTCTCCTTCAGAGGACAAGCTGGGGGACAGGAGACTCAGACCGTACCGGGAAAGCCCCACACCTTTCAGTTCTGCCCACCCACAGGTGCTTCTCTGGGAGCCCCTGAGTGATGGAGGTAACCTTTCCTGTAATGGGACCAGTGGCTTTCAGTGGGTTAAACAGAGGGTGGACCAGGGCACACACTGCTTCACAGCCCTGTTTGTGGTCCATTTTTCTTGCAGGAAGGGGCATCAGTTTGGCACTTAGAAGAGTTACTTAAATTTTTCCACCAGCAATGCTATTACACCCTTACCGGATTGGTGGGCCACGTTGTCAGCCTTCCAAGTTCCCATTCTCCTTGGCTGGTGGTTAGTGGTTATAGTCACAGAAGGGAGGACTACAGGGAGGATACGGGGCGTGCAAATCACAAACGCTCCCTGGGGACTGCAGCTTCCACCAACACAGTTCTCTCTCCATGGTCTCCCCCGCCCCTTCCCTCTGTCTCCTACTTCTGGGCTGGCCTCCAAACACATACAGAGGCCTTCATTTTAAGAGGCACATAGGGGAAAAAAAAACAACTTCAGAGCATGTAATTGTGGTTATGTAAGAAAACGCCAATATTCTTTAGAGGCACATTCTGATGGAGAAGTGGAATGACATGATGCTGGAGTTTGCTTTAAAATTCTTTCCCTTTACAGCAAAGGGAAAAAAGATGGAGCCAATCTTGCTTGTTGTTGAATTGGAGGGTATACAGGGGCTTATTGTACTGTCTGCTTTTATTTGCATTTGAGACTTTTCACAATAAAAATGTTTTTAAAGTGTATAGAATTCTAATGACAACTTTTTGGCTTGCATGTAATTTTTGGCGCTCTTCTAAAAACTGATTTACCTATTGAGAGATGCGGGCCTGACTCCTACACCAGCACTGTGTTCTTGGGACTTTGCTGCTGCCGCCTCCTAGCTGAACACTGGTGTGCTTTATGTAAGGTTTTCTGAAAAGCTGCAGTATGTCCAGCCGCCCCAAGATAGCCGAATCCTATTATTAACAGTTTTACAAAGGTTATTTGTACTCTTGCATAAATAGTAATGTGAGTTTTGTTTTTACTAGACAAATATTGATTGAACATATATGTGGGAAAACAAATATGAGGAAATGAATGAGGTGGGGGAGGGACCCTGACTGTCTCAGGACCCTGCTCCGGAAGCTGGCAAGGGAGACACCCCTGTAAGGAGAAAGGACCTTCAGCGTGGAGTTGGTTCTCACGGTGGGCTCGCGCAGTTCCCAACAGTTTTACCCCTTTCGATATCCCCGTAGTGAGCCTGTATTCAGCCCCCAAACGCCTTTTCCTTTAGTAAAATCTTCTCATCCTGTTTTCAGGATAGACCCTTTTTCCGGTAACTAAACTTCTTGCGGGCAGACACAGCGTTTGAGTTTTCGCATTGGCTTCAAACAAACCCAGTGGAAGTGGACAGTGAACAAGACACCCCCGCAGGAGGCCCGGGCACGGGGTGTGGCTGCCAGGCCTGGCCATGGAAGGCCATCACTGTGGGCTCTTCTGGGAGTGGCACTGACAGCCAGCAAGGAGAATGGGTGCTGGGGCGGAGTGGAAGAAGGTGAGCTTGAGGCCGGAGTTCCTACCCCAGGAGGCACCGTCAGCGTCCCACTTCTGCTCGTGTGATCCCCTGGAGGCACCTGAATCAGGCAGTAAACATGGAGTGAGAAACACCGGAGTAGAAGACCTTGCAACAGCACATGTGTGGGCCCAGTTCCTAGCTGCCCCGGGTGGCCAAGGCCACATCCTGTACACACAGGTCTGGGAGTGTCTGCATTTCAGCCCTTGACCGTGAACTTGACCCTCTGGAGGTGTCCATCTTGATGTGATCCTCTGACTGCAACCTCATCCTCTGCCTCTCAGAGCTGCCTCCCCCTGTGGCTTCTTGCCCTGAGGCATGGGAGGCGTTGGTGCCAGGAGCTTGGGGTTTGAGTCAGGTTGGCTCGGGGATAAGACCCAGCCTTTCCACACATTAGTTTGTGATGCTGGGTCATAGTGCGTCTGTTTGCTCCCTGTCAAGGGACCAGTAACATGAGGGGTCAGAGAAGGGATCAGAACTCTCGTGGGCCTCCAGTGTGTCGCAAGTTTTTGCTGTTCTGCTTTTCCTCAGCTGCTGGTGGGAATGCAAATTGCTGTGCTGACTTTGGAAAAACTCTCCGGCAGTAAAGCCTAAAGTTCCACATCCACACACCGTACTGTGGCCCAGCTGATTTCTCTCCTAAGGGTATCCCGGAGTAACTTCTGCACATGGATGCCTGGGACTTTACAGCCCTTCTGCACACAATAACAGAAACCTGGAAGCCACCCAGATGCCCATCAGTGGGAGAAGGGATGAATACACGAAGACACGATCACACAATGGAATATTATACAGCTGTCCAAACACATTAACTGCAGCATAACTTCAGTGATGTAGGTGGATTCTGGCAATATCATAAATATTAGTAAAAATAGCATGTTCCCAATGATGACTTACAGCACTATGCCTTTTAAAAATAAAGTTAAAAGCAACTACAATGACTGTACTCTCTAGGAAAATTTACAGGTGCAATAAAACTACATAAAAAAGAGCATGGGAATGTGTACTTCTCATTCCGTTTTTGGTGTCTTGGGTGGCAGGAGGTGGCAGTGTGCTGGGGGCGCCATCTGGTTGGCTGTAGGTTATTGTCAAGGCCCTAGCCTTTGTTTCAGCTGGTGGGTGTGCAGGTGGTTATTACATTGTGAAAAGTGACTAAGTGGAAGTGGGCCATGTGCAAACCAAAGATGAGTGTCCCGAGCCAAGGACTGCCATGAACAATTAACCCAGTTCCCTGCATGTCAGGCCCAGCGCTCCCCGGGCCCCAAGCTGGTTTAGCTGAGGCTGTGATGGCCTGGCGTTCACTGGGGGAGGGGGTGGAGTCTGCTTTTCCAGTTACTCTTTCCCCTGCTTCTCTTGTCACCCCCTGTCCCTCCAGCTCAGGCCTCCCCACTTCAGGATGCCTGCTGGCTGTAGTGACCTCTGCCAGCTTGCGGCTTTGCACTTCCTCAACTACTGTTTCCTATCTGTGTCACACAATTATTGCCTTGTTATAGATGGCCTCACCCACTAATCATTTCCACATGTGCGTGTGTCTTTTAATGAGCTGGTAATCTCCACAGGGCCAGAGGTCATGTTTTATCTCCTCTAATGTGGCAGATTTCTGCCCAATTCTGTACCACTCTCCTCTTCTTCCTTACTTAAAGAACCCCCAGTCTCCCCTCAGCTAGGCAGTGCCATGTGGCTGCATGGCATGTATGGAGCAGCGTCGTGTGCTCCTGGGAAGCCTTCCTAGAAGGAGGAGGCAGCGCGCCTCCCTTCCCCCTTCCTCCTTCCTGCTGCACGCACTGCAGCGTAATGGCTGGAGGTCCAGTCCCCACAGAGGGGCAACCAGACAGAGACTGGTCCCTGACACCCAGCACTGGGGGGCTCGTATAGCAGCTTTGGGCTGCCTGTCTCCTGAGAAACTTCAATCTTGTGTAAGTCACAATTTTTAAGGTCTTTGTTACTCACAGATGAACATAATTCTCAGGGGTGCATCTTGTAACCCTCCCCACCATGGTTCTTAGCACTTCTGGGTACATAATGATTATACTGTGAATCCTGTGGGTTAAAAAAGTCAGAACCTTGAAGTGGCACCGGGGGGGGGCCATCTGCATTTAGCAAGAGATCTGGACTCTCAAGAACTGACGACGAGTCCCATGATGCGTCCCATGCTCGGGTGGCCGGGGTGCATCCCTTAACCCCCTGAACTCCACTTGCTCGCTGGTTCAGGGAGTGAATAACCGCGCCTGCCGACCTCAGAGCTAAGTGGCATAGATCGTCAGCAGTTCAGCACCATCGCTCCGGCTCTCATGCGCGTGAACTGTCATCTTCACAGCAGGCCTCAGGCTGGGAGCTCCGCGGTGGAAGAGTAAGCTCATGTCTCAGCCTGCCACACAGGAATGGGTGGAAGGGCTCGCGTGGCACCCATGCCCTGTCCCTGGCAACTGATGCTGCCAGCCCTCAGTGGCCACTGCCACCCCCTCCTCCTGAGAAAAGCTCAGGGCAGGCAGTCTGAGGTGGGATGAGCTTGTTTGTTCAGGTGGGGGTGCTTTTTCATGGTTTCTGTTTCTCTTTGTTTTTTCTCCTTTCTTCAAGACCAGTGTCTCAGTGGACACAGGGTGAGAGCCACTTTGTGGCAGTTGGTTAGGGAGGGGGGGCGGGCAGGCAGCTTTGCTCGGGTGGGTGTGGAGTGGCTGGTCTGCCCACCCGGAGCAGTTCTTCACGATGTCCTGGGGCCAGCCCCACTTTCCCAGGTCTGGGTGGCCGGGGCTGTGGCAGTCACTTTGGGATATTAACCTCAGGGGCTCGGCAGTGTGACTGAGAGACAGACATCCTTTCCTACCTCGGCAGGCCTGGGTGTCGTGGGCAGCCAGCTGGGGGCTGAACCGACACTGGGCTTACCTGGGGGTGCGTGGCCCCCATGGGAGGGCACCATCCAGGGGACCCCTGGGCCTCCCCACAGACAGCACCAGCCACTCTTCCGCATCTCTGCTCTCTGCCTCTGCTGCCAGGTGGCTCTCAGGATGCCCAGCTGCAGGCTTCCCGGCATTCCTTCTCACCTCTGCGTTCATGCAGGAAATGTTTGTTTAGAGCCTCCCTGTGCCCCACCAGGGCTGTGTTCCCACCTGTGGGCTCTCCAGAGACGGCGGTGGATAAAAGTCCCTCACTACCTTGACTGTGGTTCCTGGGGGGCAGGGGTCCTATCTGTTTCCATTCACTATAACGCCCTGGCTCCTAGCACATGCCTTGAGGGGACGGGGGCTCACTAAACGCTTGTTGGGTGAGTGAATGAACACATGAGTGGATATAAAATCGAGGCAGTCATGAGTGTGCAAAGCGCAGAAGATGGCGACCAAGGTCAGGGAGCAGGAGCAGACAGCGCCCCCACCACCAGCCAGACATGCATATGCCCGGCGACGAGCACCTGGGTGTTTCAGGAGGCTCTGAGCTCACAGGAGAGAAGCCTGACCTATGATCGTCACCCTGTCCTGGGGGGCAGCAGCGGGAGTGACAAGTGTGGCCTTTCCTGGCTGCCACAGCCTAAAGGGTCCTCTGCGCCTGCCAGCTCCTCAGGTCTCCTCCGCAGATACATTTGGGCTGCTGGCTGTTGGCTGACTGGGTTCAAGCCTCTTCTCCTGTGAACTCGCGGGGCTGGAAGGTCTACGTTTCCAGCCCCAGCCTCGCCACTTGTAGTCATGTGACCCCAGGGCACATCCTTACTGTCTGTATCTCAGTTTATTCCTCTGTAAAATGGGCACAGTTACGGCACCTGCCCCATTGAACGCAAGAAGATGCATGCCTGCTGGAAAGGGTCAGATCAGAAGGAGACATTTGCCCCCCACTCGCCCTGAGGAGCCTCGCACAGGGAAGGTGCTCCGGGCACGGACAGGGTTGAGTCTCCCCTCATCTCGTGGCTTGGGCTGGAAGAGTCCACTTGCTGCCGAGGCAGGGCTGGCACAGACTGCCATCCTGCTTGGCTTGGCCATGGGAACAGCTGGTGAGGGTGCTTTTATTTGCCTGAAGTGTGGGCTCTCGGCCGGCCCTGCGGGGAAGCCAGAGCAGCTGGTCTGCCTCGTGAGCAGGTGCCGGGGCGGGTCTGTGCGCCTGCCCTTCCCTCCTTCCCCGAAAACGCTCTTTGATTCCGCTGCCCACCCCCCTCTTCCCCACCTCACCCACATCTGAAGAAAAGCTTCCCTACTTAAAGGAAAAAAGGAAGAATAAGCTTCATCTGATTTGATTTTTTTTGGAGTCCTCAGGTCGGAGCCTCACACAGCAGGGGTCCAGTTGGTCTAATTGAAGGGCATTGTTTCTGTCCCAGTCCTTTAGATTCAGGCTGTTCACACAGCCTGTCTCTCTCTCTCCCACATGCGCGCGCGCACACACACACACAGACACGCGCGCATGCTAACCCTGGGGCCTGTGGCCCTTCATTAGCTCATTTGGCAAATGATGGCTGAGCCCTGCTGTGTGCCAGGCCCTGGGAGAGCCCTGGGGAGCGAGACCGCCCAGATCACCACCCTCAGGAGCCCACAGCCCAAGAAGGAGACTCGAAGAGTAAGGCTGGTTTAGCAGAGGAAACTCAGTCTGTAGCTTCGTAACTAGTGAAGAGAGTTCCTGGTGTTTTGCCCACATCCCCTCGGCATGTTGTATACCACATACGTGTTACAGTGCCTGTCCCATTGGGCTCCGTAAGGGAGTGTCACCACATCTTCATTCCTGGCTCTGACAGGCACCATTGACCGATCTTGGCCCTCTTTGTCTCTGAGCCCAGATCTGGCCTCAGAATCCTTCTCAACACAGAACTCTAGGTAACCACTACCAGTCATCTGTGCCTGGAACCCAAGCTTAAACTACCCCTGGGATCACAGTGAGTTACTTGTGTGAGACTTCCTTGTGCCTCCTGAGGCTTCGGAATGAGCCTGACTGCAGAGACCACTGCAGATGCTGCCAGACTGTTGGAATGGCCTCAAAGGTCGGTTGGGCCACCCCAGGCTCTGTGCTCAGCAGGACTGCACGGCCTGTTCTGGCTGTAACCCCTTGCCCCTGGCTGTTCCCTCTGCCTGGGATTCTCCAGTTCCACCCGTCCACCTGGCTCACACCCTCCCTACACTCGCATTTTGTTCAGCTGACGATTCATCGAGGGCCCTCTTTGACCACCTGTCTGTAAGAGCTATGTTTTCTGTCACTTCCTCCTATGTTCCTTTATTTTGCTTCTTAACACACACATGTGACATATATTTACCTCTTTAGCCCTCTCATTTACTCCAATATTCCAAGCAATGAAAAATACCTATTGATCAAATGGACCTTGCATTAGCAGATACCTGGTGGACTTAACCCTGCTACTGCCTGCAAGAGTTAGGATGAGAGGTAATAGACACAGTGTGTCTAGCCAAGCTCCTGGTTTATGCAGCATGCTGATTTATTGCTGTTCGAAATAAAGTGTTCTTTACACTGTAGATGGGGGAGGGTGCGTTTAGTTGGAGGTCCCAAAAAGCCTCTGTTCTCACCAGAGCCTTCCTCCCCGCAGCCAGTTCCATTTAGCCAGCAGCTGGCAGGCATCTGCTGTGGGCCACACTGTGCAGAGCCCTGGGGGGATTCAGAGGTGAGCATGTTCCAGCATCTGCCCTGGGGACCCTGAGGATCTCAGTTCCCTGTGTGGGACTCAGGCAGGGACACGAGAGAGGGGCCTGGGGGCACTGATTGCTGAGGAAGTGATCATTGCCGGCGGAGGGGTTTGAGGAAGGCATTGGAGGCAAGTGTGGCTGGACAGAGAGGATTTTGTCAGGTGCGGGTGGGCAGGGGACCGGCTGGGCTGCCAGGTCACCTCCAACCCCTGCCCACCCCCCAACTTGGACAGCTGCTGCAAAGTTGATAACATCTTTTGAGATTTTCACTTCCTGCCGAGATATTAGTCATTAGAAACTTGTCACTTCTGAACCTTCCTCCTCCCCGGCTTTTCAACTGTGTCCCGATATGCCCTCCCCCAGTTTCCTGCTATAGAATACATTCTTGGTGATAGAATAGAGAGTTTCTTGCTCTCTAGATGAAGTCTGATCTTTTGCTGCAAACTCCTGTAATGAAAAGAGACCAGTTTGCATGAAATGTCTGCTCTGCTGTCTGTTTCCTCCAGAAAGCTTTTTTGGAGGAGCGAGTGGGGGCTAAGGAGGGGTAATTACAGTCTTATTTATCCATGCTGGAGACTCATGGTTCCCATGTGTGTAGAATTTTTCCTTCTCTTCATCCTTTGCTATTTGACCAGCACAAGTTCTGCTTGGCCCCAGGCAGATGTCACTGATGAACCGTGGCACACTTGCTCCCAGGGCCAGACCTGCCCCTAGTGTTCTCAGCATAGCGTCCAAGCCAGCTCTCTTGAGTCCAGACCACCATAGGGCACTGGTATCGTGTGTGTTTTTCTTGGCCCTCCTGAGGCCAGAGGGAGAAGAGAGAAGGTGGCCCCAGCAGATGTCCCAGCTCAGTTCTTCCTCCTTGGTCCTGAGCCCAGGGGCTGGGGACGGTTTGTGCATTCCTGGGGATCTCTAGAATGGACCCCACTCCTCGCACACACAGGTAGCTGGGACTGTCTTCCTTTATGGGCTCACTGTGGTGACTGTGGCTTCCTGTGTTTGCCCCCTGCAGAGCTGCCCTGTGTTGAAGCAGGAGGGAGGATGGTGTGTCGCCCCGGAGCATGTTGAGAGCACAGTGCCCAGCAAAACCTGACGGCTAGGAAAGGCCTCAGGTTCAGCCAGCACCTCCGGGGGCCTGACTTCATGCCAGGCACAGGCTTGATTGTCGCTAGGTTAAGTGATGCCTGCCTGCCCGGCCACCTGCCTTTCTGGCCACCTGGCAGGGCTTGATGCCGAGGCCCAGCAGCAACGTGGTGGTGGAGCCGGCAGAGGGGACTCCAAAGCTGCTGCTGTCACCGTTTAGATAACGTGCAGACAGGGCTGGGTCCAGACTCCCTGAACGGTGGTTCTGTGCACATCTGGTTCTCAGTTGTCCTTCATCGTGGGACTGTAGCCAGAGACACAAGATGGGGGCACCTTCTGTGTCTTCCTTTTCCTTTATTCCTAGCCCTCCCTGCACTAACACACGCCTCCCCCCCCCGCCCGCCCCCCCCCGCACCACTGCCATCTACCTGGATGTCACCTGCTCCTTGTTCTTTCCCATTTCAGCTTCCGGCCACCTCCTTCTTGGAGCTTTTCTGGATTCCCCGCTCTCCTCTGCTCCCAGTGCCCCCAGCTCAGGTGCCTGCCATCCCTCTGTTAGGGTGCCAGACTTGCTGGTGGGATTTGCTGGTGGGATCAGGCTGTGAGCTCCCCAGGACAGGGCCTGGCCCTATAGCAAACACCCTGGGCCCCTCACTGTCCCCCATCCCACAGGCTTTGTCCTCCTTGTCTTTGTTTCCTGGCTTTGAGGGTAGCAGTCTTGGCTTCATACCCTCCACCTCCCAACTGGCATGCCATCAGACACCCAGCAGGTGCCCGGGAAGTGTGGCATAAATGAGAGAGGGAATGGCTGCCCTTCCTCAAGGAGCTCTCCCTGCCCTCCAGATGCCTGCCCTGGGACACTGGACAAGGAGGCCTGGTCACTCGGGAGTGCTGGTACCCCTTGTGCTGTGGTGCTCGTACCCTGAGGCCTGGGCTCAGGTTGGGGCGTGAGGTTGGGGGCTGGCTGCCCCCACTGCCTGCCTTTCCCACCCTCACAGGTCCCAGCAGGCTGGGGTGGTCTGGGCTGCCATCTACCGCTGGAGGCTCCTAGGTGCCCTCCACCATCCTGCTCCGACTTGTGCCTGGGAGTGAAGCGGCATTGTCAGGCCACCGGGTGAGGGCTGCCAGGGTGTGGCGTGGCCCCAGCCCTGCCCTGGCATAGGTGCCTGTGGGCCTGGGTGGGTGAGCGGTGGAGTGGGACATGGGACACTGTGTGGGCAGGCGCCACGTTCCCCCAGCCCAGCTACTTGCTGGGACGAGGAAGGCCTTGCTTCTGCTGAGCTAGGGAGGGTGTGCCCAGGACAGATAGGTGCCTGCCCAGGAAATCAGCTAGAGCCACCCCTGACTGGAGGGTGTGGGAGGCAGTCTTGGTCCCAGTCTGTGACTCCACAGGCTCCTCGGGACCAAGACTGTGGTCTTGGTCTGTGCTGTACTCCTGCCACCGCCGGCCTCTGTACTCCTGCCACCGGCGGGTGAGGTTGGCTGGGCCTGGACAGCACATGGCTCCTCCCATGGGACCACTACACTCATTCTGGCTGGGGGGGTCATGCCTGTCCCAGCCCACCCTGCATGCATACCGTAGTTTCCTCTGGCCACACTTTCTCTGCCCCTTTCTTGCTTATCCATCAGCAGAACTACTGACTTTTCCATCCATCAGCAAAAATACTGACTTTGCCAAGAAGCTTAAAAAAAAAAAGTACTCTACCACCATGAAGTCACAGTCATACGATCCCTCACGGCCATAAAATCAGGGCCCTTATATCAACTCCAAGCACTGGAGCACCGATGCTGTCGTTTTAGCCAGGAGGGGTGGACTTAGGGACAGAGGAAAGGGCAGCCCAGAACTGCTGCAGGTGCTGTCCTGTGGGGAAAGGGTCCTGCTCTCTCCATCCTTAGCCTAATCCTTGAAGTCCTTCTGCCTCACCCCAAACACACACCTCAGGGCATGGCATGCACTCAGCAGACACCGCTGAGTGGATACAAGCTTCTTGGTATGGCATAAGGAGCCCTAGGGCGGAGTGCAAGGAGACCTGGGTTTCCAGACCTGAATGTGGGGCTACGCCTCTGTCATTTTTTGCTCCGGACCTCAGTTTCCTGACTCTATGGATAATCTTGATGGCTCTTTTGGTTTTAAAATGCAGATTCTCAGCATCCCTCTGCTGTTGGGGTCTGTATGCACGGATGTGTCCACCTACTGACCCGCCTTCCCCTCCCCCACCATCCGCACCTGTGGTTGCCGAGGCATCACTGCAGCAGGTCGTTCCTAAAGCCCGATGCAGAGACCCGGCTTGCATTCCTCTTGTAAAATGGTTCCTGAACTACTGTTTATGGGCAGAGGTTCTCTTCCAAGGAGTCGAATGCCGTGTCCTGCCCGTGTTTCTGGGGCTGCCCCCCGCCCCCTTCTTTGGCTCAGGGGCTCAGAACAGGCCCTTCCTGGCATCAGATAAGACAGGTCTGCCCACAGAGCAATCCAGGGCATCACCCAGCCCTAAAGGGAAGGTGGCAGGAGCTCCTGGGGTTACTTGAAACATCCTCTGGTTCCCTCCCTGCCGGGTTCCCTGAGTTCTTCTGGACGCGTGGGCACTTGCCTGCTGGTGAGAGCTGGCAGCCGAGTTAACGCCATAAAGATGTGCTGTGCCTCTCTTGCCAGCAGCGTCTCTTTTTCCAGCCCCTCCCTTCCCCCTTCTGAAGGAGACTGAAGTCCTTTAGAGACTGTGGAGTCCTGATCCTGGTACAGATGAGGGTGTGGCTCAGAGAGGGACTGTGACTTGCCTGAGGCCACACAGTAGGTTACAGGCAGAGGCAGGAGTTAGCGGCTCTGCCCTCATGCTGCGGTGTTTGAGTTTCCAGGTGCTCCTTCCCAGCGGTTCTCCTCCTCCTGGGTCAGCTCAAAGGAAATATTTGTTTTCCTTTCTGTGAACAAAGAACCGACTTATGTTTGTTTCTGTGAATGCAGCCACAAGGACAGGCAGTTAGGAAGTGTTCCGTGGGAGGGGGTTTTCTGATGACGTGGTAGCCTCGGCCGGGCCGAGTTGGTCCCTGGGTACGGAGACACGGGTGGCCTTGTTAGGGGAGCCGGCGCTCCTGGGCTTGTGCAGATTGCAGTTGGTTTCAGGCCCTAGGGATCCCAGGATTAATCGAAATGAGGTGGAACAGATGGATTGAATCTATCAGCAGCTTTACATGACAGCCTCGTAACATAAAAGCACTTCATTGCCACTCGTTTTGCCAGGACTCCCCGCCCCGAAGAGGGACTGGGTGGAGAGGAGAGCCTCTTGTGCAGATGGAGTTACAAGCATGTGGGCCTGGGCTTTGTGCAGGCAGCAAGGACAAACCACTGCTTGGGTTTTCCTCTCAGTGGCTATGTTAGAAAATGTGCTATGTTCCAGAGGTAAAAAAAAGAAAAATAATAATGAATAAAAAATAAGAAAATTGGCCGGGCATGGTGGGTCACACCTGTGATCCCAGCACTTTGGGAGGCCGAGGTGGGTGGATCACCTGAGGTCAGGAGTTCAAGACCAGCCTGGCCAACATGATGAAACCCCATCTTTACAAAAATACGAAAATTAGCCGGACATGACGGCAGGCGCCTGTAATCCCAGCTACTTCGGAAGCTGAGGCGGGAGAATTGCTTGAACCCAGGATGTGGAGGTTGCAGTGAGCCGAGATCACGCCATTGCACTCCAGCCTGGCGGGTGTGATTGGCTGGGGTTGGGCCACAGGCTGTGTCGTGAGTCGTTATTGAAGGTTTGGGGCGGGCCTGTGCTGTAGAAAGTGCTCTGGCTTTGGGCATGAGGTGATGAAGATGGTGTCTATGAGGGAAGCTCTCCAGGCCTGAGGTTCCAACCCCGGTCTTGCTCCAGGCCCTGCTGGCAAACGATCAGCGACATTGTGCTGCGGCTGTTCCCTCCCACTGGAAATGCTCATAATTCTTGTCCTGGCCACCTCGCATGAATGTCAGGGAGGAAGGAGGAGAAAGGAGATGGAACCTCTTCACTGTCTGGTGTTTCTGGTAACGGGGCCTGAGGTTGGCTGGTTGCCAGTGCCAGGTCGTCAGGTGGTTTTTGTTTTGGCCATCAAGTTGTTGAGGTGCATTCAGGGGCTGCTTCTGGCCAAATCCAGGAAGAGGTTGTGAGATGTGTCCTGTGGAGAGTTAATCAGTGGC
Source organism: Homo sapiens (assembly GCF_000001405.40). NCBI lineage: Eukaryota > Metazoa > Chordata > Mammalia > Primates > Hominidae > Homo > Homo sapiens. The sequence goes on along the minus strand of NC_000014.9, from coordinate 91,368,774 downwards.
ATGAGCGTAGACGTTCCAACACCTGCAAAGGAGATCTGTGGAATATCCCTCCTGACTACAGGGTTCTCTTGGGGGCCCTCAAAAAGCATCCCACCTGCCTGAAGCACAGCCAGCACCGTGCCGTTTCTGGAAGTGTTAAATCGATGCAGGGTTTCGACACCCCTCCTAGAGCACTGGACTAGACATTGGGAACACTGGAATACGTGTGGGGCCTTTCCTGTCTGAAGTCACTTCTGTAGTTTAGGAATTTAAAATTAATTTACTTTTGCTTAGTTTGCTCATAAAACTATTGCATTTGGGATTTTACAGTTGGAAAGCATGGTATATTCAAGCCAGCATTACCAGTTCACTTTGGAATGTTTTTAAAAATCTATATTCAATCTTCTACTTACACAAGTTCTAATGGAAAATTCTAAAACAAATTCGAAGCTTTTTTTCCCTCTGAAATGTTTTTAACTTTTGTTAACAGCTACAGGCTGTGAATCTTAAGGAATATGGTGTCAGATTTTCCAGGTTTCAAGGCACAGGAATTAGCAGAGAAACCACCCTCATTGCAGTGATAGAGCAGAACAGTAGGTTTTCAGATCTTGGTTCCCTTGTCAACATGGAAGAGACAGAGAAGACACCTCCTCCACAAAAGAGGTTTTTAAAAACTGTGTACTCAATATATATTTTGAGGAATATTTTCTGATTTAATTTTCCCAACTGTCACTATTAGCAGCTTTTTGCCACTTCGGAGTGGGGAGTTGATTGACATGGCACAGTGTAGAAAGTGCCGCAGAAGGGGGCTGAGGAAGCATTAGGAGTTCAGGGGAGAAAAAAATCATCCGGCATCAGGTGGCTGCCTAGAGGAGGGGGCGTTTTAGCTGAGCTTTGGAGGGCGAGTAGGGTCTGGCAGGTGGTAATCTGGTGGTAATGGGGCTGTGGGAGGAAGGGCACCCTCGTGGGAAGCGCAGAGAGTGTTGGTAGTTCAGTTTGATGCTCAGGGTAACCGAAGGGTTGACTTGCTGCCCACACTTAGCAGTTAATACATTTCCTGGCTCTGTCCCTCACGTGTCAGACTCCTAAGCATTCTCTACAGCCCAGCTCAGAAGCTGTCTCCTCTGGGAAGCCTTCCCAGACTTGTCTGGGCAGTTTGGCAGTACTCCCTGTGCTGTGCTGCCACTGTCTACCTCCCTCCCAGACAGGCCGAGAGTTCTCTGCTCGCTGCAAGGTGTACACAGTACGTGTCTTCTGAATATCTGAACCCCAGAGCAGACCTAAAGGTGTAGAAAATGCCCCGGCTTTGGGCACCAGGGAAGACGGTGTCTAGAGGTGTGCTGGGTGCACCTGCGAAGCCGACGTCACTCATGCTTCTGCTATTTCAGTCTTGACTGTTAGCGTGTGTGGGTCAACAGCGGCATTCTTTGTGGTTTTGCTTTGGCTGTGTGGAAGGCTCTCTTTGCTGTTTGGACCATCTTGGTCTCCTTGGCAACCGTGAGCGTCACCTTCATCCTGAATGCCTGTGCTGGGCGTTCATCTTAACTTTTCTGGGATTTCCCTCTCATTTATTCTGCATTAGCAGCTCCCATTCATAGCCACATGAGGGGCATCCTGTGGGCCTAAACGCTTGGCTTTCGGCAGCGTTTATTCTTCCTTCCTGGTAAAATATCAAGCTGCGAGATTCAGTTTCACTTAGAAGGAGAAAAATAATTCTTCCCATTTCTTCGTGAAATCATTGTTCTTGGTCCAACTGTCCTAGTGTTTTCAGTGGATACTGAAGCTAACCTCTGCCACATGCACAGAACGGTGTTTCCACCTGCATCTTTCCCAGGACTGTAATGTTTCTCCCACCTGCGGAGAAAATGACCTTTTTGTTGGAGCAGGCACAGTGGTTGAGATGGCCCTGGCAGGTTGTTAAGTCTTTTCAGGAGGCCCTTACTTTGCCTCAGGTGTTGAGTGGGCCTTTTCTGGGACCTCTGAGGCTCTGTCTTCACAGGGCTTATACCCTGAGAGTCAGCCTTTCGCCCAGGACCCCGTCCCCCTTCACTGGTTACAGACCCCTTGGGTGCTCCTGGCTCCCATCTGTTCTTCCCAATCAAGAGGCTTGGCTTCTCCTGATGAGAAGATGCTTGAAGGTGCAGCTTGCTTTTTGTGGCTATTATTTAAAATGGCAATCTACTTCATTCCTCATCTTGGATAGTTGGTGAATTGTCTCAGAGGAAAGAGTGGCTATAGATATATGGATATAGATACAGATACATGGTTTTTTGTTTGTTTGTTTCTTGTTTTTTTTTATTTTTATATTTTTTTAGACCGTCTTGCTCTGTTGCCGAGGCTGGAGGGCAGTGGCGCAATCTCGGCTCACTGCAATCTCTGCGTCCCGGGTTCAAGCAATTCTCCTGCCTCAGCCTCCCAAGTAGCTGGGATTACAGGCACATGCCACTGTGCCTGGCTAGTTTTTGTATTTTTAGTAGAGATGGGGCTTTGCCATGTTGGCCAGGCTGGTCTTGAACTCCTGACCTCAGGTGACCCGCTCGCCTTGGCCTCCCAAAGTGCTGGGATTACAGGCGTGAACCACCATGCCCAGCCCTGTGTGTGTGTGTGTGTGTGTGTGTGTGTGTGTGTGTGTGTGTGTGTGTATTTTTTAAGTAGGTCTGTCATGTTCACAGCTGAAATACCTAGTTAAATAGATGCCTCTGACTATATGGTCTCTGTGAGAACCTTTACAGAATATTTAGAAAATGCTGGGGAAACTTGCTCTTGCCCTAATCACTCTAATAAAGAAAATTCTGTCATTTTAGTGTAATATATTTCCTTTGAGGTTTTGTTTTCTTTTTTCAACATCCATTTCCTACTGTACATACAATTATGTATCTTTTTACACCTTTGAGCACTCTTTGCTGCCTTCCTAAATGGGATGAGTGGCCATAGCGTCCTGAACCGTTCCCCAGCGTTAATTTGCAGCAAGACTGTTAGAGTGCTGTTCTCTAATCTCACACCTCTTTCATGCTTCCTTTTGTAGTTTTGGGGAGGATTTGGGCCTTTAATAGTCTGTGGTTGACAGATTGCATAGTAGATGGTTGACTCAGAGTTGGGGTCTACATACTTGTTCTCAGAGCGGGGCTAAGGATGTCATTTAAGGTACTTGAGCTGAGTACCTTGTTGCCAAACCAAGGGTGGAGGTCCCAAAAGAAAGCACAGGCTCAGTTCAGGGTCTCCAAGACATTGAGCCCGTGGCGAACGTGGTTGAGTGGATGCACCATTTCTAAGTCCCAGATAGAGACTGGCTGAAAAGGAATGAGGCGGCCTGTCCCCCTAACAGTTTAATGGCCTCAACTGGACAAAACAGAAAATGAGCTTCATCTACAAGCCCCAGGAGCCATACAGGGTCATGTGGGGCGTGAGGGGCCACCGTAGGTGGAGAAGGGAGGCGCTCAGACCCCTTTCCTTGGGTCCTTCCCAGCCTAGTCCCTTCCCGTCCTGGTCCCTACCTGCTTCATGGGCTCCAGACACCTGCCTGCCACTCATTCTGTCCTGCCTCTCATTCTGTCCTGCCTCTCAGGAGGGCAGAAGCCCCAGCAAGGTGAAACCTGCCTGGGAGGGGTGAGGGGTGAGGGGTGAGGGAGTTGGAGGAGAGGAGGAGAGCACTTAGGCTGGAGGGGACCGTAGGGTGCCTGTGGCCTCCTGGAGCCAGCAGTGACAAGTGCTTAGCGTCACAGCATTGGCCTGGACGCTGGTCTTGTTTGCAGTGGCCCCACCACCCAGCATGGGCGTCACTCCCTAACCAGGCGCCGCTACGATCTGATGTCGTCCTCCCCTGTCAGAGCTTCATTGCCTATGAAGCCTGGAGTGGGACACCTGTATCCTGTGTTTTGGGGATGGTCCCGATTTCTCAACAAGTACATTGATGTTTGTCCCCAGCAGGTTCTAATAGAATCAGCTTTCTCTTTGGTTCTGTTCTTAGAACTCTACGCCTGTGACCTTGGAAAGCCACCGCTACAGGCCTTGAGATGCAGCATGCTCTGGGCCACCTTCAGTTTGCTTCCTGTGATCTGGGTTGGGAGCTGGGAATGGAGGCTTGTTGACACCGTGTGCAGACACAACTGCTGCCCCTGCCACCTTCCTGCCGGGGTGACAAATGCTTCCTGAGGGGGTCCTGGCCCACCCCAACCCTCCCCCTTGGGGTGACTGATAAGAGCCTAGATTTTAGATTTGAGGCCAGGGTGTTGTCAGGTGGGTGGGCCCTCTCCCCTTGTGAGATTACAAAGCGCTTTTCAGCCTTGCTCTCCCCCAACCCCTAGGGACACCAGTGGCCCCTGCAGTATCCAAAACACAAATGCACCTGCCTCTGACCCTTTGTTCATTGACTTCTTTTGGTTTGTTTAAAGCATTTAATTGGCCGAGGAGTCATTCCAGGATGCAGTTGAAAAGCAAGTCATTTATGAAAAGCAAAATCTTATTTTAGGATCCGAAAGCAAACCTAAAGGAGAAGTGGGGAGGAGTGCAATCTACCCTGGATTGCAATGCCACACCCCTACCATGTGCTCTGCGGAAGGGGGTTCCCTTGGAGGGCCATGTGCCAAGCCTGACCCTCTTCTTCCCTGTCCATCAGACCACAAGGACCGGTGACAAGACAGAGGCCTCAGCGAGGCTGGTGTGTGTCCCTTGTCCCTCAAGCTTGCCTTGGCACTTGTTTCTGCCATTGCAAAGACTAGAGTGGCACAAGGAGGGCTCACTGGCAAATGTGGGGGCCTGTCCAGAGCACCACTGGGCTTGCACTCTCCAGCCTGGTGTGGTCCTGCCTCACAGGTGGCTGGCTGGGGTGTGACCAGGTGCCCTGGCAGGACAGCATCAGCTGCAGCCTCCAAGTGAGTGGCTTTCTGTTCTGATGCCACGTGGGAGGGTCCCCTCGTCAGCAGCCTCCTCACGTCCCTGCCAGACTGAGGGCCAGCCCAGAGGCCCCTCACCCCACCACATTCCCCGCGGGGGAGGGCAAAGGCCTGGTGTTGGGGCCCAGTAGCCACCAGTCGCATGTGGCCTTCAGGGCCTGGAGATACCGCAGTGTGACTGTGGAAATGAATTTTTTATTTTAGTTCATTTAAATTTAAAAACTGGTACTCAGTTCAGTTGTAGGAAAACTTTTAAATGTGTTTGGAACAACCTGGGAATACAAGTCTATTTTTTCTTTCTTAAAAATTTTTTTTTATTATTTTTTCTTAATCTCGCATATTATACCTCCAACAAATGAACTTTTTCAACTCTAGATTTTGTGAAATCTGGAAACAGTCAAGTATTTCCAGTGAAAATTTAGCATCTGAATTGGGATGTGCTGTAAGTGTAACATACACACTGATTTCAAAGTGTATGGAAAAAGAATGCAAAGGCCGGGCAAGGTGACTCACACCTGTGATCCTAGCACTTTGGAAGGCCGAGGTGGGGGTATTGCCTGAGTCCAGGAGTTCAAGACTAGCCTGGGCAACATGGTGAAACCCCCTCTCTCCAAAAAAAAAAAGTAAAATAATACATTTTTATGTCAATTATGGGTTGAAATGATTATATTTTGGTTATATTGGCTTAATTAAAGTTGAATATTTTCACCTGTTTCTTTTTACTTTTTTAAAGATGGCTAATAGAAAATTTGAAATTAATGTGTCTCAATTATGTATATTGCTGGACAGCCCTGGCATCTGAGCCAGTTTTTGCTGGAAATGTGATTGATGGTTCTTTAAGGGGACCAGTTAATGGCTCGAGAGTAGCTTTGGCCATAGGATTACATCTTAGGAGAACCATGGTGTTTTGAAAGGAACAACTCAGAAAGATATTGTCTGTTCCTAAAACATGATTTCTTTTTTTTTTTTTTTCCTGAGATGGAGTCTCGCTCTGTCACCCAGGCTTGAGTGCAGTGGCCCAATCTCGGCTCACTGTAACCTCCGCCTCCCGGGTTCATGCCATTCTCCTGCCTCAGCCTCCTGAGTAGCTGGGACTACAGGCACCCGCCACCACGCCCAGCTTATTTTTTGTATATTTAGTAGAGATCGGGTTTCACCATGTTAGCCAGGATGGTCTCGATCTCCTGACTTCATGATCCACCTGCCTCAGCCTCCCAAAGTGCTGGGATTACAGGCGTGAGCCACCGCGCCCGGCAAAACGTTATTTCTTAATTGCACAAATGACACATGTTTCTTGTGGGAAAACTAGAAAGTACTGATTAGACAAAATTAAACATCCTGTTTTGGAAGGAGAACACATACATTTTCTAGCAATATTTCTAGCAGTGTTTTGCTTAGATTAACATTCACATAAAAATAACAATTTGCATTTTTTGCAGTGACCTTCAGATTATTTCAAAAAACAAAACAACAAAACAGGATGATTTCACATATTGCATCTCGCTTATAAACACGTTCACCCTGATACAGGGCTGAGCTTGGACAAATGGCAGAAGAAAGCTAGCCAAGAGTTGGAAAGGGGATTGTGGCTGGTTTGCTGGTGATGACCTTTGTTTTTTGGGTTGACTGGAACACTGGAACGTAGTCTTTTTTTTCTTTTTTTTTTTTTTGAGACAGAATCTTGCTCTGTTGCCCAGGCTGGAGTGCAGTGGTGCGATCTCGGCTCCCTGCGACCTTTGCCTCCTGGGTTCAAGCAATTCTCCTGCCTCAGCCTCCCAAATAGCTGACGTTACAGGCATGCGTCACCAGGCCTGGCTAATTTTTGTATTTTTAGTAGAGACAGGATTTCACCATGTTGGCCAGGCTGGTCTTGAACCCCTGACCTCAGGTGATCCGCCCACCTTGGCCTCCCAGAGTGCTAGGATTGCAGGCGTGAGCCTCTGCACCCAGCCTGGAGTGTAGTTTTGAGGCTGGGAGGGAGCTGTGTGACGGACAGGCTCATGTCATTGGGCACTCTCCTTTCACTGAGTAAATTAGCTGGAAAGCAGATTTCACTGATTTTACTGGTGTATTTTGCCGGGGGTGGTAGGGCGAGGGTGTTGGAACCCTTTGGCAAACTCATGCATTTAAGAGACAATTTTTTCACATTGACTTTTCCCAAGCCCTAAAGGAGGGCTGAGGCTGTTAAACAACTCACACTATTGTCCAACACGTACAGATATTTACCAGCTGAGACATGTTTGAGAAAGCATTAGCCGTTGCTGACACGGTGACATGTGACCCTGGATAATGGAGAAATGTGATTTCCAGCACTGAGTGGAGGGGGGTTGGTGTGTTCAGGAGTAGAGTACACCTCACGGTTTAACATCCCCTCCTGCAGTGTGGATAGGAGCCATAGAAAGACAATAAGGAGGGACGAGAAGACCATCTTCTATGTTCTCTGCAGGTGCTGGCCTCTCCTGGCATGCGGCCTCGGCCCCCGTTCTAATCTGACTCAGAGATGGTCTGAGATACGCACTCGGGCCATGTGGGTTGTGTAATTATCCCCCTCTTCTTCTCGAGTGCTAGTTAGCAGCACACTGGATATAGAGATTCCGCATGTTATGCAATAGAGCGACTTACGAAACTAGTTGTGTCTTAACAGAAACACATTTTTAAAGGCCTAACAGGAGCTTTCTTGGTGAAGAATTTCTATAGTGGCCACTTGTAGAATAGTTATGAAACCCACCCTCTTTTTTGTCTTCCGTAAAATTGGATTTTTTTTTTTTTTTTTTATAGACAGGGTTTTACTCGTCACCCAGGCTGGAGTGCACTCGTGCAACATAGCTCACTGCAGCCTGGAACTCCTGGGCTCAAGCAATCCTCCCGAGTAGCTGGGACCACAAGGCCTCAGTGCCACACCTAGCTGATTCTTAATTTTTGTAGATCCGAGTTTTTTCTGTGTTGCCCAGGCTTGTCTTGAACTCCAGGCTCAAGCCTCCCACCTCAGCCTCTCAAAGTGCTGGGATTACAAGCGTGTCCACCGTGCCCCACCAGAACTGGAATTTTAAAATCTCCTTATTTGTGAACAACGTCCTGCATCTAGGCACAGAAGACTGATCTGCCCCAAGAAATACTTAGGGGGATGTAAGTGGTAGACTGGGCTGTGAGCCGGCACGCTGAGGAGAGCCTGTACCCAGACGAGCGGGCATGACTGATAGCTGATGCCTGGGCCTTCTCTCCAAGCCCACGGGTGTGAGGGCGGGAAGGCAGCTCATCGCCTGTGCCCCACCTCGGGCTGGGCAGAGCAGCTCTGATGTATCCCTCGCTTAGGAAGCCCATGCTATAAATGAGAGAAGTCTCCTCATTTATAACTTGTACCAAAGACCTGCTTAGTGCTGGATCCTGAACCATCAGATTAGAAAGGCTCAGTAGCATCTCTTTAATCTTTATTTCTTCTTCTTCTTATTTTCTTTTTTGGAGACAGGATCTCCATCTGTTCCCCAGGCTGGAGTGCAGTGGTGTGATAACTCACTGTATCTTCGACCACCCAGGTTCAAGCGATTGTTCCACCTCAGCCTCCCAAGTAGCAGGGATCCCAGGCACATACCACTATACCTGGCTAATTTAAGAGTGTGTGTGTGTGTGTGTGTGTGTGTGTGTGTGTGTGTGAAGATGGGGTCTTGCTATGTTGCCCAGGCTTGGTCTCGAAATCCTGGCCTCAAGCTATCCTCTTGCCTCAGCCACCCAAAGCGTTGAGACTACAGGCATTAACCACTGCGCCTGGCCTCCTTATTTTTTAATTGCACAAGCCATACAATAAAAATAAGGGTATCTTTTAAAAAAGAAACATCATACTGCTGTCCTAGCATGTCATCTATTGCCTTTTTTTCCAAGACCTCTCTACCTATGCAGACATAACTTTAGCTTTCATTTTATTTTTTAAATATGCTTTTTCTTTTTTCATAACCCCATTAAATCTCTTGTAGGCATACTTTTTATTTGCTAACAATCAAGACAGAAATACAGTTAGGCTTTGGCTTTCGTGTTTGTTTGCATCTTACGTGCTCCTTGCTGTCATTTTAGCTCCTTCGTAGTCACCACGGGATGGCTGTGCACCCGTCCGGGGGCTTCATTACTTGTAATTTACTTAATCCCTCTTTATTTTTGTTTCCGGTTCTTAATGGTATCTTTTCCCCCTTTGTTTCTGCAGGAAGTTCTCCAGCAGCTGATTGTAATGAATTTGCCCAATGTTTTGATGATTGGCAGAGACCCACTGTCTGGTGAGTGAAAGCCGCTCCCTTCTCCCCTGTGGTGCCCAGCCAGAGGCATGGCGTTGGGCAGCTGCTGGCCATCGAGCTCCGGCTGCCAGCTTGGGCCAGCACAGTGAAAACACGTGATCGTTTTGGTGAGATTTTAAAGAGTGGGTTCATTACCCTGAGGCATTCAGCCAAGGGCACATTTCTTCCTTAAGAATGAAGCCTCCCAGGCCGGGCGCGGTGGCTCACGCCTGTAATCCCAGCACTTTGGGAGGCCCAGGCGGCCGGATCATGAAGTCAGGAGATCGAGACCATCCTGGCTAACAAGGTGAAACCCCATCTCTACTAAAAATACAAAGAATTAGTTGGGCATGGTAGTCCCAGCTACTCGGGAGGCTGAGGCAGGAGAATGGCCCGGAGCTTGCAGTGAGCTGAGATTGTGCCACTGCACTCCAGCCTGGGCACAGAGCAAGACTGTGTCTCAAAAAAAAAAAAAAAAAAAAAAGAATGAAGCCTCCCAACCGCTCAGATGTGTGTGCAGAGGCCAGTGAGGCCACCGCCTTGTTCCTCCTGGGAAGATGAGTTTGGGTTTAGGTGCCTGAGTCATACCATCTGGTGGACTCACCTCCTCAGTAAGTGTGGAATCAGCTGACACCATCAGGGAGTGTGGTACCTTAGACAAGAGAGTAAGAATCTCTTTAGAGAACTGACATCTGTCACTGGGGTCCTGCGAGGTTCATGCTCGGTGACGGAGCTCATTGATCTGTCTTATGTCTCCCTGTTGGACTCAGCTCTCCTGGCAGGCACGCGTTCTAGGTCCCCGCAGTCTCTGACGCTCAGTGTGAGTTTGAAAGACTCAATGAGGCCGAGCGCAGTGGCTCACTCCTATAACCCCAAAACTTTGGGAGGCCGAGGCAGGAGGATCGCTTGAGCCCAAGAGTTTAAGACCAGCCTGGGCAACATAGTGAGATCTCATCTCTAATTATAAAATGAAAAAAAGAAAGACCAAATTAAATGTCCTCCTGGCATCTTACAGAAAGTCAGAACTTAATCTCTGCCTGTCAGATAACTTCCTTGGTGCATTAAATGGAGTAATGCCTTGCGTCCCTTTCACCTGTGTGTGTTTACCTGCACCCATAGCTGGTGGACAGAAGTCGCAGGCCCCAGGGACAGAGTTACTCGCTGGCTAGGACTTCCCTTGTTCTGATGGAGACCTTGTCATCATTTTGAAACCTTAGGTCTGGGGCCTCCTGGAGTAGGTGAGGGGTCAAGGAACACAGGAAAAGCCACACCTGTAGGATGGTAATAAACCGTGAATCCTAAACATTAGAGACATTTCCAAAAGGGACTCGGGCTTCCTCTGTTGGCGTCTCCTCAGCCTGGTCTCACTGCAGCCTGGCCATCCCCTCTCCTGTCCGTATGACAGTAGCTAGTGGCCTTGAGACTTTAGAAGAGTTCACTGAGTAACCAGCCGAGGACAAAGCTGGTAGGAGAGCAGTCTTCTTTTAGTGCCACCGCCCTGAGAACATCAGCAGCGGCTTCCTTGTTCCGTGGGGGCGCTCTTTCTGGGCTCCAGCTGGCTGAGGTGTCCGCCTTTGCATGAGCCAGAAGGAAGAGCATCCCTGGACCCCTGATAGTCTTCAGTGCTCTGGCCTGTGGGCACTCACCGCCTTACATGGAGACCCTGCAGAGGCCACCCCTGGTCCTCCTGGTGGCCCCCGGCAGCAAGCGCCCTCCCCCACTTCCCGTGTTAGTAGCAGGGGGCCTTTGGTTCTGCTCCCCTGCCAGCTCTGCCATGGGGCCATGTGTGTTCCGGCTTTATTTCATGGCTCCCCCAGAGAAGGGCGGGGACGCCAGATGCAGTCCATGCTGGCCACAGCCCTGGGCTCCAGGGACCGGGGGACTCTCATGATTTCTGGTAACTTCAGGGAAGTGGAGCCTGTTTTGCTGAGCAGAACTCTGCCACCTTCCTAGTTTATTTGGGGCTGGTTACGGGAGGAGATGAGAGTGATGCCTGTAGAGGTTGGCGGTAGCTTAGTCCTGTTGTTCTGTCTGCCCTGGAGACAGTGGAGGAGCAAAAGGAGGGGACAGCCACTCCGTCTGCCCTGGAGACAGTGGAGGAGCAAAAGGAGGGGACAGCCACTCCTTAGCACGCCCACCCTGTGCTTGGCACTGAACGTGCGTTACAAATGCAATGAAAGACCGAGCGTGCTGGCGAGACACTAGTTCTACAAAAAATAAAAAAGTTAGCCGGGCATGGTGACACGCACTCATAGTCCTAGCTACTTTAGGAGGCTGAGGCAGAAGGATTGCTTAAGCCCAGGAGGTCGAGGCTGCAGTAAGCTGTGATTGTGCCACTGCACTCCAGCCTGGACGACAGGCAAGACTCCATCTTTAATTAGTTAATTAAAATTTGTATTTAAAGGAATGAAAACGTGCTTCTGTGGTGTGGCTGCGCCCATTTCCGTTTATAGGGAGAGAACTGAGGCTCCGAGGGCTTGGGTGCCATGTCCTTGACCAGTTGGCCTGTAAGCAGAGGGGCTGATTGGAAACCTGCTCTGTCCGCCCCCAAACCTGAGCCTCTTCATCTGTCACACATGGACATCTATGGGTTAGGTTTAACTGTAGGCAATTGCCAATATCCAGTCTTTTTTGACCTATAAAAATGGCATATGGTTGAACCTAATATTAAACGCATCCTTCTCCCCGCCTTTTCTCACCCCTCCCTTTAGCTCCAATGTTACCTGCATAGCTTGCCCACCTTCCTGCTGGTGCTCCCCCTCTTCTCATCCCTGCAGGTGTCTCCCCTTCCACTACCATCTGGAAGCCTGCCCTCTCTGCCCCACTACCATCAGGCACCTCCCAACACCACAGAGATTGTCCATGGGCAGAGAACATAGGTCCGCATCTCAGGTCTGCTGCCAAACAGAAACATCTGTAAAGATGTGGATGCTGATTTTTTTTTTTAACAGCTTTATTGAGGTATCATTTGCATGCTATAAAACACACCCATTGTAAGTGTATAATTCAGTGATTTTTTTTCATAAATATACAAAGCTGTAAAACCCTAACCACAATTCAGTTTTTAGAATGTTAAGAGGAAGCTGGTTTTAGACTGTTGACAGGTGAATTGAATGTCCCTGGGGCCCCCGTGGTATATAATCAGCCCACATGGATCAGCTGGTCCCAGCTCTGAAGGTGGAGTTGGAGAAACTGGACAGTGAGGGCTGGGAAAGTGAAGGACGGGAATAACTCTACCCATCACCGAGGGCTCAGAGGGCCCCGGGCCTCGCTGACTGACATGCTAGACGGTGGCCTCGGCAGGCTGCACACAGAGGGCAACGTGTCAGGGCTGGGGGACGGGGAGCTGGGTGCACGGATGAGTAGGTTTGACAGGGGTCCCATGGTGCTCTGAGAGCAGAGGAGGCTGGCAGCGGACATCCACCAGCAGGAAGATGCAGACACCAGTGCTAGGGGCAGAGGGATGTATTTATGAAATAGCATTTTCAGTTTTAAATTGTAAAAATAGATGTGTGAAGCTCTTTTCGTTTCTTTTTAAACAAAGAACAAAGTTGGTGTTTTTTTAATTTGTATGGTTGCCCGGGGTGGGGCATGTGTGTGCTTTTTGACTAAATCTATCCCCGTCGTGTGTGAGGGGCTTGCTTTGTACTCTTTTTGATGGATGCTAACACTGTACTGTTATTTATAACGTTTTATAGTTTGGGGTAACTTTTCTGTTTTGGGCACATAGCATCACAAGCTCCCAGATTCCAGATCCCAACAGAGCATCTGGTCCACCCACTGTTCCCCAACACAATGATACTAAAAGACCCTGAGAGTCTACGCATTTGTCCCCTTTCTCTGACCTAAAAAAGGGAGGTGCCACAACTTACAGTTTTTCTGTATGTCTCACTTAACCCCCCACACCCATCAGACAGAAGGGTGTTCACTCTCTTCCTATCCTGGGTGGAAGTCAAGGACAGTGCAGTAACTATGAAACAGTACTTCGTATACTGAAAATTGCTTTTGAAATCTCTCCTCAGCATCTGCCCGTCCCGGCCCAAACTCCTCACTCCCTTACGCTGTGTCTGCCCTGGGACCGTCTCTGGATTTCTGCTCTGATGGTGCTGTGGTTTTGCAGCTCACTCTCAGCTGCACCCACGCCCCCGGGGAGGGGAGGGTCTGTCTGGTGCCTCACTGCTGTAGTCTCTGCTTCTCCGAGCACGGCCTGGGCTCTGGCTGGACCCTGCTTGAACCCCGCCCTCACTTTTATATGACGGCTCTTATAAGAGCCTGCCCCCATAGTGAGGCGGTGTGCAGGCTTCTGGGGCCTGAGTGCCGTAGAGCGTCCTTCGCCTTGTTTCCCCTCAGCCATCCTTATCCTTCCCTCTTACCCGTGTCTGCGCTGTCGCCTGGTGTCCCGGGTCTACCCTCAGTGCACCCCCAGAAGCCGAGCTCTCCTCTGCAGCCCTCCTCACCACCACCAGCTCCCCTGCTTCCGCCTGGCTGCTCCCCAGGGCAGTGTCCTCACCTCTGCCCCCTGCAGTCTGCTCCCAGCATGGCAGCCCGAGCAGCCCACTCCTCAGGTCAGCCGACTGTCATTTTGCAGCCCGCTCCGGGCACTAGGGCCTGTGCACCTGCCGGTCCCTCTGCCAGCGAGCTGTGTAAACACCTCCTGTGAGCCCCTGTTCAGTGTGGCCCCACCTGTCTCTCCTGCCACACGCCCTGTCTTCTTTGTTCTGCTCTGCTTTCCCTTCTCCATATCTTTTGGCACCTGTGAATAGCCTATACTGTTCACTTATTTTTTCCCCTCTGTGGCATTGCATACTTTTCCCCCGTTAGGGTGCACGCTCTCATGACAGCAGGAATCCTGGGGTTTTTTGTTGTTGTTGTCAGTGCGTTCGAATGCCTAGATCAGTGTCTGGCATGTAGTAGGTGCTCAGTAAATACAGCATCCATGCAGGGGGCCCACCTTTCTCTCTTCCTCTCTCCACTTTGCTCTCCCGTCAAGCTGGGGCCCCTGACAGGTGTTACCCACTTGCTCTCATAGATAAGAAGGCCAGTTGTCAGTGGTCAGGGTCAAGTGAGATTCATTCTCTGCCCAGTACCACGTGTCTGTCTCCCCTAGGCCTGAGATGACTCCCTGAAAACCGCCTTCACCATCTTGCCAGCTGCACAGCTATTAAATATCTTTCGCGGTTACTGGTGAGTGTTTTCTACAAGAAGCCTGTGAGAAGCAAGAGCTCACGTCTGTGCTGTGAGGGAGGATGCTGGATGGAGCTAGACCAGCTCCGGGGTCCCTCCAGCTCTGGCTTCTCAGCATCTTGCTCAGCAGCCAGGCCTGTCACTGTGCCACACGCACAAGAAAAGACTAGATTTGTCTGACGGGAAGCCAGGGTGTTAGCAAATTACTTTCTGCGATGAATCACAGGACAGTTGCACTGGAAGAAAGCATTGTTTTTTCTTCCAGGGTTTGTATCCAAGTATAGTAGTGGTTTCCAGACTTACACATGGCCGATCCCACCGAAGCCATTTAGAATGGAAGGGAACGAGCCATTTAGGTGTAGAAGCCCAGCCCAGAGAGCGGAGGAGCTCATTCAGAGGCACACAGCATGGAGGTCCCCATAGGCGCAAGACAGATTTCACACCATAAATTGCACAGATGGTTACTTTTGTGGACAGTAAGCCACTGGTTCCAAGCAAGAGGGTTACTGTCACTGGTCTGCCCTGATGTTTCTTACATTCTAAATGCCAAGCAGGATTCCTGGAAGCCCTGGAGGGGCTGCGACTGCATATGCACACCCTACAGGGTCCTGTCTGAATGCCCCTGGAACCTTTGAGAAGAGCCTTGGGGTTTCATTAATTGCCGTTCAGCGGCCTGGCCCTCTGTCCTATGTTTTCTCTCTCTTATGATGGTTACAGAGGGTGCGCATTCCAGCAGCAGAGGAAGCACCCTGAAGAGACAAGGTTCTGTGCGCACAAAATGCTGTGACCGACCTTCCTTCTCAGCTGAGTGCAGAACTCTATCTACTGCACCGGCTGAGGAAGCCAGAAGGCCCGACTTCTGACCTCCCCAAATAAAAGACTGGAGTACCTTTTCATCCTTCCTCATCTTAGCTGGCTGCCCCTCAGCCAGAGGCTCACAAAAGGAGCTCAGCCCAAGCCCCTCCTTTAGCTCCCCTCTGCTGGTGAGATGAACAGGCCGCCTCTGCTCAGGAAGCCCCCAGTCTGGGTTGAGGCAGGAAGGGAAGACAGAGTCCTGCGACATTTATTCTAGGACAGAAGATGGTGCAAGAATGTGCTTCACAGCCAGTGCAAGGGGGCTGATGAGTTCTGCTTGGGCAGGCCAGGAAGGCTTCCTGGAGGAGGCAATATCTGGGCAAGCCACGGACAGAGAAAGCGAGGAAAGGTGTTCTAGGTGGAACGAGCTCAGGGGAGTGCAAGTTGCTGGAAGTCTCATGAGGATCAGCAAGCCTGGGGCAAGGAGGAGGCCTTCTGTGACAGCTGAGGTTTAGGATTCATGGGCCAGAGGAAACAGACCTCCTGAAACTCCTTGGAATTTAATATTTAACCCTCTCAGTATTGATTTGCTCTCCTGCCAGTGTGTCCTTGGAGTGCTTTTCAGATCCCATGGAAACCTCTCTCTCGTAGCCCACACGGCACAGCCCTGCCTTCCTTCGGGGGCCCCGGGGAACTTGTGAGGGCTGGGTGTGCCCCAGGCTTACTGACCTCCATCCTGGCAACCCAGGCACAGGCTCAGAGTCCGGCTTGTGAGGAACAGTCCTCCTGCTGCAGAGATGGTGCTTTTAAAAATCAAAAGCCCTGTCTTCCTGGCCCTGCGGCCCTCCCAGTCCTGCCCCTGGCTCCATGCCTGCTCACCGTGTGGTGTGGAGGCTGAGGGTCGGCCACTCAGGCTTCATGAGCCATTCTTGTGTTCTTTTCCCCTACCCCTGTTGTTTTTATTTTATTTCTCCTGGCCATAATTCTCTAATCCTGTGTATAAGTGTATATGTGTGTGTGTATATATATATAATTTTCATATTTGCAAAACGTTTTGGGCGTTTGAATGGGAGGGAAGAAATAAGAAAAAGCTAATCTTGCAGGCATTTTGATTGTTCTAAAATTTCCTCTTTCATCCTTGAGAGAGAAGGTTCAGAAAAGCAACCAAATGCTGTTTTAAACTACCCCGTTTCTATCCTGCTTCTTTGCTTCTGTGCTGCTTGTTGGATCCGGAAATGAGGGCTCCAGTCCACGTGCGGTGCTGGGGCACTTAAGCCAGGAGCCGAGGCTTTCCTTTCCTAGGAAGGTGCAGAGTTTGGCTGACACCAAGCCCAGCCGAGCGTCACAGTGCGGCCCACACGCCGGCCTCCAAGCACCCGCGGATCTGCCTGGAGACCAGACTTTGTTAGTAAACTTCCTAGCGATGGCCCAGGCACACAGAGAACGCCGCTGGCTGCAACAGCCACACCATGGCTTCCAGCAGCCCTACTCTCTGTGGCCACCGCCGTCTGCGGAGGAGGGAAGAGATGCTATTTGTCAAAGGTCTTTATGTTTGAGTTTTCCACGTGGTGGTTGGGAGGGACCCTTTCCCAGAGCGTCCCCTGCCTGCCCTAGCTCCTCGCCCCTTCCCAGGGCAAACTTGAGTCTCAAGCTGCAGGCTTGTGGCTGATTCTGCTTTTCTGGTCTTCAGTTGTTTGGTGCTGGGAAATGAATTCGCTCTCAGCTTCTGCAGGCGTGGCAGGCAGGTGGGGTAGGAGGTCATTTTTGGGGTGAGGGTGCTCCGAGGGGCTGATATTTCAAAGTGTTCTACATGACCTGGGGGTAGCTGTCGTCTGTTGTGCGTGGTGGTGCTGGGGTATCTGTGGGGGTGGGACTGACTTGACATGGGCAGCAGAGAGACACTAGAGTAAAGGGCCACTAGTCAGAGTGCCCCCGGGAGGCTCCTGCACCATTCCACACAGGCATGCAGCTTAGCGCCTGCCAGAGTCCACGTTTGATAAATATGTGTGCCTGGTTATGTTAATGCCGGGGGGTGGGGGCACGTGGTGACATGAGGATTCCACAGGGGCCGCTCCCCAGAATGTGAGCCCGTGCGTAGAGGTGCCTGCCTCCTTCCCCATGGGTGGGGACACATATGATGGAGCATCCCCATGTGCCCACCCACGGGGAACTCTCCACCTTGAGTATTCCTCGGCAGTGCCTAGGAAGTACCCCAACTGTTAAAATAATAATAAACAGCTCTTCTCGTTGTAAGCTGAGCCCTCAGGAGGGCCCTCAGAGCCGTGCCCATGTGAGTGAGTGTTGGGGTGTGCCCGTGTACTGAGGAGAGACAACAGGGTCGTGTTCAGTGCACTGCTGTTTTCAAATCACTGTGACAGCCTCGTGAGCATCCTTATGAAATAACTGGTTTTTAAGTACAAAACCAGGGAAAGCAGTTAGTGGTTCACACCAGCATGTAAGCCAGAAGAGAAGAGAATGTAGAATAAGTAAGCACACATACGTGCCGTAGAAGAGAGAAACTGAAACTGCTCTCTTTGCGGTTCTAACCCAGGTACTTGATGCTAACAGTTAACCTCACTCAGTCAGCAAACGCTGGTTAAACAACCTGCGTGGGACCACCGGGATCAGAAGCGAAACCACATAGCTCCCTGCTTTGGAAGGAAACATAAATAAGTTAGGAGATGGTAGGTAGTGGTGGACCCGGGGACAGATCTTAGTTCTGTGACTCAGCCTTTCTGAGCTGCATCCTTCTATTTCTGAGATGGAGTCATCATGCCGTCCTCGGGGGATTGCTTTTAGAATTAAGTCACATGGTAGCATGCCGTATATTAAGGTGCAGTAATGGTGGTCTGTAGGAGGGAAGGGCAGAATTACTCTATGGAATATGGTCAGTCCTTCCAGGTTGTGAGGGTTAAACCCTGAGCCTGGCTGGTCATTTGCAGGTCCTGGGCCTCTGTGGTTGTGGGGAGCTGAGTTAGCAAGACAGAGGAATCAGTTTCACTGCTTTATCTCTGACCCCTGTTCGTCTGTGGAGAGACATCACTGTGCCTTTGACCCCAGCAAGGGCAGAGAGTGTGCAGTTTGGGGCAGGAAGGGAAAGGGATGCTTGCCTGCCATTGCTTAAATCCCCAGCTTCACACCTCAGTCATTGTTTATACACAACAAGAATTAGTTCCTGTATCCAGAAATCAGAAAGTGTCTTCTGTCTGGGCATGGTGGCTCACACCTGTAATCCCGGCACTTTGGGAGGCCAAGACGGATGAATCACTTGAGGTCAGGAGCTCAAGACCAGCCTGGCCAACATGGTGAAACCCTGTCTCTACTAAAAAATACAAAAATTAGCCAGGCGTGGTGGTGGGTGCCTGTAGTCCCAGCTACTTGGGAGGCCGAGGCAGGAGAATCTCTTGAACCCGGGAGGCGGAGTTTGCAGTGAGCCGAAATTGTGCCACTGCACTCCAACCTGGGTGACAGAGTGAGACTCTGTCTCCAAAAAAAAAAAAAAGTGTCTTCTGAACATGTGCATGACTACAGCTTAAAGAACCAGAGTGGAGTCAAAAAGGACTATACACATTATGTACCAGTCATGGAAGGAAGATAGGTTTTGTTCCATGTGTTAACTTCCATTAACTGGTAGTCTGTGGAGGGCTGTGTTCAGAAGGATTCTGAGGCCTAGTTCCACCCTAAGTCAGAAAGTGCTGTGATTGACTAATCATGTCTGCCATGGACTCAGAGTTAGCAAGTCGGGGAATTTTCAAACCTTGATATAATGCACATTTTAGAGGATGGTGTATTTTAATTGTGCAACTACTTTTCTATCCTCACCTCTGCCCTTAGAAACGTGTGCTATCAGGCAGTTTCCCTTTTGTTTTGGAAGCTTATGACTGTTAACGTCTGCAGCTTTCTATATAGCTTATGTTGGCCTGCCTGCATTGCATTTCTGCTAAGAAAGGCTGGGGTGAATTTCTTTGTGTCAAGACTCCAGGAAGCAGGTAGTAAGGTAAGGTTTTTCTTAGACTCAGCTATTGACTCAGGCCGTCCTGGGATTCCCCCAGGGGTTCTCCTATTCTCAACAGAGTGTAGTTGTGTTAAGTGTGGAGTGTGTCCGGTCTGATGTTTCTCGATCCCCGCCCGCAGTGGTTGCTTGTGACTTTTTTGGTGTAGAAATTCACGTCGTTTTATAACCTGCCCCCGTTTCTCCCTCTGAACAGCAGCTCGAGTAAGTGTAACCATAAAGCACTTATACTTTGACAAGCAGCGTGCTCTCTTACCTCTTGGCCTTCGCATGTGCTGTTCCCTGGGCCTGGAAAGCCCACACTTGCCTACCCGATAAGTCTGTCTCCTCCTTATCTGTGGAACTCAGCTCAAAGGTTATTCCCTTTAGAGTCCTTGCCCTGGGCCTTGCTGCAAATTAGAAGTTCCTTTCCCGGGTTCCCATAGCATTTATCAGCTTTCTGATTGCTGGTTTGGCTCCCAGCACATAGTAGGTACTTGGCAGGGAGCTGTCTGTAGGTTTGTTTGATCTTGGCCTGCTTGACTGTGTCACTGAGCCAGTCTTACTGGCAAGGACCCAGGAGGGAATCTTCTGCTGTGTTTTGAAACTATTCAAAACCCACAATCTGGTAGATTTATGGAAATAGCGGTTTTTCTTATGACTGAAATCCTGAAAGAAATTGGGCATCGGCTTCTCATGAGAAATGAGGAAACTTCTGCTTCCCGCCCTGGGCGCTTTTTAAAAAAAAATTTTGTAGGAATCTGTAGGGGTGGGGATCACAGGATGTTTTTGTTAATAAGCAAATGTTTCTATTCACTCAGCCTGGTGAGAGCAAGCATCACTCTGCTTCATTTGAATGAGGGCAGAGGTGAATTTCTTAGTAACCTGTTCATCACCAAAGAGTTTATTTTTTTCATGAATATTTTTCTAAACTTAATTCTCTACCTTTAAAGCCTTTTTCCCTCCTGTTACAAACCTTAGCAAACAGGAATCCATACTCTTCTAACCTGTGCTGTGGGTCAGATTGTTTTCTTGATGTCTAATGGGTGTTGGGATGAATGAGGGAATGAATGAACTCAGGGTTGTCATTGTGTGTGATTGCAGGGTGCTGAGAGAGTAGAACCGTTTGCTCTGTCACCAAACAGCCTCGGAGTGTTGTTTGTTTTTGTGGTGTTTTTTGTTTATTTGTTTGTTTTGGAGACAGGGTCTTGCTCTGTCGCCCAGGCTACAGTGCAGTGGCACAATCAAAGCTCACTGCAGCTTCACCCTCCCAGGCTCAGGCGATCCTCCTACCTCAGCCTCCCAAATAGTGCACCACCAGGCCAGGCTAATTTTTTTTTTTTTTTTTTTTTAATAGAGATAGGGTCTTGGCTGGGCGCAGTGGCTCACACCTGTAATCCCAGCACTTTGGGAGGCCAAGGCAAGCAGATCACTTGAGGTCAGGAGTTTGAGACAAGCCTGGCCAACATGGTGAAACCCCATCTCTAATGAAAATACAAAAATTGGCTGGGCATGGTGGTGTGCGCCTGTAATCCCAGCTACTCGGGAGGCTGAGGCAGGAGAATCGCTTGAACCCAGGAGGCAGAGGTTGCAGTGAGCTGAGCTTGCACCACTGCACTCTAGCCTGGGTGACAGAGCGAGACTCCATCTCAAAAACTCACCATTTTTTATGGCTGCATAGTATTCCATGGTGTATATGTGCCACATTTTCTTTATCCAGTCTATGGTTGTTGGACATTTAGGTTGGTTCCAAGTCTTTGCTATTGTGAATAGTGCCACTATAAACGTACGTGTGCATGTGTCTTTATAGCAGCATGATTTATAATCCTTTGGGTATATACCCAGTAATGGGATGGCTGGGTCAAATGGTATTTCTAGTTCTAGATCCCTGAGGAATCGCCACACTGACTTCCACAAGGGTTGAACTGGTTTACAGTCCCACCAACAGTGTAAAAGTGTTCCTGTTTCTCCACATCCTCTCCAGCACCTGTTGTTTCCTGACTTTTTAATGATCGCCATTCTAACTGGTGTGAGATGGTATCTCATTGTGGTTTTGATTTGCATTTCTCTGATGGCCAGTGATGGTGAGCATTTTTTCATGTGTTTTTTGGCTGCATAAATGTCTTCTTTTGAGAAGTGTCTGTTCATGTCCTTCACCCACTTTTTGATGGGGTTGTTTGTTTTTTTCTTGTAAATTTGTTTGAGTTCACCCGGCCTCAGAGTGTAGTTTTGAGCCCTCTAGTGTGTGTGCAAGGTTTCTGGTCTCTTCCTTGCTCTCAGAACACCATCAGTGAGCCTCTCTAGCACTTTCCTCCCTTTTAATTTGCTGTTGTAATGTGCTTTGGGCTGGGGAAATGGATCACCAGAGTTGTCCAAATGATTCTACAGTGTGATGTAATTAGTTTATTTGGGGACTTTGCTGCGAATAGAGTACATAAAGATTTTCTGTGCAAACCCTGACTTCTGTTTGGGCTGATCTCAGGCCCTTAAGTGCTTTCTTAGTGTTTCAGCTCCTGTGGTGGGTACAGTACCAGGTGAGTGGCCTTTCAAAAAGTGAGTCTCATTGTAGGAAGACAAGCCAGTGACGGCTGGGAAGGGTCTGTGCCTCTTATATCCAGCATGGGCATGTGATGAGCACTTGCCAGTGATCTGTGGGCCGACAAAAGGGAAAGGGGGAGGTGGGTGACTTGGGCTGAGCCGGCAAGCACTGTCAGAAAGACTGATTGGAGGCTTTGTTAACACTCATGTGGGCATTCCCTTTTCTCTCTCTTTTTTTGAGACAGAGTCTTCCTTTGTCGCCAAGGCTGGAGTGCAGTGGAGCAATTTCAGCTCACTGCAACCTCCGCCTCCTGGGTTCAAGTGATTCTCCTGCCTCAACCTCCCAAGCAGCTGGGATTACAGACGCGTGCCACCACGCCCAGCTAATTTTTGTACCTTTGGTAGAGTCGAGGTTTCACCATGTTGGCCAGGCTGGTTTCGAACTCCTGACCTCACCTCCCACCTTGGCCTCCCAAAGTGCTAGGATTACAGGCATGAGCCACTGTGCCCAGCCCCTTTTCTCTTTATCGAAACTAAAATTAAGTGGCTGATGAATAGCTCCACGTTAATAGGGAAGTGAGTCACTGTGGTGATATTTATTCTATGGATTAGAGTATCTTGGGCCAAATAAAAGATCTCAAGTAAAAAAAAAAAATCCTAAGATTTTGAGAATTTTTCCATTTCAAATATTGATGAATTTCTACACTTACTAGCAGGAGAAGGATTTAACCTTAGAAGATTGCTTTGCAACGCTGAGCCTTATTCTCAGGTGTGTCCTCCAGAGCAGGAAAGTGGCCTTAGACCCTGTGGTCCAACCCACCAGTCTCTCCCTGCCCTGCCTTCAGGCTGGGGGGCGGGGTGTGTTTCTGGTTCAGTGAACCCCCAGTTCCCAGTTCTGAGGCTTGACAATGATGTCATTATCTCAAGGAAAGCCAATTTTAGCTATTTCTCAGTTGAGGGGTCTTAGGAGGAGGTCGCATATTCATTCACTACTTATACCCAGGGATCTGAAATGAACCGCAGCATTGGTTCTCAGGACGGCGGTTTGGTTTTTTCATCCCGGCAGTCTTTGACACTTTGGGACACTGTAGCCCAGTGTGTGAGTTGGTTAAGTCTTTTAAGAGAAGAAAGCTATTTCTGGCATGTCCTTTCTTCCTCAATACAATAGGATATAACGAAAAAGAACACATAGATTTTTTTTTTTTTGAACCTGAAAGGGAACCCTGCACATTACCCAGGCCATTTTATAGATGTGGAAACTGAGGCTTGGAGACAGAGTATGGCTTGTCTGGGACACACAGTTCCTGGGTGACCAAGCCCATCGTCTAGGCGCAGGTGTTCTGCTGCTGTTTAAGTGTTTGAGATAGATAAACAGGTGAAGATGCATTCAGCCCCAAGCACAATCAAAGAGACACAGCTCAGAATGACGAAACAGGATTTTTGGCCTGATTGACAAAGTTGGGAAAGTGGTGAGGTAAATGTTGATCAAGGGTAGGAAAATGGGAATCACCACACATTTCCCAGGGTGAAATGGCAGAGCCTGTCTGCAGGGCAGTTTGTCAATATGAAAAGCTTAAAAAGGGAATGCATAAAGAATTAGCTACCATGATATTCTTTATAACATTGTTTAGATTGAAATATTTTAAGGCCGGGCACGGCTGCTCACGTCTGTAATCCCAGCACTTTGGGAGGCCGAGGCGAGCAGATCACGAGGTCAGGAGTTCAAGACCAGCCAGGCCAACATGGTGAAACCCCCGTCTCTACTAAAAATTCAAAAATAGCAGAGCGTGGTGGCGAGCGCCTGTAATCCCAGCTCCTTGGGAGGCTGAGGCAGGAGAATCGCTTGAACCCAGGAGACAGAGGTGGAAGTGAGCCAAAATTGTGCCACTGCACTCCAGCCTGGGTGACAGAGTGAGACTCTGTCTCAAAAAAAAAAAAAAAAAAAATATATATATATATATATATATATAAATTGAACCTCTGGAAGGGGTATTGGTTAAATAAGTTACTGGCCTTGATTTACAAAGTAAGTATGCAACCATCAAAAAGGTGCAGTGGCTCACACGTGTGATCCCAACACTTTGGAAGGCTGAGGCAGGAGGATCGCTTGAGCCCAGGAGTTCAAGACCAACCTGGGCAATATTATGAGACCCTGTCTACAAAAAATACAAAAGTTAGCCAGGTGTGGTGATGCGCACCTGTAGTCTAGCTACTCGGGAGGCTGAGGTGGAAGGATCACTTGAACCCAGGAGGTGGAAGCTGCAGCGAGCTATGATTGCACCACTATACCCCAACCTGGGCAATAGAGTGGGAACCTGTATCAGAAAAAAAAAAAAGGGGCCGGGCGCGGTGGCTCAAGCCTGTAATCCCAGCACTTTGGGAGGCTGAGGTGGGCGGATCACGAGGTCAGGAGATTGAGACCACGGTGAAACCCCATCTCTACTAAAAATACAAAAAATTAGCTGGGCGCGGTGGTGGCCGCCTGTAGTCCCAGCTACTCGGGAGGCTGAGGCAGGAGAATGGCATGAACCCAGGAGGCAGAGCTTGCAGTGAGCCGAGATTGCACCACTGCACTCAAGCCTGGGCGACAGAGCGAGACTCCATCTCAAAAAAAAAAAAAAGGATGGCTTTATGTTATCTTATAGAATTTACTTTAGAATACTCCAGCCAAACAAACTTAAAAGGGGGAAGGAGGAGGCAGGTAGAGTGAGAGGTGCAGAATGTTGATAATGTGAGGCTGAGTGTATTGTGGAGGTTCATTATACTGTCCTCCCGTGTCTGTTTGGAATTTTGCATAATAAAAAGGGGAAGGTTGTATACAGCCTTATTTTAGCGTTGACTCAGTATTTCCTGTGGGAGTTGTTCTCTCCCATTGTGTACTTTGCTTACGCGCTAAAAAGGGATGCTGATGTTATGGTTTGTTAATTATCATGGGGAGATACTTACGACATATTTGAATGGAAGGGGCTTCAAATAGTTATGTACAGAATTCTCATTTGGTTTAAAAAGTAAATAAGGCTGGGTATGGTGGCTCACACCTGTAATTCCTGCAACCTGGGAGGCTGAGGTGGGCGGATCACTTGAGTCCAGGAGTTTGAGACCAGCCTAGGCAACATGGCAAAAACCCATCTCTTCAACAAATACAAAAATTAGCTGGGCATGGTGGTATGTGTCTGTAGTCCCAGCTACTAGGGAGGCTGAGGTGAGAGGATCGCTTGAGCCTTGGGAGGTCAAGGCTGCAATGAGCTGTGGGCCTGCCACTGCACTCCAGCCTGGGTGACAGAGTGAGACCCTGTCTCAAAATAAAATAAAAAGTAAATAAAGCCACACATGGAAGATCGATGGAGTGTGTATACCTAAGTGAATGTCACAGAGTAGAGAGATGATTTTTTTTTATCTGTTTTTTCCCTACGGTAAACATGTCACTGAAATTATATCAGCAGTTGAGCTGAGTTAAATGTGTTGCTCTCTTGATCTAGGGAAGAGCATGGAGGAAATCAAGAAGGTGCTGCTGCTGGTGCTGGGCTGTGCTGTCCAGGTAGGGATTGGGCAGGGCTGCAGCAGAGGGACCTACCCCAGCCATCTCATATTGGGTTTGCGGGACTTGACCGAGCCCTTAGCTTAGGTGGGAGGATGCTCCTTTCAGTCCAATATGACAGAAGGCCGCTGGGTTCCTGGAAGAGAGTGGCCATTGTTTTACGTGGCAGCTGTTTCTAGTACCAGGGCACCTTGGGCAGGAGGCGAGATGGGGATCCCTCAGGCCAGGGTACCATTAGCAAATCGTCCCCAGCGTAGGAATCACTAGAACAAGGATCTGCAAACTACAGCTTGTGGGCCAGATCTGACTTGCTGCCTGTATTTGTAAATAAAGTTTTATTGGGCCGAGTGCAGTGGCTCATGCCTGTAATCTCAGCACTTTGGGAGGCTGAGGTGGGGGAGGATCGCTTGAGGTCGGGAGTTCAAGACCAGCCTTGGCAACATAGTGAGACCTCATCTTTACAAAAAATAGAAAACATTAGCTGGGTGTGGTGGCGCATGCCTGTAGTCCCGGCTACTCGGGAGGCTGAGGCGAGAGGATCACTTGAGTGCAGGAGTTTGAGGCTGCAGTGAGCCATGATCATGCCACTGCACTCCAGCCTGGGTGACAGCGAGACCCTCTCTCAAATAAAGTTTTATTGGAACACAGCCTCATGCCCACCTTTACATATTGTCTGTGGCTGGTTTGCCACTACAGCGACAGAGCTGAGTAGTTGTGACAGAGGCCAAATGGCCCACAGAGTCTAAAATATTTACCATCTGGCTTTTTACACATGAAGTTTGCCCCACCCTGGCCTAAACCAGGTGTCCCCCGTCTTTCTGTACTTAAGAATCACCGGGAGAGCTTGTTTAAAATGAAGCGTTCTGTGTTCCACCCTGGTCTTTTCAATCTGGGTGGGGGCTTACGGATGGGAGTTTTAAGAACAAGCTCCCCAGGTGATTCTGATGTAAGTGGTCCTGGCAACCACTAGAGACACATCAGTGTAAGGCTGGTAGGAGGACAAGAGCGTTCTTAGTTATGAAGGAGAAGCCCGGGGTGGGTGGTTCCTTTTGAAACTGTCATTCTGTGGCTGTGGTGGACTCAGCTTCACCCTCACTTGAACAGCGCTTCCATTAACACATGTAACCCTCCGCAGTGTGAGAGGAAAGAGGAGTTCATTGAAAGAATCAAACAGCTGGACATTGAGACCCAGGCTGGCATCGTGGCCCATATCCAGGAGGTAGGTGCGTGGCCTCGTGGTGGGCTCAGCTGTGGACTGCTGCTCCTGTGGTGGCCGGGAGGCAAAACTTCTCTATGAGTGGAAACGTTTGAAGAATACATCACCCATTACGATTTTGCTAATCTTAGGTTTCAGACACCACAGACACATTGATTCTATTTGGAAAGATAGCCATCAATCAGCCAGCTAAAATAAAATGAGGGTAAAAATAAAAATTAAAAAAAAAAAACACCTCAATCAAGTCATCTTTTGTCTCCTTCTTTTTGCCTTATATGGACTCAGACTATTTTTAAGAGCTGTCAACTGGTTGAGGCCCAGAGTTTGATTTACAGGCCCTGAAAATGTATTCTGGCAAATGTCACCCTGCTTTGAACAGTTGATCTTTATAGAATAGAGAGATTCTCTGCTTCTGTCAGTGACATGGCAGAGACAAGCTGACACCACTTGGGAATCAAAACCAGCGAGTCCCAGAAAGACCGCCTTGGGAGACTTGGCCCAGCCCCAACTCAGGCCCCCCAGCGAGGGGCCGGGAGGGCTCTGCACTGAGCGTCAGCGGAGTGGAGGAGGAGGAGCCCCTGGCCTTTGAGGCCTGACCTTCCCGGCCCTTTGCCATTGATGTTGGCAAAGGTGGTATCAGCTAAGGAGGCCGCCCACCCTAGGGGGCGGTATCCAGGTGGAAATTTACTTTCCTGACCTCCACTTCCACACTCCTTCCAAAATAAGCATTGTGTGCTTTAATTACCTTAGGGGATTTGGGTTCAGCAGTCAGTGTCATTGGACAGATGAGATAAATACATGAAGATTTGCATGCACAGGAGCTGGTGTGTGATTGGCAGAGGCAGCTGAGCACAGGACTCCCTGGGTTGATATTGGGGAGAAGCTGTAGCTGGGCCTACCAGCTTCCACAGCTGGCTGGGGCCATTGGGCCTGGGCTTCAGAATTCCCTGGGTGCTTTTTTAAAATTTGGGTGCTGGGCCCCATGAGAGACCCACTGAGTCAGACTCAGGGGGAGGAGGGGGCATAAGCATTTCAATAAAAGCTCAGCAAGTGGCTGTGGTGCAGCCAGGCTGAGCCCCTGAAGCCCAGCCACACCACCCTTTACAGAGGCCCCGAGATGTCCAAGGAGTTTCCCCAGCATTGGGTCTGGACCAGGCCTAGAACCGGCCTCTCAATCCTGTGCCCTTAGGGTGCTCTGAATCATGGGATAAGATTTCTCCTAATTCTCAGATCACCTGTATCCAAACTCGGCCTTTTAAGGTGGGGAGAGGTAAGAAGGTGGTGTCTCTTCAAATTTTGAGAAATTGAAGGGCCTTTGTTGACAGGGTTCTGTCTGCTTTTTATTTTATGGGTTTGTCTTTTTTTAGAGACAGGGTCTCTTTTTTTTAGAGACAGCCTGTCACCCAGGCTGGAGTACAAGTGGTGTGATCATAGCTCACTGCAACCTCAAACTCCTGGCCTCAAGTGGTCCTCCTGCCCCAGCCTCCCAAGTAGCTGGGACCACAGGTGCATGCCACCTCGCCCGGCTAATTTTTAAATTTTTTGTAGAGATGGGGTCTTACTAGGTTGCTCAAGCTGAGTTTTTTTGTTTTCTCTATCTCTGTTGATTGAATAAAGACTTCTTTGGGTGTGTTTCAGAGTAGATACCCCTGATTTCATTGTTTTTGTTTTCCTCTTTTGAGGCCTGAGCACTATGGTATCTTTCTTCCAAAATTGAGAGGAGAAGAGCTCGAAATGGATCCTGTCTCCTGTGGCAGATCCGGGGGTGTGCGTCGAGAGGCTGTTTCACGTAGACAGAGCTGTGTATCTCCGTTCCCTGGCCAGTGAAAGGGGCACAAAGAGGCTGTCTTCTGTGGCCCGTGGGAATGAGATGCACCCTTCCCTGAAAACTGTTTATGAATAGATCCAGAAAACAACCCAAGATTGCTTTGTACACAACATTCTGACATAAGATTAATATTTTTGCTGTTTGCATAGATTTTAAGAAGTAACATACAGTCCCTTTCCTCACCCTCTCACCCTGAAGCTTTCCTTCTTTGTGTTCTACATTGATGTAGCTCCAATGAAGATATCTTATCCCAGGACCCTATAGGGAAATAATTGTGAGGCGTGCTTTCTGGTCCCCTTTGAAAATCAGCATCCTCTCTGACCCAGTTCTGAAAGCAGAAGTGGTTCGTATGAACAGGGCTCTGCTGAAGGGTTTGGCCACACTTGCGTAGGGCACCCTTTTGCTGGCCACCGTAAATTTGTCACTGAGGGATTAGTAAGGTTGATTGGAAGGGGATGCTGTTTGCAGTGTGAGGGAAGTGGGCGCCCGTCTCTGCCGCCCCTGCAGTGCCCTGCCATGTGTGCCCACAGGTGACTCACAACCAAGAGAACGTGTTTGACCTGCAGTGGCTGGAGCTGCCCGACGTGGCTCCGGAGGAGCTGGAGGCCCTGTCGAGGAGCATGGTGCTCCACCTGCGGAGGCTCATCGACCAGCGGGACGAGTGCACCGAGGTGCGTCCGCGGGTCGGTGGCCCGGTCAGCCTGGGAAGGGGCTTAGGCCCCTTCATCTCCTCTCCCTTCATCTTCAGCCTAGACGCCTCGGTCCTGCTGCTGAGGTTCTGGTGGGGGTGGGACGTGCGTGCTTTCCCTGGTTACGGCCCCTGCAGTGCATGGTCACCTCGGGCCTGTGGGAGGATACAGGGAATCAGGACGCGGAGCTTGGGGCCCTCCTCCTTCGTACACTCCCTTTTGTTTCACTAAATATTTCACCTCTTTTCAAAACCCATGCCAGCCTTTTCCCACCTTCCTCCTCGTTTCTTAGTCTCCGCTGAAATATCTGTCTTTTGGCGGTTTCTTCACCCTGTTCAAGCTCAGGCGTTGTGCTGGTTAACCCCGTTTGTTCTCCTCCATCCCCCTCTCTGCCCGGCTGCAGCTGATCGTGGACCTCACTCAGGAACGGGACTACCTGCAGGCACAGCATCCACCCAGCCCCATCAAGTCCTCCAGCGCCGACTCCACTCCCAGCCCCACCAGCAGCCTCTCTAGCGAAGACAAGCAGCACCTGGCCGTAGAGCTGGCCGACACCAAGGCCAGGCTGCGGCGCGTCAGGCAGGAGCTGTGAGTCCCCGGCTGCTTCTCCTACCTTTGTGTGTGTTGCAGACATGTTTCTGGTGTGGTGTCGACTCACATGTGTGGTGCTGCCAATGGCACAGCTCTGACGTGTGCCCCGGAGTCAGCTGGGGTCTGCCCTGAGCTTACTCTTTGACCTCGGACTAGCTGCCTCCCCTTCTGAGGCCTGCACAGGGATGGGGGCGGGGATTCTTCCCGGTCTTCAGGGTTTCCTCCCGTCCAGACGGTGCAAGTTGTCCACAGAAGCAGCCTCCAGTCCACGCTCAGCTCCAGCTTGGGGCCGGGACGACCACACCTGATGTGTTTTCTTGGCTGGAGGGATGAGGTGCCCCTCCTTCCCTCCAATCTGGTGAGCCTGTTCTCCCAGGTTTCCTGCAGCTGATGGATGTCACCTGTGGAGCCTGGCTGTGGGGTGGTACAGCTGCCGCTGGGGTCTCCTTACCTGCCCCACACACAGGGAGGGAGACCTGAGTGGCGGATGGACATAGTTTAAGGGCCGGTGTTGCAAACTTATGAAAAGAAAAGAATTTTGAGTCAGTAACATTTTTGCAGGCCCCATAAGCAGATCGCCTCCCCACCGCCCAAATCCCGAGTCCTTTCCTTTTCCCACAGGTTTTAGGAAGTGGCAGCCTGCTCCCAGGGCTGCTTGTTGAGGAAGCTGCCTCCCACACTCTTTCTCCTTACTGCCTCTGCAGGGAGGATAAGACAGAGCAGCTTGTGGACACCAGACATGAGGTGGACCAGCTGGTGCTGGAACTGCAGAAAGTTAAGCAGGAGGTGAGTCGGGGGCCTGAGCCTGTGTGTCCTGGGGGTAGCAGGGCTGGAGTGTCCAGTAACGGGGCCTGGAGGGTCAGGAGCTCAACAGCAGCGCTTTTAAGCCACACAAGAGCCACTTGTCCTGAGCACGGCTATGGGGATGACCCTGTTTCTTAGTGACAGCAGGTGGAGATCCCGTGTGGTGGTGGCACATGGAGGCCCCCGGCCACCAGGAGCTGGCTTGTCCTGGGCCGTCGTGGAGACACCATGCAGAAGGGCAATGGCCTTTCTGCCCTTCCTAGAGGATGCCCTAAGCTAGGTTCTCCTGCCTTTGTCCACCTTGCAGAACATCCAGCTAGCGGCAGACGCCCGGTCTGCTCGTGCCTATCGAGACGAGCTGGATTCCCTGCGGGAGAAGGCGAACCGCGTGGAGAGGCTGGAGCTGGAGCTGACCCGCTGCAAGGAGAAGCTGCACGACGTGGACTTCTACAAGGCCCGCATGGAGGTAGGGAGCCTTGCTGTGAGGCCCCTGGATGGGGCTGCTGGAAATTCCTGAGAAGCACATTCAGACTGACCTGTCCTTGGGGGCTTGGAGGAGCGGAGCCACAGCTGTTTCAGCAGATGCTTCCCCGGCACCTCAGCCTGCCTGGGCTTCCCAGGGCCCCCGTCTTGCTCCTCTTCATCTCCCAGTCAGCAGGGGAGGGTAAGGAGTGTAATTGATTGATGTAAGGCAGTGATTCAGGGTTTCTCCTGCCCCCACCTCATGGCATTATGATCACCTTCTATCCGTGTGCGTCTTTTAAAAGACTTCTTGCAATTTCTGTGGCTAATTTGCTAGGACTATTTCCTCATCTGTGGGAATAACGGGCAACCGGGTGCAGCGGCTCACGCCTATATTCCCAGCACTTTGGGAGACCAAGGTGGGAGGATCGCTTGAGGCCAGGAGTTTGAGATCAGCCTGGGCAACATAGCAAGACTCTGTCTCTACAAAAAATAAAAAAATTTAGCCAGGCATAGTGCCACGTGCCTGCAGTCCCAGCTACTCAGGAGGCTGAGGCAGGAGGATTGCTTGAACCTGGGATGTCAAGGCTGCAATGCATTGAGCTATGATTGCACTGCTGCACTCCAGCCTAGGTGGCAGAGAGGAACCCTGTCCCTAAAAATAAAATAGGAATTATTGTTATGGCTCTATGAGGTTTCAAAGATGTAACTGGTGTTGGGCAAGCCCCATAGCCATCAGCTAGTGGAGGCTACTCTATCTTTATTTTAAATCTTATCAAGGTTCTGGGAAAAATGTAGGTGAAAGGGTCAAGGCTACATGGAGACCCAGACCCAGGTGAGGTCTCTGATGCTTTGACCACTCACCCTGACAACCTCATGTCAGTAGCAGCTTCCGGGACCCTCTTTTCTGAGGATTTAGGAATTTTTCCCATTGCCTATTCCAAGGGGGGCTGGAAGTGGTTAGAAAACGTGAGCTGAGTGAAATCAGAATACTGGCACACATTGAGTGGACTTGTTCAAGGCTAAGAAATAATCCCAACGTCTCTCCTACCAGCCAGAAGGCCTCTTAGGCCACCGAAGGCAGAGCACCGTATTGCCCTCTCCCTGCCGTGGAGCTGTCGGGCTTGCCGGGGAAGGCTGTGAGCCCAGGATCTCTACGTGTTCTGTGCTGCAGCCGGGCCCTGGAGGCTCTGGAAGCTCTGGGACTGGGTGAGGTGGGTTGGTGAGGCTGTGGCGAGGACCTGTCTGTTCCTCAGACCCACTCAGGGAGTGTCTTTGCATGCTAAGGCTCCTTACCTCCTGCTGAGGAGCATCCTGAAGGCTGTGCAAAGCCAGCCCATGCCTGGGCGAGGGGTGGGGAGGGTAGACCGTTTCTCAGCTTTGTCCTGGAGATGGGCCACTGGCTCTCTGGGTTATGAGAGGCACGAATCTCTGGCACAGATGGGTTCCAGAACATGGGCAGCTTCTGACGGCTGCATTGCTTACTGGAAATGCCCCGGGTGGGAGGGCTGGGGACTGTCATGCACAAACCACCTCAGCAGCTCCTCCTGCACATAGGGGACCTCATGCAGCCCCAGAGTGGGGTCATGGATGGAACGTGACTCCCACATCTCACCCTGCACCCTGATTTGTGGAGGAGGGTGGGTTTGGGGATCCCGTCTCCGTGTTCGTTCCTGACCTTGTGGGAGCATCCTCGCTCAGTCACATAGACGCGTCTGCCCAGCACCCGCCTGCATGGTAACTGAGCGCTGCACCAGGAGCAGAGGATCTAGAAACACACAAGCTGTGCCCTCTGCATCAGGGAGTTCTTGGAGTTTTAGAGAGGTTTCCATCATCTCCAGTGTCATGCCTCTGTGAAGTGACAAGTATTTTTCACATTAATGACTTTCATAGTGGAAAATTACCATGAGATTTATAATGCCTTAGATTTCGTATTCACTTTATTAATCACAAGAGAAAGAGAAATAGTGTCTCTCTGCATGAGACATTTACTCAGGGATAGGTAGTGAGACAAACGTGGGTTTGCAGACACTGAGCCGCCAACGCAGGTGATGAATTGGGCATGGTTGATTAAGTCCAGGCCACTGCTGAGAGGAGTGAGCTGTACTCCCTTCGGATGCCCATAGTGTCAGGAATTAGATAAATGGTGGAGGACACCTGTTCTCAGATTGGAATAGTTACAACAGCCTAGCAAACCGTCTTCAGTCCTCATAGGATGCTTAGAACAATTTGGGATTCCCTCCCTTGTCCCTCTTCCAGACTTGAAACCTTTCCGATTGTGAGTGACTTTGCCTTCTTCATGCGGTGACATTAATTGAGCAGCATGGATATAGTCATGGAAGAGACAGCTGGACCCACAGGGCTTAGCCTCTGGGGAGGGAAGCAGGCAGGCAGCACATGGTTAGGATGCAACACCATCAGTGCTGTGCTGGGGGTCACAGAGGAGGGCGCCTCACCCAAACATGGCTGGGGCCAGGGGGTGGGGGTGCTGTTGAAAGTGAGGCCTGAAATAGCTAGGAGTTAACCAAGCAGGGAGAGCCAGGCAGAGGCAGGAGCAAAGGCCTGGAAGCCCGAGAAAGCAGCGTGCAGGAGAGACACCTGAGGTCAGGGCCACAAGGTCCTGGTGTGTCTGGGTGGACGGTGAGAGGTGAGGCTGGAGGGGCTCTCAGGGCCCAGCCATGGAAGGTGTGCAGCGTGCATCGTGCCCATCAAGCATTTTCACGAGGCGGGTGGCGTGGGGTGTTTCAGAACATTTAAGCACTCAGGCTACGTGGCCCCAAGTCTGCCTGATGCACGAGCCCTGCTTTCTACCACTGCTTTCCTGAGTCCCACCGGATGAGGAACCCTGGCCCAGGAGTTTGGTTTGTGTCTTCATGGGCATGTTCTCAGCATGTAGAGCAGTTCTGGCCCCTGGGAGGTGTTGGAGAGACGCTTGCTGAGTGAATCTGGAGCTGGCTTTGGACAGTGCTGCATTTGCAGAGCTGGTGGCTGCTCTGCTGCATTGGAGACCCCACCTTCTCAGATACCTGCAGAAGCCGAGTATGGGAGCACAGGGCTCTTGGGGCGGGCCTCCCACCTGAGCACTCAGGTGTGTGTTGGACTTAACTTAGAATGCAGCTCAGAGGCCTGGAGCTGAGCTGCTTTGAGATGGGAGCCAGGTACCATCTGAGCCCTGCTGGGGTTGAGGTGAACCCTTGCCCCCGGTGGCAGATGCCTGGGCCAGTCACTCCCTCCAGTGCTGAGTGGGCTTCATGTCAAGGCCCGGCGTTACCTTGATGCACAGGTGACTTCGATGGGCCCGTGTTTGCTTTTAATAAATAAGTGTGTGCCCAGGTTTATATGAAAATCCAGGTTTTTCAGGGTGTGGCGATGCATATTTCCAGGGAATTTGCCCTGAGATTCCTTAAGAACAGTTCCTATGCAATTAAAAGCAGACAGCACCATGAAGAGACACCTCTGTGGCCCAGGCGTGGTGGCCCATGCCTATAATCTCAACACTTTGGGAGGACAAGGCAGGCAGATCTCTTGAGCCCAGGAGTTCAAGACCAGCCTGGGCAACATGGTGAAACCCCATCTCTACAAGGAAATGCCAGAAATACTAGCCGGCTCTGGTGGCAGGCAGCTGTGGTCCCAACTCTCGGGAGTCTGAAGTGGGAGGATTGCTTGAGCCTTGGAGGAGGCTGAGGTTGTGGTGAGCCGAGATCGTGCCACTGCACTCCAGTCTGGGCGACAGAGTGAGACCCTCTCTCAAAAAGAAATGCATCCGTGAATTGAGGTTGACCCGCAGGTGGTAAAACCTTAGATTAGAAAAGACCCAAGTACGAGGTATGTTTATGCAGAAAATAAAAATGAAGTGGTTAGAGAGATGGATAGATTGATGGATATGTGATAAAGCACATACAGCAAAAATTCTCATTGTAGCATCTAGGTGGTATGTGTATGGGTGTGTGTGATACAATTATTTCGACCTTTCAGGAAATTTTATATTTTTTACGATAAAATGTTAGTGTTAGAAGAGGTATTCCAAGTAAAAGGTCAGCGGGAAAACAGGCACTTTGCCTCAGTGCACACCTGGTCAACCACATCCATTGTGAAACAGTTAAAAATACTGATCAGTTTAAAGCTGTGAAGCAGCTTCTCATAAGTCTCAGCC
The DNA here is from genome assembly GCF_000001405.40 of Homo sapiens. Classification (NCBI taxonomy): domain Eukaryota; kingdom Metazoa; phylum Chordata; class Mammalia; order Primates; family Hominidae; genus Homo; species Homo sapiens. The sequence goes on along the minus strand of NC_000014.9, from coordinate 91,333,855 downwards.
CTTCATTTCTCAGTTTCTCAAGATGCGGTCTGTGTCTACCTATATCAGGATCAGCTGAGGGTTTGTGTTTAAAATGCAGATTCCTGGGCCCCACCCTAGACCCTAGGGAGTAAGGGCAGGCCCTAGAAATCTGCATTTTACAGGCCCTCTCCCAGGCCATCTTGCCCCCCTTAAAAAAATAACCTTTACTTTTAAAAAACTAATATGTGCGTTATAGGAAACTGAAAAAGGCAAGCGAAGAACAAAGTCCTCCAGAATCGCAAGCAGTTTACAGTTTGCCGTGTCCTTCCGTGTCCTGTGTGTGCACACAGCATCGTTTTACATGGTTGAGAGCATGCAGTATATGTCATGCTTTTTCACACATCATGAATATTTACCAATTCGAAATCCCAAAGCTGTATGAGTATTTTGATAACCAAGAACACACTACACCAACTCAATCTGTTAGGAAAAAATGTAATCCTGCCTTTCTTTGGACATAAATTTCACAGACGACGAAAATGGTAACAGGCTGCTAGATAAAGTTGTTGGCAGAGTTAATGTTAAAATACTATATTCCCTTAAGGCTCGGTTTAAAATAAGGCATAAAGCAACAGGGTACAGTAAGTATATGTTTCGAAGAGAATTCATTAGCAGATCTATACCATTAAAATATTAGCAAGAAGGTTCCATTGAATTACTTAATGTATTCCTATAGTACAGCCAAAAGAGATGCACATACGTCAGTGGCTGTCATCCAAATGGAAATATGAACACATCTGCGTGTGTCTCTCTCTTTATACTTCTTGGATTCCTCCCAAGCTGGAGGAATATGGTTGCAGATGAAGAGAGTGCTTCTTTCCGCACCCCCGACCCCCGCCCGAGGCTCTTCACTCGTGGATTCCCTCCGGAAAGGCAGGGTTTGCAGAGCCAAGGGCCGGTCTGTGGGTGGAGTGTGGCCAGAGGCTTTCTGTGTGGACCTTGAGCCCCAGCAGGTGGGACTGTCTTACTTGACTGCTTGTACACAGAGCCTGGCACACACAAGGCACTTGGTAATCACACCACTCTTTGCTCTGCAGTTACAAGGCTTGCAGTCTCGGGAGGAGGGAAGGGGAGGAATCATGAGTTTTTCGACTCCTTGGGATTGGAGACAGGGCTGTTAGGTGAGATGGGCAGGAGAGCAGAGAGGTTATTGCATTCGTGCCAGCTCGAATTGGTGCAGCACTTGCAGGTACAGTGGGAGACACTGGTGGCCAGGTCCGCCCAGACAGGCTGCCCCGTCTAACCCGTAAAGCACATTGGTGTGCATCACCGAAGGGAGAGCGCATCCTGCCATGTGGGAGGACAAGATAAAGGACCCGGGCTTCAGGGCAAGGGCAGATTAATTTTGGTTACAAAAACATGGAACACAAATGTACATGGTTTGTTTTCAAAAGTCTGGCAGCTATTTTTGCTCCTAGCCTAGCTTACATAAGAGGTGAAAAAACAAAATGAGTAGCAGAGTAGGTGTCCCTCGGTCCAGGAGGAAGCGTGCGGGCGGGCGTGGGGTGTCCCTGACTTCCCTTTGTAAACAGTAGTTCTGCTCAGTGCTGTCCAGGGCATGGGGGTTGCCCTCAGGGCTGTGTGGGAGGAGGACAAAGGCAGAGAACTGGAAGGTTCTCTTTCCCCGTATTTTAAAATTGGCTGAAAGTTTCTACTGCAGGCAAAGGGCAGATGCATAGATGCTGTGTGCATCCTGAGCGGAGTGGATGTGGCCTCTCTCTGCTCCTGTGTGATTTATGGCTCTCTAGGCAGCGCTGGCTCCCAAATAGCCCGAGGGGCAGAGACCTAGCTGGGCAGAGTCTGCACTCAGGGGCAGAGACCTAGCTGGGCAGAGTCTGCACCCAGGGGCAGAGACCTAGCTGGGCAGAGTCTACACCCAGGGGCAGAGACCTAGCTGGGCACAGTCTACACCCAGAGGCAGAGACCTACCTGGGCACAGTGTATACCCAGGGGCAGAGACCTAGCTGGGCACAGTCTATACCCAGCTTGCCAGGTGTTGGGCAAGTCTTGTCCCCATCTGTCAAAGCAGGGGGTGCTCTCGGGCATGTCTGAGACCTTGGCATCCTGTGATGTAGGAGCATGTTTGCAATGGGCTTATTCTGGGGTGCACCTGTCCGTGGGGAGCCTCCCCAACAGGGAGCTGCCCCAAGGAGGTGGGGACCGTGGAATAGATCTCTGCAGTGAGGGGTCAGCCAGAGGGACAGAAAGGGTTGTTGGCCAGCACCGGCCAGTGAGGAACTGGGCTAATGATCATTCTTAGAATGTGTGTCTGTCTTTCTCTCTCCTCTCTCTCGCACGCGCACACACACGTGTGCACATGCACACTCTCCACCCCACCATGGTGACCAGGAACGGGGTGGGGCAGGAGCTCTGCTGTGGCCTGGTCTGCCTTGCCCATGGGGCCTGGAGACAGGGCCCCAGCTCCTCTGCCCTCCTCCACCCTCCTCTGGCCCCAGGCAACATCTCCTGCAGCTCTCAGAGGTCTCAGTCATCTTCAGGAGGAAAAGGTGCTTGGGACATGTTTGTTGATTTGAGTCCAGTGTCTTAGGGCCCCTGAGGCTTTCCCATCTTTAACTTAAAACAGACCTTTCCACTTTCCTCCGATTCTCTCCAGCTGCCTCTCCCTGGGCTCAAAGGCAGACCTGTGTGAAAGCAGTGTCAGCTGTGGGCCCATTTCCCCCAGTCTGGAGCCACCTGCCGTGCCTGCACCGCTCCCCCCACCCCCGCCCCACTTACCAAAGCCACTCTTGCCAGTAAAGGGGCGCTCCTGACATGGACATATCCGGCAAGCACTCCTCAGCCCCAGCCCCTCCTACCACTTCCTCCCTGAGCTTCCACTCTCCCCACTCCTGGACTCACTCTCCCATCGCAGGCCCACCCCTCAGTATCAGGGCCCTCATTCACCCCTTGCCCTCTGCTTCTCCTCTGGGCTTTCTCCAGGGATGGCTCACCTGCCCTGCCGCCTTCCCTTAGCCCACACACATAGACCCTCGAGTCCCAGATCTTAATCCTTGGCTGAGGCTCTGTCTTGCGCTCCAGGCCTCAGTGTACCCGGGTTATCCAGAGACATCTCAAGGCCAGTGTGTTCAGAGTCATTGTCTTTCCCTCCACACCTGCCTGTCCTGTCTCTGGTCTGGAGTCACATCCACTCGGGTGCTCAAGCCAGAGCACAGGGCCACCTTGGTTCTTTGTCTTCCTCCCCATCCCCTCGTCCCAGGTCCAGGTGCCCCTCCTGTTTGTAAGCCTGTTTCTCACCTCCCAGCATGTCCTTGTCCGGAGGCGGGTGTTGAAGAGTGTGGCTCAGCCTCACTGGCATCCTCGCTCATGTTACTCCAGAGTCTGCCTGCGGAGTGCCTCCCTAATGGTCTGGACTGGCCAGTCTGCCTCTGTCTGTCCTGCTGCAGAGGCCTTTGCAGCCACTCTCCATGGCTCCTGGGTAAAACCCACACCGTACCCTCGTCTGCCACTCCCCACTTCAGCTCCCCCAGGACTCCTGGTGCTTTTGCACAAGTGCTTCCTCAGCCCAGCCCCACTCTCTCTTCCGACTCTGCGGCCAGGTCAGGGGTGGGGCGCTGAACTGTGCGGGCTGCGTCTCCCAGCCTCCTGCTCCAGGCTTCCTTGAAACCCCTCCTGACTGCAGGCAGTGCTCATCACGTGGCACTTTCCTGTCTGTTTCCCAACCAGAGTGGGAGCTCTTTGAACACAGGGTCTGTGCCTTACTGACCCCTGGTCCTCTGTGCCCCATGCACCTTGTGGCTCAGGGGTCAGCACATGGCAGTCCCTGGGCAAACCCGGCCCCTGTGAGTTTTTATGAACACAGTTGTGTTGGAACACAGCTAACACCCATTTGTTGTCTCTTTTTGTGCTCCCTCTGTGGAGTTGAGTAGTTGTGACAGAGACTTAAAACCTGCAGAGCTGAAAACATTGCCTGACTGGGCCTTCACATTCTCAGGGTCTGGCCCAAATGAGGTGCACAGTCGGGTCTTTCAGTGAGTGGTAACGACCTTGTGTATCTGTGGAGCTTTCCCCACCTGCTGGGAATGATGTCAGGCCCTAACTGCATCCATGCACTGAAGCCTCATGGTGGCCCTGCAGGTTTAGCAGCCACTGGCAGTTCCTCCCCTCTTTTCAGATGAGGAAACTGACAATTGATTAATTAATAACTTGCCCAGCATGGCAGTTGCTAAGCAGGGGGACCTGGGATGGGAATGACTGTCTGCCTCCAGACCTTGATGCTTGCCTGTGAATGACTTGATGCTTGCCTGTGAATGAACGTGAGCTTCAGCCTTCACAGGAAGGAAGAAATAAAGGGGGTGTGGGAAGTGCTGCAAGAGGGGTACTCCTAGGAGAGGTGAGGGGCTGCCACTGTCTCAGAGGCCGTGGAGGCCTGAGGAAGGGCCCCAGCCTCCAGCAGCTCACGTTAGGGCTGACATGTCACATCATACTTAATCAGGGAATGTCAAGATTCAGGGCACTTACTAAGGACACCCTGAACACAGGGAAGTCTTCTGTTCCCACCTGGAACTTTGTGTCTCCCTTGTTCCTTAATAACTGCTGAGGAGTTGTGATGAGGTTCAGCACACTAAGACGTTGAATAGGACAGACCTGCCGTTTGGTTTAAGGTTTAAGTCCCCCATGCTTCTCAAAGTGGGTGAAGTTTAAAAACAGGCAGGTCTTCGGTGAAGTTCAAGGGATGTCCATGAAGCTGGATGAGCAGGTAGGGTTCAGAGCGGGGGTGATGTTTCCTGGGTGGGTAGGATGTCTGCCTGCCCTGAGTCAGCTGACCCAGACCCTCCCCACTGAGGATGCCCTGGGCCAGCCTCCTGCTGCTATGGCCCCCTTAGGGAACCATACGGCATCGTGGTTGCTACAGAGCTCCCTGGCGGAAGACTGCCTGTTTGTTTGATTCCGCACCCCCTCTGGTGCTGTGTGCTCCTCAGGGGTCAGGAGGCACCCTAGAAGCCAGTTTTTTCTGTTAACATGATAGGTGCTCCGTGGGGAGTGCTGGGGGTGCTCTGTCGGTGTGAGTTGGTGGTGATGGCGGCTGGCGAGTTTGTAGGTCTCAGGCGCTGCGCATGGAGTATTTCACACGCATCATCCGAGCTCCGCGTCACCCTGTCTTTAGGCCCATCGTGTAAAGGAGGAATCCGGGTTGAGAGTGTATGTAGCAGCCCTGGGAATCGGGGCCCGTTAGCTCCCGTGCCTAATCACTGCCCCAAGTCGCAGTGGCAGATTAGAAGTGAGCTCTTGAGCCTCCTGAACTAGCCCTCAGTCCTGGGCTGTGACTTCATGAGTGTGGTCCCCTCAGCTGTTTGCTGGGCTGGGTCGGGCCTTTAAATAGCCTCCTAGGTCACTTGTGGTCAGGGCCACGGTGGGGCGTTCTGGCCTTGGACAGCTACCCAGAGGTGTGGAATCCGGCTTCCCACTCCTCCTCGCCAGGTGCCCGGGGGAGCCCTGGGCTTGCTTCGGGAGCTTGGACACAGCTTCTGGATCTGGCTTCTCATTTCAGAGGTGGTGGTGCAGTGTGCAGGGCACTCGAGATGTTTCTGTTACCTTATGTATAGTGGAGGTTGAAATGGCCAGAAAACCACAGCATGTTTGAGTAGCAGTTAGAAATCTTCTGTTCCATGCCATCTCCCACTCCTGGCCATCTCCATTCATTCCGGGAAGTCTCTGAGTTCTTTAAGGTCCACCTCACATGCCGCCTTTGATTCCTCCCTCCTTGTGGCATGATTTGGCCAAGTAGTGTTATTGAACACTTACGCGAGGCTCACAAGAGCAAAAGCACAACAGTCCTGCCTGAGGTTCCTGGTCTGGGGGAGGAACAGGCCGGCCTGCTGTGGCCTCAGAGCAGACCCAGAACACTAGGAGCCCAGAAGCCTGACTTGGGTGGGACACAGTGAATTCTCAAGCACTTCTCCTAGGGGACAACTCCAGCTGGGTCTTGAAGGCTGAATAGGAGTTGCTTGTGAGGGTGAAGCAGCAGGCAGCCTGTGCGGTGGTTGCTCAGGGCCTGAGGGTAGTGATGCTGGGGAGTGCTGGCGGTGGACCCTGCTGGAACGCTGGTCAAAAGAGTGGGGGCAGTAGCCAGAGAGAAAAGGCTGGGCCTTCTTTCTGCTTTGAAGCCCGTCATTGTGCTCTGGCTTGTGTTATTAGTACAACAGGGGCCTCTCACCCACACAAGCCCCTCGAGGGTGGGCTTCAGGGAGCCGAGGGCAGTGAGGAGAGCACCGGGTCTGCGGCCTGTCAGGCCCCAGCTTTGTACCTCACTAGGTTCGTGGCTTTGAGCTCATTTCTTATTTTTTCTGAATTGGTCTTTCATCTGCAGGAAGGGACTGTCCCTGCCTCCCTCTGAGGGCCACTGTAAGGCAGGACATGGATTGCCTGGGGCAGGGCCAGCCACATAGTAGATGTGGTCTCTGCTGGGCACAGGCAGCGAGAGGAGGGCACGCAGGTGAATCCAGAGACTTAATGGCCAAGCCCCTCACCGCCTGCCAGGCTTTGATCAAAGCTGTGTCCGCTGGCCGGAAAGTGTGTGGCTTCCCCTCCACCAGGAGTCTTGGATTCTGGCCCACATAGGAAGATGAGCACATGGTGGATAAGTAGAAACTCCCAGCCTGGTTCCCAGTGTGATTCGTGAGTGGGACAAACCTCAGACAGCTCTGCCCACCGAAAGAAGCGTACACGTTCCTGGCGTGTGCTGTTTGTAACCTGCGAAGGCATTTGGGGGAAGCTCAGTTCCCCGCCAGATACCGAGCGGTGCTTGGAAGGGCCCAGGAGAAGAGAAGCCAAGAAAGCCCGTAGCAAAGGAACAGTGGAGATGTGCGCCCTGGACTGACTTCTTCCCTTGTGCACATCACTGCCTGTGTCAAAAATAGATCCAGCGCACCCCTCAGCTGTATACATTTGTGGAGCTCACATTTGTGTGGTTTGCTGTGCTGAAACTTAACTGTCTTAAAGACCCCCATTTCCAGGAAACTGCCAAGAACTTTTGTTATCTAAGAGTGTTTGTAAGATACTCAGATAGGAGCAGTGTATTGAATGAAAGTTTATCTGAATAGCTGCTGTTTTCCAGGCCCCACATCTGTAGAATGAATGTTGAATTAAGAGGTCTACTAGACTCAGACCTGGAACCCAGGATTGACTCTCAACCCCACTCCTTCCTTGTTAAGGAAATGGGCTCAGGGTCCCCTTGTCCGTCCAGATGAGATTAGGCATGTCAAAGCCTTGGCACTATTCCCAGCCTATCTTGATTCATGGATTTTTTTTTCTTATAGCAGAGAAAGTCCATTGTCCTTGCCCGATTAAAAAGGGTGAAGATGGGCTGGGCACAGTGGCTCATGCCCGTAATCCCAGAACTTTAGGAGGCCGAGGCAGGTGGATCACCTGAGGTCAGGAATTCGAGACCAGCCTGGATAACATGATGAAACCTCGTCTCTACTAAAGATACAAAAATTAGCCGGGCGCGATAGCAGGCGCCTGTAATTGCAGCTACTTGGGAGGCTAAGGCAGGAGAATTGCTGAACCTAGGAGGTGGAGGTTGCAGTGAGCTGAGATCGCGCCACTGCACCCCAGCCTGGGCGACAGAGTGACATTCCGTCTCAAAAAAAAGGTGAAGATGATAAAAAAAAAAGTAGAGGAAAAACTTCCTGCCTCGGACTTCCCTCTAGATTGTTTGCTTGGGTCCAGATGCCTGAAAGAGTTTTGGTTTTAGAATTCCATCCTAATGACCCAGGTGCCTTTATCTGATGGTTCTCATGTATGTTTTTGCTAACCAGGAGCTGAGAGAAGATAATATCATTTTAATTGAAACCAAGGCCATGCTGGAGGAACAGCTGACTGCTGCTCGGGCCCGGGGCGATAAAGTCCATGAGCTGGAAAAGGAGAACCTGCAGCTGAAATCCAAGCTTCACGACCTGGAATTGGTACTGCAGGCTGTGTTGTTACTACATTGAAAACAGATTGGGCTCGGGCACAGTGGCTCATGCCTGTAATCCCAGCACTTTGGGAGGCTAAGGTGGGAGGATCCCTTGAGCGCAGGAGTTCTAACCCTGGCAACCTAGCGAGGCCCCATCTCTACGAAAACTAAATAATTGGGCATGGTGGTGTGAGCCTGTAGTTCCATCTACTTGGGAGAGACTGAGGCAGGAGGGTTGCTTGAGCCTGGGAGGTTGAGGCTGCAGTGAGCCGTGATCACACCATTGCATTCCAGCCTGGGTGATAGAGCAAGACCTTGTCTCAGAAAAAAAGAAAGAAAGAAAAGAAAACCGATTGGGGCAGGTTCAGGTTTATGGCGTGCCCTTCTCTGATAGTTTAGCTACTGGGTTTGTTGCTGCTACTGCCGTTGCTGCTGCCACTGCTACCACGAATGACTTGTTGACTGCGGGGAGTAGCTTGCTAAAATCAGCAGGCTTGAGCGGGTGCCACTTAACACCCACAAACAGAGCACTTGACTTCTGTATTGCTTTTCTGTAGGAATGAGTGTGTGTGTGTGTCTTGGAAGAAGGGTCTTTGCCAGTGTTGATGGTGTGGGGTGAGCTGTGATTTGTTAGCCTGTTAACAGCTTTAGAGGCCTGTTAGGGCTTCGCTAGAGCCACAGAGCTGCCCATCACTGCACACTTGCTTTAAAGCCCTGTGCAGTATGTCACTTTGTTCAGACAGCATTCAGTTAGGGACCCCGGCCGGGTCTGTCTTCATAACCTAGGTAGCCAGGTCAGGGTACCTTTGAGTGGCTTTCCCTCTCATAGCAGGGCCCTGTGTTGGGATGTTTCTGTGCAGCTCTGTTTATTTGGAAGTGAGCCAGTACATCTTCATCCACAGCACATGACGGTAGCTATACAGGGGCTGAGGCTTGTCCAGGGGGATCTCCAGCTGTGCAGCCTCACTTCTTGCCTCTTCTTGCTTGCCCCAGGACCGGGACACAGATAAGAAACGAATTGAGGAGCTGCTGGAAGAAAACATGGTCCTTGAGATTGCACAGAAGCAGAGCATGAACGAATCTGCCCACCTTGGCTGGGAGCTGGAGCAGCTGTCCAAGAACGCAGACTTGTCAGACGGTAGGTAGCGCCTGGTGCCGGGGAGCCAGCCTGGCCGTGGCCGCCGCTGCCTCCAGGGAGCTGAGTCCTGGGCTCTGAATCTGCCATGTTAGCCCATCCATTCATCCCAGGCAAACATGATTTCCTTCAAGCTCCACTTGGAACTGTTTCATTACAGTTCTCCCCAGGGAAGACACGAGGGGTCTGGCAGCCTTGATGTCAGGACGCAAAACACAAATTAAGTGTTGCCAGTTTTCCGAATTCCCATATGGACATTCCCGGGAGCTTCCAGATTATAGTGCACTGACACCCAGAGGCTCTCTGAGGCCATCTGTGGATGGCTGAAAGCCCTGGATGGCAGGAGCCATCACCAGTGGCCACGAATCCCTGCTATAAATGTACCCAGGGCGTCATTTCCTCCATTCATTTGCATAATTGGGCAAGATGGAGGCAGCCTGTTTTCTCTCTCCTGGGTGGGGAGGGTGCTGAGTGGCTGCTGCCCCGGAGACCCAGGTTCTTAGCGCCTCTGCCAGGCCTCTCCCTTTCCCTCTTCCCTCCTGGGCTTGCTCTGCTGCCCACTGCCCCGCGCCCCGAGAGGAGGTGTCGGTCATGGGAAGCGTGGGCGGGGCCGCACTCAGCCCCCTGCGCAGGAAGCCTCAGCCCCGGCAAACAATGAGCCAGTTCCTGTGTTTGAAAATAGCACACGCTCACCGTTCCCGTGCACGTGATCGTGCAAGTTCATAGTTACTTAGACTTTCCAGGGTGTGATGGGGCTTTTGGCTTGTTTAGTGGGTGGCTTTAAAAAATTCTGATAGACATCTAAGCATTCTGGAAAGGTTATTGGAAACAGGTGAATATTTCTTGCATTTGGGGGTTCCTATCAGTTCCGAACCTAAAACCAGTTTCACTGTGAATCTGTGTGAGAAGTTAGCTGTCTGTGCTTTGATATCTGTGCGTAGTTCTGGGGCCTGAGGGCTGCACAAGGGGGTTCCCCCAAATCCCTTGCCTCTGGAAGTCCAAGTTGGGGGCGCCCCCTGGTGGAGCAGAGAGGTGGTACAAGCAGCTAGGATGGTCTCTCATCAACTAAATATTTGTTAGAGACCATGGTGGCTGGTGAGAAGGCCTCACCGATTTAGACCATTTTCTATAATGTGTGAGCTCTTTAAAGTTAATACCGTGATTTATTCTTAGTGTTGTCAACTCCTAGTGCCTAGCTAGGAGCTGGCATCATTCTAGTGTTTGCTAGAATGATGGCATCGTGCAAGCAAAGCCTGAGTGTATGGGGCAGTGGCTTCGAGAGCCAGAAAGACCTGGCATAAAGCCTTGGCTTCTCTGCTGGTTAGCTGGGTGACCTAGGGCAAGTACTTAACCTCTTAAAACTTTAGTTTCCTTACCTGCAAAATAGGGGTAATGAACCTGCCTCACAAGATGACTGTGAGGATGAGTGAGAGAAAACAGTGAAGCAGGAACCCCGGCTCTGGCCCTTGGTGTGTTCTGTAGAGGGCAGCTCTTCTTGTCTGTCTTACTAAGACATACCCAGTTACTCTGGTTGCTGGGGGGTGCTGACGAGATTTGCACTAGTAAAGAAACACTGGGCCGGGCAAAGTGGCTCATGCCTGTATTCCCAGCACTTTGGGAGATTAAGGCGGGCAGATCACTTGAGGTCAGGAGTTCAAGACCAGCCTGGCCAACATGGAGAAACCCCGCCTCTACTAAAAGTACAAAAATTAGTCAGGCGTGGTGGTGCACACCTGTAATCCCAGCTACTCAGGAGGCTGAGGCCGGAGAATCGCTTGAACCTGAGAGGTGGAGGTTGCAGCGAGCCAAGATCACACCACTGCACTCCAGCCTGGGTGAGAGAGTGAGATTCTGTCTCAAAAAAAAAAAAAAAAAAAGAGAAACACTGGCGTTTTAGTAGTAAACCATTGTGTCGTTTTAATAGTCTTCAAGGCACTGACTTTAATGGAAGAGGAAATGAAACATCGATTCCATTGTTTAACTCACAGAACCTTAAAAATTAATCTCTGTGGTCAGTTTGGGAAGGTGAAAAGGGATGGTGGTGATGGTTGCAGAAAAGTGTGCTTGTACCTAATGCCACAGATCCAAACACTTTAAAATGGCTAAAATGGTACTTTTTAAATATATTTTTCTGTAATTTTAAAAATGGGTTCACCCCCATGAATTCTGCAGAGACACTGTCCAGATGACCACAGGTTTTGAAATAATGGAGTCTTATTTGAGGCTTGGTGTTGAAGTTAGGTTAGTTTCATTTACAGCTTATTTGGGATGGAGCCCTCCAAGCGTCCTTGTATGTGGAGTGTGTGTGTGTTTATGTGTGTGTCAGTGCTGGGCTGGGGCCAGGTACACACCATCCCCTCCACTTCTCGCCTGCTGTTGGTTTGGGTCTTTAGGGCGTTCTGGCCTGTTGGGTGGTCCATGTCGTTATCCTTGGTAGAGGATGAAGACTCAGAGGGAAACGAGATGCTGTTCAGTCTTTATGATCACCCGGGGAATCTGAACCACACACATTTCCAGATTTATGTGTTTGCTGTGAAAGCCATCACCCCCCTGTACCCACAGCCCCTGGGGTGAAGAGGTAGGGGGAGGAATCGCTGTATTAGCAACAGTGTGGAAAGGCCCCAAGAGATGAGGACGTGGCACTGGGTTGGGTAAATGAAGGGGGGAAGAACCGGGCTCCTTTCTTAAGAGGGCTTTTGCATACCTTTTTTTTTCCCCTCCCCAAAACAACCCCATGACTTACCTAAAATCATGCACCTGCTTGTGGCAGGAGGGGGCCAGGAACTCCCATTCCTGACTCAAGACTCTTCCCTTCTCCATTTGCACCTGAGCTGTTTAAAAGCAGAGTAGATAGTCTGCCTTTTACTATTTTTAGCTTATTTTTCATCTCATTTAGAATTTTAAAAGTAATTTGCATACACTATCACAGTTTTCTTCAACATAATTGTGAAGTCACAGAAAGAAATCTCTGCATAGCATCTCATCCAGGCTGACAAGTGCCCGACACATGTTCCAGTGTAGCTTTCTACCACCCATGGCCAACGGGAGTGGTCAGTTACGTGCCCCTGCCTGCTGAGCAGCCGAGATGTCCATTATGCTCTGGGGGGTATGGAAAATGTCACCTGTGTGTCATCTCTGTTAGCCTCTAAAATCCTTGATTGGACAGTTAGGATAGCAGCCTGATAGCCAGATGGTTCCCAGAAGTGACACAGCCCTTGCATTGGCTCCTGGACTGTAACCTGCCGCCTTCTTGAGCCCTGGATTGCTGCCCTGACAGACCCCAGCAAAGCCTGCAGAGGAGCCCTCGGGCACTGGGAGTGGAGGGGCAGGAGGAAGGGTCCCCAGCTGACCTGTGGGAGCTCCTCCCCAGCCCCTTAGACCCTGGACTCCGGGACTGATGACCATCTCGGAGCTTGGGGCAGAGAGTGGAAGTGGAGGCCCACAGACCACTGGGCTCTGACTGGACTTTGTCTTCAGCCTCCAGGAAGTCGTTTGTGTTTGAGCTGAACGAATGTGCGTCCAGCCGCATCCTGAAGCTGGAGAAGGAGAATCAGAGCCTCCAGAGCACCATCCAGGGGCTGCGGGACGCGTCCCTGGTGTTGGAGGAGAGCGGCCTCAAGTGCGGGGAGCTGGAGAAGGAGAACCACCAGCTCAGCAAGAAGGTACCTCGGCCTCCTTAGGCCACCGGGGAAGCACAGAACCCTTGGGCACCCTCCCATCCTCCCCAGTGATTGTCTGGAGCACAGACAAGGAGGGGGCCAGGTAGAGCATGCAGGTGTCAGGCAGTGGACAGAATCCAGGCGCAGTCACCGCTGATTATAATAGGAATGGGAGTGAGGACTGGGGAGAGCCAGAGGAGGCGTGGCCCTGTCCCTGCTTCGCTGCCATTAGAGGATGACCCGGACATGTGACTTTCTTGTGCCTCATTGTCTTCATTTGTGAAATGGGGTTGATGGGGTGCCTGCCTGTAAAAAGAAAACTCCCTCGTTCTCTTCCACGCCACTGCTCCCAGTACCTCACTGCTTATACCAGGGGTGTGGGGTTTTCCCCATATCAAGCAGTTCTCAAGTTCTTGGGGGACACCAGCTGGGTATCCTACAATTTAACTCAATTCTGACACTACAGACCCTGCAGCCTAAGGGCTCAGTCCCACCAGACTGCCTCCCACTTCAGGTGCCAATCCAAGTCCGGATTGTCACCTGTGCTTCTGATCGGCTGGCTGCAGATCAGAGGTTCCCACCACCCCCTTCGTGGGCTCCGCTATTGCCTAGATGGCTTAGTATTCCTTGTTTATTACAAAGTATACAACGCACAGGCAGAACAGATGCACAGGGCGGTGGGTGCGGGGAGTGGTGCCACGCTACCCTGTCCTCTGCGGGTGCCCCTCCAGCACCTCCACATGTTCACCAACCTGGACACTTTTTGACCAAGTCCTTTTGGGTTTTTATGGAGGTTTCATTATATAGGCATGATTGATTACATCATTTGCCATTTGATTAGCTCAACCTCCAGGCCCTGTCTCCTCCCTGGAGGTAGGGGAGGCCTGAAAGTTTCATCTCTCTAATAACATGGTTGGTTCCCTTGGCAACCAGCTCCCATCCTGAGGCTCTCCAGGAGCCCCCAGTCCTCATTCATCTTAGCATACAAGAAAGACACCTATCCCTTTGGAGATTCCAAGGGTTTTCGAAACTTGTGCCAGGAAATTTAGCAACAACCAAACACACATTTCTTTTTTTTTTTTTTTTTTTTTTTTTTTTGAGACTGAGTTTTGTTCTTGTTGCCCAGGCTGGAGTGCAATGGCACAATCTCAGCTCATTGCAACTCCACCTCCCAGGTTCAAGTGATTCTCCTGCCTCAGCCTCCCGAGTAGCTGGGATTACAGGCACCCACCACCACACCCAGCTAGTTTTGTATTTTTAGTAGAGACGGGGTTTTGCCATGTTGGCCAGGCTGGTCTCAAACTCCCGACCTCAGGTGGCCCACCCGCCTCGGCCTCCCAAAATGCTGGGATTACCAGCATGAGCCACCATGCCCGGCCCCAGACACACATTTCTTATGCTGGCTGTTGTGGGGATTAGAGGTGGTAGTGTGTGTGACGGATTCGGCACATAGTAAGCACTCAATAAAAAGAGAGCAGGGCACTGTTATAAAGCATGCAATAGGGACCCAGGGAGAAGAACCAGTAAGGTACCGAATACCAGACGTTGAGTTGTTGACTAAAGTGATAATGAACATCTTTGGGGCTGCAAAGCCTAGGTCTGTATGTGTGAGGCCACTGACGGAACACCTTAGGGTCTTGCTGTGGTAAAACAAGCAGGTCAGTGCTTTCTCCCTCCCCTGGGTTTATGGGATGGGGAAGAAGAGATAGCTGAACTGTGTTCTGTTTTAATGACAGCTGTTAGGTCTTCCTGGGAGCAGAGTAGAAGCCAGACACCTGGGTGAACAGATGAGAGTTTGCAAGCCAGTCTTGTTCTACAGTTAAGAGGATCCCTGTCACATGGCAGATTCCTTCTCAGGTGCAGGAAGGGGCCAATGAGAGACTAGGGATTGCCGACAGGTCTTGCTCATTCCAGGTCAGAGGACCTCTCATCCACCTGCCTCACACTGTGGAGGCACTGGTGTACTGTGGGCTCTGAATGCACCAGCTGTCAGATTCCAGTCGAGGGAGGAGGCCAGAGTGTTCTTGCGGGCTGACTGCCATGCAGGATGGGCAACCCTCAGCCAGCTCAGCTCATCCTGAATTTCCCTCTCCAACCTCAGCCATCCAGCTGTGAGTCCTGGCAGTGTCATTTACTGAGGCATGACTGTGGCAGGACACCTGGGTCCCTTGGCTCTGCAGGTTCTTTTTTTTTTTTTTTTTTTTTGGACGGAGTCTCGCTCTGTTGTCCAGGCTGGAGTGCAGTGGTGCAATCTCAGCTTCCTTGCTATCTCCATCTCCTGGGTTCAAGCGATGCTCCTGTCTCGGCCTCCCAAGTAGCTGGGATTACAGGCATGTGCCACCATGCCCAGCTAATTTTTGTGTTTTTAGTGGAGATGAGGTTTCGCCATGTTGGCCAGGCTGGTCTCCTGACTTCAGGTGATCTGCCCACCTCAGCGTCCCAATGTGAGCCACTGCACCCAGCCACTCTGCAGGTTCATGATCTCTGAGGCTGGGAACAGGTCCCCCACTCCTGGGAACTGGTCCCTTGAGTTCCCTCATGGGACTTCTACGAGGCTCCTCACTCTTGTCCCTTTGAACTTTGTGTGCCTTGCAGCGTTTGAGCTGCCAGGTGGTTTTTCCTCTCTTTGTAGGACAACAGAAGACACCCCCGTCTCATGCCACATCTTCTGGTGCAGGGCAGCATGGGGAAAGTGACTCGGTTTTTTGAGACAGGGTCTTGCTCTGTCATCCAGGCAGGAGTGCGGTAGTGTGACCATGGCTCACTGCAGATTTGACCTCCAGAGCTCAAGTAATCCTCCCACATCAGCCTCCCGAATAGCTGGGACCACAGGCACGTACCACCACGCCCAGCTAATTTTTTTTTTTTGGAACTGGGGTCTCTTTATGTTGCCCAGGCTGGTCTCAAACCCCTGGGCTCAAGCAGTCCTTCGGTCTCAGCCTCCCAAAGTGCTAGGAGCACAGGTGTGAGCCACTGTGGCTGACTCAGTGTTTTGGTTTCTTAGATTCATGTGGGCCTAGCACGGGAAATGTCTTCATAAGTGGCAGCCCAACCTTGGCCATGATAAAAATAATTGCCCTTTAGGAAGATGAGAACCTCCAGCTCTGCAGGTCCTCACGACGCTGCCCCAGAAAGCCTGCAGTATTATCTCTCTGGCCTAGTGATATTTTGGGGCCCCTTCTGGCAGGTCACCAGGGTGGTGCCCAGGCATCTCTCTGCCCTGTCCTGTCTGCTGTGGCCCCTCCTCTGTACAAACAGGACCTGGCGGGGGCGTCGCCCACCCACCACAACTCCTTATGCTGATCTCTCAGGCCCTACCCACTTCCTCCCTGGCCCGACGCCAGCCTCTCCTGCCGTGGCCCTCGGGAGGCCCTGTCTTGGCACACACTCTCTGGTCGTGGGGGCGCCGGAAGGGAGGGGCCGCTGTTTGCAGGCAGGGCTGTCCTGTGTCTGAAGCCTGGAGCTCTCTCCTCCCTCTCGTCCTTGGCCTGCCCTGAGCCTGGCTGGAATCTGGCCCGACCCTGCAGGGTGGTTCTCCCTTCACTCTCTGTCCATGTCTCACTGACTGTTTTATTGGCCCCAGTGCCCAGCCCAGAGTCTGACACGTAGAGGGTGCTCGCCAGCATTTGACAGGTGAACCCTTCAGCACCAGCAGGAGGCAGGCTGTGCTTCAGGCCTGGCAACCCTCAGCCAGCTCAGCTCATCCTGAATTTCCCTCTCCAACCTCAGCCATCCAGCTGGCATTTCCTAGTCAGTAAGCAAGCCCGTTGGCCCTGCTGAGTCCCACAGGGGGCCCCTAGTGCCAACCTGGCTCTTCATCTCACCCCGAATGTAGCCCAGGCTGCACGCTTGCTTTGGTCTGGGACCTCTGGAAACCATAGTTCCCTGAAGTTAAAACATCTTTCTCTCTAACTCAAGGCACCTCCATGGGTCCTAGAGAAGCCCCCTCCCTCCTCTGTGTCTGTAGCTTTGTATTGAAGTCATAAGAGTTCATTCTTTGAGTCAGGAAGGAAAAAGAATCCTTATTTTTAGAGGAAGAGGGGCAGCCCTTTGGGGGCCTGTCATGAGAGGCAGGAGCAGCTCATGTGAAGACATGCAGCCTGGGGGCTGAGGGGCAGGGTCCTGGCACCCACAACTCCCAGGAAAACCTAATGCTGCACCACATGAGACTGTTGCCCATGCCAGTGGCTGCAGGGAGGACAGGAAACCCTCTGGGGGCCAGAAAGTCTGCAGCCATCCCATACCTTAGCCCAGCAGGTTCATCAGGTGCACAGGTCTTCTTCGGGGATGGACCGGAGTATAGGACAAAGAACCACAGAATGAGAAAGATGAGGGGTCCATCAGGGGTAGGTAGGACCCAGGAAATCACACCTTTAGACCAGAAGCAACAGCAATCAGAAATGCAAGGGTTGGCCGGGCACAGTGGCTCATGCCTGTTAACCCCAGCACTTTGGGAGACCGAGGCAGGCGGATCACCTGTGAGACCAGCCTGGCCAACACAGTGAAATCCCGTCTCTACTAAAAATACAAAAATTAGATGGGCGTGGTGGCAGGCTTCTGTAGTCCTAGTTACTCAGGAGGCTGAGGCAGGAAAATTGCTTGAATCTGGGAGGCGGAGGTTGCAGTGAGCCAAGATCATGCCATTGTACTCCATCCTGGGCGACAAGAGCAAAACTCCATCTCAAAAAAAAAAAAAGGTTGAGTCAGAATCTGCATTTCAGCAAGGCGGGCACTCGTGTGCAACGGGGAGCATAAGGACCTCTGTTTAGGTAGTTCATGTTTAGGAGGGCTGCGAACAGGTGGGTTCTGGCATAAGACCTTGATGTCAAGGAGATCACTGGGTGGCTGTCCAGGCCAGACAAAATGTGGCCTGGCCTGTGAGGGAGATGGTGGAAGTGTGGAAGGGGTAAGAAGGACAGGGCTTGGTGACACATTTCCATGGAGGTGAAAGAGGAAGAGATATAACAGAGGGCCACTTGAGCAGCCAGGTGACATCACCAACTGAGGCAGGAAGTCTCCAGGAGGACAGGAAGCTGGGTGCGTGTGAAACCCCCGAGGGCACCCAGCGGTGGCGGCCTCAGGCGGTGGAGCACATGGCAGCAAGGATGGGGCAGAGGGACGCTGGGGGGATGGTGATGGTTTGCTTCCTGGTGACTTTCTGTCTTAAGAGTGACAGCTGTGGTGTGGGGAGTTGCTACAGAATGATGTCAGGAGGTCTTCCCTTGAGAAAAGACCCATCAGTGCATTCTGTTGGGGTGGTTTCTGTTTTGTTTTAAATCATGGTTCACTTCGTAGGACTGATGTCTGCACTGGGCTGGGTCTTTTGGTTCTGCAGATTGAAAAGTTACAAACCCAGCTGGAGAGAGAAAAGCAGAGCAACCAAGATCTGGAGACCCTCAGTGAGGAGCTGATCAGAGAGAAGGAGCAGCTGCAGAGTGACATGGAGACCCTGAAGGCTGACAAAGCCAGGCAGGTAGGTGCCTCCACCACTAACGCCTCTCCTAGAACCCCTGCCTGCAAGACGGAGAGCCGGGATTACAGCCATTCCTGGTACTGTATTGTGGATGCATGGATTATCCGTTACCTAGCTTAGCCACAGCTTAAATCAGCAATTCTCAATTTCCCAACTGGCGGTGGGAAAAGGTGGGGTGAATTTTGCCTCCCAAGGGACATTTGGCAATGTCTCAAGACATTTTTGATTGTCGTGACCCCGGGGAAGAGAGGGGGTGGTGCTCCTGGCATGGAGTGGGTGGAGGCCAAGGATGCTGCTACATATTCTGCAGTGCGCAGGTCAGGAACACTCCATCTGCAAATGTTCTTAGTGCCCCAGCTGAGAACCCTGGCAAATCCGTGTGGTTTTATTTGCCTCACACGGCGGGCAGTCCAGGGCTGATGTAGTGGCTCAGGGATGCCATCAGGAACCAGGCCTCTTGCCTACAGCTCTGCCAGCCTTAGCAGTGGCTGCTGCACATCCCTAAGGTACAAGCAGGAGAAAGGTGGAGGGCTTAGCATCACAGGGAAACCCTCCCAAGGATGCTCCGTAGACGTCACGTTGGCCAGAACTAACGTGTGGCTACCTCTGCCTGCAAAGAATGCCAGGGCACCAAGTATTTTAGTTTTTTGTTTTTGTTTATGTTTTCTTTTGTTTAATAGAGATGGGATCTCACAGTGTTGCCCAGGCCGGTCTCGAACTCCTGGGCTCAAGTGATCCTCCCGTCTTAGCTTCCCAAAGTGTTGGGATTACAGGCATGAGCCACCATCACTGGCCCCAAGTATTTTAGCTTTTTGGCATCTGTAGTAGAGGAATAAAAAGCCCAGAGAAGATGGTTAGAATGGTGCATGGTAAACAGACGGACAGGGCCCTGCCCAGATGTTGCTCACAGCCAGGAAGGCACACTTCCAGGTGACAGGCAAGATGATCTCAGGAGGGTGCTACTGAGAGAATAGGGTGCTGAGGGAGAGAATACTGGGATACACGGCTACCTTAGAATCATCATGCCAGGATGTTTTGGGGAACTGACCCCAAGTATAAGAAAGAGCCAGTGAGGCTGATAGCCAGAGGAAAGTACTCCAGGCAGAGGGATCAGCATGTGCAAAGTGTTCACAGTCAGCTGGGCTAGGAGCAGTGAGCAGGAGGTGGAGAGTAGTGTAAGCAGAGGCTGCAGAGGTGGGCAGGGCCCGGCTACCAGAGACCAAGAGAAACCGCTGAAACTTAAGTGAGGGAGAGAGATGTATTTACATTTTAAAATCATCCTGGCTGCTCTGAGTGTATTCTGACTTGAACCATCTAAGTGGTGGTGTCTGTGCCCACTCACCTGTGTCTGTCAAGCCTCTGGGGAACGCACAGGCAGTGTCTGAGCACAGGTAGGACAGCCGTTCAAGGCCTTCTCTCTCCCATCCCCAGTGTGAGCCCATGTCACTGAAATAGGTTCCTGCAGCAGCCTGGGTTGTGCCTGTTGTGTTTTCCCGTAGATCAAGGACCTTGAGCAGGAAAAGGACCACCTCAACCGAGCCATGTGGTCGCTGCGGGAGAGGTCGCAGGTCAGCAGTGAGGCCCGCATGAAAGACGTGGAGAAGGAGAACAAAGCCCTCCACCAGACGGTGACGGAGGCCAATGGCAAGCTCAGCCAGTTGGAGTTTGAGAAGCGGCAGCTGCACAGGGACTTGGAGCAGGCCAAGGAGAAGGGGGAGCGGGCAGAGAAGCTGGAGAGGGAGCTACAGCGACTCCAGGAGGAGAACGGGAGGCTGGCCAGGAAGGTGACCTCCCTGGAGACAGCCACCGAGAAAGTCGAGGCCCTGGAGCATGAGAGCCAGGGCCTGCAGCTGGAGAACCGGACTCTGAGGAAGTCTCTGGACACCTTGCAGAACGTGTCCCTGCAGCTTGAGGGCCTGGAGCGTGACAACAAGCAGCTGGACGCAGAGAACCTGGAGCTGCGCAGGCTGGTGGAGACCATGCGCTTCACCAGCACCAAGCTGGCACAGATGGAGAGGGAGAACCAGCAGCTGGAGCGTGAGAAGGAGGAGCTGAGGAAGAACGTGGATCTGCTCAAGGCGCTGGGCAAGAAGTCAGAGCGCCTGGAGCTCAGCTACCAGAGCGTGAGCGCTGAGAACCTCCGGCTGCAGCAGAGCCTGGAGAGCAGCAGCCACAAGACGCAGACCTTGGAGAGTGAGCTGGGCGAGCTGGAGGCTGAGCGCCAGGCGCTGCGGCGGGACCTGGAGGCCCTCCGGCTGGCCAATGCACAGTTGGAGGGGGCCGAGAAGGACAGGAAGGCCCTGGAGCAGGAGGTGGCCCAGCTCGAGAAGGATAAGAAGCTGCTGGAGAAGGAGGCCAAGCGGCTGTGGCAGCAGGTGGAGCTCAAGGATGCAGTCTTGGACGATAGCACTGCCAAACTGTCCGCCGTTGAGAAGGAGAGCCGCGCGCTGGACAAGGAGCTGGCCCGCTGCAGGGACGCAGCCGGCAAGCTGAAGGAGCTGGAGAAGGACAACCGGGACCTCACCAAGCAAGTCACCGTGCATGCAAGGACACTGACAACTCTGAGGGAGGTGAGCAAACACAGGCGGCGCCTGTAAGGGGATTGGCAGATGGTGGTAGTGGGTTCTGTGGTGCATGGTTTCAGGAGAGAAATAAGACTCTGTGTCCTCCTTAAATGCTTTATCTAATTCTAAACAGCAATACCTAAAGGTCTAAGAACCCAGTGAATACCACGTATTACAATCTTACAACCCAGAGATAACGCTTCTCATAGTTTGAGTTGTTTCGTTTCATCATTTTCCCTCGTGTGTACAGACACATGCTTGATGTCATACTTACACACAGGTGAGCTGTTGTGGTTTTTATTAATTATGTTGTGGTTTTTGTTATTTTAGATTTCAAAGCCACAATTTCCCAATGGCCGTAAGATATTTGTTTGTTTGTTTATGTATTTATTTATTTATTTTTGAGACGGAGTCTCACTGTCGTCCAGGCTGGAGTGTTGTTGCGTGATCTCGGCTCACTGCAACCTCTGCCTCCCAGATTCAAGCGATTCTTGTGCCTCAGCATCCCACATAGCTGGGCCTACAGATGCACACTACCACACCTGGCTAATCTTTTTGTATTTTTAGTAGAGACGGGTTTTCACCATGTTGGCCAGGCTGGTCTCGAACGCCTGACCTCAGGTGACCCACCCGCCTCGGCCTCCCAAAGTGCTGGGATTACAGGCATGAGCCACCGCGCCCGACCCTTACTTATTTTTGAGACAGAATCTTGCTTTGTCACCCAGGCTGGAGTGCAGTGGTGTGACCCCAGCTCACTGCAGGCTCCACCTCCTGGGTTCAAGCGATTCTCCTGCCTCAGCCTCCTAAGTATTGGGATTACAGACACGCACCATCACGCCTCGCTAATTTTTGTATTTTTAGTAGAGGTGGGGTTTCGCCATCTTGGCCAGGCTGGTCTTGAACTCTTGACCTCAGGGGATCCATCTGCCTCAGGCTCCCAAAGTGCTGGGATTACAGGTGTGGGCCACTGCACCTGGCCAAGATATTTAATCCTATAGGTTTACTGTAATTATTTTTTAGATGTTTAGATTGTTTTAGTGTTTTCCACTATTTTATTTTTATTATTTTTTAAATTTTATTACTTTTTTCCTAGAATCCTTTCCTGAAGTTTTTTTTAAATTTATTTTTAAAATTTTATTACCTTTTTTCCTAGAATCCTCTTTTCCACTATTTTAAATAATACTAGACATCCTTGTATACATAGACCTTCATGAATCAAACTATTTTTTAGGGTATATTCTCAGAAATGGAATTACAGGGTCAAAGAGTGTGAACGTGTTAGTCTCTTGAGGGATATAAAATCCTCCAGAATTCCATGTTGTCCTTACCCTGGTAAGTGTTGTGTGGGCCACCTGGGCATTTGTTTAGTATGCTGGGGTGAGTAGATGGCTGCTCTGGGAAATGGCTTCAGCAGCTGAGTGGCCCAGCACCGTTTATCTCACTCGTGAAGGGTCTAGTGTGGGGACCCTGCCCACATGGGAGAAGCCAGGCGCTGGAGTCACTGCACTTAAGGCCCAGTTCAGGCACCTGGCTTCTGCCATCTTGAGGCTTGGGCACCCCTAGTGGAGTCCTCTTCTGGTTCCTCGGCCTGTGGTGGGTAGAGGAGGAAGAGAGAGAGTGAGGAAGATCATGCTGCATGGGTGGGGCTCAGCAGCACAGCCACACCCAACCACAGGGTGCCACATGCCACACAAGAGAAGGAAATGGGTTTGGTGAACACTGAGCAGTCTCCACACTGGAAAGAGATGACTGACGATCCATGCAGGCAATTCCATGTGCTGTGGGGGAGAGATCCAAAATATGAATGCAGGCAGAGCCCCGGCTCGTTAGCGTAGGTTAGTTAGGCTGTGCTACGATAGCCAACCCCAGCATCTCTGCTGCTCATCACAGCCAAGGCTTACTTCTTGCTCACCAGAGTCCAGGGGACCCTTCAGGGAGTCTGTCCTCTGCTTGACCCAGCAGTCCAGGCTGTTTTGATCTCGTGGCTCCACGGTCTCTACACCAGGCTTGGGCGGTTGCCATGGCAGGTGAAAGGGCAGCTGAATGTCACACATAGGCTCTTCTGTGCTCCAGTCAGGGAGTCACCCACATCACTCCCACTTCATCCCCTTTGCCAGAGCTGGTGACCTGGCTTCAGCTGATACAGGGTGGCTGGGAAATTTGGGGGAGCAGGTAATGAGCATCACTGTCTCTGTCACAGTGCCGTTCAGGTCTGAGGATTTGGTAGGAGGGTTAAGCGTGCATGCGAATGACTGTGACACCAGGCAGAAAACGGTCACTATCTAGAGAGCTACAAAGAGGTGCTGACGTAAACTGGGGTGGAGGAAGTGAACCACCGACATGCATTCAACACCCATGTTTTGAAAAGTAGACCAAGGCCGGGTGCAGTGGCTCGCGCCTGTAATCCCAGCACTTTGGAAGACCAAGGTAGAAAGATTGCTTGAGGCCAGGAGTTCAAGACCAACCTGGAAATATAGCAAGACCCCATCTCTACAAAAAATTTAAAAATTAGCCAGGTGTGCTGGTGCACACCTGTAATTCCAGCTACTGAGGAGGCTGAGGTGGAGGATCACCTGAGCCAGGAGTTCAAGGCTGCAGTGAGCTGTGATCACACCACTGCACTTCAGCCTAGGCAACCAAGCAAGACGCTGTCTCTAAAAAATGAAAAGTAAACCAGATCCAGGGTTTAAAATAAAATATTTCCCCTCTTTACACATTTTCTGTTTCAAAGTGTCTACAAGGGGCCTTTAATTACTTGTTGCTTTGTTGAAAAGTCAGCCATATTATCAGAAATCAAACATACTACTTAAAGGTCAACATAAGTGGCATTTCAAATACATGACTTAGAGAAGTGGCATATTAGATCCATCCTGACATGTAGCCACCTGGTCTGGTTGTTTTCAGCACCAGGAGGGCTGGACAAGTGCATTCATTGGCTTTCCTCGGGAAGAGCATCCCTGGGGTTCAGAGTCCCCTCGCTCCACACGGAGGCAGCCGTGGCCCGGGAGGACAGTTGCTCACACCCGGGCGGGACTGGCGCCTGGCCTTCCTGCGTGTTTTGCTGAGCTCCTATCCAGTGCTCTCTCCCCATCATTCCAGGACCTGGTGCTCGAGAAGCTGAAGAGCCAGCAGCTCAGCAGTGAGCTGGACAAGCTGAGCCAGGAACTGGAGAAGGTCGGCCTCAACAGGGAGCTGCTGTTGCAGGAGGACGACAGCGGCAGTGACACGTGAGGGCCTCTTCTCCCTCTCCCCATCGTGGGAGCACTTCCTCCACTGTTCAGTCTGCAGGCTCCTCACCCTCCCCTGAGACCTCCATGAACTCTCTACTGCCGAGGGCTGTGACCTCACGCGGTTCCTTGAACCCAAAGTTCCTTGGTCGTTTCTGTTCCAGCTCTTGTTCCTTGAGGTTCTCAGATAGGTGTGGAAGGAGATTTTGTCTGATGAAAAAGCTTCTTAATTTTTTTTTTTTTTTTTTTGAGACAGGGTCTGGCTCTGTTGTCCAGGCTGGAGTGTAGTATTATGATTTCGGCTTACCTCCATGTCCACCTCCCGGGTTCAAGCGATCCTCCAGCCCTAGCTGGAGACCACTACCTAGCTGGGACCACAGGCATGCACCGCCACACCTGGCTAATCCTTGTATGTTTTGTATAGAGGGGGTTTCGCCATATTAGCCAGGCTGGTCTTGAACTCCTGAGCTCAAAGCGATCTGCCCACCTCAGCCTCCCAAAATGCTGGGATTACAGGTGTGAGCCACTGCTCCCAGCCACGCTTCTTAATTTTTTTAAAAAATTAGACTATTACAGTTTTTCCCTGCAATGCTTGCTTAAATGATAATGGGTTTTGTTGTTGTTTTGAGACGAAGTGTCACTCTGTCATCCAGGCAGGAGTGCAGTGGTGTGATCCCGGCTCAGTGATGAAAACCTCCGCCTCCTGGTTTTAAGTGATTCTTACGCCTCAGCCTCCTGAGTAGCTGAGATTACAGACATGCATCACCATGCCCAGCTAATTTTTGTATTTTTTTAGTAGAGACGGGGTTTCACCATGTTGGCCAGACTGGTCTCGAACGCCTGACCTCAAGTGATCCTCCCGCCTTGGCATCCCAAAGTGCCGGGATTACAGGCATGAGCCACTGTGCTCGGCCTGATCTTGTTTTTTGGGAAATCGAACATCTTGGACTTTTCCTGGACTTGTAACCGAGAAGATCCACATGCCTTATAGTAGGAGTCCTCTCTGGTGGAAAGGCCTTAGACTTACCACTTAACCTAGCACTGTGACCTTGGGCAAATTGCTTAACCTTTCTGAGACTCAGTTTCCCCTTCGGTAAAATGGCAATAATAATTCCTGCCTCAGACAGTGACTGTAAAACTGTAGCCGTGGTGTCGCCTTTGAAGGTTTCACAGGTGTTTCTACCCAGGGAACCCCCCAAAGGGCTCTGGGAAGATGAGTTTTGGCTCGTGAGTTCTTCTGGGCCAAAAGCTGCAGCAGCTCCGTAACCCAGCCTAATGGAAGGAGTGATGTGTTGGCAGCGAGGACACTGGGAACTTGCGGAGAGGAAGTAGATAAGTGATACTATTGTATCTTTGTGTTTTCCAGAAAATACAAGATTTTGGAGGGCAGAAATGAATCAGCATTAAAAACAACACTAGCCATGAAAGAAGAAAAGATTGTGCTCTTAGAAGCACAGATGGAAGAGAAAGCGAGCCTAAATCGCCAGTTAGAGAGTGAGCTGCAGATGGTGAGTGTGGAGGTTGCACTGTGGGGCCCAGCTGCCCATTCTCAGCCTCACCCTTTCCAGCCCCTCACCTGTATAGCAGTGGGGTGGCCTGGATACCCATTTTCTAGGGCAGGGGTAGATGCGCCACAGAGTGACTGAGGGAGCCACCCTCAGAATCACACGCACTAGGGCCAAACAGAACCAGAATAAGAGCCACAGGCCTGCGGGGAGGCGGGCAGTGGCCTAGAGCAGCACCAAGTCCACCAGGCAAGATACGGGAACACCCCTGAGAGCCCTCCATGAAACTGCACGTTGGGCACTGAGCAACGGCCTGCAGAGTCTCACGGGTGCCCTCTGATGAGACAGATGGGTGCACAGGGACTCATGAGGACATGCACATGTCTACTTCTGGGTGCATGCATGCACACGTATTTGCCACATGTGTGAACACACTTTCCATACACATATAGATGTGTGTTCTCCACACATACACACTCTCCACATATGCACATGCTCCTTACACATGTACATGCATGCTCTCTACACACATGTATTATACATGTGCCCACCACGTGTGTGCACACTCCACACACAAACACATGCTCCTCACACACAGGTGTACACACCCGACACGTGCTCTCAATGTGCACACTCTCACAGGTGATCAGGTGTGCACACTCCCCCCTTCCACACACGCACTCTTCCAGCCTCAGTTTTGAACACATGCCATGCTTCTTGGCTGCAGGATTGAATAGGAATCTGGATAAAGCTGCTCCAGTGCCAGCAGGGGCTTTGAGACCTCATCCCTGTTCACCTCCTGTATCCTCAGCCTCACCTCTGTTTGAGGGAGTGGATAACTGAGGCTCAGGAAAGCAGGAAGCCACATGGCTAAAGCAGGGACTGAGGCAGGAACGGGTTGCAGGCCCCCACCTCCCTGTCCTCTCTGGAAGGGAAGGGAAAATGTAGGGCAGAGGGTTGGTGCCTTCCCCTCAAAAGAAAAGGAGCGCGTCTGGCTTACACAGACCAGGGCGGGCGAGTATGGGGAGTGTGGAGGGTGTGGTGCAGGTTGCCCTCAGCCACTCACTCGGGGCTCCAGGCCAGGCTGCTTCCGCCTAAAGCCTCCTTGCTTATTGTCACACCTGTAGCTAAAGAAGGAGTGTGAGACCCTCAGGCAGAACCAGGGAGAGGGGCAGCACTTGCAGAACTCTTTCAAGCACCCTGCGGGGAAGACAGCCGCCAGTCACCAGGGGAAGGAGGCCTGGGGGCCCGGCCATAAGGAAGCCACCATGGAGCTTCTCCGAGTGAAGGACCGGGCCATCGAGCTGGAGCGGAATGTGAGTGGGCTGGCCTGGGCATGGTCCATCGGGGACAGAGAGAGAGAGACTGCCTTATCAGTAGTCCCATTGATGACTTGTCATTGCTGTAAAGAACACAGGAGATTTAGCCAGATCTAGTTGGACACGTCTTGAGTTGCAGGTCCTGTGGGCCCCTCTTCATTTGAGGTCCCTTCCGTGATTCTCACATCAGGGGCACACACAGCCTTCATGGCAATTCAGCCTCTTCCTGTAGTGTTGTGTCTTTCAGTGCCCAGTACCAGGGATTGGGAAACTCCAGCCCCCACCTGCTTTTGTAAATAAAGTTTTATTAGCAGACAGTCATGCCCATTGTTTAGAGGTTGTCTGGGGCTGCTTCCCCTACAGTGACAATGATTCTTTAGGTTGAGATGGAAACCCCATGGCTGGCAAACCCAAAAGTATTTCCTATCTGGCCCTTTCTAGAAAAAGTCTGCTAATGCATGTCCGTGCCTCTGACTTTGATTCTCAACAATGACTTTATGAAGTTCAGAGTGGTGATTTTCATTATTTGATCGATGATAAAGCTCAAACAGAATTTCAGAGACTTGACCCAAAGCCCCATGCTAATAAGGGATAGTAAAAGACTACAGGTCCTGGCCCTTAGCCCAGTTGGTGGCAAACTTTAACATGGTCTTTATTAGTCTCACATAATGTGAAGTGCCTTATTCTACTTGCTGTCACCTCTGAGTAAGGCTGTAGCCTAAGGCTTTGACTCCCTGTCCTGTGAGATACTCAGGGTTGGAGTCAATGGGAGATGGAACCAGCTCACAGAAATGCACTCTTAGGGTGTTCAACAGAAAACAAAGGAAAGCATTAAAGAGACAAAGGAAGCAGCTTTAACTCCAGCATGCATTCACCTCCCACTCACATATGCAGGTGTCAGGCAGTGTCCCCATGATGTGTAGCCTTTAAAAAAAATCCTGCTGATTATCTTTTTCAAAGAGAGAAAATATACTGACCTCATCCAGCGGACCCTCGATTTGGCCCCCAAAACATCAACTTTTGAGGGTTCGTTACAACCCAAGTACCTGTGGCCAGTTAGCATTTACCCAGTTGGAGTTTGATTCGCTCATGCCTCCCGATCTTCTAGAATGCAGCTCTGCAGGCTGAGAAGCAGCTGCTAAAGGAACAGCTGCAGCACCTGGAGACCCAGAACGTGACCTTCAGCAGCCAGATCTTGACACTGCAGAAACAGAGCGCCTTCCTGCAGGAGCACAACACCACACTGCAGACCCAGACCGCCAAGCTGCAGGTGAGCGGGGCTCCCAACACCAGTGGTCACAAGCCTGGCGGGATGTTTATCTGTGGCTCCTGGGGACCAACTGGGGGCATTAGGACTCCTCAAAAGCAGCAGATCAAAGCACAAAGCAGTTTGGGATTTTGTTAATAGAGACCCGCTGTAAACAGTGATCAGTGAAGGGGGTGATAGTTTTTAAGCCATTTTCAGTGATTGAGAAAATGGCTGCATGGGCCATTTTCATTTCATTTCTCTCCTTTTACTTGCATTCTTGTCCATGTTTTCCAGTCTTTTCCTTGAAGTGTTACTAGGACTGACTTGGAAAAGAGGTTTCAGGATTAAGCTTGGTTTAACAAAGTTAACCAGGTTTCTTTACTGTAGAACCTGGCAGAACTCTTTCTTTTTAAGCTAATGTGAATTTTTAATCTCTAAGAGGGAAGTGTAGGATATTAAGTGGCTCCCAGACTGTTGAGAGCATCAAGCAGAACTAGGTTGTGTGCCACTTCAGATGCTTGTTTTCATTTATCGCCTATAGACTGTGGGGAAATAAATTATTTATTGCAGTTTTTGTTTGTTTGTTTTGAGATGGAGTCTCACTCTGTCACCCAGGCTGGAGTGCAGTGGTGCGATCTCGGCTCACTGCAAGCTCCACCTCCCAGGTTCAAGTGATTCTTGTGCCTTGGCTAATTTTTGTATTTTTAGTAGAGATGGGATTTCACGAAGTTAGCCAGGCTGGTCTCGAACTCCTGACCTCAAATGATCCACCCACCTCACCTCCCAAAGTGCTGGGATTACAGGCGTGAGCCACCACACCTGGCTTTTTATTGCAATTTCTGAGAAAAGTTTGAAAATATGTATCTTATGGGGCAAGGACAATCAACAGGAAACTGTTTGGCAAAGAAATCGGAATTTGTTCTGGTAACAAGAAAATAGTATATTGACTTACTATTTTGAATTTTTCTTACAGTCTTAATCTGGTTTTAATATCAGGGTAATTCTGGCTTCATAAAATGATTTGGGAAGTATTCCCTCCTCTTCAGTTTTCTGATGATTTTGGATGTTGTTGGATGGAGAGGTATACAAATATCAATTATGTTAAGTAGGTTGATAGTATTGTTCAGGTATTCTATATCCTTATTTACAGATATTCTGTATACTTGTTCTAGAAAATAGGTTCTGTTTTCATTGTAAGAGACAGGGTTTCACTCTGTCGCCCAGGCTGGAGTGCAGTGCTGCAATCATAGCTCACTATAACCTCCAACTCCTGGGCTCAAGCAGTCCTCCTGCCTCAGCCTCCCAAGTAGCTGGGACTATAGGCATACAACACCATGCCCAGCTAAGTTAAAAATACTTTTTTTTTGTAGAGATGGGGTCTCACTATGTTGCTCAGGCTGGTCTTGAATTCTTTGGTTCAAGTGACCCTCCTGCTTCTGCTTCCTGAAGTCCTGGGATTACAAGCCTGAGCCACCACAGTCAGCTGAAAAGAGGTTTTTAAAAAATAGTCAGAGAGGGCACAGCACACAAGGGAGTTATCCAGGGAAAGGACATCATCTGCCCCAGCAGCTCACATTTGTGGCGAGTGGCTCAGGACTGAAGTACCCTCTGAGTGCCCGTCTATGCGGTTTAGTCCCCTTCCCACAGCAGTTGCTTAAGTTCTGGAACAGCCATCCTGGGTACCCTCTGGGTCTTCTGCCCTGAGGGTCCCGGCTATTTTCGTGTCTGCTCGAGCACTTGACCTGCTCCCCAGCCCTCCTCGCTGACTGTGGGGCCTGCGCCACGCCGCGCTTCTCCCTCTCGGCAGGTGGAGAACTCCACGCTGAGTTCCCAGAGCGCAGCGCTCACCGCGCAGTACACGCTGCTGCAGAACCACCACACGGCCAAGGAGACGGAGAACGAAAGCCTGCAGAGGCAGCAGGAGCAACTTACAGCGGCCTACGAGGCCCTGCTGCAGGACCACGAGCACCTGGGCACGCTGCACGAGCGGCAATCGGCCGAGTACGAGGCCCTCATCCGCCAGCACAGCTGCCTAAAGACACTGCATCGGAATCTGGAGCTGGAGCACAAGGAGCTCGGGGAGAGGTAGGGCCTGGGGAAGGAAGGGGATCTGGGGAGGGGTAGAGTCCAGAGGAGAGGCTGGGCCCAGGGGGAAAGGTGGGGCCTGGGGTAGATGGGTGGGACCTAGGGGAGAGGCAGGGCCTGGGGAAGATGGGTGGAGCCTGGAGGAGATGGGTGGGACCTGGGGGAGAGTGATAGAGCCTGGAGGAGGGGTGGGGCCTGGGGAGAGGGGTGGAGCCTGGAGGAGAGGCAGAGCCTGGGGAGAGAGGTGGAGCCTGGAGAGAGGCGGGGTCTGGGGGAGGTGGGTAGGACCTGTGGGAAAGGCAGGGACTGGGGGAGATGGGTGGAGCCTGGACGAGAGGCGGGGGCCTCGTGAGAAGGGTGGAGCCTGGAGGAGAGGTGGAGCCTGGAGCAGAGGTGGGGTCTCAGGAGAGGGTCTCAGGAGAGGCAGGGCTTTGGGGAAGTGGGCAGGGCCCGGGGGAGAGGCAGGGTGTGTGGGGAGGGGAGGTGAAGGAGGGTGGAGGTGGGGCCCCTGGGTAGGCCTGCAGCGGGGCCTGAGGCCAGGCCTGGGGAGTCTGTCAGGCTGCGCGGAGGACTGGGACTTCCCTGGACCTCCCCTGCAGGAAATCTCTTGGCCAGCTGCTTCCCATTGTTGGGGCACCTGAGCTTTCCCAAAAGGAAGGAAATAAACGTTACCTTTAGCAATTTGGAATTTGTGCAACTGAAGACAGTAGTAAGAGGGGCTCCTGTGTGGAGAAGGGGATGCCTCTACTATTTCCAGTGGGCCTTTGGGGCCCTGATCCCTAAGGGTTCTCTTCTGTCTCTTTTCTCCCCAAAACAGAAATAAGGAGGGAATTCTCCACGGCTCCGTTTGTAGGGGTATGCCTTCTCTGGCCTCCCAGCTCTTCTCTTTCATATCAAGGTCTCGCTTGCTTTTTTTCATTTTTAACCTTTAATTATGGAAACTTCCGAACATATAGAAAGGAAGCAGAATCATATAGTGAAACTCTTGTGTATGCATCATGCACTCTCGACAGTCATTTATGTCCTGCTGTTCTCATTTCATGTGCACCTCCCACTCTCCACACCCTCACCCCATTTTTTACAGGTAAAACTTACATTGAAATGCACACATCTTAACTTTGCACTCTTGACAGTTCATGGTCTTGGGTTTTGTATTCATTAAGTCAGCCAATCTGGGCTGGGATTCTGTCTCCTGCTGATCAGTGATGGTACCAGGCACCTGCGCAGGGCATGGCAGGATCCAGGGAGGGCTAGGAGAGGTAGGATGCTGCTCTCCAGAGTCTGAGGGGCAGGTGTGATGTGCACCTGAATCTGATGCATGAGAGAGACATGGCTAAAGAGAGGCTCTCAGGTACTTGGAGTACAACAGAGGGAGCAAGATCTACTTCCTTTGCCTGGGAAATGGCCCTGCTGATGGTATATCCTTTGGAGCCGCCTCAACAACATGGCTAAGTGATCGTTGGTTCTTCAAGGTGGGAGTGGGGAGGACATCTCCACGGTCAGGAGCCACAAATGTCATTGAATCACAAAAGCCTTGTGCGGGCGCTGATGATGCTTGTGGGTTCATGGGTGGTGATGACATTCATTTATTCACTTGCCAAGTGCTTCCTTTTTGTCTCTATCTGGAGTTCTTCACCCCTTTTATCCATCCAGATCTCCATCCTTCAGGGGCTGTTGAGGCATCTGAAACTATAAGACTACTCCTTCCGGCCTAAAGTAGCATCTTCTGCCTCTTTTCACTTTGATCTCTCCCTCGTCTTCCCCCACCCATCTTGTTATTTGTGTGACATTTATTGTGTACGTGGTGCTGTGTCTAGACATGGTAGGAGTTGCACCCAGCTGACAAACTAATGAAGCATTCGTGTAAGTCTGATACTAGCATGATGCCCAGCACTCACCAGGCACTTGCGTGCCTTATTCTTAGTGTTATGTTATGTCGTATTAAATAATGCTGTATTGTATTCTTTCCTTCTTTCTTTATTTTGAGATGGAGTCTCACTCTGTCGCCCAGGCTGGAGTGCAGTGGAGCGATCTTGGCTCACAGCAGCCTCCACCTCCCGGCTTCAAGCAATCCTCCTACTTCAGCCTCCCAAGTAGCTGGGACTACAGGCATGCACCACCACACCCGGCTAATTTTTGTATTTTTTAGTAGAGATGGGGTTTCACCATGTTGACCAGGCTGGTTTTGAACTCCCTACCTCAAGTGATCCACCTGTCTCGGCCTCCCAAAATGCTGGGATTATAGGCGTGAGCCACCGTGCTGACCCCTTATTGTATTCTTAATGTGCATTCAGAGAGCAAAGGTTTTGGCAGGTGGAGTCTGGACTGTTGTTTTCCCTGCAGGTCCTTGCTCAGTACAGCATGTGGTAGTTACTCAGTGCTTTTTGCTGGTTGGACAGATGACTGGAGGCTCCCTTGCTGTGTCTGCAGCAGGGCTACAGGTTTAGGAGTGTAGGTACATGGCACACAAGGATGATGGTTTTCTCTTCTTCTCATTTGACACTAAAATCGGAGACGCTCACCCACTCATTGCTCTAACAAGCATTCACTACGTGTCATTCCTCACACGGGGATTCAGTGGTGAGTAAGAGTTATAAAGTTTCTGCCCTACAGTTGGGTCATTGCTAATGGTTAGAGACATGCTTGATTAATGTGCTTTTCCAACAAGGTGCAGTGGAGTCCTGAAGAGAAAGGCCAGAAACCCCAGGGACACTGGCTAGCCTCTGTCAGATTGTCTTTGGGTGTGAGACACTCAGGAAGGGGTCTGTAGAGAAGAATTTGCCTGAATGGGAAAGATCAGGAGACTGTGCCTCAGACTTCTCAACACTTCCAGTCTGCTAGGAGATCCTGGGTCACCCGTGAACACACGAGGTTGAAACAGGCTGGGAAGGGGAGGGGCCGGGACCTATGGGGCTACATCATTGTACTCTGCCCCCCAAGAGATGGCCAGTGCAGCCGACAAAGATAGATTAGAGCCTGGAGAAGATTAGAGCCTTGAGGGTAAGGAGAAAGTTGTGGGGACGGTGAGGGCTGTGGCTAAGGCGCCTGAGGAGAGCTGCTGTGTGTATGTGACAACTAGTCCCTGGCAGCTCCTGGGTGAGCCTCTGTCCCCTGGGGAAGGCCAGACTAAGAACAAGTGGATGCAGGCTCCTAAGGGGAGAGGGAGAGGCTTCTCCAGCCCTTGGAGGGTGAGATTAGCTGTGATGTGCAGCGGAATTCCACTGTTTGTTTTGTGGTTTCTCTTAGATTTATTTGTGCTTAGTGAACTACCTAGTAGCGTATTTATAATTCCCTAAAAGAGAAGGGCATGGAGCTCAGAAAATGTAGTCATCACATTGTCAGGTGGCTAAAGGAAGAGCGACTGCTTTATCAGGGCATGGAGGGACTATGGAGACAGAACGGGCTGGAGGAAGAGGATTCTGGGCTCCAGGGCTTGGCGCTGGCCTTGACATGGCTCCCAGTGGCTGCGCTCC
The DNA here is from genome assembly GCF_000001405.40 of Homo sapiens. NCBI lineage: Eukaryota > Metazoa > Chordata > Mammalia > Primates > Hominidae > Homo > Homo sapiens. The sequence goes on along the minus strand of NC_000014.9, from coordinate 91,300,227 downwards.
CCGCCTGTTCCCTGCCCCATGCCCCTCACTTCTGCAGAGAGACTCTCCAGAGGAATCCCATTTTCTCACGGGAGGCACGCAGATCCTCTGGGATGTGAGTTACCTGTCGGAAAAGAAGGCCCTGGCCAGACTCACGGCAGGTGCTTCCCTCCAACAGGCACGGTGACATGCTGAAGCGCAAGGCGGAGCTGGAGGAGCGGGAGAAGGTCTTGACCACTGAGCGAGAGGCGCTGCAGCAGGAGCAGAGGACAAACGCCCTCGCCATGGGCGAGAACCAGAGGCTGCGGGGCGAGCTGGACAGGTGAGCGCCGGCGCCCGGCCCTGCACATAGCAGCACCCCAGATTCTGTTCAGACTCTCCTTGCATAGCAACCACTGAGAAGTTCAAGTCCCCTGGCGATCGTGGATTTTTATCCCTTGCTGTGTGAACAGCTGGGTGGGTAAAATAAGCTAAAGGGCAACTCTAGCTGGTTGCTGGCATGAGAGCACTCAGGTGACACCTGGGGATGGCGCGTCGTCTGAGTTAAGTGGTTCTCCCCTCCCACCCTTGTGGTGAGGATTGCATCAGGCACAGGTGAATTCATCATCTGGCATAAGCCTGCCTCTTGCTCATGAAGGAGAAACTGCAGATTGCTCATGATTCACAGAACCCCTATTTGTGAATCCACCTACTTGCTAAAGTTTTATTTGCCGCCCCAAGACCAGTCTCCGTGGGGCTTTCGTGGACACGCACAGAGTGGTGAAATGCGGGAGTCACTGGATGCGCACCTTCCCAGCTGAGGGCACACACGACAGCACGCTGCCTTCTTGTTTCAGCTCCTACTGCAAACAAATGTCCCTTTCAGAATCTCTTCAATGCCACGGTTTTCATATTTTGTGCTTTCGGGAAGTGACTTTGCTGTTTAAAATGACCCACAATTGTAGTACTGAAGTGCTGTTTCATGTCCCTAAGCAGAAGGTGGCTGTGATGTGCCTTACAGAGAAAAAGTCTTAGATAAGCTTTGTTCAGGCATGAGTTATAGTGCTGTTGGCTGTGAATTGCTGCATAAGGTATCTTCAAACAGAAACCCACATAAAACAAGGTTATGTATTGATCAGTAACAAAAATGTGGCCAGAGGCTCCCGGGAACCTAATTCTATATTTTTTCCCTAGGCTGGATGCTTCGCTGTTCACTAATTCAGTGTTTACAGCAACTTTATAGAATGTGACTACCACACATAATGAGAATCGACTATACTATTGTTATCTTTTTGGCTTTCTTTTTAACAGATGAGGAAACAGGTTGGGAGAGATTAAATAACTTGTTCCGAGTCAGTGTTTCTAGTGAATAGCAGAGTCAGGATGGAATCCAGGTCCTGTCTCATTGCAAAGGCTTGACCATACGAAATTCTTCCTCCTCCCACATACTCGAGTTCGTGTATACGGGGGGTTAGAAACTCAGTTACCTTGGCTCCCCAGGCAAATAAAGCACATGGGTGAAACAGTACCAGACATAGACCACAGACTGTTGAACGGAGAATGCACATCGTCTAAAAGGGCAGCAGAGAATCGGCTCCAGCAAAGGCCGCCAGCTGGAGGCGGGCCCGGGACTGCCTGGGCAGCCTTTTGTTTTTTATATTTTAAGAGAACCTGAATGTTTGGGTATTGATGTAAACTTCAAATTTTTTAATGCTGGCCACTAAATTTTTTTTTTTTTTTTGAGATGGGATCTTGCTCAGCCACTGAGGCTGGAGTGACATGATCATGGCTCACTGCAGCCTTAACTCCCTGGGCCTAAGTGATCCTCCCAGCCCAGCCTCCCAAGTAGCTGGGAGCACAGGTGTGCGTCACTATGCCCGGCAACATTTTTTTTTTTGAGACGGAGTCTTGCTCTGTCACCAGGCTGGAGTGCAGTGGCGCGATCTCGGCTCACTGCAAGCTCCGCCTCCCGGGTTCCCGGCAACTTTTTTCTACTTTTTGCAGAGATGGGGGTCTCACTATGTCGCCTAGGCTGGTGTGGAACTGGCCTCAAGCGATCCTCCCTCCTCAGCCTCCCAGAGTGCTGGGATTACAGGCGTGAGCCACCATACCTGGTCAACTAATTTGTTTTTAAAAAGTAAAATTGTACAGGCCAAATAAGACACGTCTATGTCCAAATCAAGTCCACAAGACCCTGGTAATGAGCTTTCTGATATAAATCTCCAGAGAACTCCCAGTTGGATAATAGTTGTTTTGATGATAGCAATTTTAATAGATTTACATAATACACACCATCTCACACTTTATCTCACGAGCTGAAATTAGAAAGGGGCTTGGAATTGGGAAGAAGAGCTGGGCAGAGACAGAATTTTAGAGCAAAAATGGTCTAGTTTAGTGGTTTAAACATTTTTTTAAACAGCAGAATCTTGTTTTTCAAGTGTACACAGATACCAAAGCTGTAGCATGGAAGTGATGGTAGCAGTGATGCTGTGTTGAAACAGGTGTCTGAGCTTGCCTGCTCAGTCTCCCTGGAGGCTCAGTGTAGTGGCATCAGGGGTACCCTCATGCATCCCCAAAGAACACAGTTTGCTGATGGACAGTTTTGTCCAAGCTCCTTATTTTATGCATGGAAAAAAAAAAAAGCCCAGAGAGGTTGTGATTTTGTCTAAGGTTGCACAGCCTGCCACTGTCAGAGCTGGGACATAGCCCAGGTCTCTGGGCCGTTACCTGTTTGTCAGGCTCTTCAGCTCCTTTGCCCTGTGACTCTTCCTCCTCCAGGGTCAATTTCCTGCACCACCAGCTGAAGGGGGAGTACGAGGAGCTGCACGCCCACACCAAGGAGCTGAAAACCTCACTGAACAACGCGCAGCTGGAGCTCAACCGCTGGCAGGCCCGCTTCGACGAGCTGAAGGAGCAGCACCAGACCATGGACATCTCGCTGACCAAGCTGGACAACCACTGTGAGGTGAGGCCAGCGCCAGGGGAGCCTCGGGAGACAGGGATGAGTCCCCCAAGGGGACAGCCCAGGGCTCAGCCAAGCTGTGAGGGGTCCTCATGGGCATTTGTGCTCAAAGACAGAAATGTGTGGAGGTGGCACAGAGGCTGCGGTGAAGCCAGAGGTGCTGACGGGGGTCATTGTGGCTTCTGGTGGGACTGTATACGAAAACACCCCTGTCTGACCGTCACCTTTTGCAGGGTCGGGAGAGGCACAGTGGGGACGGTTGATGATGTTTTATCTCGATCCTCTTAGCTGTGTCTATACTGTCTTCCTACATCTCTTCAGTTCAGTAGTCACACTGTCCTAGAGAAGTGGTGTGAATTTGCTCCATTTTGGGGTGTGGCTGCCTCTGGGACGGAGCTCACTCGGGAGTCCCTGGCTTCCAGAGCCGTCCCTTCTAGTACACAAGGTTGGAAATGGCCTCACGCAGCAAGACCCTCTCCAGATGAGATCTTAACAGACCTCAGCACATGGAAGGCTGGTGAGGCAGGTCTGGCAGGGAGGAGCACGTAGGTCTCACCCCACCTCCTAGACAGCCCCAGGGACAGCTGGCACCTCAGGACAAGGTTTGCTCTTTGAGAAACAGTCTCAGACGCCTTTTGCCCAGATCCCTCAGTAGCCCTGTGAGACATCACAAATGAGGAAACCGAGGCGCAGGGTGCCAAGATGCCTTGTCACAGCCACCCACCCAGATCTTGTGCTGCCCCCTGAGAATGAGAGACCCTGGGACCCTGAGGGCCCCACGGGGGTGGAGGCGGGATGGAGGCAAAGGCCACGGCACTGCCTGTGGAATCCTCGCCCCCAGGGGCTGTGCTGTCACAGGCAGGTGCGTCAGGATCTTCCAGGAGGTTTCAGGTCAGGGGCTGCAGCGCAGGCCCCGTGGAAAAGGTCACGCTGATGAAGTGAAGGACTGGCAAGAGCTGGACATGTGTGGTAGGCTTTGCATGGGAAGGACTGATTTGCACAGAAATGGACAGGGGTACTTTTTGGAAGATGCTGATGATTCACTCAGGGTGGAACACAGGTCACGAGAGGGGACAAGGGAAGGGCTGTGGCCAGGATGGTGGCTTTTGGGGAGGGGTTCAGCAGAACTCCAGGTCCAGCACAAACCAGTCCCCCCAAACAGGCCACACATGGAAACCATGTTCGTCTCCCTGGGCTGGAGGAGCAAAAGACCTCAAGCCGGGTGGCTTAAGCCGCAGAGGTGGGTTTCTTCCGGTTGGGAGGCTGGACGTCCATGATCCGTGAACCGGCAGGGCTGAGCTGGTTTCTCCCAAGGCCTCTCCCTGGCTTGCAGGCAGTGCTCTTTTTCTCTGTGCGGGCTCATTCCCAGTATCTACGTGTCGAGATTTCCTTTTCTTGAAAGGACATCAGTCAGATTGGATCAGAGCCCACCCTCATGGCAGCCTCATTTTAACTTAATGGCCTCTTTATGGACCCTGTCTCCAAATGCAGTCCCATGCTAGGGACTGGGGCTTAGGGCTTCACTGTATGAATTCTGGGGACATGGTTCACCCTGTGGCAGAAGCGAAGCAGCATAAGCGAAGTGATGAGGGCGTGGCTGTGCTCGGAGCCGTGCTCGCCGCTCCTCCTAACCCGCCTCTCTCCAGGAGCCCATATGCCTTACATTGGGTTGGTTTGTTGCCCGGCATCTAATGAGGTGGAAGAGCAGCTCCCCCATCGTTACTGGGATGCACTGGCCCTCAGGATCATGGACTTGGGCTGAAGGGTGGGGCCCAGCCGGCTTGGTTCCCTGGGGCCCCCCCGGCCACACAGGGTCTTTCTGTTGGGCCAAAGCTGAGTTTCCAGGGACGGCCTTTCACCCTGCAGACCGCTGACTTGCCACGTTTGTGACGTGCCTGACTCCCAAGCCTCGTGCAGTTCTCTACACTGGGGAGACTAATGCTTTATTATGGTATTTGTTTTAATTCTTGCCCAAGCAATATAGCAGTGGCAATCACAGAAGTATTTTTAGTGAAAAAATGCCATAGCTTCACCTCCTTTTTCCTTCCAGTTCTTCTCACTGTATGCATAAATTATGTATAATTATATTAAAAACAGGTAGAATTTTGGTTTTTCTTTTAATGGTGAAGTTAAAGTTAGAATTGCTTATGGGGTGAAGAGGAGGGGACAGCCTATGTTTCCCACCTCCGGTGTACCAGGCATTTTGCTGTGTTCTCCTCTATGTTACTCAGTCCTTACGGTGGCCCCATGAGCCCATCCTCCTTTCTCATAGTCGCGTATTGGAATCCAAAGCCTGTGATTTTCCCATTGCACCCCAATCATACTCTAGAACAGAAGTTGGCAGACTTCAGGCCAGGCGCGGTGGTTCACGCCTGTAATCCCAGCACTTTGGGAGGCTGAAGCGGGTGGATCACCTGAGGTCAGGAGTTTGAGAACAGCCTGCCAACATGATGAAACCCCGTCTCTACTAAAAACACAAAAAATTAGCTGGGCGTGGTGGCACGCGCCTGTAATCCCAGCTGAGACTCAGGAGGCTGAGGCAGGAGAGTCGCTTGAACCCAGGAGGCGGAGGTTGCAGTGAGCCGAGGTCATGCCACTCCACTCCAGCCTGGGCAACAAGAGCAAAACTCCATCTCAAAACAAACAAACGAAAACATTATTGATGAGATTTTTCGTATTCTTTTTATTTGTACTAAGCCTTCAAAATCTGCTGCGTATTTTGCACTTGTGCATCATGATTCAGACTAGCTGCATTTTACTGCTCAGTAGCCATGTTGCCAGGGACATCTGGATTAAACAATGCAGCTGCAGAGGGAACTCAGCCATTCCCACGTTATTGGCCGTTTGGCCCTTTCCAAGTTTCCACTGGCGTAGATTATGCTGCGTTGAACATCTTTGTGCAGTGGCCTTCTTCCTTTGGGAGCTAGGTTCCCAGCAGTGGGAACACCGGGTCACATGGTGTCTGAGACGCTGTTGGTCTGTGTTCTAGCTGCTCTCCCGTCTCAAGGGGAACTTGGAGGAAGAAAATCATCACCTCCTGAGCCAGATCCAGCTGTTGAGCCAGCAGAACCAGATGCTTCTGGAGCAGAACATGGAGAACAAGGAGCAGTACCATGAGGAGCAGAAGCAGTACATGTAAGCAGGGAGTCCCTGAACCCCTCTCCGCACCCTCACCACAGCTGCACATCCTCAGTCTCTGGAGGTCCTGGCTTCCCATGCAGAGAGGAGCCCCTGGGCCCGTTGGGATCCTGAGGGCAGGGCACAGACCGATCACCAGCACGGACTGCCCTTAGTTTCCTGGAATGTTCTCAGTTTCTAGAGTTCTCAGTTGGCTTTTGTTTGCTCTTTCAGAGGCGCTTTCCACCACCAGAAACTTCTTTTCTCTGCTTCTAGAATTAAATTCACTTGAAAAAATCATGAGAACACTGAAGTATCTCAAGGGGGAGAATTCAAACTGAAGGCTGGGAATGAGTGCTGTACACCTGCCTGTGTCCCCCTGGATGGAGGGAAGTGGGCTTGTTGGGCCCTGTGAGGTGCACAGAACCAGTTCCCTGGTAGCCAGGAACCAGTAGGGGGAGGTAAAATGTGAACAGAGCTTCATCCATTACCAGCCAGATGTGAAGGGTTACATGAAGCATGGAAAAAAAACAGGGGGAGTTGAAGTCCACAGCTACCCCAGGGGGTCTGGGGGAGGCCCACAGGAGGTGGGCCATGGCAGGCGAGGGGACAGGAAGGTGGGCCGTGGCAGGCGAGGGGACAGGAAGGTGGGCCGTGGCAGGTGAGGGGACAGGAAGGTAGGCCGTGGCAGGTGAGGATGGGAAGGTGAGCTGTGGCAGGTGAGGATGGGAAGGTGGACCGTGGCAGGTGAGGACGGGAAGGTGGGCCGTGGCAGGTGAGGGGGCAGGAAGGTGGGCTGTGGCAGGCGAGGGGGCAGGAAGGTGGGCCGTGGCAGGCGAGGGGACAGGAAGGTGAGCTTTGGCAGGTGAGGATGGGAAGGTGGGCCGTGGCAGGTGAGGGGACAGGAAGGTCGGCCGTGGCAGGTGAGGATGGGAAGGTGGGCCATGGCAGGTGAGGGGGCAGGAAGGTGGGCCGTGGCAGGTGAGGGGACAGGAAGGTGAGCTGTGGCAGGTGAGGATGGGAAGGTGGGCTATGGCAGGTGAGGATGGGAAGGTGGGCTGTGGCAAGTGAGGACGGGAAGGTGGGCCGTGGCAGGTGAGGACAGGAAGGTGGGCTGTGGCAGGTGAGGGGACAGGAAGGTCAGCCGTGGCAGGTGAGGACGGGAAGGTGAGCTGTGGCAGGTGGTCTAAGTGCGGGGAATGTGCAGGAGGCACCCAGAGAGAAGGCTGGAAAAGGAGGTGGGCGCTCAGCTGTGGTAGCTTCCATGTCCAGCTAAAGATGTTGGATTCCTGGAGTTGTTTTGGAAGGGATACTACTCTGGCAGGGCCAGGGAAGCTTCCAGAAATAGAAGGCAAGGGGACGAACCCTGGTGCCAGGAATCTCGTGGTTCAGAAGTCGAGGAATCGAGAATCTAGAGTGGTTTCTGGATCCTAGCCATGGTGGTTGGGCTGTCCTTCCACGTGATCGGGAATGGCTGGTATTGGCGTCCGGGCAGGCATTGGTGTGCTGGCATCAGTGTGGGGAAGGCAAGAAGGGACGTGCTTGTGGTGGGACGTGGTCACTGTGGTCACAGTGAACACTGGTGTGCTATCCCAACTCTCTGATGTAACGATGCTCCTTTGTTATTCTGTCGGCTTCACCTACGTGTCTAGGGCTGGCGTGCCACCTTCGGGAGGATGGTTTGTATGTAAAAGCACACTGTAATTGTGGGGTGGAAATGACCCTGAAGTTGGCCCTCTATAATCCCGGTGATAAAATATCGCCAGCAGAGGTTGGGCAGGTGCTAACTGGAAGAAGTATAGGAGCACTCAGGGGGATTATTTGATGACGTTTTTGCATTAGACAGTGTCTACTCCAGGCCAGTGGGTTGGCAGGCTTCCTGGGGCCTGCTCCGGGCCCTGGAGTTCGTGTGAGTCTGTGGGGCCAACCCCAGCCATGAAGCACTCAAGGCTTAAGGCTCAGCAGCACGGCCGTGAGCACAGAACACCAGCACACGGATGTCGAGTCAAGGGACTGGGAGCGGAGCGTGGCTGGGGTCACTTGTTACAGGGGCTCACCTCACCGTGAGCTCTTGGGAAAGCCCTCAGTTGGGGCAGGACCTTGGCAGCTTCGAGAATGAGCTGTTACCTCTCATGTAAGGCCTCGTTTTCAGACGAGGAAACCAAGGGTCTGGGCTCTCAAGACCACCCAGCGCTGAGGCATGAGTGGGCAGCAGTCCTCAGTACCATGGGCAGCGCGGCTCCGAATGCACTGTGGGCGCAGCCCCGTGACTCCCTAAGTGCAAACAGAAGCTTTCTGTTTGTATGAGGAAGGCCAAGGTCTCCCCGGTAAGCAGAGGTGCCTGAGCCCGCCCAAGATTCAAGAGATATCTCTTTGGTCCCTGGCAGAGTTTTTGAAAAGTGGCTCAATTTCCAATATTTAGGAATCGGGAGATTTGGCTTCATCATCTGGGCATCTGGTATCTCGGGAAGTCCGCCCCACTGTGCCCTGGTTCATTCCCCTGTGGCAGCAGGGTCTGCCGGAGATGGCAGCACAGGGGCTCACTGCAGTCCCCACTAGCGCCCCTGGTTTCTCCAGCCCTGCTGTGCTCATTAACTTCTCTTTCTGGCCCCTGAAAGCTTCTCAGTTTGCTTCTGAGTGGGAATGGGCCTGAGTCATGCATCTGACTTTGCTGAGCTGACTTTTTCAACCTCACTGCCCAGGTGTTGTTAATATGTACCCCCTGAACCCCGCCCCGTCACCACTGCGGGGTAGGTTCTGCCTGACCCCAGGAGCATCTCACGTCTTGAACAACCTGGAAGGAGAATCCTTGGGTCTTCCGAGCGTGAGTTTTCAGATTGTTAGAAGTTTGCTGCCTTGAGCTCGCTCACAGCTGGGTCCCAGGGGCTTCAGTAAATCTCAGGGTCATAGAGCTCCCTGAACCCACGGCGCATGCCACCATTCCCGTATTCCAAACTCAGTGACCATGACGGTGGTGAGCACCCTCATCTCAATCCTGGAAAAATACCAGCCCCGGGTACACCAGGTTCCAGGCTGGGCCGATGAGTAAATTCACTTGTTTGATTTAAAACTGGATTGATAGGTTTTCTTTCTCCTATATTCACAGAGACAAATTAAATGCCTTACGAAGACATAAGGAAAAGCTGGAAGAAAAAATCATGGATCAATACAAGTTCTATGATCCTCCTCCAAAGAAGTGAGTTGATTTAAGTGTAGTGGCATAAAGACAGAACTTAAAAGCTTCCTTTTCTGTGCACAGGGTGAAAGCAGCCATCTAGGGCAGGCCCCGCACCATCCACCTGTGCACAGATGCCTCCCACATCAGAGAGAGTTCAGAATCCTTCCAGCCTGCCTCTGTACTCTAGCTTGTCCTGTGAGGGGTGGCCAATGTCTGGTGACCCCAATGAGACACAGGCTTCATTTAGCTATGAGCCTTTTTTAAGGGGGCAGAGCATCCGTGGTCCTGGAGTCACTCAAGCAGGATGGCGGGGCTGCCTTGTCAGGTTTTCGTCTCAGGATTAAACATGACCTGGACACCCATGTTCCTATTTTGGAGAGGATGCTTGGGCAGCACACTTGGCCCAGCCCCCATGGTCTTCAAATGTGGGAACCTTTTGACCTTATGCAGATTTTTCTGGATTCACAGAACCTCAGGGTGGCTTCATGGACATGTCTCTTCCCCAGAGAGCAGCAGCTCTCCCCAAGTGGGGCTGGCCCACCCTAGCAGTGCTGCCCCTTGTCCACGGCCTGAGCCCCAGGAATTGTCCCTTCGGATTGTCCTGGCCCAGCCTTGAAGTCAAAATCACTGCAAATCCCTTGAGGTCTCTCTGGGAATCCAGAACCACAGAATTTCCGAACCTCAGTCTGTTTTTGGTTTTTGTGTGTGTGCTTATTGTTTTGTTTTGTTTTGTTTTGTTTTGAGACGGAGTCTCGCTGTGACATCCAGGTTGGAGTGCAATGGCACAGTCTCAGCTCACTGCAACCTCCGCTTCCCAGGTTGAAGCCATCCTCCTGCCTCACCCTCCCGAGTAGCTGGGATTACAGGCATGTGCCACCACGCCCAGCTAATTTTTGTATTTTTAGTAGAGATGGGGTTTCACCATGTTGGCCAGGCTGGTCTCGAACTCCTGACCTCAAGTTGATCCACCCACCTCGGCCTCCCAAAGTGCTGGGGTTACAGGCGTGAGCCACCATGCCTGGCCCAGAACCTCAGTCTGAATCTTCTGTTTGACACAGAAATTGAAGCCAAGATGAGAAACTGGAGTGATAATATAAATAGATGCTGTTTCGTTTCAGAGACGGGGTGAGAGCACAGGCAGGGTTCTCTTCATGTCACACCAGGATGCCCTCGGTGTCCAGCTCGCTGTGATGTTATTGCTTACTCTTTAAATGCACTGATTTTTAATCAAACAGCCTGCTCTCCTCTGCCCTCTCCACCTCACCCAGATTACTCAGTGCCAGGGAGGAGTCAAGGGAATGCCAGCTTATTTCACTGATTATTAACTTTAGCAGAAAATGAGATTCATGGAAATGGCTTTTTGACAGAAAAATTGCCAACTAAATTAAGCACGGCATCACTTCCTTCATCCTGGGAGACTAGAGTGGATTTCTGTCACAATGCACATGGCTCTACCATCCCCAGCCCTGTGCCAAACTGAGAATTAAGTTCTAGCTCCTGAGCCCCAAATATGATTACCATGGTCATGAGCGTCATTGTCCTGAACCCCACGTGAGTGGCCTAGCTTCCCAGACTGGGGAAGAACATCCCAGCCCATGTTAGGGAACCAGGGACCCACTGGGGGTGTGTGGGAGGGCTGGCTATGTCCTAAACATCTACTTCTAACCAGGAAGAACCACTGGATTGGAGCCAAAGCCTTAGTCAAACTCATCAAACCAAAGAAAGAGGGTTCGAGGGAACGCTTAAAATCCACCGTGGACAGCCCTCCCTGGCAGCTGGAGTCCTCAGACCCCGCCTCGCCGGCGGCCTCTCAGCCGCTCAGATCACAGGCCGAGAACCCCGACACCCCCGCACTGGGCTCCAACTGTGCAGAAGAGCGCGACGCCCACAACGGGTCTGTGGGGAAAGGTAGGGGCGGCCGTCCTGGCCGTGGTCGGGTGAGGAAGGGGGTGTCCTGAAGGGTCCCGCACCGGTGGCTGTGCACACGTGTGCAGGAACGTGCCAGGGGTGGGTGACTGCATGTGCGCCTTCGCTTAGATGTGTTACGAGCCAAGTAGAAATTCAGCGTGGCGACCGTTTTGTCCCATAATGCTTTTGTTACTTTATTTTATATTTTATTTTAATTTTTTTGAGATGGAGTTTCACTCTTGTTGCCCAGGCTAGAGTGCAGCCTGGCTGCCTCCCAGGTTCAAGTGATTCTCCTGCCTCAGCCTCCTACGTAGCTGGGATTATAGGCGCCCACCACCACGCCTGGCTAATTTTTTGTATTTTTAGTAGAGACGGGGTTTCACCATGTTGGCCAGGCTGGTCTCGAACTCCTAACGTCAAGTGATCCACCCGCCTCAGCCTCCCAAACTGTTGGATTACAGGCGTGAGCTGCCACGCCCAACCACTTTTGTTGTTTTAGAACAAAAGGTATCATTCATCATGTAGCCGGGCAGATATCTCAATATCCAAAGCTGACATTCGTGCAGGTACCATAGAGACAAGCGACATAGCTTATTTTGGGCTGCCTCGTATGTGCCAGATTTGTAGAAAGCTGCTTTGTGCAGGGAGATCCCAGGTGCACTCAACACGTTCTCCATGTATATAAGACCTCCCGAAAGCCTTGGGTGGTTTATCTGTTACCACTTTGAAAGGTGGGTTAGGACTTCTTCAGCCTGATCTGGCCTTGTGTCCCACCAGCCACAGGACACACTGTGCCTTTTCCCTAAGGGCTGTCCTTTGGAGTTTGCCAGAGGTTCTGAAACAAGAACAGGATTTCTCATCATGTATGCTGTATTTCATCAACTCTCAGGAGCCATGAAAGCTGCACAGTTACTTTATATACCACGAGGCAATCAAACGGTACAGGGCCACCACTTCGAATTTTTCTTACGCTCTTGTTGAAAGAGCTTTTCTAAATAAGAATTCGATTTTTGTACACACACGTAAAAGGAAAATAGGACCAAGATGAGTTGGTTATGACCATGTCAGTTTTGTCACCGTGGCCACCTGGCCAGTGGTGACTGAGACATCACTGAAATTGCCTCCTAATTTCCAAGACGTTAAAGGTGTCTTAGAATCGATTAGACACAGCATTTACCTTACACATTGTTAAATTTTCAGCTTTACCTTTAAATATCATTTTGGGGAGATTATTTATCCCAGGCCTGCATCCCAAGTCATTTAAATTTTTACAAAGGACACTAGGACTTTCTGAAGACCCAGCCTATGCCTGAGACCCATGGGGTCTTGGAGGCGGAGGATATAACACTGAAGACCAGCGACAGGCTACCCTCTGAGTGTGGTGTGTGCACAAGCCTTTCAGGGGGCACATTCACAAGTACCTGTTGTGTCCCCTTCAGATGCAAAAAAAAAAAAAAAAAAAAAAAAAGACCTGGTGCAGTGGCTCATGCCTATAATCCCAGCACTTTGAGGGGCCAAGACAGGAGGATCACTTGAGGCCAGGAGTTTGGGACTAGCCTGGGCAACACAGGGAAACCCCCATCTACCAATATATATATTTTTATTTAGCCAGGTGTGGTGGCACGTACCTGTAGTCTCAGCTGCTCAGTCGACTTGAGCCCAGGAGGTCGTGGCTGCAGCGAGCTATGGTCATACCACTGTACTCCAGCCTGGGTGACAGAGTGACACCCCATCTCTAACAAAAATAATGTTCACGCACATTGTTCAGGGACTAACACACTGTCATTCTTTATGGGGATAAGATTAGATAGAGTCAGCACCGTAAGACAGGGTGAGAAGGAAAAAAATTAGAGGCCTCACATGCAAGTAAATGAGAAGCTTAACTTTTTTTAAGCTAGAGGGGTTCTGTTGCCTCAGGTTTTTATATTGGCTCCTGTTTAATTTTTGGACATTTGTCATCTCAACTTGTATTACTCTTTAAGTGGAATTAATTAACTATAATCAGTCTGAGTTAGGAAAACTTTCAGAGAAAAAAATGCTTGACTGGTCCAAAGTGATCCGTGAGCAAGCAGGTCTGTAAACCATGATCATGTTCACTAGCAGCCACCATGTCTTGGGTGCTCCCTCTGGGCCCAGCACCCTCTAACTACTTTATGTGCTTTATGCATCTCATTGAATCCTAACGACCCTATCAAGGCAGGTGGACGTGGCCTCCCCTGTGTAGAGGTGAGAAAGTGAGGCTCAGCAGTGTAAAACATTTGCTTTGGGTAAGTGGGACCCAAATGCAGGTCGGCCGCACTCCGGAGCCTGAGCTCTTAACTGCATGCACTTAACTGCATGGACTGCCTCCAGTTAAAGCTCTCTGGGTCCCTGAAGATGCCGAACAAGAGCCTAGCCCTGAACTGGCCACAAGGACACCAGCCTTGAATAAGTTGGTCCCTTATTCTGTGGTGTGAGCCACTGTGGCCACCAGGTGGTGCTGTGGAGGAAGAAATAATGGAAATCCTGGTATCAACTTTAATCCTACATCAGAAATTGGTTAGGTCGATTAATGTTACTATAAGACAGTTTAGGAAGTTAGCCCAATTGTCTGCTTTGTTAAGACACTAGAGGCTAAGGAGTGGAGGATTGGAGTGGAGGATGTATATAGAAGATCTAAAAGGAAATCATGATTCTTGGTGTTGAAGGGTTTTTTTTAGTATGCAAAGGAGGTATTTAAATTATTTTAAAACTCATCCTGCCGAAAGATTATTTTAGAGATACAGAATCATTAGTGAATACTTCAGGTAGAGTATTTGATTACAGCGCCCTGAAACGGATCATTGAATGTTCCCAAGGTCTTTGAGTGGGAACGGGAGGATTGTGTGAGCTGAGCTGTTAGGGACCCCATCATTAAAATGGATGAGTAAGAGAAGTTGGGCCCTAAATTAATAAGCATTAGTGTTTAATAATTTGGCACACTGAAACCGAAAAATCATCCAGACCATTGGCTCCTTGGGCAGTATGTAATTCTCCTCACACGCTGAGGAAATAAATTGTTGGCGTTCAGGTGCCTTTAAATTAATTGAGTCAGAGCACAGATGATTACTGAGCCCTGATTCTGTTCTTGAGTACTGTGTACTGTTTTCATCTTTCCTGGGCAAGACGGGATTCTGATTTCTTAAGTACATTTAGCTAATTTCGATTCATTTGTCATTATTGTTCATTTCATTTATTTGTGTTTTCTTTTTCCTTCCTCCTTTGGGTTATCCGATTGATAACAATTTAGCACCTCCGCGCAAAAAGAGTCCCTTTTTGAAAAGCAAAAACAAGGACAAAGACAAGTCTCCAACGACCCACCCAGCTCTCTCTAAACGCCTGCGGTTCTGGTCTTCCTCCGACATCCCATCCTCTCCTAACGAGCCTCTCTCTTTCTCCGACATTGGAGATTTCTAATCCCTTTCCTTTATCATGTGTCTGTATTGTGTACCCTCCTTCATTTCCGAAATTCAAACAAACAAAAAAAGCCAGCGTCTAAAAGGCCAGATGGCCGATAGCGGACCCCTCCTCCTGCCCCCAATTTCAAGCTTAAAGTAGCCAGCGTGGATTCTGATTTCAAAATAGAAGATGAGTTGTCACACTCCCTGGACCATTTCTTCAGCACAACACAGTTTTAGGGGGAGCCTCAGGATATACGTGCACATGTCCTTGGGCCAGGATGTCCGTACTAAGTAAGTCGAGTGGCCGTGCCCCCCTCCCGTCTCTTGCACCTGCGAGCTTATGTTTTGCCCGTGTGTCAAGCAGCACTGGCGGGTGGTTGCTGCACTTCCTAAAATGTACAGCCTCTGTCAAGTGAGGGTTTTTTTTAAGACTTATTTTTAAGCAGCTAAATTTAAAACTGCTGCCCTTTTCTCCTCTTCCTTTGTCAGAGCACTGAGTTGTGGGCCTTTTCCGGTAAGGCCCTTATAAAATGTGTTCTGTTTTGAAGGATTGATTGCTCCATTCAGGCATTTTGACTAATTGGATTGATTTTGCCCAGACAGAGTTCAGCCCAGAGTGAAGTTTTATGACTGTGCTGTGGTTTTATGACATCTTGGATGCTGAAGTTAAAACAGCAGGAGACAGAAAGAACATCAGCACACAAATCATGCCTCGAGCAAGGGAAAATGCCAGCCGGCCAGCTAGGCCATTACCTATGGAGCATTTCCTGTCTCTAGCCATCCCTGTACCACCTCCGTTATTTTTGTCATATCCTGATACCGTCTATGATTACCTACAAAAATATGATTACCTGCATGTTTTCCCTTACATTGATTCACAGTTTGTAGTTAAATGTATTAAAAGGAAAGATTAGTATCAGTCCTGTAAGTGGAAAACACACATATCATCATAAAAACAAGGTAATCATAAGAATAAACACATAATTACTAAAATATGAGAGTCGGTTAATGTGCCACTGACTTCATCTCATGAGCCTCGCTCTGGGAACCCTGGGCTGCCGTGGTGCCGGGTCCTCCAGACCTGCCTTCCGCGCATGCTGTTGGAATTGTGCTTTCTCTGTTCGCTGCTCATGCTAACTGTTCACTCATCTCTGCCTCCCCTGTGGATCCTCATTTTAGCTTCACCTGTAGGATGACCTGTCCCGATTCATTCCACCTGTCCCGATTCAGGCAGACTTGAATCTTGCTTCTCATCAAGGTTATCTTTCAAAATCCAAATTTCCCCTTGATTTCAAATCATCAGCTCTGGGCACTTAAAACTGCACAGTGAGCCCAGACTTTGAGTGGCTGGGAGGGCAGACGGCTTGATGGGTGGAGAAGCCGAACTGCAACAGTGAGTCCTGGCTCTGCACACGGAGTGGGACGCTCTGCAAAGTGCTTTGTCAGCTCTTAGGAATGCCAGCCATGTTCATTTTTATCTTGTGTTGGGAGAGCCTGTCCTCTTTCCTGTGGGGTACTTGGTTTTATGGGCTGTTTTTCTTTTATGATTTTATATGTTTTTATTTAATTTTGACCAGAGTTTATGTTCATGGTAGAAAAGTTAGAGATTTCAGAAAAGCACAAGACACAAGGTAAAAATTTTCTTGCAGTTCGTCTCACCATGCAGAGATTAAGGCTTCCCTTTTTGAAAAAACAGAATATTGTGAGGTTAGCAATAAACTTCTATTTGAAGTCCTTAGTGAGTCAGGTTAGCAGGACCTTCGGATCCTCAGCTACAGGCTTGGATCCTTGGAAGTCAGGGATTGGAGTTCCGGACAGTGTTACACAGGAGATGTGTCCTAGAGTGAATATGTGTGACTTTTACCAACAGTTTATCCCCTCAGGGGCTCCCTTTGTCTCCTCCCAGCCTCTCAGGGCTGGCAGTATGACCCCAGCATTAAAGCCAGAGCCATCCTCATGGGGCCTCTGACACCACCTGAAGCCAAGCCCTCTTGCCCCCACCTGCCCCGCCAGGCCCCATTTAAGTTGCAGCCCGAGAGCTGTGGCAGCCCCGCTTTTGTCTCTGTGGTCCTCATGCCCTGCTGCCCTGCTTCTAGGCCATGGTGTGGTTTCCCAGCCTGGGTACAGGACTTGGCAGCCTCATTTCTCAATGTCCTCTTCTGCCTCAGGCCCTGGGGATCTAAAACCAAAGCGAGGCTCCCCACACAGAGGCAGCCTTGACCGCACAGATGCCTCCACCGATCTGGCCATGAGGTCCTGGCCCTCGGAGCTGGGCTCCCGGACTTGCTCAACTTCAGCCACCACTACAGCCCCTTCCAACTCCACCCCCATCGCCCGGCACCCAGGCCGCACCAAAGGTGAGTCACAGGCCCTTCCAGAGCCATGAGCGTCGGGCCTAGTGTCCTTCCTGAAGACCCCAGGCTCTCGGAAATCAGAGAGGTTGCTCTCCCTCTCAGTCTGAGAGGTGGTGAGTAGAGGGGTGAGGCTGCTGACAGGCTTTGGTGGCACAGATGCAGCTGTGCTTACCAGCCAAGGACTTTGGGCAGGAAGCCCTTCAGAGGCCCAACTGCAATGGGGCCTCAGAACCCACTGCCACCACCGGCATTCAGGAAATGAAGGCACCAAATAGCTCCAGAAGGGAGGTGAAGGTGGGCTGAGAACCAGAGTTTGGGCTAAAACCAGGCAACTGCCATTGCCCTACCTTGGTAAAAGTTTGGGGTTTTTTTCTCGAGAGAAGATAAATTATATATTTTAAATTAGTGTGTGTATGTGTATTTTAAAGTTTTTGTAGATATGTGGTCTCATCATGTTGCCCAGGCTGGTCTCAACCTCCTGGCCTCAAGCAATGCTCTTGCCTTGGCCCCCTAAAGTGCTGGAATTACAGGTGTTGAGCCACTACACCTGGCCAAGAAAGGATAGCGTCTCTGAACTGGAAGTTCACTGACACAGTTGAGGCAGGTGTCCTGTATTGAAAACAAATGGGTTCAGTGAAGGATTTAGGAACTCCCTGTCTCCAGGGTGCCAGGAGTTCACATCTTTAGGCATGAGATTAAAATATTCTTTGAGTAATCTCATTAGCCTGAGAGAGTCCCAGCAGAATGGCTCAGTCAGATCTTGCCGGGTGACACTCAAATCAGAGACAAGAGAAATGATTGCACCCAAGAAACAAGAACAGGATGCTATAAAAAAGCAACAGGGAAGGGAGAAGCATTTGGAAATTTAAAATATGCAAAGAGAAAGGAAGAGATAATGCTTAAAACGGAAAAGGGCATTCCCCTTATAATTTAAGAGATAGGAAAATATCCAAAGAAACAGCTGAAGGAGTTGAAAGTGATTGCCTTTGGGGTGTTGGAAGTCTGAGAGAGCAAGAAGGGGTTAATTTGCATAAATAAACCCACTCACCTGACTCTTGAAGCCATGGGCATGTAGAACCTTGAGTCTGAACAACAGAGCAACAGAGATAGGGTCCTGACCTCAAGGGACCCTCCCACTCCAGATATCTGTTGCAGGTGGGCATGTCACCATCTCCAAAATGGAGACCCTGTTGTCATTTTGGAGGGGACCCAGGGTCTGCTCTCAGGTAGAAACTAGCAGGATTTTGAGGCGTGGGGCATTTTCCAGTCCTCAGGGAAAGGCCAAATGCTTGATGGCCAATGGATTCCAGGTCTGTTTCTGGTCAGGAGCTGTTAGTGCAAGGGTTATTCCCCAGGAATTCAGCCTCTCCCCTCAAGGAGTAGATTCTGATTTTGCCTCTTTTTCTTCCTTCTTCCTCCTACCACCTGAAGACAGCTTGACTGCTGAAAGCGAATTGCTCTCAGGGCTGGCCTCTGAGACTGGAAAGGACTCCCCAGGATACTCAATATTCAGCTCTTTTTATATTATCCTTAGGCCAGAACACGCCTTTGGTCCACACGTTCCAGCCACAGCAGAGGTGGAAGTGTGATTTAAAGGGGATGGGAATCGGGAGTGTCAGGGTTGTCCCAGCAGGAGAAACGGTGGAGGGGTAGGAGAGGCAGGTCCCAAAGGCAGCATCTGCATGCCATTCCCTCATCCCCAAGAGCTGGAGCTACTGGGATCCGGGTGCCAGGCGAGGTGGCGGGGTTCCCTGTGGATGAGGCATGTTCCGTAACCATGACTCACTAGCCTTATTTTCACCTTAGGCTATAACTCAGATGACAACCTCTGTGAGCCATCCCTGGAGTTTGAGGTCCCCAACCACAGGCAGTACGGTGAGTAGGGAGGGTGCTGTGTCCTCCAGCCTGGGTTTCCAGACTGGTTTTTATCCACGGTACCTTTCCTTTAAGCTGAGTCCTGTACGGGAGTCCAACACCAAATGAAGGTGGAAATGGGGGACCCATTCTTCCTTCCCCTCCCCAGGGGGCTGAGCGTGTAGCTTCTACTTACATACCTCCAGTGGTGGGGAATTCGCTACCTCCCAAGCATCACAGTTCTGGAAGCACCGACCTCTCCTCTTCATGCCTTCAAGCACCCTTCCAGGCTGGCCAGGAAGTTCCGGTGGCCCAGGTGGGGAGCGTTCATTTCAAGAAGGTCCCTTGCTGTCCTCACTTGGCTGCAGTTGCCCATAGTAGCTCTGAGGCGTATTTAGTCTTGGAAATTGTTAGAAGCACTTGTCATTGGATTCGAGCATGTTATAAATTTCTGCAGAAGGGAGACAGTAAACAGTACCTGCCTTCTCAAAAATCAAAAGCTGCTTTGGTTTAATTTTTGAAAAGCAACCCTACAAGGGTGAGAAAATAATCCTAAAAAGACCCCTTGAAGTTTACATCGATTTCAGTTTACTTGTGAAAGGCTCGGTAAGTGTAGGAGCTGGCATCACCTCCTACCCCTATCCACGGTCTAAAAAGCTTGATGACATTCTTACAGTCTTCTACTTGAGTAAAGAACTGTAATGAAACAATTGAATGAATGGGAGTCTTACATCTTTACACTGAGTGGAGGCTAATCCAACAGAAGAAATCTGCCTCGTGTGCTGGGTGCATCTCCCTGAGCAGCCAGATTTGCGATCAGTCAGCTAACCATAGGAACTTTTTTCATAAATGTTCTGTTTCCTCTAGCTTCTCTTAGGAAAAAGAAGGGAAAAGGATTTGCATTGCAGTACTTGAATAAACAATGGTGCTTTTGGGCCGTTGATCGCTATCACGGTTTCCTTATACTGAAATTTACTTATTTTTTTAAGAGAGATGTGCATTTGTTTATTTCACATTTTCACTGCTCAGGGAGGGGACCGATTCTGTTTTTAGGCTATTCGCTATCACCAAGTATGTTTTTGGCTCAGTTTCAAACATATTTGCTAGCAGGTGTTTTCTGGACATCTGCTGTTTGCAGAGCACCTCAGCCCTTGGAACCAGGTGCCCTGTGGACCCAGGAAACCTGAGTGAACTTGCCTTGGTGGCACAGTGAGCAGAGGAACCCCAGGTGTCTCTTCTGCAGGCTCCTGAGGTGGCTCAGCTCAGCACCTGCTGGGTGCTGGGGGTGGCAGGGACAACTGAAATGCCATCCCTGCCACGGGGGTTCATAGCACAGCAGCGTAGACATGTTTGCTCTCGAGATAGGGCCGCTGGAGGAGTGGCCCAGGAGAGGTGTGCAGGCCCTGGAAGGGATGGCCTGCCCTCTGTAGGGAATGGTGCCAGCCTTCCTGAAAGTCTGCAGTGGGGTGGCATGGCAGAGCCACACTCAGGCAAGCACCTGTTGTGGCCAGGTGGGCAGGTGCCCTCAGCACCATAAACCTTGATTTTTTTCCTTTGGGGCAGATGTAAATTTGAGGCAAATGACACAAAGAAGCTGAAGAATAGCAAATGTCCAGGAGAAGGGAGTGCCCCCTTCCTTCCCAGGCCCCTGGCACCTGCTCCCTGTGGGTCCCCTGACGTGACACCTTCAGGTGCGTGCCCTTACATGTGCGCACACATGGCCCTGAACGGTCCTCATCTCTCTTCCCGTGGCCTCGGCCTCGGCTGTCCACATGTGTTCCAGAAAGCTCTGTGCAGTAATAGAGGAGGGCCCCCCGCAACCTCAACCTCTGGTTCACCCAGCACAGCCTTTTTTTTGTCTGCCCTCTATACTGGCGTTCTGTGTGAGATTTCCTTTGTGAAGTTGTTTGAAGCTGCAGCCCCAGGCCTCATAAATGTAGATAAGCAGAGTATCATCTGTTGATGGCTGCTTGTGCTGTGCCCAGCACTCCGTTGGTGAAGTGAGGCTTCCTCACTGGAGCGCAGAGGGAGTCCCAGAGCTCCTCCTTCCTGAGGGCGTTGGGCTTAGCTTTGGCATGGGATTGTTTTGCTGCATCGTTTTTCTTAGATGGCTCATCTGGGATATACCTGGTCATTGGCTTTTTAATTTTAACACTGCCATTTCCTTTCAGTGTCGCGGCCAAGTAGCTTAGAGAGCAGTAGAAACACATCCAGCAACAGCTCACCTCTTAACCTAAAAGGTAAGTCTTGTGCTTCTGTGTACTTTTAAAAATTGATTTGGGCCAGGCACAGTGGCTCATGCCTATAATCAGCACTTTGGGAGGGCCAAGCAGGTGGATCGCTTGAGCCCAGGAGTTAGAAACCAGCCTGGGAAACATGGCGAAACCCCATCTCTAAAAAAATAAAAAATTAGCTAGGCGTGGTGGCGCATGCCTGTGGTCCCAGCTACTCAGGAGGCTGAGGTGGGAGGCTCGCTCAAGCCTGGGAGGTCAAGGCTATAGTGGGCTGTGATCATGCTACTGCATTCCAGCCTGAAAAACAGAAGTGAGACCCTATCTCAGAAAAAAAAAAAAAAAAAAAAAAAAAAAGTGTATTTGGTGGTTTGGCTCTGGGGTCATATTATTATAATTTTTAAAATACATGACTAGGGGTTTCAAATGCATTCTGACGCATTCAGAGGCCACACAGTACAGTTTCAGGCACAGGCTGGGAGTTAGAATGGGTTGGGGTTCAGCTCCCTTCTCCCCCGAGCAGCACTGAGAATGCAGGCATGTCACAGGTCCCGAGTCTCATTTACTTCATCTGAAGAATGGGGAGAGTAACACTAGTTCCATTCTACTGTGGCCACAGAACAAATGTGGAGGATTTTGATTCTCGGAACATGTATGGTTTGTGTTAGGGACAGAATGTGGTCTTTCTTCATGAACCTTCCCTGTACATTTAGCCCCTAGCACATAGCAGGTGCTGAATAAGCTTTGAATACGTGCATGAGCGAGCGCTGACAAGGGCAGTGCCTTACAGCCAGTAATAACTTAAACTTCAGCAGAAGCTTTCCACTTTTATCTCAAAGTATTTTGTTTTTAAAGCCAAAGTGAAATTCAAAAGGAGTCCAGACTTTCAGCCTGGTGGGAATAAGCCCTGGGTTTTCGGGCAAGGGATTTTATTCTGATAGTTTGAAGTGGGCAAAGGCAGCACGAAGCCTCTAGAAGCCACCAGAGGGCTGCCAAGACTGATGAGGGTCCTCTGTCTCCTGCCCTGACACCCAGGCTCCTCCGAGCAGCTCCATGGCCGGTCTGAGAGCTTCAGCAGCGAAGACCTGATCCCCAGCAGGGACCTGGCCACTTTGCCCCGGGAAGCCAGCACACCGGGACGCAACGCCCTCGGCCGCCACGAGTACCCCTTGCCTCGGAACGGGCCTCTCCCACAGGAGGGTGCCCAGAAGAGGGGCACAGCCCCTCCCTACGTCGGAGTGCGGCCCTGCTCGGCCTCCCCCAGCAGTGAGATGGTCACCTTGGAGGAGTTCCTGGAGGAGAGCAACCGCAGCTCCCCCACCCATGTGAGTGATCCGGACACGGACTTGGCCCGTCTCTCTTCCCTCTCTGTCTCTTCCTGGCTCAAGATCATAGCTGCAGAAAGGATGGGGTGGGGGTGGCGTGGCCTAGGCACAGGACTGGCTTGGACATGAGAGGCTGACTAGAGCACTAGCTGACAAGTCACCGCAAGCCAGCCGCCAGCCCCAACCCTGGAGGCTGCTCTCCCCTGGGTCTGGGAAGTGAGCTGGCAGAGCTTGTGGCCCGCACCAAGGGTGCGTGGCCAGCACCTGACTTACAGGGCTAGGATCTCACGCTGGGTTTCACGGCAGAGCTCTGAGTACCCGCTTACCCTGCATTTTCTCCAGCAGGGATTGGCAAACTTTCAAGGACCTTGAAAGGGCCAGAGAGGAATGATTTTAGGCTTTCTGGGTCTCACAGTCTCTGTTGTAGCTACTCAATTCTGCCACATTCGAGAAAGCAGACACTTGATCCTATGTCAATAGATGGACATGGCTGACATCCGATAAAGCTTTACTTATGGACACTGACATTTGAATTTCATATGATTTTCGCATGATGTGAAATACGTTTTTACAAAATTTCTTTTTGACCAATTAAAAATGTAGCAACTGGCCAGATGCAGTGGCTCACGCCTGTAATCCCAGCCTTTGGGAGGCCAAGGTGGGCAGATCACCTGAGTCCAGGAGTTTGAGACCAGCCTGGCCACCATCTCTACAAAAAATACACCCGTCTCTACAAAAGATAAGCAGAGTTGTAGAGACACTTGTCTCTACAAAAAATACAAAAATTAGCCGGGCCTTGTGGCAGGTGCCTTTAACCCCAACTACTCGGGAGGCTGAGGCAGGAGAATCATTTGAAACCGGGAGGCGGAGGTTGCAGTAAGCTGACATTGCACCACTGCACTCCATCTTGAGCGACAGAGCGAGACTCTGTCTCAAGAAAAAATAAAATAAAAATAAAAATGTAGCAACTATTCTCACAGGATATACAAAAACAGGCGGCTAGCTGGATTTGGCCCCAGCTCTGCAGCTCCTCACCCTAAACACTGCCTGTTGACAACCTCCTGCCACCTCTGTAGGTCTTCGTTTAGCTTTTTTGAAGCTGCACATACGTCTTTAAAGTGCTCTGAATTTTGTCACGTGAGCTGTTGGGTTACTGAGTGAGTGAAGTTCACTGTCTGCAATTGAGCCCTTTTGAGGATTCTTAAAACTTCAGCCTTTTTCAGTCTTTCCATCTCATTCCCCTTAAAGAAACACATTTGGACTTTGTCTGGCTCTCTGGTAAACCCTGTGACCTGCATTACTAGGGCACAGTGACACAGAAAAGAAAGTGTGTGTTTGGTAGATATTTATTGAGCACCTGCAGTCTTATGTTTAGCAGTATGCATGGTGCCTGCTCTTGGAAAGCAAAGCAAACCAGTTCATCAGCAGGTTTTCTTTGCCTGCATGTGCTGTGCCCAGCCTTGCAGTTGACACGAGAGAAATATAAAACATGGCCCTGGCCTTCCTTCATTTAAACATTTCTCTTTCCCAAGCACTTACTCTGTGCAAGGAGCTGGAGAAGCCAAAGCTGGAGAAAAACAAAGGAGGGCCTGCCCTCGAGAAGTTAGCGGTCTAATGTTGTGGTTCTCAAACTCAGGCGTGCGTTTGAATCGTCTGGGGGCCTTGCCAGACCACAGAACCCATCCCCTGAGTTTCTGAATCAATGGGTCTGAGGTTGGGCTCGCTGAGAATTTGCATCTTTATAAATTCCAGATAATGGTCTTGCGGCTGGGTAGGCACCATGGTTTAAGAACCACTGGTCTGGCCGGGCGCGGTGGCTCACGCCTGTAATCCCAGCACTTCGGGAGGCCGAGACGGGCGGATCACGAGGTCAGGAGATCGAGACCATCCTGGCTAACACGGTGAAACCCCGTCTCTACTAAAAATACAAAAATTAGCCGGGCGTGGTGGCGCGCGCCTGTAGTCCCAGCTACACGGGAGGCTGAGGCAGGAGAATGGCGTGAACCCGGGAGGCGGAGCTTGCAGTGAGTCGAGATCGCGCCACTGCACTCCAGCCTGGGCGACAGAGCGAAACTCCGTCTCAAAAAAAAAAAAAAAAAAAAAGAACCACTGGTCTAGGCCAAGCGGTGGCTCATGCCTGTCATTCCAGCACTTTGGGAGGCTGAGTTGGGTGGATCACTTGAGGTCAGGCGTTCGAGACCAGCCTGGCCAACATAGTGAAACCCCATCTCTACTAAAGATACAATGAAACCCCATCTCTACTAAAGATACAAAAATGAACCGGGTCATGGTGGTGGGTGCCTGTGATCCCAGCTACTCGGGAGGTTGAGGCAGGAGAATCTCTTGAACCCGAGAGGCTCAGGTTGCAGTGAACCGAGATTGTGCCACTGCACTCCAGCCTGGGCAACACAGTGAGACTCTGTCTCCAAAAAAAAAAAAAAGAACTGCTGGTCTAATGGACTGAACAAGAACACTCCAGAAATTGGGGGGGCCCACAGCTGGAAGGCTTTCCTTCTCAGTCTTTTTTTGTTATATGCCCCTTATGATGCTTTCCTTTCCCTTTGGAGATCTGGCAGGCAGGTCCTGAGCAAGGAGTGGGGCCCCTCCCTGCTCAGCTCAGACTGGTCTTCACAGTCCCCATTCCCTGTGCCCTGTACTGTTACCTTTCCATTTTTAGCTTAAATGAGACCAAAACAGTCTGGCTGTAGCAGCTTCTGTTGAAAGCTGATGTCTGGCATGCAGCGAGCCAGCCCCCTCTGTCTGCCTGGTATATTTAACCCCCTACCCCTGACACACCTGACTTCCCTCCTGGTACCCCTGACACACAAGGCCCCTAATGTACACAGGGGCTTCCCATCCCAGGGAAATGACAACCGTATGCCCACCGCGCCCCCACTCTCTGGGCGTCGATGATGCAGGGAGGGCATGTCACAAGATGGGGCTCCCTGCGTGGCCAGGAAGGGTGGGTATCAAAGGCTCTGAGGTGTGCAGGGAGGAGCCTGGTGGAGTGGAAAGCAGCTCTGGAGTCAGGCAGCCATAGGCTTTCATCTGGGTCTGCCTCTCTGGACGCATGGCCTGCCAAACCTCCGTGACCTGTTTCTTTACCTTGATACAGCCTTTCAACAACCTTGCGAGGTCATTTTGAGAATTAAATGAGTTTCTTTGCAATTATACATGTGGTTCCCAGAACAGCACATGGCCCCACAGGTGATGAAAGGTACCTGTGATATCACGGGTCTTACTGGACGCCCACCCAAGATGTGTAGCGTCAAACTAGCATAAAACAGCAGATGTATCTCTGTCCAGTGGCACCATGTCCAGATGTTTGTGTGGGACAGGAGTTGCTGGCAGGTGCAGATGGCTCCTGAGCTACCAACCCGCCTTCAGGCTGACACCTGCCGGCCTCTCATCCCCCATGAACTCACTTCTCTTCCTCTTCATCCATGTCAGCCTCAGGAGAAGCTAGGCTTGCAGAAGGCTGCAGTTCCTGAGTGGGGCCATAGACCCTTGCCTCTGTGGCTCTGCCTATTCCCAAGGTGGTGGCAAATGACACCTGCTCCCTGGGCAGGGGAAGCACAGCCCGGGCGGCAGCTTAGCAGGGACAGTGTGGCGGCTGGGCCTTCCTGGTGTCTTCATTTCCCTGTGCAGCCCCACCATTCCCCCTTCTGGACCCTCGCGGACCCCATTTGTACCTCTCTGTCCCCCACCCCCTCCCATCCCCATTCTGCCTCTCTCTTCTCTTTCTCGGGCCCAGAGAGAGGTCTGAGTGGCAGTGAAGGTTCCGGCGTTTCAAGAGCTGCTCTTGTTCCTCTTGCTCTCGGTGGCGCAAGGTGAAGTCCTTATGATGTCCCGGGGTGACCGGGGAAGGAAGGCCCTGCTCATATCCGCCAGCATTCTAGTTCCTGCTGTGCTTGGTGGAAACCAGACAGACCGAAGCAGTCGGCTATAGTCGAGGTTTCTGGGAAACTTACTCACTTTGTAGGAAGTCATTTCCCTCTCTGGGTCTGTTTCCTTATCTGTAAAGTTAGGGGGTTGCCTGGGGGGAATCTGGGGTTCTTTCCTGGTGGTCCCATGCTGCCTTAGCCACCCTCACCATCCTGCCCAGGGCTGGTGTGTGTGGTGGAGGCGGCACATGTGCCTCGGAGAAGGCAGGCAGGAACTGCGGTCCCAGCCACGTGGGCTGCTCGGGGGCGTCCCGCGCAGGAGGCGGCTCCAAGGACCCACCCAACCCTCATGCCCACCTCCAACCTTCACTCTCTTCTCCGTAGGACACTCCCAGTTGCCGGGATGACCTGCTGAGTGACTACTTCCGAAAGGCCAGCGATCCCCCAGCCATCGGAGGCCAACCAGGACCACCTGCCAAGAAAGAAGGGGCCAAGATGCCCACCAACTTTGTGGCCCCCACCGTCAAAATGGCCGCCCCCACCTCGGAGGGGAGGCCGCTGAAGCCCGGGCAGTACGTAAAGCCAAACTTCAGACTGACTGAGGCCGAGGCCCCACCCAGCGTGGCCCCGAGACAGGCCCAGCCTCCCCAGAGCCTGTCTCTGGGCAGACCCCGGCAGGCTCCGGTGCCCCCAGCTTCCCATGCACCTGCCAGCCGCAGTGCCTCCTTGAGCCGGGCCTTCAGCCTGGCCTCAGCTGACCTTCTCCGGGCCAGCGGGCCAGAGGCCTGCAAACAGGAGTCCCCTCAGAAGCTGGGGGCTCCTGAGGCCTTAGGGGGCAGAGAGACAGGCAGCCACACCCTGCAAAGCCCCGCACCCCCCAGCTCCCATAGCCTGGCCCGGGAGCGGACCCCACTTGTGGGAAAGGCTGGCAGCTCCTGTCAGGGCCCAGGTCCCCGCAGCCGGCCGCTGGACACGAGGCGCTTCTCCCTGGCTCCCCCAAAGGAGGAGAGGCTGGCCCCCCTGCATCAGTCTGCCACAGCCCCCGCCATTGCCACTGCAGGTGCTGGTGCTGCTGCTGCTGGCAGTGGCAGCAACTCCCAGCTCCTGCACTTCTCACCTGCTGCAGCCCCGGCTGCCAGGACCAAGCCCAAGGCGCCCCCACGCTCAGGGGAGGTGGCCACCATCACCCCTGTCCGGGCAGGGCTCAGCCTCTCAGAGGGAGACGGGGTCCCGGGGCAGGGCTGCAGTGAGGGGCTTCCGGCCAAGAGCCCAGGTCGGTCTCCCGATTTGGCTCCCCACCTCGGCCGGGCCCTGGAGGACTGCAGTCGAGGGAGCGTCTCAAAGAGCAGTCCGGCCTCCCCGGAGCCCGGCGGGGATCCGCAGACCGTGTGGTATGAGTACGGCTGTGTGTGACTGTCTCGTGGTTGAGCTCGCAAACCTGAAAACTACTGACGCGCCTTCCGACTCTCACGGCCTTTTCTCTTGCTTGCCTGCGGTGCCAGGAGAGGGTTTGGAATGAGGAAAGGGGTTCCCACGCATTTCTGCTGTTTGTTCTGTGAATGGAAACACTGTGCCAAGCCCCAAGAGGATTACGCTTCCAGGTGTGTAACGTGTTTTCTGTGTCTGCCGCTTCCAGCAGCTGATATCTTTGGAACAAATAATCCACGTCAGCATGGGGACCAATTAGGATGCAATGACAAACTGACTTCCCCCAAAGCAGACACTACTCCAGTATGTCCCAGTAGAACACTCATTTGCAATGTGTTGAGCTCCGTTAAGCACACACACACTCACACAACAGGCTTACGAGGCTCAGGCCTGGCGGGTCAGAAAGCCCACTCCCTCTCCCAAGGCCACTGGATCCCAGGAGAAGCCCAGACTGGCGATACTACAAAGGTCTCCAGGGCCTGGCAGACCCCAGAGTCAGGCCTGCTGTTAAAAAGTGAGAGTGCTGCTGTTCCATTCCTGGGGTCCCAAGCACTTCCCTTTACCCCAGGACCCAGGGCAGCCTGCAGGGCAGCTGGCGGTGGCCTTGGCCATTTGCCCCCAGCCTCCAGCTGGCTCCTGAGCTCTGCACCAGGGGGTTTGGGGACCACACAGGCACCTGCCTTCCTAGATTTCCCTGGCTCACTTTTCTGCAAACACTGGATCTGCCAGGCCTGGGGATTGGGGGGCAGGAAAGAGGCCCCCATCCAGCCCCCTCCAGGCCAGTGTGCACAGTGCACCGAGGGGTCATCCGCACAGAGCGAGGTGCAAGCTCGATGTGTAACCTGGCTGCGGCACCCGACATCCCCGGTCTCGGGGTGTTGATTTATTTCTGAATAACTTTTTGGGTATAGAAACCAATTTTTTTTAATATATGACATGTATATGTACACACTCATGTGAAATATGTATACTTTGGGGGGATCTATTTATGTTCCAGTGGGAGTCACTCTCTTCTGTCGGGAATCTTATCTGCTGCTTTGTGTCTTTGGTCAGATTCCTGACAATTTAGTTTCCTGTTGTAAAGGTGCTTTTCCTGGGGTGAACTAAACCTATTGATTTTTTTTTTTTAAGATTTTTTTTTCCTTTTGATTTAATATACTGAGAAAGAAATGGGAGACTTTTGAATGTTAACAAGATCCATTTTAGGAGTGTTTGGGGTTGTGTATTAAATAGCCATTCATTCTGGAACTCAAGGACAGGACTGTAATAAAATGGAATGGAACCGAAGTGCGTTCTGGCTTTCCTCACTGCACATTGTTAGCATCGGGTGGGCCCCTGGGGACTTGGGGCTCCCTGCGCCCCTCCTTATGCACCCCTCCCTCTGCTCCCCTTCCTCTGTGCCCCTGCACCCCTCCCTCTGCGCCCCTCCACCCCTCCCTCTGCGCCCCTCCCTGTGCCCCTCCCTCTGCACCCCTACCCCTGCGCCCCTCCACCCCCCTGCGCCCCTCCACCCCCCTGCGCCCCTCCACCCCCCCTCTGCGCCCCTCCCTCTGCACCCCTCCCTCTGCACCGCTCCCTCTGTGCCCCTCCCTCTGCGCCCCTCCACCCCTCCCTCTGCGCCCCTCCCTCTGCGCCCCTCCACCCCTCCCTCTGTGCCCCTCCCTCTGCACCCCTCCCCCTGCACCCCTCCCTCTGCATGCCGGCGACCCTTCCTCCACAGTTGGAATCCACCACTTTCCTTGCCACTAGGTGGGGGAAGCTGTTACACGTGCAACCAGAGACAGATGTGAAGGACAAAGATTTCCTGTACGGTGACAGCTTTCCACCCCTCCTCAGGTGTGTTTAAGTTGGCATCAATTGAATCCTATTTTATTTGTTTTTCTAATGGGTCACCACCACCACAGGGGGCATGCAATGGGCTGGAGACCAGTCTGGGCAACATAGCAAGACATTGTCTACAAAAGATAGAAAAATTAGCCAGGCGTGGTGGTGTATACCTGCAGTCCCAGCTACTCGGGAGGCTGAAGACAGAGGATCCCTTAAGCCCAGGGATGTTGAGGCTGCAGTGAGCAGTGATGGTGCCACTGCACTCTAGCCTGGGAGACAGAGTGAGGCCCTGTCTCAAACAAAAAATAAAATAGCGGGGTATGGTGGTTTGCACCTGTAGTCCCAGCCACTATGGAGGCTGAGGCGGGAGGATCACTTGAGCCCCAGCAGTCGAGGCTTCAGTGAACCAGGACTTGTGCCTCTGCACTCCAGCCTGGGCGACACAGCAAGACCCCATCTCAAAAATAATTGAAGAACCCCATTTTGCTATGGCGTTCATCTCATGTCGTGACAGGAGCTCAGCCTGAAGGGGCTCCTTATGATTTTCCCAAGGCTACTCAACCAGTAAATGCTGGATCTGGAATTTGGACCTTAGGGGCCGAAGATACTGAAATCGGATGCATGGTGGAGAGGAGGAAGAGAGGGAAGGAGGAGGCATGAAAATGGCCATGCCTGACCAAGGTTCTTCTGATGTTTTTCTGTCCAGCTGCTGCCTCAGTGTCTCCTTCCTTCTCACCAAGCCTATTTTTTGGCTCTCTCCTCTCACCTCCTTGCCCGTTCTCCCCGAGGCTCTGCAATCTGTCCTTGTATCTGGCCACTCCACAGAAACTGCCATCCATGCTGTTTTGAGCCAGACTGAGCGGTGGCCACCCGCAGTCTTCATCCTGTGTGGCCTTTGCAATACTTGACAGCTGGCCAGGCACTTCTTGGCACCCTTAGCCTCTGCTGCACGCTTCTTTGTCCCTCTGGGACAGCTCTGTGCTGCCTGCTCCTTCGTCCCTTCATTCATCCCTCCCGGGGACATCAGGGCTGCGGGCAGAGCCCTGGATTCTGCCTCCACCACTCTCCTGTCGTGCATTCCCCCTGCAGGCCTGACCCCACCCTCCCTACAAAGGGAGCGCTTGTGGAGGTGACCTCCAGCCCAGCGTCTCCTGACCTTCAGGCCAGGACTGCTGCCCTCATCAACCCAGCTCCCCTGTTCCCAGGACCATCTCTGCAGCCTCAGGAGCCTGAGATTCGAGCTGGACCCCTCCTTTCCTCACATCCCACATATCACACGTCACATCCTGGACCTGAGGGTGGGGTGGGAATCTGGGCCGCTCCCCTCTGCCAGCTGTCTCTGCCCTAGTTCACACCCTCCCGCCGACTGGTCCCGCTGCCTCAGGCTCTCCCCCTACTCTTCCATCCACTCCAGCCGGCTTTTGGTCCCACTGGTCCTGCGGGAGAGCTCCTGTCAAGGTCGCTAATCCAGAGGCAACTTCTCAGCCCTCGTCACTTCTCAGGAGGTGCCCTGACTCAGGGACCTTCCTATTTAGAACACTCCCCTCCACATTGGCCACACTTGTGAGCAGCGCGAGGTCAGGCATAACCAGGTCCACACACGTGTGTCTTTCCACAAGGTCAGACTTTTATTGACGCTGTTTCGTTTCTTTCTTTCTTTCTTTTTTTTTTTTTGAGACAGAGTTTCACTTTTGTTGCCCAGGCTGGAGTGCAATGGCACAGTCTCAGCTCACTGCATCCTCTGCCTCCTGGGTTCAAGCGATTCTCCTGCCTCAGCCTCCTGAGTAGCTGGGATTACAGGTGCCCACCACCACGCCCGGCTAATTTTTGTATTTTTAGTAGAGACGGGGTTTCACCATGTTGGCCAGGATGGTCTCAAACTCCTGACTTCAGGTGATCTGCCCACCTCGGCCTCCCAAAGTGCTAGGATTACAGGCGTGAGCCACCACGCCCGGCCTCTTTTACTTATTTTTACATGTACAATAAGTTATTTTTGACTGTAGTCATCCTCTTGTGCTATCAAATACTAGGTCTTATTGTATCTAACTATATGTTTGTTCCCATTAACCATCCTCACTCCCCTCCCACCCCATTACCCTGCCCAGCCTCTGGTAACCATCCTTCTACTCTCAACCTCCATGAGTTTAGTTGTTTTCATTGTTAGCTCCCTCAAATAAGTAACGACAGGTGAAGTTTCTCTCTCTGTGCCTGGCTTATTTCACTTAACATAATGAGCTCCAGTTCCATCCATGTTGCAGATGACAGCATCTCATTCTTTTTTACAGCTGAGTAGTTCTCCGTTGTGTATATATGCAATATTTTCTTCATTCATTTGTTGATGGACACTTTGGTTGCTTCCGCATCTTGGCTGTTGTAAATAGTAGAGTCACTGATGTGGGCAGAGCCTTCGGTGGGAGATGCTGGGTGCTGATCACAAGTGACAGCAAGATGGTGTCAGTTGAGACGGCCGTTTCAAGCTGCTGAAGTCTTGCTCCTTTTATAGTCACAGAGTCTTCTGGTGAGGACTGATAGTGGAGAGTGTGTTTGTTTATGTCCTTATCTGGTTGGATGAGTCTTTATTGATCAGGTAAAACATGCGGTCCCTGTTGGCGAAGTGCCATATTAAATGTAAGATGGAGTCTTTTTCTAAGATGGAGTTACTTATGTCGAAGGTGCTCTACACCCATACCCAGCCCTTTGCAGACTAGGTCCTCTCTACAGGCTCCCCTCAAGGCACACCCAGCCCCTGATCATACTTCATCAAGCCCAGGCATACCCACAACTTTAATTACCACCTATTCCCAGAAGGCCCAAACTTGTATCTCCAGCCCCCACCTCTCCTCCAAAACCCCAGATCTGGATTTCCAACTTGCATGTCCCAAACGCACCTCAAATTCAACATGCCCAACACAGCTCACCATCCTCCCCCTCCAAAGCGAGGCCTCTTTGTATTCCCACCCCCAACACCTGCCCCATACACATCCGGAGGATGCTGGCCTTCCCCTCACTCTCCCCCGTGGTCCTGTTACTCCATCAGCTGCTTTCAACGCTAAGACCCTGCTCACCTCCACAGCCAATCCCAAGCCACAGCCCCCTTCAGCAGTACCATGGGATCCTGTGGCTAAGAGAGCACCCTGGATCACGCCCCCTCCTGAGTTCCAGGGCCCCACCCTCTGCGTTGGTGTGGTGTGTGACCTGGTGGCTGGGAAATACCCAAGTTGCAGCTGGATATGCTTTTTTTTCCTTCTGAGACAGGGTCTTACGCTGTCCCTCAGGCTGGAGTACAGTAGTATGACTATGGCTCACTGCAACCTCAAGTGATCCTCCTGCCTCAGCCTCCTGAGTAGCTGGGACTACAGGCACATGCCACCACACCTGGCTAATTTTTTATTTTTTGTAGAGACGGGGTCTTGCTACATTGCCCAGGCTGGTCTCAAACTCCTGACCTCAAGTGATCCCTCGACCTTGGCCTCCCAAAGTGTCAGGATTGCAGGTGTCAGCCACCACACCTGGCCAGAGTTTGACTCTTTATCATCAGTAACAATTTATAAATAATAAAACATACAATAACAATTATTGTAAAATCCATACAACCAATTGATTCTTGCAGAAAGCTCATTGATTTTTTTGCTGGTGTATTTGTAGCCAACCTAGGCTTGCAACTGACAAATGAGCATAGCTTCAACACAAATGTGGTTGATAATTTCTTTCACGTTAACATGTAAGATGAAAGGGAAACAAGTCAAAGATGTATGTCAGAACTTCACTGAAAACATGAGTAACTTTGTTTAATCAAGTGGTAGTTTCTGAATGCTGAACAAATATTTCCTCAATTTTTTGTACTATTCCTATTATAATGGCTACAGATGCAACACACTTTTTTAAAAATTGAGATATAATTTACATACCATAATATTGACCCAAGGCATCTTCTCTATTTTTTTTAAGTCTAGAGACACTAGACAATGAAAAAATATATAAATCAAGCCCAAGTTTATAACATTTACCAATTTCTGTGCTATAAGTACTCTCACCATGGCCAACATCAAGCTGCCAGCACTGAACACATCACTTAACACGGAACTGATCTCAATCTTTGAGATTAAAAAATCTCAGTTTTTATTATTTATTTTTTTGAGATGGAGTCTCACTCGTCGCCCAGGCGGGAGTACAGTGGCACGATCTCGGCTCATTGCAACCTCCGCCTCCTGGGTTCAAGCAATTCTCTGCCTCAGCCTCCTGAATAGCTGGGATTACAGGCGCCCGCCACTACGCCGGGCTAATTTTTCTGTTTTTAGTAGAGACGGGGTTTCACCATCTTGGCCAGGCTGGTCTTGAACTCCTGACCTCATGATCCACCCGCCCCGGCCTCCCAAAGTGCCGAGACTGTACAGTTGTGAGCCACTGTGCCTGGCCTCAATTTTTTAAAAATCGAGATATAATTTATATATCATAATATTCACCCAAGACATCTTCTCTATCATTCTTAACAGGTATACATGACAGCCTTCAGAATAAAGACTAGACCCCCTCCAGTGAAGTCCAGAAACTTATATACTACCTCGAGGTTACAGACAGAATGGGGGCTTATGGGAGAGGGAGAAGAATTCTATTGAGGGATTATAAATGATTACTAGGGAGAACGATTGGATGGGGAACAGAAAGTAACTTGTAAAATTCTTTGGAATTTATATGATCCTTGGCAACAGTCACTGTCTTGAAAGAGTCTGTTCAGATGTGGTTACATTCTGGGTCTTCTTTGCTGTGAAGGGTAATGAGATAACGGGCGAACAAGAACAACTGTTCTCCTTGGTGATTCAGTCCTTTCTTTTTGTAGAAGGGGGAAAGTTTCTTCCAGTTTATTGATCTCTAAGGGTGTTGAATTCAAAATACTCACTATACCAGGGAGCCATATTTTGGGGTGAAATATTTTGGGATTTCCTTCACCAGAAAGAGATGCACCTCATGGTATAATATCACCACCATACAGATACAATAGGTGTAACCTGAAAGCATGGGCAAAAGTAAAATAATTAGGAAGTGGGGAGTCTTGAGTGTTACCTTTGCTTTTCATGTAAGTTACTCGATGGTAGGTTTACATAAGTTAATTGTTAATAATGGCTGTGCTGAACAACTGGCTTGCAAAATTCCTGGAAATTCACAGATGTGCTTTCACAAGCCAGCACAGGTCGGCTTGGCACAGGGAGCACCACCTCTTAGGGATGGGCTGCAGGGGAAGAGTCTGAATGATTGAGCAGAAATAACCAAAGGTGAAGAAGGAACGAGAAGAGAAGAGAAGCTAGGGGCTTTGCGGAGCTGACCGTCCTAAGGTGTACGCAGCTATGCCAGCCGCTGGCTGTCTCCTAGGCCATTTCCCTCTCATTTCTGCCCTCCCAGCCCCATGAAAGGCCTCAGGGAGAGGGGTACCAGGTGTGCAGGATGGCCACAGGGATCCGATTCCAAAGGTCTGCTGAGGCAGGCCCAGTAGCAGGCTCAGAGCAGAACAACCCAGCCGCCTCAGACTCAGCTGGCCCCAAACTCAGCCCTGGAAGAGCCTAGGTTTGAGAGACGTGGTTTTCCCGCACAAGGCACAGAGAATGGCCACTCGGGCTTGTCTGGAGGCTGGGAAACTCTGTCCCGGCTTCTCTCTCACCTTCCACCCTCCCTCCTTGCCCTTCTCCAGAGACAGCAGAAAGAGTCCGCCAGGGGAATGACAGACCCCAGGCCCGGGGGCAAGCCCGTCACCTCTCCATCCGTATGGGGTACAATGGTCTCCACCGGGCAGAGTCCATAGCCCGAAGTCAAGCGCAGAAATGTCCCCTCTCCAAGCTCCGGCCTTTTGGCCCAGCCCCACGAAGTTGGGTTCATCGTGTCACATCTGAGAGCAGAGGCAGAACCAGCTACCTGCTCCCCATCTCCCTTCCCACAAAGAGACCACAAATAGATAGGGGCAGGGATCCAGCCAGCCCGGCCGCAGGGAGGGAAACCTGGGCCCCTCGAGCCCCGGGGGGAGGGAGGTGCCCTAGGAGCTGTCCTGGCAGCCGCACCCTCCCCAGGCCGGTGGGGGTGCAGGTGCCCTGGTGTCCGGCGGGGCCTGGACTCTGTCCCCGTGGCGGGGTGGGCGGCGGAGCCTCCGCCTCCCGCCCGAGGACCCCGCACGGCGAGCTCCGCGCCGGTCCCGCCACGCCCCGCAGGCGCCGTCCCCGCGGCCACTCCCTCCCGCGGGCCCAGCCGAACCGCGGCCGCGCTTCCTGCACCCGGGACCCGACAGAGGTGAGTGCGCCGGGCGGCCGGGGCGAGGGTTGACGGCGGCGCCAGCGCGGGGACGCACCCGGGAACGGCTGACCTTCAGCGAGGCCGGCTCCCCGCCAGCTACCGGGGCGGAAAATTCAAATCCAATCTGTGGAATAAAGGCCTTCGGGGGAAGTGGAGCAGGAGAAGGACTGGGGTAGGTCTCTGTGCTAGGATAGGATACAAATGGATGGGGCTCTTGGGGCCCAGGGACTTCCCACCCTGAGGGTGTCATGGAGTGGCGTCTAGGGGGACGGCAGGCCAGAGGGGCTCCCTTGCCCAGGGTTCCTGGAGTGGGGGCAGATCTCAAAAGTCCAGCACTGTCCAGACCCAATGAGGACATGACCTTTCACAGGTCAGCTGCAGCTGAGGCACCGAGAGGAACACTACGGGAGGAGTCCAAGGACCCGGGCCCAGGCGGGAGGTCTGGGCTCCGTGGCAACTCTTAAAGCTGGGGAAATGCTATTCCACCCGGGCCCAGAGAGAGGAGAGAGGCGAAAGGAGGAGGGAGGGGCACACTAATATTTACTGAATGCCCGCCTGGTGCCAGGTACTTCTCACACATTATTTAACTGCCTCGTTTTATCCTTCCATCTTCCCTCATTCATTTATTCAGCAAAACGGGCACTCTGCTGGGCTTTGGCCTGAGCTGGAGGGAGCTGGTCACTGCCCATGTAATTCACACTTTACATGGGAGACAGACTGTAATTCAGAGCGACCGCACGCTACATGGGAGACAGACTATAATTCAGAGTTACCGATGGGAGGTCTGCACTGCTTCTCCTTCTTGCCCAAGATGATCAAAATCAAACTAAGTGGCCCCCAGCAATACACTCCTGGGCCAGTGAGCCCCCACCATCAACATTCAAGGGCCCCTTCTGTATCCACAGCATCACACACACCAGTCACTGAGAGAAGTCCTAGGATACCTCTTAGTCACTTTTGGGTTTCAGTTCAGAATCACCTCTTCCAGGAAGGCTTCCCTGACTTCCCGCCCTCCAGACCAGGTGCTTTTTACTTTGGCTCCTGAGGCGTGGCTCCTCCCTGCCCATTATCCTCCAATCATAGCTGTTATCAGAATGTTGTTCTTGCTGTATTCATCCTGGTTTTCCCTTCTAACCAGTTTCAAAAAATCTCAGCCCCCTCAAGTTCCATGTCTAGTATATACATCATGTTTTTATTTGAATATTTTACCTTGGGAGCTGGATTACCGCAGGACCTCCACTCAAAAAATGGAAACTCGAAACTTATGTCTTACCATCACTATTTTCAGATTCCGTCTGTGCTCCTCAATTTCCTGGGCAGAGTTCATCATTTCCAGGCCCCTGTGGTACAAATTCTGTTACCTCTGATTGACCCCTGGGGCTCCTGACTGAGGAGAGAGAGCAGATAGTAACCCACCTTCTAAAGAAAGTAGCTCCACTTCCAGCTCTCGAAGACTCTCAGCCTCCAAATGCTCTCCCTCTAACCCCAGTTCTACTCCCCGCCCCGCCCCTCCCCGCTGCCCCGTACTGACAGTGTGTGTTGGGGGGTGGAGATTGCAAGGTGGAGGGGGCTGCTGTTGGTGGAAGTCCTGATTAGGGAGTGGAGTCAGGCCCCACCACTAAAGAGGACCTAGACCCAGTGGTCAATTCCAAGGCAAGGGGGAAAATCCCACTCTTGGTTCTATTACACAAATATATTATTTTTTAAAAAGAAATTACAATCTACTTCCAGAAATAGAAAATCAGTACCCCTTGCCACAAAAAGAAGGTAATTAAACAAATAAAAGTGAGGGACTAGGCAGAAGTGTTATTAAACTTTAGCACCTGTGAACATACCTGAGGCCTGCTCTCTAGGCTAAAAAAGGAGATGAGCAAGAATGAGAGTGGTGTTAAAGCACCCATGTGAGGCTTTCTCCTTAGTGTAATAAGACAGATTAAGAAAGGATTGGGACCGGGTGTGGTGGCTCACGCCTGTAATCCCAGCTTTGGGAGTGGATCACTTGAGGTCAGGAGTTCGAGACCAGCCTGGCCAAACACGGTGAAACCCCCGTCTCTACTGAAAATACAAAAGTTAGCCGGGCATGGTGGTGCACGTCTGTAATCCCAGCTACTCTAGAGATGAGGCAGGAGAATTGCTTGAACCCAGGAGGCAGAGGTTGTAGTGAGCAGAGATTGCGTCACTGCACTCCAGCCTGGGTGACAGAGCAAAACTCCATCTCAAAAAAAAAAAAAAAAAACGGCTCTGACGGGAATAACAAAAATAATCACTGACTCCTTCAGTCAGCACCTGCTGAGTGCAGAGAGCCCAGCAGTGCCTGGAGTGATATAAAACAAACCTTCAGTTAATCTTGTTATCAACTAAAGGGCTACTTCTTCCAGGAAGTCCACCCTGATGTGCCCCTTCACAAGCTAAACCTCTCCTGCTGTAACGCTTGCCATGTTTCATTGCAATGGCATATTGTCTTCCACTCCTGAGTATAAATTTCATAAGAACAACCACTAGAGCCAGTTGCGGTGGCTCACGCCTGTAATCCCAGCACTTTGGGAGGCTGAGGCGGGCGGATCACCTGAGGTCAGGAGTTCAAGACCAGCCTGACCAACATGGTGAAACCCCGTCCCTACTAAAAATACAAAATTAGCTGGGCGTGGTGGCACATGCCTGTAATCCAGCTACTTGGGAGGCTGAGGCAGGAGAATTGATTGAACCTGGGAGGCAGAGGTTGCGGTGAGCCAAGATCATGCCATTGCACTCCAGCCTGGGCAACAAGAGCAAAACTCTATCCCCAAAAAAAAAAAAAAAAAAAGAACAACCACTAGGTCTATCTTGTTCACCTCACTGTCCTGGCACCGGCTCCACCCTGGCCCCACAGCCTAGAGCACAGGTGTTAAATGAGCTGATGAACGAATAATGAATGAATAACTGAGTGAGCCTCCCTGACTTCCAATTATGCCTTTCTTTCCTTCTCCCTGCCCTCCTCCCTGTCCTTATCCAAACCCTCCATCCTTCAAGGCCCTGCCAGGGGTCCGGCTTCTCCAGAGGCCTTTTTAAACCAACGGATCCACCCTAAGCCCTCTTGCCCCAGAATATTCCATCGCTGGCAATACGCATACCCAGGGCACATTCAGTTCCATGGTCTGGTGTGTTCCCCACACCTCCAGAGGGCAGGGGCTGTGGGTGACACTTAAACCACAGGTGCTCAGGAAACACTGAGGAGTGACTCCACATGGTCCAGCCTCCAAGTACAGAGCTGTGTTGGGTCTCAACAGCTGTGTTAGTTTCCTGTTGCTATGGAACAAATTACCACCAACTAACTTAGTATCTTAAAACAACACACATTCATTATTTTAGAATTCTAGAGGACAGAATAGAGTCTCACGGGGCTAAAACTAAGGTGTTGGCAGGGCCAGCCAGGTCCTTTGTGGAGGTCCAGGGGAGACTCCATTTCCTTGCCTTTTTCAGCGTCTCAGGCCTGCCTGCATTTCTTGGCTTGCGGCCCCTCCCATCTTTAAAGCTGACAGTGGATGGCGGAGCCCTTCCCTCTCTACATCACTCAAAGTTTCTCTTCTGCCTCCTGTTTCCACCCTTGTGATGACACTGGGTCCACTTTGATAACCCAGGATCATCTCCCCATCTCAAAATCTCTATCACATTTGCAAAGTCCATTTAATGTGTAAGGTAACATGTTCACAGGTACCAGGGATTAGAATCCAGTCATCTTTTTTTTTTTTTTTTTTTAACAGACAGAGTCTTGCTCTGTTGCCCAGACTGGAGTACAGTGACACGATCTCGGCTCACTGCAACCTCTGCCTCCCGGGTTCAAGCGATTCTCATGCCTCAACCTCCCAAGTAGCTGGGACTACAGGCATGCACCCCCACGCCCAGCTAATTTTTTTTTTTTTTTTTTTTTTTAGTAGAGACAGGATTTTGCCATGTTGGCCAGGCTGGTCTCAAGTGATCCGTGCGTCTCGGCCTCCCAAAGTGCTGAGATTACGGGTGTAAGCCACCGCGTCCAGCCAAGGCCACATTCATCTTTGAGGGCTGTTGTTCTGCCTACCACAGTAGTAGCTGTCCCTTGTAGTCACAGGACACACTGGCTGGTGGAATATTCCTAGTAGCTGACATTTACTGCTCCAGGCACATTACATGACACTCCATGAGTTAGGTGCCATCATTGTCATTTTACAGATAAGGAACAGAGGTTAAATAACTTGGCATGTGGCAGAGCTGGGATTTGAACCTAGGCAGTGGGGCTCCAGGGTGCACCTTCCTGGCCTCTTGGCTACACTGCCTCTCTGGCACCATTATTGCCCTCAAGATGCCTGGAACAGGCCAAGAAGATCTGAAGCCCAGCTCAGGAGGAGAATTTTCTCCAAGGTTTTCTAGGTAAGGCCCCTGTTTAGGCTACAAATTCTCTGCCAGTGATCTCTCATTTCAGCCCTTTCTCACCCTCCCACACCATCCACACTCTATTATAGGCACCTAAGCCGTGATCCAAGAGGGCTGGAGGGAGAACTGCCAATGGTTTTCTTCAGGGGTCCCAGGCAGTTAAGGCTGGAAAAGTTTCTGTGTGCCAAATACCACTCACATCCATCCCTGTCCTCCCCCAGCACCCGCACACCAAGTCACGTGAGCCCCACAGGAGGCAAATCTTATGTAGCAAATCAAAGAAAAGTAATCACCATTTACCCAGCTCACTGCCACAAAGAAGCCTGCACCCTTAAATGAGATTGGAACACATACGCCTTCCATGGGCATCGGGGGAAGAAGGGATGGCTTAACATTTATTAATTGAGCATTACTAGGGTCAGGCACAGTTCTAAGCGTTTTATACTTACTAACTCAGTTAATACAACAACCCTGTGCAGTACTGTTTTGTTGTTGTTGTTGTTTTGTTTTGTTTTTGTTTTTGAGACAGAGTCTTGCTCTGTTGCCCAGGCTGGAGTGCAGTGGCAGGATCTCGGCTCACTGCAACCTCCACCTCCTGGGTTCAGCAATTGTCCTGCCTCAGCCTCCTGAGTAGCTGAGATTACAAGCGGCCACCACCATGCCTGGCTAAGTTTTGTATTTTTAGTAGAGACAGGGTTTCACCATGTTGGCCAGGCTGGTCTTGAACTCCTGGCCTCAAGTGATCTGCCCGCCTCAGCCTCCCAGTGTGCTGGGATTACAAGCATGAGCCATCGTGCCTGGCCCAGTACTTATTATTATTATACTCAGTACTTATTATTATAATAATACTCAGTATTATTCCCATTTTACATATCAGGAAACTAAGGCACAGAGAGAATGTCACTTGTTGATGGTCACATAACCAGTAAGTGGAGGAGCCAGGATTGGGGCCGTTCTCCCTAAGCAGGGAACCAAGGCAGAGGCTGACCAGAGCTGAATAGCCCCAGCCTGGGTCATGCTACTTCCGTCAACAAAGCCCCCTCTTGTGCCTTCCCAGCATAACCTGTTGTTTTTGGACCTGGCAAGGCTGGTTTCCTGGTTTCTATGTCAACCACACTTCCATTTAATTAATTTATTTCCATTCCTTTTTTCTTCTTCTTCTTTTTTAAATAGAGACAGATTCTTGCTATGGCTATGGCTACAGTCTTACCCAAGCTCTTCTTGAAGCCCCGGCCTCAAGTGATCCTCCCACCTCAACCTCCCAAGGTGCTGAGATTACAGGCATGAGCCATCATGTCCAGCCTTCAACCAGATTTCTTGACAGCACCTTTATATGTGATTCTTACACCAATCTTCATTGTTAACCCCATTTTAAAGAAGCAGAAACCAAGGCCCAGGGAGGCTACATAACTTGCCAGAGCTCTCAGAGCCAAAAAGCAACAGATGTGGAATTCAAACCCGGGCATTCAGATGCCCAAGTTCCCTGCACTCCCACTCTCCCAAACTGCCTCAGCCTGAGCAAGCCCAACCTGAAGCCTTCCTCCTGGAGTCCAAAGTCCAGCCAGGAATGTGACATGGGCTCCCCAGCCCTCCAGATGTGTGTGCTCACACTTTGTCTGGACTTGTTCCTCCTTGGCCTTCGAACGTTCTGCCCTCAGATGTCCCCATTAGTCACAGTCTGTCTGAGAGCCCTCGGATTAGCTGGATGGGAGCAGACGCAACTTTGTGGTGGTCATCAGGTTGTCCCATTCATCAGCTCAGGCCTGAGCCTGCTGGAGTGTGGTCGTTGCCAGAAACAATAACTCTTAGGAAAGAAAACCAGCCTCTTTCTGCCTGAAACTGTCCTGAGAGGTGCTTGACTCAGCATCGGCAATTATTTCCCAGAAGGAAAGTTACCGACCTGATTCGGCAGCCGCGTGCTCCGCTCTAGAAAGCTCATGGTGACGGGAAGCACAGGACAGGGGTGGATCAGCAAGAGAAGGCTTGGGCCTGAGCAGAGACTGAGATGAGCTGGCGCTAGAACCGAGGGAGGAAGTAGGGACTCATTCTGTTGTTTAGGGGATAAAGAGAGATTTCCGCGAAGGCTAGCCAGCTGTGCTAATTGGAAGAACGAAGTGGAAAAACAGTGATTTTCAAAAGTAGATCATCTGTGCACATTCTGAAATATATGCACATTTTTCCATTAGTATGAGTTTGCAGTGAGGATGTATCTGATGCATCCGTTTCTGTATCAGTCAGACTCAGCAGGAAGCAGATGGCACCCTCAAGCAGGGTAACTGATGAGAGTTTAACACAAAGGTGTGGACAGGGTTAAGGGATGGTGCCACACGGTGGGACGGCCATGCCTCAGGAGCTGTTACTAGCCCTAGGCTTGCAGGAAGAAGGAAGAGACAAGTGCAGGACAGGGACTCCAACAGGAACTGAGCTGACATCTTCAGCCGAGGGAGGCAGCCAACCTGAAGTGACCCTGGCAGAGTGGATAAATACTGCCGGGTCTTCACTCTCCTCCCATCCTCTGATCTCCAGTTAGTGCTTCCTATCACCCAAATCTAACAGACGCTGGAAGGCAGGGTGCCGGGTGACATCATCCTTAGAGTAGGGGGATGGAGACTGGATCTGGATAGGTGGATAGAAAGTATGCAGCACATTGCTGGTGCAGGAGCCTCTTTCACACATTCCTTTGGCTGCCATTTTCTGGACACCTGCAGTGTGTCACTCTGGGTTTGACACTGGGGAAATGCAGTGAATGAGCTGTCCTCAGGCTCTGTGTAGAGATTCTGCCTTTACAGATGCCAGGATAAAAAGAAAATCCCACAAGTGACTGGAAAAGAAGAAATGGATGCAAACATCACTGGCACTGGGGGTGGTGAATTTCAGACCATGTCTCTGGAGCCCAGCCCAATGTGGGAGATAATTTCTGTGGGCGAGACAGATAGTTATTAGTGCAGCATTTCCAATCAGCATTTCAAAAGCGTAGGTCATAATTTACATTCTCTAGGCTCAGGAAGGTTCTGGAAGACAATATGTGCTTAATTTACCATTAGTGAGCTGTTTTGTTGCTTGTAAAGCCAGGTTTTATTTACAAAACAACAAATTCTGCTGTCTCTGCCAAGGACTGGACATCTTGACACCAAGAAACATAGCAAAATCCAGTCAAAAGTGACTTTGCAAGCAGTATGATGAATTTCTATATGGTTCTCCAGCTCCAGCATTTTCTTAGGGAAAGCATGGCCAGAAATGCCCAAGTCTGTATTTTGGCAACAGCCCAAGCTTCTCAGACTCCACTGGCCAGTTCCAGATCTTTAAGTAACTATAATAAGAGCCATGCTGTCTGTCTCTAAAAAGTGAAGCATGAATCAAAAGTGACTTTGTTTTAATTTAACAGCATTGAGACTGTGAAAGGCACTGGATATGTTTAGGCACCTGTAAACGGAGAATGTGGGGTGAAAAAAGAGAGGCATAGCTGGGTGCGATGGCTCACGCCTGTAATCCCAGCACTTTGGGAGGCTGAAGCAGGCAGATCACTTGAGGCCAGGAGTTTGAGACCAGCCTGGCCAACACGGTAAAACCCCGTCTCTACTAAAAATACTAAAAATTAGCTGGGTGTGGTGGCACACGTCTGTAATCCCAGCTACTTAGGAGGCTGAGGCATGAACATTGCTTGAACCCAGGAGGCCGAGATTGCAGTGAGCCAAGATCATGCCACTGCACTCCAGCCTGGGTGACAGAGGGAGACTCTGTCTCAACAAAAGAAAAGAAAAAGAGAGGCAGGAGACAGGGCCACCAAGTACTGGCACACTGTGCCAACTCCAGGGACCACCAACTGATAGATTGCAGCATGCACGGCACCCTTGAGGTTGTGCAGTGTGGTAGCCCTGGCAGGATTCATTCTGTAATACATTTTCTACAGGGCATGCTCTGTACTCCTGATAGTCAGAGTCCTCGATCTGGCAACTGACAATGAGCTTTAAAACAGCCCACCTCTTTCCTAGAGAGATAAGACGAGGCAGAACAGAATCATTGGAAGAAACAGCTTCAGAGTCAGAACTCCTGTCAAGTCCTGGCTCAGTCACTTGGGAATTGAGTGGCCTCAGGCAATTTATGAAACCTCAGTTTCCTGATCTGTGAAATGGAGAGAATAAAACTACTTGTTTTGGAGATGAAAAGAGATCATGCACAGGCACTAAGGACACAGGAAGCATTTACAAGATAAGAGCAATTGAGCCTGCAGTGAGCCGCCACTGTACTCCACTGTACTCTGGGGGACGACAAAG
Organism: Homo sapiens; assembly: GCF_000001405.40. Lineage (NCBI taxonomy): Eukaryota > Metazoa > Chordata > Mammalia > Primates > Hominidae > Homo > Homo sapiens. The sequence continues at coordinate 91,255,846 of NC_000014.9, read as the reverse complement.
TGAGACCCTGTTTCAAAAATAAATAAATAAATAATAAATGATAAGAGCTGCAAATAAGAGGATATTTGGAATGTCCAATGACAGTGATAATAACAGCTAACATCTATTGAACCCTCATGTGTGCTGGGCCTTGAGCTAAGGGCTTTACTTGGTTTAACTCATGTAATCATCTTAGCCCTCATTTGAAGATGTGTCTCCATTTCACAGATGGAAACAGGCACAGAGAGGTTAAAAGACTTGTCCAGGGTCACCCTACTAGCGCGTAGTACAACTGGAATTCAAATGCTGACACTGGCTTTCAACGCCAAACTCTTCACAACTACATTCAGTTTGGCAACTTTTAGAAAGCAGATGTGAATTTTTATGGCATAGTCAACCCAGAAAATTCCACTTGTGAGGACTTTCTAAGGAGGAATTTCAAAATGAAGACCAGCAGAGGAGGCTTATCCAGCCTCTTAGCCTGCTGGGATGTTGCTGGGGTAGTGCCCAGTGAGAAAAGCAAATCCTCCCGCCTCCACACTCCCTGTGCCTCTCTCTGCCTCCTCCTGCTCCCCGGCCTTCCCCCGCTAGGGCACCTTCTGTCCTCTTACCCACTGTCCATCCTTCTGGAGATTCACCTAGAGGCTAAGTCACACCGTGTGGAGCACTGAGCCACCTAGAGGGGTTAGCAGAAGGTGAGATGTTTGCTCTCTTTCTCCTTCTACCTCCCCTGCCTGCAGTTCCAATCACCCTTCATCCCTAACCTGCAACCATCTGTCCTGACAACCGCCCAACCTTCTGCAGACTCTTGCCGTGACAGTTCCAGACATTCATTTCACAAATAGGAATGGGGGCACCCTGCTTTGAGCAGGATAACTGGGCTGAGAGCAAGGGCCCTGTAGAGAGACAGCTGTGTGCCAGCGACCCCAGCGGCAGTGCAATGCTGGGAAAGGGGCTAAGGGCACACAGCAGGGTTCAGCACACATTACCTGGGGCAACCAAGAATGCTCCCTAGGGGAAGTGACTTGGGGTCTTAAGATGGGGGCAGGAGTTCAGGAGGTGGGAAACAGGAGGTCTATAGAGTGGGGAGGGCCACAGGAGCCAAGGTATGCAATTGTGAAAGAGCAGAAGGAAACAGCCAAGGGTGGCTTGGGACAGGATGTGGGTAGGAGGAGGGCTTCTGTACCCAACTGCCTGGATTTGAATCCCGAGGCCTCTACGTACCACCTGTGTGACCTTGGGCAAGTTGTTTGCCCTCTCTGTGCCTCATTCCCCTATGTATAAGATGGGAATAACAATACTGTCTACATCATAGAGCCCTGAACATCAAATGAGTTAATGTAATTAAGTACTTAACAACAGAGCCCAGCACACAGCTGTGCTCAATAGATGCGGGCTGGGACTATTATTACTATTATCTGTGAGGATGTGGGGCAGAGGGGCCTAAGGCCTCCTTGAATTATCAAGAAGGTCAGTAGGAGGTCCTCTAAGCCATCCCTGCGGCAGACAGGCTCCGGCTCTGAGGAGCACCGGGCAGGGACCCAGGAGGCTGCAAACCTAAGTGCAGATCCCCAGGCTGGGCTGGACAGGCTGAGGTCAGGGCAGGTGCAGAGAGGCCCAGAGCTGCAACACCGCACTTCATTTATTGCGTGGCTACTGATTTGCCCGTGCTGGGCACACGGACGTGGTAAAGGACAGAAGGGCTACTCCTGGACTGTTCTCTGGGCTTCTCACCCTGCGGTTGTGGTGAGAGGCTGCTGACAGCCAGGGCACCCGGGAGTGGGCGTGGCTGGAGAAGGACCCCTGTCCTTTTACAGCTAGGCCCACTCTGAGCCCCACGCAGTGTTCTAGAGCCTGTCCCCCCAGGGCAGGATGGTAGTGGGGGCAGGGGTCCCTGAGCCATTGCGGCCCTTCCCGGCAGGCGCCAAGCCTAGGGGCTGTGGTCAGCGTGAAAGGCAGGGCATGGACCCTCACTCAGGGCTGCGTGTGCCCGACGTGGGTGGGGGGGGCGTGGAATCGGAGCACAACTTGGCCCTGCGTTCCCAGGAAGGGACCCGAAGACCTCCCCAGGCCACCCCGCCATCTGCGTGCGCGCTGGCAAGAGGAGGGGCGCGGGGTAATGGTGGCCGGCGCCACAGCCCCGCGCCGCGCAGGTAGGTGTCCCCGCGAGCCAACCCCTTTCTCTCGCCTCGCCTGTGGGTCCCCGGCGCGCCGGACCCCGGAAACCGCGCGCGGGCCAAGGCCGGGTCTCGGCACCTCCCCCGGAGCGGCCCCGCGAGCGCGGGGGAACCGGGCGGGCCAGTGCGGGTGCAGGCGCGTGCGCGTGCGAGGCGGGGGCGCGCCCCAAGCGAGGCCGCCGGGGCGTGGCGGGGGCGGGAGACGCGGCAGCGGCCGGGACCGCGGGTGTCTGTCCGCGAGCGCCGGCGCGGCCCGGTCCCTGTCCCGGGCGGGGCGTCTCCGCCTGCGGTCGCCGCCCGGGTTAGCAGCCGCCCCCTCGGCTGGCTCCGCGGCCACCTGGTAATTACTCCCGCCCCCACAAAAAGTGCGAGACACCGCGAGCCCTTCATTTCCCAGAGCCCGGCCGCACCGGCCATTCCGAGTCCGTTTGGGCCTTTACATCCCCCAGATCTGCGCGGCCCCTCAGGGCAGCCCTGAGATCCCGACAGCTCCCCCTGCCACCGATGAGGGGAGAGCTGGCTCACTGCTCGGTGGGCTGGGGCAGCGCCAGGTGGGGTCCTAGGTTGCAGGCCCCCCACCCCCCAACTACTCCGCCAAGCAAATGGCCCAACGGAGGCAGCAGGGTCCAGGTGGTCCTCTGGGTGGTCCCCCAGCTGGAGAACAGGGGCTGCGGTGGCGAGAGGGCACAGGCAGGGGAGAGAGCCCTGCCTTGGAGCCAGAGGCTGTGTAGCTTTGCGCAGGTCACCTGCTGTGGCTGGGCTTCTGTAAAACTGAGATGAAAATGTTAGCCATTGTCACCTCACTGAGGTGTGAGGCTGGTTTGAGAGTCTGCAAATCTGAGATGCTATAGTTACGTTTGGCTTTACTCCCTCTGCCCCTACCTGCACACACAGGATCGCTTCCAAAAGGAGGCAGGGAAACAAATTCCTGAGCTCAACAGTGGAAGTGGGGCTGGACAGTGAGGATGCTGTGGACTGTGGGCTTTTCACTTGCCAGCCCAGTTCCAGAACCAGATAGTCTAAGTCCAATCCCAGCTCTTCCATATTTTAGAGCTATTACTGGGCAAGTCGCTTTTTTTTTTTTTTTTTTTTGAGATGGAGTCTTGCTTTGTCACCCAGGCTGGAGTGCAGTGGTGCAATCTTGGCTCATTGCAACCTTGACCTCCTGGGTTCAAGCGATTCCCCTGCCTCAGCCTCCCAAGTAACTGGGACTACAGGCGCCCACCGCCATGCCTGGCTAATTTTTGTATTTTTAGTAGAGACGGGGTTTCACCATGTTGGTCAGGCTGGTCTCGAACTCCTGACCTCAAGTGATCCGCCTGCCTCGGCCTCCCAAAGTGCTGGGATTACAGGCGTGAGCCACCACGCCCAGCCTATGTTGTCTCTTTCTAAGCCTCTGAGTTTTCTGTGAAATGGGCAACATAGTAGGGCGGTTATGGGATTGCACAGGTGAAATCCGACCTTGAAAGCCTTGCAATGTCCTCTGAATGTCAGCTCCGCCCACTTTTATTATTACTGTCATACCACACGCTTCTGGGTAAGGTGCACACTGTCAGAAGAGAAGACTCAGCTAACAGGAAACAAAGTGGAAAACAGGTTCAAGGCAGCAAATGTAAAGTGTGAAGGTGTCCAGAGGTTGGTGGACTTCAGTGGGTGGACCCAAAGAGGGGCTGGTGACTGAAGACCCCTGAGGGAAGGAGGAGCACTTGGCACCAGCCACGGTGAGGATGATGATGATGGTGGTAGAGGAATGAGCTTTAGCATCAGAATTCCTGTTTCATCTTTCCTAGCTGGTTGGCCTCAAACAAGATATTTTAACTTTCTGAGTCTCACTATCTCATAGGGAGAGTGGAGATGATAATACCTACACCTCAAGGAATTGTTATAAAAATTGAAATCAAATAATTATATGAATGAATCCAGCACATGATAGGCCCTAAAGTGATTTGGGGAGACAAATAATTTATGTTCCTGTTATCTATTGCTGCATAACAAACCACATTTAAAGATATTAACTTAGACCGGGCGCAGTGGCTCACGCCTGTAATCCCAGCACTTTGGGAGGCTGAGGCGGGCAGATCACGAGGTCAGGAGATCGAGACCATCCTGGCTATCACGATGAAACCCCATCTCTACTAAAAATACAAAAATTAGCCGGGCATGGTGGCAGGCGCCTGTAGTCCCAGCTACTCGGGAGGCTGAGGCAGGGGAATGGCGTGAACCCGGGAGGAGGAGCGTGCAGTGAGCAGAGATCGTGCCACTGCACTCCAGCCTGGGTGACAGAGCAAGACTCCGTCTCAAAAAAAAAAAAAAAAAAGAGTAGCGGCTACGTGTTTACACTTCAGTATACCCAACCCAACTTGCAAGTCTTCCTCCTGATTAGTTGGCAGTCTTTCTTGCAGGGCTTGGTGGGGATGGCTCATCTCTGCTCCTTGGAGCATCAGCTGAGATGGCCCTACTAGGGGATCCTCATCCAGGATGACATACTGGTATGCAAGACAAGTCGAACCTGGCTGTCAGCTAGGGGTGCAGCAGGGGCTGCTGGCCAGGGTTTGGTTCCGCTCCATGTGGGCCTGTCATCGAGGCTGCTTGGCTTCCTCACAGCATAGCACTTAGGTTTCAAGAACAATTATTCCCAGATGACAGGAAGTGGGAACTGCCAGTCTCTTCAGGCTTAGCCTCAAAAACCGGTACAGTGTCGCTTCCATGCTATTTCTGTTGGTTAGGCAGTCAGAGGGCCTGCCTAGGTTCAAGGGAGGGAACTTAGACCCCCACTTCTCAACGAGGAAAATCTCAAACAGTTTGCAGCCACCTTGGGTCGGCCACAACTTGAGTCTTCTCTTCTGCATTTTTTTTTTCTGGGTGCCATGGTGATGAATTAATGAATCTTTTGCAAAAGTTGAAGTGTTTCTCCCAGGAGAAGGACCTGCAGAGACAGACATGGGCCTTATCACAGTCCATTTTGGTCAGAATCAGTATCTCTGGGCCTGACACAGGGCTAAGGGAGCAAGCATCCTACCCAGTGGCCTCTCTAGCATCATTTTCCCTGGAACCTCTGAGGCTTCAATCCCCAGCTTTGTCAACCCTGGGGACAAACAAGAGGGAGAAGCCAACAAGAGAGCAATTTGGATTCAAGAAAATAGGTTTGGGCAGGTGGCCCGGGGTTGAGTGTAATGAGCATATTTGAAGCTCTCAAGTCGCTGGAGAAGTCTGTTTGTTTTTCAAGAGGGCTGCTTCCTGTGTGTTTGGAGTGACTGTTGTCATACATTATTAGGTTATTAATTGATGGGCTGGAGCACTCTGCAGGCAGTGGGGGCAGTAGGCCACAGGGGTTGCCATGGCAACCTCCAGGTCTGTGGTCTGTGCTGCGGCTGCAGACAGGAGAGATGCCCCAGGCAGCTCAGACCTTCTCAGACCACAGACTCTCCTGGCTGCAAGTCCCCGGTTCAGCACCAGGAAATGCACTTCCACGTAAGGCCACTCACTCACACCCTGAGAGTCCAAACCAAGCCTCTTCTTGTTGCCTCATCCTATATCCTGACTGTTTCCACCAGATTGTTAGTTTCTGACTTCAATTTTAGCCACGCTGGCCTTCCCAGCAGGCTACAGGAAGAAGCAGAATTTAGATTCATTTATTCACCCAAACGTTCGGCATGTTTTTGGTGTGCACGGTGCCTAGCAAAGAACAAAATAGACCCAGCTCCTCCTTCCCCAGGCAGCTTCCTGTGTAAAGGGGAAGATAGGCATTAACCAATAGTCACACATATTTCCATGCATTACATTGGTGAATATTAAAATACAATGATGGACCAGGTGCGGTGGCTCATGCCTATAATCCTAGCACTTTGGGAGGCCAAGGTGGGCAGATGGCTTCAGCTCAGAAATTTGAGACCAGCGTAAGCCACATGGTGAGACCTTGTCTCTACTAAAAATACAAAAATCAGCCAGGCATGGTGGCATGACCCTGTAATCCCAGCTACTTGGGAGGCTGAGGCACAAGAATCGCTTGAACTCGGGAGGTGGAGGTTGCAGTGAGCCAAGATCGTGCCACTGCACTCCAGCCTGGGCAACAGACGGGAGACTTGTTTCAAAAAAATAAATAAATAAAAATAAAAATAAATAAATACAATGATGGAACCAATCCCTTGCATATACTAAAAAATTTTTTTAAAAATACAGTGAGCTGGGCGTGATGGCCCATACCTGAGTCCCAGCTACTGGGGAGGCTGAGGCGGCAGGATTGCTTGAACCCAGACTTTCGAGGCTGCAGTGAGCTATGATCGCACCATTACACTCCAGCCTGGGTGACAGAACAGGGACCCCATCTCTAAAAATTAATTAATTAATTAAAAATGAAAACACAGTGAATTCAGACCTTGAATTGAATACCAGCACTGCTGCTTGCTTGCCAGCTGTGTGACCCTTGGTCTTGGATAGCCCTGAGCTTTCAGTGATAAAGCTGGGATGATATTTACCTGGTGGGTTGCTGTGAGGCATCAAGGCAGCCTATGGAAAGCTCAATGCCTTGCTTATACTGGGAGCTCAAAGCAGGTGAGCACCCACCCTGCATCCCCTTGCTCAGCACCCGTTTGTCATTTAGAACCTCAGGCCACCTTCTTTCTGTGTGAAGCATGTGTGAGGAGCCCTTGTCCCAGCTCCCTTGTACCACAGTGATAAAAACACTCAGAGCTCAATTTTTCCTTCCTTCCCTCCCTCCTTTTCTCTTCCTTCTTTCCTTCCTTCCTTCCTCCCCTCCCCTCCCTCCTTTCCTCCCTTCCTTCCTTTGGGTCTTTCTCTGTTACCCAGGCTGGACACTACAGCCTCAAACTTTCAGGCTCAAGGGATCCTCCCTTCTTGGCCTCCCAACTAGCTGGGACTACAGGTGCGGGCCACCACAACCAGCTAATATTTTAAATTTTTGTACAGACAAGGTCTCACTTTTTTGCCCAGGCTGGTCTCAAACTCCTGGCTTCAAGCAATTGATCCTCCTGCCTTGGCCTCCCAAAGTGCTAGAATTACAGCTGTGAGCCACCATGCCTGGCCCTTTCCATTATCAAGTATTTATTTAGTCCAAACACTTGTGCAGCATTATAGCAATTGCCATGGGGATACAAGAGATAAAGGTGGTCCTCAGTTCATGTTAGAAGGGCAGAATCAGGCCGGGCGTGGTGGCTCACACCTGTAATCCCAGCACTTTGGGAGTCTGAGGAGGGCAGATCACGAGGTCAGGAGATCAAGACCATCCTGGCTAACACGGTGAAATCCCATCTCTACTAAAAATACAAAAAATTAGCCAGGCGTGGTGGCGGGCGCCTGTAGTCCCAGCTGCTCAGGAGGCTGAGGCAGGAGAATGGCGTGAACTCGGGAGGCGGAGCTTGCAGTGAGCTGAGATTGCGCCACTGCACTCCAGCCTGGGTGACAGAGCGAGACTCCATCTCAAAAAAAAAAGAAGGGAAGAATCTCGGGCCCTACCCCAGACCTACTGAACTGAACCAGAAGATACACTAACAAGATTCCTGGGAGATGTATAATACATGCACACTAACATTCGAGAAGCAGCGCTGTACAGGGTTTTTGTTTTGTTTTGTTTTGCTTGACACATGGTTTCACTCTAGTCGCCCAAGTGTGATCTCGGCTCACTGCAACCTCCACCTTCTGGGCTCAAGCAATTCCCCAGCCTCAGCCCCCTGAGTAGCTGGGACTACAGGCACATGCCACTGCACCCACCAATTTTTTGTATTTTTTGTAGAGACGGGGTTTCACCATGTTGCCCAGATTGGTCTCAAACCCTGAGTCAAGCAATCCACCCGTCTCAGCCTCCGAAAGTACTGGGATTATAGGCATGAGTCACCTCACCCAGCCAGCACTATACAGGGTTTTAAGTAAGTATCACAAGGTGGGTGTGGGAGGCAGAATAATGCCCTCTCTAAAGAGGCCCAGTTCTTAATCCCCAGAACCTGCCACTGCGTTACCTTACGTGGCAAAGGGAGATTAAGGCAGCAGGTGGAATTAAGACTCCTAATCAGCTGACCTTAAAGTAAGGAGTGATCCAGCATTGTCACAAGCAAGGACCCTTTGAAGTGGAAGAGGGAACATGAGAGTCAGAAGAGGAGATGTGATGTGAGAAGGACTCAGTTGACTGCTGTAGGCTTTGAAGATGGAAGATGCCACAAGCCAAAGTATGCTAGAAGTCTCTAGAAGCTGGAAAGACAAGGAAATGGATTTTAGAGCCTCAAGAAAGAATGCGGCCCTGCAGACTGCAGTTTTGATTTTAGCCAGTAAGATCGATGTCATGCTTTTGACCTCCAAAACTGCAAGATAAGAAATCGATGTTGTTTCAGCCAGCCACGGTGGCTCACGCCTGTAATCTGAGTACTCTGGGAAGCCAAGACAGGTGGATCACTTGAGGCCAGTAGTTTGAGACCAGCCTGGCCAACATGGCAAAACCCCATCGCTACTAAAAATACAAAAATTAGGGCCAGGTGTGGTGGCTCACGCCTGTAATCCCAGCACTTTGGGAAGCCGAGGTGGGCGGATCACCTGAGGTCGAGAGTTCAAGACCAGCCTGACCAACATGGAGAAATCCCATCTCTACTAAAAATACAAAATTAGCCAGGCATAGTGACACATGCCTGTAATCCCAGCTACTCAGGAGGCTGAGGCAGGAGAATAGCTTGAACCTGGCAGGTGGAAGTTGCCGTGAGCCGAGATCACGCCATTGCACTCCAGACTGGGCAACAAGAGCGAATCTCAAAAAAAAAAAAAAAAAAAAAAAGTTAGCCTGGTGTGGTGGCGCATGCCTGTAATCCTAGCTCCTTGGGAGGCTGAGGCAGGAAAATTGCTTGAACCCAGGAGGTGGAGGTTGCAGTGAGTGGAGGTGGTACCACTGCACTCCAGCCTGGGCAACAGGATAATCCCTGCCACACAGAGTTGATATAAGGATTAAACAAAGGATGGGCACAGCACCTGGTGCAAAGCAAATGCTCAGGAAATGGTAAAGGGAGCTCTTGGCACTGAGCCACTCCAGGCTATTTTCTAACTCCTTGAGGGCCAAGCACATGAGAGAGCATGGGCTCTTTTTTCTCTTACTGAGCTAGCATTTCACAAAGACCTGGGCTCAGCCAATTTGAGTAAAACCAAAGAAAGTTTCACCCCTCCTTCATCCCAAAGGCATGGTCCTTACTCCAGGTGCAGTAGGGCACATGCTGCCAGCAGAGGGGCTGGGGCAGCTTGCCAGCCCCTGGCAGGGCTGGAGGCGGGAGGGGACACCATGCCATTAGTGGTTCCTGCAGGTATAGACGATGATGGTGTAGACGGCCGGTGTGTGCACACCCTGTTAGGACAGGCCACCCCGTAGAGGGCCAGAGGTGCTCTCTCTGGCAGGTTGTGTCCTAGGGGTAAGCCAGGCAGTCACTGCTAAGTCAGTTCTGTGCTCCTAACCCCGCGTCCTCCTATATGACATCAGGGAAAGCCAGCCACACTTCCGCAACTCAGAAGTAGCACGTGTGTCTAAATGCACGCTACTGCACCACAACAAGCTGAAGCCTTTGCTCGTAACATAAGGCCTGCAAGAAGCAACTGACGTAGGAAACTTTTTTTTTTTTGAGACGGAGTTTCGCTTTTGTCGCCCAGTCTGGAGTGCAATGGCATGATCTCAGCTCACCGCAACCTCTGCCTCCCAGGTTCAAGTGATTCTCCTGCCTCAGCTTCCCGAGTAGCTAGGATTACAGGCATGCGCCACCACCCCCAGCAAATTTTTGTATTTTTAATAGAGATGGGGTTTCACCATGTTGACCAGGCCGGTCTCCAACTCCTGACCTCAGGTGATCCACCCGCCTCGGCTTCCCAAAGTGCTAGGATTCCAGGCGTGAGCCACCGCACCTGGCCGGAAATAGTTTTTAAAAGGCCTGCTATGTGGTAGCATTTGCTTGGAGGGCCCAGGCCCCACTGAAGGGGATTTCCTTAGACCCCCTACCAACAGAGTGAGGGCAGTGGAGCCAAGGCTCTTGGCATGAATAAGATGGGCATCAGTGTTTTAAACTGTGTTGGTCCCCAGAGCAGGGACCAAGCACAGGGCTCTGGCCACTTCCAGCAGGAAGGACTCGCACCCCCAGTGGCCCCATGCACCGTATCTGTTGGCTTCCTGGCTCTGGCAACGTAGCTTATAATCAGCTTCCAAGGAGTCTGCCTTGGAGGGAGGTGGTTACGCCAAAATGCTGGGCCTTTCCATCCTCCGTGTTATGTGTGTGAGGGAGGGAGTTTAGTAAGTGCTCCTGAGAGCCAGAAGGGCCCCCGGGGCCAGAGCCCTGGGCTTGATTCCTTCTCTGGGGACCGACACAGTTGAAAACATTGATGCCCGCCCTATCCTTACTGATGCCCAGAGCCTTAGCTCCACTGCCTTCGCTCTGCTGCTCTGCCAAACAGGATCCTACCTGCTTCACCACATCCGTGGCTGCCCACCTTCACTGCACTTTAGAACAGTCCAGGGAGCTTTAGAGCCACTGATGCTGGCACGTCACTTCCAGGAAACATGATTTAACCAGCCCCGGGTGGGGCCCGGGCATTGGTATTTTTTTTGTAGGCTCCCAGGTATGTTCTCATGCACATGGCCAGGGTTGAGCCCCAGTGACCCAGATGTTGGCGGCTTCCCCCACCCTTGCCTGGATCCCGGTATCCTGTAGGTGCTGAAAGGTGGCTAGAATTAGCCCACCCCCTCCTCCTGTATCCCCCCACCACAGTCCTGAGGGCACCTGCCCCTAGCTCAGGCTTTCACATTCCCAGCGAGGCTGCTCACTGACTCTGGGTTGCATGGAGAGCAGAGGAAGATGCGTGGAGAGAGCCATTCCGCCGCCCTCAGCCTCTGGCTGGCGAGTGGTTCCTCGGCAACCGCCCAGCCTGACACCAGATTGGAGTTCACATGATTCTGCCTCAGCTCGGGAATGGGCAGCCTCCAGCTGGGGATTTTCTAGCCGGAGCTGGGAGGTTCAGGCTGCGGGAAGTCGCTGGAGGGAGAGCTGGGATCGTGGCTGCAAGGGTGCCCAGGCTCCTGCAGAGCCTCTGCAGGAAGCCCAGCTGTTTGAGGTTTGAAGGCAGAGCCTAGCTGGGGCAGGCAGAGTCAGAGAGGACTCGTTTCAGAGTCCCCCCTCAGAGGACTCCCTCCATCCTGATTTCAGCAGCTGCCTGCTCCTCACCTGGTTGCAGAGACCACACTGCCTTCCTGGGGCCCTGAGGCTCTAGGAGAAGCTGGAAAGCACAGGTGGGGGTCCATCCAGCTGTTTCCAAACTGCGGGTTGTGACCCATTCATGGGTCAGTAAATCAACTTCATAGCTCATGACCTGCATTTAAAAAATTGAAATAGAATAGAAATGATCAGAGTGCGTGGCAAGAAGTAGGGTAAGTATTGCTTTGGGGAAGTTTGTTGCTTTGTACAGATGTGTGTGTGTGTGTGTGTGTGTGTGTGTGTGTGTGTGTCTGTGTTCTGGGTCGCGATGTCAGGTGTATTTCTTGCTATTGCTTGTGATCCAAAAAGCTCAAAGGCAGCAAGTTGGTGCCTAGACACGTGGGTTCTGGATTCAGATCCACCCCAACTGACTGTGTGAGTTTGAGCCTCCCTGCATTAGCCTCTCTGGGCTTCAGGTTCTGAGAAATGGCTTAGCAATGCCAGCCCACCTGACTCACAGGGACTTCGTGGGCCCAGATGGGACTGACCTTTGAAACAGTGACAAGGGTTCTAGAAGTGAGATGCTATGGTCCACGTTGTTGCTGGAGTGAGGCGATCTGGGGGGAAAATGGGGACTAAGGAAAAATGCATCCTGATGTTTCCCCTCTCCTCAGAGGGAAAAATAAAGCACTTTCAGAAAATGAAACAGCCTTGCTTAAAGCATGCAGAGGTTTGGCCAACTGAAGGAAAAGGAAGCTGGGCCCTGGGGAAACTCCCCAGCTCTTGTGGGTTTGGGGTTCCGTGAGCAGCCCTGGCACCATGAGTAACTGTCTGTGTGCGTGCCGGTGTGTGCTGCACGAAAGGGGGGGCGAGTTAGATCACTATTTATGTGCCAGCTGGAATCCAGCATTTAGGCACCTCCGCCTTCTGACTTGGGACATGCAAGAGACTCCTAGCTTAGTCAGAGAGGCCTTTCCTTCCTGTTGGGAGCTTAATTTCTCTTGGTCATTAAAGTCCTCAGAGACCTCTATGCTGATTTGCATTTGCTAAAGATTTGCTTTCAGGCGTTGAGTCACTCTATAGTTTTTCTCAATTTTTTAGCTGGGTAATAAAGTGTTATTTTGATTCTTTTCTCCAATGCCTTCCCAAACTACGGACTGGCCACGTGGCTGGTTTTCCTCAGTGGGCGTTGAAAACATGGTTGACCTGCTAAAGCATAGTCCAGGTGAAGGGGCCAGGCCAGGACCAAGCCTGGTGGCCATTGCTGCAGCATCTGTGAGGACTGGAGCTTGGCTGAGCTGGGGGCTTGAGGGTGGTGGTTCTGGGATGATCATGATAGTCAGCACAGCATGAAGGAAAGTATGGACCAGTCCGAGTTCCAGACCTGGCCTGCCGCATCTCAACTGCAGAGACTTCAGCAGGTTGGTTCATCTCTCTGAGCCTCAGTTTCTTTATCTGTAAAGTGGGAGCTGATGAGAGTGGTGTTGAAAGAGAGAACAGACATTCAGAAACTTGCCTGGCAAGTGCAGGGCCCTCGACAGATGTGGCTTAGTTCTTCTCTACATCTACGTTTTTCCATTTATGGAATATTTTCGCATCCACTGTGTTCTTTGATTTTTGAGGAGGAAGGTTCCTGTGGAGATGAGGTAGAGGGCAAGTCAGAGTTTCCATCTGGGGGTGCCTGTCCTCAGGGAACAGTAGAAGGGAAGGCACTGGTGAAAAATCAGGACCCTCAGACCAGCTCAGGCAGGCTGAGCAGAGAGGGGACCACGGTGATTCCTCCTCCTCACTTTCCTGTTTCTATTAATGATATCCTCACTGTCCCAGCACCCAGCCTCAACCCCCCACCACTTACCTATCCACTCACTCACCTACTCACCTACTCACCTATCCACCCACCCATAATCCATCTGCCACCCATTCCCTCATCCATCTATCCATCTTCCCCTCACCTGTGCATCCATTTACACATTCACCCATCCACTTAGCCACCCACCCACCCACCCACCCACCCTTCCATCAGCTCACCTATCCACCCACCCATACGTCCGTCTGTCCACCCATTCACTCATCCCTCTATCCCTCTACCCCTCACCCATGCATCCATTTACACATTCACCCATCCACTTATCCATCCACCCACCCATCTATCCACTCACCTCTCCAGCTGCCCATATATCCATCTATCCAGCCATCCAGTCATCCATCTATCTGGCTACCCCTATCCCTCCATTTACTCATTCACCCTCCCACCTCTCCACCATCCATCCAACAAATAATTCTGGGGAGGCTATAAGGACCAGGCACCAAGAAAAATCTCCAATTTGCCCCTGGTTGTTCCCCACCTCCCTTGTAATTACTTGCCAGTTCTACAGCTTCACACTGTTTCCTCTCTCGCCCTGCCTACCTCTTATTTAGATCCAGTCACACCAACCTACTTTCAGTTCCGCAGAGCTGCCCCTTCTCTTCCTCTTGCATTTCGTCTGTTTCCACACATTTTCCACAGGTAGAAACTCTCCTCTGCTTCGGCAGCACTTCCTCTTTCTTCTGATCTTACTGTAACTGCCGATGCTCAGGAAGGCCTTTCCTGACAGGGTGAGGCCCCCACCCGTGAATCCTCACAAAACCCTGCGCTCTCTTTGTGAGCTTGTTTCACTTATCTTCTCTCCTCCGCCTTAGGACTAAAAACCACTTGTTACTAGGGGCCAGTGTCTAGTGTTGTGCCTTCCATATAATAGACACTCGGTGAGTATTTGCTGTATGAATGAATACTTGGGTGGACGGATGGATGAATGGATGATGGATGTTTGAATGGATGGATGAACAGATGGATGGATGGGTGGATGATTGGAGAACCATGGAAGCATTTGCAGCAGGGTGTGACTGGGTTAGATTTCTGTTTAGAGGATGGCTTTGAGGATAGTAAGATGGAGACAGGAAGCAGCCCAGGAGGAGGCTGTTGCACTGACTCTGGGAAGGAGCTCTTGACCAAGCCCATCTAGGGTGCTGGCAAGAGAGCTGAAGAGGAGGAGATGGATGTAGGAAATACTTAGAGTTGAAAATGGTAGAACTTGGAAATTAACTGGACGCTGTGGATGAAGATGTGGGTGAAAGCTGAAGGCCAGCCATTGACATGAATGATTGGGCAGGTGAGGAGGCCCCTTCCAAGAACAGGGCAGTGGAGAAAATGATGGACCCAGCGTGGGCCTCACTGAGCGTGTCCTGTGAGTGGCAGGAAGCTGGTTATGCCTTCATCCTGGGAAAGACCTGGGAGTCATCAGAGTGTAGATGGGGTTGAAACCACGGAGAAGCAGCCATCCCACAGGGAGTGCACAGGGAATAAAAAGGGCAAACCAGTGTTTAATGTGTGTGGCAGAGAGGCCCACTGCACCCACCATACACTGCCTTGCATGATAGTGATTTGTGCATGGGACATTCCTGTCTTTCGAGCTTGGAGGTTCCTTGAGACTGGCAGCCATTTCTTGCATTTTGTTTGTTTTGAGATGGGGGGTCTCACTCTGTCACCCAGGCTGGAGTACAGTGGCACGAACATGGCTCACTGCGGCCTTGACCTCCTGGGCTCAAGCGATCCTCCCACTTCAGCCTTCTGATTAGCTGGGACTATAGGTGTGCACCACCATGCTTTGCTAATTTTTAAATTTTATGTAGAGACAGAGTCTTGCTGTGTTGCCCAGGCTGGTCTTGAATGTTGCGGGAAGTCAGGGACCCTGAATGGAGGGACCGGCTGAAGCCATGGCAGAAGAACATAAATTGTGAAGATTTCATGGACATTTATTAGTTCCCCAAATTAATACTTTTATAATTTCTTATGCCTGTCTTTACTGCAATCTCTGAACATAAATTGTGAAGATAATCATGGACATTTATCACTTCCCTCATCAATACTCTTATGATTTCCAATGCCTGTCTTTAATCTCTTAATCCCATCATCTTCGTAAGCTGAGGATGTATGTTGCCTCCGGACCCTGTGATAATTGCGTTAACTGCACAAATTGTTCGTAAAGCATGTGTGTTTAAACAATATGAAATCTGGGCACCTTGAAAGAAGAACAGGATAAAGCGATGTTCAGGGAACAAGGGAGGTAACCATTAGGTCTGGCTGCCTGAGAGCTGGGTGGAACAGAGCCATATTTCTCTTCTTTCAAAAGTGTATAGGAGAAATATCGCTGAATTCTTTTTCTCAGCAAGGAACAGCCCTGAGAAAGAGAATGCATTCCCAGGGGTAGGTGTCTAAAATGGCTGCTCTGGGAATGTCTGTCTTATACAGTTGCAGATAAGAGATGAAATAAGCCCCAGTCTCCCATAGCGCTCCCAGGCTGATTAGGATGAGGAAATTCCCGCCTAATAAATTTTGATCAGACTGGTTGTCTGCTCTCAAACTCTGTCTCCTGATAAGATGTTATCAATGACAATATGTGCCCAGTGGGACATGAAACTTCATTAGCATTTTTAATTTCGCCTCGGTCCTGTGATTTTGCCCTGCCTCCATTTGCCTTGTGATATTTTATTACCTTGTAAAGCATGTGATCTCTGTGACCCACACCCTATTCATACACTCCCTCCCCTTTGAAAATCACTAATAAAAACTTGCTGGTTTTGTGGCTTGAGGGGCATCATGGAACCTGCCGACATGTGATGTCTCCCCTGGACACCCAGCTTTAAAATTTCTCTCTTTTGTACTCTTTCCCTTTATTTCTCAGACTGGCCAACACTTAGGGAAATAGAAAAGAACCTATGTGAAATTACGTTAAATTATCGGGGGTGATTCCCCTGATACTTGAACCCCTGGGCTCAAGCGATCCTCTCGCCTCAGCTAGTGCTGAGATTACAGGCGTGAGCCATCACACCCGGCCCATTTCTTGTTGACCTCTAGGTCCTCCATGTCTAGCTTGGTGCTGTGAACATCCGAGATGCTCTACACACACTTGTGCAGTGAAAGCCAGGGTACTGGATAGTTCAAGCTGCTTCATCTGTCTGACCTTGGTTTTCTCATCTCTAAAATGGACACATCTCTAAATGGCTGTTTTTAAAATTGGACAAGAGAACAGAAGTGAAAAGCTCTGTAAACTGTAAAGTATTTTGCAAATAAAAGGTGTAAGTGCTCAGGTTTAATCGCTTTTTCTTGGGGCCTCGAATCAGCCGGGAGACATCCCAAGGGCTGCGACCTGGTTGTGCCCACAAGGTCCTGCTGGATCACATTCCCCTGCCAGCTTCCTCTGTTTCCCTGCCTTGGGAGCTCTTGTAGGGCATGCACTCAGGAGCTGAACCCTGGACCTTCCAGACTCTCCTAGCACCTTGCTACTCAAAGTGTGGTCCATGGGCTGGCAGCATCCGCATCACCTGGCAGCTTGTTTGAAATGTAAAATTCCTGAGCCCCAGCCCAGACTCACTGAGTCTGAAACTCTGGAGGTGAGGCTTAGCGATCTGTCATAACAAATTCCCCAGGGGATTCTGAAGCACCTAAGTTCAAGCACTGCAGCATTAGAATACCAAAACCCTCTTTTCTCTCCAAAATGAACGTAGGAGGTGCTTTCATCTAAACGGAGTAAATGTTTCTTTTTTGTTCTTTAGGCTTGAATGTTTCTGACTTTAGTTGCCAGAATTAGCTTATTGTTGGCCTAGGGAAGAGGAAGCACCACCCTACATGTATATACACCCACCACTCGTAAACTATAGCCTGATGACGCTCAGTGAATTTCCAAGATGACTGGTTGTGTTTTCATGGGGGCTTCATTTGCCATTTGGGGGGAGCCTGGGGGCCTGTGCTTTTATGAATGGATTTTATCTTCCTGCGGGCAGATTTTGTGTGGACTGTGGAGAATCTGAAGTAAATTCGGAAAACGGAACGGCCCTGGATAGGGGACCATTTGGGGACACGAGCTGCAGTGGATTTCCTCATATGTAAGCCTGGCAAAGGATTTGGCCCCACAGGTGTGAGCTTGCAATTCAGGGACAGGAGGGCTGGCAAGAGGAGGGTGACTAGGGCTGAATTCTGATTCATTGGGCTGTGGGAAGAGTTTTGGGATCACGGACTTCAGCTGTTCCTTCTCCCCTTTTTCTCACCACCAAAACATACAAATGAAAACAAACAAACAAACAAACAAACCCCAAACCCACCGTTGTGTATTGCTGGTGGAAATGTAAGATGGTGCAGCCACTATGGAAAACGGTAGGGTGGTTCCTCAAAAAATTAAAAATAGAACTAACATATGATCCAGCAGTTCCAATTCTGAGTATATACCCAAAAGAACTGAAAGTGGGAACTTGAACAGATCTTTGTTCACTCATGTTCTTAGCAGCTTCATTCACAATAGCCAAAAGATAAAAACAATCCCAATGTCCATCAATGCATGGATAAACCAAATGTGGGCTGTGCATACCGTGGACTATTATTCAGCCTTAAAAAGGCAGGAAATTCTGACATGTGCTACAACATAGATGAATCTTGAAGACATTATACTAAGTCAAATAAGCCAGACACAAAAGGACAAATACGGTCTGATTCCATTTATATGAGGTACCTAGAATAGTCAAGTTCATAGAGACAGAAATGGTGGTTGCTGGGGGCTGGGGAGTTATTAATTTTGCAAGATGAAAAGAGTTCTGGAGATGGAGGGTGGTGATGGTTGCACAACAGTGTTGATATACTTAATGCATTTGAAAGTGGCTAAAATGGGCCGGGTGCGGTGGCTCATGCCTCTAATCCCAGCACCTTGGGAGGCCGAGGTGAGTGGATCACCTGAGATGGGGAGTTCGAGGCCAGCCTGACCAACATGGAGAAACCCCGTCTCTACTAAAAATACAAAATTAGCCGGGCATGGTGGCACATGCCTGTAATCCAACTACTCAGGAGGCTGAGGCAGGAGACTCGCTTGAACTTGGGAGGCGGAGGTTGCGGTGAGCCGAGATTGCGCCACTGCACTCTAGCCTGGGTAACAAGAGTAAAACTCCATCTAAAAAAAAAAAAGTGGCTAAAATGGTAAATGTTACTTTATGTGTGTTTTACCACAACGAAAACAAGAAGCAACTCCCTCCACCACCACCACTGGAATTCTAGGCCAGTGCCCTGAAGAGGATGGAAGAGGTGAGTCAGAGACTGGGAGTCCCTGTTTTCTGGGAACTGAGAGGTTGAGAGCTGAGTCTCAGGCAGAGACTGTACGTGGCAGGGATGTGGAGCAAGGAGACCTGGATTCTAGCAGCAACGCTTCCAACCTCAGGCTGGCTTCAGGCAAGTCACTTGCCCTTTAGAACCATAGTTTCCTCACCTGGAAGGTGGGAAGTGTCGTTCACCTATTCATCCAAGAAGTTCTTTTTTGTTTTTGAGACGGAGTCTTGCTCTGTTACTCAGGCCGGGGTGCAGTGGCATGATCTCAGCTCACTGCAACCTCTGCCTCCCAGGTTCAAGTGATTCTCATGCCTCAGCCTCCTGAGTAGCTGGGACTACAGGTGCCCGCCATAAAACCTGGCTAATTTTTGAATTTTTAGTAGAGACGGGGTTTCATCATGTTGGCCAGGCTGGTCTCGAACTCCTGACCTCAGGTGATCCACCTGCCTCTTCCTCCCAAAGTGCTGGGATTACAGGTGTGAGCCACTGCGCCCAACCAAAACATTGTATTGTATCTTGCTCAAACTTATTCATATATCTGGAATCTTCTTTGTTAAATTCTCAATAAGAACTTCTTTTTTTTGAGATGGAGTCTCACTCTGTCGCCCAGGTTGGAGTGCAGTGCTGCGATCTCGGCTTACCGCAAGCTCTGCCTCCCAGGTTCAAGTGATTCTCATGCCTTAGCCTCCCGAGTAAGCTGGGATTACAGGAGCCCGCCAGCATGCCCAGCTAATTTTCAGTAGAGACAGAGTTTTGCCACATTGGCCAGGGTGGTCTCAAACTCCTGACCTTAAGTGATCTGCCCACCTCAGCCTCCCAAAATGCTGGGATTATGGGTGTGAGCCACTGCACCCAGCCAATAAATAGGAACTTTTCACTAATTCCAGTAAGATTATAATCTCCTACTCCTCCTCTTTGCTTCTGGAAAAACAATGCCCTGTGTTTGCATACCCATCATTTGATCTGGCCCTGACACTGATCCCCAAGGGCAGGTGTTTTTATCTCCATTTGACAGGTGAGGAAACCTAGGCTGAGACAAGGTAAGTGACTTGCAGTCTGTATGTGGCTGGCCCTGGCTTGGCGCTCATGTCCTGGAGCCTTGGTCCAGAGCATTCCCGGAGCTCCATGGAGGAGAGGAGAGGTAGCTGGATGAACACCCAGGAGTCCAGGCTGTGCTTGCGGGAAACTGGGTTTTTGTTTCTTGCCAGAACGCGGTAAAATGTGGACAAGGTTGGGCCTCTTCTGATGCTATCTGGAGAGGTCCCCATGGGGGGCAGTGGCCTCAGTGTAAATGGACTTAAGTAGTACATTCCTGTGAGCAAGTAGGACAAATGTGAATGCCGCCTATTGCTGTGGATGAAGGTGGCCGGTGCTGTCACGTGTGGGTTAGAACTGATCTTTGCCCCAAGTCTCCCTGGGAGAGCAGGCTCAGGGTAGGCACATGCTCATAAGAACCTCTAGCCTTACTTGCTACACCAAGGGAGCAGGAAAATATATAAAGGATAGGCAATAAATAGGCAAAGCCAGGGAATGGGAAGGGGAGACGTAAGCTACCCTGCAGCATCTTGGTATGTGACCCATTCGGATATATTCTTTTTTTTTTTTTTTTCTATTGACACAGAGTCTCCCCGTCACTCAGGCTGGAGTAGAGTGGCACGATCTTGGGTCACTGCAACCTCCGCCTCCCAGGTTCAAATGAATCTCCTGCTTCAGCCTCCCGAGTAGCTGGGATTACAGGTGCATGCCACCATGCCCAGCTAATTTTTGTATTTTTAGTAGAGACAGGGTTTTGCCATGTTGGCCAGGATGGTCTCGAACTCCTGACCTCAAGTGATCTGCCCACCTTGGCCTCCCAAAGTGCTGGGAATACAGGTGTGAGCCACCTCGCCTGGGGCTCCCATTCAGATCTATTCTTCTTGTTATTTATTTATTTATTTATTTATTTATTTATTTATTTATTTATTTATAGAGACAAGGGCTTGCCATGTTACCCAGGCTGGTCTTGAACTCTTGAGCTCGAGCGATCCCCACCTCCCAAAGTGCTGGGCTTACAGGTGTAAGCCATCATGTCCAGCCGTTCAGATATTCTAGTTGAATTGGAGTTGGTGGGCTAGTACACCTTCTAAATTAAATGAGTAAAGGATTTAGAATGGTGCCTGACACACAGTAGGTGCTACATTCATGTTAGCTACTATTATAAACCTTTCCTGCCTCTGACTTTCAGGGTCTTGCCCACCACCAGCGATGCCCAGCCCTTGGTAGAGCTTGAACCACCTTCTATAAACAGGATGGCGGTGGAGAGACAGGCCCAGTCCCTGAGCCCATGAGGAGTGTGGCCCCTTCAGGCCCAAAGATGGGGAACATCACTGCAGACAACTCCTCGATGAGCTGTACCATCGACCATACCATCCACCAGACGCTGGCCCCGGTGGTCTATGTTACCGTGCTGGTGGTGGGCTTCCCGGCCAACTGCCTGTCCCTCTACTTCGGCTACCTGCAGATCAAGGCCCGGAACGAGCTGGGCGTGTACCTGTGCAACCTGACGGTGGCCGACCTCTTCTACATCTGCTCGCTGCCCTTCTGGCTGCAGTACGTGCTGCAGCACGACAACTGGTCTCACGGCGACCTGTCCTGCCAGGTGTGCGGCATCCTCCTGTACGAGAACATCTACATCAGCGTGGGCTTCCTCTGCTGCATCTCCGTGGACCGCTACCTGGCTGTGGCCCATCCCTTCCGCTTCCACCAGTTCCGGACCCTGAAGGCGGCCGTCGGCGTCAGCGTGGTCATCTGGGCCAAGGAGCTGCTGACCAGCATCTACTTCCTGATGCACGAGGAGGTCATCGAGGACGAGAACCAGCACCGCGTGTGCTTTGAGCACTACCCCATCCAGGCATGGCAGCGCGCCATCAACTACTACCGCTTCCTGGTGGGCTTCCTCTTCCCCATCTGCCTGCTGCTGGCGTCCTACCAGGGCATCCTGCGCGCCGTGCGCCGGAGCCACGGCACCCAGAAGAGCCGCAAGGACCAGATCCAGCGGCTGGTGCTCAGCACCGTGGTCATCTTCCTGGCCTGCTTCCTGCCCTACCACGTGTTGCTGCTGGTGCGCAGCGTCTGGGAGGCCAGCTGCGACTTCGCCAAGGGCGTTTTCAACGCCTACCACTTCTCCCTCCTGCTCACCAGCTTCAACTGCGTCGCCGACCCCGTGCTCTACTGCTTCGTCAGCGAGACCACCCACCGGGACCTGGCCCGCCTCCGCGGGGCCTGCCTGGCCTTCCTCACCTGCTCCAGGACCGGCCGGGCCAGGGAGGCCTACCCGCTGGGTGCCCCCGAGGCCTCCGGGAAAAGCGGGGCCCAGGGTGAGGAGCCCGAGCTGTTGACCAAGCTCCACCCGGCCTTCCAGACCCCTAACTCGCCAGGGTCGGGCGGGTTCCCCACGGGCAGGTTGGCCTAGCCTGGGTCCTCCGCGGGTGGCTCCACGTGAGGCCTGAGCCTTCAGCCCACGGGCCTCAGGGCCTGCCGCCTCCTGCTTCCCTCGCTGCGGAGGCAGGGAAGCCCCTGTAACTCCGGAAGCCTGCTCTCGCTTGCTGAGCCCGCTGGGACCGCCGAGGGTGGGAATAAGCCCCGGTTGGCTCGTGGGAATAAGCCGTGTCCTCTGCCGCGGCTGCGATGTGGCCAGGCTGGGGCTGCTGGTCGGGGGAAGACAGTGAACTGCGTTCCCTGGCCTGCTTCCTGCAGAGTTTGTGCATGGGGAGTGTGAGGACATGGAGGGTGGGAGGCTGGGCGTTCAGCTGCCAGGGCCTTCCAATGCCACCGTTGTCACAGACAATGCCTGTCCAAACGTCCCGGTGGGATCAGCACTGCAGCCCGCCCACAACAGGGTGGGAAGGGAAGACTGGAGGGGGAAGGAAGGCAGGAGGGGGAAGGAAGAAAGAGGGGGAAGGAAAGAAAGAGGGGGGAAGGAAAGGAGGAAGGGGAGAAGGAAGGGAGGAGGAAAGAAGGAAGGTAGGGGGTGTTGGGTTGGGAGAATTGAGGGAGTTATAGGCAGAGGAGGATCCTAGCTCCAGCCATAAGAACTGGGAGAGCCGCCTGCTGCTCCAGAAGACCTGCCCACCTCCACAGAAATGCTAGCCCTTCAGACCTTCTGGTCAGTGAACTGGGACCAGCTCTGACTAAGGATGCCTTCCATGGCCTGGGACTCGAGTTCTTCAGAACCAAGAGGCTAACTGGGCTTCCTCCAAGAAGGGACCAGGGGCTAGAAGCAGAAGTTGGCATCAGCAAACATTTCTGGAATCTACCAAAGGGAGGCCCAGGCAGAACCCCTTCCTCAGTCTCCCTTCCCCTCTTCCCCCCAGCCTTGAAGAGGTTGATCCTTTGTGCTGTGTCTCTTAGCCCTTTCATCGGGGATGCCCAGAGGCAACAGCCCAGGCTGGAGGTGCCCCAGGGAAGGGTGCTCACAGTGGTCCCAGGGCTACACTTGGCTTTGACTGCACAGCCCCTGCTCAGATCCTTGTGGAGGGTGTCCGATGACTTGGGGAGGTTCTCTTCCCCTTCCTAGAGGAGGAAGTGACCAAGTTTGAAGGCGGCAGAAATGGCCACACAGCCAAGAAGAGCCCATGCAACTCAGTCCAGGATTTTACTGGGTCAGTGACATTGGTGGAAGCCTTCATGCCTCCTCATTCCACAGCACTTCCTCCTATGTTGACCTTAAACACTGGCTTCCCACTGATACAGACTGGGATGAGCTGAGGGCAGTCTCATTTACTGTCAAGAGTTGTATTTTTGTATTGTCCTTTTTGCCAAGTCTACATGTGTTGACTCTGTAATGGATTTATGTAGCCCACTTCAGTCTGCAAATAAAGCAAAGTAACTGGACACCTTGGGAGTATGCTGCAGTCCTTATGGGGTAAGGGAGTCTTCAACACCAGGGGGTCTTGAGGGCCCTTGAAGAACCAAAGGAGTCAGGAAAGGGCAGAGGTTGACCTTCTCAGGGCAAACTCAAGCAGAGCGATTAGGGGATTTGCACTTGATTACCCAGCAAATGGTCAAGAAAGACACAGCCCTTGAGTGAAGTAGAGCCTTCTCTCCCTCCACTTGAGATTCATGAAGTGCCACCCAGTTCTTCAGTGTGGTGTTGCAAATTCGCTCTGTGGTTTAACTTGGCTAACTCCCTTTTGAGGACAGAGCCCAGTCATGTGGTTTGGAGAATATCACCCACTCTGTCCTTGGCCACATAACCCCTTGTACCTGCTGGGTAGCTGCTCCCCACAGTGAGGGAGGGCTCCATCAGACCACCCCCTCCTCACTAGAGAAGAAGGGCCTGTTGCATTCATCTCTGTGGGGCTGTCCTCAGTGACGGGGCTTTGTTTGGAGAGGCCCACATTTGCTGACCTGCCTCTTTAGGCTGGAGCATCTTCTCAACAGTGGCATATGCCATGTTTATCACTGAGGATTAACTGCATCATATTAAAATGTAAATTTGATCTTGGTCACTTAATCCCTCTCTGGGTCAGGCTCCTAGAGTCCTGGAGTGTTCCAGAAGAGTAGATCCTTCTTCTAAACAGATTAAGTAAGGACAATATTGGGGATTATGACTCCTTTCTCTCCTGAGAGGATGGGTGGAAGAAAAAGTCCATCTGGTTTGGAAGGTGACAGAAGCCATTAGGATTTATTTCTTATTCACCAGAGTTGTTTAGTCAGATGAGGGCTCATCTTCCTGTTTACACACAGGGCTCATCTTCCTGTTACACACACTGGTCTGTGGGTTGGCCAGACAAGAGTGGGAGAAATTTTCGGCACGAAATACATCCCCATCTGCTGCTTTCCTCTGGCTGGTCCAACCAAAAGAGAGCCAAACTCTGACCCTCTTGGCTCGTTGCTTTTCTGAAAAAGCCACTTCTTGTAGCTGGTGATCCTGAAGCCTCCATCCCTGGAATTCATCTGGCAAGACAGTAGTCTCTGATGATACTATGATTTGAATGTCCCCTCCAAAACGCATGCTGAAATTTAATTGCCATTGTAACTATGCGAAGAGGTGGGACCTTTAAGAGGTATTAGGTCATGGGTTAATGCTGTTATGGTGGGAGAGAGTTTGTTATTGGGGGAGTTCAGCCCCCTTTTTTCCTCTCTTCAGAACTTGCTTGCTTTTCTGCTTTCTGCCAGGAGATGACCCTGCCAGATGCTGGCACCATGCTCTTGGACTTCCCAGTCTCTAGACCCATAAGCCAAAGAAATGTCTGTTCTTTATAAATAACCTAGTCCGTGGTATTCTGTTATAGCCATAGAAAATGGGCTAAGACAGATGGCCTTAATCCTGAGGTTATAATGGTGCCCAGTACTCTGGGGAAATGTTGGGATTTCAATCCCATTTGCTTTAATTCAACAACTTTCAGAAGAATACTGCTAAATTACATGTTAGATATTAGTGCTGGCATATACCAGAGAGGTCATAATATTCAGTTCCCTCTCCATGAAGTCTCCCCTCTGCATTCCCCAAAAACGATAGTCCAGTCTGTCTACAAACAAACACCACCAATGACAACTCACTACTACTCAAGATGACTAATTTCAGGGTCGGGCAGAAAATTTCATGCAAAGTCCAACGAGAGGCTGCTTTCTGGCAAGTCTTTCCCAAAGTGATGGCAGTGATTCAGGATCCTCCCATCACCAGAGTCCATCATCTTGGGGTCTTCCCTTTTCACCCACACAGGTAAGGGGATGCAGCAAAAAGAGAATCTCACAGGGGTTTTTGGCCAAGTGTGGAAATGGCGGATATCCCTGCTACTTACATTCCATTGGTCAGATCCCAGGCATGTGGCCTCAACCTAACTGCAAGGGAGGCTGGGAAAGGTAGTTTTCCTATGGATGCAGGAAAGAGAGGCAGAATTGGTGAGTATCTGGCCAGTCTCTGACAGGCAGCTCTTCAAGCCACCTCAACTTAACAGGTTTTTTGTTTTGTTTTGAAACAGAGCCTTGCTCTGTCACCCAGGCTGGAGTGCAGTGGCACAGTCTTGGCTCATTGCAACCTCTGCTTCTCAAGTTCAACCAATTCTCCTGCCTCAGCCTCCCAAGTAGCTGGGATTACAGGCGTGTGCCACCACAGCCAGCTAATTTTCGTATTTTTAGTAGAGAAGAGGGTTTCACCATGTTGGCCAGGCTGGTCTCAAACTCCTGGCCTCAAGTGATCCACCTGCCTTGGCCTCCCCAGGATTACAGGCATAAGCCACCACATCCAGCCCTAAACTTAAGAGGTTTTAAGCACCCACCCCTCTGTACCTTCCTCTAAACAAAATCCACTTCTTCAAATGCGATGCCTGGAATGTGAAGTGAGAGCAAGTCTGTCTGACCTGCCCCATGGAGAACAGGCCCATTTTCCTCTCTGCTTCTTTACTTCTGGTGAGAAATCTTATTGCTGACACACATTGAGTTTATGTGAATTGCTGGTAAGCCACATCCTCCTCTCCACCTTGCCTAGAGGAAGTGGTTTTTCGAATCTGAGTTAGACCTCATCGTGCAGCCAGTGGAAGCCACAGGGAGTGGGCAGGATGTAGCAGAATGCAGTGGGCTGGACCAAGTCGGGGCTGGTGGTCAGCAAAGCCCGTGCAATGAGGGGCAAGGAACAACCTCAGAGGAATGCCTTTCCCTGCTGAGTGACGGAGGGGCCAGAGGACCTCCAGGGGACTAAGGAGCCCTGACCTGCTTAGCTGGCTCACTTGTCTTTGATCCATCTCCTGCAGGGTCTGTGTGGCTCATTCTCCCCTCAAGGTGCCAAGGTCTCCAGCCTGCCCTTGTTATCCATGGAGCATCCTATGCACTGTTCACCAGGATTACCTCCCCTCAATGTTCTTGGAAATGCCCAGTGATGCTCCTATGTCCCACAAATCCATTCTGGTTGGCACCAGGCCCATATCTCGCCTTAAATCACCCCATCATTCCCTGCATGTCATCTCCTATCTCCCTGTAACTAGCTTCTGCAGGCTGCAGCCACACTCACCATGGCCACCCCATGGATACAGGTGCTTCCTCAAAGCACAGTCAAGGCTAGGATAAAAGAGGAAAGCTGAGCAAAACTACTAAAGGTCTGAGCAGGAATCCTACAGTGGAATGGACAAGCATCAAAACTGGATCCTGGAATGCAGAGCTCCTGTGGTCCTTGGGCTGGGCCCTGCTAAGGGGTCTTCTCCCTTGCATCAGAGCCCCTGATGTTGGACCACAGGCCTGCCTCTCCCTGTAGCGGGGTCAGGGGTTTGGATGTGTCACTGAGTCTAGGACCCTTATTCTCAGCTTTCTCTGGGCTCAACCTGGTGTCAGCCTCTTTACCAAACAACTGAAATCCTCTCCCCATGAATTTCTGCCCACAGTGAAGACAACCCATTACATGGTTATGCCTCAGACTCCTCCATGCCAGAAGAGAACCCTGCTGTTACTACTGCAAAACCAAAGACCCATTTGTGTCTTCCCCCAAAACATGAGTCAGAAGCGTGCTGGCAGCTTTACCATGGTGAGGGCTTCTCTCTTCTAGCCATCAAGATTGCAGAAACGTCGGGGTACAATCTCAATCAGAGGCCCTCGCTACATGGAACTCTGCAGTCCCAAATCAGGGACAAAAATCCTAATTGGAGGACATGTGGTCAGGGAGGCTGCAGAGCTGAGGTGGCTTCACTGAGCCGTGAGATGCCGCAGATCCCCATGTGGCTGAGTTCTCAGGATGCTGGAGGTGTCAGCCCTGCTGCCGCACCAGCACTGAGCACAGCCCCTGCCTGTGGGAACTCCCCTAGAATGACAAAGGGAGACCTGGAGAGCCCCAGCCCCAGCAACTTCCGCCCAGGGCTGCATCATGCCCCTGCATAGGGAGAACTGAAGTCAGTCCCAGAACCACTGTGCTACATCCTCACGCTTAACTGCTGTGTGTACAATGCGGGGTTCATTTCTACCCTCTGTGTTCTATTCTCACAACTGTTGCTCCTTAAAGAATGAAACTAGACCTGTTTAAGGAAATGAATGAAAATTAAGCAGGTTCAACAAACATTTGGGGCCATGGCTGCGAAGCTGGACTCCCCTGATCTGGGTGAGTCAGCCGTCACTCAGCAGTGCAACCAGCACAGGATATTGTAAGAGTGTAATGGGACACGGTCAGTGACTCAGTTTCTAATGTTGTTGGGCACTGTGCAGTGGGAGCTTGTGAAAGAGATAAGGGCAAGTGACTGGAGTTGTTCAGGAGGACTCTGAGCCGCCTGAGCACTGGAGAGGCCTGACCCACCCACAGGGTGAGGCTGCCCTCCTATGCAAGAGGTTAAAGGGTCTGGGCTCAGGGGGTGCAGGGGAGCAGACAGAGAGGAGGTGGAATAGTGTTAGGGGTGAGGTGAGGGGCAGCAATGGTGATAAATGTTAGGCTCTTCAAAGGACCTTTTGCCTTAGTAAACAAAATGCTGTTCTTTTGCCTTAGTAAACAAAATGCTGTTTGGAAAAAAAAGCATTTCAAAGGTATAAATATTTTGGTGGTGGTAGGAGTAAATCTTCTGTAAAACCCAAGAACTTTGTAAATATATATTCCACATTTGCACATTTTACCATTTTCTTTTTTTCCTTTTTTGAGACTAGCTCTTGCTCTGTCACCCATGCTGGAGTGCAGTGGTGTGATCACAGCTCACTGCAGCCTCGAACTCCCAGGCTCCAGTGATCCTCCCACCTTAGCCCCATGAGTAGCTGGGACTACCGGAGCATACCACCATGCCTGGCAAATTTTAAAAACTTTTTTTGTAGAGATGGGATTTCACTATGTTGTCCAAGCTGGTCTCAAACTTCTGGGCTCAAGGGATCCTCCTGCCTTGGCCTCCCAAAGTGTTGAGATCACAGGTGTGAGCCACCATGCACGGCTGCCTGACTATGCCCTAATGATAACAGTACCCCCTCATCCACGTGGAGTATGTTCCAAGATCCCCAGTGGATAGTACTGAACTCGACTGCTGTCAGTTGGAACACGTTTCTGTTCACGTCTTCCACCCACACATGTAATGCCTTTTCCATCTTAACTGATCACTTACCACACATTGTGGCCAGAACTTTTGCAGCTTGAGGTTTGACAACAAAACTAGCACATATCTCTTTTTCCTTCTCAATTCTTTTTTTTTTCTTTTTTGTTTTGAGACAGAGACTCGCTCTGTCACCCAGGCTGGAGTGCAGTGGCGCAATCTGGGCTTACTGCAACCTCCATCTCCCAGTTTCAAGCGATTCTCCCACCTCAGTCTCCCGAGTAGCTGGATTATAGACGCCCACTACCACGCCCGGCTAATTTTTTCTATTTTTGGTAGAGACGGGGTTTTGCCATGTTGCCCAGGCCAGTCTTAAACTCCTGAGCTCAAGTGATCTGCCCTCCTCGGCCTCCCAAAGTGCTGGGAATACTTATAGGCATGAGCCACCATGCCCAGCCTCCTTCTCAATTTCATGGATAGAAAATTCATTCTTACCATAGAGCTTAGTAGCCTCAATATATGAACTTGTTCTTTATTAAGTCAAGAACTTTCACCTTTTCGGGTAAATATATATACAGTATGCTTACCTAGTCCTCCATGCCCGTGCAGCAATATGGAGAGGAAGGGAATTCCTAACTTCCGAGGGAACACCTATCAAACATCAGGAAGCCATTAGGAGATTATTATTGGCTGTACAGAAACCTAAAGAGGTGGCAGTCTTACACTGCCGGGGTCACCAGAAAGGAAAGGAAAGGGAAATAGAAAGGAACCACCAAGCGGATATTGAAGCCAAAAGAGCCACAAGGCAGGACCCTCCATTAGAAATGCTTATAGAAGGAGCCCTAGTATAGGGTAATCCCCTCCAGGAAACCAAGCCCCAGTACTCAGAAGAAATAGAATGGGGAACCTCACGAGGACATAGTTTCCTCCCCTCAGAATGGCCAGCCACCGAAGAAGGAAAAATACTTATGCCTGCAGCTAACCAATGGAAATTACTTAAAACCCTTCACCATATCTTTCTCTTAGGCATTAATAGCACCCATCAGATGGTCAAATTATTATTTACTAGACCAGGCCTTTTCAAAACTATCAAGCAGATAGTCAAGGCCTGTGAAGTGTGCCAAAGAAATAATCCCCTGCACTGCAGCCCATACATTTCAATCCCTTTATCTTTAACCTCCTTGTTAAGTTTGTCTCTTCCAGAATCAAAGCTGTAAAACTACAAATAGTTCTTCAAATGGAGCCCCAGATGCAGTCCATGACTAAGATCTACCATGGACCCCTGGACCGGCCTGCTAGCCCATGCTCCGATGTTGATGACATCGAAGGCACCCCTCCCGAGGAAATCTCAACTGCACAACCCCTACTACGCCCCAATTCAGCAGGAAGCAGTTAGAGCAGTTGTCAGCCAACCTCCCCAACAGCACTTGGGTTTTCCTGTTGAGAGGGGGTACTGAGAGACAGGACTAGCTGGATTTCCTAGGCCAACTAAGAATCCCTAAGCCTAGCTGGGAAGGTGACCACATCCACCTTTAAACACAGGGCTTGCAACTTAGCTCACACCCGACCAATCAGAGAGCTCACTAAAATGCTAATTAGGCAAAAACAGGAGGTAAAGAAATAGCCAATCATCTATCGCCTGAGAGCACAGCAGGAGGGACAATGATCGGGATATAAACCCAGGCATTCGAGCCAGCAATGGCTACCCTCTTTGGGTCCCCTCCCTTTGTATGGGAGCTCAGTTTTCACTCTATTAAATCTTGCAACTGCAAAAACAAACAAACAAAAAAAAAGACTTTCACCTTTTCACTTAAAGGAAGCCCTTTATGGCCTCTTTTTGGCATATCCAAATTGCCAGCATCTCTGCTCTTGCACTTTGAGGACATTACTGAGTCACATAAGAGGTTCTTGAATATAAGCACTGCAATACCATGACAGTCGATCTGATCACCTGCTGGGTGACTGGCAGGCGGGTGGTGTAGACAGCACGGGTACCCTGGACAAAGGGAGGATTCACGTCCTAGGTAGGATGGAGCAGGATGGTGTGAGATTTCATCACGATATTCCGAAGAGTACACAATTTAAAACTTAAGAGTTGTTTATTTCTGAAATTTTTCATTTAGTATTTTCGGTCTGCAGTTGGCTATGAGTAACTGAAACCATGAGTAACAGAAACCATGGATGGGGGAGGATGACTGGAGTCTGGAGTATCCTATCCTACATGGCCTGGGAATGTTTGTTCTCATGCTCTGCCTGGCAGTTAATTGTTCACAAGTGTCCCCATAAGTAACTGTCGAGAAGATTCTCACAGGAGACCACGTGGGTTGCCTGAAGAAGCCAGAGTGAAGGAGGGTTGAAATCAACGCCTTTAGAGTCTTAGGAATAAAAGTTAAAAAGCCCCAGAGAAATGTTGTCCTTTGTCCACAGCACCTGCACTAACCCCTCCCAGAAAGTGGGCATGCAGTTTCCCAGGCCAGGCGAGTGTTCGTTGCTCACCGAAGACCAGTGTTTACTAGCAGGATTGTCGCCAGAAGCAGCTGCATTCTCCCCGGATGCAGACCTGCCCGTTGGTAGGGACTCTGCTCACACGGAACATGGACGGTTACACCTGTGCCGTGGTGACGTCCACCAGCTTCTGGATCATCTCGGCGTGGGTGTTGTGGAAGGGCAGCCCATCCACCTCCATGCCCACGATGCCCGAGACGCCACTCCGGACTTTGTGCTGCACCAAGATGCCCAGCATTTTTTCTTCCTGGAAAAAAATAGGGCAGAAATAGAAGGAGTGGAGGGGGAGGAAAAAGAAATTTCTTTTATACACATTTATAAGTGAGAAGGATCCTTTGCCTTGACATACTTGCTTTTTAAAAAAGTAAAATTTTGGTTTAAAGTACTAATACCATTGGAAAAGTCATGAAAAGTAAGTGTCCTCCATCACAGCTCATTGGCCCCCAAATCTACTCCCCAGAAACAATCACGGGAATAGTTTGGGCTGCTTCTTTTGGTAGTTACTGTTATGTAACTAAATAATATGCTTTAATGGAAACATAGTTTCTTAGTTTGATTGTCCGTTTTTAGAGATGGGGTCTTGCTATGTTGCCCAGACTGGTATTGAACTCCTGGCCTCAAGTGATTCTTCTGTCTCAGTCTCCTGACTAGCTGGGACTATAGGTGCACATCACTGTGCCCGGCCAGCCTGCATTTCCTTAACCAACACTGAAGATTCACTCCTCCTGCAGGTGCAGTGCAGGCTATTTCCTGCCAATAAGTTCCTCCCAGCCCTGGATTATCTGCCAATAGTCTTTGTGCCAAAGGCCCCCATTTCTCCTGAGACCTCTTAGCCTAATGTGGGGCATGTGTCAAATCCTGCTGCTGTTGCCTTCTAGAAATGACCAGGGTGACTGTGGGAGTGGGAGCATCTAGGTGTAGCAGAGTCACAGAGAATACAAGCCCCCATCCTGAAGCCGCAGCCCGGGGCCTAGCAGGCAGAGTGGTTTGGGGATCAGAAAGGTCTGACTTGAGTCTTTCCTGGCAGGAATTTTAACTGTTCTGTGCCTTAGTGTGCTTATCTGTAAAATGGGGAGGGTGATGATAAAAGTACTCATCATGCCTCCTTTAGAGGGTTGTTCTGAGGATTACGTACAAGCAAAGCACTTAGCAGGGTCCTTGGCACACAACAGGCATTCACAAAATGAGGTTGATTTTATTGGCAGGGCTAGGTCTTCTGGCCTTTAGCCTAGAGCTTTCTCCCTTTGCTCTCCTGCTGGTTAAAAAAAAAAAAAGTGGTTTGATCCTCCTCCATCCCCCCTCCTTCCAAAAATAAAATCCCAAAGCACCACTTGCCCAAGCCACTAATGTGTCTGTCCCTAGTGAACAGCTCAGGTTCCCCTAAGGACAGTGAGCCTTAAGTGAAGGCATAAAGCAACTCAAACACATCCTTCCCTCTTCTTCTTCTTCCTCCTCCTCCTCTTCCTTCTCCCTGTCTTCTTCCTCCTCCACAACAAAGGCAGGAGGTGAGAGGAGGGGACCTAAGGAATCTAGAATAGGACATTAGGGCGGCTATAAGAAGGCTCTCTCCCTGCTCAGGCATTTGCTCATTCATCCCACCATTGATCAAAGGTTTATTGAACACCTGCTAAGTATGTGTCAGGCCCTGAACCAGGGATACAGTGGTGAATGTGACATGGTTCCTGCCCCCATGGGGTTCACAGTCTAGATGAGTAATCAGGTAGTCATAGTACAGGATGTCACAGCACAGAGCAGGGGCACCCAACCCAGCTTATTGGCATGGTTCAGGGAACATTTTCTGGAGGCAGGGTGTTATGGACTCAATATGTACCCTCAAATTTTGTATGTTGAACCTAATCCTCAATTGTTGGAATTTGAAAGTGGGGTCTTTGGGAGGTAATAAGATTGAGATGAGGTCATGAGTGAGGGTCAGGATGTGAAGTGCTCTTATAAGAAAAAGAGAAACCAGAGCTCTCGCTCTCTCCACCACATGCGGACTCAGCAAGAAGGCGGCCATCTGTAAGCCAGGAAGAGAGTCCCCACCAGTGAATCAAAACTACTGGCACCTTGATGTTGGACTTCCCAATCTCTAGAACTGTGAGAACTAAATTTCTGTTGTTCAAGCCACCTAGTCTATAGTTGTTTTTTAAAATAGCAGCTTGAGCTACGACAAGGGGCAACTAGGATCAGAGGTGATGAAAGAATAAAAATGAGCCAGCTGAGAGCCCTGGAGGGTCACTCACTAACTTTTTCTAAGTAATAGAGAAAGCATTGGCAAATGTTAACTGCAAACTGTCTCTTCACAGCTGGCCTGAGAGCCTGCATTTCTGTTCTGCCCTGGGGGCCAAGAAGGATGTTCCTCTGTAGGAGGGAGGCCCTAAATTGTTTCCACTTTCACATGTGTCCTTTGTCCAACAGCTCCTTCTCAGGAGCTACCCACTCAGAATGGCATTTCCCGCCCTTTGTTTGGGCTTCTTCCTCTCGCTTCTCTTCTCCACTGGTCATATCCTCTCTTTATGGGGGAATGTTTCTGGGACTCCTGGGGCCATTTCCTCACAGCACACTGTTTCCCTCACCATTCTCATCCTTCTGGGCCCCAGGAAGGGCTGTGGGGTCCTCAGGGTGCACGCAATCAGCCAACAGGTTTCGAGCTGACTGGCACCCAGCCTCCAAGAGACACAGGGACCAGCTGGGCCAACAGCTACTCCCTGCAAATTTCCAAGAATCACGGAATGACCATGCCATCTTCTAAGAGGCAGAGGTGGTAACAGTGGCAGAGAATTACCAGGGAGCAGCTGGAGGGCAGGGCGCCTGAAGGCCACTGCACCAGTCCAGGCTGAGACAACAGGGCAGGAGAGGAGGAATGGAGGACCCAAGTGAGGGAGAGTAGACAGGGCTTGGATGGGGACAGAGGCCCCAGGGTGGCTGAGTGTGTGGATGCTGAGTGTGTAGAGGCTGAGTGTATGGGTGCTTGCTATTAAGTCACACTGGGAGCACGGTGGGCAGGTATTTATGGGAGGTGATGATGCCGCTCAAAGTGGGGTGCCTTCTGGGAAGTTGGAACTGTTTTGTGTCTTAATCTTGGTGGTGGTTGCAAGGGTGTATACTTATGTAAAAATTCATCCAACTGTACACTTAAGGTGTACACACTTTATTGTATGTTAATTATACTTTAACAAAAATAAGTTATAAAGAATAGTAGGGTGAATGAAAGTGCTGAAAGAGAATGGGAGCCCAGAATGAGGCCCGAGGCTGTTCCTGCCTCTCTGCATCACCCATCCATCAAAGCATTCATCCTTCCATCTGCTCACCCATCTATCCATCCATCCATGCATGCATCCATCTATGCATCCATCTATTATCCATCCATCCCTCCATCCCTCCATCCACCCACCTACCCAACCATCTATCCATCCACTATCCATCCATCCATGCATCCATCCATTATCCACGCATCCCTCCATCCACCCATACATCCATCACCCATCCATCCATGCATCCATCCATCTATTATCCATCCATCCCTCCATCCACCCATCCATCTATCCATCCATCCATGCATCCATCATCTCTCCATCCAACATTTCCTGAGTGCCTTCCCTGGGCCAGGCTCTGAAGTAGGGACAAATAAGTCATCATTTGTTCCTCCAAGAGCTCTCACTCTTTGGCCCCTCACTCCCTACCTACCACTGGGCATGTGAATAACAGGGTCCTCTTCTGTTTCCCCAAACCACATGGCTGCTATGCCCTGGGCTGATGGCATATTCCACATCCATGTCACCATGGGTGCTCAGTACCTGCCCTGGAGCAGAGATGGAGCAGAGAGGGGCTGGGAGCCTGGCCAGAGCCCTCAGGCAGCTCCCTCCAGCCTCCACTTCAAGGCAGTGATGCAAAACAGGCCCAGCTGCTGTGTTCCTCTTCCCCAAGTACTGGGTTGAGGTGGGGGAAGTCCAGGAAACCTTTCCTGGTGTTTGTTTATACCATGAGCCCCACGTTTCCTTAGCCTCTTTCCTGCCCAGGCATCAGCTTCCTGGCATTGGCTTGCCCACTCCCAGGGAGTGCCTCTTCTTTGTGATCTCTTGTAAAGGGCTGGCATGAAATGGGCTGGGATGTGAGACAAGGCACTCCCTTGGCCCTGGGCTCTGGCACAGGCAATGACGAGGCAGGCGGGAACATGGTGCTGAGGCTTCCCGTAGAGCAAGATGGGGCTGGTATAATCATGGTCTCATCTTGCAATAGGCAGGGGAGAGCTGGCTGCCTGGACCGGGCTGGGGAGTGTGGCAGCGGGAGAAACGGCTCCATCTGCCTCCCAGCCACACGGGGAAAGACAGACAGTCCCACATGACGCCACATGGCATCTGGAGGCCCCAGCTCTGTCTTGGCCTTCACCTCCTTCTGCTCTGGCTGTGGGAGCTCTCCTTGGCATAGGCCACCTGCTGCCACCATCAAGCCTGGCTCAGGGACACCCTGACACCTGCCCCAGCCTGACTGAAAGTAAAGAAAGGACCTTGTCATGATAAGAAGGATGATGATGATGATGATAATGACGGTTGGCATTTATTGAACACTTGCTATTAATCCATGCCAGATACTATGCCAGGTGCTTTACACAAAGGGACTCATTCCATCTTCCAATCACCCAAAAAGTAGATCTGTTACGGCCCCACTCGAGGAGACCGAGGAATGCTGAGGTCGGAGACTTGCTCCAGGCTGAAGTGGGCGGAGCCAGGGCTTGAACCAGGCAGCCG
This sequence comes from Homo sapiens, assembly GCF_000001405.40. Classification (NCBI taxonomy): domain Eukaryota; kingdom Metazoa; phylum Chordata; class Mammalia; order Primates; family Hominidae; genus Homo; species Homo sapiens. The sequence goes on along the minus strand of NC_000014.9, from coordinate 91,220,182 downwards.
GCCAGGGCCTGCGACCTTCCTAACCACCCACTTCACTCACCCAAGGCAGGCCCGATGTTTTTACAAAGGACTTGGTCCTAGGAAACAGAGAAGTCCACAAACTACAGAAATACAGGGAAGAGAGTGGCCCTAACCCAGACCAGCATCCAGGCACAGCCGGCCTGGCTGGCTGCTGTCTGAGGCCTCCATCGGGCTGAGGGGAAGATGCCATGAGGGGGCTTCCCGAGGCCTCATCCTTGGAGGCCTTCAGTCCCTCCTAGGGACCCACCCCCTGCCCAGAGCTCTGTCACCCTGCCAAATTGCAGCACCTTGGCCCCCAAGCTGAGGAAGACCAAGTTCTCCACCTCCTGAGCTCCAAGTCCTCCTTATCAGACCTTGCAGGTACCCCTGTAAAGTGTCATCAAGTGGCTCTTGGCCCTTGATGACGTCTTAGGAATGCTTGCCCTCAAGTACAACCCAAGGGCCTCTCCCTCACTTTAAGGTGCCCCTGGGCCAAGGGCCAGAGTGGGCAGGGTGTGCCCAGGTAGTGATGTCCACCTTATCTGGCCTCCTCAGCATAGTGCCTGCTTCTACCACACTCACAGTGAGATCCTTAAGAACCCCTGTCCCCAGATGCAACTCACTGAGCAGAGCTGTGGGACATTTCTCTGCCCCAACCAATCAAGCTTTTCCACTAGCTCAGGCCACAGCTCTGCCCAGCATCTCTGGATGACTCAAGGACCCCCACGTAGTGACCTGCAGAACTCTAGTGTGACGATTCTAGCTATTTCCTCTGCACACTGTACGGCTTCATGTCCCTGTACCTTTGCTTATGTGGGTTCTGCGGCCTAGAAGGCCTTTTCCACCCTTCCTTACCTGGCTACTTATATCCTACTCACTCCTCAAGACAGCTCAGTGCCAGTGCCACCTCCTCCAGGCAGCCTTCACTGAACTTGCTGAGCTAAGCACTGTTTTCTGTGCTCCCACAGAAGCTTTTTTCAAAATTTTTTTTTCTTTTTTTTTTGAGACAGAGCCTCACTCTGTCACCCAGGCTGGAGTGCAGTGGTGTCATCATGGCTCACTGCAACCTCCGCCTCCCGAGTTTAAGTGATTCTCATGTCTCAGCCTCTCGAACAGCTGGGACTACAGGCGCCCGCCACCACGCCTGGCTAATTTTTGTATTTTCAGTAGAGATGGGGTTTCACCATATTGGCCAGGCTGGTCTCGAACTCCTGGCCTCAAGTGATCTGCCCGCCTCAGCCTCCCAAAGTTCTGGGAATACAGGTGAGAGCCACCATGCCCGGCCTCTCACTGAAGCTTACTGTGCACATTCCATCTTGGCTCCTGAAATTGCCTGTCATGTGTCGTCTCCCCAGTGGACCCTGAGTCCCCCACCCAGGGTGACTCCTCATTGTCCCCTAGAGCAAGCCTGGGCCTGGCCCAGGGGCGGGGCTCAACAAACATGTGTTTGTACTTTTGCTTTTAAAAAATCCCCATTTTAGGCCAGGTGTGGTGGCTCACGCCTGTAATCTCAGCACTTTGGGAGGCTGAGGCAGGCGGATCACTTGAAGTCAGGAGTTCAAGACCAGCCTGGCCAACATGGTGAAACCCCGTCACCATTAAAAATACAAAAATTAGCCGGGTGTGGTGGTGCGCGCCTGTAATCCCAGCTACTTGGCAGGCTGAGGCAGGAGAATCACTCAAACCTGGGAGGCGGAGGTTGCAGTGAGCTGAGATTTCTCCACTGCACTCCAGCCTGGTAACAGAGTGAGACTCCATCTCAAGAAAAAAAAAAAAAATCCCCATTTTATGTTCTTTATAAGGGTGGTACATTATTAATTGATTTATGAAGGACTAGGTAGAAATGCAGAAGGAAAAGCTTCCATCTGTGTGTTGGGCTGTGTGATTTGTTTGGCTGGGTTCGTTCTTTTGTGTCTGCGTGAATCAGGAATCATGTGTGAAGCAGCCCTTGCATGTTTTTTTCCAGTTCAGATCCAGGAAGTATAAAGAAAGCACAAAAGGCCCTCTGGGCCCCTCTAGGGCAGACCATTTCCCTCTGAAAATGTCACCACAGCTGCCTGAGCTCCCCCTCCCCCATCTCTCTTCCCTGGCACTACCTGGGACACTTCTGAGCGGAATTGGGAAAAGCACAGAGAATGGAGTCACAGAGACCTAGACTCGGATCCCAGCTCTGCCTCTCAGCTGGGTGGTCTCAGGCAAGCCATCGGCTTCTCAGAGCCCCAGGTCTCTCGTCTGTAAAATGGGAATGACACCACCAATCCAGGCAGGTGCTGGAGAGAAACAGAGGCCAGGGGCAGGAAGGAGAAAGACACAGAGAAACAGAGAGGGAGAGACAGACAGAAGGAAAAAGGGAAGAGACAGGGTGTAAGAAAACAGGAAAGAAAGACAGAAAAGAGGCCGGGCGTGGTGGCTCACGCCTGGAATCCCAGCACTTTGGGAGGCTGAGGCAGGTGGATCACCTGAGGTCAGGAGTTCAAGACCAGCCTCGCCAACTTGGAGAAATCCTGTCTCTACTAAAAATACAAAAAAAATTAGCTGGGCATGGTGGCAGGCACCTGTAATCCCAGCTACTCGAGAGGCTAAGGCAGGAGAGTTGCTTGAACTTGGGGGGTGGAGGTTGCGGTGAGCCGAGATCGTGCCACTATACTCCAGCCTGGGTGACAAGAGCAAAACTCTGTCTCAAAAAAAAAAAAAAAAAAGACAGAAAAGGGGCAGCAATGCGGACGTCTGGTTGCAGACGTTGGGAGGCTATCGGGCCTGCCCACTGGCAGGGGACTTGTAGCGACCACCCACCCAATCTCGGGCTCTTCTGCAGGCTCAGTGCTCAGGACCCTCCGGCCTCTTGGATTTGCTTTCCCATCTCCCCAGACCTTCCACGCCCTCTCCCACAACCTTCGGCACCCACCTCTAATCCCTCAGGCTGCTGTCTGCTCACAGGTGAAGTCACATCTGACCCAGGATTTAGATGTAAAGTCAGAGCTTTGGCCCCGTTTTCCCAAAGTCCAAATTACCTGGGAATATTCCCCAAGTAGGTGTCCCGTTAAGCACTGAGGCATTGTGAATGTCCCGCAAGTCTGGTCCACCAGCTTCTCCTCCAAGAGGGGCAGGTCCCATCTCCTTGAGGAGCCCCAGAGGAGGCGGGTTAGAGCCTGGAATTGGTGTTGGGGGCGGAGCTTGCTCTAAGAGGGCCATGGAAATTGAGGCCCAAGGAAGGAAGGGCCAGTCCCGCTGCCACCTCGCTGCTCAGGCTTGGGTGCTGCGCGCTGGCCACCTCTCTTTTGCATTTTCCCCATATGCATGTGTGAGTTCACATAAGTTAGACGGGCACACGTTGATGCCCTTCCTCTGCACTGGGCTACAGAGTGTACCTAGAACTGCAAACAACACTTCGGAGCATGGGGTCTGCAGTCGGAGGAGCTCAGACAAAAGTTACCTGCTGCTGCCTCTCAGGGAGAGTCCTCAGGGAGAAAGTCACAGTGTCCTTGGGTCCAGCTAACATGATCTGTCCCTTCCCAGGGATTCTTTTTTTTTTTTTTTGAGACAGGGTCTCCCACTCTGTCTCCAAGGCTGGAGTGCAGTGAAGTGAACATAGCTCACTGCAGCCTTGGATTCCTGGGCTCAAGCGATCCTCCCACTTCAGCCTCCCAGGTAGCTGGGACCACAGGTGCATGCCACCAGGCCCAGCTAATTTTAAAATTTTTTTTCTAGAGATGAGGTTTCACCATGTTGTCCAGGCTGGTCTCAAACTTCTGGGCTCAGGTGATCCTCCTGCCTTGGCCTCCCAAAGTGCTGAGATTATAGGCATGAGTCACCGTACCCAGCTGGACCAGGGATTCTTAATGGCCCCAGACTACTTGAAGAATCTGATGAAACCACAGAGTCTTGCGCAGAAAAATACATGTACAGGAACAATTGTGCAAACAGCTTCAGGGGCTCATGGACCTCCTCCTTGTGGGCCTGCGGTCTGAAGCCCTCTTCTACTTTTGTCTCACCCCCTACCTCCTGCTCTCCACCTCAAGAGCTGTCTCCCACAAACCATCACTAAGCCTGTCCTCATCTCCCAAGCCCCTGCTCCCCCCATTCCTCCCGCTGGGATTCCTCTCCTTCTACTTGGCTTATTCCTTGCAGCCTCCAGCCCACAGGATTCTCTTCTCACCTTGTCTGTCCCCCTTAGCACTTTCCTTAGTATGGCTGATTGACTTACTCTGGAGGTTTTAGTGGCCTCGCTGGGTGGTGAATTCCTTGGAGGGGGCTGACAGGACACCTGCCCACCACTAACAGTATGAAGTACCCACCATGGGTGAGGCATTCGGTTCCTCCAACAACAATGCTGACCACCCCCATTTTACAGATGAAGAAAATGAGGCTCAGAGAAGCTAAGCAACTCACCCAAAGTCAAACTAGAAGGAAAATGGTCACTTGGATCAGGCCTGCCACACGATTCAGAACTGCGAGTAGCTTAAAGGGCACCCAATCCAGGAGACCTCTGCTTCAAGGCTGGCTCTGCCTCTGGCTTTTGAGGGGCAGCAGGGTGCCAGCCCTCGGCTTACGGCTTGGGACCTCAGGCCTGCTGCTCATCCAGGGTAAAAGCTGCTTCCAGGCGAGCGGCTGGCTGGGGTTTGTTACCTTAATGACCGACGGGAGGGCCTGAGTCCAGGCCTGATCTCCAGGTGCCCTGGAGGGTCCGACTGCTTTCCTCAGGTACTGACTGTGGACAGCACATGAGTACAGGATGTAGAGTGCGCAGGCCAGGGCATAGCCTCCCCAGTTAGAAACACCTAGAACAGCAAAACAAGATTCCATCATGGAGTTGGAAAAGTCATGTGTCTGTCAGCCTGCCTCTAGGAAGCAGAACTATCTGCAGGACTGGTCCACGGTCCCGTAGCACCAGTATCATCTGGGAGCTTGCTAGAAACACAAATTCTTTGGCCCCAGCCAAGAACTACTGAATAAAAAGCTCAGCAGGAGAGGAGAGGAAAGGAACAAGCTGAATTTTCTTTATTTGTATTTATTTATTTATTATTATTATTTTTTGAGACAAAGTCTTGCTCTGTTGCCCAGGCTGGAGTGTAGTGGTGCGATCTCGGCTCACTGCAACCTCTGCCTCCTGGGTTCAAGCGATTCTCCTGCCTCAGCCTCCTGAGCAGCTGGGACTACAGGTGTGTGCCACCATGCCCAGCTAATTTTTATATTTTTAGAAGGGACGGGGTTTCACCATATTGGCCAGGTTGGTCTTGAACTCCTGATCTTGTGATCCACCCATCTCGGCCTCCCAAAGTTCTGGGATTACAGGCATGAGCCACTGCACCTGGCCTATTTTTATTTTTAATTTTTTTTAGTGATGGGGTCTCCCTCTGTCCCCCAGGCTAGCACGACCATAGCTCATTGGGGTGGAGGCTTAAACTCCTGGGCTCAAGTGATCCCCCTGCCTCAGTCTCCCAAGTAGCTGGGATTATAGGTGCACCTGGCTGAGTTTTGATAAATCCTCTATGTGAGTCTGATCCAAGCCAAAGTTTGAAAACCCTTGCTCTAAACTACTTAATCCACTGCTAATGACCATCAGAAAAAAAGGTTTAGGCAATAACCGTAGAAACCCATTCCAAAACACTCAACATGAAGAAACTCTCCCCTCTGGCTGAGCTGAATCCCCTGTGCCACGTGGAAGCCCACCCTCAGAGGGCAGGAAACAGCCCCGTCGCGCTGGATCGCATGACCTCTTCATGTGCTCAAAGATCACTCCCAAATCAGCCTCAGACTTCCCTTCCTTTTCCATCACATGCCCAAAGGGCTTATTTCCCAGTTTTGGGACCATCTCCTTGGCTCTTCCCTGAAACCTGCTTGAGTTCTCCATGCAGTTGAAGAAGAATTGATGAAGGGCCTGGTAAGCAATAAGTGCTAGAGCACCACGAAAGAGAGGTCAATTCTGCTCAGGAGAGGAGGGACTGTGCACACGGCCAGCCACGGGCCACTATGACTGAGATGTTCACGCAGAATTATGGGAGCATGGAGAGGGGGCACTCATTCTGACTGGTTTAGGAAAGATTCATAGAAAAGGGGTCATTTAATATGGGCCTTGTAGGTTGAGTAAAATTTTGCCAGAAGAGGGGTGGAGGAATGGGAGCAATTCCAGTTAAAAAAAAAAAAGAAAAACAAACAAAAAAAATAACAAACAAAAACTCCCTTGGCCGGGCACGGTGGCTCAAGCCTGTAATCCTAGCAATTTGGGAGGTTGAAATGGGCAGATCACCTGAGGTTAGGAGTTCGAGACCAGCCTGGCCAACATGGTGAAACCCCATCTCTACTAAAAATACAAAAATCAGCAGGGCGTGGTGGAGGGTGCCTGTAATCCTAGCTACTCAGGAGGCTGAGGCAGGAAAACCACTTGAACCCGGGAGGTGGAGGTTGCAGTGAGCCAAGATCATGCCATGGCACTCCAGTCTGGGCAACAGACCAAGACTCCGTAACAAACAAACAAACAAACAAACAAACAATCTTCAGTGAATACAAAGGCATGTGGCATGAAAATACAAGCCATATATCAAAACGTGGCAGGTAAAGACCATACGATAAAAATAATACTGTATTCTACTGATTTTAAGATGTACTTTTGTTACACTTACATCTCTGAAATTGAGATGTATCTTATAATTAATAGTATCTTACAGTTACAATTGGTTGTATTTTCCTTTCTTAGTAGTATGTAAATTATTGTTAATTCTTGTCATCAATAATTATTATTTTTTTTTTTGAGAGCAAGTCTTGCTCTGTTGCCCATGCTGGAGTGCAGTGTTATGATCTCAGCCCACTGCAACCTCTGCTTCCTGGGTTCAAGCAATTCTCCTCCCTCAGCCTCCCGAGTAGCTGGGACTACAGGTGCATGCCAACACGCCTGGCTTAGTTTTGTATTTTTAGTAGAGATGGAGTTTTACTGCGTTGGCCAGGCTGGCCCTGAACTCCTGGCTTCAAACGACCAACCCGTCTTGGCCTCCCAAAGTGCTGGGATTATAGGTGTGAGTCACCGTGCCTGGCTTTTTTCATTTTTTAATAAAGACAGGGTCTCACTCTGTCACCTAGGCTGGAGTGCAGTGGCACAATCATAGCTCACTGTAACCTGGAACTCTTGGACTGAAATGATCCTCCTGCCTTGGCTTCCCAAAGTGGTGGGATTTTTTTTTTTTTTTAGAGACGGAGTCTTACTCTGTCACCCGGGCTGGAGTGCAGTGGCATGATCTCGGCTCACTGCAGGCTCCGCCTCTTGGGTTCACGCCATTCTCCTGCCTCAGCCTCCTGAGTAGCTGGGACTATAGGCACCTGCCACCATGCCGAGCTAATTTTTGTATTTTTAGTAGAGATGGGGTTTCACCATGTTAGCCAGGATGGTCTCGATCTCCTAACCTCGTGATCTGCCTGCCTCAGCTTCCCAAAGTGCTGGGATTACAGGTGTGAGCCACTGCGCCCAGCCTTTTCTTCATTTTTTAATAAAGACAGGGTCTCACTCTGTCACCCAGGCTGGAGTGCAGTGGCGCAATCATAGCTCACTGTAACCTGGAACTCTTGGACTCAAGTGATCCTCCTGCCTTGGCTTCCCAAAGTGCTGGGATTACAGGCATGAGCCACTATGCCTGGCCATCAATGACATCTTATATTCAATGAACAGAGTATCTTCTTTGATTGAATATTTACAACATGTGGCACTGTTGTAAATGCCTTACATAGAGTAGCTCCTGGAGTCCTTACAACAAGCTTGTGAGGTGTAAGTACTATTATTATCTCCATTTGAAAACTGGGAAACAGACACAGAGATGCCACTAAGCCCAGCTAATATTTTAAAATTTTTTTGTAGAGACAAGTTCTCGCTACATTGCCCAGGCTGGTCTCAAATTCCTAGTGTCAAATGGTCCTCCTGCCTTGGTCTCCCAAAGTGTTAGGGTTATAGGTATGAGCCACTGCACCCAGCCTTCTCCTTCTCTTAACATTGTCGTTTGCAGGGCAGAAGTTTGAAACTTTAGTGAAGTCCAGCTTATCAACTGTTTCTTTCACGGATAATGCCTTTGGTGTTGTTATCTAAAAAGTCATAATCAGCCAGATGTGGTGGCTCATGCCTGTAATCCCAGCACTTTCAGAGGCCGAGGCAGGTGGATCACTCGAGGTCAGGAGTTCGAGACCAGTGTGGCCAACATGGTGAAACCCCGTCTCTATTAAAAAAATACAAAAATTAGCCAGGCATGTTGGCGTGTGCCTGTAATCCCAGCTACTGGGGAGGCTGAGGCAGGAGAATCACTTGAACCCAGGAGGTGGAGGTTGCAGTGAGCTGAGTTCATGCCACTGCACTCCAGCCTGGGTGACAAAGCAAGACACAGTCTCAATCAATCAATCAATCAAATTAAAATAAAAAGAAGTCATAATCATACTCATGCTCATCCAAATATTCTCCTATGTTACCTTACAGGAGTTTTATAGTTTTGTGTTTTATGTTTAAGTTCATAATCCATTTTGAGTTTATTATTGTAAAGGATGTAACGTCTATATGTCTAGATTGATTTTTTCTCATGTGGATGTCCAGTAGTTCCAGTTCCAGCACCATTTGTTGAAAAGACTACCTTTGCTCCATTGCATTGCCTTTGCTCCTTTGTCAAACATTGTGTGGCCCTATTTGTGTGGGTCTACTTCTGGGCTGTCTATTCTGTTCCATTGATCTATTTATCTGTTCTTTCACCAATACCACACTGCCTTGATTACTGTAGCTTTATAGTAAGTCTTAAAGTCAGGTAGTGTCAGTCCTCTGATCTCGTTCTTTTTCAATATTCAGTTTGTTATTCTGTATCTTTTGCCTCTTCATATAAACTTTAGAATCAGGTTGTTGATATCCACAAAATAACTTACTGGGATTTTGACTGGGACTATATCAAATTTATTGATCAAGTTGGGAGAACTGACATCTTGACAATATCGAGTCTTCTTATCCATGAACATGGAATATCTCTCCATTGATATAGTTCTTTTTTGATACCTTTCATCAATGTTTTGTATTTTCCTTCATATTTTTAGATTTATTCCTAAGTATTTCATTTTAGGGAATTAATGTAAATGGTAATGTGTTTTTAATTTTAAATTCCACTTGTTCATTGCTGACATATACAATTAAAGTATTTAACTTTGTATCTTGCAACCATACTATAATCACTTATTAGCTCTGGGAGATTTTGTTGATTCTTTTGAATTTTCTACACAGACAATCATGCCATCTGCAAGCAAAGACAATTTTATTTATTCCTTCCCAATCTGTTTACATTATATTTCTTTTTCTTGTCTTACGGCATTAGGCAGCACTTCCAATACAATGTTGAAAATAGTGGTAAGAGGGAACATCATTGCCTTTTTCCTAATCTTAGTGGAAAAACTAGTTTCTCACCATTAATTACGATGTTAGCTGTAGGTTTTTTGTAGATGTTCTTTATCGAGTTCAGGAAGTTCCCCTCTATTTCTAGTTTGCTGAAAGTTTTTATCATGAATGGGTGTTGCTTTTGTCAAATGCTTTTTCTGTATCTATTGACATGAACATGTGATTTTTCTTCCTTAGCCTATTGACGTAATGGATTACATTACTTGATTTTTATTTTTTATTAAAAAATTATTTTATTTTTATTTTTGAGAGACAGAGTCTCACTCTGTTGCCAAGGCTGGAGTGCAGTGGTACAACCCAGCAGACTGCAGCCTCCAACTCCTAAACTCAAGCAATCCTCCTGCCTCAGCCTCCTGAGAGGCTAGGTCTACAAGTGCACACCACCATGCTCAGCTAATTTTTTGCTGTTTTTGTAGAGATATGGTCTTGTTATGTTGCCCAGGCTGATCTGCCCATTTCTGATACAGGGGTGTTGAAGTCTCCAACTGTAATAGTGAATTTGTCTATTTTTCCTTGCAGTTTTATCAGTTATGCTCCCCCCCATCAACTTTTTTTGGGGCAATCTTGGCTCACTGCAACCTCTGCCTCCTCAAGTGATCCTCCCACCTCAGCCTCCTGAACAGCTGGGACTACAGGCATTTGCCTGTAGAGATGGGGTTTTTGTAGAGATGGGGTTTCACCATGTTGTCCAGGCTGGTCTTGAATGTCTAGGCTAAAGCAATCCACCTGCCTCAGCCTCTCAATGTGCTGGGATTACAGGTGTGCACCATTGTGCCTGGCGTATTATGTCTTATTTGAATACTGGCCCCTTTATCATTATGTAATCCCCCTCTTTATCCTGATAACTTTCCCTGTTCTGAAGTCTGCTATGTCTGAAATTAATGTAGCTACTTCTGCTTTCTTTTTATTAGTGTTAACATGGCATATCTTTCTCTATCTCTTTATTGCTAATCTGTTTAAATATAAAGACACATATAGTGTCTTTACAGTTAAAGTGAATTTCTTGCAGACAATATATAGCTCAATCTTGGTTTGTTTTTTGCTTTCTGTTTTATTTTCTTTTTTGTTTTTTGAGATGGAGTCTCGCTCTTTCACCCAGGCTGGAGTGCAGTGGCGTGATCTTGGCTCACTACAAGCTCCGCCTCCCGGGTTAAAGCGATTCTCCTGCCTCAGCCTGCTGAGTAGCTGGGACTACAGGTGCCCGCCACCACGCCCAGCTAATTTTTTGATTTTTAGTAGAGACGGGGTTTCACTGTGTTAGCCAGGATGGTCTCGATCTCCTGACCTCGTGATCCACCCAGCCTCGGCCTCCCAAAGTGCTGGGATTACAGGCGTGAGCCACCGCACGCGGCCTCAATCTTGATTTTTTAAGTTCACTGTGGCATTGACATTTATGGTGATTATTGATATAGTTGGATTAATAGCTACCATATTTGCTGCTGTTTTCTTTATTGCCTTTGTTCTTTATTCCATTTTTTTGTTTTGTTCTTTTGTTTTGTCGTCGTTGTTGTTGTTTTGAGACCGAATCTCACTCTGTTCCCCAGGTTGGAGTGCAGTGGCATTATCTCGGCTTACTGCAACCTCTGCCTCCTAGGTTCAAGTGATTCTCCTGCTAACTTTTGTATTTTAGTAGAGATGGGAGTTCACCATGTTGGCAAGGCTGGTCTCGAACTCCTGACCTCAGGTGATCCACCCACCTCGGCCTCCCAAAGTGCTGGGATTACAGGTGTGAGCCACTGCGCCTGGCCCCATTTTTGTCTTCTACACTTTTTCTGCCTTTTGTGGTTTTAACTGAGTATTTTATATGATTCTATTTTCTCTCCTTTCTTAGCATGTAAATTCTACTTTTAAAATTAATTTTTTAGTGGATGCCCTAGAGTTTGCAACATACATTTACAACAAAGTCTGCTTTGAAATAACAGTATACCACTTCATGGGTAGCACAAGCAACTTATAACAAAACATTGCTAATTCTTCCCTCTCATTCCATGTACCATTGCTGTCATTTGTGTCACTTATTCTATTTTTTTTGAGACAGGGTCTGACTCTGTCACCCAGGCTGTAGTATAGTGGCACAATCATGGCTCACCGCAGCCTCAACCTCCCAGGCTCAGGTGATCTGCCTACCTCAGCCTCCCAAGTAGCTAGGACTATAGGCGTCCACCACCATACTCAGCTAATTCTTCTATTTTTTGTAGAGATGGGGTTTCCCCATGTTGCCCAGGCTGGTATCAAATTCCTAGGCTCAAGTGATCTGCCCGCCTCGGCCTCCCAAAGTGCTACGATTACAGGCGTGAGCCACCGTGCCTGGCCTGTCATTTGGGTCACTTCTACACAAACATACATAAGCATATATATACATATGGCATACATAATGGAATGCACTGTTATTATTATTTTGTGCTGTTATTATTATTTTGAGCAAACTGATATGTAAGGTCAAAAATAAATACAAAAGTTTTTATTTTACCCTCACTTATTTTATTCACTGATACTCTTCCTTTCTTTATGTAGATTCAAGTCTCTGACAGATATAATTTTCCTTCTCTCTGAAGAATTTCTTCTAACATTTCTTGCAAGGCAGTTGTGGCAACAAATTCTCTCAATTTTTATTTGCTTCATAGTCTTTATTTCTCCTTTATTTTTGAAGCAAATTTTGCAGGGCACAGAATTCTGCATTGGTTGCTACCTCTCAATACTTTAAATAGTTCAGTAATGTAAAGATTAAAGGTGGCCGGGCGTGGTGGCTCTCTCCTGTAATCCCAGCACTTTGGGAGGCCAAGGCAGACGAATCACCTGAGGTCGAGAGTTTGAGACCAGCCTGACCAACATGGAGAAACTCCGTCTCTACTAAAAAAATACAAAATTAGCAGGGCGTGGTAGCGCATGCCTGTAATCCCAGCTACTCGGGAGGCTGAGGCAGGAGAATCGCTTGAACTTGGGAGGAGGAGGCTGTGGCGAGCCGAGATTGCGCCATTGCACTCCAGCCTCGGCAACAAGAGTGAAACTCCATCTCAAAAAAAAAGAAAAAAGAAAAAAATAAAAATAGTCCAGTCTCTTCATGCTTATATGTTTTCTGTAGAGAAGTCAAATGAATGTAATTTTTACCTTTGTTCCTGTATAGGTAAAGGGTTTTCCCCACCTGCCTCTGGCTTCTTTCAGAATTCTTCCTTTATCTTTGGTTTTCTGAAGTTTGAATATGATATGTCTAGATGTAGCTTTTTGGCATTTATCCTCTTTAGTGTTCTCTCAGCTTCCCGGATCTATGGTTTGGTGTCTGACATTAATATGGGGGAAATTCTCATTTGCTATTGCTTCAAATGCTACTATTTATCGCTCTCTTTCTTCTCCTTCTAGTATTCCCATTAGTCTAGGTTATACCTTTTGTAGTTGTCCCACAGTTCTTAGATATTCTGATCTGTTGTGGGTTTTTTTTTCCCCCAGCACTTTTTCTCTTTGCTTTTTTTTCAGTTTTGGCAGCTTTTGTTGAGATATCTTGAAGCTCAGAGATTCTTTCCATAGCCATGTCCGGTCTACTAATAAGCCCATCAAAGGCATTCTGCATTTCTGTTACAGAGTTATTGATCTCTATCTACTTCCTCTTTTTTTTTTTTTTTTCCTGAGACAGTGTCTTGCTCTGTCATCCAGGCTGGAGTACAATGGCTCAATCACAGCTCACTGCAGCCTCATCTTCCTGGGCTCAAGTTCTCCTCCCACCTCAGCCCCCCCACGTAGCCAGGACTATAGGTATGCACCACGACACCTGGCTAATTTTTAAATTGTTTACAGAGATGGTATCTTGCCATGTTGCCCAGGCTGATCTACCACTTCTTATTTATTCTTTCTTAAAATTTTCATGTCTCTGCTTGCATTATCCATCTCTTCTTGCATGTTGCCTATTTTTTGCAGTGAAGACTTTATTATATTAATCATACTTTTAAAAGAATTCCAGGTCTGATAATCCCGTCATTTCTGACATGTCTGACTCTGTTTGTAACTTCTCTTCAAATTGTGTTTTTGCTTATCGGTGTTTCTTGTAAATTTTTTTTGTTGTTGAAAGGTGGACATAATTTACTTGGTAAAAGGAACTGCAGCTGGGCCAGGCGCAGTGGCTCATGCCTGTAATCCCAGCACTTTGGGAGGCTGAGGTGGGTGGATCACCTGAGGTCAGGAGTTCGAGACCACTCTGGTCAACATGGCGAAACCCCGTCTCTACCAAAAACACAAAAATTATCCAGGCATGGTAGTGCGCACCTGTAATTCCAGCTACTCAGGAGGCTGAGGCATAAGAATAGTTTGAACCCGGGAGGCAGAAGTTGCAGTGAGCTGAGATCGTGCCACTGCACTCCAGCCTGGGTGATAGAGTGAGACTCTGTCTCAGAAAAGAAAAAAAAAAGAAACTGTAGCAAATGGACCTTTAGTGATGGTGGTAAGATGTGTCGGGGAGGGGAAGGGCTCTGCAGTCCTATGATTAGGTCTCTGCCTTTTAGTAAGCCTGTGCCCTGGACTGTGAACTTCACTACTGCTTCTCAGTTTTGTCCTCTCCCCCTTACGTGGCACAGATTGCTAGAGGGAGCTGGAATTGGGTATGTCCCTCTCCCACGTGGAAGGCTGAAGAAAGGTGGGGTTGGGTATTTCGCTTTCCCCAGGGAGATTTAAGGCCTGTAATCCCAGCACTTTGGGAGGCCAAGGTGGGCAAATCACTTGAAGGCAGGAGTTCGAGACCAGCCTGGCCAATATGGTGAAACCCTATCTCTACTAAAAATACAAAAATTATCCAGGTGTGGTGGCATGTACCTGTAATCCCAGCTACTCGGGAGGCTGAGGCAGGAGAATCGCTTTAACCCGGGAGGCGGAGGTTGCAGCGACCAAGATGGCACTACTGCACTCCAGCCTGGGCAACAAAGCACGCTCAAAAAAAAAAAAAAAAAAAAAAAGAAGAAGAAGAAAGGGAGGAGGAGGAGGAGGAGGAGAAGGAGACGGAGAAGAAGAAGAAGAAGAAGAAGAAGAAGAAGAAGAAGAAGAGAATGCCCTGGCCTACTTGAAAATGACTCATTTTTCCCTCCAATGATGCAAGCACGAGGGGATTTTTTTCTAATATCCATTGTGAGAACTTGGTTGAACGCCCAGAGGCAAAACTCACAAGAGCACGAGGGCCCCCAGACCACTGGGTCGCCTGGAGTTTTAAACTCTCATACTTGCCCATACTGAGCCTCCAGCCATTTCTCAATTACGAATCAGGTTTTCCCACCCTAGCACTGGTTCCCACGAGGTTCCATTCCTTTCCAGGCTATGATCATGAAGTGGGAGAGAGCCTTTTTCAGGGATCTCCCAATTTTCTTGAAATGTGTGGTGAGGTCAAAGGAGGAGGCCACACCTAGACGGACCTGGACACAGGAAAGGTGGGTCCTGCGGGAGAGGAGCAACAGTAGGGAGGCACAGGGCAGCCCAAGGCAGAAGTAGGTGAAAGGAAAGGTAGAAAGCTTCTCGCATCCTCCAAACACTTACCAGATAGTTTTCTTACTGTTCATGCAGATAAAAGCACAGATCACTCTCTTCAGAAAAGCCTTCCTGACCACTGATCTGAAGGGGCCCTCCCATCACCCTCTCTCAGCGACCTGTACTATCGCCCCCAAAGCTCTTATTACTCTTTAGAATCATCTGATGTGTTTATTTGTCAGGGCTCATTCTCTATCTCCCAGTCCTAGAATGGGAGCTCTGTGGAGCAGGGTCATTGCAGCTATAACCCCAGTGCTCAGAACACTGCCTGGCACACTGTAAATGTTTGTTGAATGACTGAATGAAAGGTCATAGGCTGAGCACCACCTCCCCTCCCTGCCCTGGTGCCCTATGGACTGACTGCAGAGAAGAAGAGCTTCTGGCCTGGTCAGGCTCCAAGCCAGGTCGCTCACCCTGGGTAGCCGGCCGGACTGGGCGGCCATCCGAGTGCTCACCAGCAATGACGGCAAAGTCAGCCTCCACGTCGCAGGCGATGACATCCCCGTGCCGTATGTGCCTCCTCACAGCCTCCTTGACTTTACCCATCCCAAGCTCGTTGCCTCCATCACCGACTCCTGAAGGGAAGGGGAGCTGAGTCAGTGCACGGGACCAGGGCAAAATGGGGGAGGCCTGAAGCAAGGCAGCCCTACATGTGCTTGTTGCCTTTGGGAGGGCAAAAAGGTTGGCTCTGGATATATTTTCAGACAACCAGGAGTTGTGGTACTTCCCCTTAGGCCTTCTAGAAACTTCTTTAGTTAAAAATGAGTCCACGTTTGGAACACACTACAGTGTGGGCATGTCTCCTTTTGGGTCACATTCTCCAGCAAAGATGGAGCACGTTCTATGCTCTTGGTGCCAGGCCCATGGGAGATGTGGGTATGGTGACACTCAGGACCTCCCTTCCAGTGGCTCCCGCTCACTGAGCCCCCCGGGGGATCTGGTGCAAAGTCAGTTCTAGAACTTACTTTAAAGGCTTCTGCTGAAAGAATGTGAAATGTATGTGTTTTAGTTCATTTTAATCTATACCACAGGGGTACCTGGTTAACATCTGAAATATCCTAATCAGGAATACACACTCCAAGTGTGGTTAGTAAGCATTTGAAAGAGGCTACATAGTCTTGAGGCCCATCTGATAGTCTGCATCAGAGAATTTGTTAATTAGTGTAATAAATGAATGCTAGAATAAATACATATTAAAAATGATTTAATTCATTGGTGAAATGAATGGTGTTCAAGATAGGTGGATTGGCTAAAAATAACTAGCAGATACCTCTACCCTTGTATGGATAAGATTTAAAAATCTAGTCTGGGTGCAGTGGCTCATGCCTGTAATCCCAGCACTTTGGGAGGCCAAGGCAGGGAGATCACTTGAGATCAGGAGTTCGAGACCAGTCTGGCCAATATGGCAAAACCTTGCCTCTACTAAAAATACAAAAATTACCCAGACATGGTGGCACATGCCTGTAGTCCCAGCTACTGTGGAGGCTGAGCCAGGAGAATCACTTGAAACTGGGAGGCAGAGGTTATAGGGAGCTGAGATCACATCACTGCACTCCAGACTGGGCAACAGAGCAAGACTCCATCTAAAAAAAAAAAAAAAAAACACACAAAAAAACCTATCAAGCCCTGAAGCATGTACCCTTTGAGGTGGTGCTGTAGATCTGGGGGACACAGCTCCTGTGTCCAGGTATTTATAGAGGAGTCTGTAAACTAGATGTTCAGCTGAATCCACCTCTAGAAGAGGGTTACAGCTGTCTCAATAACCTTTCATGCAATGCACCTGTCTGAGTCTCTCAAGGCCAGAGGGCTGGACTCTCCAAGCCTATGGAACAGGTACATCATTGTTTTTGTGTCTGCTTCTATAAAGGCTTGGAAGATGCGGAAGAATTCTGTCAGAGGCTAGTGTTCTTTGTGGGATCTAGAGCTGATCCATCTCAAACATCAGGGAGTGAATTTGGCCAAAAGAATGACACAATTGTGAAGGACCAAACACCTTAGATTTATATCCTGATGGTTTTTCTCAGAACACTTCTCTAGATCTATGACAGCCCACTGAATGAGGAGAATAACACCCAACATGTAACACTGGTATCTGGTCTATAGCTGTCTCTTTTTAGCATCTTATGAATTCCATCTCTTTTGGGCTTCACATCCATCCTGTCATGGGTATCATGATCCTCACTGTATAGAGCTGGCAGTCCCTGATGGGGGCAGTACCTGGGCAGTCAGTGGAAGGTGGAGACTTAAACCCAGGTGACTTGATTCTCAATTGAGCACTATGCCCATGACATGGCAGTTGCCCATGGAACCTGAGGAACAGGGGTTTTGAGGAAGAAGAAGAGAAAAAGGAAAATTCAGGAGGTAGCCTTGCTGGGCAGGAGGGTCTGGGGCGGCGGGGGCCACAGGAGGAGACTGGGCTCCTGAGGCCGTGAGAAGGGCCCAAGGGTCTACAAAGGGGGCGGTTCGAAGCCATGAACGGCCAGCTCCACCTGCCTCCTCTGGGATCTCAGGGTCGTCACAGCACAGATGGGGGTCCCATTGCGGGTGTGGGAGGACGGGATTGCTCTAGCAGCTCCCTCAGACCCTGTTTGCCCCTGTAGCCACAGAGATCTCTTTTTTCTCCACTCTGAGAACCCCTCCCCCACAGGCTGAGGTCCTCTGCCTGCCCAGCCGGAGGGACAGGAAGCTGGAAGCCAACAGGAAGCTGGAAGCCAACAGGAAGCTGGAAGCCAACCGCACTGTGTGCACCACACCCACAGCCTCTTCTGGGAAAAGCCAGGGCGATTTGCAGAAACGTTCTAATCAGCGCAGAAGGCTCTCACTGTCTCATCAAAACCTCAAAAGCCAAAGGAGACTAATGAGTCTGGGAAACACTTGGAAACATGCAATGACAAACAAGTCTTCATTACCCCAGGGCCTGAGACCCACCCAGAGGGAAGAAAGGTTCTCCTTGGGGCTTACACTAAGCCTTTCCGCAATTCATAAAGGCATGATTCCCTGATAAAGGGCTGGGGCCCCAGGAGTCTGCAGTCTACTCCTAATGCTACCAGCAACACTAATTAGCTGCGCCATCTGGGAAAACCTCCTGGGACTCACCTTACCTGCCTCACAGGGTTTTCACAGAAGCTTAAACACTACAATGAATGTGAAGCCTCTTGGAAAAGTACAAAGTTTTGTGCAAACACAAATTATCACATTATTATTATTATTATTATTATTATTTTTGAGACAGAGTCTTGCTCTTGTCGCCCAGGCTGGAGTGCAGTGGCGCGATCTTGGCTCACTGTAACTTCCACCTCCTGGGTTCAAGCAATTCTCCTGCCTCAGCCTCCTGAGGAGCTGGAATCACAGGAGCCCACCACCATGCCTGGTTAATTTTTTTATATATTTAATAGAGACGGGGTTGTGCCATGTTGGCCAGGCTGGTCTGGAACTCCTGAGCTCAGGTGATCCACCTGCCTCAGCCTCCCAAAGTGCTGGAATTACAGGTGTGAGCCACCACGCCCAGACCATATTATTATATTATTAACGACTGAAGGCCAGGCTCAGTGGCTCATGCCTGTAATTGAAACAGTTTGGGAGGCTGAGGTGGGAAGATAGCTTGAGCTCAGGAGTTCGAGACCAGGCTGAGCAATATAGTGAGACCTCATCTCTACCAAAAAAATGTTTAAAAGTTAGCCAAGCAGCCGGGCATGGTGGCTTACACCTGTAATCCCAGCACTTTGGAAGGCAGAGGCAGGCGGATCACGAGGTCAAGAAATCGAGACCATCCTGGCCAACATAGTGAAACCCCATGTCTACTAAAAATACAAAAATTAGCTGGGCGTGGTGGCATGCGCCTATAGTCCTAGCTACTCGGGAAGCTGAGGCAGGGGAATTGCTTAAACCTGGGAGGCGGAGGTTGCAGTGAGCCGAGATTGCGCCACTGCATTTGAGACAGGTAACAGAGTGAGACTCCATCTCAAAAAAAAAAAAAGTTACCTGTCAGGCCTCTGAGCCCAAGCTAAGCCATCATATCCCCTGTGACCTGCACGTATACATCTAGATGGGCTGAAGCAACTGAAGATCCACAAAAGAAGTGAAAATGCCAGTTCCTGCCTTAACTGATGACACTCCACCATCGTGATTTGTTCCTGCCCTACCCTAACTGATCAATTGACTTTGTGACAATACACCCTCCCCGCCCTTGCCATAATGTACTTTGTGATATTCCCCTGCCCTTGTGAATGTACTTTGTAAGATACACCCTCCCCACCCTTGAGAAGGTACTTTGTAATATCCTCCCCCACCCTGAAGAAGGTACTTTGTAATATCCTCCCCCACCCTTGAGAATGTACTTTGTGAGATCCACCCCCTGCCCGCAAAAAATTGCTCCTAACTCCACCACCTATCCCAAACCTATAAGAACTAATGATAATCCCACGACCCTTCGCTGACTCCTTTTTCGGACTCAGCCTGCCTGCACCCAGGTGAAATAAACAGCCTGTTGCTCACACAAAGCCTGTTTGTGGACTCTCTTCACACAGACGCACGTGACATTACCCAAGCATGGTAGCACACCCTGTAGTCCCAGCTACTTGGGAGGCTGAGATGGGAGGATTGCTTGAGCCCAGGAGGTGGAGGCTGCAGTGAGCTGAGATTGTACCACTGCACTCCAGCCTGGGCAACAGAGTGAGACTCTGTCTCAAAAAAAAAATTGAAATATTAATCATATATTAGATAATTTTTAAATTAACATGCTTCACAAAATAATATATGGTACATTCTGTCCTATATGACCAAAATAATATGCCATGCCTCAATTTTACTATTGATATTACTTTAATATTAGTTTTATTACTTTAGAGTCAGGCAAATAGAATATGCTTTCCCTCCCTTGCTTGTGAGGATGTTGGATTTCTAAATGGTGGTGTCATTAGTGTCTATACCAACCGTAATGAACAAAGACCGTCTTTGCAGTGGAAAATGATGGTCCCCACATAACTCTTTCTGGTCGTGTGTTCAATAGTCAATAAAAACACACTTAGGCTGAGCACAGTGGCTCACGCCTGTAATCCTAGCACTTTGGGAGGCTGAGGTGGGTAGATCACTTGACGTCAGGAGTTCCAGACCAGCCTGGCCAACATGGTGAAACCTCGTCTCTACCAAACATACAAAAATTAGCCAGGCGTGGTGGTGCATGCCTGTAATTCCAGCTACTTGGGAGGCTGAGGCAGAAGAATTGCTCGAACCCAGGAGGCAGAGGTTGCAGTGAGCCAAGATCGTGCCACTGCACTCCAGCCTGGGTGACAGAGCAAGACTCCATAACAACAACAACAACAAAAGACACTTCATGGGGCCACGTTCTTGGTGCATCCCCAGTACTCCATACTTACCAGTTGATGAGATTCCAGGAATCTTCTTCGCAGCAAGAAAAAGATCGTCAATGGGGTCAACCAAGTGCTTGATGTTCATCTTCCTTGCATTGTAGTAATTGCCATCAGCAGCTCTTCCGGCACGCTCTATGGCCACCAGGTGGTCAAATCTGCCGGGAAGCAAAGGTCAGAGGTCAGAGGGTCCTATGGAGAGGTGGCTGCTTTGCTGGGTCATGCCTTCTTGTGTTTGCGCGAAAGACGCTTCTTTTTTTCTTTGATTCCTTCATTCCTGCAGAACTTGGTGGCACATCTACTCTGGGCCAGGACCTGTGCTGGAGACTAGTCTATTAAGTCAGTTTAAGATATAGCATTGGGGCTGGGCATGGTGGTTCATGCCTATAATCCCAGCAGTTTGGGAGGCCGAAGCAGGTGGATCACTTGAGGTCAGGAGTTCGAGAACAGCCCGGCCAACATGGTGAAACCTCATCTCTACTAAAAAATTAGCTGGGCGTGGTGGTGGGTGCTTGTAGTCCCAGCTACTCGGGAGGCTGATGCAGAAGAATCACTTGAACCCGGGAGGCAGAGGTTGCAGTGAGCTGAGATCGCACCACTGCACTCCAGCCTGGGCGACAGAGTAAGACTCTGTCTTGAAAAAAAAAAAAAATCCAGCATTGGAATCCTCAGCAATTTCTTTAGTAGGGTCAGAGGCTATAAAAGCAGGAGGCCAATGGTCAGGGTTGCTATGGGGATGGGAACATTGCTGGTGCCCACTCAGATCCCCTTTGTCCAGCAGGGATAGCCAGGCCAAGAGGCTGAGAGTATTGGCTGCTATTGGCCTGCTGCTGGCCCCTTCCAGGATCTTGTTCAGTTTACAGACACAAAACAGAAGGAAAAGGGCTCAAAATACAAAAGGAGTGAGTCTAACACAAAGATAAACTTCTTTAGATAGAAACAGAGAAATAAGGGGCACAGATGGTATAGTGGTCAGAATGTGGGCTGTGGCAGCAGATCATCTGGGTTCTGATTCCAGGTCCTCCTGCCACGGGCCTTGGGCAAATTGCTTAACCTCCCTAACCTTCATTTTCTGCATCTGTAGGGTGACATGACCACACTGTGTACCTCACACAGTGTTCAAAGGGAAACATGAGAAAATGCACAGGAGGCGCTTGTCATGAAGCCCTGAACCTACTCAGTGCTCAGTCAGTGTTGGTTACAGTGATTATTGTTGCTATGATTACTAGCAGGACTACTGTTTTGACAATCCAATTTAAGAACATGCAGGCTGGGCGCAGTGGCTCATACCGGTAATCCTAGCCATTTGGGAGGCCGAGGCAGGCAGATCACTTGAGCCCAGGAGTTTGAGACCAGCCTGGGCAACATGGTGAAACCTTGTCTCCACTAAAAATACAGAAATTAGCCAGGTGTGGTGGCGAGTGCCTGTAGTCCCAGCTATGCTTGGGAGGCTGAGGTGGGAGAATCGCCTGGGCCCAGGAGGCAGAGGTTGCAGTGAGCCAAGATCACACCATTGCACTCCAGCCTGGGTGACAGAGTGAGACCCCGTCTCAAGGGGGAAAAAAAAAAAAGGCTGGGCACAGTGGCTCATGTCTGCAATCTCAGCACTTCAGGAGGCTGAGGCAGGTGGATCACCTGAGGCCAGGAGTTCGAGACCAGCCTGGTCAACATGGTGAAACCCAGTCTCTACTAAAAATATAAAAAATTAGCCAGGTATGGTGGCGGGTGCCTGTAATCCCAGCTTCTTGGGAGGCTGAGGCACGAGAATCACTTGAACCCGGGAGGCAGAGGCTGCAGTGAGCCAAGATTGTGCCACTGCACTATAGACTGGGCGACAGAGCAAGATTCTGTCTCAAAAAAAAGAATATGCATATTGTACTTTTACATCTCTCTCAATCCTTCCAAGACAGTGTTTTTCAAAAATCTCAACTCTGCTATATAAAATAGTATGGCCATTCCTCAAAAAATTAAAAATAGAACATACCATATGATCCAGCAATTTCACTTCTATGTGTATGTCCAGGAGAAGTGAAAGACTCAAGGAGTTATTTGTCCACCCATGCTCATAGCAGCAGTATTCAGCATAGCCAAGAGCAGGAAGCAAACCCAGTGCCCACTGACAGATGAATGCAAAAACATAATGTGGTCTATACACACAAGGGAATGTTATTCAGCCTTAAAAAGGCAGGACATTCTGGCACATGCTGTGACATGAATGAACATTGAGGACATTATGCTAAGTGAAATAAGCAGTCACAAAAGGACAAATATTGGATGATTCCACTTACACAAGGTGCCTCGAATAGTCAAACTCATAAAGACAGAAAGTAGAATTGTGGTTGCCAGAGGCTGGGTTGAGGAGGAGATGGAGAATTATCTTTGAATGGAGCACAGACTTTCAGTTTTGCAAGATGAAAAGAGGTCTGCAGATGGATGGTGATGATGGCTGTACAGCAATGTGAGTGTAGTTTTACGCCACTGAAGTGTAAGCTTAAAAAACAGTTCAGAGAGGCCAGGTACAGTGGCTCACACCTGTAATCCCAGCACTTTGGGAGGCTGAGACAGGTGGATCACCTGAGGTTAGGAGTTCAAGACCAGCCTGGCCAACATGGCGAAACCCCGTCCCTACTAAAAATAAAAAAATTAGCGGCCAGGCGCGGTGGCTCATGCCTGTAATCCTGGCACTTTGGGAGGCCAAGGTGGGTGGATCACTTGAGGTCAGGAGTTTCAGACCAGCCTGGCCAACATGGTGAAACCCCATCTCTACTAAAAATAGAAAAATTAGCTGGGTGTGATGGTGCGTGCCTGTAATCCCAGCTACTTGGGAGGCTGAGGCAGGAGAATCACTGGCACCTGGGAGGCGGAGGTTGTAGTGAGCAGAGATCGCGCCACTGCACCCCAGCCTAGGCAACAGATAAAGACTCCATCCCCACCCCCTAAAAGAAAAAAAGTTTGACCATAACACACAGTAAGAAATACACACACTTGCATGTACACAGTCTTATGAGGGAGTACTTGCCATTACTATACAAGATATACAATGATGCTGTATTTCTATTTCATTTTCCAAAGGTGCTGGATACCCTAACTGAAATGATTTCACTATTCTCTAACATGTCATGACCCACAGTTTGAGACTGAGAAACTTTTTTTTTTTTTTTTTTTTTTTTAGTGCTATGTCTCCCCTCTATCAGGAAGATATGCTGTCTCTCTCTGCTGCCCAGGGACCTGTTACTTCCAGAGATGTTCTGTGAGGCCCCCAGGATACCTTGAAACCCCCCAGCCTCATTTGTTAGTCTGGTCCATGAGAACCCATCTTCCTTGGCTCATGGCTTCGCTCCCTCTGAAGGGCTTGGGTGTGCAGACACTTTGTTGGCTAAGTGAAGAGCATATGGGCGTTTCCACCATCCGCCACTTAAACTGGGATGCGACATACGTACCTAGGTGTCTGCGGGTCCCCATTTTTGCACAGGAATGCCTGAGCAGCTTCCACTGATCCACCTTGGTAAGTTAATATCGGGATCTGCGTCTTCAGAACACCTTGAAAATAAAGGCAAGCAGGGCACACATCAGCTCTAGTGTTGGCTTTTGGAAATTCACGTTGGCTTTTCAAAAGCTTCTTTGAAGGGTATCATTACTGTTGTTGAACAACATCTATCTGTAGAACATGTTAGGTAAGCCGAGGCCATGACACAGAGGATATTTAAGTTTACTTTTGGTCCTGGGTAAACTCTAGGGTTGACGGGGGTGGAGGGCAGAATCGGGCTAACACAGCCTAACAAATATGCTGCATGTAAGATGCCCATAATACCATGGGAACAGCGGCCTGTTCTGGCCCACTGCCATCACGAGGGCTGAGCATACATTTATGTGCCCTCGGTGACAGTGCGCCAGCCACTGTGATTTAATTTTTACAACAATTCCATGTGATAAAAACCATCATGGGCTGGGCACGGGTGCCTCATGCCTGTAATTCCAGCACTTTGGGAGGCCAAGGTGGGCGGATCACGAGGTCAGGAGATTGAGACCATCCCGGCTAACATGGTGAAACCCTGTCTCCACTAAAAATACAAAAAATTAGCCCGGCGTGATGGCAAGCGCCTATAGTTCCAGCTACTCGGGAGGCTGAGGCAGGAGAATTGCTTGAACCTGGGAGGCAGAGGTTGCAGTGAGCCGAGATCACGCCACTGCACTCCAGCCTGGGCAACAGAGTGAGAATGCATCTCAAAAAAAAAAAAAAAAAACAAAACCCAAAAAACCATCATTATCGCGATTTTAAAGATGAGGAAAACTGAGGCTCAGAGATGCCAAACAACTTGGGCAAGGCCATGTATATATGTCAGTTTCATGGCTCCAATTCTCACCCCAAATTCTCACCCACTCCCTACCTCCCTGCATACCTTCAGGGAAGGTCAAGAACAACTGAAGGAAATTCCCAGAGTCTGTGCCTTGGGATACTTACTTATATTGGAGTGATTTCCAAAAGTGAATCAAAGTGAATTTGATTCTTAAAAATAGGACCTTTTCTAATGACAAAAAGAACACGTATTGTTGTAGAATATGTGGGAAATACACAAAAATCCCAAAATAAGATAAAATGAACTTGGTTTTCATTAACCGATCTATCTCACAGCAGGTTGGGATAGAATCCCAGCATAGTCACTGGCCAAAGATAAAGTCTTCACACAGAGCTTAAGACGGCAGGGAGCCAGGAGCAGGGTGTCTTGGACCCACTGTTATGGTCTAGCTGGTCCTGCAGGAGCTCCCAGACTGCTCTGTAGCCCAGGATGGCTGCCAAGGTAGCCTTGGAGGAGCTTCAGCCAGCTCCTCAATCTCCATCATCAGCCCCTCACACCCCTCACGTAGAGCCAGCCCAAGGAGGCACCGTACCCATGTTAAAACTGCATGCTTGTACTGCAAATGCAGCTTCCAGACAGCGGCTCCCACCCTCAGCTACTCCGCCATGCTGCTGCCCCTGAGCTCTTTGGGAGCTGCCACTGCCACCCCAGTGGGTCAATGGGGCAAGTTGGCATGAGGAACAAGAATCATTGTCAGAAATCTTAAAGAATCCCTCACTGGCCGGGCACGTAGCTCACACCTGTAATCTCAGCACTCTGGGAGTCTGAGGCGGGCAGATCACGAGGTCAGGAGATTGAGATCATCCTGGCCAATGTGGTGAAACCCTGTCTCTACTAAAAATAGAAAAATTAGCTGGGCGTGGTGGCGGGCGCCTGTAATCCCAGCTACTCAGGAGGCTGAGGCAGGAGAATCACTTGAACCCGGGAGTCGGAGGTTGCAGTGAGCCAAGATCGCGCCACTGCACTCCAGCCTGGCAACAAGGCAAAACCCTGTCTCAAAAAAAAAAAAAAAGGATCCCTCACTGTGGCTCCTTCCCCATCCCCCCTCCCTAACCTCAGCCCACATCTAAGTGGGGAAGGCAAGTAGCTGTTAGTCATCGTGATGCTCACAGAACACATTCTACATGTGAAGCCATAAGCTGGCAATTTGGGGTTGGGGGACAGTCACAACAAAGGGGAATGACCCAGCCCTTCCCTGTGCTGTGAGGGGCAGCCTGCCAATCTGGAAAGGGGGCTGAACTTAGAGCCAAACAGCCCTCGGTGGGAACGTCACATCATTCCCTTGCTATGTGACCTTGGGCAAGCTATGTCAGCCATTGGTTACCTCCTCTACAAAATGGGGTAACACCCACCTCCCAGGACTACCGCGACAGGGCAATGACATGCTGTGTGCTAACTACCTGGCTGGCCGTCGTGCACACGGTCAGTGCTAAGTAAAGGATGTTTCTTTCTTACTGCCTCAAAATTGGATCAAGGATATAGGATACTAGTAAAAAATACCAGGGAGTCCAGGAAGGCAGGGAACATAATGTATCCCAAAGTGGGGAACACACGAGAAAGGACACAGGAGAATCCCCAAAAAGGAGGGTCTGGGCAAGATGAGGTTCCCACTTCTGAGCTATGAAGAAAGAGCTATGGTCTGTCTATGCTCAAGACAGGAAAGAAATGACAATGCCTAGTCAGCTTTAAAACTCCTTTTTTTTTTTTTTTTTTCTAAGATGGAATATCACTCTGTCGCCCAGGCTGGAGTGCAGTGGTACAATTTCAGCTCACTGCAACCTCCACTTCCCAGGTTCAAGCGGTTCTCCTGCCTCAGCCTCCCTAGTAGCTAGGACTACAGGCGCGTGCCACCACACGCAGCTAATTTTTGTATTTTTTGGTAGAGACGGGGTTTCACCATGTTGGCCAGGCTGGTCTCAAATTCCTGAGCTCAGGTGATCTGCCTGCCTTGGCCTTCCAAAGTGCTGGGATTACAGGGGTGAGCCACTGCACTCAGCCTCTTTAAAACTTTTCCTAGGCTTTGGTTATTAAAAACGGAGCTGAAATAATTTTCATTAAAAGGCCAAATTGCTTTTACTTTCTTCATGCAAATGTAATGTAAGTTCTGTAAAATCCAATATAGCAAATTCTACCCTCTGAGCTCCCATGAGGACAAGAGACAAGACCCAGCTCTGAGTGGAGTCTGGCAGGCGTCTCCAAGCCAGGCTGTCAGGTGAGCAGAGAGGGCAGAGTGACTTCTGGGAAGGGGGCAGCTGAAAATACCCAGCAACACCGTTGTCAGATGGAAATGAGGTTGGCCTGTGAATGGTGCTCTACGCCGTCGGCAGCCCTTCCTCCCGAGGCCTTTCTCTGCCCTACGGAAACACGGCCCCTTGCCTTTCCTCTGGCCTCAGCGCTGCTCCTTCTCGTCTCCCTCGCTGGCTGTTCTGCCCTTCTCCTCATCCTCTTAACACAGGGAGACCCAGGACGCAATCCTGGGTCCTTTGCTCTGCCTCCATTTATTTCCACAGTGCTCTCACCCAGTAGTTTGACTTGAGAGCCCACCAACACGCCAACAGCCTCCCAATTTCTCCTTGCCCACGCTGCTCTCCTGAACTCTTTATATATCACTAACTGCCTCCTTGACTTCTCCACTGTGTGTCTAATAGACGCACCTCATACCTAACAGGGTCAAACCTGCATTCTTTTAAAAATTATGGTAAAATACGTGCAACACAAAATTCACCATTTTAGCCTTTTTATTTATTTATTTTGAGACACAGTTTTACTCTGTCACCCAGGCTGGAGTGCATTGGTGCGATCTTGGCTAACTGCAACCTCCACTGTCAGGGTTCAAGCGATTCTTGTGTCTCAGCCTTCCAGGTAGCTGGGATTACAGGTGTGCACCAGCCACCACGCCTGGCTAATTTTTGTATTTTTAGTAGAAATGGGGTTTTGTTATGAGACACACAGGTCCTGGTGGAAACGGGGTTTTGGACAGGCTGGTCTTGAACTCCTGACCTCAAGCGATCTGCCTGTCTCGGTCTCCCAAAGCGCTGGGATTACAGGCGTGAGTCACTGTGCCCGGCCTGTTTTAGCCATTTTCAAGTGTATAGTTCAGTAGCATAAAGTATTTCACATTGTTGTGCAACCATCACCCCCATTCATCTCCAGAACTTTCTCATCACCCCAAACTGAACCCCTGTACCTATAAACAACTCCCCATTCCCCTCTCCTCCCAGCCACTGGCAACCACCACTCTACTTTCTGCCCTATGAGTTTGCCTACTCTAGGCATGTCATATGCGTGGAGTCATACAATACGATTGGCTTAATCCACTTCTCAAGATGTCCTCGAGGGTCATCCATGTTGTAGCATGTGTCGGAACTTCCTGCCTTTTTAAGGCTGAGTAATAATTATATACCACATTTTATCTATCTGTTCATCCATTGATGGGCACTTGGTTTGGTTCCACCTCATGACTGTCGCAAATAAAGTGCTATGAGCATTAGGGAACAAATACCTCTTGAGTCCCTGCTTTCCTTTTTCTGGGGTATATGCCTGGAAGTGGAATTGCTAGACCATATGGTATTTGCTGTTTTTAATTGTTTGAGCCACTGCCATCTGTTTTTCATAGCATCTGCACCATTTTACAATCCTTCCATCAGGGCGCAAATGTCAAACCTGGACTCTTGATTTACCCCTAAACCTGCCAGTCTTCCCCATCTCAGTTCACAGCAACTCCATCCTTTCAGTTACCAGGACAAAAACCTTAGAGCAAGCCCTGATCCTTCTCCTCACACCCACACCCAATCCATCTGGAAATCATGTTGACTGTACCTGCAAAATAGATACAACATCTGGCTACTTCTCACAATACCCCCTGCCCTCTGTATCTGTACTTTTTGTCTCTTTGGGTTTCTTTGAAACCAGAACTTGAGACTTGGGTGCAGATGGTCTCTTGGGAGATGGTGCCACGAAGCATGTGGGAGGGAACAGGGAGAATGAGGCTGGGAAGGAGGGAACGTGCACCTTCAAGGTTGCTGCTCTAGGGAGTGGGGCGTCAGTTCCACCAGGACCTATGTGTCTCCAAAAGACAGGGAACTGTCCAAAAGACAGTCACTGTGCCCGGCCTGTTTTAGCCATTTTCAAGTGTATCGTTCAGTAGCATAAAATATTTCACATTGTTGTGCAACCATCACCCCCATTCATCTCCAGAACTTTCTCATCATCCCAAACTGAACCCCTGTACCTATAAACAACTCTCCCCATTCCCCTCTCCTCCCAGCCACTGGCAACCACCATTCTACTTTCTGCCCTGTGAGTTTGCCTACTCTAGGCACGTCATATGCGTGGAGTCATACAATATGACTGGCTTAATCTACTTCTCAAGATGTCCTCGAGGGTCATCCAAGTTGTAGCATGTGTCACTTACACCTCAGGTCCTGTCCCCCAGGGGTTGAGGGTGCCCTGAAGCCATCAGCCAGTGATTCCACATGGCTTTGGAGAGGCCCTGCAGGGCCCTAGCTTGTGGCGGGGTCCCATCGGGTCAGTGTGACTCAGAACATCCACCGCAGTGGCAGCTGAAATCAGAAGTGCGGCTGAAGGGATGTGCCATGAGGCACCCCCACTCCAAACCGTCCTCCTCTCCCACCTTCCATAACTCACCAGTCTCCCGTTTCCACCCTTGTCTCTGCACCCCAGTGATTGCTTACAACCCACACAGAACATGGCTGTCCCTGACTCAGAGAAATCCCAGGCTCCCCATCTCACCCAGAACAAAAGCCCAGCTGCCCACAGGGTCCTGCGAGGCCCTGTCCCATCTGGTCCCTGTTACCTCTCTGTCCCTCGTCCCACTTCTCTTTTCCTCATTCACTCCAGGCCAGTCAGCCAGCATGCCATCCTCTCTTAAACCCACTGGGCCCCCACTCCACCTAATGACCTCTGCCCCAGCCACTGCCACAGTCCAGGATGCCCTTCCCTCAGCCAGCCCAAGCCTCACGCCCTCATCATCAACCTGAATTCTGGACTCAAAGGCCACCTCCTCCAGGAGGTCTTCCTGGCCATTCTGTGTAAAGTGACAGCTGCCCCCCACTGCTGCCACCGCCCAGCCCCTCACTCTCCAGTCTCCTCATCCTGGTCCATTTTCCCCATGGCATCATCACTCGAACACACTGTGCATTCATCTTACAAGTTGTTTCTTGTCTGTCACACTCCACTGGAAGATACTCTCCGTGGGGGCAGGACTGTTGTCAGTTTTGCTCACGGGTGGATCTCAAGAACCTAACAGAGGCCGGGCGCGGTGGCTCACGCCTGTAATCCCAGCACTTTGGGAGGCCGAGGCGGGCGGATCACGAGGTCAGGAGATCGAGACCATCCTGGCTAACACGGTGAAACCCCGTCTCTACTAAAAATACAAAAAATTAGCCGGGCGTGGTAGCGGGCGCCTGTAGTCCCAGCTACTCGGGAGGCTGAGGCAGGGGAATGGCGTGAACCCGGGAGGCGGAGCTTGCAGTGAGCCGAGATCGCGCCACTGCACTCCAGCCTGGGCGACAGAGCGAGACTCCGTCTCAAAAAAAAAAAAAAAAAAAAAAAAAAAGAACCTAACAGAGTGCCTGGCACATACTCGAGCTCAACACACATTTGTTGCATGAAGTGGATTCTACACGTACAGACACAGGCTTTTGGAAACTTCTGACATAATGGGTGCTTTAGGGTATGCCTTACTGAGTTTAAAGCCCTTTTTGAATGCTAAAAGGAAAAAACATACCTCTGAAGAATGCATTTTGAGGGACACAGAGCGATCGGTAGCGGGAGGCAGGTGAGATTCACCAGGCTTCCAGCTCATGCCTGATAACACTTCCTGCAGGATGGAGGTGAGGTGAGCAGCGGTTGTTCACATTGAGCCCGACGCTGATCTGGCTACACGGATAGTGGAATTACAGCCTCGCGTCTCCAACACCTACAGCAATAACGCCCACCTGGGTGCTCCAGGTGCAGCCCTGCCCATCACGACCAGGTGGGACTGCTGTCTGAGCCTTTCAGCCACTTCATACTCCACTACTCTCCCCAGCTCTGGTGGTCCAGGGCTGCCCCGGATTGCTAAGAATACTCGGCAGGTCATTCCCCACACTGCAAAGGGACAGCAGCAGGTGTGCAGGAAGGATCCCATGCTTTGGAGCCTGGTGGACCCAAGTTCAAATTCCAGCTCACCATTTCCACCTGGGAAAATCCCCTGGATCTCTCAGAGCCTCAGTCTCTTCGTCTATGAAATCAAGCTATGCAGCTTACAACGGAGTTGTTCTGAGCTGGAAGGAGAATGCTCTGTACTGCAGATGCTGATTCCCTCCAGCCTCCGTCCACAAAGCCCGTTTGGGGAAATGGACCAAGCCCATCTCACTGCTTACCTTGCTCAACAGCATCTTCAACAATCTTCTGGTGCAAGTTCCAGGCTCTCTGGTCAACGATTATGGCGACCTCCTTCTCCAAGGCCTGCAGGAAGGCAACCAGAGCAACAGCTCCTGGTGGGCCATCTGTCTCTTCTGGAGGCTCATGATTGAAATGTGTGGGGAACCCAGTGGTGATGAGCACTGAGCGGGCATGGGACAGCGAGAGAGAGGCCTTCAGCAGCTCATCTTTACAGAGCAGGTGCCCAATCCCCCGGTTCCCTGAAATGACAAAAATAGAATGTAAAAGTAACTATATTTTTAAAATTATTTGTATGTATGTATGTATGTATTTATTTACTTATGATAGGGTTTTGCTCTGTCATCCAGGCTGGAAGGCAGTGGCGTGATCACAGCTCACTGCAGCCTCAAACTCCTGGGCTCACGTGATCCTCCCGCCTCACCCTCCTGAACAACTGGGCTACAGGCACGCGCCACCACAGCCCGCTAATTTTTTTTGGCATTTTTTAAAAAGATAGGACCTTGCTATGTTGCCCAGGCTGGTCTCAAACTCCCGGGCTCAAGCAATCTTCCCACCTTGGCCTCCCAAAGTGCTGGGATTACAGGCGTGAGCCACCACACCCAGCCAAAAGTGATTATTTTTAAAGTAGAAACTTTACAGTAAGAGTAGTTTGGGTTTTTAGTTCATTTGCTTTGTTTTTTTGAGGGCTGTGGCAGAGACTGCAAATTGCTTGCCACAGTGTATTCTACCCCCGCCCCCTGACCCCAGCAGTGAAGGACAGAGGGGTAAATGGCTGAGGAGCCTCCCTTCAGTCTGGTGTGGCCGCGAGATTGGGTTCTCTGTATTGGATCGTGATGGAAGTGACGCATGCCACCTCTGGGCCTGGCATGCACCTCCAACACACACCTCCAAGCTCGTTCCCTTTTCCTGGCAGCTGGAGTATTGACAGCCAGAACCTCCTGGGGGTCACAGGATGTAACGGCAGACCTGCAGGGTCCCTGAGTGACTGAGTGGAGCAGATCCCCTTCTGCTGACCCAGGACACTCACCCTGGAAGACCCACCCTGGCCTGCTGTGTGAGAGAGGAACACACTTCTGCTGTATTTGAGCAAAGCATCCCGGGGCTTCTAGGTTACAGCACTCTAGCAAACCCTAACTAATACAGGGAAAACATAAGAGGGAAGGGAAATGGTACAGACAGCACCATTAGCTGGGGATTCCCTCAAAGAAGACCCTGACACAAGGACCTGGGCACAAGTATTTCAGTGGGAGGTGATCCCAGGAAATGCAAGTGAGAAGATGGGGAAAGCGGAAAAAAAAACAGTAAAGGATTGTGAGTGAGCAAGTTAACTTCAAAGGCAACTGGGGCTCAGCACAGCTTGAGATTCTCTAAGAAACTGTGGGGTCCTCGGAGGACAGGAGACTGGGCATTTACTCACCTGCCTATTAGGGCGTTGAGTCCTCTGCACTACCAAGCTGTGCCTGCTGTGATGAGGGAGACTCTGGAGGGACAGAGGGCATCCTCAGATGGAGCAGAGACCTGAGCCTATGGTAAGAGGCTGTCGTGCTGGGAGCCGCCCATAATTCTATGCAGGTGAACCCAGGCAGCCCAGAGGATACGAGTGGGGAAGCTGCGGTGTGTGCTACAGGTGCCCACCAGTGGCCACCAAGCCAGGCAGCCGCCCTCATGAGGTCCCATTGTGCCTTTGTCTACATTCAGGTCATCTCAGAGCAAAACAGTGCACGCGAAGGCAGTGTGTGGGACACAGAACTTCTACTCTGGCGGTGGCTGAAATCAGCAGTGGACTGAAGGGACGTGAGAGGACGCTGGCTTATAGTTGAGGTGCCTGGAGAATATGAAAGACACGGGGTTGGCTGGGCGGGGTGGCTCACGCCTGTAATCCCAGCACTTTGGGAGCCTGAGGTGGGTGGATCACGAGGTCAGGAGTTCAAGACCAGCCTGGTCAACAAAGTGAAACCCCGTCTCTACTAAAAATACAAAAATTAGCCAGGCATGGTGGTGGGTGCCTGTAATCCCAGCTACTCAGGAGGCTGAGGCAGGAGAATCGCTTCAACTCGGGAGGTGGAGGTTGCAGTGAGCCGAGATCGCACCACTGCACTCCAACCTGGGTGACAGAGCAAGACTCTGTCTCAAAAAAAAAAAGAAGAAGAAGACATGGGGTTTGGATTTCTGTTATGGAGGAACAGTTCCTGATTTAGAACCAGGAAACTTGCATTCCAGTCCAGATGCTGGCATATCGTAGCTGTGTGACCTGGCCTCATCCTTTGACCTCTCTGAGCCTCAGTTTTCCCACATGGAGAATGGGAGGTAGTCCAGATGTAGGAGGGTCACAGGGACATGGCCCATCACATAGTGTGCTGGGAGGAGTGGACACTGGAGCAGTGCTGTCTGGAGGGTGATTTCTGTCTTAGATTTGTGCATTCCACTGGAGCCAGCGAGTCACTTCTCGTGCCCACTGTTCCTAACAAAGTCATCATGGGCATGTTCACAAACTTAGTCATAAGGATGTTCATTACAGCATTGTTTATGGTATTAAATAACAGCATATTAATAAAATAGTGGAACATTTGTAAAATGAAATTTTAGGTCAGGCACAGTGACTCACATCTGTAATCCCAGCACTTTGGGAGGCTGAGGCAGATGGATCACCTGATCCATCACCTGATCCATGGTCAGGAGCTTGAGACCAGCCTGGCCAACATGGTGAAACCCCGTCTCTAATAAAAATACAAAAATTAGCCGGGCATGGTGGTGTGCACCTGTAATCCCAGTTACTCAGGAGGCTGAGGCAGGAGAATCACTTGAACTTGGGAGGCGGAGGCTGCAGTGAGCTGAGATCGCACCACTGCACTCCAGCCTGGGTGACAGAGCAAGACTCTGTCTCAAAAAAAGGGGGGGCGAGGAGAAGAATAACAACATTTTTAAATAAAAAAATTGGGATGTAACCTACTTCCTAGGGCATGGTGAGCTCCAAAGGGAGAAGAGGAGAGTGAGAACTTGGTCAACTGTAAATTGGTAAATACATTTATGATGATTTTATCATCAGTGCAAAAATCATTACTATAAACCCTATATCCCTTCATATTCCCCAGGCACCTCAAATGCAAGCCAACATCCTCTCAAAAATGACTAAGTGGGTCTATTATTATGTCCAGTGAGTAACGCTCAAGATGCTGTTATGAATCTTCTATCTGCTTATTTAATATAGTGGGGATCAAAAGCATCTGTTGTTCTTGAGGATTAAAGATGGTCCTTAACAGATGACATCAACACATCCAACAGCTGTAAATCTGCCTCCCCCAGCCTCATCCTTCAAGCTTTGTCTTGCAGTCTGCACAGCATTGATGGGTGGTGTTTGTGGCTGACCTCTTAGCTTGTTTTATTAAGCAATGGGTGCACCACATCTGCAATAAATTTACTTCCCAATTACTTTTTTTTTTTTTAATCTGAGCTAATGGTAGAGTTAATAATTCATCTTCCCTCATGACTCTGTGCTAAATGGAGAGCCATCAGCTTGGGTAAGAATGTTTGTGAAGGAGAAGGTATGGCAGAAATTTTAAAAAATATACCCACCCAGAGCACCAGGAGCGGTGGCTCATGCCTGTAATCTCAACACTTTGGGAGACTGAGGAGGGAGGATTGTTTGAACCCAGGGGTTCAACACAGGGAGACCCCATCTCTACAAAAAAAAATTAAAAATTAGCCCAGCATGGTGGTGCGCACCTGTAGTGCCAGGTACTCGGGAGGCTGAGGTGGGAGGGTACCTTGAGCCCTGGAGAGTGAGGCTGCAGTGACCTATGATTGCATCACTGTACTCCAGCCTGGAGGACAGAACAAGAACCTGTCTCAAAAAAAAAAAAAAAAAAAAAAAAAAAAATCCGGCTGGGCACGGTGGCTCACACCTGTAATCCCAGCACTTTGGGAGGCCGAGGTGGGCAGATTGCATGAGGCCAGGAGTTCGAGACAAGCCTGGCCAACATGGTGAAACCCCAGCTCTACTAAAATTACAAAAATTAGCCAGACATGGTGGCACATGCCTGTAATCCCAGCTACGTTGAGAAGCTGAGGCACAAGAACTGCTTGAACCCAGGAGGTGGCGGTTGCAATGAGCCAAGATCACACCACTGCACTCCAGCCTGGGCAACAGAGTGAGACTGTGTCTCAAAAGAAAAAAAAAATCCACCCAGGGGATCAACTATGTAAGATACTTTATGTATACACAGTCATGAGCATAACCTATGAGGTGTATCTGTGGTGGGTTTATATCCTTAATTTACTATAGGATTATATGTAAAGGAAACCACATTCTCTACAGAATGAACTAATGAATGAACAACCTAACAGAAGACAAACAGGCAAAGAGCTATGTCCAGTGGTTCAGCAAGAAATTTAGTTACTACAGATGCCCCTGTCATTGGAAGACAACTTTTGCTCCTAGGCCCAGGGGAGAGAATCAGACATTTCCTTCCTTCCCTCCCTCCCTCCCTCCTTCCCTCCCTCCCTCCCTCCCTCCCTTCCTTCCTTCCTTCCTTCCAGAATCAGACTCCCTCCCTCCCTCCCTCCCCCCCCCCAACTTTCTTTCTTTCTTTCTTTCTTTCACAGGGTATTGCTCTATTGCCCAGGCTGGAGTGCAGTGCTGCAATCATGGCTCACTGCAGCTTCAAATTCCTGAACTC
Source organism: Homo sapiens (assembly GCF_000001405.40). Classification (NCBI taxonomy): domain Eukaryota; kingdom Metazoa; phylum Chordata; class Mammalia; order Primates; family Hominidae; genus Homo; species Homo sapiens. The sequence goes on along the minus strand of NC_000014.9, from coordinate 91,184,472 downwards.
AAGCGATCTGCACACCTCAGCCTCCCCAGTAGCTGGGACCACAGGCGTTTGACACCACCACACCTAGCTAATTTTTATTATTATTGTTTTTTCTAGAGATAGGATCTCTCTACATTGGCCAGGCTGGTCTTCAACTCCTGACCTCAAGTGATCCTCCCACCTCGGCCTCCCAAGAATTAGGTATTTCTAGGGCTGGTCTGCACTGTCAGATTCGTGACAGTGCTGGCCAGCAGGGGAAGGTCCCAGCCTGTCTGTTTTGGGGTTCTACCCAGCTGCTGTAGGCTTTAAACTGGTGCTGGAATCAGTCCTGTCTGGGCCCTGGGAGTCTGGCCCAGATTGCTGACTGCTGCTTTGCAGGCTGGCCTCACCCCTCAGCTCTCCACGGAGGTCGGCCACCATTGATGCAGGTAGCTACCTAGATCTTCCCACTGGCCCACCTGACTCTGGGGAATGAGAGTCAGGTGGGCCGGTGGGGAGGCCACATATGCCTTCTCCTCTCCAGTCATTCCAGGTGCCAAGGGCGGTTTGTACCCCAGGTTTAGGAGCACGGCCCATGAGAAGGTCCAGAAGAGGGACTGGGGTGTGAACCAGGAGTCGCTAGAGCACTCTTTCAACTGCCCAGGCAAGACTGTGACTTACCGTTTCCATTGAGATTCTAATTTAGCTGACAGGTATAAATCATAGGCTTGAAGTCAGCAGACATGGGTTCAAGTTCTGCCCTGACCACCTACTAGGTATGTGGATTTTGGAAAGTCTTTGTACCTTATCTGCCTCAGTTTCCTCACCTGTTAAATGAAGTTAATCATAGCTGCCTCCACGTAGAGTCACTGGGAGAATTTAATAAGATGAAACGCATAAATGCTTGCAGCCTGTTGCCTGGCACAGTATAACTTGGTAGGTGACACCATTATCCTTATCATGCATCACAACCCAGAGAGGCAGGCATAATTGTCATCACTCCTGTTACGCTGATGAAGAAACTGAGGTATGGGCTACACCGTAATTCTCTCATGAGTGTTTGCCAACAAAGGGATTTACCACACACAATGGCAGGTGAAACTGCAGTCCCTGCTGGCCACCTGGGATTAGAAATTCAGCCCTTAAATGAAGACATAGCAGGAAGTTAAAAGCCCCTCAACCAGCTTTTAGCAAACCTCTTTCTAATTGGAATCAGCAGGGCCAGGCATGGTGGCTCATGCCTGTAATCCCAGCACTTTGGGAGGCTGAGGTGGGCAGACCACTTGAGCTCAGGAGTTTGAGACCAGCCTGGGTAACATGGCAAAACCCCGTCTCTACTAAAAATACAACAACAAATTAGCCAGGTATGGTGGTGCCGGCCTGTAGTCTCAGCTACTCAGGAGGCTGAGGTGGGAGGATTGCTTGAGCCTAGGAGGTGGAGGTTACAGTGAGCCAAGATCGCATCACTGCACTCCAGCCTGGGCAACAGAGTGAGATCTTGTCTCAAAAAATAAAATAAAATAAAATAAATAAACTAAACTAAAATAAAAAAATAAAAATAAATAAAAATATAAAATAAAATAAAATAAAAAATAAAATAAAATAAAATAAAATAACTAATTGGAATCAGCAGGTCCCCTAGGGGATCCCACCAGCCCTCTCCCATGTACAGAAGGCCAGTGGCTCCAAAGCCACAGAAGGGCTATCCTTCCCCTGAGATGCGTTATACAATATACAAGTTGACTGCAAACTGTTGTGAGGCTGTGGCTGTAGGGTCCTGCCCCACTGGGATCCCCGGAGAAGTAATCCTACCCCATCACTATCCCTGCTATCCAGTATACAACTAATCTATTCCATGCCCAACCCCAGGGCAATGGCACTAAAGGGGGAGATTAGGGACATCACTAAATCCATAGAGGACAGGCTAGGTGGCTTATGCCTGCAGTCCCAGCACTTTGGGAGGCCGAGGCGGGAAAATCACTTGAGCCCAGGAGTTCAAGACCAACCTGGGCAACATAGTGAGACACCACGCCCCCATCTCTAAATAATAATAATAAACTACATAAATAACTTTTTTTTAATGGTGGCAGTTGCCTACCTAGAAACCATTCTCTCTTTTTTTCTTACTACCTAACCCCATCTGCTTCTGGCTGGCAACATGCCCAGCAAATAAACTCAACGAACTTCCTCACGTTTAGTGTTAAAGTTTAGAACAACAAGAAAAAGCCAAAAACTACTGGACATGGTGGCTTACACCTGCAATCCCAGCACTTCGGGAGGCCGAGATGGGTGGATTACCTGATGTCAGGAGTTCGAGACCAGCCTGGCCAACATGGTGAAACCTCGACTCTACTAAAAATACAAAAATTAGCTGGGTGGGGTGGCACATGCCTATAGTCCTAGCTACTCAGGAGGCTGAGGCAGGAGAATCACTTGAACCCGGGAGATGGAGGTTGCAGTGAATTGAGATTGCACCACCACACTCCAGCCTGGGCAACAGAGTGAGACTCCATCTCAAAAATAAATAAATAAATAAATAAATAAATAAAAAGCCATAAAGAAGAAAGCAAGGCTGGGCATGGTGGCTCACGCTTGTAAACCCAGCACTTTGGGAGGCCAAGGTGGGCGGATCATGAGGTCAGCAGTTTAAGACCAGCCTGGCCAACATGGTGAAATCCTGTCTCTGCTAAAAATACAAAAATTAGCCAGGTGTGGTGGAGCGTGCCTGTAATCCCAGCTACTCAGGAGGCTGAGACAGGAGAATCACTTGAGCCAAGATCACGCCATTGTTCCAGCCTGGGCAATAGAGTAAGACTCTGTCTCAAAAAAAAAAGAAAAAAAAGAAAGAAAAGAAAGAAAACAAAAGAAAGAAAGAGAAAGAAAGAAAGAAAAAGAAAGTAAGCAAAAATCACTCACAATACCACTACCTAGAGACCATCAATGTCAGTATTTTGGTGTATTTAATTCTAGTCTTTTTGAGATTTATATGCAGTATCAACATTTAAAAAATCATCCTGTGGATACATTTTGCATCCCACCTTTTTCACTGAAAAGGTGATTTTCTCCAGGTGCAAATGTGTTGTTTCTTACCTGGGTCTATGCCGAGCAAATGTGTTGTTTCTTACCTGGGTCTATGCCGATCATAGACTCTAGTTCTCTGATCTTCTGAGAAGCAGAGACTGACGCGATGCTGTAGTGCAGAGGATCTTGGGAAATGTGATGGACCTCTGGAATTCTCTCTGGGGTGAGACAACCAGGTGGAGCCTTTGCATCCTTCAGGTCAGTCATAACTGTGCAGCCTGGGATGCTGGCAAAAGCCAGTGGGGTCTCTAAAACACACAGCAGGAGGGTCTGAGCCCAGCCACTTCATCAAGTCCAGCCTACCCTCATCTAGCCCACTGTTGATAGGCAAGATGGCACCTGGCCATCAACTCAGCCTAAGCACTCCCTATACCACCTGCTGGCACCAAGGTCAGAATAAGCTGGTTTATAGCTACATCAAGTTCCATTTAAACAGTTGCCTCTAATCTCTAGGAAAGTAAAGATGAGTTGAATATGGGTTGAAAAGAAGTGAGATACAGCCACAGCTATAGCTAGAGCTCTAGGCGATTCCATCAATTTAACCCATGGATATCAGGAAGTGTTTACTGGATTCTTAAAACTCATGAAGCCATCTTGCTTTGCTTTCCAGCAAATGTTAGGTTTGGAACCCTCTGTGAGCATCATTTCTATTTTTCCTTATGGCATCGTTTCTATTTTTCCTTATGGCACTTACATTTTGCTTTGATTTATGTTAATTTTATTCTTTAAAGACTCTCCTTTGTTAGATTTCAGGCAATGTGAAACACTCTAGCATAGTTATTAAGAACTGGTTTTAGCATTGTGAATATACTGGAATTTGAGATGTGACTTTATTGACTTTATTCTTTTTTTTTTTTTTTTTGAGATGGAGTCTTGTTGTGTCACCCAGGCTGGAGTGCAGTGGTATGATCTTGGCTCACTGCAACCTCTGCCTCCTGGGTTCAAGCGACTCTCCCGCCTCAGCCTCCTGAGTAGCTGGGATTACAGGCACCCGCCACCACGCCTGGCTAATTTTAGTATTTTTAGTAGAGACAGTGTTTTACCATGTTATCCAGGCTGGTCTCAAACTCCTGACCTCAGGTGATCTTCCCCTCTTGACCTCCCAAAGTGCTGGGATTACAGGTGTGAGCCACCACGCCCAGCCCGACTTTATTCTTTAAACCTGTTTCTTTGACTGTAATGATAATGCCTCATATGGCTATTGTCAGAACGAAACTGGAAAACGTACATAAAAGTGTTTAGCAGGCAGGGCGCAGTGGCTCACGGCTGTAATCCCAATACTTTGGGAGGCCAAGGAGGGTGGATCACCTGAGGTCAGGAGTTCAAGACCAGCCTGGGCAACATAGTGAAACCCTGTCTCTATTAAAAATACAAAAATTAGCCCAGCTTGGTGGTGCGCCTGTAATCCCAGCTACTTGGGAGGCTGAGGTGGGAGAATTGCTTGAACCTGGGAGGCAGAGGCTGCAGTGAGCTGAGAACACGTCACTGCACTCCAGCCTAGGCAACAGAGCAAGACCTTATCTCAAAAAAAAAAAAAAAAAAAAAAAGTGTTTAGCATACTCGTGGTTTAAAAATGTAAAAAAAAAAAATAAATTTTTAAGAAAGTGTTCAGCAAAGTGCTTGTTTCAGAGTAAGCCCTCGATGGTTTGCTTAATTGAACAAGCATATATTTTTTTTTTTTTGGAGACGGAACCTTGCTCTGTCGCCCAGGTTGGAGTGCAGTGGTGCGATCTCGGCTCACTGCAACCTCTGCCTCCCGGGTTCAAGAAATTCTCCTGTCTCAGCCTCCTGAGTAGCTGGGATTATAGGCGTGCACCACTACACCCGGCTAATTTTTGTATTTTTAGTAGAGACAGGGTTTTGCCATGTTGGCTAGGCTGGCTCGAACTCCTGACCTCAGGTGATCCTCCTGTCTCAGCCTCCCAGAGTGCTGGGATTACAGGCGTGAGCCACCGCACCCAGCCTCATCTATATATATTTTTAAAGAGATAAGGCCTTGCTCTGTTGCCCAGGCTGGAGTACAGTGGTGCAACACAGCTCACTGCGGCCTCAAACTCCTGGGCTCAAGCAATCCTCCTGCCTCAGCCTACCACAGTGCTGGGATTACAGGCATGAGCCACAGAGCCTGGCCTGAACCACGTAGTATCTTACTCATTCTTAGTTCCTTATGCCTAGCTCATTAAGTGCTTAATACCATACTATTTACCTCTTCTGCCTTCCTCAGTGTCATTACTATCTTTGAGTATTCATCTCTACTCAGTTGTATGCTCCTGGAGAAGAGCGACCATTGCTCATTCATCTCAGGATCCCACAGAGGGCCTTGCGCATAATAGGTGTTCAACAAATGCAGATGTGAATTGAGTAAATAAATCTTGGATTTCACAGAAACAATAAAGTTTCTTTTTTTTTTGAGACAGAGTCTCGCTCTATCACCCAGGCTGGAGTGCAGTGGTGAGATCTCAGCTCGCTGCAACCTCCGCCTCTGGGGTTCAAGCAATTCTCAGCCTCCCAAGTAGCTGGGATTATAGGTGTGTGCCATCACGCCTGGCTAATTTTTGTATTTTTAGTAGAGACAGGGTTTTACCATGTTGGCCAAGATGGTCTTGAACTCCTGACCTCAAGTGATCCGACCACCTCAGCCTCCCAAAGTGCTGGGATTACAGGCGTAAGCCACCACACTTGGCTTAAAGTTTCATATTTAATAGAAAGAGTCAGCCAGCACTTCAAAATAAAAATCTAATAGATACATAACTTTTAGATTTGATGTGTAAGGGGAAAAAGTCTTGAATCTGATGATGAATTTAATTATCGCTTGTCTGTGTTTTGGATGGCACCTAAAACTGGTCACTCCAAAACCAGGTAGATGTCAGAACAGTCAGCTCAGAGCATGACACGGGGTTTTGCCCCCATCAGTTGTGAGGTCTGTTGCACATAATCTATTGCTAATAGAAGTTTAAATATTGAAGTTCAAGGTAGGCATGGTGGCTCACGACTATAATCCCAGCACTTTGGGAGGCTGAGGTGGGAGGATCGCTTGAGCCCAGGAGTTCAAGACCAGCTTGGGCAACATAGTGAGACCCCATCTCCACAAAAATTTAAAAATTAGCTGGACATGATGGTGCATACCTGTAGTCCAGCTACTCCAGAGGCTCAGGTGGGAGGATTGCTTGAGCCTAGGAGGTCAAGGCTACAGTGAGCTGTGATCGTGCCACTGCACTCAGCCTGGGTGACAGAGCGAGACCTTGTCTCAAAAAAAAAAAAAGGGAATTTGAGAATGATTCAAGATTGTCCCTCTCTGATGTCATTTGTTCTCATCTACGATCAATTGTGCTATCGCTGTCAGAACTAAAGGACTGGAACATGCCATGCTGGGGTGCCCACAGCAGTGAGATCTCCTCTGCAGGGCACCTGCCACGACCGATGGTGGGAAAGCGGTGAGGCCACTGGGCTGGGGGACGTTTACTGCACGTGGGTGGGTGTGTCTACACACATGCCCACACACACACTCAGACAAGACCATGAGCGCCCAGAGGACTCCATCCTGTCCCATGGAGCACTGTACTCCTGAGGCCTGGGTGCATGCCTGGCACATAGCAGGTTCTCAACACATGCACTTAAATAAATGAACAAATGGAATCCTGTGGATCTTGGCAGCCACGCCTCATCACCACATTAGGGATGATCTTTCCCTCGCATGAGGCCATTCTGATAGCTGAACTCTCACGAATGCTTTCAAAATAAATTAAAGTAACACTACAGTATGTGCTTACAGCGCAAGTGTGGCTGGCCTGGCCAGAATTTTCCAGTGTCCATGACCATGGTCTGCAATAGCTGTTATTTTTCATGTTTCTGTCACCTTCCTATCTTACTGAGAGCTAGCGAGGGCGCCCTCGTGTGTCTCTTCATTGTAATATCACCTAGGCCTTGGAAAAAATGTACTGCTGCTGGCCTTGTTTATAATCACCTTGCAAATACCACAGGAAATGACTTGTTTAGTTATATTTCTTGGCTTCACCTTTGTTTTCAAGGCCCCATCAATCTCCAAAATGTCTCAAAAAGCCAAGCTAAAGGTTAGTCCTCCTGCTAGAATGGGCTGGGATGCTTCAGCAGATAAAAATATATATTTAATCAAAACGGCTGAAGCAATGGCTCATGCTGTTATCCCTATGACTCAGGAGGCTGGGGCAGGAGAATCACTTGAGCCCAGAACTTTGAGACCAGCCTGGACATTGTAACAAGACCCCATCTCTACAAAAAATTTCTAAAAATTGGTTTGGTATGGCGGCGTATGCCTGTAGTCCCAGCTACCTGGGAAGCTGAGATGGGAGGATCACTTGACCCCAGAGGTTTGAGGCTGCAGTGAGCTATGATGATGCCACTGAACTCAAGCCTTGGCAATAGAGTGAGACTCTGTGAAAGAAAGAAAGAAAGAGAAAGAAAGAAAGACAAGACAAGAAGGAAGGGAGAGAGAGAGAAAGAAGAAAGAAGAAGGGAAGGAAGGAAGGAAATATATTTAATCAAAACATATTTGAGGCTGGACACGGTGGCTCATGCCTGCAATCCAAGCACTTTGGGAGGCTGAGGTGGGAGGATCACTTGAGGCCAGGAGTTCAAGACCAGCGTGGCCAACATGGCAAAACCTCGTCTCTACTAAAAATACAAAAATTAGCCAGGTGTGGTGGCATGCACCTGTAATTCCAGCTACTTGGGAGGCTGAGGCACACCTCCCTCGCTGGAGCCCAGGAGGCGGAGCTTGCAGTGAGCCGAGATCGTGCCACTGCACTCCAGCCTGGGCGACAGAGTGAGACTGTGTCTCAACAAAACCAAAAAACCAACGACAAAAAAATTGAGTTGTAAGACAAAGTGCTCTGGTAAGGAGATCCAGCCCTGGGATTAAAAGAAGGAAACCAGGCCAGGCGCGATGACTCACGCCTGTAATCCCAGCACTGTGGGAGGCAAAGGTGGGCAGACCACGAGGTCAGGAGATTGAGACCATCCTGGCCAACATGGTGAAACCCCGTCTCTACTAAAAATACAAAAATTAGCTGGGCATGGTGGCACATGCCTGTAATCCCAGCTACTCAGGAGGCTGAGACTGAAAAATCGCTTGAACCAGGGAGCTGGAGGTTGCAGTGAACCGAGATTGCACCACAGCACTCTAGCCTGGCAACAGAGTGAGACCCTGTCTCAAAAAAAAATAAATAAATAAAAGAAGGAAACCAGAGAGAGATTCACTGTAGCTGTAGGCCTCTGTTTTGTGTTTTGTTTCATGGCTTTATTTTTAAATCATTGTACTACGAGAATATGCTTTCAAGAACTAGACCCCACTGGGCTCCATCCTAGGGCAGATCGATTGTCCCATTATCCCCCAACGTACCACAGCTGCTGACAGCTCCGAGACTGGTCAGCGGAGAAGGCCAGAACACTGGAACCTCCCCTGGGGGACACACCATGGCATCCCCGTAGGCAGGTTTGGAAAGCTCTTTGATTCCCAACAGTTCTGCAGATGGAAAAGGAAAATGTAATTTCCTCAGCAGGGAGCATCCAATTAGAACTGGTTGAGTAGTTTATGGTTCTTTCTCTAAAACAGAAACTCAAATTGCAGGATTATTGTAAATGGTATTTGAGGAAGAGGTGAAGGAGAATAGGGATTAAGGCTTTGACAACTCAGGCTACTCCATAATTTACAGTCCATGTGGCATGGTGGTTTCAGAAAACAGAATCTCAAACTGTGTGGCGTGATTTCTGGAAGGATCCTTGGGTGCATTGAGCCTAGTACTCTCATTGTGCAGATTGCTACCAAAGCCAGCCTTGGGGGGTTGACCTTGGTCCAGGCTGGGTCACATCTCATGCACCTAACCTCAGCTGCTTGACTACCAGCAGCAACCTAATCCCGAAGACAGCAAAGATGGATGTGCTGGGCCCAATCCATCCCCGCTAATGATAAAACTCCTCAGCAGACACCATCCTGGTGGGTGGCCCTGAATCATCCTCATGTGATGAAGCTAGCAAGTACTGACTGCATTTTCACAAAAGGCTAGGTTCTGTCTAATGTTGTCGGTTATGCAGTTGAGCAAGTTTAGGTATACCAAACTTGGACCCTCAACCAAGGCCCAGTCTCAAACTCTCATCAGGCCTTCTAAGAGGCCTGCACAGCTTCTTGATATTGGCTCTTCATCTTGGATCTGTTCACTCACTCTCAGATTGAGTGAATACGCTGGGGATCAATGGATTTCAGCTCAAATTAACATATGGAACAAAGCCATCTCCTACCCAAATATACCAAAGAATAGCAGCCCAGATTAGACGTTGCTTCGAGCTCAAATCTCCGGACAAAGAGCCCTGCTGCAACCCTTGGCTTCCTCCAACCCCAGATTCATTGGAAGTTCATAGGAGCTTTACATTTATCAAAGATCCCCAGTGGGTGAGCGTGTAGAGAAAAAAACTCTACCTAAATGGTGTGTTTCCTCTGCTCTCACACCGCAGTAACAGTCATCCACACAGAAGACTCCTGTGACCAAATTTGTAGGGGTTTCTCCCCACCATCAAGCAGGAGGCACCAGCTGGGTGCCCTCCAATTCCATTCCACCTGGAGATAGCATCAGAACCCACGGGTTGAGGGCTCAGTCCCCAAGGCCACCCCCCTACAGACACCAGTTGCAAGTCTGGGCCTCCAGAACTTCTGACCAACTGGCTTCCAGTTTGATTAACCCTCTTTGGGTTTGATTATACCCAAACTCTTTGAGTTTGATTAATTTCCTGGAGCAGCTCACAGACCTTGAGGAAACATTTACTTATGTATACCAGTTTATCATAAAAAATATTGCAGACCGGGTGCGGTGGCTCATACCTGTAATCCCAGCACTTTGGGAGGCCAAGACGGGCAGACCACTTGAGGCCAGGCGTTCAAGACCAGCCTGGCCAACATGGCAAAACCCCATCTCTACTAAAAATACAAAAATTAGCTGGGCATGGTGTTGGGCACCTGTAATCCCAGCTACTTGGGAGGCTGAGGCAGGAGAATCGCTTGAACCCAGGAGATGGAGGTTGCAGTGAGCTGAGATTGCAACGCTGCACTCCAGCCTGGGCGACAGAGGGAAACTGTGTCTCAAAAATAAATAAATTAATTAATTTAATTAAATTAAATAAAGGATATTGCAAAGGATACAGATAGAGATGCCCAGGGCAAGGTGTGGGGGAAGGGGTGCGGAGCTTCCATGCCCTCCTTAGGCACCACCCTCTAGGAACCTACATGTGTTCAGCTATGTAGAAGCTCACTGAAGCCTATCCTCTTGGGGTTTTACGGAGGCTTCATTACATGAGCATGATTGATTAAACCATCAGCCGTGGGTAATCAGCTTGACCTTTAGCCCCTCTTTCCTCCCTGGAGGTTGCGGGGAGGGGTGGAGCTGAAAGTCCCAACCCTCTAATCCTACCTTAGTCTTTCTGGTGACCAGCCCCACCCTGAACCTATCAGACAAAATACAGCATTTTGGAGGTTCCAAGAATTTTAGGAGTTATGAGCCAGGAATTGTGGACAAAACCCAATATATATATTCATTATATATATATATATTTTTTCCTATGTATGTATTATTAAGCCTCGGTAAAAACCCAAAAGGATGTGATATATATAAACTTACATCACAGTGAGACTGGCTATTCTGCCAAGGGTGGCACCTTTAAACCTGAGGGGCATCTGTAAGCCCAGCCCTGATACAGCTGCCAGAGCCTTTGAGCCTTGTTCAGGGCCTTTGCCCCTGGAGACCCCTGGTAAAAACAAAGACAAGCCATGGGAGCTTAGGAACGTGGCAAACTCCTGTCTGCTTCTTAGGCCCAACTCCAAGAGAGGCTGTCAGGATCATGGGCAGGAGCGAGAGACACTGACCTGGGTCGCCGATGTGAACAGGGGGATCATGGGCAGGAGCGAGAGACACTGACCTGGGTTGCCCATGTGAACAGGAAGATCATGGGCAGGAGCGAGAGACACTGACCTGGGTCGCCCATGTGAACAGGTTGCCCCTGCTCACCTCCGAGGGAGCAGCAGGCCCGCACCAGCCCTTCCAGCTTGTCCTTGGGAATGGGCCTCATCGTGACCACCAGAGGGCAGCAGAAGCCAGCATGGGTAACACAAGGCACTGTTGTCTGACCAAAAAAAAAAAAAAATCAAGTGAAAATGTTAAAAAATGGAATTAGCACAGATCCAAGCTCTGAGCACCAAGAGTTCAAGGCAGCTAAATGAAGGAGGAGTAGCTGTTATAGAAATTAGCTTCTATTTTTATGTGACATAGAGAGAGGGAGTTTGCTGTTAATTACTGGTTTAAAATAGGGAATCTTAACTTTTTGTGTGCCACGGACCCCTTTGGTAGACTAGTACAGCTGTGGACCCCTGGTCAAAGTAATGCCTTTAACTGCATACAAGAAAATGCACAGGATTCCAAAGGAAACCAATTATCCTGCAAGCACAGTTATCAAATAATAGAAAAATGTGGCCAGACACGATGGCTCACACCTGTAATCCCAGCACTTGGGAGGCCGAGGTGGGCGGATCACGAGGTCAGGAGTTCGAGACCAGCCTGGCCAGCATGGTGAAACCCCATCTCTATTAAAAATACAAAAGTTCGCCGGGCATGGTGGCACGCGCCTCTAGTCCCAGCTACTCGGGAGGCTGAGGCAGGAGAACGGCTTGAACCCAGGAGGCGGAGATTGCAGTGAGCCGAAATCACACCATTGCACTCCGGCCTGGGTGACAGAGCAAGACTCCATCTCAAAGAAAAAAAAAAAAGGAAAAATGTGAGACAATATGCATGCTTCCTCAGTAGCAGCCTAAGAAACAAGATGCCAGTTCTACTATCATTGTAACTTTGAAGTAGTGATCAGCATATAGGATATTTTTGAGACATCAGGAAGAACTCTAACGTGATATGAAGATATCTGTGATTTCTGTTGCCAGCCATGAAGTCACAGGGTCTGCTGATATGACAGCCATTTGCTGCCTACATTCATAATTGAAGGAAATGCTAAATGTGAGTTGAGGTTATGAAAATAAAATTGAGGCTGGGCACAGTGGTTCATGCCTGTAATACCAGCACTTTGGGAGGCCAAGAAGGTTGGATCGCTTGAGCCCAGAAGTTCAAGACCAGCCTGGGCAATACAGCGAAACCCTGTCTCTACCAAAAAAAACCAAAACCATAAATTAGCTGGGTGTGCTGGCACATGCCTATGGTCCCAGCTACTCGGGAGGCTGAGATGGGAGGATCTCTTGAACCCAGGAGGTTGAGGCTGCAGTGAGCTGTGACTGTGCCACTGCACCACTCCAGCCTGGGCAACTGAGCAAGAACTGTCAAAAATAAAAATAAAAATAAAATAAAATAAAGAAGGGAGGGAGGGAAGAAGGGAAAAGAAAAACGTACTTTTTTTCCCATCCAATATCATGGAGCCTCTGAATTTCTCTAGGGACTGCAAGGGCCATGGACCAAAGGTAAACAGCCTCTGGTGAATCACGGGCAGAGGGAGGCAAGGGAGAACATCACAGGAGGAGCTGGTGTTCACTCTGCCTCCTGAATCCACACAAGCAACAAGCCTGTCCCCAGACCCCATGGAGCACGGCCTGGTGCCTCCTGCCTTAACAGATGTTGCCCGGTTTGATCTGTGTGACTTTTATTGGTGTTTCGCTCCCCCACCCCACCTCCTGAATGGTTTCTGGTGCCTGCAATAGAGCTTATGAAAGATTTAGGACATGGCCAGGACTATAATCCACTGTGACAGTCTTGGCCACCACCTAAAGAGCTTGCTATCACCACCCTGGCGGCAGCAGGATGGAACCTCGGTGTGGCTGCCAGCAGTGTCTGCATAATAGCACCCAGGAGAGGGGACATGCTGGAGCCACTGGCAGAGCCAGGCAGCCCTCCCCAAGGCTGAGACACATCCCGTCTGGGGGTGGCCAATGGAATCCCAGATGGCTGTCTGGCCATCTCTCCCTGGAGCCCAGGGGCAGAGGTGTCGATATTAGACTGAAAGCTATTTGATAAGCATCGGGGTCAGTGAAGCCCTGTTGAGCACTTACTGTGGACACTTACTTGCACCTTTGTAGGCAACAAACAGTTGCCATATCAGCAGACCCTGTGACTGCAAAGCATCATTTAATTGTCACATCTCTGTTATTGACATTGTACAGATGGGAGCCAGGGGTTCCAGGTTCCCATCTGGCTTTGGGACTTGGGCAAGTCCTTTTCTCTCTTTAGACCTCGGTTTCCTCATCTAAAATGAGAATCTGCATGTGACGAGCCATGGGGCCCTCTCAGCTCCCACCTCCTACAAAGGGTGCTGTGTTCCAGAGCCAGAGACTGCCATGGGTGCCTGCCAGTGGCTGGGGTCCCATCCCCACCCTTCCCTAGCTTCAAGAGAACCGCTCGGGCACACTTCACCCATGAAGGCAGCACAGACTATGGGCAGCTTTGTTGCTGATCAGAGGCAGCTGGGGCCTCTCTGGCAGGAGCCCAAACCAAGACATTTTAATAAATGTCCCAGAGTCCAAGACAAAATCTCTGATCCAAGTCCTCCATAAATAAAGAAACCTGGAGCCTGGCTGTTTATGCTGGCTGACCACTGATGGAGCAGAGTGAACTCTCAGACTTTACCAACAGATGTCCAGGAAGGGTCTGTGGAACCAGGGAATCGAGTGCACTCACCTTGACAAGTAGGGGCTGGGAGAGGCACAGCAGGCACGTCCCAGAGACGCCGGCTGTGCTGTGTTTGTGACTGCCAGAGGCCACCTCCGGCCAAGAACATGACCCAGCTTTCTGGACAGAGACCTGACCCAGGAGCTACTGCCTGGCCGAGGCTCTGCCACAAATCCCTGGGTATTGAGAGAGCCAGGCTCATTCCCCCTGGCTGAGGCTCACCGGAGCCAGGGAGGATTTTTAAAAATCTCGCTGAGGTGCCTGAAGTTAAAGGAGCCAGAGAAATCCCAAGCAGGTTTGGTTTACAGCACTGAACCATGAAGAAGGGCCACACTGGGTGCTCACAGTGGTCCCAGAGGTGAGTGGGACCGAGGCTGGCTCAGAGAGATTGATCATTTCTCCTGGGTTGCACAGCTAGAAATGGCTGAGCTGGGGCTGGAGCTTAGGTTTTCCACCTCCCGTGCCCATGTTCTCCCCACCCCAGGAATATGTAAGTTGATCTGCATCTTCAGGCCATTCTGCCCTTGTGGGCTGTGGGCTGTGTCCCTACCTTGTATGCACCCGCCTGGCTGTGACCTGCTGGGTCTCTTCTGGGGAGCCCCGCTTTCTCCAAGGCCTCCTCCAGGGAGAAGCTGCAGCCCAGGAAGAAGGCCACCATGTCCTTCAGCTGCTCCGAGTACTGCTCCAGCGAAGCCAGGCTGCCGGTGCAGGCACCGAACTCGTATTTCCAGAACTGGGGATGGCCCATCCTGGGGACATAAGGGGAAAGCTGGGAGGGCCCCAGACTCTCACTGTGGCCCCTGATAATACATTATAGAAGGACTGCGGAGAGAGAAGAGGATGTCTAGTGCTGAAATTTTCAGCCCTGGCACCAGGGTAGGGAGCATAGTTTTCAGCAGGGGGCCTTGCTGGCATCCTTCAAATGTCCCCAGATCGGAAACGATTAAATCAGCACGTATAGAACGTACCCCCACCTCCCACCCAGTGTGTCTCCTATACCCGCAAGCCAAAACAAGCCAAACCACCGAGAAAAGTAAATGGTGGCCAGGCACGGTGGCTCATGACTGTAATCCCAGCACTTTGGGAGGCCGAGGCGGGCAGATCACTTGAACTCCGGAGTTCAAGACAAGCCTGGGCAACAAGGTGAAACCCCGTCTATACTAAAAATACAAAAACTAGCCAGGCATGGTGGTACACAGCTGTAATCTCAGCTACTCAGGAGGCTGAAGCAGGAGAATCGCTTGAACCTGGGAGGTGGAGGTTGTAGTGAGCCGAGATCGTGCCACTGCACTACTCCAGCCTGGGCAACAGAGTGAGACTGCCTCAAAGAAAAAAAAAAAAAAAGAAGAAGAAGAAAAGTAAATGGTGGCCTCTCTGCTATAGAGGTAGGACCAGTAGCCCAAAGGGGACAGAGAATATGTGTCTTGGGGAACCTCTCAGTGCCAGTAGTGGGTGAGGCCTTTCTCTTCCCTTAAAGGAAACTCTTCTGTAGGGTTGAAAGACTTCTTTGGTTACAAGCTTATTCTTTACCCACTCCAAACTCTTTTACTGAGCCATGCCTTCATGCCGGGCACATGCTGGGCGATGGGGCTAGAGTAATGGAGAGGACACTGTCCCAGTCTTTTTTTCTTTTTTTAATGTTTTTTATTTATTTATTTTTTTTTTGAGACAGAGTCTTGCTCTGTTGCCCAGCCTGGAGTGCAGTGGTGCAACCTCGGCTCACTGCAACCTCTGCCTCCCAGGTTCAAGTGATTCTCCCACCTCAGCCTCCCAAATAGCTGAGATCATAGGCCCGAACCACCATGCCCGGCTAATTTCTGTATTTTTAGTAGAGACAGCGTTTCACCGCGTTGGCCAGGCTGGTCTCGAATTCCTGATCTCAGGTGATCTGCTCTCCTTGGCCTCCCAAAGTGCTGGGATTACAGGCGTGAGCCACCGCGCCCATCCCATCCCAGCATTTAAAGAGCTCGTAACCCTAATTGATAGGTGAGACTTCACTGAAAACACATACTGGCAATACACAGCAAGGAATGTCAACCGTCTAGGTAGAGTGACACAGAGAAGGAAGAAATCAATTCTCTTCCACAGAGGAGTTTGGTGCTGGGTCTTGAGGCATGAATAGGAGTTTGCCAGTTGGGCAAGGAAGAAGGCATACCCAGGCAGAGGAAGCAGCACGTGGAAAGCCCACTGGGGGATGGGCTCCAGGAGTTTCCAAGTTGGCAGCACAGGAGGCACCGGGGAAAAATGTAAAGGTACAATCATGGGCCCAGATGGGGTCTCCAAAGGACCTTCCCGTCCTAAAATGATCATGACAGAATGTTCCTGGGGGGTTTTCTGTCTCGGGAACTGGCTGGGGATGACTGGAGTGTCAGGGGTCAGGGGAGAAACTGAGCTGGGGCCAGGTCACCATGGGCTTGAGATCAGGCTGAGGTCCAAGCCATAAGAAGATGCTGAAGAATTTTATTTTATTTTATATATATATATTTTAGACAGGGTCTTGCCCTGTTGCCCAGGCTGGAGTGCAGTGACATGATCTCGGCTCACCGCAGCCTCAACCTCCTGGTCTCAAGCAATCCTCCTCAGCCTCCCGAGTAGCTGGGACCACAGGTGTGCACCGCTATGCCCAGTTAATTTTTAAAAAAAAAATTTGTAGAGACCAGGTCTTCCCTATGTTGCCCAGGCTGGTCTCAAACTCCTGGGCTCAAGCCATCCTCCTGCCTCAGCCTCCCGAAGTACTGGGATTACAGGCATGAACCACAGCACCCAGTCTGAAGGAGTTTTAAGAGGAGAGCCACATGATCGGGTTTAGCATTAGAAAGTCACTCTGCTGGGAAAGCAGATGATGACAGGGTTGGGGAAGAAAGGATGAGACTAGGGCTAGGCCAGGGAAGATGCCAGTCTGTGCTGGTGCCATAGGAAAGGTAGACTCGTGGGAGAGGTACACCGACCCAGCATCAGTAGGGCCATTTACTAGATAGGTTCTAGTTTAAAAGCCTGGGAGAACAGACACAATATCTCTGTCTCTGGGTGTTGGTAATGCAAGTGTTTTTTATTTTCTTCTTAATCCTGTACAGGCGGGTTTCTGGCTTGGGCGATGGAGTGGACAGATGGCAGAGCCAGTGGGATTTCTCCAGGGCTGGACTTTCTCCATGATCTCAAAGATCTCAGCCAGGACAGGCGCCAGGTGATAGGGGAAGGAGTCAGAACAGTGGGGAGGGCAGCTCGTTCCTGAGCAACAGTCATGAGTGAGGTTCTGTGCCAGGCACTGTGAAGGTCCCTGAGGCTGGACAGAGAGGTCCCGGATGACAGAGACACCTGGCTACAGCACCTGGACACTCCCAAGCTTCAACCCACAGTAACCCAAGCTTTTTACCTGGTCTCTGAGATAGCACCTTGAGGGGGCAGCATCCACTTTTCTGGCTCACTCTGGCCCAGCAGGGGTAGAGGACCAGTGTTGACCTGGCAGAATCTTTCAAAAGCTGGAGCAAGGGACCTGGGCAGGACCACCAGGCTGGCTGGTCGGAGCTCTGGGTATGGTGGGAGAAGGGAAAAATGTATAGTCAGCGGTTTCTTGGCAGACACTTACTGATTTTCTTTCTTTTTTTTTTTTTTGAGGCGGAGTTTCGCTCTTGTAGCCCATGCTGGAGTGCAATGGCACAATCTTGGCTCACTGCAACCTCCGCCTCCTGGGTTCAAGCAATTCTCCTGCCTCAGCCCCCCGAGTAGCTGGGATCACAGGCGTCTGCCACCACGCCTAGCTAATTGTTTGTATTTTTAGTAGAGACTAAAAATATACATGGGATATTTATTGGCCCATGTTGGGCCAACTGTTCCATGTTGGACAGGCTGGTCTTGAACTCCTGACCTCAGGTGATCCACCCGCCTCGGCCTCCCAAAGTGCTGGGTTACAGGCATGAGCCATTGCGCCCAGCCCCTCTGTGATTTTTTTAAAGTGGCAAGGTCTTGCTATTCCAGGCTGGCCTTGAATTCCTGGACTCAAGTGACCCTCCGGCTTCAGCCTGCCAAGTAGCTGGAACTACAGGTGCACACTACCATACCCAACTTCTAATGTAATTTTTTTTTTTTTGAGACAGAGTCTCGCTTTGTCACCCAGGCTGGAGTGCACTGGCTTGATCTTGGCTCACTGCAACCTGTGCCTCCTGGGTTCAAGTGATTCTCATGCCTCAGCCTCCCAAGTAGCTGGGACTATAGGTGTGCATCACTGTGCCCAGCTAATTTTTGTATTTTTAGTAGGGATGGGGTTTCACTATGGTGGCCAGGTTGGTCTCAAACACCTGGGCTCAAGTGATCTGCCTGTCTTGGCCTCCCAAAGTGCTGGGCTTACAGGCGTGAGCCACCGCAACTGGCCTAATGTAAATTTTGATTGAAGCATTACCTACACTCAAAAAAGTGTACACCACCCTGCAGGGAAGGACACAGGCCTGGCTGGTTTTGCTACCTGCTAATTGCAGAGCCCCACTCAAAAAAGTGTAGGTAATGCTTCAATCAAAAACATACGAACCTACAGCTTGATGAATTGCCATGAAATGAATGCACCCATGTAACCAGCATCCAGATCAAGGAACAAGAGCCAACCATCCTGACTTCTAGCACCACATACGACTTTTGCCTGTTCTTAGACTCCATATAATAAAATCATACACTATGTGTCTTTTAAGTCTAGCTTCTCTCACTCAATATATTTTGAGATTCATTCATATTGTTGCATTCAACAATAGTTCATTCTCACTGCTGCCTAGTATATTCATGCAATGAGGATTTACCCAATCCTATTGCTAATGGACATCTGAGTAGTTTCCAATTTGGGGTTATGACAAATGGTGCTGCCATGAACATTTTAATGCCACAAACATGCATTTTGGAGTACATAAATGTGCATTTCTGGGGTGGTAAGTTATACACATGTGCAACTTTAATAGATACTGCCAAGCAGTTTTCCAAAGTGGTTGTGCCAATTGACACTTGCACCAGTGGTATGTGAGCATCTCCAATACTTCATATTACCTGTCTTTTTCCTTTTAGCCATTCTTGTGGGTGGGTAGTGGTATCCATCACCTTGTGGTTCTAATTTGCATTGTCTAGACTGCTAGTGTGGCTGACTGCCTTTTCATATGTCCTATTGGCCATTTGGGTATCTTTTTGGGGGGCAGATTCTTGCCTGAGCTGGCTCACAGTGTTCACAGAGCTACAGGAGAAGACCTCCTATTACATGCTGTAGCCTCCTCTGGGGCAGCCAGCCTTCCTCCGCAATGGAAGTCCTTTGGCTTTGGTGGTAAACACACCTGGGCTTGAATCCTGATCCTGTCTCTGACCAGCTGTGTGAACCCAGGCTGTGGCTTTGCATGTCTCAGCCTCAGCTTCCCCATCTATAAGATGGCAGCAACCATACCTACCTCCAAGAGACCTCAGGGAGGTAATGTATGTAAGTTATTGAGCACCTCGGTGTTCAGGAAGCAGGGACTAAAGTTACTGTTCAATGAAATCCTGTGTAGATGTTTAAAATTACGGTTACAGAAGAAACACGTAACGGTTATGTTAAAAGATGTTTGTTATGTGTCATTAAAGGAACTATACTAGGTAATGAAACAATGTGTTGGACATATTCTCCTTTTTATAAAGTCAGTGAGTGAAAGAACTAGAAGGAAAGGGGAGGGAAGAGTGGAAAGGACTGTGTCTTGTAATTTGAGTGCCAGCTCAGCCACAATACAACAGAACACCAGGTAGGCATCTAAGGTTTTTGGCTGTAGTCCCTGACTCCCAGACGGCTCTTCTGGACTCACCCAGGGCCTGGGGGAACTCACCACCCTGCAGGGAAGGACACAGGCCTGGCTGGTTTTGCTACCAGCTAATTGCAGAGCCCCATGGCCTTGAGCAAACATAGGCAGTTGCCAGGGAGTGGTTACAGCAGGACTTGGGCAAGACCCAGTGCTGTGCTGGCTTCAGGTCTGGCCCAGCACAGTCACAGTGGTGGTGGCTACAGGGGTGATTGTGTCATTCCACCCCCAGCTTTAGGTGGTTCCAAACAGAGACAGAGAGAGAGAGAGACTCTTTGGGAGAAAGTAAGGGAAGAGAACAAGGGTCTCTGCCTGGTAAACCAGAGAATGCTCCTAGATCTTCTCCAAGACCATCAAACCCATACCTGTACTAAGTCTGCAAGAATGACGGCGTTACTGGGCTTGAGGTGCCCCCTAAAGCAGAAACAGCTTAGATCACAACACCCAAATCCTTTCAAATAACTGGAAAGCCTTCCCAAAACAGAGGACTACAAATAAGCCCAGATAGCAAAGACTACAATAAATATCTAACCCTTGAATGTGCAGACACCAAAGAACATCTACTAGAACCAGTAAGGACATTACAAGTTAATCACGGTTGTCTCCAGGTGACAGAGCTGTGCATACTTGTCATTTGCTTCTCTGTGCTTTTCTCAATATTCTAAAATTAAGACCATACCAAAGAAAAACATAATTATGTTCTATTGGGCCGGGCGTGGTGGCTCACACCTGTAATCCCAGCACTTTGGGAGGCCGAGGTTGGCAGATCACTTGAGGTCAGGAGTTCGAGACCAGCCTGGCCAACATGGTGAAACCCCATCTCTACTAAAAATACAAAAATTAGCCAGGCATGGTGGCACGTGCCTGTAATCCCAGCTACTTGGGAGGCTGAGACAGGAGAATCGCTTGAACCTGGGAGATGGAGGCTGCAGTGAGCCGAGATCGCGCCACTGCACTCCAGCCTGGGTGACAGAGCAAGAATCTGTCTCAAAAAATAATAATTATTATGCTCTATTGGAGAATACCCTTGAGGACAATTGCCCTGTCAGATTTGCTCTATCAACCCATGTCCCTTTCTCTCCTACAATAATCTTGTGGGCTAATATTTACTGAGTGCTTTTTATGTGCCGGGCTCCCCATGCCAAGTCATTTGCACAAGTAATTATATTTTATAGATGAGGGGAACGAGGCTCAGAGAGATGAAATGACTTTCCCAGGGTCACACAGCTGCTGCACGGCACAGCCAGCATTTAAACCTGGAAGGGGTGCCCGCGAGCTTGCCTCATTTCATCACGGAGTGGCCTCTGCTGGGCTGCAGGCACTGGGTTTCCCTAGGAGGGGAGCGCCGTCCTCCATGGGGACTGGGGAGTGAAACAGATGCAACCATCCGCTGGGAATGTCCAGGACCAGCTCCTGCTCAAATCGCAGGGCCCGGAGCTCATTATCACAGTCGCTACAGTGCCTGCCAATGCTACAAGCAGACTTTCCAAATGAGGACACGTGAGACACCCCCAGCTGCCGAAAGCCCAAGGAACCTGATGCCAGTCTCAAGCAAGCCCAGCACGGCTCCAAAAGTTATCTGGAGCGAGGTGGGAGGGGATTTGGCTGGCTTAGAGGCCTCCCACTCCCTACTCACCCGCTTCTTACTGCCAAAGCCCCTTGTGAGAACAAACTGGATTTTTTTTTTTCTTTTTTTTGAGACGGAGTCTCACTCTGTCGCCCAGGCTGGAGTGCAGTGGCGCAATCTTGGCTCACTGCAAGCTCCACCTCCAGGGTTCAAGCAATTCCCCTGCCTCAGCCTCCCGAGTAGCTGGGATTAGAGGCGCATGCCCCCACACCTGGCTAATTCTTTTGTATCTTTAGTAGAGACAGGGTTTCACCATGTTGGGCAGACTGATCTTGAACTCCTGACCTCAGGCAGTCCGCTGGCCTCGGCCTCCCAAAGTGCTGGGATTACAGGTGTGAGCCGTCATGCCCAGCACAAATTGTATCTTTAATACAATAAATCAGGATGGTATGTGCACAAAGCTTCTTTGTTTCCTTTTTTTTTTTTTTTCTTGAGACAGAGTTTCGCTCTTGTCGCCCAGGCTGGAGTGCAATGGTGCGATCTCGGCTCACTGCAACCTCCGCCTTCTGGGTTCAAGTGCTTCTCCTGCCTCAGCATCCCAAGTAACTGGGACTACAGGTGCACACCACCATGCTCAGCTAATTTTTATATTTTTAGTATAGATGGGATTTCTCCATGTTGGCCGGGCTGGTCTTGAATGCCTGACCTCAGGTGATCCACTTGCCTTGGCATCTCAAAGTGCTGGGATTACAGGCGTGCGCCACCGTGCCCGGCCCTTTGTTTCCTTTTTAATTAAATGAACTTTGCAGGTTTTGTTTTGGTTTTGTTCATCTCCACAGCTGGAGATGAACAGAAAAGTCCCCAAGTTGTCCCCATTAGTAACAGGACACAGAATAGAAGCCTTCATGGTCTCTTTCTGGAGAGGATGGTGGACTCTGGAGGCCTCACCTTTTTGGAGGATACTTTATGGTCTAATGTGATTTGTGCATCCCCCAGCTGCCTTGGGCTCCATGGAAGGCAGTAACACTTTTCTTTGTAGATAAACTGAGTGATTTCTCTGAGTCCTTTTACCTCAAAATCATTTTTTTTAACTTAATGACAAGAGAGAGGAAAAAACACCCTTTAACATTTCTAATTTGATTGAAAGCCCCCAGAAGACAGCTCCAAGCTGGAGTTTCCCAGCTGTTTGGTAAAATGAGCTTCTCTCCTTGAGGAGCATTTCACGGCAGCGGGGAACAGCTCAGGTGCCCCTCCCGACAGTCCCACTGGGAAGGTTCTGCTGCTACTTTCATTGTGTAGGTGAGGCTTAGAAAGGTCACAGTTTGCTAGTAAAGAGCGAAGCTGGGACTCATACTCAGGCTGTCTCCCTCCAGGCTCCAAGACCCTGGCTGCTCTGCTCTGTTGCCTCCCAGGGTCCTAGCAAGCAGTCGTCAACCTGGGGTTAAGCTGGTGTTCGCTGCTCGTATATAACAGGTTGCTGTAGACTAATACCTTGGTGGCTCTCTCTGTATATATTAGGTAGTGCAAAAGTAATTGCAGTTTTTGCCATTACTTTTATTTAAAAAAAAAAAAAAAAAAATGGCAAAAATCGCAATTACTTTTGCACCAATTTATATAAACTATGCTCCCCAGTATTCACACCCCATTGTAGCCCCTTCCCTATTGACTCTGGCCTTGGCCCTGTGATTTGCTTTCGCCAATGGGACATTAGTAAGTGTGATGCAAGCAGAAGCTTGGTATGCGTTTGGGCATTAGGACTTATTCTCTTGGAATCTGTCTCATGGCGTCCCATGTAAAGAAGTTTGGCGACCACTATTGAAGAGGCTTCATGGAGAAGAAATGTTCAGCCAGTCTCAGATGTCCCACTGGATGCCAGACATGTCAGGAAGAAGCCATCTTGGATGGTCTATCCCCAACAGACACCACATGGAACAGAAGAAGCGCCCTGCTAAGACCAACCTTGATTGCAGAATTGTGAGATTAATGGTTTTAAGCCACTAAGTTTAAGAGTGCTTTGTTGGGCCTGGTGCGGTGGCTCACACCTGTAACTCCAGCACTTTGGGAGGCCAAGGTGAGCGGATCACGAGGTCAGGAGATGGAGACCATCCTGGCTAACACGGTGAAACCCCGTCTCTACTAAAAATACAAAAAATTAGCTGGGCATGGTGGCGGGCGCCTGTAGTCCCAGCTACTGGGAAGCTGAGGCAGGAGAATGGCATGAACCCAAATCTGGGAGGCGGAGCTTGCAGTGAGCCCAGATCGCATCACTGCACTCCAGCCTGGGCGACAGAGCGAGACTACGTCTCAACAACAACAAAAAAGAGTGCCTTGTTATACAACAGTTAACTCTGTTAGCCCATATAGAGCAACAGAGGCCAGACATATTAATAAACTAAAGGAAAATGGTCTTGCTCTAGTACTTTAGATGGTGCTGATGGTTTTTCCTTGGGCACTTATACCATAACCAGACGAGTCTTTTTTAATGTGAAATTTTGCTTGGACTTAGGTCAATGACAAATTTGGTATCTGTTTTCTCTTGCAGGACCTTTTAGAGCCTTCAGTATCACTCCCAGGAGACAGTAGGGAAATGGGTGCCACCAGAGAATAAGACCAGTCAAGGGTAGGAAGAATTGGTCTGAATCAAAATCTGGTTAAACTGCAGTGTAACCTGGGGGCACTTTTCCCAGAAGGGACAACCCTTTTCATCACCTGAGCCCACTGGTGGTTCTCCATATGGGGCTGAGGTGACCAAGCAGAACTGGGTGTCATTAGACCCATCTGATGGGTTTCCATACCTTGAGTCTAATCCAAGGTTCCAGTTTCTTCTGAGCAGTTAAATAGTGACCAGAGCTAATATCATTCTGCTCTTACTTTCTGTTTCCTATGCAGAATCTAGAAGTCTTAGGAGTTTGTGGGCCCTACACAGCTGGTAATTCCCAGGAACTTTCTTTTTTTTTTTTTTTTTTTTTTTTAACTATCTGGCACCACTTACCTCCAGCCATGCTGGATGTATTTCTGATGTTTGGTTTCTTTTGTAGAATCAAACTCCTTATGGCAGAGGGAAGGCGGGACCTCAGGTGGAGTGTGAAGGGCATCGTGTCAACTTGAATAAGTAGCAGAGAATCTGGGTGAGGGAAGGAAAGGGAACAAATTAGAAAGTGTGGCCCCCTGAAGGCAGCAGATTCAGCCTCACATAGCTTCACATACCACATCACATCCTACCCTTTCCTGGCCCTGTTCCTGGGCCTGCCTTGTGGTGGGCATTGTTTGGAATCCATTCTCCCCCGTCACATCTCCTTTTCTGATGAGAAATTCCTAACGCAAACTTCCCTGTGCCCCTCCCTTGGCCTGGAACGTCCCCCTTCCCTTCCCTAACAGCTTTCCATTCCTCGGGAGCTGCAGAGTCTTCTCCAAAAGGCTGGTGCTGGGCTCCTTGGCCAGGAGGCACCGTGGCCTATTATTCTACTTGACTCTGAACTCCCTTCTCTCCCTAGGGCCTCGAGGGCAGGGACACATGTGAGACTTCTTCCACAGGCTCCAGAGCACCCATCACAGCCTATGCACATAGCACGTGCCCAAAATACACACAGTTGAATGAACAGACGAATGAATACCACCGCAATCGCAAGTGAAATAAGAGGCCGAGTTTCTGTCGACATGTGACTTCCCTTATTTAGATTTAGGTTTCTAGAAGGTATAGGGACTTTGTGTTTTCTTCTTTGTCCTTCCCCTAACCCCACTCTAGGCACAGTGCCTTATACAATCTTTGGTGAGTAAATAGATATTGTAGATTTTTAAAAGTAGAATGTGTTTTTTAAATCACAATTAAAAGCTAAAAAATATGATTTTTAAAAAATAGAGGTGGTCTCAAATCTCTAGGAAATTGTGCTCAGAAAGGAATCCTGTAAGTTGACTTCTTTTTTGTTTGTTTGTTTTTCTTGAGGCAGAGTCTCGCCACTCTGTCTCCCAGGCTGGAGTACAGTGGCGCAATCTCAGCTCAGTGCAACTTCCGCCTCCTGGCTTCAAGAGATTCTCATGCCTCAGCCACCTGAATATCTGGGATTACAGGTATGTGCCACGACACCTGGCTTGTTTTTGTATTTTTAGTAGAGGCGAGGTTTCACCTTGTTGACCAGGCTGGTCTCAAACTCTTGGCCTCAAGTGATCAGCCCACCTTGGCTTCTCAAAGTGCTGGGATTACAGGCGTGAGCCACCACACCTGGCCTAAATTGACTTATGCTATTAAAAAAAGAGGTTTTAGCCAGGTGTGGTGGCTCACGCCTGTAATCCCAGCACTTTGAGAGGCTGAGGCAGGAGGATTGCTTGAGGCCAGGAGTTCAAGACATGCCCAGGCAACATGGCAAAAACCCATGTCTACCAAAAAAAAAAAAAAAAAGCCAGGCATGGTATTGCATGCCTGTAGTCCTAGCTACTTGGGAGGTTGAGGTGGAAGGACCACTTGATCCCAGGAGGTCAAGGCTGCGGTGAATCAAGATCACGCCACTGCACTCCAGCCTGGGCAACAGAGTGAGACCTGTCTCAAAAAAAAAAAAAAAAAGATAGGTTTTAGTATGTCAACAAAATCTAGAGCTAGATAACCACATTGTGTTGGTCTCTAAAGCATAGCCAAGGTCCTTTTCATCCAAATATACCCAGTGCCTAGCATAGTGGCACAAAGGTGGGAGTTCAGTAAGTGTTTGTTGGATGACTAGCTGACTGCAGAATGAATGAGAGCAGGATTCAAGGACAGTGCCCATAGTGAGGGTTCTGGACAAGCCTGACTTTCCACAATTCTATCTAAAGAGAAGAACTCAGTGGAATTCCAAACCACCAATTTATGTTTTCAACTCTAATCTCCTAGATAGAAAATAATGTAAACCCCAGGGCCATTTTAACAAAGAATTTGAGATTACATGAAATCTCTAGCAAACAAAACAAAAAGAATATTGCTTTGGAAGGAGGAGAGATGTACTTAGAGCCAACAGTGAGTACTTTAATAGCTGTGGGAACAAAGTGCTGTGGGGACACAGGGGAGAGAACACTTAGTCCCCGCAGGCTAGTGGGAGGGGGTGCTGGGAGGAGTCAGGTGAGGTAGGATTCCATTGCCCAGTGAAGATTCTGAGGCTTAAAGCAGCTGCTTTGGCAGGTCAGGCCTGGGCTTGCCTAACGCCTGGGCCTGGCAAGCCTGACCACCTTAGCCAAGCAACTGAGCTACCAGCCAGGGTCCTGAATGTCTGTGGTTCCCCAGGGTCACTGCACACTGCAGAGAGGACCTAGCACCTCTGCCTGGCACACAGCAAAGGCCAAAGAGAGAAGCTTTCCATAACCTTGTGGGGAATAGCAGCCACTCCTCTGATAACCGTCCTCATTTGCCCAAACCCACTGGAATGGGCCACCCCACAGGTACCTCCACCCACCCTCATTATTACCCTAGAGGGCAGCAGGTGCAAGCTGTGTGCTGTTTTGCAAATACATTTTAGCCAGGAGACCAAAGTCTGAGGGTTATTGCCTTCTCTTTCCTTTATTTATGTACTGTTTTAATGTAAATGTAAGTTGATTTCTAGGTTGCTTTCCTGGCCTGGAGAGAAATGAGTGTTGCCAGAAATCCTGCCCTGTGAAATGCATGCTGGGAGTGTGCCAGGCACCCCAGTGTCACCCACCGTGCATGCTGGGAGGAAAAGAAGGCTGAGAGCCCCTACCTTACAGAGTCGTCCCTTTGAAGGCAGGGTTAAACAGGGTGTAACTTGGCTCCTGCAAAGTCAAAAAAAAAATGCCTTCAATATACACCAATCAGAGAATGCCCACTCACAGTAAATGATAGCAACTACCACCATATATGGTGACCCACAGTGTGCCAGGACCATGCTAGGGCGTTTACGTACATCATCTGTTAGTTTGTCACTATAGTCCCACACACAAAAAAGGCATTGTTAATCCTATTACAGACAGAAACTGAGGTCCAACGAGCTCAAAGAAGTTACCTAATAATAAAGCAGGTCTAAGTTCATGTTTGTTTGATCACTATTTACCTTTCTATATGTATGAATCTATGTATGTATCCATCCATCCATCCATCCACCCATTCATCCATCCATCTATCCACCCACCCATCCATCCATCCACCCATTCATTCATCCATCCATCCATCCATCCATCCACCCATCCATCCATCCACCCATTCATTCATCCATCCATCTATCCACCCATCCATCCATCTATCCATCCACCCATTCATCCATCCATCCATCCATCCATCCATCCATCCATCCACCCATCCATCCATCCATCCACCCATTCATCCATCCATCCATCCATCCATCCATCCACCCACTCACCCATTCATTCATCCATCTATCCATTCACCCAGCCATTCATCCATTCACCCACCCACCCATTTTGTGGTGTTAGGAATCACATCCTCAGTATATTTTAAAAATAACAGGGACCTTCCCACTATCCCCAACAAGGTGATTTTAGGGCCAGAGCCTCTTCAGCCCATATGCTTTTAGGGACTGAATCCTGAACTTCTCAGACTTTCTATCAGGGCACTGGGGAACCCACTGCTGCATGGCCCAGGTATCTTGTTTTCCGGAGTGGTCTTCCTCTAGAAGTGAGGTGAGATGAGATCCAATCAGTGAGCCCTGGCTAGAATCCAAAAAGCTACCTTTCTGCTCTGAGCTCTCTCTTTTCTCTTTAGAGAACAAACTATCAAACCCAGAAACATCATTCCCTAACATCAAATATATCAGAGAGGAGCCCCACAGACAGTCAACCCCTAGCCAGATCTGACAAGCCCCAAACTTCAGTGTAAAAATATCTCATGTATGCTTGTCACAGATTTCTGAAATTCCACCTTTAGAAAGTAATTTCTCTGTTTACCCAAGCAATCCAATCCTAGGACTGTATCCTACAGATGTGCTCAAACAGTGACTGAGTACACAGCAGCACTGTTTGTAAAAGAAATGATTTAGAAACAGGCCGGGCACAGTGGCTCATGGCTGTAATCCCGGCACTTCGGGAGGCCAAGGTGGGAGGATCGCTGGACCCCAGCAGTTTGAGACCAGCCTAGGCAACATGACAAAACCCTATCTCTACAAAAAATACAAAAATTAGCCAGGTGTGGTGGTGCATGCCTGTAATCCCAGCTACCCGGGAGGCTGAGGCAGGAGAATCACTTGAACCTGGGAGGCGGAGGTTGCAGTGAGCCGAGATCACGCTACTGCACTCCAGTCTGGGCAACAGAGCGAGACTCCATCTCAAAAAAAAAAAAAAAGAATGAGGCTACCCTACACACCTTATCTGAAATAATCTCCCAATGATGCAAAATTAACAAGGCAAGGTGGAGAATTCTCTATTAACCGACATGCCCATGTTCTGTTCACATCCACATAGACATCTGTGGAAGGATGGAGAAGAGCTTGGTATCAGTGGTGCCCTCAGAGGGGAAAGTGGGAGACTGGGGCCTGAGCAGGAGTGGCTGTCGCACTACATTTTATGTGAATGGCGCCCTCTGGAGTTGTGCCTTGGGGTGGCCCTGATGGAAGAGAGGCTTTCTGCTCTTTTGTCTTTTCTGTCCTTTTTTTTTTTTTTTTGGAAACAGGGTCTTGCTCTCTTGCCCAGGCTAGAGTGCAGTGGTACAATCACAATTCACTGCAGCCTCAAACCTCCTGGGCTCAAGCAATCCTCCCACCTCAGTCCCCTGAGTAGCTGGGACTACAGGTGAGCACCACCACGCCCATCTAATTTTTAAATTTTTCTTTTTGTAGAGACGGGGCTGGTCTTAAACTCCTGGGCTCAAATGATCAGTCAGCCTTGGCCTCTCAAAGTGCCAGGATTATAGGAGTGAGCCGCCGTGCAAGGCCAAAGCCACCACGCCTGGCCATCAGTCAACTCTCTAGCCTATAAAAACACGTTTATCTCTTTGGAGATTCCAAGGATTTTAGAAGTTGTATGCCAGGAAACCAGAGGAAGACCAAATACATATCTCATAATATCACAGTACCTCACTGAGTGGTGGTAAGGGTTAAAGTTGTAAACTCATGTAAGGCTCTCAGGACACTTCTGGCCGGTTCACAGTTAGCGCTGTGGAAGTGTTACCCATGTTTATTACTCTGGGCCCCGTGCCAAAAACACAGTGGTGAATAAGACAGTCACAGCCCACACTCACAGGGGTTTACCGTCCCAGGAGACAGACATTAAACGCATAATTACCATCTACCATCGTGTCTGTCTTCCAGGAAAAGATAGAAAAGTAAATAGTTAACTATAACACCATGTGCTTAGCGCTCCGGGGCCTGTGGACTCAGGGTGGAGGAGAAGGGGCTGAGTCTAAAAGGAGAGTAGGGGTCAGACTAGAAGCAGGCTGGGGAGGGAGAAGGCCCTCTAGGCCCAGGGGCCAGCAGGAGCAAGGCAGGGAGGTACTGGGGGGACCAGCTGTCCGTGCTGCAGAGCCTGACACAAGGCAGGAGGTGGCGGGAGCTGGGTCTGGAAAGGAAAGCAGCGGCTGGCTCATGGGGACCCACCTGTCATGTGAAGAAATTTGGATTTATCCCGGAGCCTCAGGAAATCACAGAAGGTACTGAGCAGTGAGTGATTTGTGAAACTTGCCTTTTAGGAAGCTAGTAGGGCTGCAGGTCGGGGACGGACAGCAGGGCAGCCAAAGCGCAAAGTTGGCAGATGAGATGGGAGCGCAGGGCAGAGAAGGAGCATCAGAAAGTCTCTCTCGCAGGTGTGAAAGGAAAATAAATCTTGAGACCCCAAAATCACTAAGCCAAAGGGAAAAGTCAAGCTGGGAACTGCGCAAGCCTGCCTCTCATTTTGTTCCTAAATAAGATCGCTAAAAGATGAATTCCTTGTGGGCTTCAACATCTTTACCCTAAAACAGTTCTATTGAATTTCACCCTGGCAATGTAAATTGACAGCTTATTTTCATGGGTGCCCGACAAAGAATAGACAGAACCCAAAGTCATCCCTCTGAGGCTCACCTGAGACAAATGCATATCTGATTGCTTCCTCTGCCCTATTGTTTATGTAAAAATGTAGATTCACTGAGCCAGACTAAGGCATAAGTGACTACTCCTCTACCCTCCTCTCACATGGAAATTGTGTATTCAGTGAAAGGCTGATCAATCTCACACATAGATTGATTTCTCAGGTCTCCCTAAAATGTATAAAACCAAGCTGTGGCCAGGCATGGTGGTTCACGCCTGTAATCCCAGCACTTTGGGAGGCCAAGTTGGGCAGATCACCTGAGGTCAGGAGCTCAAGACCAGCCTGGCCAACATGGCAAAATCCTGTCTTTACTAAATATACAAAAATTAGCTGGGCATAGTGGTGCACACCCGTAATTCCAGCTACTTGGGAGGCTGAGGCAGGAGAACTGCTTGAACCCGGGAGGCAGAGGCTGCAGTGAGTCGAGATCGCACCACTGCACTCCAGCCTGGGTGACAGAGTGAGACCCTGTCTCAAAAAACAAACAAACAAACAAAAATAATAAAAACCTGTACCCCGACCACCTTGGGTGCATGTCCTCAGGACCGCCTGAGGCTGTATGTTAACGCTGTATCCTTAACTTTGGCAAAATAAACTTTCTAAGTTGATTGAGCTCTGTCTTAGATACTTTTGGGTTCACATAGGAAAGAACCTTGCAGGGGAGAGGCTGCCTTCATCCTTCATGGGCCCGGCAAGGCCTGCATGAGCAGGCAGTGCTCATCACACCATGGGGAACAGCTGAGGTTGTTCCCGTGACGCAGAAACAAGCAAGCAGGCTCACACCCAAGGGAGGGGGTTTTCCTCTTTTCCTTTCAGTTCAGAGAAGACAAGCCTTTCCATCTGTTGTACTCACTGCTGGATGTGCAGCATCAACAGTGCCTGGCACACGGGAGGTGCCCAATAAATGTTCACTGTCAGCCGGGTGCGGTGCCTCACGCCTGCAATCCCAGCACTTTGAGAGGCCGAGGTGGGCGGATCACTTGAGGACAGGAGTTTGAGATCAGCCTGGCCAACATGGTGAAACCCTGTCTCTACTAAAAATACAAAAATTAGCCAGGTGTGGTGGCGCATGTCTATAATCCCAGTTACTGGGGAGGCTGAGGCACGAGACTCGCTTGAACCAGGGAGGCAGAGGTTGCAGTGAGCCGAGATTTCGCCACTGCACTCCAGCCTGGGCGACAGAGCGAGACTGTGTCTATAATAAATAAATAAGTAAATAAAGCTCACTGTCAGGAGGGATGGGCAGAGCATGTGGCTCACACAAAGGCAGCTGAGAAAAGGCGGCCAGGGAGGCAGGAGAGAAACTTTGTGATTCAGAAGCAAGTATTTCAAGGAGGAATTTACGGTCCGGGGAGGTCAAGGAAGAGAAAACCCAAGAAGCATCCACTGAACTTCATAACCCAGGCTCCTTCTTCCAGTTTATCCCACTGAAGCCCTCACAGCTCCACCAGCCCACAACGACAGGAAACACCTTATATTCATGTAGCATCATATTTAGAACCACGAAGGATGCACACGAAAAACAGAAGACACAGCTTCCTTGAAGCTTCCAGTCCAGTCAAGAAGATCCTATTATTTACAAGAATAAACAACTCACAGTGTTACAAAACTCCATTTTTGGTTTCTGTAGATGTCCCCTGGATCACTTCCCCAGAGTCCCACAACTTGATAATGGAAGAACAAAATGAGTAGGTGTGCAGACCTTGTCTCTCTACTCATTAATTTTTGTGGTAGGAGTTGCTCAATGTTTGCCAAGAGAGTTGCTGGTGGTAGCCTAAATACAACTGCAAATTTGCAAAATAAGTGTTGCTGCAAGGAAGAAGGCATCCTAACTGTATAATCATTTTATTTAAAAAATGGTATTATAATAGCAGAGACAAGATTGGGGAAATGCTGGTAGTCATAATTAAGATTTGTTTATTTAATAGGTTAAATACAAGGGCTCCCCACATGCAAAGAATTGTTAATGAAACAAGTATTTTCTTTCTTTATTTTTTTTCTTGAGACAGGGTCTTGCTCTGTCATCAGGCTGGAGTGCAGGTAGTGCAATGATGGCTCACTGCAGCCACAACCTCTCAGGCTCAAGCCATCCTCCCACCTAAGCCTCCTGAGTAGCTTGGGACCACCACAGGCATGCACCACTGTGCCCAGCTAATTTCTGTTATTTTTTTGTAAAGATGGGGGTCTCACTATGCTACCCAGGCTGTATTTTCTGAACTCCTGGGCTCAAGCGATCCTCCTGCCTTGGACTCCCAAAGTGTTGGGATTACAGGCATGAGCCACAACACCTGGCCAAAACAAATATTTTCAATGAAAGCAAATGGTGGTCCCTTCTCCTCCCCTTTCTAAACAATCCAGTCCTAAAGCCACAAGGTGGAGCTGAGTAAGGTAGGACTCCGTGGTGGGGAATGGCGGGTAGGGTCTCTTATGACATGAGACCCTGTCTATAAAGAAAAAAGAAGGGCTGGGTGGGGTGGCTCACGCCTGTAATCCCAGCACTTTGGGAGGCCGAGGCCAGGAGTTCAAGACCAGTCTGGCCAACATGGCAAAACCCCGTCTCTACTAAAAATACAAAAATTAGCCAGGTGTGGAGGCGCACGCCTGTAATTCCAGCTACTCAGGAGGCTGAGACAGGAGAATCTCTTGAACTCAGGAGGCGGAGGTTGCAGTGAGCCAAGATCGCACCACTGCACTCCAGCCTGGGTGACAGAGCAAGACTGCATCTCAAAAAAAAAAAAAAGAAAAGAAAAGAAAAAATAAAAAAGATGAATAATGAGATATAAAAAAGATTTTCTTTAGTACCATTCTTGAAATGTTTTGTCACTTTGCAATTATTTTAAAATAAAAAAAATAGGCCAGGCATGGTGGCTCACGCCTGTACTCCCAGCACTTTGGGAGGCCAAGGCAGGTGGATCATGAGGTCAGGAGATCGAGACGAGACCATCCTGGCTAGCATGGTGAAACCCTGTCTCTACTAAATAATAAAAAAAAATTAGCCGGGTGTGGTGGTGGGCGCCTGTAGTCCCAGCTACTTGGGAGGCTGAGTTAGGAGAATGGCGTGAACCCCGGAGGCAGAGCTTGCAGTGAGCCGAGATCACGCCACTGCACACCAGCCTGGGCGACAGAGCGAGACTCCGTCTCAAAAAAACAAAACAACAACAACAAAGAAATAAGAAACTATAGAAAAATTATGGATAAACAAAATGTGGTATATACATACAGTAGAATATTCTTCAGCCTTAAAAAGGAAGGAAATTCTGATGCATGCTACAACATGGGTGAACCCTGAGCACGTTATGCAAACTGAAATAAGTCAGACATAAGTGACAAATATTGTATGATTCCATTTCTATAAGACACCCACAACAGACAGATGGACAGACATGGAAAGCTGAATGGTGGTGACCACAGGCTGGGTCCAGGAGATGGGGTGGGGAATGGGGAGTTACCGTGTAATGGGCAGAGAGTTTCAGTTTGGGAAGATGAAGAGAGTTCTGGAAATGGAGAGTGGTGATGGTTGCACAACAATGTGAATGTACTTAATGCCACAGAACTGTACACTTAAAAATGATTAAAATGGTAAACTGTATGTTGTATATTTTTAACCATAATAAAAATTTTAAATTAAAATGTTAAAAATCAAGTTGTGATTGTTAAAAAACATTCGGATTAAGGCCAGGTGTGGTGGCTCATGCCTGGAATCTCAGCACTTTGGGACGCTGAGGCGGTAGGATCCCTTGAGTCCAGGAGTGCGAGACCCCCATCTCTACAAAAAACAAAAACTAAAAAAATTAGCTGGCATGGTGGCGTGCACCTGTAATCCCAGCTACTCAGGAGGCTGAGGCAGGAGGATTGCTTGAGCCCAGGAGGTCAAGACTGCTGTGAGCCACGATTGCACCACTGCACTCCAGCCTGGGGGACAGTGAGACATTCTCTCAAAAAAAAAGAAACATTCACATTAAATGTTTAGTTTCAAATTGTTGGTGTGAAAAGCAACAATTTTTCAATGTGTTGCTGAAAAGCACCACACCAGACTCAGTGTGTGTCTTGAATATCAAATATTCTAGCCCCGGGGCCCCTGTTCCAGCTCCACAGGAAGGCGCTAATATTGGGAAAGGAAGGTTTTGTGTGGGTGCTTCACACAGGCCAAACTGGATTTTTTTTTTTTTTTTTTTTTTTTGAGATGGAGTCTCACTCTGTCACCCAGGCTGGAGTGCAGCGGCGCAATCTCCACTCACTGCAACTTCCACCTACTGGGTTCAAGCAATTCTCCTGCCACAGCCTCCTGAGTAGCTGGGACTACCGGTGCCTACCACCATGCCTGGCTAATTTTTGTATTTTTAGTAGAGGCAGGGTTTCACCATATTGGCCAGGCTGGTCTCAAACTCCTGACCTTGTGATACGCCCGCCTCGGCCACCCAAAGTGCTGGGATTACAGGTGTGAGCCACCGCACCCAGCCCAAACATAAGCTTTATGACTCTGAAAATTTGGGAATAACTCTGTCTGCCCAGCATGACTGTGAATGTCCATTCTTAGAGAGTTCTAGAATATTTGAGAACCTCATTCTTCAAAGTAAATCTGCTTTTAGTTACTTAGCCAAATAAAGCAACCCAACCAAGTGGCAAAAGTCCAAGGTATGACTGCTAAGGGCAAGAAAGGCCAACCCTTCTGTTTCACAGTTTGCTTGGCCTGTAAAACTAGAGCACACGTGTTTGCTTATTTAGTACAGAGTTTCTGCAACGGGTCCATCAGGCCAAATTCCTGTAACCACAAAATATGATGCACGAAATCTACATGCAGGTTGAGTGTATGATACTGCCAACAGTAAACGCTGAGTCATCGGTTCCATGGTTAGTCCTAATGATAAACTAGGCAGTTCCTTTAAGGATGTTTAGCTACTTCTGGCACTGCACAGCTCAACCAACGGCCTGACCCACAAGCCTACTTCAGGGTCACCATGAGCACCACTCCCTGGTTGGAGAGACTGGGGGCTCCACACATCTCCATCACTGGGAGAGAATTTGCCAGAGTGATAACGACCTAGAGACACCACCTGCATACACAGAAGACAGGCTGAACTAATAGCAAAGTATGCAAACTCTTTGGGCCTCAGTTTCTTTCTTTTCTTTTCTTTTCTTTTTTTTTTTTTTGAGATAGAGTTTCGCTCTTGTTGCCCAGGCTGGGGTGCAATGGCACCATCTCGGCTCACAGCAACCTCCGCCGCACGGGTTCAAGTGATTCTCCTGCCTCAGCCTCCCGAGTAGCTGGGATTACAGGCATGCGCCACCACGCCTGGCTAATTTTGTATTTTTAGTAGAGACGGGGTTTCTCCATGTTGGTCAGGCTGATCTCAAACTCCCCACCTCAGGTGATCCACCCGCCTCGGCCTCCCAAAGTGCTGAAATTACAGGTATGAGCCACCGCGCGTAGCCTTTACTTTTCTTTTTTTGAGACAGGGTCTCACTCTGTCGCCCAGGCTGGGGTGCAGTGGCACAATCACGGCTTACTGCAGCCTTGACCTCCTGGGATCAAGCGATCCTCCTACCTCAGCTTCCTCAGTAGCTGCTACTACAGGTACACTGCACCATGCCTGGCTAACTTCTGTATTTTTTTGGTAGAGACAAGGTTTCACTATCTTGTCCAAGGCTGGTCTTGAACTCTTGAGCTCAAGTGATCCTCCTGCCTTGGCCTCCCAAAGTGCTGGGGTTACAGGCATGAGCCACTGCGCCCAGCAAGGGCCTCAGTTTCTTCATGTCAAATGCCACACATGCAGGACAGACATTTTGTTAGCACCTTCTGGTTCTATCATTTTCGTAATCTGTAACTAAACAATAATTTATGAGTTAATGATGTTATTGAGTTTTAAGTTTTTGGTTGTTAAAATAAATTCCTAGCCAGGCACAGTGGCTCATGCCTATAATCCCAGCACTTTGAGAGGCCAAGGTGGGTGGATCGCTTGAGCTCAGGAGTTCGAGACCAGCCTGAGCAAAATGGTGAGACCCTGTCTTTACTAAAAATACAAAAAAATAGCCAGGCATGGTGGTACACACCTGTGGTCCCAGCTACTTGGGAGGCTGAGGTAGGAATATCGCTTGAGCCTTGGGGGTGGAGGTTGCAGTGAGCCGAGATGGAGCCACTGCACTCCAGCCTGGGTGATGGAGAGAGATCCTGTCTCAAGAAAAAAAAAAAATCCTTTGTTAGAGATGTGTGTATCTTTCTTTTTTGAGACAGAGATTTACTCTGCCATCCAGGCTGGAGTGCAGCGGTGCAATCTTGGCTCACTGTAACCTCCACCTACTTAGTTCAAGCGATTCTCCTGCCTCACCCTCCCAAGTAGCTGGGATTACAGGTGCGTGCCACTGCACCTGGCTAATTTTTGTATTTTTAGTAGAAATGGGGTTTCACTATGTTGGCCAGGCTGGTCTTGAACTCCTGACCTTAAGTGATCCACCTGCCTCAGCCTCCCAAAGTGCTGGGACTACAGGCTCACGTGCGCCACTGCGCCCCGTCTGTGTTTCTTTAATTGAGAATAAAATTACCTTCAGTTGGTTGGTCTGGTCTCAGAATCACACATTGGTCCAGAATTACACTTGCCCTGCTCTGAAGAAGAATGCCACCTGAGAGCACAAATGTATAGAAAGAAATGTACATAATAAAGCCATCACAGAAGCAGATATGATGGGACAGATATAATAACAGATGCCCTTTCAACTTGATCCTCTCATGCTAGGCCTAAAATAAAAGAGTTAGATTTAGTGTGTGTATATATGGGTTACGTTTCAGAAGACATGAAATTGGTCTAAATCTAAATAAAAATGAGCTAAGCTCTGCCTAGGTTCATTTACATTCATCTATCAACAGCCTTGCAGAGATGGTTATGTAAGTGCTACGGGATGGTTCCAGCACTTGTTTCAAAGGGTCTTTCAGTCCATTCAAGCTGCATCCAAAAATAGTTGAGGCTGGGCCCTATTCTGTACTGCCTGTGGCTTCACAAACTGAAAACCACCATATCAGACGTGGTTATGCCCTACCTTGCTCGGCTTTCTGGGTTAGATCCTCTGAAATTTCATTTTATGAGTATTCCTGATTACCAAATGTTCAGAACTCAGCTCCTGCCCCACAAATTCTTTATGACATTGCATAAAACCAGTGACAGTGCCACATCCAGGCAGGATGAGGACCACGCACTCCTAACTATGGAGACAGGAATGCTGGCAGTGCTACTTTTGAGGTCACTGTTGGCCAAGATAATTGCTTCACTAGGCAAAGGCAAACCCCCTTAAGTGAGTTTCCTGAGGACTCAGAGAGGAAGGCCACAGGTGCTCCAGGAGGAGGATGCACCATCAGGGACCTTGGACAATGACAGCAAGACAGTGAGAAGCCTCTGGGGACCATTCTACAGGGGACTTCTTCCCTGGCCGTGCAGCTGACAGGCCCCAGGAAGCAGAGTCCCTGGGCTCTCCCTGGCAGCTCTCGGTGCATTTCCAGGGGAACAGCTTGGCAGCCCCGTGCTGGGTGGTGCGCTCCATCTATTTCTATGGTACCTATCACCATGGTACCTACTTGCTCTGAAAAACACAGCTAAAAACAGAACATAAAGAATAGGAGCACAGTCCGCTTCCCTGCAGTCACCTTCTGCAGCTGTTGTTATGCCTCAAGATTGCTCTCATGGGCCCCCTTCCATTCTGAGTTTCCATGTTTTTGTTGTTTGTGACCTTCAAAAACAAGAGGCTTACTAGCCGCATCAGCCTTGTCTTGGGGACAATGTGTGTGGCCTGAGGCTTCAAAAATGTCCCACTCGTCTTGCTGCAGGTGTACATTCCTCCGGGGGACACAGTCACCCAGGAAGCAGCTCCTCCCAGGGCTTGCTCGGAGCCCCATATGAGATGTTTTCGGGAAAGGGGAAAAAGTGGGAGTGGAGGATGACTGTGACGTTAGTGGGCATAGATGCCCCGAGGAAGGACCTGCGCTTATTCCAACAAAGAGGATCCTAAGCTTTCTCAGGAACATGCTGGAAATTGTGCTCAGGGAAAGATCCACAAGGCCAAATCACTTCTCCAAAGGTTTTCTTTAACTCAACAATTATCCTTCACAGCAGTGCTCAGCCCATCCATGGTAGTCAGACAGAACTTGAGTTCAGATCCCAACTCAGCCACTTGCCAGCCATGTGAGATTAGTGGGCAACCTCTCGAAGGTTAAATTTACTCATTTTTAAAATGGGGCATGGGCCAGGCATGGTGGTACACGCCTTAATTCCAGCACTTTGGGAGGCTGAGGAGGGTGGATGGCTTGAGCTCAGGAGTTTGAGACAAGCCTGAGCAACATGGTGAGACCCTGTCTCTACAAAAATATACAAAAATTAGCTAGGCATGGTAGCTGTGGTCCCAGCTACTCGGGAGACTGATGCGGGAGGATTGCTTCAGCCTCAGAGGTCAAGGCTGCTGTGAGCCATGATCACGTCACCGCACTCCAGCCTGGGCAACAGGGTGAGAGCCTGTCTCCAAAAATAAAAAAGAAAATTAAAGAGGGAAAAGGAAATGGGGATGAGTGTATAGACCTTACAGGGACAAGCCCCTTGCTGTGACCTCGGCCTCCATGGTCATTTCTTAGCTTTCCCATCTACAAAATGGGGAGGATAATGGCACCTGCTTCAAAAAAGCTTTGGGATAGTTCCAGGAGATGATGTATGTAAAGTGCTGAGAGAGCACCGGGTATGTTGCAAGCGCTCAATAACTGCTGGAGATGCAGGTGTGAGGAGGAGGAGGGGGATGGTGGTGACAGTTGGGACAAGGATGCTCTGTGGGTACCATTGGTGTCAACCCCGTCTTGGTTCTCCTAGGCGTGACTTCCTGTCCTCAGTCCTGGTGGAGCGGGTACAAATGGGGCCTCAACTCACAAGTGGACCCCTCCCTCCAGACTCCCAGATGCATTCATCAGTGTCTCTGGGCATAGTGGATGTAGCTGAGGATAAGCTCAGGCTGTGAGGTGGGTACACCATGCAGAAGGGTCATCAGCCCAGGTGCTCGATGTGATACACAGGACAAAGGAATTCTCATGTCCTGGAGAAAACCCCAATGTGGTTACCTGCTTGTCAGCTTTGGAGTCAACAGCCCTGAGGACTCAAGTCCCCTTTTGACAGAGTGGCTCTGGACAAGTCACTTGCCTTTCCTTCTCCATCTGTGAAATGGGGCAGAGAGGGAGGTTGGGAGCATTAAAAGAGAAAACGTAGGAGAAGCCTCCAGCCTAGTGTCAGCACACAGTGGGCTCTCAGCAGCTGTGGGCTCCCTTCTTTTCTAACCCCCCACGCTGAACATTTTAAGGCTGAGTAAATACTCCATTTAATGAATAAAGGATTAGGCTCTATAATAGGAGGAAACAGGCTCATTTCCTGAATTTGCTAGTAATCCGGTAAATGCTGCACTAAAACTCCCAGACTCACACAAAGCCTGAGGCCCCGCAGGCTCCCCACAAGGCCCCTTCCAGCACCCCCAACTCCCTCCCAAATGCTCCATTTCTCACAACTCACTTTCAAGAACAAAGAATGCTCTGCTCTAGCCAAACAAATCTGTGGGCTACAATCATATACTGCTTGTGCCTTCCTGCCTTTTTATTTCACAAAAGCAACTTTCCTGTTGTGATCTTTGTGGCTGTCTCCCTGACAAACCCCACTTCCCACGAGAGCTCCCAATTTTCATTTGAGGGTCCATGTGCTTCCAAGGACAGAGCATGCCACTTAAGCTAAGCCAGTCAGCTCATTCCATCCCCCTGGCAGGCAGGGATGGATTCCTGAGATCTAAGCTGGTCCAATCAGGATGACTCCCATGACTCCTTTTTTTGTGATACGCAGTCTTGCTCTGTTGCTAAGGCTGGAGTGCAGTAGTGTCATCTCAGCTCACTGCAACCTCTGCCTCCCAGGTTCAAGCAATTCTCTTGTCTCAGCCTCCTTAGTAGCTGGGACTACAGGCACCCTCCACCATGCCCAGCTAATTTCTGTATCTTTAGTAGAGACAAGGTTTCACCATATTGGTCAGGCCGGTCTCAAACTCCTGACCTAAGGTGATCCACCTGCCTCAGCCTCCCAAAGTCCTGGGAGCCACTGTGCCCAGCCCTGCTCTTCCTGTTTTGACCATTTATATAGTTACCTGATAAATGTTTGTTACCAAACGGCCAGTAGAATCTCCTGAAACCAGAAACACCCTGTCCCAGGGACCCTCCCACCCCGGCTGAGCAGTCTGAAAAGTACCAGGCTCTGGGCTGAATGCTTGACATATGTCATCTCATTTTCAGAAAATGGCTCATTGCATTTATGTTATTCTTGGACCCAAGGGCTGGTGGCGTTTTTCCAAGGCTTGTGAGTGGAGCCTGTTTGGATTGGAAGAGGAGATCTTACACAGAGGAACTAATGCAGAGAGCGGTGGCCCTTCGCGGTGGCACAGAGCTGGATGGAAAGGACAAGGCCTTTAGGTTTAATAATTGACTCTACTTATTACGTGGATGATCTTGGGCAAGTTACTTTGCATATTTGTGTCTCCGTTTTTTCATGTGGCAAATGAAGATGGAATCCCTACACTTCTCTGGGTTATTGGAAGATTAAATCATGTTAGTCAAATACCCAGCACAATGTCTGGCATAGTCTTGCTCTTTCTCTACTGTATTTCTCCTCTGCTGAACACTGACCAGTGGCTGGGCCCTCACAGGTATATTGTCCCCCCATTCTCTGTGGATGACCATCAACCCCACCCAGGAGCTGAAGGGTGATATAGAGGTTCAAGAAAACATTGGCCACCAGGTGGGAAGAAGTCTCCATCCCATTCCTTGCCAAACATAGATTTGCTGTCAGAAAGGCAGAGCGTGTGGAGAAACGGTTGGAGACCAGGCCACTTGTTTCATTGCAAATCCGTTGTATTTAGATTACACCTAAGGCTTTGTCCTCTTGTCTCTGCTCAGCAAGCCACGAACACTTCCAGATCTGACAGCCTGAGCAAACTGTTCCTCAGAACTGCTGCCAGGCGCGGTGGCTCATGCCTGTAATCCCAGCACTTTGGGAGGCAGAGGCGGGCAGATCACGAGGTCAGGAGATGAAGACCATCCTGGCTAACACATTGAAACCCCGTCTCTACTAAAAATACAAAAAATTAGCCGGGCGTGGTGGAGGGCGCCTGTAGTCCCAGCTACTTGGGAGGCTGAGGCAGGAGAATGGCATGAACCCGGGAGGCAGAGCTTGCAGTGAGCCGAGATTGCGCCACTGCACTCCAGCCTGGGCGACAGAGCAAGACTCCGTCTCAAAAAAAACAAAAACAAAAACAAAACAAAACAAAAAAAGAACTGCCAAAACTGCCATTAGATCCTTTTTTTTTTTTTTTTTTTTGAGAGGGAGTCTCGCTGTGTCACCCAGGCTGGAGTGC
Organism: Homo sapiens; assembly: GCF_000001405.40. Classification (NCBI taxonomy): domain Eukaryota; kingdom Metazoa; phylum Chordata; class Mammalia; order Primates; family Hominidae; genus Homo; species Homo sapiens. Next base: position 91,142,992 of record NC_000014.9, on the reverse strand, counting down.
AGTAGCACGATCTCGGCTCACTGCAACTTCCGCCTTTCCATTTCAAGTGATTCTCCTGCATCAGCCTCCTGAGTAGTTGGGACTACAGGCATGCACCACCACGCCGGCTAGTGTGTGTGTGTGTGTGTGTGTGTGTGTGTGTGTGTGTGTGTTTAGTAGAGATGGTGTGTTGTGTGTGTGTGTGTGTGTTTAGTAGAGATGGGGTGTCACCATGTTGCCCAGACTGGTCTCGAACTCCTGACTTCAGGTGATCTGCCCACCTCAGCCTCCCAACCCAAAGTGCTGGGATTACAGGCATAAGCCACCGTGGCCAGCTACGATTAGACTTTTGAGTGTTACCAAATAACCAGTACATGTTTGCTCAGGGGTTTGTCAGCAAAGGGCAATGTTATACCTCTTCAGGCAAATTCATTTGAGGTGCACTTTTCTGGGGCTTAGGTGGGGGCAGGGAGGCCTGAGGGACAGGAAGAGATAAGAAATCTTTGCATCTTATTACCCTCTTCTAACTTCCTCTTCTACTCAAAGAAGGAGGGAAAGCCCAGCATTTGGTCCACCCCAGAATAAGTCTTCTGTTACTAAAGAGTTTCATCTTTCTAATGGAAGCCGTGCAGTTTCTATTTGTGACAGGAAGTGTTCTCAAAGTGTAGCTCTCCAGGACCCTGGAGTGCTTGTCAAAAATGCAAATTTCTGGCACCACACTATTCCTACTGAATTAGACTCTGCATAAATGATTGTAAACCTTGGGTAGCAATTCAGACCACAAGTTCTAGAGTCAGATAAATATAGACTGAATGCCAAGCTCCAGCTCTACCACCTGTGATCCTTGAGCAGGTTAATTAACCTCTCTGGCCGGGCACGATGGCTCACGCCTGTAATCCCAGCACTTTGGGAGGCAGAGGCAGATGGATCACCTGAGGTCAGGAGTTCAAGACCTGCCTGGTCAACATGATGAAACCTCGTCTCTACTAAGAATACAAAAATTAGCCAGACGTGATGCTACGTACCTCTAGTCCCAGCTACTGAAGAGGCTGAGGCAGGAGAATCGCTTGAACCTGGGAGGCAGAGGTTGCAGTGGGCCGAGATCACGCCACTGCACTCCAGCCTAGGCGACAGAGCAAGACTCTGTCTGAAAAAAAAAAAAAGGCCGGGCGCAGTGACTCACGCCTGTAATCCCCGTACTTTGGGAGGCTGAGGCGGGCGAATCACCTGAGGTCGGGAGTTCAAGACCAGCCTGACCAACGTGGTGAAAGCCCATCTCTACTAAAATTACAAAGTTAGCTGGGTGCAGTGGTGCATGCCTGTAATCCCAGCTACTGGTGAGGCTGAGGCAGGATAATCACTTGAACCCAGGAGGCGGAGGTTGCAGTGAGCCAAAATTGCGCCATTGCACTCCAGCCTGGCGACAGAGTGAGACTCCGCTTCAAAAAAAAAAAAAAAAATTAACCTCTCTGAGTATCCATTGTATCACCTGTGTGAAGGTAATGCTGAACAGTCAAGGGATATGGATCTCATGTGATCGTTCTAAGGATGAAATGGAATAATATTTGTTTAGCAGTGTTTGGCACATAGTAAATGTTCAATATACGATAACTCCTTTTTTTCCTTTTCTTTTTTTTTTTTTAGATGGCGTCTCGCTTTGTCACCCAGGCTGGAGTGAAGTGGTGCAATCTCAGCTCACTGCAACCTCTGCCTCCCAGGTTCAACCGATTCTCCTGCCTTAGCCTCCTGAGTAGCTGGAACTACCACACCCAGCTAATTTTTGTATTTTTAGTAGAGACAGGGATTCACCATGTTGGCCAGGCTGGTCTTGAACTCCTGGCCTCAAGTGATCCACGTGCCTCAGCCTCCCAAAGTGCTGGGATTATAGGTGTGAGCCACTGTGCCCAGCCTGATAACTATTCTTTTTCTATAACACTTACACTCAAGAAAGTCGGAGCACCCTACAAGAAATAACAGACAAACTCGGCCATCATGACCAGCCTTAAGAACTATCCACTGGTAGAAATTTTGACAAGTCTACAGGTCAGCAATCAGACCTGAAGGTTTCCTGAGTCTCATGAAATCCTACAGGATTCACATCTGATCCTCAACAATAGACCAGCCAGGAGAGGGCAGCAAGAGAGAGCCTGAGTCTAACCATTGCTGTTTGAATCACAACCCCTAGGTGTTGTGGGCACTTTACTTGGGAATGTCCAGGTTGATACTCATTTCAAAAGATGGCAGATCTGCTGGCTAGAGGTGTGGCAGCACAGATTACGAATGGGTGGTGACTGTTTATCAGGCTCTTGACTTTCATAAATTATTTTCTTGTTTGTTTGTTTTGGAAAGGGGTCTCACTCTGTCATCCATGCTGGAGTGCAATGGCGTGATCTAGGCTCACTCCAACCTCCGCCTCCCAGGTTCAAGAGATTCTCCCACCTCAGCCTCTCCAGTAGCTGGGATTACAGGCATGTGCCATCATGCCTGGCTAATGTTTGTATTTTAGTAGAGATGGGGTTTCACCATGTTGGCCAGGCTGCTCTTGAACTCCTGACTTCAGGTGATCCGCCAGCCTCAGCCTCCCAAAGTGCTGGGGTTACAGGCTTGAGCCACCGCACCCGACCCATAAATTATTTTCTTTAGATAATCACTCAAGCATCACTATATTGTAGGAAACAACAACATGTCATTGAGACATAGATTTTGGGAGACAGTTTAAATCAAACTGGCAAACTTTTTTGTAAGGTTTGTGAGCTAAGAATAGGTTTTACATTTTTAGGAGTTGTGAAGAAGGAGAAGAAGGAGGAGGAGGAAAGGGAAGAGGAGAAACAACAGTATTGTGAAGGAAAAACAAAAACTTGAACCCTGGTTCACTCTGCCAGAAGGAAGAAAATGAAGCTGAAAGCTGAGTCATGCAAGAATCTGTCTTTCCTTTTGTTCCTAAGCAGATAGCTACACATAAAAGGTTAAAGATCTCTGCAGGTAGTTACTCTATGTTCACCTTATCTTACAGAGAGTGCTGACTTACTATTCCCCTACCTGCTCCCTTTCTCTTGCAACATGGGGATTCAGTCATGTGACCACAGCCTCCCTCTTCCCCCTCCATCCTGCTTTCTCCCCTTTTAAATCCTGAAGTCCTCAAAATCATCTTTGGAGAAAGGCACAGACCCATCTCCTGGGCTTGTCCTTAACCTTGGCAAAATAAACTTCTAAATTGATTGAGAACTGTCTCAGGTACTTTTTGGTTTACAGTGTGATGGTCAATTTTATGTGTCACCTTGATTGTATCACAGGGTGCACAGACATTTGGTTAAACTTCATTTTTTTTGAGACAAAGCCTCAACTCTGTTGCCCAGGCTGGAGTGCAGTGGCACGATCTCGGCGCACTGCAACCTCTGCCTCCCGAGTTCAAGCTATTCTACTGCCTCAGCCTCCCAAGTAGCTGGGATTATAGGCACAAGCCACCACATCCAGCTCATTTTTGTATTTTTAGTAGAGACGGGGTTTCACCATGTTGGCCAGGCAGGTTTCAAACTCCTGACCTCAAGTGATCCACCTGCCTTGGCTTCCCAAAGTGCTGGGATTACAGGTATGAGCCAACACGCCCGGTCTGGTTATTTCTGGGTACATCTGTGAGGGTGTTTTGGGGTGAAATTAGCATTTGAATCAGTAGACTGAGTAAGGAGGATCCCATCCTTACCAATGGCAGTGGTCATCATGCAGTCTACGGAGGACTCGAAGAGAACAAGGAGGAGGAGGAAGGGAGCATTTGCTCTCTGCCTGGCTGACTGAGCTGGGCCTTTTCCTGTCCCTGTACTGGGATTTGCCCCATCAGTGCTCCTGGTCCTCAGGCCTTTGGACTCAGACTGGAATTTAGTCCTTATCTCCAGCTTGCAGATGGCAGATAGTGGAACTTTTCAGCCTCCATAATCCTGTGAGCCAATTCTTTATACTAAATCTGTTTGTCTATATCTGTATCTCCTATTGGTTCTGTTTCTCTGGAGAACAATGACTAATAGAAACAGAGATGCATGTGTCGTGGAAGCCTAAAATATTTAAAATATCTGGTTCTTTACCTAAAAGTTTGTTGAGCTCCTGCTCAGGAGCTGACTTTTGATTGAGCTCATGGTCTCGAAGGCCAATATAACTTAGATTCATGCCCCATCTGATATGGTCTGGCTCTGTGTCCCCATCCAAATCTCATCTCAAATTGTAATCATCATCATCCTCATGATGAGGAAGGGACCATGTGTGAGATGACTGGGCCATGGGGGTAGTTTCCCTGTTCTCATGACAGTGAGTGAATTCTCACGAGATTTGATGGCTTAAAATTGTGACATTTCCCCCCTCCCTCTTGCTCACTCTCTCCTGCCACCTTGTGGAGGTGCTTAAATCTCCTTTGCCTTCTGCAATGAATTTAAGTTTCCTGAGGCCTCCCCAGCCATGTGGAACTGGGGATTAGACCTCTTTCCTTTATAAGTTACCCAGTCTCGAATATTTCTTTTTTTCTTTTTCTTTTTTCTAGACAAAATTTCACTCTTGTTGCCCAGGCTGGAGTGCAATGGCGCAATCTTGGCCCACCGCAACCTCCGCCTCCTGGGTTCAAGCGATTCTCCTGCTTCAGCTTCCTGAGTAGCTGGGATTACAGGCATGAGCCACCACACCCGGCTAATTTTGTAGTTTTAGTAGAGATGGGGTTTCTCCATGTTGGTCAGGCTGGTTTCGAACTCCCGACCTCAGGTGATCCACCCACCTTCACCTCCCAAAGTGCTGGGATTACAGGTGTGAGCCACCGCGCCCAGCTGCGTATTTCTTTATAGCAGTGTGAGAATGGTCTGATACCCCATGGTCTAGATAGGCAGGGGACACTACCTTAGTGCCCAGAACATTTATCTGGATCAACAAAAACCCTCAGGACCAGAAGACAAAGGCAGGACCAAAGAGGAAAGTGTCAGGTCAATGTAACTAATGAGTATAGATATAAAAACTCTAAACAGAGTATTAGCAAACTGAATCACGCAGTGTCTTTTTGGGGCTCAGAAAATGATATCCCAAAGTTTGGTGCTTTGTCATGCTGAGTAGTTTGAACTGAAGGACATTGGGGGGCTCAGAAGCAAGATGTTACTGACCTTTTCCTGTCTCCATCTCTCCTGCTCCCCTCTCTCCCAAGGCAGGCCATAGAAACTAGAATTCCTCTTCCCTAAGGCAGGTGATAGAAACTAGAAACCCTCTCTCTCAAAGCCAGCCATAAAACCTAGAAATATTACTCTAACCTTCCCTTGCCTTTCTGTGTAAGAGCTAGCCATAGAGAAATTCTCAGGCCAAGTACGGTGTCTCACGCCTATGATCCCAGCACTTTGGGAGGCTAAGGCGGGCGGATCATGAGGTCAGGAGATCAAGACCATCCTGGCCAACATGGTGAAACCCCGTCTGTACTAAAATACAAAAAAAAAAAAAAAAATTAGCCAGGCGTGGTGGCGCACGCCTGTAGTCCCAGCCACTCAGGAGGCTGAGGCAGGGTAATCGCTTGAACCTGGAAGGTGGAGGTTGCAGTGAGCAGAGATCACACCTCTGCATTCCAGCCTGGCAACAGAGAAAGACTCCGTCTCAAAAAAAAAAAAGAAAAGAAATTCTCTACCTTTTCTGATAGTAGGCCATAAGACCCTTATTCCAAAAGAGGTCACATTCTACACTCCAGGTAAAAGAACGAGACACAGAGAGACCAAGAAGAATCTGAACAGGGCTGGGCATGGTAGCTCATGCCTGTAATCCTAGCAATTTGGGAACCTGGGGTGGGAGGACCCCTTGAGGCCAGGAGTTGGAGACCAGCCTGGACAACATAGGGAGACCATGTCTCTACGGGAAAAAAAAAAAAAAACCTGAACAGACACGTTCTGCTGGGCCTTTGCCTCCCATCACTCTATGAGCATTAGATCACTCTCTTCTGTCCAACCATATTTCTACACAGCTGGCCATTTTTCAGCGAACCTAAGCATAAAAATAGAGTTTTCCCTGAGGCTTGGGGGTCTGCATTTTTTTTTTTTGAGACAAAGTTTCGCTTTTGTTGCCCAGGCTAGAGTGTAATGGCACAATATCGGCTCACCGCAACCTCCACCTCCCGGGTTCAAGCAATTCTCCTGCCTCAGCCTCCCCAGTAGCTGGGATTACAGGCATGTACCACCACGCCTGACTAATTTTGTATTTTTAGTTAGAGATGGAGTTTCTCCATGTTGGCCAGGCTGGTCTCAAACTCCTGACTTCAGGTAATCCACCTGCCTCAGCCTCCCAAAGTGCTGGGATTACAGGCGCGAGCCACCGTGCCTTTTTTTTTGAGACAGAGTCTTGCTCTGTCACCCAGGCTATAGGGCAGTGGTATGTCTCAGCTCACTGCAACCGCTTCCTCCCAGATTCAAGCAATTCTCCTGCCTCAGACTCCCGAGTGGCTGGGATTACAGGCTCCTACCACCATGCCTGGTTAATTTTTGTATTTTTAGTAGACAAGGGGTTTTCACCATGTTGGCCAGGCTGGTCTTGAACTCCTGACCTCAAGTGATCTGCCTGCCTTGGCCTCCCAAAGTGCTGGGGTTACAGGTGTGAGCCATAGCGCCTGGCCTGGGTCTGAATTTCTAAAGGCTCTCGTGTCACATAAAACTTTCATTAAGAAAATCTGTTATGCTTTTCTCTTGTTAACTTGTCTTTTGTTTTAGGAGTATTGGCTTTGATGGGAAGGAAAGGTATCACACCTTTTCTTTTACCCCTGTAGTATAAAAAATGCTAATGTGGCCGGGCTCGGTGGCTCAAGCCTGTAATCCCAGCACTTTGGGAGGCCGAGGCAGGTGGATCACGAGGTCAGGAAATCGAGACCAACCTGGCTAACATGATGAAACCCCGTCTCTACTAAAAATACAAAAATTAGCCGGGCATAGTGGCGGGCCCCTGTAGTCCCAGCTACTCGGGAGGCTGAGGCAGGAGAATGGCGTGAACCTGGGAGGCGGAGCCTGCAGTGAGCCGAGATTGCAGCACTGCACTCCAGCCTGGGCGACAGAGCCAGACTCTATCTCAAAAAAAAAAAAAAAAAAAAAAAAAAGCTAATGTATCCTAGCCAAGTTGGAATTACCCCAAGAATCCAAGATTGGTTTACTATTACAAAAGTGATTCATGTAATTCATCATATTACCATGTTAAAGGCAAAAAGATACTATCTCAATAAATGCAGAAAAAAAATTAGTAGCATTTAATGTCTGTCAATAATAAAAACTCAACTAATTTGAACTAGAAGTTGATAAAGAACATCTAGCAAGGTTAAAAACAAAAACAGCAAAAGCCTATACCATACTTGTTTTTTTTTTTTTTTTTTTTTAATGAGGCAGAGTTTCACTCTTGTTGCCCAGGCTAGAGTGCAGTGGCTCGATCTCGGCTCGCTGCAACCTCTGCCTCCCAGGTTCAAGTGATTCTCCTGCCTCAGCCTCCCGAGTAGCTGGGATTATAGGCATGCGCCACCATGCCTGGCTAATTTTTGTATTTTTAGTAGAGACGGGGTTTCACCATATTGGCCAGGCTGGCCTCAAACTCCAGACCTCAGGTGATCCGCCCGCTTTGGCCTCCCAAAGTTCTGGGATTATAGGCGTGAGCCACCGTGCCTGGCCTGCCTATACCATACTTAATGGTGAATGTTGAAAGCATCCCCGTGAAGATCAGGAGCAAGGCCTAAGAACTCCCAATACCATCATATTATACCAGCCTGTGTAGTAGAACAAGAATAAGAAAGCAAATAAAAATGTGTAAGGCAGCAGGGCACAGTGACTCATGCCTGTAATCCCAGCACTTTGGGAGGATGAGGCAGGAGGATTGCTTGATCTCAGGAGTTCTCAAGACCAGCCTAGAAAATATAGAGAAACCCTGTCTCTACAAAAAATTAAAAAATTAGCTGGGCATGGTGGTGTGCGGCTGTAGTCCCAGCTACTTCGGGAGGCTAGTGGGAGGATTGCTTGAGCCTGGGAGGGGGAGGTTGCAATGAGCAGAGATCACACCAATGCACTCCAGCCTGGGCTACAGAGTGAGATCCTGTCACAAAAAGAAAAAGAAAAAAATGTGTAAAGGCTTGGGAAGGAAGAAAAAACGTGCAGATATTATGATTGCGTGGAAAACCCAACATTATCTACAAATAAATTATTAAAATTAGTAAGTGAGTTCAGGAAGGTTTCTGTATATAAAATCAATATGTAAAAGTCAACTGCACTTCTATACACCAGTAACAGTTAGAAATGTAATTGTGAGGCCGGGCACGGTGGCTCATGCCTGTAATCCCAGCACTTTGGGTGGCCAAGGCAGGTGGATCATCTGAGGTCAGGAGCTTGAGAGCAGCCTGGGCAACATGGCGAAACCCTGTCTCTACTAAAAATACAAAAATTAGCCGAACGTGATGGCACAGGCCTGTAGTCCCAGCTACTCGGGAGGCTGAGGCAAGAGAATCGCTTGAACCTGGGAAGCCAAGGTTGCAGTGAGCTGAGAGGGTGCCACTGCACTCCAGCCTGGGTGACAGATGGAGACTCTATCCCAGAAAAAAAAAAAAAGAAATGTAATTTTGAATGATACCATCTATAATAGCATGAATAAATATCAATTACCCAGGAATAAATCTAACAAAATATGTGAAATCGTTTATGGAAAATATGGTAAAACTTTACTTAAAGACATTAAAGAAGAACTAATAAATGGAGAGACAGCATGTTCACGACAGAAAGACGCAATGTTGTAAATATATCTGTTCTCCCTAAATTGTATATTCTAGGCAATTCCAATCAAAATCCTAACAGGTTTTTAAAAAGGAACTGAACACGCTGATTCCAAAACTTACAGGGAAGGGTCAAGGGCCAAAAAATAACAAATCGCTTTTAAACAAGAGCAACAGACAGGTGTGTGTTGGGGTTGGGGGCTTGTCCTCTACCAGATATTAAGACACAGAAAACTATGGTAATTAAGATGGAGTGAAAGGGCTCCCACAACTCAACTCAAAAAACAAATGAATAGTCCAATTAAATGGGCAAAGGACTCGAATGGCCCTTTCTCCAAAGAAGCTATACAAATGGCCACTGAGCACATGAAAAGATACTCAACCTCATTACAGAACTGCAAATCAAAACCACAGTGAGATACCACTTGACATACATTAGGATGGCTATTATCAAAGACAAAAGCAAAATTAGAAAAGAAGTATCGGTGAGGACACGGAGTAACTGGAACCCTTGTACATTGCTGGTGTGATGGTAAAATGGTGTAGCCCTCTGTGAAAACAGTATGGCTGTTCCTCAGAAAATTAACATTGGGCTACAGGCGGTGGCTCATGCCTGTAATCCCAGCACTTTGGGAGATTGAGACGGGAGAATTGCTTGAGGCCAGGAGTATAAGACTATCCTAGGAAACATAGTAAGACCCCATCTCTAGAAAAAATATATATAATTTTTAAAAATTAAACATTGAACTACCATGTAATCCAGTAATTCCACTTCTGGTATATACCCAAAAGAATGGGAAGCAGAGATTCGAACAGATATTTGTATACCAATATTCATAGCAGTATTATCCACAATAGCCAAAAGGTGGAAGCCAATGTCCACTGATGGATGAATAGATAAACAAATTTGGTATATACAGACAATGGAATATTATTCAGCCTTTAAAAAGAATGAAATTCTTTGTTGTTGTTGTTGTTGTTGTTGAGACGGAGTCTTGCTGTTGTCACCCAGGCTGGAGTGCAGTGGCAAGATCTCGGCTCACTGCAACCTCCACCTCCCGGGTTCAAGCAATTCTCCTGCCTCAGCCCCCCAAGTAGCTGAGATTACAGACGCCTGCTACCACGCCCGGCTAATTTTTGTATTTTTAGTAGAGACAGGGGTTTCACCATGTTGGCCAGGCTGGTCTCAAACTCCTGACCTCCAGTGATCCGCCCACCTCAGCCTTCCAAAGTGCTGGGATTACAGGCGTGAGCTACCGCGCCCAGCCAAAAAAGAATGAAATTCTGATATATGCCATAACATGGGTGTACCTTGGAGACATGAAAGACATTATAAGTAAAAGAAACTAGACACAAAAGGACTAATATTATATGATTCCACTGATATGAGGGACCTGGAATGGTCAAATTCATAAAGATGGAAAGTAAAATGGTAGTTGCCAGGGGCTGGGGGAAGGGAGGGATGACTGAGGAGTTGCAGTTTGGGAAGATGAAAAAGTTCTGGCTGGGCGCAGTGGCTCACGCCTGTAATCCCAGCACTTTGGGAGGCCGAGGCTGGCAGATTACCTGAGGTCAGGAGTTCGAGACCACCCTGGACAACATGGCAAAACCCCATTTCTACTAAAACACAAAAATTAGCCGGGCGCAGTGGCGGGCGCCTGTAATCCCAGCTACTTGAGAGGCTGAGGCAGGAGAATCGTTTGAACTCAGGAGGTGGAGGTTGCGGTGAGCCAAGATCGTGCCACTGCACTCCAGCCTGGGTGACAGAGCAAGACTGTGTCTCAAGAAAAAAAAAAAAAAAGAAAAAGTTATGGGTCTCCCAAGTATCTTGGACTACAGGCATGCACCACCATGCTAAGCTAATTGTTTTATTTTTTGGTAGAGATGGGATCTCACTATGTTGCCCTGCCTGGTCTTGAACTCCTAGGCTCAAGTGATCCTCCCACCTTTACTTTCCAATGTGCTGGAATTATAGGAGTGAGGTACCACACCCTGCCCATAGTAATTAATATTTATTGTACTTACAAAAATATTGGTCTACAATGAATTTTGGAAAAAAATGAAGTTCAACACAGGAAATTTGAGAGCTCAGGGAAAACAAGACAAAATAAAACCCATAGCCATGTCTGGAAACTTGATTTCTGACACAGAGTAATTGCAGACAAGTGGGTACAAAAGTAAAATTGGGGCCAGGTACAGTGGCGCACGCCTGAAATCCCAACACTTTGGGAGGCCAAGGTGGGCAGATCACCTGAGGTCAGGAGTTTAAGATCAGCCTGACGAACATGGAGAAACCCTGTCTCTACTAAAAATACAAAATTAGCTGGGTGTGGTGGCACACTCTTGTAATCCCAGCTACTTGGGAGGCTGATGCAAGAGAATTACTTGAACCCAGGCAGAGGTTGCAGTGAGCTGAGATTGTGCCATTGCACTCCAGCCTGGGCAACAAGAGCGAAACTCCGTCTGAAAATAAATAAATAAAAGTAAAACTGGAAGCTAATTATCAGTAACAAAAATCAAATCCAGGTAGATCAAATACTTAAATATGAAGTACGAAATATGAAGGATGAAATTAGAAACTTTTATAACAGGAAAGAATATCTCAAGTTGGTGGACACAGGAAGGGGAACATCACACACCGGGGCCTGTGGTGGGGTGGGGGAAGAGGGGAGGGATAGCATAGGAGATATACCTAATGCAAATGACGAGTTAATGGGTGCAGCACACCAACATGGCACATGTATACATATGTAACAAACCTGCACGTTGTGCACATGTACCCTACAACTTGAAGTATAAGAAAAAAAAAAGACGTTAGGCTTATAACCAACTATATCAGTAATGACAATGAATGTAAATGGAATAAAATTGCCCATAAAAAGACAAAAAAAAAAGAGAATATCTCAAGTTGGGAAAGGTTTCCTAGAGAAGATAAATTTGACATCAAAATTAAGAACTTCTGTCCAAAAGTCACCATAAATAAAATGCAAAAGCATTCCCAAACTGCAAGTAGATATACAAGCATATAACACTGAGGCATGATATTCCGTGTCTATAATCCTAGCATTTTGGAAGGCCAAGACAGGAAGATCACTTGAGGCCAGGAGTTCCAGACCAGCCTGGCCAACATGGTAAAACCTCGTCTCTACTAAAAATACCAAACTTAGCCGGGCGTGGTAGTACGTGGCTGTAATCCCAGCTACTTGGGAGGGTGAGAGGCAGGAGGCTTGCTTGAGCCGGGGAGGTTGAGGCTGCAGTAAGTCATGTTCTTGCCCCTGCACTCCAGCCTGAGCAACAAAGCGAGACCCTGTCACAAAAAGAAAAAAACATAAAACTGATATGGAATAATTACCATCCAGAATATATAAAGAACTCTCATTAATCAATAAGAAAAAGACCACCCCTTCATTAAAAAAATGGGGAGAAAGATATAAACAGGCATTTACAGTACAGAAAAAACAGTTGGTTTATAACTATGAAAAGATTATGCACTGTTAGCTGGGTGTGGTGGTGCACATCTGTGGTCCCAACTACTTGGGAGGCTGAGGTGGTAAGATCGCTTGAGCCTAGGAGGTTGAGGCTGTGTGAGCTGTGACTGCACGACTGCACTCCAGCCTGGGTGACAGAATAAGACCTTGTCTCAAATAAAAATAAATAAATAAGAAAAGATTCTTGGCCAGGTGTGGTGGCTCACACCTGTAATCCCAGCAATTTGGGAGGCCAAGGAGGGCGGATCACAAGGTCAAGAGATCGAGACCATCCTGGCCCATATGGTGAAACCCTGTCTCTACTAAAAATACAAAAATTAGCTGGGCATGGCGGCTTGTGCCTGTAGTCCCAGCTACTCGGGAGGCTGAGGCAGGAGAATGGCTTGAACCCAGGAGGCGGAGGTTGCAGGTTGCTGGTTGCTGAGATCATGCCACTGCACTCCAGCCTCCTGACAGAGCAAGACTCTGTCTAAAAAAAAAAAAAAAGAAAAGAAAAGATTCTTCACTTCAAGAGTAATTAAATACATGCAAATTATAACTATAATGAGACACAGGCCACACTTGTGGGGTTGACAAAAATTAAAATCGACAAGAATGAAGTCAACTGAAACACCATTACTGACTTGTAGTGCAAGGGTTGATTGTTATAAACCACTTTAGGGAAAAAAATTAGCATTATCCCATAGAGTGGAAGCACCTTTAAACCTAGCAATCCATTCTTAGTTATACACTCTAAACAGTACATGCAATGTGGGAAAATCATACAATGTAACACTATGCAGTGGTGAAAAATAAACTACAGCTACCTGCATCAACACAAACGAAGCTCAAAAACATCATGTTGAGGCTGGGCACGGTAGCTCATGCCTGTAATCCCAGCACTTTGGGAGGCCAAGGCGGGTGGATCACCTGAGGTCGGGAGTTCAAGACTAGCCTGACCAATATGGAGAAACTCCCATCTCTACTAAAAATACAAAATTAGCCAGGCGTGGTGGCACATGTCTGTAATCCCAGCTACTAGGGAGGCTGAGGCAGGAGAATCGCTTGAACCCGGAAGGCAGAGGTTGTGGTGAGCCGAGATTGCGCCATTGCACTCCAGCCTGGGCAACAAGAGTGAAACTCCGTCTCAGAAAAAAAAAACAAAAAACAAAAAACATCATGTTGAATAAAAGTCACAGCAATATAGTACATTCTTTTTTTTTTTTTAATTTTTAATTTTGTAGTGAAGGGGTCTCCCTATATTGCCCAGGCTGGTCTTGAATTCCTAGGCTTCAGCAACCCTCCTGCCACAGCCTCTGAAAGTGCTGGGATTACAGGTATGAGTCACCATACCCGGCTAGCATATTCTTATATACAGCATTAAAATAGGCTTCTGGGCTTTGCAAAACCGAACCATATAGTACTTAGAGGCTTAAGGGTATGTGTGTAAAGGAAAACTATAAAGAAAAGCATGAAATCTGTAATTTCCCTCAGGTAGAGACAGGAGAGCACATGACTGGGGAGAAGCACATATAGAAGCTTCTAAGAAACTGACTCTGATCTATTTCTTAACTTGGATCCTAGGGACACAGTTGTTTACTATTCTTTAAGTTGAACATATGGCTTATATGTATATAGATTTCACAATTTTTAAAAATTTAAAAGAAAAGATAAAAAGTGTGTAGATGATGGCTAAGGATGCAGGAATAGAACTGGGTCCCCTGACGCTCAAAGCAGAGGCTAGGCGGATTGTCAGGCTTCTGACCCACTGGAGAATGCAAACCAAGAATGTGCTGAGAGCCCAGCCCCTTAACATTTGATTTTGTCTCCCTAGCATTTTTTTTCTTTCAGAAACTGTCTTTCCCCCAACCCAGAAGGGCTGCCAATCATGGGGCCTTACCTGTCCCATCAATAGTGCCATGTGACTCAGGCCAACTAACCAGGGTATTTCCACTCATCTGGCCTCGGTGGTTATTTAATACAGGGGGTGAGCAGAGGTCCCAAGCGAGTCCATTCAGAGCCCTTCCTGTGTCTTCTGTTGGAACAACTCAGAATCTAAGAGGATTGCTAGACATAAATGCACTGTGAGCCTAGAGCTCCATGAAAATCAGCCTGAAATCCCATTAAAACCAGTAGAAAGACAAGCAGAGAGAAGGGCTGGAGAGTAACAGGGGACAAAGGGGGGGTGAGAAACAAAGTCCTTATCCTGTCATTTAGGTATCTGGATCCAGCCTTTCCTGCTTCCCAGTTATATAGGCTAATACAATCCCCTTTCTGGATCTTTCTTTTATTTTTTGTTTTATTTTATTTTTTTGGTTTGAGACAGAGTCTCGCTCTGTCACACAGGTGGGAGTGCAGTGGTGTGATCATGGCTCATTGTGACCTCCATGCCTGCGCTCAAGTGATCCTCCCACTTCAGCCTCTCCAATAGCTAAGACTACAGGCACATGCCACCACCCCCATGCCCGGCTAATATTCTTGTGGGTTTTTTTTTTTTTTTTTTGTAGAGATGGGGTTTCTCCATGTTGCCCAGGCTGGTCTTGAACTCCTCGGCTCAAGCAGTCCACCTGCCTCAGCCTCCCAAAGTGCTGGGATTATAGGTGTGAGCCACCGTACCGGCCTGGATCTTTCTTAACATCAATTGCAATCAAGTGTCCTAAGTAACTCAGAATTCTGTACCAGGAGCAGGGTTTTGCAAATGACAGACCCTAATATCTGGAATTTGCTGTGTTGAGGTGGGTGTAAGGTGGGGTCTCCCTTCCTGACTCGGGGTGAGCAACACCTCTCAAGTGGTGCAAGGTAGCCAAAGCCTCTCCTGTTGAGCCCAGTGAGTCAGACCACATGCTCAATGAGGCTGGAAATTGGTAGGACTTGTTAAAAAAAAAAAAAAAAAGCCAGGTGCCTGGGGTGTGCTGCCCCTTCTTCAGCCTTCAGTAAGCTCGGTGAGAAAAAGATGCACTTTAGTCCCAGTTGACCTTTCTGAAAGCAGGGAAGGAGAAAAGAAAGCCATGAGTTTCTCTTTCTGCCTGGGGCAAGTAATTCAGCTGAGCTGAGAACCAGAAAATCATATTTCAGGATTGCAAAAGTCAGATTCCCTGCCCCAGGCTAGGAGCACAGGTAAAGGCTGGGAGAAGGACGACACAGTGTGAGAGGGGACAGAAACCGGAAGAAGCAGTTTCCCCTGGCTCCCTGCCAGCCACTTCTGCCCGGCGTTCCCTGCCTGGCCAAACCGCAAACAGCCTGAAGGCAAGGGCCAGACAGCCCGGCCTCATCCCTCTGGCCCAGGCCCAGTGTGTTGGGGCAGAGGCCAGAAGGCTGCAGTCTGAAGGAAGACTCAGGGAGAACGGGGTGTAGAGGGGGCAGGTGCAGCGAGGACAAGGTCCAGATTCTACAGCATGACTTGACTTGAGTTTCTAGCTCCAGTTGGCAGCTCACAGAGTTATCAGAAAATGGACTAAGGTCCTGGCATGGTGGCTTACGCCTGTAATCCCAGCACTTTGGAAGGGTGAGGCAGGACTGCTTGAGGCCAGGAGTTCAAGACCAGCCTGGGCAACACAGCAAGATCCTGTCTCTACAAAATATTTAAAAAATACCCAGGCATGGTGGCACATGCCTGTGGTTCTAGCTACTTGGGAGGCTGAGGTGGGAGGATGGCTTGAGATTGGGAGGTTGAGGCTGTAGTGAGCCATACTTGTGCCACTGCACTTCAGCCTGGGTGACAGAGGGAAATTCTATCTCAAAAAAAAAAAAAAAAAAAAAGAGTATCATCAAGGCCTGACTGAGAAGAATGTACATCGGCCAGCTTTGCTTGGATGTGGGCAGCCTGTACCACACTGGGGTGTTGCATTTCTGGAATTGTTTATGTGGAAAAGGCCATGGATGGATGCCAGGCAGTCAAGGGGTGGAGTGCAGTGGCTATTTATTTCTGCCCTACAGGGGGTGGAATGTGGCCCCCAAAGAGATAAATCCAAGTCCCAACCCTCACCCCATACCTGTGAATATGACTTTATTTGGAAAACGGGTCTTTGTAGATGCAATTAAGTGAAAGATCTTGAGATGAGATTATTATGGATTAATTGAGTGGACCCTAAAACCAGTAACATATTTTTTTGTGTGTGGTGGAGATGGGGTCTTGCTATATTGCCCAGGCTTGTCTCAAACTCCTGGGCTCAAGCAGTTCTCCCACCTTGGCCTCCCAAAGTGCTGAGATAACAGGCCTGAGCCACCGCACCTGGTCTGACACGTTTTTTGTTTTTTCAATGTGTAGGGCATTTGTTTGTAGGGAGGTCACAAGCTCTGTGTCCCTTGTCACAATGACCCCAGATTCCTATTGGGTGTGTTGTAAACAGAGGAGGCATTCTTCGGGCCCCCTGCTCTGAGCACACCCCAACACATGTAATTATAAGAAGGCACAGACATGACAGGAGAAACACAGAAGGGGCCATCCTGTGAAGATGGAGGCAGAGATTGGAGTGACGCAGCTACAGTCCAAGGAACTCCAAGGATTTCCTGGGGCCACAGAAGCTGCAAGAGGCAAGGAAGGATCATTCCCTAGAGGCATCAGAGGGAATATAGTCCCCCTAATACATTGACGTAGAACTCCTACCCCCCAGAGCTGTGAGATAAGAGATTTCTGTTGCTTTTAGCCACCAAGTAAGTTGGGATTTGTTGTGGCAGCCCTAAGAAACCATTACGTGCCCAGCAAATTGGAAAAGTGTCCCCCAGTACCCAGTGGGGCTGTCAGTCACTATCTCAGACCTAGGTGACAATCAAAATAGCCCATCCTCCTTAGCACAATGCTTGGGTTGAGGATGGTCACATGACCCCAGCTAGCCAACCAGAGTTATCCTTTGAATTTGTTTTGTTTTGTTTTGTTTTTTAGAGACTGTGTCCTGCTCTGTCACCCAGGCTAGAGTACAGTGGCAAGATCTCGGCTCACTGCAGCCTCTATCTCCTCGGTTCAAGCAATTCTCCTGACTCAGCCTCCTGAGTAGCCCAGGCTCGGCTAATTTTTGTATTTTTAGTAGAGACAGGATTTCACCATTTTGGCCAGGCTGATCTTGAACTCCTGACCTCAGGTGATCCGCCTGCCTTGGTCTCCCAAAGTGTTGGGATTACAGGAGTGAGCCACTGTGCCCAACCTTAACCTTTGTATTTGTATAGCTGTCGGGAAAGAAGTATTTCTTACCTCTGAAACTGCTAGACACAGGGACAATGTGAGCATAGGCTGCCAGTGGTCATTTGTCACCCCACAGAGAGAGCTGGCTCGAGAAGGAAGCCAACAGAGAAGAAAGCAGAGAGCCAAGAGTAAAAAGAGGCAGGGCTTGACGCTGTCATCCCTGGCCCTACAAGCAACCCTATCTAAACACAGTTCTATCTCTGGACAAACAACCTTACCTAAACACAGATCTATCTCTGGGCTTTTCTGCCAGTCACTTCCCCTTTTCTGCTCAAATCCATTTGAGACAGGATCGCAGCCATTCCAGAGGGCAGAGTCTGCAGCAAGTACGTGTTTGAAATGCTTGTTCCCCGGTGCCGTAAAGAAATAGTACTTGAACATAAATTTAATTTCCTCAGCAAGGCCATTTTTACACTTTCTGCAGAAAGGGTACACTCGCCAGTAGTTGTGCCCCATGAGTATATAGAACAAAGGAGACAGGGTCATTTATAACCTGACTCGTCCACCCTACTGCTGTGTCCAGTTTCCATTGGCTGGAATGGGACCTCAGATCCTGTATTTGTCCCAATTGGCTGGCAACTTAGAACCTTTTAAAAGAGGCAAAGGCAGAGGAGAACAAAGGAAGGAGGAAGTAACTTGTGCAATGTTGAGAAAGGTAAAAACACCTTCAAATAAGGAAGAGGAACAGGCTATGACCTAATACTTGCTTGGACCAGTATAAGCATGCCAGGGCAAATATTCAGGCTAAATTGTGGGAGCTAAGAACATTAAAGTACATTGATTTCTTTATTATGGATAGCAGATATTTAAGAATGTTAGCACAGGTCTTTGAATAAATTTTGCTTCTAAGAGAAGTTACTATTTATTCCTAATTAGATGGGAAGGAAAGTCTCTGAAGAGGAACCTCTACTTCACTTTTTACTGATGTCTCAAGTACAGCAGGTAAAAATCTCATCAGAACAAACAACAAAGGCTTCTATGAAACAGGCTGATTTGTTTCTGATTAACCACAGAATCAGAGTGAGTTACAACCAACCCCTGTGTAACAGGACACTTTCCTTGGCCCGGGCAACACGGCCTTCCACCAGCACTTTCTTCAGGCCTCAGAGAACTCGTGGTTGAAAAAAGCCATGCCATTCACAGAAAGCCTAATCTGCCATGAATTAACAAGCAGCTATGCCCACAGTGGACCTGTTTCCTACCTCCAGCCTGAAGTCCTGCTGAACTGTCAACCCCATAGACCAAATGCAGTAATACAATAAATGTGGAAACCCCAGAGAGAAGAGGAGGCATCAGGAGGAGGGAGGATGGTGCTTCCATCTGCTCAGCTCCTTGACAGCAAATTAGTGAGGAGCAGCTGCTTCACTCCCAGTTAGCTGGGTCTGCTGCTTTTAAAAGTCTGACTATTGGCAGGGTGTGGTGGCTCACGCCTGTAATCCCAGCACTTTGGGAGGCCGAGGTGGGTGGATCACGAGGTCAGGAGATCGAGACCATCCCAGCCAACATGGTGAAACCCCGTCACTACTAAAAATACAAAAATTAGCCGGGCATGATGGCGTGCGACTGTAGTCCCAGCTACTCAGGAAGTTGAGGTAGGAAAATCGCTTGAACCCGGGAGGCAGAGGTTGCAGTAAGCCAAGATTGCACCACTGCACTCCAGCCTGGGTGACAGAGTGAGACTCCATCTCAAAAAAAAAAAAAAAAAAGTCTGATTATTAAAGCCAAAAGATGCGCTGTTAAAACATTGAAAAAAACAGGCTGGATGCAGTGGCTCATGCGTGTAATCCCAGCACTTTGGCAGGCCAAGGCAGGCGAACTGTTTGAGCCCAGAAGTTCAAGACTAGCCTAGCAACATGGCGAAACCCTGTCTCTACAAAAAATCAGCTGGCTGTGGCGGTGCACACCTGTAGTCTCAGCTACCTGGGAAGCTGAGGTCAGAGGATCATCTACACCCAGGGGGTTGAGGTTGCAGTGAGCCATGACTGTGCCACTGCACTCTAGCCTGAGGGACAAAGTGAGACCCTGTCTTGAAAAAAATAATCAGAAACAACCTAAAGTGCTGTTACAATGGACCTAAACTTGATGCACTAGGCTCCATGAGTGAGAGTTTAACGTTTCTGGAAGCATACAGTTCATTCTTTTTTTTTTTAACTGTCTCCACCTCATCTCTCCCAACCTAGCGCGTCAGTATGACAGTTTTCCCAAACAGGGCTGCTCCGTTTCTAAATATTCACAAGTGCCATTTGCCAGGGCCTGCCAGGGCAGCGTTTATTGCTTCAAGATGTGCGCTAATATCAAGTGGCTTTGCAGCATGGGAATATGCTTGGCTGGGCCCCTCCGTTTACTGTCTAACTGATACCTTGGAATCCTGCTCTTATAAATGTTCTGTTGTGTGTTCGTTACTTGACATTTTTGGAAACACCCAAGTTAGACCTATAAAAATGGATTGACTCCTCTGTGATGATCCAGGTACTCATGATACTTCAAGTCTGGTGGCCGTCACTAGTAACTAAGGTGGTGTGGGCCGAACAGAGTTCTCCCTGAGCACAGCGAGCAACTCTTGATTGTCTCTGTGGCTCAGGTGCCTGTCTCCTGCTAAGCCTAAGTCCTCGAAAGACAGGGACTGTGTCTTATCTGTCTTTATGGCCCACAAACCCAGAGTAGTGCCGGCTACATAGTGAGTGCCTCTTTGCTGAATGAAATGCAGCCTTAAGAAAAGAAAGAACTAGCCAAGCACCGTGGCTCACGCCTGTAATCCCAGCACTTTGGGAGGCTGAGGCAGGTGGATCACAAGGTCAGGAGTTTGAGACCAGCCTGGCCAATATAGTGAAACTTTGTCTCTACTAAAAATACAAAAATTAGCCAGACATGGTGGCAGGCGCCTACAGTCCCAGCTACTCCTACTCAGGAGGCTGAGGCAGGAGAATCACTTGAACCCGGGAGGTGGAGGTTGCAGTAAGCCGAGATCGAGCCACTTCACTCCAGTCTGGGCGACAGAGTGAGACTCTATCTCAAAAAAAAAAAAAAAAAACTTTTTTCTTTTATTATAGTTAAAATACACATAACATTGACCATCTTAATCATTTTAAAGTGTACAATTCAGTAACATTAAATACACTCACAGTGATATGCAATGTCATAATTTTTAATTTAAAATAAAAAAAATCTTTCTTTTTTTCTTTTAAAGGTACAATGGCTCACGCCTGTAATCCTAACACTTTGGGAGGCCAAGGCGGGAGGATTGACTGAGCCCAGAAGTTTGAGACCAGCCTGTGCAACACAGTGGAACCCCATCTCTACAAAAAATAAAAAATTAGCTGGGCAGGGTGGCACGTACCTGTGTTCCCAGCTACTCAGGAGACTGAGGTGGGAGCCCGGGAGGTCAAGGCTGAAGTGAGCTGTGGTTGTTGAACCACTGCACTCCAGCCTGGGGAACAGGGTGGGACCCTGTCTCAAAAAAAAAAATAAAAAAATAAAAAGCTCCTTAATAAAATTACTCTAAATAGGTTAACAGTTTTTTCTAAGAGAAAAAAAAAAGATATCATACAGAGCCTGATTTCAAGGCAATCTAGACAACAAGGTGTGAATACTGTTCTCCACTAAATACAACTGCTATCACTTCTTAGCTCTTCTGTGATCATCTCCCAGTGCTCAAAACGTATTCATCAAGCAAATGTGTTGAGCACTCTGTTAGATGATGGGAATAAACAGATGAGCAGACATGGCCAGTGCCTGTGAGGTGCTTAAAGACCAGAGAAGAGACAGATGCTTACTTCTAATTCCCCATGCTATACTGTGAACCTCTTAAGGGTAGGGGTTTTTGTCATTTTTTTCCCCCTGCTCTATCCCCAGTATACTGAACAGTGCCTGGCACACTATAGGCATTTTAAAAATACTTGATGATAGATAAATAATGAAAATCTGGCTGGGGAAGTAGGAGAAGCCTTCACTGAAGACATTAGTTGAGTTTGTTCTTGAAATTATTATTATTATTATTATTATTATTATTATTATTATTATTATTTTTGAGATGGAGTCTCACTCTGTCACCCAGGCTGGAGTGCAGTGGCGCGATCGCCACCACATCTGGCTAATTTTTGTATTTTTAGTAGAGATAGGGTTTCACCATGTTGGCCAGGCTGGTCTCGAACTCCTGATTTCAGGTGATCCACCCACCTCGGCCTCCCAACGTGCTGAGATTACAGGCGTGAGCCACTGCGCCCAGCCAAAAATATTATTTCTTGAAGAAAGAGTTACAGACATCCCCACAGGAGAGGAGGGTCTTCTCAGAAGCTTAGGTACAGAGCAGGTAGCATGATTGGAGGTGGAGTAGGACATGGAAAGAGCCATACAGTTCACTCTTTTGCCATTTACAGAGCACTTTCTGTGTGTCGGGAAATGTGCTTAAGCACTGGAGCTGCTAATGAGGAAGAGGCAAGGAAAACTGTGTTGACAGTGTCAGGCAGGTATGGCCTGGGAGACATTGCATGAGCTTTGACAGACAGCTGGAAATCAGCACTAGGAGAAAGGCTGAAGAAGTCTCTGTAGGTGACAGTGTGAGTGGTTGGCACACCTGGGGTAAAGAGGGAGAGGGGCTGGGAAGATAGACAAAGAGATGCTTGGGAGGGAGCATGTGCATAACCTGAAGGAGTATGAGCTTCATCTAAGAGCCCCAGGAGCACTAAGGGTAGGAGGATCCCCTGAACAGGCAGCACTTGGTGGAGGATGAATGTGAAGAAGAACATCCCTCAGAGACCCTCTGTCGTAAGTATTTGAGAAGCAATCCAGGCTTTCCCCAAAGTGAGAGAATGAGAGGAAGGGCTGATTTGAGGAACTGGAAGAGGTAGACTTGCCAGAACCTGATACCTGATTGAATGTATGCAAAAGGTGCAACGAAAGAAAGGAATCACAAATAATTATCAGGGCCAGGTGGGGTGGCTCATGCCTGTAATCCCAGCACTTTGGGAGGCTGAGGCAGGTGGCTCACCTGAGGACAGAGTTCAAGACCAGCCTGGCCAACATGGTGAAATGCTGTCTCTACTAAAAATACAAAAATTAGCCAGGCGCGGTGGTGGGTGCCTGTAATCCCTGCTACTCAGGAGGCTGAGGCAGGAGAATGGCTTGGACCCAGGAGGTAGAGGCTGCAGGTTGCAGTGAGCTGAGATAGCGTGATTGCACTGCAGCCTGGGTGACAAGAGTGAAACTCCATCTCAAAAAACAATAATAATAATAATTATCAGATTTCTTTTTCCTGGGATGGGCAACTAGCTAACTGTGCCATTCATGAAAATAAATACAAGAAGAGACTGATGAGGAATTTGGTTTTAGAATGCTAAGTAGGAGGAGCCTGTGAGACAGCCCCAGGCAGAGGTCCATGACAGGGTGGACATTCAGCACCAGAAGTCAGGAAGGACACCTGCCCGGAGGAGGGAGAGCTGCGAGTCATCAGCTTTTGCGTGGCTGAGGACACTAAGTGTATTAGTCAGGGTTCTCTAGATGGGACAGGACTAACATGACGAGGAGTTTATTAAGGAGTATTGACTCACACCATCACAAGGTTAAGTCCCACAATAGGCTGTCTGCAAGCCGAGGAGCAGGGAAGCCAATCCAAGTCCCAAAACCTCAAAAGTAGGGAAGCCAACAATGCAGCCTTCAGTCTCAGGCCAAAGCCCTGAGAGCCCCTGGCAAACCACTGGTGTAAGTCCAAGAGTCCAAAGCTGAAGAACTTGGAGTCAGATGTTTGAGGGCAGGAAGCATCCAGCACGGGAGAAAGATGAAGACTGAAAGACTCAGCCAGTCTAGTCCTTCCATGTTCCTCTGCCTGCTTTTGTCCTAGATGAGCTGGCAGCTGATTATATGGTGCCCACCCAGACTGAGGGCGGGTCTGCCTCTCCCAGTTCACTGACTCAAATGTTAATCTCCTTTTGGCAACACCCTCACAGGAACAAGACTTTACATCCTTCAATCCAATCCAGTTGACACTCAACATTAAGCCATCACACCGAGGGAGAGGGCAAAAGGCAGGAAGGGCTGTGGGTGGAACACAGAGACCCAGAGGATATTTAGGGAGTGAGTGGAACAGGAGGTCTCTTTGAAGGAAATGGAAAAAAAATGTCTAGCAAAGTAGGGTGGGAACTTAGAAAGAGTAGCACTGCAGTGAGAAAGAGTCTTCAGGTATGGGAGCACAGTGGTACCAAAGGTCCAGAAAGACAAGGTCAGATCAAGGTAGAAAAGCCTGGGAAATTTGGTCAGGGAAACAGAGTGGGTCAGGGAATATGAGTGAAAGGATATGTACAACTCTGAGGTATATCATTTAGAAGGGAGCTGTTTGCCCTCTAATTCCTCCCCTCTTCGCACTACAGGCAGGAACAGAAGGTGAAGGTGATGTTGAGTCACTTTTGACTATGCAGAAAAGGGAGCAACAAGATGGAGGAAGCTGGGTTCCTGAATGACCCTGTGGAGCAGAGTTGTTTGCCTGTCCTGGACTGACCATTTACCTCTTAGCTATTATGTGAAAGAGGAAAAATCTTCTACCCTTTTTGAGCAAATGTATTTTGGGATCTTTTTTACAATTTAGCCTGTACCCTAACTAATACAGAGTATCTCCCAAAGGCACAGATAATAATAATTTTAGTAGTAGTAGTATAATTTAAAAAAATTTTTTTTAACTTTTTAGGTAGACTTTTTAGGGTCTCACTATGTTGCCCAGGCTGGTTTCGAACTCCCAAGTTCAAGCAATCCTCCTTCCTTGGCCTCACAAAGTGCTGGGATTACAGGCATGAGCCACCGTGCCTGGCCCCACTGATAGGAATATTTCTTGAAAGTATAAACCAAAAGTAAAATTCTAAGCCCTTCAACCAATTGAATGGACCCCCTTTCAGCCAAGGGCATTCCAAAGAAACCTGAAATACTAGTCCAGGCCATGATGGGAGGTGAATGGCTGAACATGCCTCATTATCCCCCACCACTTGGGAGTTTAGATACAACTGACCAGCATTAACATTAAAACAGAGATCTTAAGACAGATAAAAGAGACTCTTTGTAGCCATAAGATACCAAATTCCAACCTGACTCTATCAAATGACAGATAAAGAAGGAAATCAAAATATCTTACCCCCAAATATGTTTCTTCACCATATTTTGAAACTGCTTTTTGTATCTGTAAATCTATTAACTAGCTCTTTCCCCTTCCAAGTCCTCCCACCTTGAAGAGAGTTATGAAGAGTCTGGCACCTTTTAAGGCCTGATAAGAGAGATTCACCTGTAACCCCAGCACTTCAGGAGGCCGAGGCAGGTGGATCACTTGGAGGTCAGGAGTTCAAGACCAATGTGGCCAACATGGTGAAACCCTGGCTCTACTAAAAATCTAAAAATACAAAAATTAGCCAGGCGTGGTGGGGGTGGTGGTGCCTGTAATCCCAGCTACTTGGGAGGCTGAAGGAGGTGAATCGCTTGAACCCAGGAGGTGGAGGGTGCAGTGAGCCAAGATCATCCCACTGTACTCTAGCCTGGACAACAGAGTGAGACTCCGTCTAAAAAAAAAAAGGGGGGGGGGGGGCGGGGAGAATTTACCATCCATTCTCTCTGAAGTCTGCTACCTGGAAGCTTCATCTACATAACAAGAACCTTGGCCCTTGGCTTCCACAACCCCTTTTATCTTGAATCCAAGCATTTCTTCCTGCTAACTTCAACTTTAGGCAAAGCTTAACTCATTTAACTAATTACCAATTGGGAAATCTTTGAATCTACCTATGACCTGAATACCTCAATTCTGGACTGAATCAATCAAACCAATGTGTACTTCACATGTATTGATTGATGTCTATGTCTTCCTAAACTGCATAAAACCAAGCTGTATCCCAACCATGTCAGGCACATGTTCTCAGGACCTCCAGGGTCCTCATGTTTGCCTCAGAATAAGTCTCTTCAAATATTTTACAGTTTGGCGTGTGTGTGTGTGTGTGTGTGTGTATGTGTGTGTGTGTGTATGTGAACAAAAGCTTACTCTGTGCCAGGCATTGTTCTAAACACTTTTCATGTACTATGTCATTTAATCCATACAACACTCCCTAGATGAGGGCTGTTATCCCTATTTTACAGAAAAGGAAGCACAGGATGATTCAGTACTTTGCCTAAAGACTCATAGGTATTGAGTGGCCAAACCAGCAGTCAAGCCCAAGTGTCAGAGGCTTTCAAACCAGAGCCACTCCATCTCGAACAGGGGCTGGGTAAAATAAGGCTGAGACTTACTGGGCTGCATTCCCAGGAACTTAGGCATTCCTAGTCACAGGATGAGATAGGAGGTAGGCACAAGATACAGGTCACAAAGACCCTGCTGATAAAACACTTTGTGGTAAAGAAACCAGCCAAAACCAAGATAGCAATGAAAGTGACCTCTGGTCGTCCTCACTGCTTATTATACACTAACCATAATGCATTAGCATGCAAAAGACACTCCCACCAGCACCATGACAGTTTACAAATGCCATGACAATGTCTGGAAATTACCTTATTTTGTGTAAAGAGGAGAGAAACCCTCAGTTCCAGGAATTGCCCACCCGTTTCCTGGAACACTCATGAATAATCCATCCCTTGTTTAGCACATAATCAATAAATAACCGTTAAGTATACTCAGTCGAGCAGCCCATGCCACTGCTCTACCTATGGAGTAGCCGTTCTTTTTTTTTTTTTGAGACAGACTCTCACTCTGTCGCCAGGCTGGAGTGCAGTGGGGCGATTTCGGCTCACTGCAACCTCTGCCTCCTGGGTTCAAGCAATTCTCCTGCCTCAGCCTCCCAAATAGCTGGGATTACAGGTGCATACCACCACACCCAGCTAATTTTTGTATTTTTAATAGAGATGGGGTTTCACTATGTTGGCCAGGATGGTCTTGATCTCCTAACCTTGTGATCTGTCTGCCTTGGCCTCCCAAAGTGCTGGGATTTCAGGCATGAGCCACCACGCCCGGCCTATTCCTTTACTTTCTTAATAAACTTGCTTTCACTTCCACTTTGCTATGAACTTGCCCCCAGTTGCTTCTTGCACAAGGTCCAAGAACACTCTCGGGGTCTGGTTTGAGGCCCCTTTCTGGTAACACAAGTATTCTGGATTGAGATCATACTTTCAGTCACTATGCTTTTCAAAGCATAACTTTTTACAATTTCACACAGTCAAAAAGACACAGCTTGGTCTTCCAGAGAGCTGTGCCTGAATGTGAACCTCAACATTACTGAAGGACCAAGGGCAGTCATTTAGTTTCTCTACAATTCTGTTTCCTCCAAGACAGCATGAGGAGATCCAAATTACAGACTTCATGGAGCTTCTGGAAGGATAAAACAAATTCAAGTCTGTTTAAGAAATGCTTTGAAAGCTGTAAAGTGTGGCATAAATGAAATATTGCCTTAAGGCAGGTTGGAAAATCCTTAAACCCAAAATAAGAAAATAAACTTTTTTTTTTAATGCAAATACCCTCTAGCAACTTGGCAGATCGCCTGGAAAGGCTGAGAAATCTGTCAAGGAGAGGGTTGGTTTTGTGTATCTGCCATGCTCCACTGAAAAAGGGAGATATTAATTGAAATTAATTGAAAGAGCATATACCTGTGCACTTGGACGAGAATCATTATTATCAAACCAGAAGGAGCAGCAATCTGCATTGCCCACAGGAACCAGGCAGGTACAGAAGTTTTGGGGTGGGTCAAGGAATGCAAAGCTCAGTGCAGGAGAGGTGGGGACTTTGGCAAACCAGCAGCTACAGCGCCAGCCGAGCTGCGGAAACGTGAGCCCATTCTTTCACAACGCGTGAAATTTTCCAAATTTCCAAGAGTCCTCACTCTTACAAATAAAACATGTCAGGGGCCACCAGTTGGCCTCCGGGGATCTAGCCCTCAGCTGGAAGTGACATCTGACTCTTTTAAGATGCTTCCTGGCTAGGTGTGGTGGCTCACGCCTATAATCCCAGCACTTTGGGAGGCCAGGCCGGATGGATGGCTTGAGCTCAGCCTGGCTAACATGGCAAAACCCTGTCTCTGCTAAAACTACAAAAATTAGCCAGACCTGGTGGCATGTGCCTGTAGTCCCTGCTACTTGGGAGGCTGAGGCAGGAGAATAGCCTGAACCCAGGAGATGGAGGTTGCAGTGAGCTGAGATCACACCACTGCACTCCAGCCTGGGCGACACAGCAAGACTCCGTCTCAAAATGAAGGGGGGAAAAAAAGGTGCTTCCTCATAATTATGTACAAGCCACAGTTTAGCCTTCTTTCAGTTAACTCCACCCTGCCCTGCCCTTCCCACCCATCACCTCCTTCCCCTTCCTGCTTCCTCAGCTTCACTCCACCCCTCCAGCCAAGTCAGCTTTCTTTCTTCTTCCTACTCTCGGCCTCTCCTTTCCTTCTTTTTAGCTCATACTCAGTTACCTTTAAAGCACAAAGCAGCTCTCGTCCCCTGCGTGCCAATCAATGCCAACATTCTTCCTGCCAACATAATCTCAACCTGCTGCCCTCCTCCAGCACTGGGATAATTTTTGCAATTTAGTGTGGTTCTCATGAAAGAAGGTGGGTTATAGCTAGCTCGATCTCCCGTAGTAAAAGAGGACAGAGGGGAAGTACAGATAATCCTAGAGAAGAGACCCCCGCAAAGTCACCTGGCTCTGCCTTTAGCCTTGGGTGGGTACACAGGTCCAAAGCACACCACTGCAGTCCCCTGTGCCATGTTGGTGTTGATGCTCCCAGAGGAGGCTGAGATGAGCTAACCAGTGGCCTGGAGAAAGACTTGGCGAGGATTTACAGAATTCTGCCTCCAGCCAACGCAGGGGTGATCAGCCTGGCCGCTACCTCATAGCCATCACTCACTCTTCAAAACAGGGAGGGACCTTTGGGCCCTGCAGGTATCCACGAAGCTCTGGCCTGTGTGCCTGCGGCAGCCCAGAACCCCTTCCCCAATTGCCACCTCGATTAGCTTTGTCACCTCATCCCCAGCAAGCCTGTGGCTCAAAGGCAGTTTCAGTTTTACTTTCTTTGCCTTCATGTGACCTGGGAGTTCTCAAGGGCAGTGACAAGGACTGAAAGGGCCTTGCAGGAGAGAGAACAGAGGAGAAACACTACCAATACCTGATATGTTCTGTCCTCAGGTGCTATCTGGCTTGAACCAAGCCTTGACTTTTCAAGGAGAGGAACAGCTGGGCCTCAGTGGAGAATTTCAGGAATTTTCTGCCTTGCTCACTGGTTTTGCCCTGCCATTGTCCTGGGGTGGGCTCCCAGAATACCCTTGGGCTCCTTAGGTGGGGCGGGGCAAGGTGGATACTGCCTGGGGCGGAGGGAGGGACTGTGCTGTGCTCTGTTCCCTTCTGACTTACTGTTTGTTTGGGGCGTCTGGACGAGGGCTACAAACAGTTCCTCCCTTTGTTTCCACGGCCTTGCAGAATGTGTGCTTCCCTCAAAAGGGCATAAAGGCCCCCTTTCTTCTGCTCTCCTGCGCCACGGGGGGTTGTTCTGCAGGGCTCGGGTCTACAAGCTGAGGCCAGCCCCAAGCGCTGACTGTAGCAGCTCCATCCGCTCCCACAGCCTGAGCTCACGTGGCCCATGCAGCAGCGTGGTCTCCTCGGCAGCTAGCCCGCCCCAGTTCTTAAAGCTGCAGAGCTGCTGGCAGCTGGCTGGACCCTGCAAGCCCAGTTCTCCCTGCAAGAGTTAACCTGCTCTCCCCGGCTCAACAGAGGGGTAATTTTGAAAAATCCTGATGCCTGGGTGACAGACCCAGAAATGCAGATGTAATTGATCTAGGGGTGTATGGCCTGGGCACTAAGGATTTTTGAAATCCCTCAAGTGATTCCAATGTGCAGCCGATCTGGTGAATCGCCATCTGTGCTGTACAAACTTCAGTGTGCACTGGGATCACTAGGGGATCCTGTGAAAGTGCAGGCTTGATCCAGAAGATCTAGGGTCAGGCAGAGATTCTGCATTTCTAAAAAGCTCCCACAAGATGCAGCTGCTGGTCCGTGGGCCACACTGTGAATAGCAAGGGTGATGTTTTGAGCTTGGATCTGCATTCTGCCACCCACATTTAGAGGTCTTGGTAAGTTTTTAGGCCTGTTTCCTCCTCACTTATCTTGCTTGGCTGCTCTGACGATTGACTGAGATAATAAGCATTATGCACTAGAACAGTATCAGCACTTAGAAAGTGCTCAAAAGATAGTAACTATGACCATGATTTTCTCCTGATCTGCTTCAAAGCCATCAGGACTTACCTTTGGACCCCATACAATTGACCCTTGGACAACGTGGAGCACTGAACCTCGTGCAGTCGAAAATTCTTGTATAACTTTTATTGTTGTTGTTATTTTGAGACAGAGTCTTGCTCTGTCACCCAGGCCGGAGTGCAGTGGCACGATCTCCGCTCACTGCAACCTCTGCCTCCCAGGTTCGAGCGATTCTTCTGCCTCAGCCTCCCCAGTAGCTGGGAATACAGGTGTGCGCCACCACGCCCAGCTAATTTTTGTATTTTTAGTAGAGATGGGGTTTCACCATGCTGGCTGGGCTGGTCTCGAGCGCCTGCCCTTGTGATCCGCCTGCCTCAGCCTCCCAAAGTGCTGGGATTACAGGCATGAGCTATCGCACCTGGCCTTTTTTTTTTTTTTTTTTTTTTTAGATGTAGTCTCACTCTGTTGCCCAGGCTGGGAGCAGTGGTGCGATCTTGGCTCACTGCAATCTCCGCCTCCTGGGTTCACGCCATTCTCCTGCCTCAGCCTCCTGAGTGCCACCACGCCTGGCTAATTTTTTGTATTTTTAGTAGAAACAGGGTTTCACCGTGTTAGCCAGGATGGTGTCAATCTCCTGACCTCGTGATCTGCCCGCCTCGGCCTCCCAAAGTGCTGGGATTACAGGTGTCAGCCACCGCTCCCAGCCTATTTTTTTTTTAATTTGTTCATTTTGGTTTTGGTTTTTTGTTTTTGCTTCTTTTTCTCTTTTGTTATCATGCATCTTGTTCCTTTTTTTTCTTTTTTTGGAAGTATTCAATAATGTTGGAATGAGTGAGTGAATGAATAAATGAAAGGGTTAAAGTGAAAAGTGAAAGATCTCTTTTATTATAGAATCAAAAACCCCATGTCATGCAGCCTCACCCACCCAGGGTGCCATCTCTGACCTGCTGGACCCTCAGGCAACGCTCTGCGAAGGTCCATAATGACCACAGCTACCCATCACGTGTGTTCTCCAGCCCCAGCTTTCCTGCAGAGCCCTGCTGTCTAAGTTGCTCTGTTTGGTGTCATGGTGTCATGTTTCCAGAGAATGAAATAGAATTAATCAAAAGGTAGTTGTTAAATTGAGGCCAGGCTCACAAAGGAGAGAGATCCCATCTGCCACCTGTTATGTTAAACTCTTTTTTTTTTTTTTTTGAGACAGAGTTTTGCTCTTGTTGCCCAGGCTGGAGTGTAATGGTGCGGTGTTGGCTCACCGCAATCTTCGCCTCCTGGGTTCAACTGATTCTCCTGCCTCAGCCTCCCGAGTAGCTGAGATTACAGGCATGTGCCACCACACTCAGCTAATTTTGTATTTTTTTTTTTTTTAGTAGTAGAGACGGGGTTGCTCCACGCTGGTCAGGCTGGTCTCGAACTCCCGACCTCAGGTGATCCGCCTGCCTCAGCCTCCCCAAGTGCTGGGATTACAGGCGTGAGCCACGGTGCCAGGCCATGTTAAGCTTTATTAGACAAGAGCCAAAAGGTGGAAACAAATTGTGTCTATCAACAGATGAGTAGGTAAACAACATGTGATACATACACACAGTAGAATACAATTCAGCCACAAAAAGGAATGAAATTCCTATACATGCTACAACATGGATGAAACTTGAAGGCTGTATGGTCTGAATGTTTGTATTCCTCCAAAATTCATGCATTGACATTTGTATGTTGAGCCCTAATGATGGCATTGAGGCCCCAAAGAACTGCCTTGTTTCTTCCACCTTGTGAGGACACAGCCAGAAGGCACCATCTATGAATCAGAAAGTAGGCCCTCGCTAAGATCTGAGAGTGATAGCCTAGTAAGTTTTTAAAAATATAAATAAAGGCTGGGCACAGTGACTCATGCCTGTAATCCCAGTACTTTGGGAGGCCAAGGTGGGTGGATCACAAGGTCAGGAGATTGAGACCATCCTGGTCAACATGGTGAAACCAGGTCTCTACTAAAAATACAAAAATTAGCTGGGTGTGGTAGTGTGCGCTTGTAATCCCAGCTACTTGGGAGGATGAGGCAGGAAAATCGCTTGAATCTGGAAGGCAGAGAGGTTGCAGTGAGCCGAGATGGTGCCACTGCACTCCAGCCTGGCCACCGAGTGAGACTCCATCTCAAAAAAAAATATATATATATATATAGATAGATATAGATATATAGATATATACACACACACACACACACACACACACACACACACACACACACACACATATATATAAATAAAAAGAAAAGGGGCCCTCGCCAAACATATTATCTACTGGCACCTTGATCCTGGACTTCCCAATCTCCGGAACAGTGAGAAATAAATTTCTGTTGTTTATAAGCCACCCTATTAATGGTATTTTGTTCTAGCAGCCTTAACAGACTGAGACAAAAACGTTAAGCCAACTGAAATCAGCCAGACACACAAAAAAATATTATACGATCTCGCTTATATGAAGTACCTGGAGTTAGGCAAATTCACAGAGACAAAAGTAGAACAGCAGCTACCAAAGGGTGGCAGAAGGAGAACGAGGAGTTACTGAAATGAAGAAGTTCTGGAGATGGTTAGTGATGATGGTGGCATACCATTGTGAATGTACTTAATGCCACCAAATTTTACACTTAAAAATGATTCAATTTTATGTTATGCATATTTTACTACAATGAAAAAACTTGATTAGAAACCCAAACTATTGGCCGGGCACAGTGGTTCACACCTGTAATCTCAAAACTTTGGGAGGTTGAGGCAGGCAGATTGCTTGAGGTCAGATCAGGAGTTCGAGACCAGCCTGGCCAACATGGAGTACCCTTGTCTCTACTAAAAATACAAAAATTATCCAGGCATGGTGGCGGGCGCCTGTAGTCCCAGCTACCAGGGAGGCTGAGGCATGAGAATCTCTCGAACCCTGGAGGCGGAGGTTGCAGTGAACTGAGATTGCACCACTGCACTCAAGCCTGGGTGACAGAGCGAGACTGACTCCAAAAAAAAAAAAAAAAAAAGAAAGAAAGAAAGAAAGAAAGAAAAACAAACCAAGCAGAGCTTGAAGGATTCCTTGACACCAAGCAGGGCTTGCAACATGCCCTAGCTTTTCCTTTTCCATTTTTTCTTAAGGCTTAAAGATGAGATGCAGAGCCTCAGAAGGTTAAACTGTGTGTATGGCCAGAGGTGCAAGGAATGTCAAATATTAATATTTACAGTTGGTTTCTTCAGTGGGTGAGATCCAGGCAAAATTGCTCAGGAAGAGAAATATTACAATATTCAGCTGGTGTCACAGTGTGCTTGGGAAGAGAAGCAATTGCTTGTGTCAAAAGAATGTAGAAGTATAATCAAGCTATTGTTTGCAATTGCTTAGCTGAAATGAGGCCCCCTCCAGGGGAAAAAAAGAAAAGAAATTAAACCTAGGTAACTATTGTATGCCAAGTAATCGTAGCTATTTAAAAGTTCAAAAAGAGAAGGCAATTGAAGGGATTCAGTGAGCCAACAGAAACAGGAACTCAAGATGTTTTTCCCAAAGAGGTTCCTCAACCTGAATTAGATATGAAAGCCTCCAGACATGGTCGGCTCTGACAATGGGGAATATTATGGACTGAATGTTTATATCCCCTCCAAATTCCTGTGTTGAAGCTCTAACCCACAATGTGATGGGTTCTGGAGATGGGTTTTTGGGAGGTAGTTAGGGTTACATGAGCTCATGAGCGTGAGGCCCTGGTCTGATGGGATCAGTACCTTTAGAGACCCCAGAGAGCTTCCTTTCTCTCTTTCTCTGCCCTGTGAGCACATAGTGATAAGGTGGCCATCTGGGAGCCAGGAAGAGGAACCTCATCAGAACCCAACCACCATATGTTCTGACCCACTTCTGCCTCAGGGAATTACCTCCGTGTTCCCTGCAGCCTGTAGCCACTAACTACCGCTGATGAAAATGTTGATCTAGGACCAAAGCCTGGGGCAGGGAGGGTTTCCTGTGACCTTTCTCATAAATCATACTGTCTTCATGGTGCCTGGTGGCACCCAGCCAGCCACTCTCCTTGACAGTGCCAGGCCCTCACTACCTTTCTTGAAAGGTGAAGCAACTTGTCCCCAGTCCTAGGAACACAGCGGCTCTTGAGTCCACGCTGCTGTTGGAGCAGAGGAAAGTCATGGTGCCTGTTGGAATGGAGCCCACCCAACAGGGAGTCTCCAGAAGCACAACTAGGCTTCAGTGCAAGGGTTCCAGGGTTTGCAGAGTTTTCAAAAGTATATTTCTCAGCCACAAATAATACCATTGTCACGGCAGCACTTCCTGTTTTGCAAAAATCAGTCATAATAAAAACAGAAAGAGGCACGAGGCCCGCATTCATTGTGTCTTTTCAGTTGTTTGGGAAATGATGAATTCTGGGGGTGGTTTAGAGACAGGCAAAGACCCATGAAAGGCAAGGAGCAGCCAGCTTTCCTTCCCATACCCCCTGTTCCTATACCATGGGCCTGGGGCATCACAATCCATTTCCTGACAGGTCCTTGCTCTCCGGTCCCTTTCTTCATCCTCCACATTGCTTCTAGACCAATCGTCCCCAATATTTTGGTTACATCATTTATTTGTTCAAGATCCTTCAAGGGGCTGGGAACGGTGGCTCATGCCTGTAATCCCAGCACTTTGGGAAGCCGAGGTTGGTAGATCCCCTGAGGTCAGGAGTTCAAGACCAGTCTGGCCAACATGGTGAAACCTCATCTCTACTGAAAATACAAAAATTAGCCGGGCATGGTGGCACATGCCTGTAGTCCCAACTACCAGGGAGGCTGAGGCAGGAGGATGCCTTGAACCTGAGATGTGAAGTTGCAGTGAGCCAAGATCATGCCACTGCACTCCAGCCTGGGTGACAGAGCAAAACTCTGTCTCTCTCTCTCTCTCTCTCTCTCTCTCTCTCTCACACACACACACACACACACACACACACACACACACACAAATTCTTCAAGGGCCTTTCCAGTGACCACAGAGTCAAGTCTAAAGACTTAGACGGCCCTCCTCTAGGGACTGTGAACTTACTGACACAGACTCTGCTCCAAGGGCAGAAACTAGGGTGAAACTAGTGCAAAGTTTAAGGGAGCACCAAACAACTCAGTAACCAATATGAGTGCTAATTTTTTTAAAATCAAAGTTACCACAAAAATTCCATGATGAACCCAGTACCAAAATTTTAAACGAGGACAGGGACTGACCCTACACTTGTACGCTCGACTCCCACCTGGCCCTATTGCTTCCTCACTGAGCTAATCAGCCAGTCGACTCCTTGTTTCCAGAACCACGAAGACACTTCCACCTGCACACATTTGCTCCAACTGCCTTCTCCCCCGGCACCCCACAGAAGACCAACCCCGCTCCTCTGCTCACCAGAGCCTTTTTCTCTTCCTGCTCTCATCTGCGTCACAAACCCTTCCCTTTGCTCTCGCTTCTCTGAGCTCCTCTCATTCTTATTGCCTTTCAAGGGCTTCAGGCTTCCTTGGCAGCAGCACCTGGCAAGCACAAAGCTCACTCCCTGATCTCCACATCTTTGCTCCAAGGCCGCATCCTCAGTGAGGCCTGGCCTGGCACCCTCCATAAAGTAGCTCCCTGTCTCGTGTCTCCCACCCCCGCCAGCTCCTCATCCCTCTGGACCTGCTTTAGTTTTCACAGCACTTATCGCCATCTGATATACCATTCCATTGTTTTCTCTCTAGCTATTCTCCATCTCCCTGCTCTGGAATCTAAGCTTCACAAGAGCAGGTCTTCATGTCTGCCTGTTCATGGCTGAGTTCCAGAGCTTCCAACAGAGCCTGACACATGGCATAGAGTCAGTAAACATGTGTCAAACAGAATCTCTTCACACTCACTCTTAGCTGCAATCTCAATATATCAAGCAGATAAATGAAGGGTTTTTATTTTTTTATTTTTTTTTGAGATGGAGTCTCACTCTGTTGCCCAGGCTGGAGTGCAGTGGCGCGATCTCAGCTCACTGCAACCTCTGCCTCCTGGGTTCAAGCGATTCTCCTGCCTCAGCCTCCCAAGTAGCTGGGATTACAGGTGTGAGCCACCACCCCGGCAAATTTTTGTATTTTTAGTAGAGACAGGGTTTCACCACGTTGGCCAGGCTGGTCTCGAACTCCCGACCTCAGATGATCCACCCGCCTCAGCTTGCCAAAGTGCCGGGATTACAGGTGTGAGCCACCACACCTAGCGAAATGAAGGGTTTTTAGTTAGTGTGAAATAAGACATGAGAACATATAAGAACATTACATGTTCAAATGTATATGATTACTTAGAAAGGCAGCCAAATGAAATGTTTTAGCTCGCTTGTACATAAAAATTTGAAAATTGATGCTATGGACATTTGTGGACATCAGGCACCATCTCCTAGCATCCTCATTTCACTCTAAATTTGCATTTTTCTTTGCACAAACTCAAGAGAATCTTGATTCACTCAAATAAGCAATTGCAAACTGTAACTGTTTAAAAACCAAAACTTTAAATGGATGAATTGTATGGGATGTGGATTATATCTCAATAAAGCTGTCAAAAAATAGTTTCTCTTGCAACTTTTATCTGGGTGAATCAAGATTTTCCTTTATTAAACAGAGAGGGAAGCAGACACTTCATTACAGCCTGGACAAAAATCTATTAACCTGAAACAGAACTTAATGTGTTGATGATCTCCACTGTTTTGAAATTTCGCCTTCAATACATTCATAAGTGAGTTTTTTTTTTTTTTTGAGACAGAGTCTCGCTTTGTTGCCCAGGCTGGAGTGCAGTGGAGCAATCTGGGCTCACTGCAACCTCCACTTCCCAGGTTCAAGGGATTCTCATGCCTCAGCCTCCCGCGTAGCTGGGATTACAGGTGCACATCACCATGCCTGGCTAATTTTTGTATTTTTAGTAGAGACGGGGTTTCACTATGTTGGCCAGGCTGGTCGCAAACTTCTGACCTCAGATGATCTGCCCGCCTCGGCCTCCCAAAGGGCTGAGATTATAGGCATGAGCTACTGTGCCTGGCCAAACTTAGTTTTTTAAACTACAGTTTTAAAATACAGTCATGTGCCATATAATGACAATTCAGTTAATGACAGACTGTATATACAACAGTGGTCCATAAGTTTTTTGGGGGGGGGTAGGGAATGGAGTTTCTCTCTTGTTGCCCAGGCTGCAGTGCAATGGCAGATCTTGGCTCACTGTAACCTCCACCTCCCGGGTTCGAGCGATTCTCCTGCCTCAGCCTCCCCAGCAGCTGGGATTACAGGCGCACGTCACCATGCCGGGCTAATTTTTATATTTTTAGTAGAAACGGGCTTTCACCATGTTGGCCAGGCTGGTCTCAAACTCCTGACCTCAGGTGATCCATCCGCCTCAGCCTCCCAAAGTGCTGGGATTACAGGCATGAGCCATCACACCTGGCCCCATAAGGTTATAATGCCGTATTTTTACTGTAGCTTTTCTAGGTTTAGATATGTTTAGGTACACAAATGCTTATCACTGTGTTACAATTGCTTACAGTAGCAACTGTAACACAGTCACATGCTGTACAGGTTTGTGGCCCAGGAGTAATAGACCATATCATATAGCCTAGATGTGTCGTAGCCTATGCCACCCAGGTTTGTGTAAGCACAGTCTATGACGTTTACACAATGATGAAATTTCCTAATCATGCCTTTCTCAGAACTTATCCTTATTGTTAAGTCAGGAGTCTGACTGTAGTTTAAAACATACTTTAAAACAGAAATTGGAATTCAAAAGTTTGAGGACGCCCCTTGAAGTGTCTCTGAAGAATGAGTTTCATAGCATGCTATTTGGCAACTACTGGTCTCTTAATAATTGGGCACCTATTATAGCTGCCTGACTTTTCCACATATTCCTCTATGTTGCTCTCCTGTTTATTCACCATAGGCAAGCTCTCTGGAGCAGAAATCCTGCTTTGCACGTCAGGAAAAAAACTTAGTACCAGGCCTGGCACAGGGCTCATGGTCAGCTAGTGGTTTGTTCTTGCTGTCATTTCAATGAAATAGAATTAAACACCTGTCTCGATGTGATCTGGTGAGTCCTCAGCACCTGTTCTTGAGTTGTCTGGTGAAAAGTAAAATGATAATGCATTTTTTTTTCTTTTTTTGTGTGAGATGGAGTCTCACTCTGTCACCCAGGCTGGAGTGCAGTGGTGAGATTTTGGCTCACTGCAACGTTCACCTCCTAGGTTCAAGCAGTTCTCCTGTCTCAGCCTCCTAAGTAGTGGGGATTACAGGCATGCACCACCATGTCCAGCTAATTTTTGTATTTTTAGTAGAGACAGGGTTTCAACATGTTGGCCAGGCTGGTCTCAAACTCTTGACCTCGTGTGATCCTCCCAACTCAGCTTCCCAAAGTGCTGGGATTATAGGCGTGAGCTACAATGCCCAGCCAGTAATGCAATTTTTATGTAATAGAAGTTATAAATAAAAATAACAGCTAATATGAATTAAACTCTGCGTCATAAGATGCACTTGGATTTCCTCATTCAGTTATCACAACTCTATGCAGTAAGTGCTGTTATACCCCCATTTCACCAAAGAAAAAACTGAGGCTGCCAGATCACAAAGGAGAAATTGTGGCTATAGACAACAGCAGGGAAGCTGAGAGCTGGGACTCCAACCAGGTAGTCAGACTCCAGAGCCAGCTTAGAAATGATCTGAAGCCACTGGACAGGCCAATTTGGAAGACAAAGGAAAGAGAAATCCGAGAGCCCAGGACGGAGTCAGGCAGAGGAGGAACCTGCAAAGGAATGGCCACTGGACAGGAGGAAAACCAGAAGAGAGAAGTGTTTCATGGAAACCAAGAGAGATGAGCTAGGTGTGATGAGTGTGGAAAGTCGTTTCTCAAACTTGGCATCAAGGACGCTCTTGGTAACCTTGACAAGAGCAGCCCCTACATCCAGGTTTCTCAACTGTGACACTACTGACATTTGGGGCCAGATAATTCCATGTTGTGGGGGGCTGTCCTATGCATTGTAGATGTTCAGCAGTATCCCTGGCCTCTGCTCACTTGATGCTGGTAGCAACACCCTTCCCCAGTTGCAACAATAAAGAATGTTCTCGGCCGGGCGCGGTGGCTCACGCCTGTAATCCCAGCACTTTGGGAGGCCGAGGAGGGCGGATCACGAGGTCAGGAGATCGAGACTATCCTGGCTAACACGGTGAAACCCCGTCTCTACTAAAAATACAAAAAATTAGCCGGGCGTGGTGGCGGGTGCCTGTAGTCCCAGCTACTCAGGAGGCTGAGGCAGGAGAATGGTGTGAACCCGGGAGGCGGAGCTTGCAGTGAGCCGAGATCGCACCACTGCACTCCAGCCTGGGCAACAGAGCAAGACTCTGTCTCAAAAAAAAAAAAAAAAAAAGAATGTTTTCAAACACTGCCCTAGATGTCCCCAGGTACAAAATCATCCTAGGTTGAGCACTACTGCTCTGCAGAGTGGTGGGCGGAAGCCAAATTGGAGTAGGCAGAGGAGGGAATGGGAGGCAAGGGAGAGGAGAAAGCTTCCACAGACATGCGCAGAAGTGGGAGCTGGAGGTGGGGGCGGGGACAAGGGAATGTTGTTCTAAAACTTTCATGTATGTGTGTGTATATATATGTGTGTGTGTGTGTGTTTCATATATGTGTTTGTGTGTGCGTGTGTGTTTATATATATGATAAGAGATAGCAGAGAAGGACTGTAGGTTGATGGCAATGACACAGGAGAGAGTGAACGTTTGCTGATTTGCTGATGAAGGAGAGAGATATATAAAGAGAGAAAGACAGAAACAGCAGGTGTGAATTTCTGGGGTAGGCAACAAGAAATGGGATCCAGACTACAAGTTGCGCGATTTGCCTTTGCAGGAGTAGAGACATTTGCTCTGGTATAAGAGAAGGAAGAGAGGCCCTATGCAGAAGTAGATGTAGGAAGGCGTGTGTATTTGGTGATGGGGAGAGGAGGGAGCTCCCATCTGTTGGCTTCTATTTTCCCAGCCAAGCCTGCGACAGGGTCATCGGCAGAGCTGGGATGGAGACGGAGGAGGAGGGAGGAAAAGGCACAGAATTCTTATCTTGGAGTGCAGCAAAGCAGGCTAAAAGGAGAAGGGGGAAGGATTGCTAGGCCGTGTTGATAGCCCATTTGCAGTCTGAGGCCAGGAATTTGAAATGAGGCCAGCCCATGTGGTGTGAGAATTTTCTCTGGCAACTTCATCTGCTCTGGGAGCAGCATGGAGTGCGTGGATGAAGCCTCGGTGACTGGCAGCAGCTCCCCAGGCAGCCTACGGGAGCAGGGTCCTCATTAAGGACCAATCATTAAGTTGCTCTCCCTTGGGCCTGAGAGAAACATGGGGGTATCTTTGCACTTTCAAGATCAAGAACGGAGGGGGTGCCGGGCACGGTGGCTCACACCTGTAATCCCAGCACATTGGGAGGCTGAGACAGGCGGATCATTTGAGGTCAGGAGTTCGAGACCAGCCTTGCCAACATGGTGAAATCCCATCTCTACTAAAAATACAAAAATTAGCCAGTCATGATGGGGGGTACCTGCAATCCCAGCTACTTGGGAGGCTGAGGCAGGAGAATTGCTTGTACCTGGGAGGCGAAGGTTGCAGTGAACCGAGATCACGCCACTGCTGGGTGATAGAGCGAGACTCAGTCTCAAACACACACACACACACACACACACACACACACACACACACACATACACACTGGAAGGGGTCCCAGCAGCATCCTCCAATCCCCAGAAGCAGATGCACAAATCTGCTAGAGCACATGCAATTCCCCATATCCATGCCCTGTAGAGCCTGTGAGCCCCTATTTTACCCTACCAAGAAGAAAACCAAAGTTTGCTGACATTCCACAGTCTCTCCGTGGACACCACTGCTCCTCTGCCATTCACATCTGCCTCTACCCTCAATGCCACTTTCCTTTTGGCTCCCATCGACAGTCCCGGGGCCGGAGGAGGAGGGGGTGGCAGCAGGTATGAGCAATGAGACCAGGTGGAAATCAACATGGAAAATTCTAGACATTATGATCTGCTTGTCTTAAAATGAGGGAAGTTCACTATTGGACATGAGACAAAAGGACACTTTCTCGAGAAGGATTTAAATTCACCCTAATACTGGACTTCATCCATCGCCTCACAGAGAACTTAGGAGTAAGACATTCCAGAAGCCTTGAACACTGATCACTTCATTGGAGCCTGAAAGTCAAATTAGAAAATCTCTGGTGATTTATTTTTTAAAACTATATTCACTTATTTAATATTTTTATGGTTTTTAATTTATTGATACATAGTAGATATACATATTTTCGAGGCATATGTGATAATTTGATACATTCATATAGTCAAATCAAGGTAACTGAGATATCTACCACTTTAAATATTTATCTCTTCTTTATGCCAGGAACATTTGAATTATTCTCTTCTGGCTCTTTTGAGATCTACACTAAGGCCAGGCATAGTGGTTCACGCCTCTAATTTCAACACTTTGGGAGGCCAAGGTGGGAGGATTGCTTGAGCCCAGGAGTTTCAGACCAGCCTGAGCAACATAGTAAGACCCCATCTCTAAAAAAATAAAAAATTAGCTGGACATGGTGGCACACATCTGTGGTTCCAGCCACTTGAGAGGCTGAAATGGGAGGATCGCTTGAAGCTGCAGTGAACTGTGATCATGCCACTGCATTCCAGCCTGGGTAACAGAGCAAGATCCTGTCCTCCCCAGAAAGACATGTACAATAGATTGATGTTAGTATAGTTACCCCATTGATCTATCAAATATCTGATGACTTACTTTGACTCAACTCAAGAATGCGTCCATAAGCCAATTTTATGATTTGTGTGGCATTTGGAACATCCCTGAAGTGTTAGGGTGTGACCAGCAGCAAAGGAGTGCACGACTTCCAACGTCCTGGTGGAAATGTCATATCATTGTAAGGGCATCAGGGATGCCTGCTTTCTGAGCATCTCCACAGTGTGGCAGCTGGCCAGGCTATCGCCAAGAGGTGGCCTAACCTCACACAGGGGCTCTCAAATGAAGTGAAAAAGACAAATAGCGCATGATTCCACTTACATAAGGTTTCTAAAAGAGTCAAATTTAGATAATCCAGTAGTAGATTGATGGTTGCTAGGGGTCGGGGAGGGGGCTAAGGGTGAAGAGTGGGCTCCTAACCAAGGAGCATGAAGTTTCAGTTAAGCAAGATGAATAAGCTATAGAATCTTCTGCCCAGCGTTGTACCTATAGCCAACAATGATGTTAACATAGTTACCCCACTGATCTATCAAATATCTTTATTGACACCCATAAAACTTTGTTAAGAGGATAGATCTCATGTTAAATGTTCTTACCACAATAAAATAATTTTTTTTTTTTTGGAGATGGAGTCTCGCTCTGTTGCCCAGGCTGGGGTGGAGCAGCATGATCTCGGCTCACTGCAACCTCTGCCTCACGAGTTCAAGAGAGTCTCCTGCTTCAGCCTCCCGAGCAGCTGGGACCATAGGTGTGCGCCACCATGCCCAGCTAATTTTTGTATTTTTAGTAGAGACAGGGTTTTACCATGTTGGCCAGGCTGGTCTTGAACTCCTGGGCTCAAGTGATCCACCTGCCTCGGCTTCCCAAAGTGCTGGGATTACAGGCGTGAGCCACTGTGCCTGGCCAAAATAAAATTTGTAAAAAAAGAATTCACTGGAGAGCTTGTTAAAACACAGATTCCTAGATACTGTGGGTAAGGTCCCAAAATTAGCATTTCTCAGCTCCCCAGGAGGCTGGTGCTGCTGGTCTGGGGACCACACCTTATTACCACAGTGGAAGAAGATGGGATGCTGTCAGGTTGGAGTTTGAATTCCAGCCTCATCCAGCTTTGCAAGCTTGAGCAAGTGATGTCAATGCTCACCTGTAAAATGGAATCAGAGTATGGTACACCTTGAGAAGTTGTTTTGGAAATCAGAGAGAAGTCACGTTAAGTCCAAGGTCCTAAGTAGGTGCCCAGTAAAAGAAAGCAGTTGCTATTTTTGTCACCATTTTAACACACCTCCACAACTCACAGCTGTTTGGATTAGGCATTCAAGACAAGCATTGACTTAGCCTCAAAAGTCGTGAGGAGGTTACTGAATTGGTAATCTCTCCACCCTCTCTTCCTCCTCTTCTGAACACCCAGGCACCAAAATAGCCCCTAACACCCACCAATGCACTGCCAGCGATGACATTTCTAAGCGGAGGAGATAACTGATCACTTTCAAATTCTGTAATATTTTAA
This sequence comes from Homo sapiens, assembly GCF_000001405.40. Classification (NCBI taxonomy): domain Eukaryota; kingdom Metazoa; phylum Chordata; class Mammalia; order Primates; family Hominidae; genus Homo; species Homo sapiens. Next base: position 91,100,189 of record NC_000014.9, on the reverse strand, counting down.
GTACATTATCTTTGAAATCTGGGTCAGGATGAATATTGAACTTGGGCTCATCAAATGTTAAAGCTGAAAGGAAACTTCGAAACCATCTAATTTTCTTTTCTTTTCTTCTTCTTCTTTTTTTTTTTTTTTTTTTTGAGACAGAGTTTCACTCTTGTTGCCCAGGCTGGAGTGTAATGGCGTGATCTTGGCTCACCGCAACCTATTGCCTCCCGGGTTCAAGCAATTCTCCCGCCTCAGCTTTCTGAGTAGCTGGGATTACAGGCATGTGCCACCATGCCCGGCTAATTTTGTAGAAACCATCTAATTTTCTAGTTAAAGGTGAGGATGTCGAAGGTGAGGAAACTGAGACCTAGGGAGGGGTAGCAACTTGCCCAAGGTGGCACAGCAAGTCCAAGGGCAAGGGCAGAACTGGAAACCATGTGTGCTGCCTGCTGGCCCTGGCTCAGACTTTCACAGCCTGATTCTCAGCCCAACTGACCCAAAATGCTATGCTTTCCTAAATAAAACTGCAGATCCCCTGGGTTGGTGGGGATACCCAGAACTGAGTGGGAATAATTCTCATTCTATGGTGATATTCACCTAAGGGAACAGATCAGAATCTCTAAGAAAAAAAGGGAGATTTTTATGCTTATCAGCGAAGGGCATTTTTTTTTTTTTTTTTGAGATTGGGTCTCTGTCGCCTAGGCTGGAGTACAGTGGTGCGATCGCAGCTCACTGCAGCCTCAACCTTCTGGGCTCAAACAATCCTCCCACTTCGGCCTCTCCAGTAGCTGGGACTACATGTTTATGCTCCCATGCCTGGCTAATTTTTGTATTTTTTGTAGAGACGGGGTTTCACCATGTTGGCCAGGCTGGTCTCGAGCTCCTGACCTCAAGTGATCTGCCTGCCTCGGCCTCCCAAAGTATTGGGATTATAGGCATGAGTCACCGTGCCTGGCCAGTGAAGGGCATTTGTTTAAAAGTGTTTGGAAACTCTGACCCCACACCATGTGACCTCCTTTCTTAAACTGCTGTTCTCTTCAGTAGGTTAGGAAGTAGTCCCATTTGTTGGCCTTAATTCTTCTAAAGCTACCTCCTGCATCAAGCAGCCTCCTTTCTTCGGCTCTTCATCTTCTCTCATTCTCCTTACACTGTATCCCAAATGCAGAGAGAGCTTGCTCTGTGCCTAGAGCAGAACAGACATCTTTTACCTTTACTTAACTCATCAAGATAAATAAGCTAAAGACCTACATGCATTAAATTTTCTTTTATTCCATTATTTTCCACTATTCAATCAGCCAATATTTATAGGAGCCTATTACTTGCTAAGCATTCATTAACTGTTGCTGCGCTTACAAGGAAAGTCCCTTACTCTCATTCCATAAATATGTACTGAGTGTACCGAGGATGTGCTGGCCATGGGCCACATGGGTTATTCAATGATCAACAAGGTAACACAATCCCTGTCCTCATAGAGTATCGAGTCTGCCTTCTAAGAAATGACATCTTTTTGGCAAGAGGACAGGCCTGCAGCAGTGGTCAGGATGAGGCAGGTACTCATCCTGAGGCTGGAGGTGGCTCACACAAGCTTGTGGGAGCTGAGTGTTAAATTTTTGGGAAGTTTGTGAGCCAGTTGTTAAATACAGCCATTATTAGAAATTAAATCATATAAACATAATTTAATAAGTTATATTAAAAAGCAAAGGTAATACACACTCAAAGCTCATCACCTAATTATTTTATTTTTTATTTTTGAGACAGAGTCTTACTCTGTCACCCAGGCTGGGAGTGCAGTGGTGCCAACACAGCTCACTACAGCCTTGACCTCAAGCTCAAGCAATCCTCCTGCCTCAGCCTCCTGAGTAGCTGGGACTTACAGATGCGCACCATCATGCTTGGCTGATTTTTGGTTTTGTTTTAGAGATAAGGTCCCACCATGTTGCCCAGGCTGGTCTCTAACTCCTGGGCTCAAGTGATCCTCCTGCCTCAGCCTTCTGAAGTGCTGGGATTATAGGCATGAGCTATGAACTATGGTTCCCAGCCACTTCCTAATTATTTTCTGATGTTTTACTATCATCTCTGCTGTTAGGGTCCTTTACATCTATATGGTAGAAATGCTACATAATGGTGGCCTGTGGGGCATTTCCTAGCTCTGCATTCAGTGCCATCAGGCTAACAGCTTGGCATTGGCTGTAGTGGGGAATATTTATATTATGAACATTGGCAAATGCTACAAACTAGGATTTTTTTCTCTTTTTCTTCCAGAAAGCTGGTTGTTAAACATTTACTAAAACACCACTGGATACAAGTGACATCATACAAGGTAGGAGGAGTCAAATGAGTAATTAACATTTGGAGGAGGAGGCAAAATTAGCTGGGCGTGGTGGCACACGCCTGTAATCCCAGCTACCAGGGAGGCTGAAGCAGAAGAATTGCTTGAACCCAGGAGATGGAGGTTGCAGTGAGCCAAGATCACGCCATTGCACTCCAGCCTGGGCAACAAGAGCGAAACTCCGTCTCAAAAAAAAAAAAAAGGGAGGGGAGGGGGTCCTTGATCGCCAAGTAGAGAGAGACATGGGGTCAAGGTGAGGGTGGGCAAGCTGTCTACAAGCCTGCCTTGTGGGGACTGTCTGTGTTGAACTGTTTTTGGAGGGAAACATGAGGCTTAACAAATAGCTTTATTGAGATTTATTTCTCAAACATACACATTCACCTAAAGTGTATAACTCAATAATTTTTTGCATATTCATGGAACTTTGCAACCTCACCACAATTTTAAAACATTTTCTTTGCTTTTTTTGTTTTTGTTTTTTTTGAGACAGTGTCTCGCTCTGTCACCCAAGCTGGAGTCCAGTGAGGCAATCACAGTTCACTGCAACCTCCACCTCCTGGCCTCAAGCAACCCTCTCACCTCAGCCTCCCAAGTAGCTGGGACCACAGGCACGTGTCACACCCAGCTAATTTTTGTATTTTTTCGGTATAGACAGGGTTTCACCATATTGCCCAGGCTGGTCTTGAACTCTTGGACTCAAGCAGTCTTCCTGCTTTGAACTCCTAAAGTGCTGGGATTACAGGCGTGAGCCACTGCCCCCAGCCTAAAACTTTTCATCACCCCAAAAGAAACTCCCAGACCTGTTAGCAGTCACTCCCCATTTACGCCAATCTCTTTTTTCTCCAGCCCAAGGCAACCACCACCAGTCTATTTTTTGCTTCTATAGATTTAAGGCTATTTTTTTAAGCTGACACAGAAATCTGAAATTGTATGAGTTAATCTTGGAGAGTGTTTCATGGGCAGCATGCCCTGTGCCAACCCAGCAATTTCTCCAATTTTCCCAGTGCGAGCTCAGTAAAATTGCCTCTTGACTACAGCTGACCCACTCCCTCTCAGTGGGCCAACTTGTTCCCTACCCTGGGAAGGATCAAGGGAGAAAAATTCCTACAGGTGAGCTGAGTGGTCAGCCTCAGGCTGAATGTACACGCTGAAACCTTGGTAGGTGCAGAAGTCGGAGGAACAAGCCAGGGGGGTGGGCAGGGGAAGGCACTCAGCTGAACATGGGCCTAAGTGCGAGAGTGGACCCCGACACTCTAAGGGCAGACAAGCCTCTCTGGAGAACTGTGCTGTGGTCAGTCCCCAGGCAATTTCAAGAAAAGTCACAACCTGTATAGCTGTACAAACTCCTCCATCCGTTACTGACTTGGCCCCAGGAGGAGTCACCAGTGAGAGGGTCGCACTCCCCAATTTTCAATAATGCATCTCCCTGCTGGTTCTTCCTTCCCACCCCCGGCCCTGAGATGGAGTCTCGCTCTGTCACCCAGGCTGGAGTGCAGTGGCACAATCTTGGCTCACTGCAACCTCCGCCTCCCAGCTTCAAGCAATCAAGCGATTCTCCTGCCTCAGCCTCCCAAGTAGCTGGGATTATAGGTGCGCATCACCACACCTGGCTAATTTTTGTATTTTTAGTAGAAACGGGGTTTTGCCATGTTGGCCAGGTTGGTCTCGAACTCCTGACCTCAGGTGATCTGCCTGCCTCAGCCTCCCAAAGTGCCACCGCGCCCAGCCTCCCTACTGGTTCAATTGGCCACTTGTGCAATACAAAGTGAGGAGATGACAAAGACCCCCACCTATCTCAAAACATTCCCACTACCAAATACTAGCATCTGAAATCCTTGTCATTCCTTTGAGTTATACCATTATCCCCAGAGGCCATGAGTGAAATTCTTGTTATAGGGGATTGGAAGTGGGTGGAAGGGCACTAGCACCTGGCTCAGGTCAGCAAGACTTTACCTTGGAAAGCAGGGGCTGGACTCTGCATGCGGTGGGACACTGAAGATGTGAGCTTTGGATTGAGGCAGTGATGGTCTAGATGACAAAGATATAGAAGATGTGTTTTGGGGAAAGGTGGGCCCAGACGGAAAGCTGGGGAGGGAGGGGTGGGCCAACGGAGAGTACCACTGAAGAGGTGTATAAAGGAGAGCTGCCATTTTTCTCCCCCCATTTGCAGAGTCTTCTTCCACTCCATCTTTCTCTCTTCCCATCCCACACTATAAATAATTGCAAGTCTTTGTTCTTTGCCTTGGGAATAGCTTCTCCAGCTGTTGCCACATTTCTGAACCGAATAAAGCATCTCTTTTGAAATCCACAAAAGAAACAGATTGAACTATGGTGTATTCTTTTTAAGAGGCTTGACTCTACCAGGAAAAAAAAGCTCCCTTACCAAAGAAAGAACATGGAGTGCACGTCATAGCCACTTGCCTTCACGTGTAAAGATGCGGTGACAAGCACCCTTATTCTTAGCCACTGGCCTTGTGGCAGGAAGCGAGCCAGGCAAGGACAGGGCACAGGCAGAGTGGCAGCCTCTGCCGACCCTGAGAACCAGCCTCCTCCTCCCTCCTGGTGCCCCTAGGAATCAGCATATCCCAACCATGACTCCTAGAAGTTCTTCAGGAACAGGTGGACTAATTTCTCAGCAATAGTCACTGTTTTTGTGATATGAAGGAAAGCGGTTCTAGAAGGCAGGACCGCCGAGGATGGACATCTGCTCTGCTGCTGCTAAGAAGAAAAGCAAGTGGGCACATGGTCTGCTTTCAGGGGCAAATGAACTGGGGGGGCAGGGGGAATTTCTCATGGGTGCTGTCTCATGACCAGAGGAGACGGCTAGAGTTTTGTGTGGCTAGGAGAGGTGACCAGCTGCTGGAGGGCAGCTGCTGCTTTAGATCACCCATGCCTGGACCCAGAGCGAGCAGGTTCCATTCATCACAGCTTGTGTTGGATCCTTTTACAAAGTGGTATATCCTTAATATAGATGTCCACAGGCTGATGACAGCCCTGTCTCATGAGATCATGGCTTGAGTTCTCACTCGAGGCCTGAAGACTTTTTTTTTTTTTTGAGAGAGAGTTTTGCTCTTGTCACCCAGGCTAGGGTGCAATGGCGAGATCTTGGCTCACTGCAACCTCTACTTCCCAGGTTCAAGTGATTCTCCTGCCTCAGCCTCCCGAGTAGCTGGGATTACAGGTGCCCATCACCACACCCAGCTAATTTCTGTATTTTTAGTAGAGATGGGGTTTCACCATGTTGGCCAGACTGGTCTCGAACTCCTGACCTCAGCCTCCCAAAGTGCTGGGATTATAGGAGTGAGCCATTGCGCCTGACCCAGGCCTGAAGACATTCTGAAGCACTCCCACCCATGTCTACAGGCTCCCAGCTTCTGTCTGCATGGTCACCTCTGCCTCTGGGATCCTGTTTCCACATGGGCTGTAGTTGCTTTTTTTTTTTTGGGGACAGAGTCTCGCTCGGTCGCCCAGGCTAGAGTGCAGTGGCATGATCTTGGCTCACTGCAACCTCCACCTCCCGGGTTCAAGCGATTATCCTGCCTCAGCCTCCTGAGTAGCTGGGATTACAGGCACCTGCCACCGCACCCGGCTAATTTTTCTATTTTTAGTAGAGACAGGGTTTCACCATATTGGCTAGGCTGGTCTCGAACTCCTGACCTCATGATTCACCCACCTCAGCCTCCCAAAGTGCTGGGATTATAGGCGTGAGCTACCGTGCCCAGCCTGTAGTTGCTCTTTTTGACTTTTGTTGTAAATTGTGGTAAAATGCACATAACATAAGATGCACTCGTTTTCAAGCGTACAATTTAGTGGTATTAAGTATCTGCATAGTGTTGGGCAACTATCAGCATTATCTAGTTCCAGAACTTTTCATCACCCCACATGGAAACCCTATACCTGTTAAGCAGTCACTTCTCATTCCACAGATCCAGTCCCTGCAACCACTGATCTGCCTCCTCCCTCTATGGCGTCACCTGTTTGGAACATTTCATGTAAATGGAACCATACAAGATGTGACCTTTTGTGACTGGCTTCTCTCACTTGGCATAATGGTCTTCTGTTTGTTTGTTTGTTTGTTTGTTTTGTTGCTCTGTCACCCAGGCTAGAGTGCAGTGGCTCCATCTCAGTTCACCGTGACCTCCGTCTCCTGGGTTCAAGGAATTCTCATGCCTCAGCCTCCCAAGAAGCTGGGATTACAGGCATGCACCAACACAATTGGTTCACTTTTGTATTTTTAGTAGAGATAGGGTTTTGCCATGTTGGCCAGCTGGTCTCAAACTCCTGGTCTCAAGCAATCCACCCACCTTGGCCTCAAGCAATCCACCCACTTTGGCTTCCCAAAGTGCTGGGATTACAGGCATGAACCACCATGCCCAGGTAGCATAATGTTTTGAGGTTCATTCATATTGCTGCATGGATCAGTCTTCAATTCCTTTTTATAGCTAGATAATATTCCATTTCATGGATCTACCACATTTCGCTTCTCTGCTGGTGCTGTTTTGTACCTCATCTACCCAAATACAAAACTTGCATTTCCATTTCCACAACAATCCCTGCTCACAGTTTCCTCATGGGGATAATGATACTTCATCACATCCTGTAAGGGTTAAATAATACACAACATGTAAAGCGACCAAAAGCACCTAGCAACTAGTGCTCAATAATATATTATTAATTATTATATCATCATTATAGTCATTATGCAATCATTATGATCATATAAATTCCTCCAACCTCTTGTTTTCTGTTGTATCTATTCATTTGTTTCACAAATTATCTTTTTTTTTTTTTTTTTGAGACTGAGTTTCACTCTGTGGCCCAGGCTGGAGTGCAGTGGCACGATCTTGGCTCACTGCAACCTTTGTCTCCCGGATTCAAGTGAGTCTCCTGCCTCAGCCTCCCGAGTAGCTGGGACCATAGGCGCCTGCCACCATGCTCGGCTAATTTTTGTATTTTTAGTAGAGACAGGGTTTCACCATGTTGGCCAGGCTGGTCTTGAACTCCTGACCTCAGGTGATCCACCTGCCTCGGCCTCCCAAAATGGTGAGATTACAGGTGTGAGGCACTGCACTTGGCCCACAAAATATCTTAAATGCAATTATGGTTGGATAGCCGCAGAGAGATGTCTGGATTAGGTACTTGCAAGGATTATGTTGAATTGCATACTCCTTTGGTTCCCAATCTGGGGCCATGAAGCCATGAGATCTCTATTATACCGTTACAGCAAGGAGTTCATGAACCACAACTGCAGCAAGCATTTTCTAGCACTCAGTGGCTACCCTTTCTCTCCTACACATACAGGCACTACTGTTTCTCAAATGTGTGCAGTCTCTGTTGAGAATGAATAAAAGATAAGTCATATAAAATCCTTTTATCATCAAGTGTCTTCTCAATCTAACCAATACTCAAGATGCCACTTTTCTCATAGGGAGATCTTCATATTTGAGAAGATTAGAACCCACTAGCATACAGCAACACTAAAAGAAACCAAAACGATTCAACTCAGTATGGAAATCAAATGATTAACAAGAGTTTATTGAACACCTACTACAAGTTTGGTACTATTCTAAGCACCATGGTGGGGGAGTGTGGATATGAATATGCAGAAGATAGTTTCTGTCCTGCACACTCTGTAATTGGGAAGAGCAGCCGTAGGCCAGTACAGTAGTCAAGAATGTGTCAGCATAAGATCAAGCGTTAAATTAGTACTATGGCTAATACATGAAATTAACATGGGCTGAAGTCATCAGGAAAGGCTCCAAGGAAGAGTCTGGCTTGAAGCATAGGCATGTTTTTAAAGGGGCAGGGAGCTCCAGGTAGGTAGAGGCAGGAATGAGAAAGGAATCTTAGAGTATAGATATTGGCCTGCCTGGAGTCAAGGGTTTGATTTGGAAGACATGGTCAATTTCCGTGAGTAGGACATCAGAGGACAGAGCCCTAGAGGTGCAAGGATGACTGAGGGGCAGTCAAAAGCCACTGATGTTTTAGAGCAGAGGAGAGTTGAAGGAAGGCCGTGTCCCAAAATGCTCAGCCTGGCTGAGGCAGGAGAGTCTGTGTTCAGGGGACTTGGGTATGTTCATTCCCGGATACAGTCATTAAAGGGACTCCATAAGGGATGGAACAGGGGTCTCTGTACTTAGACTGATCTCTTACGACAGCACCTGGGCGTCTTTGCCCTCTATACCAACTATCTTCTGCCCCAAACATGCACATGTGAATTGTCCAGACAGGCTATGGACCTTTGTCCAGTTGTCAGAACTTTTTGCATTATTTCCACGTTCAGGAAAAGGCATATGCCCTCTGAGAACAGACAAATGGACAGAAGTTTTTATTTTTCATTTTATTTTTATTTCATTTATTTATTTATTTATTTTTGTCGCCCAGGCTGGAGTGTAGTGGCGTGATCTAGGCTCACTGCAACCTCTGCCACCCAGGTTCAAGCGATTCTCCTGCCTCAGCCTCCCAAGTAGCTGGGATTACAGGCACCTGCCACCGCGCCTGGCTAAGTTTTGTAGTTTTTAGTAAAGACGGGGTTTTACCATGTTGCCCAGGCTTGTCTTGAACTCCAGAGCTCAAGTGACCCACCCACCTCGGCCTCCCAAAGTGCTGAGATTACAGGCGTGAGCCACTGCGTCCGGCCGGAATTTTTTTTTGAGGGGGGCTTTCCAGAAGAGGAATTTATGGAGAGGAATGTATTGTATTATATATTGTATTGTATGGTATTGTATTGTATTTTTATTTGGGGCTTTTCAGTAAAGACCAGAAAACCTTCTAGACAAATTGTAAAAGAGTTGTAACACTGGACAGGGAATTTGCCAAGCTGGCTTAACAGATGTCTTCCCAATCCTCAACACTCCTTAAAGCAATAGCCCTTCAGGGGTAAAGTCCATGCTGACCACACCTTCCTCCCTCTCTTGCAGAGGGCAAAGGGTAGAAGACCAAGAGGCTGAGGTGTTTGGAGAAGCCAGGGAAATGGGTGGATTCGCCCTGCAGGATGCAGCCTCTGAGCTGTAGGATGCTCACCCACAGTCACCCTGGAAGATGGAGCCATCCCCACCCTCCCTGTGCACATTTGCTGGGAGTTTGACAGGGACAGTGGAGATGGAACAGCCAAGGCTCCACCAGATGTCTTAGGCATCTTCCTCAGTGTCTCCTTCTTCCCATCAGTCCTGGAGAACCTATCTGTGACCAAATAGGGTCAGAGGGGAGCTGGATCATGTACCCCAAGGCCACCAGTGGACTTTCCTGACATCAACAAGCTCCTGCTAGTGGCTCTTAGTTTGCTAACCAGGACAGAGCTCCCCTAGAGCCATGGCAGGAGGCAGAGCATCCCTGACCTTCATGACCAAACGCTGCCCAACCCTCAGGAACTCCCTGTTGTTTTCAGCCCAGATGAGGAAGGATGCTTATGGCCAAAGTCATGCAGGAGGCTGGGAGAAGGTTTTAAAAACTCACAGAGGATGTAGCTTGTGGGGCAGTGGCATCTAAAACAAAAAAAAAGAAACAGAGCATGTGGAGGCAAATTCACTGTCATTCAACAGGTACCCTCACCGCTCCTTTTTCTGGCTGAGGTCCAGGGAGAGTAAGTGGTCCTCACCGAGATCCATGACTGGGATGGAAGCCAGTTTACTTCCTCATCTGTGGGGGTTCCCCCATAAGAACCTGATGTAATTTCAGACCCTGTCTGGAACAAGGTGTTTTCCTCCCTGTGGCGGTGCAATGAAAGCGTGCTCAGCCAGTGAGGAGAGGGGAATGGGTTTTAGGGCAGGTGTTTCTGCAGCCGCCAGCCAGATACCTGCACAGTCAGATGTTTCCTCCTTCGTCAGGGCCCCACTTGTGCACCTCAGTAGAGGTGGACAGATTGTCCCATGATTGGATCAGTGGGTTGTATGTAGGGTGCATAGAGGTTTTGGCTTGTATGAGACCATTCCGGGTTACATCTGTTGTCCCAGAGTAATTACTAATAACGTCCCTTTTCATTATTTTCTTTATAAAAATTTTATTTTTAATTTTTGTGGGTACATAGTAGATGACCCTTTTCATGCTTTTTTTTTTTTTGAGACAGAGTCTCACTCTGTCACCCATGCTGGAGTGTAGTGGCGTGATCTCGGCTCACTGCAAGCTCTGCCTCCAGGGTTCAAGTGATTCTCCTGTATCAGCCTCCCAAGTAGCTGGGATTATAGGCATGCGCCACTATGCCTGGTTAATTTTTGTATTTTTAGTAGAGATGGGATTTCACATGTTGGCCAGGCTGGTCTCAAACTCCTGATCTCAAGTGTTCCGCTCGCCTCGGCCTCCCAAAGTGCTGGGATTACAGGTGCAAGCTACTGTGCCCGGCCACCCCTTTCATTCTTAAAATGTCTTAGTTTCGACAATAAATTGCTTGGTCACCCTAGTTTATAAGGCGACAGACTTACATAAAGCACGCAAAGCTGCTTAAGCCAAGAGAGGGTTTTATTGCCAGAACTACAGGAAAGTCAGACATGATGAGAACCAGAGACTCCCCTGAGGGGTCCCTCACCGTCTCTCCTGCTTCTTTCTGCCCTGTGGCTCTAGTTGCCTTTTCTCTCTGCACAGTCACCCTTTTCTTCCTGACAGAGCTGCCACCGGCTCCTGAGTTGGACATTTGGCAGTTTCCATCATCAAAAGAACCCTGACTTTCTCAGATGCAATCCACCAAAAATACCCAGGAAGAAACTTACTGTCCCATGGTGGGCAGGAGGGCAAGATGTTTCCAGAATCTTGCAGCTGTCTAGGGAACCATGATGAGAATGGAGGAAGAGGCAGTTTTTAGAAGGGGCAACTGGTGCGGAATGGACAATTCCTTCAGTGTCTGGTACAATCAGCATCAAGTATTTATTGAGTGGGCCCTGTGGCATTGATCTAACCACTAGCTTGTTAAATGTGTACCAGACCGAAGTCTATTCCCCTTTAGTTTCCACAGAGAGATGCCATTCATCCTGGGGACAGAGCTGGCCTTGGAACAGAAGAAAGGAACTTCCTTGCTTGGGAGGGCGGGGTCCCCAAGGAAAGATAGATGCTGCTTCCCAGAATACATGTGGCTTCAGGTTGGCAGCCTCCCGTCCCTGGGGGTGACTCTGGGTATGTACACATGTCTGTGTTCACAGGATCTGAAATGGCTCTGGGCCAGTAGGCCAAGGCACTGGGAGTTGAGGTCACCGTGGCCTGCAGCAACCCCTGCTTAGGGGAACCCTATGGAAAAGGGTCCTCTTCTCCCCTCTCTCCCTGACCACAACCCCTATCTCTGTCCTGAAAGCACTTTCTTCCTTGGACAAGCTCTGCCCTGGCTCTGAAATCTCATCAGAGGCACTGCTGACAGCAACAGCAATAATAACAGCAGAGAACAAGACACTGAGGGGGACTCATCGGCTTCTCTGATTTTTTTATCTCTAATAGGTAGAAGCTCTAGGACTGTCCTAGTGACTGAGTAGAACCCTGTGGTTGTGGAACTTATCATGGAAGACTTCTTTCCAGGAAGGAAAGAAAAGTATTCTTATAATCGTGGGGTGGAAGCTCCGAATCACATTCAAACTGTCTTATTATGTAACCCCCAGGGAGGTGAAGCAAAACATGATGCTTTATATCACTATTTATTTCCCTTTTCACATATCTTTTACTGTAAATTCCTTGAGGTCAGGGTCACTGTTTTCTAATTCCTTGGCGCTCCAAAACTGGACAAAGCACTTTGCACATATACTGACTTCTCTACATTTACTTGCAATTTCCAATGGGGTCCTCTTCTCCCTGGCTCCCAGCTCACCTTCTCTGCCTGGAACATCTTCCTCTGACCCTTTGCCTGCCCAGCTCCTCCTCCTCCTTGGAGACTCCCCTCTGCTTTCACCTCCCCAAGATGCCTCCTCTGACCTACTGCTGGGTTAGAGGCTCCATCCCTGGGCTGTCTCATTGTAGCTGGCTACAGGTCTGTCTTTCCCGTGTTAGAAAAGCATTTCTTGTTCCCTGGTGCGGTAAAGAAATAGCACTTGAACATAAATTTAATTTCCTTAGCAAGGACATTTTTACTTTCTGCAGAAGGGGTACACTTGCCAGTAGTTTTGTCACGAGAGTACACTGAACAAAGGAGACAGGGTCATTTATAACCTGACGCGTCCACCCTACTGCTGTGCCCAGTTTCCATTGGCTGGAATGGGACCTCACATTCTGTATCTGTCCGGATTGGCTAACAACGTAGAATTTTTTTAAAAAGGCAAAGGCAGAGGAGAACAAAGGAAGGAGGAAGTAACTTGTGCAATGTTGAGAAAGGTAAAAACACCTTCAAATAAGGAAGAGGAACAGGCTATGACCTAATGCTTGCTTGGACCAGTATAAGCATGCCAGGGCAAATATTTAAGCTAAATTGTAGGAGCTAAGAACATAAAGTACATTGATTTCTTTATTACGGCTAGCAAATACTTAAGAATGTTAGCACAGGTCTTTGAATAAATTTTGCTTCTAAGAGAAGTTACTATTTATTTCTAATTAGATGGGGAGGAAAGTCTTTGAAGAGGAACCTCTACTTCACTTTATACACCCATCAGACAGGGGGGGTTCTGTAGGGCAACACAATTCCTGGCATGCAATAGGTGATCAATAAATATTTTTTGAATGGACAAAGATGATTTTGTAAGCAATGTCTGATTCGATTCTAGGCACAGAGAAGATGAATAAGATATTGGTTGAGTCCTTTGAACTTTTGGGGGGCTCGGCTTTTTTAGTCTGTGGAGACCAGGGAACAAGACCAGCTGACATCAATCTTGTGGCAAACTTCTAGACTCTGTTCACCTCTGACTTTCAAAGGTGGGTCCCATGAACTGCAGCCACCTGCATGTGCAGCCCTGATTTGGACCCTGCGGTCAGTCCTGTCCTTGTCCTGGGGGAATTTAGGGAAGTCTACAGCCTGGGCAACATGGTGAAACCCCATCTCTACCAAAAATACAAAAAATTAGCCAGGTGTGGTGGTGCGCACCTGTGGTTTCAAACTTGGGAGGATGAGGCAGGAGAATGGCTTAAGCCTCGGAGGTGGAGGTTGCAGTGAGCTGAGATCGAGCCATTGCACTCTAGCCTGGGTGACAGAGTGAAACTCTGTCTCAAAATTAATTAATTAAATTAAAAAATAAAACATAAAAAGTGTTTATTGAGTGTCTAGCCCTCAAAGCTCACCTGATCTGATAGAGAATCTGAACAGGTATAAAATACAGTCAGCCCTCTATATCTGTGGGTTCCACCTCTGTGGATTCAACCAACTGTGGAGCTAAATTATTCAGAAAAAAAAATGAAAGGTTGTGTCTTTACTGAACATGTACAGGCTTTTTTTCTTGTCATTATTCCCTAAATGATACAGTGTAACAATGGTCTATATAGCATTTACATTGTATTTGATATTATAAGTAATCTAGAAATGACTTAAAGTATACAGTGGGATATGCATAGGTCACATACAAATACTACACCATATCTTGTAAGGCAGCAGTCCCCAATTTTTTTGGCACCAGGGACAAGTTTCACGGAAGACCATTTTTCCATGGACCAGGCAGGGGGTCGGGGATGGTTTGGGGATAATTGAAGTGCATTATATTTATTGTGCACTTTATTTCTATTATTATCACATTGTAATATATAATGAAATGATTATACTCACCATAATATAGAATCAGTGGGAGCCCTGACCTTGCTTTCCTGCAACTAGACAGTTCCATCTGGGGGTGATGGGAGAAAGTGACAGATCATCAGGCATTAGATTCTCATAAGGAGCACAAAACCTAGATCCCTCACATGCGCAGTTCACAATAGGGTTCATGCTCCCCTGAGAATCGAATGCCACCACTGGGGCTGACAGGAGGCAGAGCTCAGGTGATGGGGAGCGACTGTAAACACAGATTGCTTGCTGCTCACCTCCTGTTGTGCAGCCCAGTTCCTAAGAGGCCACAAACTGGTACCAGTACTGGTACATGGCCTGGGGGTTGGGAACCCCTGTTATAAGGGACTTGAGCAGGGCCAGGCATGGTGGCTCATGCCTGTAATCCCAGCACTTTGGGAGGCTAAGGCAGGTGGATCACCTAAGGTCAGGAGTTCGAGACCAGCCTGGGCAACATGGTGAAACCCCAGCTCTACTAAAAATACAAAATTAGCCAGGTATGGTGGTGCACGCCTGTGATCCCAGCTACCTGGGAGGCTGAGGCAGGAGAATCGCTTGAACCCAGGAGGTGGAGGTTGCAGTGAGCTGAGATCGTGCCATTGCACTCCAGCCTGGGGAATAGAGTGAGACTCCGTCACACACATACTAAAAAAAAAAAAAAACAAAAAAAAAACAAAGGAACTTGAGCATTCATGGATTTTGGTATCTGCAAGGGGTCCTGGCACCAATCTTCCATGGATACTGAGGGACAACTGTACCGACTCATAAGAGCTATGGACACAGTGCTGTGGGACCTAGGGGAGGGGAAAAAGATGTGGGGGGTATGGAGAACGTGGCACAGCCCAGGAGGGGCCTTTGAGTTGGCCCTTGAAGAGAGCAGGAGTTTCCCAGGCAGAGGTCAGGACTGAGGACCCACATGGGCAAAGGCACTAAGGGATGAGGTTTACTTGTTTAGCGGAGAGAGCAATCAACAGCTCTGTTAACTTTTTTTTTTTTTTTTTTTTGAGACAGGGTTTTGCTCTGTCACCCAGGCTAGAGTACAGTGGTGTGAACATGGCTCACTGAAGCCTCAACCTCCTGGGTTCAAGCAATCCTCCTACCTCAGCCTCCAGAGTAGCAGGAACGACAAGTGCACACCACCATGCTAGGCTAATTTCAAACATTTTTGTAGAGATGGGGTCTTGCCCTGTTGCCCAGGCTGGTCTTGAACTCCTGGACTCAGACTGTATTACTGTTTTGCCCTTCCAAAGTGTGGGATTACAGGCACAAGCCACCATGCCCACCCTCTTTTAACTTTGAAAAATCACACCACCACCACCCTCCCTTGATAAACACAAAATCTCAGGCTCTCCTTTAACAATTGTGACACACAAAAATAAGCATCATGAGTACAAAACGGAAGTGCAGGCAGGAGAAGGCATTGCTTTGCTTCCAATCTGCACATCCTCACACCCACTTCAAGTCCAATGTATCTCCCCAGGGGTGCCTCTCTCCTCCTCCATGCTGGAAGTCATTCCACTGGTTGGAGTGGAGCAGACCAAAGCTAAGGATTATAGAGAGGAAAGCACCCTGGTGAGATTCAGGAGGAACATTTGGTGACAGGGTGGGCTAGAGATTGGTGCAGACTGAGCAGTTACCACCACTGTAATTGCTTTAGGGCTTGAACGTTAGTGCTAGGGGGTGGGAGGGATGGAGGAGAAGAGATGCATGAGAGACAGATGGGCTGGGCGTGGTGGCTCATCCCTGTAATCCCAGCACTTTGGGTGGCCAAGATGGGTGGGTCACTTGAGGTCAGGAGATCAAGACCAGCTTGACCAACATGGTGAAACCCCATCTCTACCAAAAATATAAAAAATTAGCCGAGCATGGTGGTGGGTGCCTGTAGTTCCAGCTACTCGGGAGGCTGAGGCACGAAAATCTCTTGAACCCAGGAGGTGGAGGTTGCAGTGAGCCGAGATTGGGCCACTGCAATCCAGCCCGGGTGACAGAGCAAGACTCCATCTCAAAAAAAAAAAAAAAAAGAGAGACAGATGATGGTGGAGAGAACTGCTAATGCTTGGAATCGAATAGATGGGGGGCATCCAGGAGCTCAGGCCTTGGCCCAGGCAGCACCCCTCATTCATTCAACAACATGTATTGCCAGCCCTACTGTGTGCCGGAAACTATGCTAAGCACTGAGGACACAGCAAGAACAGGACAGAGAAACTCCCTACTTCCCAAAGGAGGAAGACCACCAGCAGCAGCAAAGAAGAAAATACACAGATGAACAAGATCATTTTGGATAGTGGTCTATGCTATGAAGCCATTAAAGCAGAGAATGGAGATGAGATGAAGAGTAATAGGGGTGGGGTGGACAGAGGGAAGCTACATTAGATTGGGGGCCATGAAAGTGACTCCAAGAAGTGACAGCCAAGCTGAACCCTGAATGGTGCTTTAGCAATGAGCCATGGAAGATCTAGAGGCCCCGAGGTGGAAACACATATTTCTGACACATTATTAAAAAAAAACCAGAAAAACATTGCTGGCATCTCTGTTCTCAAGTTGACACAAAAGCAACAAATGCCTCCATCCCCTAGGAAGGAACTTCAAGGAATGTATTCTCTTGCTGCTGCTTCTCTTGCTTGCTGACAGTAGGACATCTGGGTCAGGCGTGGAGACTCGCTCTTTTACGGATCGTTCTCTCTGTTTTTTTTTTTTTTTTTTGAGACGGAATCTCTCTCTGTCACCCAGGCTTGGAGTGGAGTGGCACGATCTCAGCTCACTGCAAACCCTGCCTCCCAGGTTCCAGCAATTCTCCCACCTCAGCCTCCCAAGTAGCTGGGATTACAGGCATGCACCATCATGCCCAGCTAATTTTAGCATTTTTAGTATAAATGGTGTTTCACCATGTTGGCCAGGCCGGTCTCGAACTCCTGACCTCAGGTGATCCACTTGCCTTGGCCTCCCAAAGTGCTGGGATTACAGACGTGAGCCACTGCGCCCGGCCTTCTCTCTTTGTTCTTTAAGTGGGAGGCAGACCACTACCTCCGATGTGGTGGAGATATAAGTGTGCTTAGGGCAGGCCACAAATGTGGCTCTTTTCCCTGCACTATTCCCAACATGTAGGCATAGGGTTGCAAGTTGGGGCAGGGCATGCAATGCCTGTAGATCTTTCTGAGATGTAAACTCTGATGGTCATGATGGCTTATACCTGTAACCTCAGCCTTTTTGGAGGCCAACGCAGGAGGATCACTTGAGCTCAGGAGTTTGAGACCCACCTGGGCAACATAGTGAGACCCCCATCTCTACCAAAAAAATTTTACAAATCAACCAAGCATAGTTGCGCATGACTGTAATCCCAGCTACTCAGGAGGCTGAGGCAGGAGGATTGCTTGAGCCCAGGAGGTCGAGGCTGCAGTGAGTTGTGATCATACCACTGTACTCCAACCTGGGTGACAGAGCAAGGCCTTGTCTCAAAAAACAAAACAAAACAAAAAAAGATGTGCAACCTACATATCTAACACATTCACCAAAGGCCTGTGATAATGAAGCTGATACCAACAGGAACTTCATGAGGATCCTTCAGCCTGCCTTTAATCATTTTCCAACACTGAAAGGAAGAGGCTTGCAATTAATTGTCATCTTCAAACTTCTAACAGCTGGCTTCAACCTTACAGAACATGATAAGGATTGGGAAATGTCCAATTATAAGAATCACCACCTCTGTAAGTTGAGAGCAAGCCATGTACTCATAAGAATTGCTGGTATTCCTGGTATTGAGATGAGGTGGACTTTGTTCTCAACAATGTTCCTGAAGTAATCACAATAATAAGCTTCACGTGGCTGTTTCGATAAGGCCTCCAAACACAAGCCCAAGAACAACAGAGTCAAAGCGAAGACATTTGGTTAAAATGATGGTCAGAACATCATACTGGCTACACTTGGGTCAGGTACCTCTTTCATGGGAAGGGGGGAGTGTGGCTCACTTTTTATCTTGGAATTCCTCCCAAATAAGAAAGGGTGTTGCATGCAGTCAAACTGACAAATACCCTCTACATGCTCTATCACAATTTCCTTTTTCTTTGCTTTTCCAAATGTTACCCAGCTATAGCAGGCTGAATAATATGCCCCCAATCTCCAACTCCAAAAGATGTCCACATCCTAATCCCCAGAGCCTGTGAATATGTTACTTTACGTGATGAAATTGAGGACCTTGAGGTGGCTTTATTATCTTCGATTTTCTGGGTGGGCCCAATGTAATCATGAAGGTCCTTATGAGTGGGACGACAGGAGGGTCAAAGAGGAGAGAGGAGATGTGACAACAGAAACAGAGGCTGGAGAGGCCAGGAGTGGTGGCACGCACCTGTGATCCCAGCTACTCGGGAGGCCAAGGCAGGAGAATCGCTTGAACATGGGAGGTGGAGGTTGCATGGGCTGAGATGGTGCCACTGCACTCCAGCCTGGGTGACGGAGTGAGACTCTGTCTGAGAAAAATAATAATAAATAAATAAAATAAAATAAAAATAAAGAAACAGAGGCTGGAGAGATGGCCTTTGAAGATAGAGAAAGGAGCCACAAGGCAAGGAGTGCAGACAGCCTTTGGAATATGAAAAGGGCAAGGAAGCAGTCTCCCCTAGAGCTTCCAAATAGGAACACAGCCCTACCGATGCCTCGATCTTAGCCCATAAGACCCATTTTGGACTTCTGACTTCCAGAACTATAAGATGTCTTAAGCCACTTGTAGTAATTTATTTGCAACAGCAGTAGGAAACTAATATACCTGCTAAAATATCACCCTTTGGAAAGGTCATGCTGGCCCTGGCCTATGGCCCTCAAGGTTTGTTCCCGTCTATGAATCCCTATTACTTATGATGAAGTCATTTGAAATTTAGTACCGTATTGCTGTGGGATGTGCCTCCTGTTTTTTCTTGAACATTTCTCTCAGCTTAGTTAACATGGCACTTGTACTTGTTTGTGTAGAACACAGATAGGGCTTACTCATTATTATTCTCTTAATACATGCTTTTTTTTTTGTTTTTTTTTTGAGACGGAGTCTCACTCTGTCGCCCAGGCTGGAGTGCAGTGGCGCGATCTTGGCTCACTGCAAGCTCCGCCTCCCGGGTTCACACCATTCTCCTGCCTCAGCCTCCCCAGCAGCTGGGACTACAGGCGCATGCCGCCATGCCCAGCTAATTTTTTGTATTTTTAGTAGAGACAGGGTTTCGTCACGTTGGCCAGGTGGTCTCGAACTCCTGACCTCAGGTGACCACCGGCCTCGGCCTCCCAAAGTGCTGGGATTACAGGTGTGAGCCACCGTGCCCGGCCAATACATGCTTTTGAATAAATGAATGAAGAGGAGCTCTTTTTCTAGACTTCCTTGCTTTTTCTCAAAGGACTGGATGTTGCACAATGCACACAAAAGGCACTCATATTTGTTGAAGATTTTCCTAAAGTGTAAAGCACTCTTACTAGGACTCCACTTTTCCCCTGGTTTCATATAGATAGTTGAAGCTCTCTTATATGATGAGTTTGGGATGGTTGGTTAAAATGGGAAACCATTAAAAATTACATGTTCTGGGGCTGCGTGTGGTGGCTCATGCCTGTAATCCCAGCACTTTGGGAAGCCAAGGTGGGCAGATCCCAAGATCAGGAGTTCGAGAACAGCCTGACCAACATGGTGAAACCCCGTCTCTCCTAAAAATACAAAAATTGGCTGGGCGTGGTGGCGGGCACCTGTAATCCCAGCTACTCAAGAGGCTGAGGCAGGAGAATCGCTTGAACCTGGGAGGTGGAAGTTGCAGTGAGCTGAGATCGTGCCATTTCACTCCAGCCTGGCAACAGTGCGAGACTCCGTCTCAAAAAAAAGAAAAAATAAATAGTGTCAGTTTCCGCAAAAAGTTAAACACAGACTTACTGTATGATTCGGCAGTCCTACTTCTAGGTGTATACCCACAAGAATTGAAAGCAGAGACTCAAACAGATACTTGTACACCAGTGTTTATCACAACATTATTCACAACAGTCAAAAGGTAGAAACAATCGCAATGTCCATCCACAGATGAATAGACAAGCAGAATGTATGGTATATATACACAAGCCATAAAAAGGAATGAAAATTTGATATATGCTACAACATGGATGAATCTTGAAAACATGATGCTAAGTGAAATAAGCCAGACACAGAAGGAAGAATATTGTATGATTCCACTTCTATGAAGTCCCTATAATAGGCAAACTCATAAGGACAGAAAGTGGAATACAGGTTACCTGGGGGAAGGGAAAAATGGGGGTATTATTGTTTAATGGGTCCGGAGGATGACAGAATGTTTTGGGTGTAGATAGGGTGATGGTGATACAACATTTTAAATGCATTTAATGCTACTGAATAGTACATTTACAAATGGCTAAAATGATATATATCATGTTATATATATTTACCATAATTTTTTAACAGCCATAAAAGCATTCAAACCTTTTTTTCTGAATCTTTTCTAGTACAACAATTTGATATGTGAGCAATTATTTTCTGCATAAAGCTCTTCATCACAGTGTTGTTTATAATCATAAAATATTCTAAAGAACTTAAAAGTTTGTTAGTAGGTGATTTGTTAGGAAATTAGTGTAATCCAAATTATGGACTATCAGGCAGTCATTAGAAATCATGTTTATGTTTGTGACCAGCCCGGCCCATATGGCGAAACCCCGTCTCTACTAAAAATACAAAAACTAGCCGGGTGGGGTGGCAGGCACCTGTAGTCCCAGCTACTTGGGAGGCTGAGGCAGGAGAATTGCTTGAACCTGGGAGGCGGAGGTTGCAGTGAGCGAGACTGCACCACGGCACTCCAGCCTGGCGACAGAGCAAGACTCTGCCTTAAAAAAAAAAAAAAGAAAAGAAAAGAAAAGAAAGAAACAATGTTTATGAAGACATTTTACTGATGTAGGGAAATTCTGATAATATCATGTTAAGCCAAAAAGGGCAGCGTATAATATTGCGCTCAGAATGATTCCCAAGTGTTAAAAATTTTTGAAAAAACACAAAATAAGGCTGGGCGTGGTGGCTTGTGCCTGTAATCCCTGCACTTTGGGAGACCAAGGCGGGCAGATCACTTGAGGTCAGGAGTTTGAGACCAGCCTGGCCAATATGGTGAAACACCGTCTCTACTAAAAATACAAAAATGAGCCAGGCATGGTGGCGGGTGCCTGTAGTTCCAGCTACTCGGGAGGCTGAGGCAGGAGAATCGCTTGAATCCTGGAGGTGGAGGTTGCAGTGAGCTGAGATCATGCCACTGCATTCCAGCCTGGGTGACCGAGTGAGATTCTGTCTCAAAAATAAATAAATAAATAAATAAATAAATAAATAAATAAATAAAAATTAAAAATAAATAAACAGACACAAAATAGAAATATTGGAAGAAAATATTCCACAGTATTACCAGAGGTTGTCCCTGGACAGTTAAAGATCATTTTGCTCCATTTCTTTCTTAGTTTCCTGACTCTCCAGCTTTCTTCAGAGAAAATGAATTACTTTGAAGACCAAAAACCAAAACCCCAAAACTTCAATGTGGCACAGTTCTTGCTTATTTAGGGCTACCACATCCTCTAGGGTACAAGACTACGCTATTTTCTAACAACTGCTACTTTAATCTTAGTTGTTGAGGTCACGCTAGTGTTTTCAAAATGAGGCACATGCTGGTTCACAGAAAGACAGTGAATGAAGGCGTGGGGGGATGGAGGGAGGAAAGAACTCAAAGGAGACCCGCTGCAGGGGAAAATTCTTCCTCACTGCAACCTCCCCATCAAATAGTAGCTTCTAAAACCACAAGTTTTCATTTTCAGGATCAAAGCAGACAACCAAGTTCCTTGAAAGTAAATGTAGGCCAAGGTTATTAAATCCAGTTTTTCAGGGAAACTCAATCTAATTGCTCATTAGCATACCATTCAAAGTAGCTTTTATTAACACTGATTCATACTGCCTTTTAAAAATAATGGAAACAGTTCAAGATCAGCCTGGCCAACATGGCGAAACCCCGTCTCTACTAAAAATACAAAAAGGAGCCAGGCGTGGTGGTGGGCATCTGTAATTCCAGCTACTCGGGAGGCTGAGGCAGGAGAATCACTTGAACCCTGGAGGCGGAGGTTGCAGTGAGCTGAGATTGAGTCCCTGTACTCCAGCCTGGGCGACAGAGCAGCTGTCTCAAAAATAATAATAACAATAAAAACAAAATAGCTTAGTATTTTAAGGCCTGTTAATGTTTACTGCACCAGAAAGACACTACAAGCAGAGTCTGTTTGTGGGGATAGTTTGCTATGAAAAGAAAATTATTTCAGTTAGTTAATATGATTGGAACTAACTTCCTTCCTTCCTTCCTTCCCTTCCTTCCTTTCTTCCTTCATTCCTCTCTTTCTTCCTTTCCTCTTTCTCTTTCTTTCTCTCTCTCCTTTCTTCTTTCCTTCCTCCTTCCCTTCCTCTCTTTCTCTCTCTCTTTTTTTTTTTTTGAGACAGAGTCTCGCTCTGTCACCAGGCTGGAGAGCAGCGGCAAGATCTTGGCTCACTGCAACCTCCGCCTCCCGGGTTCAAGCGATTCGCCTGCCTCAGCCTCCTGAGTAGCTGGGACTACAGGCGCATGCCACTATACCCAGCTAATTTTTGTATTTTTAATAGAGACGGGGTTTCACCATGTTGGCCAGGATGGTCTCGATCTATTGACCTTGTGATCCTCCCACCTCGACCTCCCAAAGTGCTGGGATTACAGGTGTGAGCCACCGTGCCCAGCCTCTTTTTGTTTTTTCTTTGTTCTCTCTCTCTTCCTTCCTTCCTCCCTCCCTCCTTCTTTCTTTCTTTTCTTTCTCTCCTTCCTTCCTTCCTTTCCTTCCTTCCTCCCTCCCTTCCTTCTCCCTTTCTTTTTTTCTCTGCCTCTCTCTCTCCTTCCTTCCTCCCTCGCTTTCTTCTTTCCTCTTTGTTTCTCTCTCTCTCTCTCTCTTTCTCTCTCTCCCCACTCTTTGCTTGCTTGCTTGCCTTGCTCTGACACCCAGACTGCAGTGGCACGATCACGGCTCACTGCGACCTTCACCTCCTTGGCTCAAGTGATCCTCACACCTCAGCCTCCTGAATAGCTGGGACCACAGGCACACACACCACCACACCTGGCTAATTTTATTCATTTTTTGTAGAGACAGGCTCTCACGATGTTGCTCAGGTTGATCTTACTCCTGGGCTCAAGTGATCCTTCCACCTTGGCCTCCCAGAGGCCTGGGATTACAAGCATGAGCAACTGTGCCAGCCTACTGGAACTTTCTGAAACAAAAATCTGATCATGGCACTGCCCTGTGTCCAGGCTGTTAGTACTTCCCATTCCTGTGGAGTCGTGCTGGCACTGTGACCCGGAACACAGGACACCGTGGTCTAGCCCGTAACTCCCTCCCTCATGCAGCCTCATTGCTCTGGGGTTCTGGGAATTTGCAGTCCCCAGCACTCCTGGGACGGTGTCTTGCTTTTTTGTTTTTGCTCTCACTGCCCCCTCTGCCTAGAATCCTGGATTCCTACTCCATCCCTCACCCATGCCCACTCATCTTTCAATCCTGACCCAAGTATCACCATCCCTGTGGAGTTTCCCAGATCCTTCCCAGTAGCTTTGAGCACTTGCCCTTTTCCACCTCCACCGGGTCCTAAACAGGTTCCTATTGGAACACTCAAGACACTATTGCACACACAGTGGCCCTTCCTATCTATGGCTTCTACATCTGCAGACTCTACATCTGCAGACAACCTTGGATGGAAAAGATTCAGGAAGAAAAAAACAATAAAAAATACAAATAAAAAACCCATACAGTGTAACAACTGCTTACCTAGCATTTACACTGTATTAGGTATTATAAGTAGCCTAGAGATTATAAAGTACATGAGAGGATGTGCACAGGTTACATGCAAATATTATATTTCATACATAGAGTAAAATGAGCATCTACAGATGCTACGAACTTGAGTATCCATGGATATTAGTATCCTTGGGGATCCTGGAATTAATCCCCCACAGATACTGAGGGAGACTGTACTTGTTTCTATGTCTGTCTTCTCTTACCTAGCTATGAGCTTCTTAAGGGCAGGCACTGTTTTCCATCTTTTTTTTTTTTTTTGAGACAGAGTCTCACTCTGTCACCCAGGCTGGAGTGCAGTGGCACAATCTTGGCTCACTGCAGCCTCCACCTCCCAGGTTCAAGCAATTCTCTTGCCTCAGTCTCCCAAGTAGCTGGGATTACAGGCACCCACCACCACGCCCAGCTAATTTTTGTATTTGTAGTAGAGATGGGGTTTCACCATGTTGGCCTGGCTGGTCTCGAACTCCCAACCTCAGGTGATCTGCCCACCTGGGCCTCCCAAAGTGTTGGGATTACAGGCATGAGCCATTGCTCCCGGCCTGTTATCCATCTTTATAACCTCTGTAGCACTGGCACACAGAAAGGGTCCAGTAAAGATGCTGAATAAATAAGGAAATGAACCACCCGGGCTAGTGCTGATTGCTTCTTTGGTGGTAGCAAACATTGACTTCAGGTATTATAAGACGCATTTGGTCAAGAGGAAGGAGCAGCCCTTACTCCATTTCCTCTTGTCCTTTCCCACAGTCAGCCAGTTAGAAAGACTAAAGCAAGCAGGAAAATAAAACAACAACCCTGGAGGACGCACTTATTTTGAGGAAGAGAACCCAAATCAAAGCAAACTAAAAAGCTCCAATACAATATATTCAGAAAGATAGGATGCCCAACAAAGGACAAACAAGGGCTCTTATTAATTAAAAACATGACTCTAGGTAGGGTGCGGTGGCTCATGCCTGCCATCCCAGCACTTTGGGAGGCTGAGGTGGGGAGATCACTTGAGGCCAGGGGTTCGAGACCAGCCTGGCCAACATGGTGTAACCTTGTCTCTACCCTAAATACAAAAGACAATTGGCCCTGGAAAGCCATGAAAGTAAATGCTACTGTGACAACCCTGTAGGAGGAGGATGATGAGCCTCAGAGAGGAGGCCTTAAAAACTCAGCAAAATACCTAATTGGATAAAGAAACTAGGGTAAAATGAACCATGATAAAGAAAAAATGCAAGAAAGGCAAATAGAAGATCCAAGGGGAAAGAAGTTTGTACGATAAAAAGAAGAGCAATTCTTCTTTTTTTTTTTTTTTTGAGACGGAGTTTCTCTCTTGTTGCCCACGCTGGAGTGCAATGGCACGATCTTGGCTCACTGCAACTTCCACCTCCTGGGTTCAAGCAATTCTCCTGCCTCAGCCTCCTGAATAGCTGGGATTACAGGCATGCGCCACCACACCCGGCTAATTTTGTATTTTTAGTAGAGATGGGGTTTCTCCATGTTGGTCAGGCTGGTCTTGAACTCCTGAACTCAGGTGATCTGCCAGCCTCAGCCTCCCAAAGTGCTGGGATTACAGGCATGAGCCACCATGTCCAGCCAAGAAGAGCAATTCTTATAAACATTTTGCCTCTTCAGAGAAAATAATATTAGAGAATACTGCAATATGGTTTTTGCCATTACTTTCAATGGCAAAAATGACAATTACTTTTGCACCAACCTAATAAATGCTGTTTAAGTGATTTTCATGTTTTACGGTCAGTCTGTGGAATACTTAATTATGGTTAAGAATAGAAGGTAAATGTTTTTTAGCCATAAAATTATATGGGGCAGAAATTGGGAGGTAGATGTCAGAGAGAATCTGTCTGAAGAACAAAGATGCTGTTACCTTCATTCTTTTTTTGTTTTTTTGAGTCAGGTTCTCACTCTGTCACCCAGGCTAGAGTCCAATGAGACCACATCATAGCTCACTGCAGCCTCGAACTCCTGGGTTCAAGTGATCCTCCCACCTCAGCCTTCTAAGTAGCTAGGACTATAGGTACATGCCATCACACTCGGTTTATATATATATATATATATTTTTTTTTTTTTTTTTTTGAGACAGGGTATCGCTCAGTTGCCCAGGCTGGAGTGCATGGCACAATCACAGCTCACTGCAGACTTGGCCTCCTAGGCTCATGTGATCTTCCCACCTCAGCCTCCCAAGTAGCTGGGAATACAGGTGCTTGACTGTGTGTGTGTGTGTGTGTGTGTGTGTGTGTGTGTGTGTGTGTATATATATATATATTTTTTTTTTTTGGTAGAGATGAGGTCTCATTATGTTGCCCAGCCTGGTCTCAAACTCCTGGGATCAAGCAATCTGCCCACCTCTACTTCCCAAGGTGCTGGGATTATAGGTGTGAGCCACCGTGCCAGGCAATTTTTAAATTTTTTTGTAGAGATGGGGGTTTGCTATATTGCCCGGGCTGGTCTTAAACTCCTGGCCTCACACGATTCTCCCACCTTGGCCTTGCTAACTTCATTTATCTTCAATTTATCTTATGCAGTAAGACGGTCATAGCTCACTGCAGCCTCGAACTCCTGGGTTCAAGTGATCCTTCTGCCTTGCAGGTTCTTGAAGGTGTAGGGCTGAGGTCCTTGTTTCCTTGTTGGTTGTTGGCAAGGGAGCGGCTCTTAACTCCTAGAGGCTGCTCCTCAGGGCCTTTCCACTTGGTCCCCTCCATTTTCAAAGCCAGCAACCAGATAACCCTTTTGCATTAAAGATTTTTCATGCAGCCAGGAGCGGTGGCTCACACCTGTAATCCCGACGGGGATGGATCACTTGAGGTCAGGAGTTTGAGGCCAGCCTGGCCAATATGGCAAAACCCTGTCTCTACTAAAAATACAAAAATCTCTACTAAAAACACAAACATTAGCCTGGATGACAGAGTTAATTTTTAAAAAATTTTTTTGAGATGGAATCTCACTCTGTCGCCCAGGCTGGAGTATAGTGGCACGATCTTGGCTCACTCCAACCTCTGCCTCCCAGGTTTAAGCAATTCTCGTGCCTCATCCTCCTGAGTAGCTGGGACTACAGGCGTGTGCCATCACACCTGGCTAATTTTTGAACTTTTAGTAGAGATGGGGTTTATCCATGTTGCCCAGGCTGGTCTCGAACTCCTGAGCTCAGGCAATCCATCCGCCTCAGCCTCTCAAAGTGCTAGGCATGAACCACTGCACCTGGCCTGTAATTAACTTTTATGACATCTGCAAAATCCTTTTCACCACATAAATCACATAATCATGGGTGTAACACCTGGTGACAAAAGGCATGGGAGCCATCTTCCATCTTATCCTTCTATTCCACACTACTCAAGAAAAATGACTGTTATTTTTATTTTATGTTTTTTATTTTTTTTGCTGTCACCCAGGCTGGAGTGCAGTGGCATGATCTTGGCTCACTGCAAGCTCTGCCTGCCGGGTTCATGCCATTCTCATGCCTCAGCCTCCCGAGTAGCTGGGACGACAGGCGCCCGCCACCGTGCCCAGCTAATTTTTTGTATTTTTAGTAGAGACAGGGTTTCACCATGGTCTTGATCTCCTGACCTCGTGATCTGCCCGCCTCGGCCTCCCAAAGTGCTGGGATTACAGGCATGAGCCACCGCACCTGGCAATGACTGTTAGTTTTATATAGAATGAGCTTTTCTAAAAAGCTTTAGAAAGCACCATGAGGAAGTTTTGTTTTTTGTTTTTTTTTTTGGTGTCTCAAATCTCACTTTCTGGAAACAGCCATCAATATTTGGTATATGTCATCTGAATTTGGGCATGCAGAGCAAAAAGATCAATAGATAACAATGGAATTTTATTCTGCAAATTATTTTTAAGTAAAATTAAGTTTAATTTTACAGAAAACAGAAATTAAGTAAAATAGAAATAATTGCTGAACTTCAGCTAAATGTTTGTAAACCACAAAAATTCCTAAAATAATCCCCTTAAAGATAAGAAAAAACGAACACAAAAATCATCAAGAAATTAGAATCGTGTCTGTTTTAAAAAGCTGCAGTTCATGGAGTTCTTTTTTTTTTTTTTGAGACAGAGTCTCATTCTGTTGCTCACGCTGGAGTGCAGTGGTGTGATCTCAGCTCACTGCAACCTCCAACTCCCACATTCAAGAGATTCTCGTGCCTCAGCCTCCCGAGTAGCTGGGATTACAGGTGCATGCCACTATGCCTGGTTAGTTTTTTGTATTTTTAGTAGATAAGGGGTTTCCCCAGGTTGCCCAGGCTGATCTTGAACTCGTGGGCTCAAGCGATCCTCCTGCCTGGGCCTCCTAAAGTGCTGGGATTGTAGGCATGAGCCCCAACGCCTGGCTGGAGTTCATTTTTTAGACTGGATTATTTTCCAGCCATTAAAGATGAGTAAATTTACATGCTTAGAAATCTTCCAACTGCCCTTTCCCCTCACTTCCCCATTTTTGTTAGGTGTATAATTATGTTCACAGTATAAGAGTTTGGAATGTTTACATTTTGTTCTTTTTTTTTTTTTTGAGATGGAGTCTCACTCTGTTACCAGGCTGGAGTGCAGTGGCGCGATCTTGGCTGACTGCAACCTCTGCCTCCTGGGTTCAAGCGATTCTTCTGCCTCAGCCTCCTGAGTAGCTGGGACTACAGGCACCCACCACCACGCCCAACTAATTTTTGCGTTTTCAGTAGAGACGGGGTTTCACCATATTGGCCAGGCTGGTCTCAAACTCCTGACCTCGTGATCCACCCGCCTTGGCCTCCCAAAGTGCTGGGATTATAGGCGTGAGCCACCACGCCTAGCCTACATTTTGTTCTTTAACCATAAATTCCACAGCTATTTATTCTTGGTTCTGTATTTAAAACAATTCAAAACTCATCTTCAGTATTTTTTTTAATCCTCAATTCCTTCCTTGATTTCTTTATTTTGATTAATCTCTTGGTTGAATAATTTCAACGTAAAAAACTTTTTTTTCAAGAATGTGGAAACTCTTGAGTTAATTCATGCTCAAGAATGACTGCCAACAGCCTTTAGACTTCTTTTTTTTTTTTTTTTTTGGTGGAATCTCGCTCTGTTGCCCAGGATGGAGTGCAGTGGTGCAATCTCAGCTTACTGCAACCTCTGCCTCCTGAGTTCACACCATTCTCCTGCCTCAGCCTCTTGAGTAGCTGGGAATACAGGCGCGTGCCACCACACCTTGCTAATTTTTTTTTTTGTATTTTTAGTAGAGACGGGGTTTCACCGTGTTTGCCAGGATGGTCTCTATCTCCTGACCTTGTGATCTGCCAGCCTCAGCCTCCCAAAGTACTGGGATTATAGGTGTGAGCCACCACACCTGGTCAGCCTTTAGACTTCTTAAGGGACAATTTGGCAAAATATAAAATTCATGAGTCACAGCTTCATGCCCTTAAGTTTTATAAACCTTGCTTCATTGTCCTTTAACATTGTGTTGCTCTTGGTTTTTAAAAATCTGATGTACTTTGTTATTGATCACTCTGTACTCATTTTACCTTGACACAGTGTGTGCTTTCTACCTGCTGACTCAAGTCTTCATTTTGGTTAAGTTTCCTCCATTATTCTATTGTTTCATTTGTTCTGACTTGGTCTTCAGGAATGCCAATTATGCATCTATTGGATCTCTATTGCTTATTTTCCATAACTATCAAATGTTTATGATTATGTTTATTTCTTTGTTCTTTTCCATATTGTTCCATTGTTTTCCCTCTTGTTCATTCTCTTTTGGTTGATTCCAAAGTGGCTTTCCTGTCTTTCTTTTCTTGAGATTTGCCACTCAGTTTTTTCCTCTTTTGTTGTTCTATAATTCCTTACTTTTACTTCTGAACCTCACCTTTGAGTATTTTTTTTATTTTAAAAAGAGATAACTTTGTAATTTCTCTGATGTGATGGAGAATTATTTGTTAAATAGCATGGGTAGAGGAAGAAGAAGGACTTTGAGGCAATCGGCTGCTTCACTTTAGTGTGTTTCCAAATCTGTTGACAGTATTTCCTCTCCATGAGAGAATGTCTCTGAGATTCTCAGGTTTTGGCTCTCAGGAGGTGCCAAGGCCCCCAGCAAAGCCCTGTCACTCTAGGCTCTCTGGGTTCTAATCTAGAAATTATTTCTCTACCCCCTTCACCCCCTCATCTCCAAGAGACTCTTTTGGCTTGGAGGGCAGGTCACAAAAAATAGAAATAAATAACCATCCTCCAGCTTCTCCCTAATTTTGACCCTCCCTACTATCATACTGGTTCTTCAAAGGAACACTACCAGTTTTTCCTGGGTCTTGTAAGTCAAATATAAATTTCAGTCATTTGAGTACCACTTCCACAATTTTTGCCTTATCTGTAGATCACCTATACTAAAGTCGATTTTTTTTCTTTAAATTAATTCCCAGTTTTTTCAACTAAATGCCTTCTTATTTAAAAAGGAGGTATATTCAAAAATTAGCTGGGTGTGGTGGCAGGCACCTGTAATCCCAGCTACTTGGGAGGCTGAGGCAGGAGAATCACTTGAACCCTGGAGGGGGAGGTTGCAGTGAGCCAAGATTGCACAACTGCACTCCAGCCTGGGTGACAAAAAAAAAAAAAAAAAGAGGCATATCATTATCATAAGTGAAAAATATCAAGCTGGGCACAATGGAACTACACAATAGCTGTAGTTCCAGCTACTTGGAAGGCTGAGGTGGGAGGATGGCTTCAGCCCATGTGTTCTGTAACCCAGCCTGGGCACATTTCTTAAAAAAAAAGAAGGAAAAGTAAAGAAAGTATCACTTGCCATAAATAGAAAGTAAATATTAAAATAAATGCAATGAGGCTGGGTGCGGTGGCTCACGCCTGTAATCCCAGCACTTTGGGAGGCTGAGGTGGGCGGATCACCTGAGGTCAGGAGTTCGAGACCAGCCTGGCCAACATGGTGAAACCCTGTCTCTACTAAAAATACAAAAAAAATTTAGCTGGGCATGGTGGTGGGCGCCTGTAATCCCAGCTACTTGGGAGGCTGAGGCAGGAGAATCGCTTGAACCCGGAAGGTGGAGGTTGCAGTGAGCTGAGATCACGCCACTGCACTCCAGCCTGGGTGACAGAGCAAGACTCCGTCCCAAAATAGAAAATAAACAATAAATAAGTGCAACGAAAACAAAACTTTAGTAAGTTCTAGCCAGATACAGTTGTCTGCTGGGAGCTGAGTCTGAGGTCTGCATTTTCCTTGTTAGAAAGAATGATTAGGACAAATTAGAGAAAAGTTAAAGACTACTGGCACCAAACCAAGGCTTTCTTCTTGATATAATCACAAATGAAAGGGAACTAAAAAAAAGAATCACTTTTTCATTAGGTTATTTAATATAACTCAATGACTCTTCATGTACCACCTAAACTTACTTCACTCTTCCCTAATAACACAAGTCTCCTTTCCCCTTTGGGAAACACCCCTCCAATCCAAGGATCAATGATTTGGTGCCTCTAAGGAAACATATTGCCTGCTCATGGATGTAGGCACTGTACATTGACTCTTAGCATTTCATCAATTTTAGTACAGACTTTGCAGTATTTGGCAGGCATACCTCATGGTTTGTGGTTTGAGGTTCTGAGAGTTTCCTTGTTTCATTAAAAATGGGACCTTTTCTATGTTTTTGCTTTGCTTTCTTTTTGTATTCCGTCCAGAAGATTCCAAGGGAGGAGAGAGGGAGTCCAAATATCTTTATTTTGTTTTATTTTATTTTTTTTGAGGTGGAGTTTCGCTCTTGTTGCCCAGGCTGGAGTGCAATGGCACGATCTCAGCTCACTGTAACCTCCACCTCCCGGGTTCAAGTGATTCTCCTGCCTCAGCCTCCTGAGTAGCTGGGATCACAAGGCATGCCCCACCACGCCTGGCTAATTTTGTATTTTTAGTACAGACGGGATTTCTCCATGTTGGTCAGGCTGATCTCAAACTCCCAACCTCAGGTGATCCACCCTCCTCAGCCTCCCAAAGTGTTGGGATTACAGGTGGGAGCCACCGTGCCCGGCCCCCAATATCTTTATATCTTTTAATTGGATATATATGTGATGCGCATCCCTCTGAAATCTCTCACAGCTGTGTGCTGGTTGGCACAGGTTGAAACGGAGGTGGAACATCTTAAACTTGAATCTTCCCTTTCGTCCTAGTGTTCCTCATCTGCAATGCTAGGAAGGTTGCTAAGCTAGAAAGGTAGTATCTGGTGCATCAAAAGGTAAGGTGAGGACACTGCTTACTTGCTGCTGCCCCCTTCGCAAGACTGTCTCTCTGTGAATGCAAGGGGTGTGTGTGTGTGTGTGTGTGTGTGTGTGTGTGTGTGCGTGCGCGTGTGTGTGTGTGCACGCGCCAGTACATTCCCAACCTTCTCACTTTGTAACTGTGGTGACATGTCAACTTCAGCAGTGGTGGGTGTCTTCAGTAAGTGTGAACTTCACACCACCCCCTAACTGTGTTGGTCTTTGTATCTTGCAGTCTCTTCAACTTACTGGCTCTATATCACATGGCAAAGGTACTGACAGGGTCAAAAATAGTATTAAGATATTGATAATGGGCCAGGTGCAGTGGCTCAGGCCTGTAATCCCAGCATTTTGGGAGGCCGAGGTGGGTGGATTGCTTGGACCCAGGAGTTCGAGACCAGCCTGGGCAACAAGGTGAAATCCCATCTCTACAAAAAAATACAAGAATTAGCTGGGTGTGGTGGCATGTGCCTGTAGTCCCAACTACTTGGGAGACTGAGGTAGGAGGATTGTTTGAGCCCAGGAGGCAGAAGTTGCAGTGAGCCGAGATCGTGCCATTACACTCTGGTCTGTGGAACAGAGTAAGGCCTTGTCTCAAAAAAAAAGAAAAAAAAAAAGATATTGGTAATGTAGTTTTTGACTTTTTGAAAGATTTTCTTTCTTATCTATGTATACTTTGAAGTGTTTTGATAGAGCCAGTTAAAGGAAAGTATGATGTGGTGGGCCTTGGGTGTTTCCTACTTCCTATAAATGCAAAGGTGAGGAACTTCCTGCTCACATTGCCTAAATGGTAAGATTAATCAAGTCCTAGTGGCTTACGCCAAGTGAGGCCCTCTCCCCCCTTGCTTACTTATATAACTAAATGACTGTCCATGTACCACCTAAACTTCTCATCTCTCCTAATGAAAAAGTGTTTTTTTTTTTGGTTCCCTTTCATTTGTGATTATACCAAGAAGCAAGCCTGGGTTTGGTGCCAGTAGTCTTTAGCTTTTCTCTAATTTTTACCAATCACTCTTCTTTTTTTTGTTCTTCCTCAATCTACTCAACATGAAATAACTCTTTCTTTTTTTTTTTTTTTTTTTGAGATGGAGTCTCGCTCTGTCACCCAGGCTGGAGTGCAGTGGTGCAATCTGGGCTCACTGCAAGCTCCACCTCCCAGGTTCACACCATTCTGCTGTCTCAGCCTCCCAAGTAGCTGGGACTACTGGCGCCCGCCACCATGCACGGCTAATTTTTTTTTTTTTTTAGTAGAGACGGGGTTTCACCGTGTTAGCCAGGATGGTCTCGATCTCCTGACCTCGTGATCCACCCGCCTCGGCCTCCCAGAGTGCTGGGATTACAGGCGTGAGCCACCGCGCCCGGCCGAAATAACTCTTTCTAGCAAGGAAAGTATAGACCTCAGACTCAGCTACCAGCAGACAACTGTATCTAGCTAGAACTTACTATCATTTTGTTTTCATTGTATTTATTTTAATATTTACTTCCTGCTTCCTGTTTATGGCAAGTGATAGTGGTTTTTCTTTTTCCTTTGGTTTAGAGATGGGGTCATGCTATGTGCCCGGGCTGGATTCAAGAACTCCTGGGCTCAAGTGATCCTCTCCGCTTCTCAGTGAAGAGGTATAAAGCTAAGGATAGGTGAGACCACATAGAATGGTGCCACAGACATAGGCTTACAACAAAAGGGGGTGAGCACGGACCCCGTTCTGGCAGCAGGTACCAAGCCAGCCTGGATAAAGTCAGTTTCTTTTCTTTCCTTCTTTTTTTTTTTTTTTTTCTTTTTTTTTTCAGATGGGGTTTCACTCTGGTACCCAGCCTGGAGTGCAATGGCGCAATCTCAGCTCACTGCAACCTCTGCCTCCCGGGTTCAAGTGATTCTCCTGCCTCAGCCTCCCTGGTGGCTGGGATTACAGGCATGTGCCACCAGGCCCGGCTAATTTTTCTATTTTTAGTAGAGACAGGGTTTCACCATGTTGGCCAGGCTGGTCTCAAACTCCTGACCTCAGGTGATCCTCCTGCCTTGGCCTCCCAAAGTGCTGGGATTACAGGCGTGAGCCACCACGCCCAGTGGATAAAGTCAGTTTCTGAGAGGAAGAAACATATTTTCAAGGTCTTTTCTTGATTACTCTTCTGGCCATAGCAGAAATCTGACCTTTTGCTGGACAACCTCTCTGTCTCAGCCTTTTCACGGACCCCACCCTCTCTACTTCTCCATCTCTCAGGGCAGGAGGGAGCAGTGACTTTTTCCTCACTTCCAGCTGCTGCATCCTCCAGGCCATAGTCCATTATCTCACCCCAGTTCAACAACTTTTCCTCATTTGACTCCAAGCTGTCTGGTCACATCACTAATCACTCAAGCCCCGCACCCATTTAATTTGGTGTTTTCAGCTACTCATTTATAATTTTCCCTCCTATTTTCTCTAGTGTCATCACTACCTCTGAAAAGTTGCTGTTTTTTCCAAAACTCCAATTTGCTCTTATTTACCACTGTCTGCTCTAATAGTTGTGCAAGAGTTGTGCATTACAAACTTGGTTGTACATTAGGTTAATGATGTGGGGAGCTTTAAAAAAAATCCCAAAGTCCAGGCCCAACCCCAGACCAATTTAAGTCACATTCTTTAGGGGTAGGAGTGGTGGAGATTTTTGTTTTGTTTTGTTGTTATTTTTCAGTATCCCAGGTGATCCCGATGTTCAGCCAAGGTTGAGAACTCATCCATACTAGCGCCAACTCCTTGGACTCCATCCTATTCTTCCAGGCTAGCAGCTTATCCTGGCTTCATTGCCTTCTCACCCAGCTTAGGCCCCAGGGTCATTCACTTTAACCAGGTTGTTGCCCAACCGCTCATCTCCCACCCAGAGGGGATATGTAAGTTGCTAGAGAAAGACACTTCACTATCCTGATTCAGGCTTTCTAACTCCACTGGAGCCCTGTGCTAATCAGCGTTTATACAAGCTGCCTGGATAGATCTATTTCTCATAGTGGCTGTTCCAACCTGTTTCCACTCTCCTCAGATCCCTAACCCATGCCCTCCCCTCCCTCCTATCACTCAGCACAGTGCTTAAGTCTGTGGAAGAAACTCTTCCTACATGTGTGCACATTTAAGTGATCATATGGCGTGCTTCTGCTTTACTAAGTTTACTAAGTTTTGCAACTCTTCTGCAATTTTAAAATTATTTGAAAATAAGATTAAAAGCCAAAAAACCGAAAAACTCCCTGGATCCCTCCAGCTAGGATCTTTGTTCTCTATTTTCCTTTGGAGAAAAATATGTCCCCACACATGGTTACTACTTCCTCACCTTCCATTTGCCTTGCCAAAACTGCTCTGGATATTGTCATCAGTGGTACCCAAGTTGACAAATTCAGTGGATCTTTCTAGACCTCATGTTATATGACATCTTAGGGTATCTGATACAGCTGACCATTCCCTTCTTCTGGAAATACTTTGGCTTCCAAGATACAAAACTCTCCAGGTTTTCCTTTTCTACCTCTAGCTCCACCTTCTTATTCCAACTTTTCTTTTCTTTTTTTTTTTTTTTTTTTTTGAGACAGAGTCTGACTGTGTCACCCAGGCTGGAGTGCAGTGATGCGATCTCAGCTCACTGCAACCTCTGCCTCCTGGGTTCCAGTGATTTTCCTGCCTCAGCCTCCCGAGTAGCTTGGATTATAGGCATGCACCACCATGCCCAGCTAATTTTTGTATTTTTAGTAGAGATAGGGTTTCACCTTGTTGACCAGGCTGGTCTTGAATTCAAGCGATCTGCCCATCTCAGCGTCCCAAAGTGCTGAGATTACAGGCATGATCCACCGCACCCAGGCTTCTCCCTAGGTAATCTCATTCGTACCTCTGGCCTCAAATGTCATCTATGTGCCAGTGATTCCTAAGCTTACATCCCTATGCTAGACCTCTCTTCAGAGCTCTAGACTCATATATCCACATAGCTACTTAATTTTGGCCCTGGATGTCTCAAAATTAAACTCTTGATGTTCTCTCTCATATGTGCTCTTCCTTTAATTTGTCCCTTTCATTATTAAATGGTACTGCCATCCTCTTCCAGCCACTAGCTGCTCACGCTAGAAACACTGGTGTCATTTCAGATATTTCCATTTTTCTCACTAACCAAGTCTAATCCTTCAAGTTCAAAATATAAACATAGAAATGTTCCATTTCTCTCCATCTCTACTGCACCCACTCTCATCTTTTGCCCAGATTACAGTGATAGCCTCCTAACTGGTCTCCTTGTATCCCATTTTGCCTTCTCCAGCGCAGTCTCCAAACACTAACTTCAGTGACCTTCTGAAAATACTACCACGATTATATCATTCCTGTGTTTAAATTCCTTCTACTGCTTCCCACTTCACACAGGATAAAGTCCAAAAATATTAATAAGAGCAACCACATACTTCCTGACCGGGCCTCTGCCCACCTCCTGAACCTCATCCCTTGCTTACTGCATTAAGGCTCCACTGCCTTTCTCAATCTCTCAACCGAATAGGCTCTTTGCCTGCCTCAGGACATCTTCCTAAAATTTTGATCCCTCCATATTACACATATGAAGTAGTATAAGGCTAGATTATGCTTTGGTAGCAAATAATCCCATCTAACTAGCTTATGCCTAAAACGGTGTATGTATTGCTCACATCACAGTCTGACATAGGTCAGGTGGCTCCTTAAAGAATTAAGTGGAAACTCAGGGGTTCAGAGTCCTCCCAGTCTGTGGCATACCCACATTAAAAATGTGGCCTTTGTTACAGCAGTTGAAAGAGAAGAGTGTGAGTGATTATGCAAGGAGTTTTCTGGTCAGGCCTGAAAATGTTATATATCATACCAATAGGATCTGCCCATACCCCATTGGCCAGATCATAGTCATATGACCCTAACCTAACTGCAAAGGAGGTAAGAAAAAAAAAAAAAAAGTCTTCCTGTGTGTCTAGGAAGAGGAAATGAGATTGGTGAACATCAGGCTACTTTTTGCCACATCCTGGTTAAAACCTACTCATTTTTAAAGTCTCAGCTTAAATAATACTTACTTACAAAGGTCTTCCAGCTCCTCCAACTTAAATTAGGCATCCCTGATACATTCTATTGTAGCACCCTGTAATTTTCCTTTACAGCATGATCACAATGGAAAGTTTATATTTCTTTATGTGATTAATATTTATATCTGTTGCTAGACTGTAGGCTCTATAGGAGCAAGGACTGCATCTGTTTTGCTCCCACTGTGTCTCTAGCACCTATTACAGTACTTGGTATATAACTGGTATAAAAGTTTTCGAGTGAACAAATGAACAGTTGCACACAGTCATTGCCTGGCTCCAAATAGCACATGACTTTTGCAGGAGAAAGACAAGTAAGTAGGCAGTCATGGTTTAGTGTGATGATAAATGTTCCAGGCAGGTAAGCCCAGGGAGCTGTGAAAGCAACCTGAAGGAACTTGCAAGGCTTCTGTGTTTTGTCTTTCACAGCAGTCGAATCCAGGAGTCTGCAAACTATGGCCTGTAGGCCAAATCTGGCTCATTGCCTGTTTTTTAACTGCCCTTGAGCTAAGGATTGTTTATATATATATATATATATATATATATATATATATATATATATATATATATATTTTTTTTTTTTTAGACAGAGTCTCGCTCTGTTGCCCAGGCTGAAGTGCAATGGTGTGATCTCGGCTTACTGCAACCTCCGCCTGCCAGATTCAAGCAATTCTCCTGCCTCAGCTTCCTGAGTAGCTGGGATTACAGGCGCCCACCACCATGCCTGGCTAATTTTTTGTATTTTTAGTAGATTCAGGGTTTTGCCATGTTGGCCAGGCTGGTCTTGAACTCCTGACCTCAGGTGATCCATCTGCCTCAGCCTCCCACAGTGCTGGGCTTACAGGTGTGAACCACTGCGCCTGACCTGTTTTTATATTTTTAAGTGATTCAAAAATAATTAAAAGAAGAATATATTACGATACATGAAAACTATGTGAAATTCAAATTTCAATGTCCATAAAAAATATTCTATTGGAACACAGCTACTTCTTTTATTTATTGTCTATGACTGCTTTTGCGCTACAATGGCAGAGCTGAGTAGTTGTGAAAAAGGTCATACAGCTTGCAAATCCTAAAATATTTACTATCTGGCCCTTAATAGAAAAAAGTGTGCTGACTCCTGATCCAATCCATGCTTAGTTTAAAAGATCACATCTATCTGAATTACGTCCAACTGTACATCTTTAAGTTTCTGCTTTTTCCCATTCTCGTGTCTGCTACTAGAAATCAGGTTCCCTTTAGTTCTATCCTTGCAGCAGGATTCCTGCCCTGCTATCTCTCTCCTCTTTTCAGTTCATCACTGTGTACTAAAAAAAATCTGCACTCTTCAGCACAGCATCCCTAGTTCCCCATTATCTTACCACACCTCACCTTGTCAGCTGTATCTCTTACATCATACTTTCATCTAACCTTATCAATCACTTAACCCACCCTTGCCTTCTCTGCTGTAGGCCAATGCTCACAGTTACTCTCTCTGTGTGGAATGTCTATTGCTGGTATTTCTCTCTTATCCATCCTTTACGTTGGTTATCTCAAATGCCTCCTTGCCCTAAAAGCTTTCCCCAGTTCCTCGTCTGGGAATAATTATTGCCATCCGTGCGAGATTCTCTAACGCTTTGTACGACTGCTTTATTTCAAATTCTGCTTTATAGTTCTTTTGTGTACACACACAGATTGTTTCTCACGTTCTATTGAAAGCTGCTTAGGGGAGGAATTGTATTCTATTTTGTTAATCTCTGCATCCTTTCGGCGCCTAGTAAGAGTCTTGTACGAAACAGAAATGTCTCTCCTTCGTAAAATTCCTCATCGGGAGCTGGGACTGTGAATTTTTGTAACGTTTAAGAACTATCTGTTATTTAAGAACAAACACTCTGCTTAACTTGTTTAGGGTTCACTAGAGCGAGTAAGACCTTTTTAGGGCACGCCGTCTCGCTGGTTGTCACACACGCATGGATCGCTGCCGGGACCCTTAGGTTTGTCTGCAAACACGTGGGTGATAAGCGCTACCCTCCAGGCCCCTCCTCTGTCCACGGTGATTGGCGGACCAAACGTTCCAATCATCCCTCCCCGCCTCTTTCGGCAGTAGCCAATCAGAGACCCCGAGCGCCTCCTGACTACTAGACACTGTTTACTAACAGATCGAAGCTGGGGAATAAGGGGTGTGACCGTTCTGGGGAGGTCAGGGAAGGGAAGGTCTTGACTGCGAGTGCGCACCAGAGGAAATGGGCGGGGCAGAGCTTTGGGTCTCACCAATCGGAGTGGCGGCGCTCCTCCCTCTCCTGCCTCCCCGCCAAGCAACAACAATTCGAGGAGCGAGGCGGGGAGGCTCGTGAAACGTCACAGCGTACTGCCCAATGGGAACCGGCGTTGGCAGACGCGCGCGCCCTGTGTCCAATCAGCGAAGGCGGCTCGAATGGCTCCCTTACCTTGCTGGCTGTGGGCGGAGCGGCCTGAGGAGGCGGCGGTGGAGCAGGGGGCGGTTTGGTTGCGCGGTACTAGCGGTGCCCGCCGAAGGGGGAGGAGGCGAGGAGCGAGCCGTGCGGCCAGAGCGGGAAAGAGACTCGTCTTTGCGTCCGAGTTCTGGAGCCGCCGCACCCCGACTCCTGGGGCCGCGGCAGCGGCTGCGAGGGGACGGGCGTCCGCTGTCTCCTGGGTTCCCCTCGTAGCGACCCGCGGGATCGGAAAAAAAGGAGAAGATGGAGGAGGAGGGTGGCAGCAGCGGCGGCGCCGCGGGGACCAGCGCGGACGGCGGCGACGGAGGAGAGCAGCTCCTCACTGTCAAGCACGAGCTGCGGACTGGTGAGCGACCCCGCCCTCTGCCGGCCGGGCCCGGCGCGGGGGCGCGCCTGAGGGCACGCGGGTGCCCGCGCGGGGCTGGGGGCGCGGGGCCGCAGCCGTGGGCGCGGAGGGGCGGGCCTGGGGCGGGGCGTCGCGGTCGGGGCGCGTGCCCCGGGGGTCCCGGGAGGTGGGGGCGCGCCTTGGGGGAGGCGGCCGAAAGTTTTCCCCAGCCCGGGAATGAGCGGCGGGCACCAGGCATCGGGGCCAGCGCAGCCGCCGACCGCTGCCCGTGGCACGCACCTCCGAGGATGTCGCTGCTCCCCCTTCCCGCACAGGTGACACACGTGTGTCTGCGTCCTGTCAGGGCGAAAGGTGCGCCTGCCTCCGCGTGGGGCGAGCGGCGCTTTGTTTTGGAGAGTGTCTCCCTCCTCCGCCCCTCTGGTCCCCGCGATGGGGGGTCCCGGTGGGGCTCTGTGGAGCCATCCCCTAAGGTGCTGGGGTCCTGTAGGAGATAAACGGGAGGTTTCGCCTCGGGCTTTTACCGAGTCCAGTCTAGAGACAGGAACAGGAATCGCCGGCTCCAGGGATTGAGTGCCTTTATTCTCACTTATCATGAAATACTATACTTGGCCTTGAATTTCCTTCAGAGGTCCCTGGAGATGATGGCTTTAGAAATTTAAAGCTCCAGGTAAAAGGAACTAACGAGCAGGCTTCAGCGCTTACGTTCTAATGTTTGAGATCACTAGCGTTGTCCTAAGCTTTATAACTAATTAAATGTATTCGTGGTGTAGGTTCAGGTTGTTCATTTTGGAAAATGCTTATTCAGACCAATCAGTACAATTTGGATTTATATTCTTGGAGCCCAGTCTCGTATTGTAGATATATTAATACTTTTTTCTCTGAACAGATAGTACATTTTAATGAGTCGTTCGTTATTACTAGATATGTTTGTGAGCGTTGAAGGTTTTTGACAGAGCTGCTTTGGCATATTGGGATTTTTTTTTTTTTTTTTCAGACAGAGTTTCGCTCTTGTTGCTCAGGCTGGAGTGCAGTGGCATGATCTCGGCTCACCGCAGCCTCCGCCTCCCGGGTTCAAGCGATTCTCCTGCCTCAGCCTCCGGAGTAGCTAGGATTACAGGCATGCGCCACCATGCCCGGCTAATTTTGTATTTTTTGTGGGGGCGGGGTGGGGGGGGCGGTCCTCTCCACGTTGGTCAGGCTGGTCGCGAACTCCCGACCTCAAGTGATCCGCCCGCCTCGGCCTCCCAAAGTGCTGGGATTACAGGCGTG
The DNA here is from genome assembly GCF_000001405.40 of Homo sapiens. Lineage (NCBI taxonomy): Eukaryota > Metazoa > Chordata > Mammalia > Primates > Hominidae > Homo > Homo sapiens. The sequence goes on along the minus strand of NC_000014.9, from coordinate 91,059,062 downwards.
AGCCACCGTGCCCGGCCGGGTTATTATTTAATTGTGAAGGCACAAAAGCTTAAACGGCAGGATTCAGGTGTCCACTAGTACATCTTGTTTCTGTTTTGAACAGATTGGAAAGTTAGCTCTGTCCGTCAGTTCTTTCAGTTTTTGTTATTTCTACTGAGATTGCCTATAAGCATTCCATTGGGTGCCAGTGTGGTGACTTAATTCAAGAGAGATGTCAAATTCATGCTTCTTAATTCAACATTTGTAAACATTGTTTTTTTGGTCATTGTGAATCTGTTATACATCTTGAGCCAGCTGTTCCATATTTTTGAGTTCCTAACATAACCTGTATGAATTCAGGTGATTTGGTTTTTCTTCTCTCAATTTCATAGACAACTGATATTTTCAAAAGACCCTGACATGGTTTACTCAGTATACATTTATTCGGATTTGTGCCACACTCAGTGTCAGGTGCTTTCTGGTGTGAAGATTTTGAATTTTTTTCTTGTCTTACATAACGATCCACTGATTTATATGTATGGAATCCTACTGTACAGCAAAAGCTACTTGAAGTCATATGCTTCTCAGCCATCGACTGTGGTGCAACAAGCAGCTTTTTGCTAAATGACCAAGGAGCAACCTGCTTGTTATTAGTAGTTAACCAACTGCTTGGTTTCTGGATTTTGCAAACAATGCTAGTTTTGTAGAAAACAATGAGTACTGCTTTATTTCCCCCTCTCTTCTAACTGTGTGAATCATCAGCTTCAAGTTCGCATTTTAGAAATTTTTCTGATGGATGGTGAGATTATACTGAATTCATTAGTACTGTTAACTGTCAAAGGAAACGAACAATCATTTTGATTTATTACTGAACACTGGAACAACTGACCGGATATAGTGGTCAAAAACACTGTTAAAATATAACTTGAAAGAGTTGCTCATCTTCAGCCAACTGCACTTCTTTCAGCACATGATCTATAATAGGCACCAGAGTAATTTGATCTGATATGGTCCCGTCTCAGAATGTAGATAAGCATCTAGTTATATCAGGCTGGCAGTTGGTGGTGGCTCATTTGTGCAGAACACTTTATTGTATTCCATAGGATGAATGAAAAAGCAAAAAACGTCCCATGAAAGGACATGGAGTTGGAAGACATGATTCTAAATCCCGTCTCTGCAGCTTAATATGTAGACATCGGCAAGTCACTTCACCCTTTCAGATTCACATCTTTAATCTATAAAATGTGAGAATTGAATGAGACACTGTTGGAAAAGTGCTAAGCGGGTTGCTTGGCATATAGTGGGCCCTTAGGAAATGTTGGTTGAATGTATATATAAAAATCATTCCATAATAGTATCTTATCTTGAAGTGTGTGAATTAATCCAGTGTAATTTGGGAAACAAATCACTCATTTAGTGTTTAGCCTATGTCACATTGCCTGGCTGTTATCTTTTTCTGTATATGTCCAGTCTTCTCATGTAGAGTGTAAATTCGCCATAATCTTTGCGGCTGCTCAGCAGCCTGTGTGGATCTCTTCAGTAACAGTTAACACACGGTACTATAATAGTCCATTTACTTGTATTACAGTCTAATACAGATTAGACTGTAAGGTCCTTGAGGGCAGGCAGGCAGGCAGACACCATGTCCTTTGTTTATTTGCAGCCCCTGGCATATAGTAGGTACTTAATATTTGTTGAATGGATTCACTGAATGCATGAGAATCCAGGAGCAAGTCTAGTAAGTTTATTGTATTACCAGTGCCTTGCAGATGTTAGGTGGTTGATAAGTGGATGACAGTGACTGTAAAAGCTGAAGAATGCAGAGTATAGGATTGAACAGATCACTTAAACATACATTTCTTGAATGTATGTCTAAGAAAATGTCCCGCCCTCTAGTAGTAGGGGAGGAGGCCATATAAACCAGTAATTAAGATAATACTGCCTTGGGAGGCTGAGGCGGGTGGATCACGAGGTCAAGAGATGGAGACCATCCTGGACAACCTGGTGAAACCCCATCTCTACTAAAAATACAAAAAATTAGCTGGGCATGGTGGCACGTACCTGTAGTCCCAGCTACTCGGGAGGCTGAGGCAGGAGGTTCTCTTGAACCCAGGAGGCGGAGGTTGCAGTGAGCCGAGATCATGCCATTGCACGCCAGCCTGACAACAGAGCAAGACTCCCATCTCCAAAAAAAAAAAAAAAAAAAAAAAAAAAAAGATAATACTGCCTTAAGTATAACAGTAAAGGGATATTCAAGTATAAAGTTAGCAAAGAATGGGTTAGGACTTTTAGCTTTCAAATAATCAAATCTTCAACAACAATAACAAAAAGGATATTATTGGAAGGAGATTGGGTTATCTTACCCACTTATTTAGTAAGTATTTTATTTCCTCTTACATACTGGGTGCGATTTTAGATGCTTGGATGATAGGACATGTATGGTCTGTCCACTGGAAGAACTGGGTTGCATCAGGAACCATTGGAAGCAGAAACTTAGCATTGTCTGTATTTTGTCCACCTTGAATCTCTGCTTGTCACTATGTGATGGCTTTATTCTTCCCCACTACTGTGCCACTTTTCCCACATGGGAAAGATCATGCTGTTGATAGACTGCAAGTTTTACATCCTACAGCTTCCACTACTGAAAAGACACCGCCGCCTTCTCAGCTTCAGTTATAAAGATCTCAGGGAAGGACTTTTTTGGCCTGCCTTTGGTGAGGTATCCACTTTTGGATCATTCACCTAAAGCCAGGGGATGGGATCATGTTTTTGTAACATGGCAGCAATTTCTGTAAACATGGATAGGGATAAAACTAAACTCTAAGAAGAGGAGGAGTTGCTGGGAAGACATTTACTTAGATGCCTGTTATTAGGAGAGAGAGCCTAACATTGAGGAGAAGGTCGAGGAAGTTTATGTATTGTGGTGTAACAAATTATTCCAAACCTTAGTGGCTTAAACAACATGATTTGTGTGGGTCAGGAATTTAGGAGTGGCTTAGCTTATTGGTTCTTTTTTTTAATCCTAAGTGAATTAACACAGGAAGCTTCTTGATTCTAACTCAGGGACCCTCATGAAGTTGAAGTCAAGGTGTTGGCCAGGACTGCAGTCACCTGAAGACTTGTCTGGGTCTAGTGATTCCCCTTCCGAGATGGCTTACTCACATGTTGGCAGGTTCCTTGCCATGTGGGCCTCTCCATAGCGTGGCTTGAGCATTCTCATGACAGGCAGCTGGTTTCCCCAAAAACAAGTGATCTGAGAGACAGCGAGGTGGAACCTACCATGCCATGTCTTTTGTTGTTGTTTTGTTTTTTTGGAGACGGAATCTATCCAGGCTGGAGTGCAGTGGTGCGATCATGGCTCACTATAATTTCAAACTCCTAGGCTCAAGAGATCCTCCTGCCTCAGCCTCCTGAGTAACTCTGGGACTACGGGCATGCACCACCACACCTGGCTAATTTATTATTTTTTTGTAGAGACAGGATCTCATTATGCTCACACTGGTCTCCAACTCCTGGGCTCAAGAGATCATCCCACCTGGGCCTCCCAAAGTACTGAGATTACGGGTGTGAGCCAACCTGCCCGGCAAAATTAATCCATTTGTAGCATGCATCAGTACTTCATTTTGTTGTTGTTGTTGATAAATTGTGTTCCATTGTATAGATATACCAAGTTTTGTTTATGCATTCACCACTTGTTTGAAATTTGGGTTGTTTCCACCTTTTGGCTATTGTAAATAATGCTGCTTTGCACATTTGTGGACAAGTTTTTGTGTGGACCTATGTTTATTTCTCTTGGGTATGTAACAGCAGTAAAACTGCTGGATCACTTGTTAAAACAAAGCTAAACAAAGTCTGGGTTTACCTTTGTAAGAAACTGCCAAACTGTTGTCCAGAGTGGCTGTATCATTTTATATTCCCATCAGCAATTTATGAGGCCTCCAGTTCCTTCACAGCCTAACCAACATTGTCTGTCTTTTTGCTTATCATAGGGAGTGTGAAGTGATTTTCCATTTCCCTAATGCCTAATGACAAGCATCTTTTCATGTGCTTATTGGCCATTTGTATACCTTTGGAGAAATTTGATTCAGATCCTTTGCCCAGTTTAAAATTGGCTAGTTTGTCTTTTTTTATTATTGAGATATGAGAGTTCTTTATGTATTTTAGGTACATGTCTCTTATCAGGAATATGGATTTGCATATATTTTCCTCCATAAATGAGCTGTCTTTTCACTTTTTTGATGGTTTCCTTAGGAGCACAAAAGTCTTTAATTAAAAAAAAATTTTTTTTTTTAAATAATAGAGATGGGTTCCTGCTATGTTGCCCAGGCTGGTCTCGAACTCCTGGGCTTAAGTGATTCTCCCTCCTCGGCCTCCCAAAGTGTTGGGATTGTAGGTGTGAGCCACTGTGCCTGGCCTAAAAGTCTTTAATTTTTTTTTTTTTTTTTTCTGAGACAGAGTCTTGCTGTGTTGCCCAGGTGGAATGCAGTGGCATGATCTTGCCTCACTGCAACCTCTGCCTCCTGGGTTCCAGCAATTCTCATGCTTCAGCCCCCTGAGTAGCTAGGATTACAGGCGAGTGCCACCATGCCTGGCTAATTTTTGTATTTTCAATAGAGACGAGGTTTCACCATGTTGGCCAGGCTGATCTTGAACTCCTGTCCTCAAGGGATCCACCTGCCTCAGCCTCCCAAAGTGTTGGGATTACAGGTGTGAGCCACCGCTCCTGGCCCTAAAAGTCTTTAATGTTGATGAAACCTTTTTTTTTTCTTTTTCATTTTATTCTTGTGTCTAAGAAATCATTGACTAATTCAAGATTATGAAGATTGATGTCTCTGTTTTCTTCTAAGAGTTTATGGCTTTAGCTGTTACATTTAGATCATTGATCCATTTTAAGGTAATTGCTGGATATCATGTGAGGTAGTGATTCAGACTCATTCTTCTGCATGTAAATATCCAATTGTTCCAGCACCATTAGCTGAAAAGACTATTTTTTTCTCCATTTTAATGTCTTGGCACCCTTATTGAAAATCAGTTGACTATAGATGTATGGGTTTATTTATTTTATACTCTCAGTTCTCTTCCAGTGATCTATATGTCTCTCCTTATAGCAGTACCATGCTGTCTTGACTACTACAGTTTTTTAGTAAGTTTTGAAATTGAGAAGTGTGAGTCTTATTCTTCAACATTGTTTTGGTTATTCTGGATTCCTTGTATTTCCATATGGATTCTAGGATCAGCTTGTTAGTGTCTGCAAAGAAGCCAACTCAGTGGCATTCTGATAGGGATCTCATTGAATTTTTAGTTAAACTTTGGCAGTGTTGCCATCTTAGCAATGTTAAGTCGTCTGATCTATGAACATGAGATGTCTTTCCATTTATTTAGGTTGTCTTCAATTACTTTCAACAACGTTTTTCCGTTTAAGGAGTATAAATTTGCACTTTTGTTAAATTTATTTCTAAGTATTTTATTATTTATTTATTTTTTGATGCTATAGTAAAAGGAACTAGTTTCTTACTTTTATTTTTGGATTGTTCATTCCAAGAGTATAGAGGTACAGTTTTTACCTTGTGTCCTGCAACCTTGGTGAACTAGTTTATTGGTTCTAATAGTTTAGTGGACACCTTAGGATTTTCTATTTATAAGATTGTGTTAGCCATGGATAGAGATAATTTTACTTCTTTCTTTCCAATCCAGATATCTTTTGTTTCAATTTCCTGCTTAATTGCCTTGGCCAGAACCTTCACTATGGTTCAATAGAACTTGCAAGAGCAGACATCCTTGTCTTATTCCTGATCCTAGGGTGAAAGCTTTAGTCTTCTACCACTGAGTATGGGGTTAGCTATGGGTTTTTCATAGATGTATTTTATCAAATTGAAGAATTTCACTTCTCCTCCTAGTTTGGGTGTTTTTTTAAATCATGAAAGAGTGCTGGATTTTGTCAGATGCTTTTTTCTGCATCTATTAAGATGACCATTTTTTTTGTTCTGTTCATATGGTGTATTACATTAATTAACTTTTGAATGTTAAGCCAACCTTGTATTCCTGGGATAAATCTTGTTTGTCATGGTATATAATCCTTTTTCTTTGTTGCTGGATTCAGTTTGCTTGTATTTTATTAAGGATTTGTATCTATATCCATAAGAAATCTTTGTAGTGTTCTTTTTTGGTGATACCTCTGTCTAGTCTCCCCAAAATATTCTTGATTGAGTTCTGTCACCAACTAAAGAGCTTTTTTTTTTTTTTTTTTTTTGGAGATGGAGTCTCGCTCTGTTCCCAGGCTGGAGTACAGTGACGCGAACTCTGCTCACTGCCAGCTCTGCCTCCTGGGTTCACGCCATTTCTCCTGCCTCAGCCTCCCAAGTAGCTGGGACTACAGGCACCTGCCACCACGCCCAGCTAACTTTTTTTTTTTTTTGTACTTTTAGTAGAGACGGGGTTTCATCGTGTTAGCCAGGACGGTCTCGATCTCCTGACCTCATGATCCATCCGCCTTGGCCTCCCAAAGTACTGGGATTACAGGCTTGAGCCACCGCGCTTGCCTAAAGATCTTATCTATTTGATTAGTGGTATCCATATTTACAATCTCTTAAGTAAATCTGTTTTTTTTTTTTTTTTTTTAAGAGACGAGTCTACTCTGTTGCCCAGGCTGGAGTGTGGTGCTGATCTCGGCTCACTATAACCTCCGCCTCCTGGGTTCAAGTGATTCTCCTGCCTCAGCCTCCCAAGTGGCTGGGATTACAGGCACCCACTACCATACCCAGGTAATTTTTTTTTTTTTTTTTTTTTTTTTTTTTTTTTAGTAGAGATGGGGTTTTGCCATGTTGGCCAGGCTGGTCTTGAACTCCTTACCTCAGATGATCCATCTGCCTGGGCCTCCCAAAGTGCTGGGATTACAGGCATGAGCCACTGCATCTGGCCTTAAGTAAAGATTTAACAGAGGTAGGGAGTGGACTGTAGTTCTAAGTCAGCCCCTAATTTGCTATATGACCTGGGATAAGTCATTTTGCCTTTCTGAGCCCAAGTTTTTTGATTCATAAAGTAAAGGTGATGGACTGAGTTATAATCAAAGTATTTACGAGCATTAAAGCTCTTCTGTGGCATTTCCATGGAAATTCTGGTATAGACAAAGTTAGTTCCTTGTCTTTTCCCGATCCTAGGGGGAAGGCTTTAGTCTTCTACCACTGAGTATGAAGTTAGCTGTGAGTTTTTCATAGATGTTCTTTCTCAGGTTGACAAAGTTCTCTTCTATTCCTAGTTGGTTTGGGTGAGCTTTTTCTTTTTTTTTTAAATCTTTCGGCCAGACATGGTGGCTCATGCCTGTAATCCCAGCACTTTGGGAGGCCGAGGCAGGTGGATCACCTGAGGTCAGGAGTTCGAGACCAGCCTGGCCAACATGGTGAAACCCCATCTCTAGTAAAAATACAAAAACTTAGCTGGGCACGGTGGCGGGCACCTGTAATCCCAGCTACTTGGAAGCTGAGGCAGGAGAATTGCTTGAACCTGGGAGGCGGAGGTTGCAGTGAGCTGCGATCGCACCATTGCATTCCAGCCTGGGCAACAACAGCAAAACTCTGTCTCAAAAAAATAAAAAAATAAAAGGATGTTTCATGATAAAAAGTCCAGAGTGGTGATTTACTTTATTGTTGTTGTATTTTAAAATTTCATTTTATTGAGACAGAATCTCACTATGTTGCCCAGGCTGGTCTTGAACTCCTGGGCTCAAGCAGTCTTCCCATCTCTGCCTCCCAAAGTGTGGAGATTACAGGTATGAGCCACCATTCCCGGCTAGTGATTTACTTTATTTATTTATTTATTTATTTATTTATTTATTTATTTATTTTTATTTAGACAGGGTCCCACTCTGTCGCTCAGGCTGGAGTGCAATGGCGTGATCTCAGCTCACTGCAACCACTGCCTCCTGGGTTCAAGTGATCCTCCCACCTCAGCCTCCCAAGTAGCTGGGACTACAAGTGTGTGCCACCACACACCGCCACGCTTAGCTTATTTTTGTATTTTTTGGTAGAGGTGGGGTTTCGCTATGTTGGCCAGGCTGGTCTGGAACTCCTGACCTCACGTGCTCCACCTGCCTCGACCTCCCAAATGGCTGGAATTACAGACATGAGCCACCACACCTGACCCTATGATTTACTTTAAAAGATCATCCTGTTTTACCAAAGGATTCATGTTGGATCTGTTGAAAAACAACAGTTCCCTGCTGCTTTTTGAATGTGGTTCCATTAATAATGATTTGATTTGTAATTAGCTTTTAAGAAACATAACTATTAGTTCCAATAAGATACTTGCTTTTTTTTTATTTTTATTTTTTTAAACAAACATAGCTTACAAAAGCAAGCCGGCTGGGCGCGGTGGCTCACGCCTGTAATCCCAGCACTTTGGGAGGCTGAGGCGGGTGTATCACCTGGGGTCGGGAGTTTGAGACCAGCCTGGCCAACATGGTGAAACCCTGTCTCTACTAAAAATACAAAAATTAGCCAGCCATGGTGGCAGATGCCTATAATCCCAGCTACTTGGGAGGCTTAGGCAAGAGAATTGCTTGAACCTGGGAGGCGGAAGTTGCAGTGAGCCGAGATTGTGCCACTGCACTCCAGCCTGAGGGACAGAGTCAGACTGTGCCAAAAACAAACAAACAAACAAAAAACAAGCCAATAAGATGCTTTGTTTTTGTTTTTGTTTTTGTTATTTTTGAAGATAAGGTCTTCTCTGTTGCCCAGGCTGGAATACAGTGGTGATAATAGTTCACCGCAGCTTCAAACTCTTGGGCTCAAGTGAACCTTCTGCCTCAGCCTCCCAAGTAGCTAGGACTGTAGGCACATACCACCATGCCTGGCTAATTTTCTTTTTATTTTTTGTAGAGATAGGGTCTTGCTATGTTGCCCAGGCTGGCCTTGAACTTCTGGCCTCAAGCAATCCTCCTGCCTCAGCCTCCCAAAGTGCTGAGATTATAGGCAGCCCAGTAAGAAACTTTGAAAGATTTCAGTGACAGTTGTAGTTATGTATGAGTACAGTGCAGCTCTCCTTTTTATACTATACATATGTAAATGTATATATTCATGAGCTGCATAATGACATTTTGGTCAATGGCAGACTGCATGTAGATTGTGGTCAATGAAATTGCGTTACTGTATTTTTACTCTACTCTTTCTCTGGTTAGATACACAAATACTTAAAATTGTTTTACAGTTGCCTATGGTATTCAGTACAGTAGCATGCTGTACAGGCTTATAGCCTTGGAACAATAGGCTATATACCATATACCAGGTGTGTAGTAACCTATACCATCTAGGTTTGTGTAAGTAAACTCTATGGTGTTTGTGCAACCATGAAATCACCTAATGATGTTTCTCAGAACATGTTCTCATTGTTAAGCAACGCATACTGAATATGTGTGTGTTGTGTGTTTGTACTTTTTTTGTAGTACTTGTCTCTTTTTTCTTTTTTCTTTTTTTTTGAGACAGAGTCTTGCTCTGTCGCCCAGGCTGGAATACAGTGGCGAGCTCTCAGCTCACGGCAAGCTCCGCTTCCTTGGTTCACGCCATTCTCCTGCCTCAGCCTCCCGAGTAGCTGGGACTACAGGCGCCCGCCACCATGCCTAGCTAATTTTTTGTATTTTTTAGTAGAGATGGGGTTTCACCGTGTTAGCCAGGATGGTCTCAATCTCCTGACCTTGTGATCCACCCACCTCAGCCTCCCAAAGTGGTGGGATTACAGGCGTGAGCCACCGCGCCCGGCCGACTTGTCTCTTTTTTTCACATTTTCCTCACTTTGAGAAGAGTAGGAAGAACTTGTGCTCTATCTTTTGTTTATAGGATACATTGGGATGGTTAAAATACGAATAGATTATTAACAGTACTCTAATTTGGTTCCCTAGTGCCTAGACCTTAAAAGAAAATCCCTTCTTAACTTTCTACCATGAATTTTAGAGATTAAGAAAATGATCTAATGGGTCAAAGAAGGTGACATCTTATCCCTTCTGTCAAGGGGGATTCAGGTATAGTTTGTATTTGTAGTCTGTAGCGGGGAAAAGCCTCAGATGTTAAGTCTAATACTGTATCAGACCCAACATTAACCTCTGCTCCAAAGCAAGGAAATATTCTGAAGCCTCAGCTTCCTGGAGACACAAGTGGTTTGATGAACAGGATTGAATTCTTCCCTGTGAAAAAGAAGCTGATTCTTGGTGAAAACTGCTCTAGGGAAAATCTAACATAATAACATCATGTGTTAGTTGAAGCTTCACAATTAAATACACTGTTGAGAGATGTCAATCCTAAAGTGCTGTGGGAGGGAGGGGTTGTCACAGTTATCTCCTTTGAGCTCCCATCATGATTTACAGATCTCTCTGTGCACCTCAAAGGTATGATCACTCCTACATTCATCTTGTTTTTCAGGGAAGATGAATAGGGTCTAAAATAGAACCTTGGCCTCATTATGTTTGTTTCTAGCAGTGTCCCTCTCGGTTCAAGTGTAGCTAGCTATTCCTCCAAAAATCACAGAAGTTCTATTTTATATACTCCTAAAGTTGTGAGTGAGCTGGCTGTCTCACTTTTTTCTTTCTTTCTTTTTTAAAAAAGTATTCAGTAGGCATCCTCCCCTGTGACTGCAGGGAGAATGAGGAAGTAAAGTTCCTGATTTTTAGTATAGTGCTTGGGGTATTGCAGTTATTTTATTTCACACTCAAGTTTTTGTGTAGGTGTGCTTCTTTTTATATAGTCAGTGTGTTTTTGGCAAAAACTGCGTAAATAATATTTTTGTATATCCTATTTTCTGGAATATAGAAAGTGAATTTGGTACTTAAAATAATTATATCATTAATTCTTGTATTTTAAAAATGTTTTAAGTTTTCCACTTGTGGCTCTTACTGTTATGTAGATTTTCCTAGTACTATTCTTACAATTTAGGTAGCTTCAAGCAAATACATGATGAAGGCTTGTGTGGTAGGCTGAATAATGACCACTCCCCCAAGATACCCACATCCTAATCCCTGGAACCCGCAAACATGTTGTCTTACATGGCAAAAGAGACCTTGCAGATGTGATTAAGTATCCTGAGATGGGGAGATTATTTTGGGTAATCCATGTGGGCTCAATGAAATCACAAGAGTTCTTGTAAGAGGGAGACAGGAGGGCCAGAGTCAGAGAAGGTGATGTGAAGATGAAGCAGAGAAAAAGAGGAGGAGATATGAGGAAACAGATCAGTGATGCCATTGCTGGAAGGGAGGCCATGAGCTAAGGAATGCAGACAGCCTCTAGAAGCAGGGGAACAGATTTTCACCTAGAATATCCAAAAGGAACACATCTCTGCTGTCACCTTGATTTTAGCTCCATGAGATCCAGTTTCAGACTTTTGATCTCCAGAACTATAAGAAAACGAATTTGTGGTGTTAGTAAGCCGTGAGGTTTATGTTAATTTTCTACCGCAGTTACAGGAAACTAATACAACTTACTAAGATTGGATTAACCAGGAGATAATTTTGCCCCAAGATATGGGTGACTAAGGGTGATAACAGAATGTGAAGCAGTCAGTTATTTAAACAACTGTTTTGCCAGAAAATGGTAACACGTGTCATTCTTTGTAGAAGTAGAATGGTGTCTTCTCTAATGAATCTGCAGGGAGACATTCCTTTCTGATCTTAGCACCAAGGCTAGCTGTGCTGCTTTTGACCAGCTGTTCTGTTTTTCATAGGAGTGCTCTGAAGTGGGTGGCTGAGCAGACCTCTTACCAAGTTGGTGGTTAGAAAGTGTCAAATCTCAGGCCTACACCACTTAGAAGTATGGTTTGGCATGCATATTGAGTCTTATCCTGGCAGTGTTTTGTGCCCTTGTTCTTTCTTCTTATTTTCTTATGGTTTAATTAATGCTGGTAATTTGCCTTACATCTTTTCTGGACCAAGGCAAGGATTAGGTAAACATATAATTAAATAAGTACATTTATATATAAACATAAGTAGTAGGGAAAATATGGGAAGATATTTGACTTTATGTCCAGTGTTTTGCTTCTTCTTCTTTTTTTTTTTTTTTTGGAGACAGGGTCTTGTTCTGTTGCCCAGGCTGTAGTGCAGTGATGTGATCACAGCTCACTACAGCCTCAATGACCTCCTGAGCTCAAGTGATCCACCTGCCTCGGCCTCCCAGAGAAGTGCTGCGATTACAGGCGTAAGCCACCATGCCGGGCCTGTTTTGCTTCTTAAATAAAATCTTTGTCATATGGTGTTCATGCTATTTTTATATTTCTTTGAAAAAGAGAAGTAGTAAGGTCTCTGATTAATTAGAAGCACTTTTAATTTTAGAAAATACGTAATGATAAACAATAAAATGGGGGCATACTTAAAAGAATGCTAGAGGTAAAAGGGTGGAGAATCATACACAGGTCTGTCTTTGTACGATGCGGTTTTCTATATAAGTAGAATTCTCCATCATTACCTGGAAAATTCAGTCAACTGAAGCACTCTGTCCTCTAATCACATCATAATAATCTGAAGTGAGATTATGTATTTTTTTAAAGGAAATATTTAAGATGTGTAATAAGGATAGTGTCACACTTTCTATCTAAATATGATGCTGCATGAAGACAGCATGAACAGAGTCTTAGCGGTAGATTTGCACTAGCCCACTCCCATGATTTTACCTATGTTTTTTACCTTTATACTAATGTTACTTGTGTGTATTGAAGCATCATAATTAGGGCTAAAATAGAACAAACATAATGGGGCCATATGCAAATCAAACTCATAACTTTGACCTAATTTTGTCTTGTATAAGTTGGGCAAAACAGCCAGTTTTATTCACCCATAAGGGTTTATTGAATTCCTACTGTGTGTCTGGCACTGCACTAGATGCTGGGTTTTAGTAGGGAGCATATTAGACCTGGCTGCCACGCTTATTGTATAATACCTAAGAGAGAGACCTTAAATACATAATCACTAAATAACTAACCCTATGATTGCGATTATGATGAACTCAGTTAAGAAATACACAGTTCTGTGAGAGAACCCAAAAGGGATGATGGCAAGCTTCTGGGAAGCAGTCGTGTTGAAGCTGAGGCCCTGGTTGTTGTGGGGTGAAGAGCGGGGAAACAAAGCCTTTCTATCAAAGGAAGCAACACAGATGGTCTTCCAACACAATGGGAAATGGCTTGGCACACTGGAGTTACTGGAAGGAAGGTGTCTGGCTTGAGTGTGACATTCAAGCAGGAGAGTCACAGGAAATGGGGCTGAGAAGGGAGCCAGGGCCATTTCATGCAGGGGTTTCTAGAGTTTAGACATTGAGTGTCATGTGAAGCCATTGAAAGATTTCCAGTTGAAGAATGATGAGATTAGTTTTGCTTTGTAACAAGATGACTCCTATTTCTGTGAGGAGAGTGGGTATAGAGATTATATGAAGGGAAACCAGGTAGGAAACTACTGTGGAAATTCAAATGGAATATAAAGGTTTAGAATAGGTAACAATTGAGATTAACAATTGTGAATGTGTTTGAGATTCACTTAGGAAATAAGAATCAGCAAAGGCCAGGCGCGGTGGCTCATGCCTGCAATCCCAGCACTTTGGGAGGCCAAGGCAGGCAGATCACCTGAGGTCAGAGATTCGAGACCAGCCTGGCCAACACGGCGAAACCCCATCTCTACTAAAAATACAAAAATTAGCCAGGCATGATGGCAGGTGCCTGTAATCCCAGTTACTCAGGAGGCTGAGTGGGAGAATTGCTTGAACCTGGGACACAGAGGTTGCAGTGAGCCAAGATCACGCCGTTGATTGCACTCCAGCCTGGGTGACTGAGCAAGACTCCATCTCAAAAAAAAAAAAAAAAAAGAATCAGCAGAACTTGGTATTGTATTGACATGGGGTTTTGTGGCTGGAACAAATGTGTGTTTGAAGATGCTGTTTATTGAAATGATGTAATTATTTTCTATTGCTGCATAACAAATTACCACAAATGTAGTGGCTTGTAATAGCATCCATTTATTAGCTCTCAGTTTAGTAGATTATAAATCCTTATGAGACCTAAATTATTGTGTTAGCCAGACTGAGTTCTTGTCTGGAGGCTGTGGGTAAAAATCTACTTCCAAACTCATTTTTGTTGGTAGAATTCAGTTCCTGTATTTGTTCCCCAAGGTTCCAGTTTCCTTGCTGGCTGTTAGCTGGGGGTTATCTTCATTCTTCTCATTTGTCTCTTCCACCTTTTTTTTTCTTTTTTTTTTTTTTGACACGTCTCGCTCTGTTGCCCAGGCTGGAGTGCAATGGTGCGGTCTCGGCTCACTGCAACCTCTGCCTCCTGAGTTCAAGCGATTCTCCTGCCTCAGCTTCCCGAGTAGCTGGGATTACAGGTGCCTGCCACCACACCTGGCTAATTTTTATAGTTTTAGTACAGACGGGGTTTCACCATGTTGGCCAGGCTGGTTCGAACTGCTGACCTCGTGATTCACCCGCCTCGGCCTCCAAAAGTGCTGGAATTACAGGCGTGAGCCACCGCACCCAGCCTGGGTCTTCAATCTTTAATCCAGTAAAAGTGTGTCAAATCCTTTCCATACTTTAACTTTCTGACTTCTAAACCCCCTTCTGTCTGACCTCTAGGTACGGATTTAAAGGGACTCATGTAATTAGGTTAGGCCTACTTGGGTAATTTTCTTTCTTTCTTTCTTTCTTTCTTTCTTTCTTTCTTTCTTTCTTTCTTTCTTTCCTTCTTTCTTTCTTTCCTTCTTTCTTTCTCTTTCTTTCTTTCTTTCTTTCTTTGTCTATCTTTCTCTCTCTCTTTCTCTCTCTCTCTTTCTCTCTCTTTCTCTCTCTCTCTCTTTCTTTCTCTCTCTCTCCCTCTCTCTCTCCCCCTCTCTCCCCCATCTCTTTCTCTCTTTCGTTTTACTCTTGTTGCCCAGGCCAGAGTGCAATGGCGCGATCTCGACTCACTGCAGCCTCCACCTCCTGGGTTCAAGCGATTCTCCTGCCTGAGCCTCCCAAGTAGCTGGGATTACAAGTGCCCACCACCATGCCCAGCTAATTTTTGTATTTTTAGTAGAGATAGGGTTTCACCATATTGGCCAGGCTGATCTTGAACTCCTGACCTCAGGTGATCCACCCTCCTTGGCCGCCAAAAGTGCTGGTATTACAGGCGTGAGCCACTGCGTCCTGCCTACTTGGATAATTTTCTTATCGTAAGGTCAGTTGATTTAGGACCATAATTACATCTGCAAAATCCCTTTATCACAAGTGTGTGATTTCGTGATATTCACTCACTCAAGGGGAGGAGATTATACAAAGGCTAGGGTCATTGGGGTCATCTAAGAATTCCTCCTTAGAAGTCACAGAAGATAGTGAACCAGGGGAAATGCGTATCGGGGTGGGCAGAAAAGATAGGATCCAGTTTTGTACCTATCAAAGTAAGTTTGAGATGCCTTTGACATATTCTGATGGACATCTATGGTATAAGTAATCATAGATAATGTGCTAGATAGTAGGTGCTTTCATCAACTCATTTAACCTAAACAGCAACCCAGTGAAGTGAGAATTATTATTATTCTTCTTCCAATCTACGTATAGGAAAACTGAGTCTTAGTGTGCTCACCGGCTTGTTCAGGGTTACTCAAGAAGTAAGTAGAAGAATCGGTTGTGAAACTGAAGCAGTTTGGCCACAAGGCCCATCTAAAGCACTGTGCTTAGTGGGATCAGTAGGATATGGGTCAGGAGCTTGTAAAAGAGGTCTGGGTTGCAGATTAAAATCCTAGCATCATTGACCATTAGATGACATTTAAAGCCAAGGTAGTAGGTTAGATCATCTTAGGAGAGATTTTAGAGTGGAGAGGAAGAAGACTCAGAATTGAGTCCTGAAAAACTCCCAAAATTAAAGGAATCGATAGAAAAAGAGTTGCTAAGAAATGATACAGAGGAGGAACAGCCAGAAGAAAAACCAGGAGAAAACCTAGGAAAGTTGTGGTGTTTGGAAGCTAAGGAGAAAAGATGCTTTAGGGGGTGGCAGGGGATCAATTTGACTGACTACCTAATGGCCTCATCAAGAACAATTTTGGTGGAGATTTGGTGGGAGAAGCCGGATTGGAATGGATTGAGGAGTGAATGCAGGTGAAGATAACTTTTGAGAGACTTGGTTCTGGAGGATATTAAAGAGAGGGACTTAGCCAGAGAGCTATATGGGGTTCAGGAAGGGTTTATTTGTTGTGTCCTTGTTTTAAGATGAGTGATGGTAGAGCGTGCTTAAGTATTACTAGGCTGGACCTAGCCTAGTACTACAGTTTCATAGCTATTAAAACTGTACAAGATGGGATAGACGATGGTGTCATGGTCCTGAGAAGGGGGATGGGATGTTGTGCACCTGGGGGGTTAGGAGGTCCGATAAAAGACTTGCTTTTATTATTTAATGGGAAGGAAGAGGTAGAGGATACAGGTCCATTTGCAGATTTGGTGGCAGGAAGATATGGGAGTTTTGAGTTTCGAGCATGATTCTTTTTCTTCTCAAATTATGAAGAAAAGGCAATTCTTTATCCAAAAAGAGAAAAATAGCATCATTGTTTTTTAAAAATTGTGATTCTGGTCTTCAAAAAAATTCTTTTTTTTGAGATGGAGTCTCACTCTGTGCCCAGGCTGGAGTGCGGTGGTGCGATCTCAGCTCACTGCAACCTCTGCCTCCCAGGTTTAAGAAATTCTCTGCCTCAGCCTCCGGAATAGCTGGGATTACAGGCGCGTGCCACCAAGCCCAGCTAATTTTTTTTTGTATTTTTAGTAGAAAAGAGGTTTCAGCATCTGGCCAGGCTGGTCTTGAACTCCTGACCTCGTGATCCACCCACCTCGGCCTCCCAAAGTGCTGGGATAACAGGTGTGAGCCACTGTGCCCAGCCAAAAAAATTCTTAGATATGGAAAAACACAGAAAGTTGACACAAAATGTATATGCTATAAGATGAAAGTTTATAGAATGTTATAGAACAACTTACTGAAAGAGGTTTTCAGGCATAACCATTGAAATGCTTCTGTACTTTCCACAGAGGTCATTTCCCTGAACGTGTTCTCTGGATCATGCCAGAATTCTTAGTAAGCTTAATGTTCTCTTTCTCCTTTTTGAAGTGTTTTATATTTAGTTTAGTTCTTCTAAGTTAAATTTATTTGGTACATGTATTGGGAAAAAAAAGCCTGTTTGTTACTGCTTTATAAGCATTTGTTTTCTTATTGACTCAGCTTTCATACTGGCTCAATCATGTAATTCCAAAATCGGTTGGATATGTAAACACTGCCGTTTTATACACCAGAAGTACAGTAAGTCTTCAAGGTAAGTGACCTGACAATAAGAGCAAAGTGGGCAGCATTGTTTTAAAGTACACAGATATTAAATATAACTTGGTTCTGCCTCCAGCAGAATGCTGTCCAGAGACACGGTTTGAGGCCCAACCACAAATCTAAACAGCTTCAGAATAGCTTAGCACCTGGCAGTTAAAAGGACTTGAATGTGCTAGCTATTTAGCTTATTTTTAAGTTCTTATGTATGCCCTAGACTTGGGCTAATTGGACCCTGTAGACAGGAGTTAAAGATTTTAGATTTCAGAGTTATGTATGTGTTGTCAATACTATACTGGGCAACCACTAAATTAGAGCTTATCTGGTAAATTGCTTTATAAATAATTTATTTCCGCCTGACAAAAAGAAAAAAATAATCTCAAATAGCAGAAAAAGATTTTTTTCTCTCTGCATACAATTGTCACCTTTTGACTGAAGCTAAATTAGTCTAAGAAGCTTATGTTTTGTGATGTTGAGTAAAAAAGACAAGGGAAATGAAAAAAAGTTGTTGTCCCAGTAAATGAGAGACTAAATACATATTTCCTAGTTGGCATATTGAAAGCGAATCCAAGCCTATTAAATAAGGATGATTGAGTCAGATTGTGCTTTGCACCTGTTTTTGAAATCTTCTGCTTCCTCAGAGACTTTACTCCATGTTGTTCTCCCCTTTTCCTGATCCTCAGGTTCTCCTTCCCACAAACACATTTGAGTCTTTTTGTAAAAAGAAAAAAGAAAAAAAAAATTCTCTGTCGCCCTCTAGTTATTTCTATTATCCCTCCTTCCACTAGTTTTTGCAAGAGCAGTTGATACCAGCTGTTTCTACTTCTTTATGCCCCATTCACTGGATCTGCTGGAAGATCAAGCTTCCATCTCAAGCACTCCACTGAAACTGCTTTCACTAAAGTTACTAATGTCTCCCTGTTCCTAATCTGGTGGAAATGTCTCAGTTTGAATCTAACCTAATTTCTGTAGAGCACTCAGTGCTTGGATATTGGTACTTTCCTCCCCTTGCCCAGTGACAAACTGTGCTCTTCTACCTGGTTCTTCTCAATCGGTGACTGCCTCATCTCCTTACATTAGCTGCTATCTCTGCTTGTGCCTTAAATATTGGTACTCCATTGTCAGCCCTGTTTTCTTGTAACTGTATGCATTCTTCCTGGGAAAGCAAATGTTATCATTGCTTGAACTAGTATCCAGGCCCTATTTTCAGCCTACATCTCTTTCAGGTTTTCAAGACCCTTTCTTGAGTTTCTTATCACTTCTAGCAGCCCACTAAACACAAAACATTTGGATAGTCCACAGGCACCTTAGACTCTGAGGTTAATAATACTTTTTCTTCCAGCTTTCCATGTTTTATTTTTTAATTTAATTCAATTTAATTTAATTTAAGAGGCGGACTTTCGCTCTTGTTGCCCAGGCTGGAGTGCAGTGGCATGATCTCGGCTCACTGGAACCTCCACCTCTCGGGTTCAAGCGATTCTCCGGCCTCAGCCTCCCAAGTAGCTGGGATTACAGGCATGCGCCACCACACCCACTAATTTTTGTATTTTTAGTAAAGATGGGGTTTCTCCATATTGGTTCTAGGCTGGTCTCAAACTCTCGACCTCAAGTGATCTGCCCGCCTCAGCCTCCCAAAGTGTTGGGATTACAGGCGTGAGCCACCTCACCTGGCCCCATGTTTTATTTAGTGGCATGCCATTCACTATTCTGCCAGGACTCTAGTTAGAAACATCCAGACTTCTTCCTCTCTCTCACATTCTCCCCACCCACCAACTTACTCTCCTAGTTGTGTCAGTTATAACTCTGAAATATTAATACCTCCTTTATTTGTTTCTTGCTCATCATTGCCATTACCATAGTCTAAGTTCAGTGTCTAATCTAATGATAATAGCTATCATTTATTTAGCTTTATGTGTCAGGCCTCTTCCAAGATTTTGCCTATCTTACTTAATTTTCACAGCACACCTATGTGATGGGTACTGTATTTGACACCTGTGGTGCGCAACCTCATCCTTCTATCTGCCTTACTCTGGAGTCAAGCTGTGGCTGTGGGCTGTGACAAACAGTTCTGTTTGGGCTTCAGCTCACTTCAAGGTGATGGCACCTGGTTTTAAGCACATATTGCTGCACATTGTTTACTTTCCGTCCCAGGCTTTTGACTCCTCCAAGGCTTAGTTCTCTGGTGGGAACTGGCTCAGGAAGCATAAATGTGCATCTCAGAAACATAAGGACCTTGATGTCCCACTGGGGCAACCTTCAACTAATGGAGTATGAGAGCTGAAAATAAATGCTTATTTGTATTGATCTGAGAGTAGAAAATTCTGAGGGGCATTCCATATGTTCCTCAAAAGATCCAGATCAGATTGAGTTGGTAATGCATTTTTGTATTGGTTTTTCTTTATTCTCGATTTCACTCTCAATTCCTCCTCACTTCTGATTGGGATTACCTTCCAAATCGCTTTCATGAATCCAGGCTAAGACATTTATTATCTACCATGGTTCTAGAAATTGACAATATCCACTGGGATCTCAGAGTGGATGACTTACTGGTGAGACTGCAACAAGGACCCCATTGCTGGTGGTAGTGGGTACTAATAGCCCCCTGCATGCATCACAGCACAGTTAATAAGACTCTTACCTTCAGGGGATTGGGACTAGAATTGAATGGAAGGTGAAGAGTTGGGTTAATTGATAGCTCTAGGACTTGAATGGTATGGGGATGGTGGAAATCAATAAGGATTTGGAGTTAATGGACCTCTTTTAGCTTTTGAAATCTTGAGGACAAGAGATCAGCCAGTTATCAATGCAGGGTACACTGTGAAAAGAGGGCCTATGGCAGCATTTGGAAAGATCCCCATTGCTTGTGACTATAGGACAGATTATGCCAAAAATCAGGCTGAAGATTTAATCATAAGGGTGAAAGAGCTGTATACCTTCTGTGGTGGGTTTGTACTGTGTCAACTGGGCTAAACTGGAATTATGTTTCCCAGAACTCCCTTCTAGGCTCTAGATTAGCACTGGCCATGAGACATTTTGAGTGAGATTTGGAAGACAGAAGTGAAGCAGCAGCAGCTGGATATATTTTATGGCTAAAGATTGGTGCTGGTACTAGGCACTGTTGTAACTCCCACACATGATTGCTAAGCTGCTGTGTCATATTGTTGGTTTGGAGCAGTAGCCAGGTCTGCGGCTCCTTCAGCTCTTGTTGCATCACTGCCATCAGCTTCTGGCAATTCTGGGCCAGTGTGTACAGCTTTTCTGCAGGTTATCTGAATCATTGAGTTTGGAAGCCTGAAGGTGGTGAGAGACAGACATGGACTCTTGTTTGTCCTCATGGGTTCCAGATTGTCTTTGGGATTCCAGTCTATTCTTACTTTTTTCTATTTTGTATTACTCTTTCCTTTACAACTCCAGATGTGGAAGCAGTCTTATACAGACTCTTTAACCAACTCCCACACCTGTGTGAGGCCAAACTCCTATATAAGTCTCTTATTGTATAATTCATAGTGGTCCTACCTCTCATACACCCTTGACAGGTGTTCAGGGCCAAAGTCTGACCCTAACATGGGAAGAGTAGGACCCTGATGAAATCTCAGAAGGAGACTTCTAAGTGGATGACCTGAGAATCTTGAACTCCTTAATTTTCCTGAGTCCTCTGGATAGGCAGGATCAACACCTTGTTAGAGAGAATAACTTTTCCTTGTTTGGAAACCAGGCAGAGATCACATAGAGATGGATTTCTTACAAGGTGATACTTGTTCTCCTTAAGCTCTGTCCCATCTCTCACCCCTATTTCCTCCAGAACAATAGCTAGACACAATCTCAGCATAGCCTAATCAGGGATGTTTTTCTTATTCTGGGAGTAAATACTCAAGCACGTAATCCCAGGACCTGGCTAATATGTACCAGTAGGAACAGAAGGAACATTTAGGGAGGTGGATCTTGCAGGTCTTGCCTGGAGTGGGCTGGCGGAATAATAAGGATGAATAAGGGAGAATTTATTAACATGGGAACGCTATTCGTAACTCAGGATTTGACATCCTAATAACTTGGTCCTAGGATACACTGGTGGGATGGTTTCTTGAAGCTTGGACATGAGTATGACCTATAGTACATTAGATAAATATGCAAGAACTTCTTTGGCAGAGTATATTGAGATCAGAACTCACAGAGAAGAGAGAGTTTTAGAATGGATTTACTATATGAGACTGGAGAACACACTATCTGACCATACTTCTTAGGAAGGTCCAAAGAAAACACTTCATTCACCAAGGTAATTAAGAATGCACTGGTGAGGGGACACAGGCTGGAGTTGATAGGAGATGCTTCCATGGAGCTATGTTCCCTAGTATCCATAGCAATGATAGGATTTTGGAATGGCATAGGCCAGATGGTGATACCATTAGGGCTAGGGTGGATGTAATTACCATAATGGGCCACAGTGGCATTCAGGGTGTCTTTATCCACAGAGATTTGGGGCAGTGACTAGGATAGGTCATGGGGCAAGAAAGATGACAGCCAACTAGGATGTTAGTTGACTTGTATGATTCAGACCTTCATCTCTGGGGGATCTTCTCTTGCCTTGCTGTTGTTGGGCTGTGGTTGCTTCCAGTGCCTGTTTAGAATTATTCAGCAGGCATGGAAGCAATAAAAAACATTCCACTATATCCCTTGAGTTCAAGATAAGTTCTTTCCTGTCCCCATTAGGTAGTAGTTTCTCCTTGAAGACTCAGTGACCAAAGGCAGGAGGGGATTCAAGCTGTATTCTGTTAGCTCTCTCTTAAGCACCATTTGACGTCATCTTCAAACTCCCTCATGCAAGCTTTGACTCATGTTATCCCAACAGTGTCTTGTCTTGAGCATGCTCACTGTGCATCTTTTCCTTTCTGCTCCAAGGCGTCTCCACTGTCCACCCAGCAGAAGGTACAGGTGAGAGAGCATACAGGCATGTGCAGCCTGGAAGTGCTAGGAAGTTAATGCTCCCCTTGGGCAACCCTGAACTAGAGGGGGCAGGAGCCAGTAGAGAAATTCTTTTCCTTGTCCTTGCACAGACAATTGACAATTCTGAGAGCACTCTAATGGTTCCTTAGGGAATCCTGGCAAAATTGAGCTCCAGTTACCCACAGCAGTGACCTCGATAAAGGTAGCTTTTTATTGGCATATGCTCCTTTCCAGTTTCATGTTCCTTGGTCCTTTACTTCACCTTCCAGCTAAATTATCTGCATGTAAATGTCCTTTTCTGATGTGCTGCTTTGGGGAAGAACCCAGGCTCATACAAGTACATTTGTTATTTGTGTGCATGGATCTGTTTGTCTACCTGCCTTCCTAGCTAATCTGCCTATTCATCCACCCACCCACCCATCCATCCATCCTGTTACAAATAAAGGACTTAGAGTGGTAAAAATACTTGATCAGCACAGCTTTAGTAAATGGTAGAGTTTAGTTCTAAACTGAGTTCAACTGAATCAAAACATACTCTCTTCTTCCTTCATTATACTGTCTTCCGACCTTTGAAGATGAAATCAGTAGGCCTTAGTTAGCTTGTCTTTCCAAGTCCTCAGTGGTCTGGAGCTTCTTAACTGTCCATACAGGTTGGTTATAGTTCACCAGTATACAAGTTGGGCCATGCACATGCCCATCCATTTGTCAATAAATTCTTTTCCTTTTCCTGTGCTTCACTGTGGGGAGTTGCACCCCCCACAGTCTATTTTGAAAATGTCTGTGTACTCTTTTCTGTTTCTTTTTTGAGTCCTGTCAACTCATTTCGTTTCTTTCTTTTTTGTTTGTTTGCTCATTTCTGTTCTTAGTTTTTGTATTTCTGCTTCAGGATTTTTTTTTTTTCATACCCTAAGTGCTTGCTTGAAGATACCTAATTCAGTTTGGAGTGTTGTATTACCATATTCTTCAGCTTTGGGGTTTTTTTTTTTTTTTTTTTTTTTTTTTTTTTTTTGAAGGTGAGGGTTTCATCAGCTGAAATGCTTTGATTAGCATCTTCTGATTTTCTTTTTAAACAGTTTTCTGTGTCTCTGTTTGGCTTTTTTGGGTATATCTCTTCATTTTCTACTTAAAACATTCCATAGCCCCCTCCTGTGCAGTAGCTTTTATAGATGATGTTGGGGGAGGAGATGGGTTTGGTATATCTTGTTTCTCCTTCATTTCTGTTGGATCCTTTCTGTTTTTCCTCTTGTTTCTTTCTTTCCCTTTACTGCAGTGTTTCCAAATGTACCTACCCTTCTATCTGGTTTGCCCTCACAAGCTGTGCTTCTCCAAGGCTAACCATCACACCTGTTTCCTGGCTGGTGCTTTAAAGCACCCACGTCCTGACTTATGTATAATATTTTGGCTTTTATGGCTGGACTCTTTCTGGGGGATGATTTTGTCTTGCTTTGTCTAAGTCCATGCCCCCCTACTCATTTTTAGTGTCCCATAAGCCTCCCTTCCTTAGTCTTGCTGTAGCAGCAGCTCTGTTGGAATTTGGTCTATTTTTCTATGACAGGTAATTTGAAGGTTGTAATACTCTGTCTCCTAGTACTAGTACAGCGTGGTTCATATGCAGTTTTACTTGTTGGTTTTATGGTCTTTTTTTTTTTTTAAGGGTGAGTGGGGAGATGTGAAATCAGGCAGACTTCATTGATGCCCACATCCAGAAGTTTCTGTGTACTTTTAAAGGCTTAGCTCAAATTATCATCTTTCCTTTGAAGTCTTTCCATATAGCTTTCCAGTTTCCATGCTCAGATATTCTGTTTCCTTGTGTTCTAACTACCTTACCTCTCCCTAATTACATTTGTTATATTGCATTGTAATTATATATTTGTCTCCCCTCCCCCCATCAAATTGTGAACACCTCTAAACCAGCAAACTGTTTTTTTTTTCTTTTTTGTGGTACATACTATGTGCCCACTAAATGGATTGACTTAAAGCAGAATAGAGGAACACTTAATGAATGTCACTGTGTCCGAAATTTATTCCTGCTGGTGGGTTCTTGGTCTCGCTGACTTCAAGAATGAAGCCATGCACCTCGTGGTGAGTGTTACACCTCTTAAAGGTGGTGCATACCCAAAGAGTGCACCGCAGCAAGATTTATTGTGAAGAGTGAAAGAACAAGGCTTCCACAGCGTGAAAGGGGACCCGAGCAGGTTGCTGCTGCTGGCTGGGGTGGCTGGCTTTTATTCCCTTATTTGTTGCTGCCCATGTCATGCTGATTGGTCCATTTTACAGAGTACCGATTGGTCCATTTTACAGAGTGCTGATTGGTGCGTTTACAATCCTTTAGCTAGACACAGAGCGCTGATTGGTGCGTTTTTACAGAGTGTTGATTGGTGCATTTACAGTCCTTTAGCTAGACACAGAGCACTGATTGGTGCGTTTATAATCCTCTAGCTAGACCCCACTCGACCCAGGAAGTCCAGCTGGCTTCACCTCTCATCACCTCAGACAGCTATGAATAATATGAATATTTTGGGATCAAATTTATCTTTTTTTTTTTTTTTTGAGACAGGGTTTTTACTTCTGTCTCCCAGGCTGGAGTGCAATGGTGTGATCCTGGCTCACTGCAACCTCTGCCTCCCGGGTTCAAGCTATTCTCTTGCCTCAGCCTCCCAAGTAGCTGGGACTACAGGTGTATATCACCATGCCCAGCAAATTTTTTTGTATTTTTATGTAAGGGTTTTGCTGTGTTGCCCAGGCTGGTCTCTAATGCTGTGGCTCAGGTGATTTGCCTGCCTCAGCCTCTCAAAAGTGTTGAGAATACAGGCATGAACCACTGCGCCTGGCCTAAAAAGAATTCTTTATGCTGCATACAGCATAGCCTTATGTTCTTGGATTTATCTACATTGTTGTGTGTTAGGTGTATTGTATTCATTTTCATAGATTTAAACTTATGTGTATGAAGACTATAATTTATCTACTTTACTGTCAATGAACATTTGAGTTTTCTTTTTCCCTATTAAAAACAATATTGCTGTAAACGTTTTTTGTTTCATCTCTCCTGGTACAAATGTATAAGAGTTTCTCTCAGATACATGCCTACAAGTTAAATACTCTAGTGGTCATGGAGGTATACACATCTTCACCTGTACTAGATAATTCTGATTTTATCTCAAAATAGTTTTATTAATTTATACTCTTAACAGTACTGTGTAAGTAATCTGGTTGTTCTTCATTCTGTCCAACAGTTTTTATTTTTATTTTATTTTTGAGACAGAGTCTTGCTCTGTTGCCCAGGCTGGAGTGCAGTGGCGTGATCTCGGCTCATTGCAAACTCTGCCTCCCGGTTTCAAGTGATTCTCCTGCCTCAGCCTCCCGAGTAGCTGGGATTACAGGCATGCACCACCACACCCAGCTAATTTTTTGTATTTTTAGTAGAGGCAGGGTTTTGCCATGTTGGCCAGGCTGGTCTTGAACTCCTGACCTCAAGTGATCTGCCCACCTCGGCCTGAGCCAGGTGTGAGCCACAGTGCCCGGCCCAACAGTTTCTATTGTCACGTTAAAAAAAATCTTTTCCAATCTGATAGGGATGAATCTTACTGTCATCTTATTGTGATTTTAAATTTACATTTTCCTTATTATTAGTGAGGTTGAACATTTTTCTTTTTTCTTTTTTTTTTTTGAGACAGAGTCTCACTCTGTCTGCCAGGCTGGAGTGCAGTGGCGCCCCAATGTCGGCTCACTGCAAGCTCCACCTCCCAGGTTCATGCCATTCTCCTGCCTCAGCCTCCCGAGTAGCTGGGTCTACAGATGCCCACCACCACGTCCAGCTAATTGTTTTTGTATTTTTAGTAGAGACGGAGTTTCACCGTATTAGCCAGGATGGTCTCAATCTCCTGGTCTCGATCTCCTGACCTCGATCTGCCCACCTCAGCCTCCCAAAGTACTGGGATTACAGGTGTGAGCCACCTCGCCCAGCCAAGGTTGACCATTTTTCATATGTTTATTGGCTGTTTAGATTTCTTTTGTGAAGTGCTTATGTCTTTTTCCTATTTTTCTGTTGTATGTTTTTCTTTTTTTTTTTCTATGAATTCTGTGTAGCAGTTCTTTGGCAACTCAGAAGTCTTGCTTTTCTTGAAAGTGTTCTGTCTTTCCCGTGCATGTTTGCTTATGTTGTTTCTTTGATGTGGACTATATATTCCTGTTAAAACTCACTCAGTTCTTCAGGACCCATAGCCGTCAAGCATGAAGCTATCTCTGATGTTCCAACTAGATGTGTTGCCCCTGCCTCTTTGGAATTCATGCAGCACCACATTTTGGCTGTAGTGCATAGTTAGGTATTATAGTTTTTTTTTAATTGATTCCGTTCACTCTAGCAGATAGTGTGCTTTGTGGGGAGGAACTGTTTCATCATCTTTGTTTCCCAGTGTCTGTCATAGTAACTGTGCGTGTTTAGCTGCAAGTAAGAAAACTCAACTACAGTGGCTTAACTAAAAAGGATTTTTAAAATCCTTGCATAACAGGGAGTCTGGAGCCAGGAAGCCCAAGCCCCTAAGAATCTAGACTCTTTCTGCTCTGGCAGGCTTAAATGTGTTTTAGCTTTTGCCCTCATTGATTATTCACATTCACAAAAGAATATGGGAGAAGAGGAAAACAGTTTCTAATGTAGGTTTTGAAATCCTCTTTACTAGACTTTTCTGTATGTTGAATTTTTGGTCACATGGTATCACATGGTCATCATTCTGCAAGGGAGGCTATGAAATCAGATATTGAGCTTCCCAAGGGGAGAAGGTAGTTGAGAATGGTGAGAACGGTGTTTAAGTGGACCTGCCTATAATGTCGCCCGCAAAGAGTACTCAATAAATATTCTTTGTTTAATTTTAAAATTTTTATTAAAACGATCCATATAAATACTTAGTCAAATAGTACAAGAGGGATTTTATTCCCAGTTTCTACTCTTTTCTAATATTTTCTACCAATTTCAAGTGGCATTTTAAAACTCTTGAGTCATCAATTTTAGACCTGTTTTATTTCCCTGCCTGTCTACTTAATGAAGTTATATTATAATTTTGGTTGAATCCACATTCAGTTTTTAATGGCTATATAAATATTCATTGTGGGGCCAAGTGTTTTATGTTTTTTTTCCTTCCTTAAATAAGTTTTTTTTGGTTGTTTTTCCTGGAGTTAAATTACCCCAGTCTTTTCATTCACTTAGCTTTCTTTGAGTCTCTAAGTGTTTCTACATGTTTTAACAGCTTTATAAAATACTTTTCATTATGATTTTCTATAGGTTAGATAACCCATGAGTTCTTTTTTTCTTAAAGACAGTCCTTTGTGGAACTCTGTTCCGTCTCTTCCATTCTGGATTGGTTTCTTTCTCAACTTTGTGTAACTGTCATAATGGGATTTTCCTTCACTATCATCCTGGGAATTATGTGCTTAATCCTGTTTCCTGGATCCAATGGCTGTCCTCTTTTTTAGTATTATATCTGTGGCGCATCCTCCAGTAGATTGCTGAGAAAGCTTGCATAGGAGATTTTTTTTTGGAAAAGCTTTTTCAGATATTAAAATGTCTTCATTATGTTCTCATATTTGTGACAGGTTTGCTTGGTTTAAAGTTGTAGATTGAATTGTTACTTGGGATTTTGAAGGCATTATCCCATTGTCTTCTAGCTTCTAATGATGCTGATGAGAAGTTTGATACCATTCTTATTTCCAGTGGTTTGTATGTGACCTATTTTTTAAAATCTCTGGAAGGTTTTAGGATCCTCTCTTTATCCCTGGTTTGGAATTTTGGAATTTTACATTTATATTTTAAAATTTATTTGCTAAGCACTGAGTATGCCCATTAAAACTCCTTTAGTTCTGGGGATATTTTTTGAATTAGTCCTCCTCTGGGTTCTTCTGTTCACTTTTTCTAAAATTCTCTTAGATACTGGATTTCCAAGATTATTCTGTGTTTTTAAATTTTTTTAATCTCCTGTTGTTTATCTCCTTGCATCTTTACTTTACATTTGGTCTCTTTCTTTAACTTTATTATCTAGACCTTTAATAGGCTCCCCCTATACAGATTTAAAAGTTTTCTAAGAGCTTGATTTTTTGTTTTATTTCTTCTTAATTGCTCTCTTTTTCTATTTTATGGTTGAACTATATACCTCCTTAAGGATAATTATACTTTTTATGAAGTTATTTTCCTAGTACCCTGGGTTGCCTCTCTTTCTTCTGAACTTCCTTTTTTTTTTTTTTTTTTTTTTTTTTTTCTGTTTATTTTGGTGTCTTGCATGTTAGGGATTTCTCTCAATTGTCTGGTGATCCTTGACTGTTAATGTGAATAAGACACCAAAATGCTGGTTAGAAACTCTGTCTTGCTGGCTGGAGGCTTACATGGTATAGTTTTTCACCGGGAGCTCCATATGTCAATATCAACAACTTTTACCCAAGTTTGTTCATTTTTCCATAAAAGGATCCTCTGGACTTCTTGGGGAACATTAGCCTGGCTCTCTGCTTTCTGAAACCAACAGCGCGTGTGTAGACTTATATATTATTCTGCATTTTCCGTTCTTACCTCATCCTTGCTTCTCTCTATACCCAGTGACCCCAAATCTGGTTCTTCTCCCAGGAAATTATTAATCCTAAGTGTTACGAGTGTGAGGACTTGGGGAATAAAACTCCTTAAATCCGTTTCAGACATTTCCCCTGTTTGCATTCTTTATCTTGCCCTCCCCAGTCCTCTGCCTTTGGTGATTACAGGTGCTTCTATAATTTGGAGCCTTTTGGGGTTCTCTGGGGGTGATTTAGCTTGCTCACATGAACAGTTTCCTCTGCAGGCATTTTAACTTGACCTTTTCCCATTCTGCTGAGTCATTTACCTTTCTTTCAAATGTTTTCCATCCTCATGCATTTTAGCTTAGGGTTATAAATGTCTTTGTGGGTTATTGAATGTGTTTCTGTTTCTTGTTTACCTTTATGTTTGGGGGTATGGAAATGTTTTTACCATGTTAAAATTGGAAGTCAATAAGTGACTTCCTTTTAATGAATTATAGCAATATAATGTACATATATTGTATAATTACTATATACTTGGCACCATTCTAAGTGGTGTACATTTATTATCTTATTTAATCCTTACAATGTCTGGTTTGTGTCAGGCATTTACTTCCCTAAGATTTTTAAATTGTATTTTAAGTCTTCTTATCTCCACAACAAATCCTATAAGGCCAGTACCATTAGCAGTCTTATTTTACAGATGAGGGTACAGAGAGGCACAGAGGTTAAGTAACTTGCTTGAGAATGTATACATTATAGCTAGTAAATGGGTCCTATGCAATGAGACTCTAAGCCACTACTGTTTTAGATAGCTCTCTGCACAGTGCCTACATGCAATGTGAACTTGTTAAATATTTGTAGAATGAAAATTTTAAAGTATACTTGGTTTTATTTTTTTAATTAAGATATCTTTGTAGATATGTCCTTTGGTTAGCTATTGCTTATTTGCTTTTTATTCTTCCATTATTTTCAGTCAATTTTAATATCATAAATAAGGACAGTTTAGTAAAGTGTAAGCTTTTTAAAAGGTAGTATGTTTTCACTCACATTTTTAAAAAGTTTTAGAAAATGGAAGACAATAATAAAGCAAATAGTGGGAAAGTAACATTGAATTTATATGTCATTTTTAGTGAGTTTAAAATTCCCTTTTATGGGCACACAACAAAGAAAGAATAAGTCATTTTCTGTGGTTCGTTGTCTTTATGGATGTCCTTGAATTTTTTAATGTTTATGTTTATCAACGTGCTATCATCCAGATATTATAGATACTTTAAAACTTGCCTTTTTACTTCCAGAAGTGTGACCCAAAATAATAACTACTATAAATAAAAAATTAAATAGATATTTTTCTTTGTGTTTACTACCCCTTCAGATATATTACTTCAGATGTATTTGTGCTAAGTAAACAGGTAATTAATGATATCTAGGCCTATATGAAGATAAATACCTCTATGTATATAAAGTAAACCCATGTGCGTGTATATTAGTGATTCTCTTTATTAAAAATAGGCTGGGCGCAGTGGCTCATGCCTGTAATCCCAGCACTTTGGGAGGCAGAGGCGGGCAGATCACGAGGTCAGGAGATCGAGACCATCCTGGATAACATGATGAAACCCTATCTCTACTAAAAATACAAAAAATTAGCAGGGCGCGGTGGTGGGCACCTGTAGTCCCAGTTGCTTGGAAGGCTGAGGCAGGAGAATGGTGTGAACCTGGGAGGCAGAGCTTACAGTGAGCTGAGATCACACCTCTGCACTCCAGCCTGGGCGACAGAGTGAGACTTTGTCTCAAAAAAAAAAAAATCATTTAAGGCTGGGCATGGTGGCTCATGCCTGTAATCCCAACACTTTGGGAGGCTGAGGTAGGAGGAGTGCTTGAGCCTAGGATTTGAGACCAGCCTGGGCAACGTAGGAAGACCTTGCCTCTACAAATAATAAAAAATTATCCAGGTGTGGTGGCTCAAGCCTGTAGTCTCAGCTACTCTGCAGGCTGAGGTGAAAGGGTTGCTTGAGCCTGGGAGGTCGAGGTGGCAGTGAGCCCTGATTGTGCCTTTACACTCCAGTGCAAGACTCTGTCTAAAAAAAAAAATCATGTAAATTTTCTTTGTAAGGGTGTTATGGATACAGTCATCTTTCATAATTTAAAGTTGGCAATAGCTCGCTTTGGCAATAGCTAACTTTGTTTTCTGGGAACTCTAATTAAAGCATTTTAGTCTTCATCATTTGGCCAAATAAAATATTACATTTATTTGACAGGTCTTACTGCATGTCGTTTGAATTTCATTAGAACTTGATATGTTTGATTTTAATGTTAAGTCATTGTAGTTTTTATATGCTTTTATATGCTAAGTACATTACTGCAGCTAACAGAAATGTTTAGGAATATTTTAGGTTTGAGATACAGCTTCTATGGTGGAGATTCTGGCTCTCCATCTGACACAAGATAGGCCCATTTGTGGTTAGGTGATCAGTTCTTGCCAATGAAATTGAGCAGAGGTTACATGTAAGACTTCAGGGCTGGTGTATTTAACTGTCAGTGTAACTCCTTTAAAAGCTTTATTTCCACTACTTCATCAACTGGCAGTACTCTAGATGTCAGCTTCTCTTTAAACATAGGTTCTGTAGTGAAGAAGACATGTAACAGAACCCTAGACAAGCCACACTGGACATGCAGAATGAGGGAGAAGTGAACTATTATATTAAGCCACAGAAATTTTGGGCTAATATGTTACTGTAATATAATGTAGATAATTATGAGTGATAAAACCTCCTGTGTAGAAAGTCTGGTATGAAGCCTCTCAGAATTTTTTTAAGACTGTGGAGCTGCAAATAATCTACCATTTTTACAAAAACAGACACATAAACCAATAGAACAGCATAGAGAACCCAGAAATACAGCCTCACACCTACAGCCATCTGATCTTTGGCAAAGTGGAAAAAAAACCAAGCAGTGGGGAAAGATCTTCCTATTCAAGAAATGGTGCTGGGATAACTGGCTAGCCATATGCAGAAGCATGAAACTGGACCCCTACCTTTCACCATATATAAAAGTTAACTCAAGATGGATTAAAGATTTAAATGTAAGACCTCAAACTATAAAAATCCTAGAAGAAAACCTAGGAAATACCTCGGACTTTGGAAAGAATTCCTAAGTCCTGAAAAAGCAATTGCAAGAAAAACAAAAATTGACAAATGGGATCTAATTAAACTACAGAATTTCTGCACAGCAGAAGAAACTACCAGCAGAATAAACAGCATACTCAATGGGAGAAAATATTCGCAACTATGTATCTGACAAAGGCCTAATATCCAGAATCTATAAAGGACTTAAACAATTCAACAAGCAAACAACAAATAACCCTATTAAAAAGTGCGGAAAACACATGAACAGACGCTTCTCAAAGGAAGACATGCAAGTGGCCAACAAACATGAAAAAATGCTCAACATCGCTAATCATCAGAGAAAGGCAAATCAAAACCACAGATGCCATCTCACACCAGTCAGAATGGCTTTTATTAGAAAGTAAAAAAATAACAGATGCTGGTGAGGCTGTACAGAAAAGGGAACACTTACACACTATTGATGAGAATGTAAATTAGTTCAGCCACTGTGGAAAGCTGAAAAAACTTAGAACTACCATTTGATCTAGCAATCCCATTACTGAGTATGTGCCTAAATGAATATCACAATAGACACATGCACTTGTATGTTCATCACAGTACTATTCACGATAGCAAAGACATGGAATTAGTGTGGGTGCCCGTCATTGGTGGATTAGATAAAGAAAATGTACGTATGTTGGGCATGGTGGCTCATGCCTGTAATCCCAACATTTGGGAGGCTAAAGAGGAAGGATTGCTTGAGCTCAGGAGTTGGATTCTAGCCTAAGCAATGTTGTGAGACCTCGTCTCTACTGGGAAAAAAAAAATTAGCTAGGTATGGTGGTATACAGCCATTGCCCCAGCTCCTAGGGAAGCTGAGGTGAGAGGATCGCTTGAGCCCAGGAGACGGAGGCTGCAGTGAGCCGTGATCATGCCACTGCACTCCAACCTGGGCAACAGAGTGAGAACAAAAAATCCAGGGCAACAGAGAACAAAATAAAAATGTGGTACGTATACACCATGGAATATGCGGCTATAAAAAATAACAAAATCATGTCCTTTGCAGCAACATGGATGCAGTTGGATGCCATTATACTAGAAGAGAATTTAATTCCGGAACAGAATTAACATCTAAACCTATATGAAGTTCTTACTTGTAAGTGGGAGCTAAACATTGGTACACAGGGACATAAAGGTGGGAACAATAGATACTGATAGACAGTAGAGAGAAAGAAGAGGGAAAAGGCTGAAAAACTACCTGTTGGATACTATGGTCACTACCTGGGTGACGGAATCATTTGTACGCCACATCTCAGCATTACACTGTATAACTCATAACGAACCCACACAGGTACCCCCTGAATCTAAAATAAAATTTCACATTATATAAATTCATCTTTTTTTTTTTTTTTTAAGAGAAAAAGGACATTAGCATTTAGCTTTCCACTGAGGGCAGATGGAGATGGAGTTGGGAGGTTTTAAATCTTTA
Organism: Homo sapiens; assembly: GCF_000001405.40. Taxonomy (NCBI): domain Eukaryota; kingdom Metazoa; phylum Chordata; class Mammalia; order Primates; family Hominidae; genus Homo; species Homo sapiens. The sequence continues at coordinate 91,025,735 of NC_000014.9, read as the reverse complement.
GAACACCTCTGAGAGACTCTCAGACCAACCTGGAAACTTCTCATTTGCCTTGACGATTTGTTTGCTTTTTTTTTTTAGAACTTCAGAAATGATACTTTAACAGTGAGCAAGGACAGATATTGTAGGTCTGGAGGATAATGTCAGTCACCTGATTCCAAATTTTCATGTACATCTTTCCTGCCTCCTCCGCAAAATAATATTAACAAGCTGAAAACCACACATGACCCATGCTTTCAGCATTGCTCAGAGATAGGGAGTATGATAATCTTCAGATTACATGTAATTAGGGAAAGGAAAACAGTACCAAATTTCATAGGGCTCTTCTGCAGTAGTCTTGTTGGGTATGGAATAGTGGAGAAAGGGAAACTTAAGAGACTCAATGAAAAAAAGGAGACTGGGCGTGGTGGCTCACGCCTATAATCCCAGCACTTTGGGAGGCTGAGGCCGGCAGATCACCTGAGGTCAGGAGTTCAAGACCAGCCTGACCAACAAGGTAAAACCTGTCTCTACTAAAAATACAAAAATTAGCCGAGCATGGTGGCAGGCGCCTGTAGTCCCAGCTACTCGGGGGGCTGAGACAGGAGAATTGCTTGAACCCTGGGGGCTGAGGTTGCAGTGAGCCGAGATCGTACCACTGCACTCCAGCCTGGGCGACTGAATGAGACTCCATCCCCCCTAAAAAAAAAAGTTAGACTGGCATGGTGATGCACATCTGTAGTCCCAGCTATTGGGAAGCTGAGGCAGGAGAATCACTTCAACCCAGGAGGCAGAGGTTGCAGTGAGCTGAGATCACACCACTGCACTCCAGCCTGGGTGACAGAGCGAGACTTGGTCTCAAAAAAAATTTAAAAAAAAAATTGGCTCTATGAAAAAAAGGCGAGAGTCCCCAAAACTTTAGACAAAACACATACAGAAATCATTCTCAGAAAGAGAAAATGTCAGCAATATGTGCCAAAATACAGAACCCTGGTCTGGGACTTGTTAGTTTACACCTGTGGCTAAGGAAAAGGGTGTTAAAGTGAGCAGAACCAGAAGGGGCAGCCTCTGAGAAGCCTTGCATTTAGAGGGGAATCAGATAAATAGAAAAGGGGTTGGTACCTTGGAGATGTGACCAGTGAAGAGAAAGAGAAAATTATACATTTTTGCAGAAACAGGAAAAATTACTAGTTTTTCTCTATCATTCATTAAACAAAGTGAACCTCACTAAACTGTTAGTGACTTTTTATACTTAGAATGCTGTGTAATAAATGCCTAGAAATAGAACAAATTACTACAAAACTACTGTAAAAGGAAAACAGAAAATGCAAATAAAAATATTCCTCCAAATCCAACCATTATGTAGAAAAAAAACAGGAATATAATACTCCAAACTGAATAAATGTCCTGAGACAAGCATTAGATGATATAAAAAGAGAAACATAACACCTGGAATCAGGTATTAAAAACGAAGAAAGAAATGGACAAGAAAAGGGAGGAAATGGATTCTGGAAAAAAAATGACAATGACAATTGATTCTGGGAAAAAAAAGGAAAAGACAGAATTGTATCAGAAATGATGAATATATTTACAAGTTCTCCAAGGAAGAATAGATTTAAATACAAATTTAATAAGGGCATTGAAGAAAAGCAGGGGAACACTTAATTAAATACAGAAAGAAAAAATGTCAGAGAAAAAGTGGCTGAAATGGAGAACAGGCAAAGAAAATGTAACATGTAGAACTGGAGTCCTTAAAGAAGAAAAATTATTCAGCAAATGTAATTCTGAGAATAAAAGAAGACTTGAGTATACACATTGAAATGGCTTACTAGGTACTGGGGAAAATTGATAATGATACAATTATCAGTTCTCATAACAAACAGCTCTGAGATATATCCTATTAATACTATTAGACTTCAATATTGAGTGATATTGTTAGATTTTAATATTTTAAAAAATCCTCAGGGCTTTAGGCAAAAAGATAAAATAAATTATAAACGGAAGGATAGTTAGGTTGGCATCCAACTTCTTAAAAGTGACATACAAAGCAAGGCAGCACTGGAGCAACTTTGTGTTGGTGGTTTTTTTTTAAAGAAACTTAGGGAAAGAAAGTACAAAGCAAGAGTTATATCCAACTAACTGCCTTCAAGATTAAGGCTATAAAACAAAGTTTGAGGTTGGGCACGGTGGCTCATGCCGGTAATCCCAGCACTTTGGGAGGCCGAGGTGGGTGGATCATGAGGTCAGAAGTTCAAGACCAGCCTGGCCAACGTGGTGAAACCCCATCTCTACTAAAAATACAAAAATTAGCCAGGCATGGTGGTGCACGCCTGTAGTCCTAGCTACTTGGGAGGCTGAGGCAGGAGAATCGCTTGAACCCAGGAGGCAGAGGTTGCAGTGAGGAGATCACACCATTGCAGTCCAGCCTGGGCAACAGAGTGAGACTCTGTCTCCAAAAAAAAAAAGAAAAAATTTGAGCACTCAAGAGCTCAGAGAATACCCTACACAGGTAGTCTCCCTGAGGATCTACTAGACAATGAATTTCATCCAAACAGATTGAGAAAACAACCTGATGGTGAGCACTTAATATACTTATTTGTAGAGCTGAGACTAAGGAACAAGGATGGGCCCATAGGTAGAAGAGTAGTACACAAATCTTTTTTTTTTTTTTTTTTTTAGATAGAGTTTTACTCTGTTGCCAGGCTGGAGTGCAGTGGCGTGATCTCACCTCACTACAACCTCCGCCTCCTCGGTTCAAGTGATTCTCCTGCCCCAGCCTCCTGAGTAGCTGGGATTACAGGCGTGCGCCACCATGCCCAGCTAATTTTTACATTTTTAGTAGAGATGGGGTTTCACCATGCTGGCTAAGCTGGTCTCGAACTCCTGACCTGGTGATCTGCCTGCCTCGGCCTCCCAAAGTGCTGGGATTACATGTGTGAGCAACCACGCCCGGACAGTAGTACACAAATCTTAAATTATATTGAATATATATTTGTAATTACATAAGTATGCAAGAGCATAAGTACATGTGCATACTTGTTCCCGATTTTAGTTTCAATTTCAATTTCACTTGAAGTCATAGCAAACATCTAGTTCCTTGAAATGTAACACACAGAAACAGAATCAGAAACCATGCAAACCATGTAAACATTTTCAAATTCAGGCATTTATTTCCAGTCTAAAAATGTGGTAGGAAACTGAGGTAGGACCTGAATTCTTAGATGCTCAACCTTTTTTTTCTGCTTTAACTGCCACCAACCATCCTCTAGTTGCTGCCACTCTGATATTTATTGGAAAGACACAGAGAAGTGAGCAGACAGGTTGTTTCATAAGTGGTTTAGTGATGGGTAGCAGACCAGGCTTTCATACTAGGTAGAGACATGGACATTATTGATATACTTCACATTCCATTGGATCCCCATTATAATATTTGGGTTTCACCATTCAATTTGATCATTATTCTTGTACATCATATTCTTGTTCTGAGTAAGTTGGCTATATGCTTTTTGGTTCATTTGGGATGACTTCAATCAGTAAACAAGTTTAAAGTCAGTTTCACATTCAAATAGTTTCCTGCATGAGGAAATTAAAAGCAAATGGTTACAAGTCAACTGAATAAGGCATTCCTTATAATATTATGAAACACGCATACCACATATGTATACAATATAAGTTCATGTACAGCATAAATATTTGTGCACCAGATTTAAATGTATATAAAATGACCTAAATATGCATAAATATATGATCTAAATATGTATGTCCTAGCTCTGTTCATGAAAGAGCCTAGAAGGCAAGGTACCTCAGTAGCAAGCAGCATACCTGATGCCCAGATCTTGGTTTCTATTAAGATTCCATAAGATCTTATTTCCCATTAAAAGGAATCAAGGCTACTTGTAAGAGAACAAATGAAGTTCTCAAAAATAGAAAGAGAGAAAGAAAAAGAAAAGTAAAGAAAGGGGGCATGTCAGGACACAGAGCCGGCTTTTGAAAGTGCTTCCAGTGACCAAATCTGGGACAACTTGTGCATTAAAATGATTAGGGAAAGGCTGGGTGTGGTGGCTCATGCCTGTAATCCCAGCACTTTGGGAGGCTGAGGTGGGCGGATCACCTGAGGTCAGGAGTTAGAGACCAGCCTGACCAGTATGATGAATCCCTGTCTCTACTAAAAATACAAAAATTAACCAGGCATGGTGGCATGTGTCTGTAATCCCAGCTACTCAGGAGGCTGAGGCAGGAGAATCGCGAGAACCACCATGCCTGGCTTATTTTTTTAAATTGAAATAGAGACGGATCTTACTGTGTTGCCCAGCCTGGTCTTGAACTCCTGGGCTCAAGCAATCCTCCTGCTTCAGCCTCCCAAAGTGCTGGGATTTCAGGTGTGAGTCATTGTGCCTGACCAAGAATGAGTATTAAAGCATTGAAAAAAATGGTGATTCATGAGTAGCCTAATAGATAGGTAGATATCTAAGCAGGAATAAGGGAGGTCTCTTCTCTGTGGTGCAATGCTGACTGATAAACTTGGAAGAAGTGGAAGAGTCAGAAAGTTACTCCATTGTAACCATTATAGTAAGGATTAGTTCAGGCAAGAATTGTCAGTGAATGCTCAATCTAGATAGGACATTTTGATGAAGAACAGCGTATTTTTCATGCCCTAAAATGTGTCCCTATGGATTGCTTTATTTCCCTATTGCTTTATCCACCTATACAGTGGATAAACTGGACATCACTTTAACTGGATGATAAATCTAATGTCATTAATGAGGGACAGACTGATGTTGTATGCTTCGGGTTTGGATACCTGCAAAGCACACATCACCTAAGTATTGAACATGCATAACCTGAATGATGATGAAGTGCCAGTGAAACAAAAAATTATATTTAAATAAAAAACAATATTCCTCAACAAAGTCAGTCCTAAAAGACAGAAATTGAGAAACTTCCAGATGAAATGAGACCTAAGAGACATGACAAAATAAAGGCAATATCTGATTATATACTTGATTATATACTGGATTTTATACTCAAGGAAAAAGTGCTGTAATAATGTATTAGGCTTCTCCAGAGACCAGGACCAATAGGATATATACATACACATACACATATAAACACACACACACACACACACACACACACACACACACAATAGGATATATACATACACATACACATATAAACACACACACACACACACACACACACACACACACACACACACACACACAGTCATTCCTTAGCATCCATAGGAGATTGGTTTCAGGATCCCCTATAGATACCAAAATCTGTGGATGCTCAAGTCCCTTATATAAATTGGCATAGTATTTGCATATAATCTATACATCCTCCTACATACCTTAAATCATCTCTACATTACTTTAAATACCTAATACAATGTAAATTGTATGTAAATTATTGTTATACTGTATTATTTCTTATTGTTGTATCATTATGTTTCATCACTTTTTTTGAATATTTTAAATCTATAATTGGTTGAATTCACAGATTTGGAACCCATGGACATGGAGGGCCATACACACACACGTGTACATGCACACACACACACACACACCCACATAAACACAAATGGTCATGTGCCACAGTGACATTTCAGTCAGTGATGGACTGCTATACAACAGTGGTCCCATTAGATTATAATACGGTGTTGTTACTGTAACTTTTCTATGTTTAGATGTGTTTAATTAGACAAATACTTGCCATTGTGCTCCAGTTGCCTATAGTATTCCTTACAGTCATATGCTGTACAGGGTTGTAGCCCAGGAGCAATAGGCTAGATCATCTAGCCTAGGTGTATAGTAGGCTGTACCATCTAGGTTTGAGTAAGCACATTCTATGGTGTTCATACAATGACAGAGTTGCTTAATGATGCATTTCTCAGACAATATCTCCATTGTTAAGTGATGCATGACTGTATGTACAGATGCTACTTGACTTACAATGAGGTTATGTTCCGATAACACCATTATAAGTTGAAAATATCCTAAGATGAAAATGTCTGGCTGAGTGGGAGCTATGGCTTACCGCTACTGCCAAGCATTGTGAGAGAAGTACCGTTTCTACTGTATGTGTATTACTTTTGCAGTGTTATGAAGTAAAAAAAACTGTAAATAGAATCATTGTAAGTAAAGGACTATGTGTGTGTGTATAAATATAAAAAGATTTATTATAAGGAATTGGCTCCTGTGATTATGGAGACTGGCAGGTCCAAACTCTGCATGGTGGCCAGGCAGGGTGGAGACCCAGGAAAGTTAGTGGTCCCATTTGAGTCTGGAGACCTTCTACTGTAGAATCAGGAAGAGCTAGTGTTGCATATAAAGTCTGAAGACTGTGCTGAAGAATTCTTTCTTGCTCAGGAGAGGACAGTCTTTTTGTTCTGTTAAGGCCTTCAACTGATTGGATGACACTCACCCACATTATAGAGGGCAATCTGCTTTACTCAAAGTCCACTGATTTAAATGTTAATCTCATCCAACAATCTCCCCACAGAAACACCCAGGATAGTGTTTGTTTGACCAAATATCTGGGTACCTCATGGCCCAGTCAAATTGACACATAAAATTAACTCCCACAAGTCTACCCCTTTTCAGCTCGGTACCCTTACACATCTCCTTAGGCCTTGCTTAATTTCCAAATAAAGTGAAAACACCGACATAAATCTGCCTAACATGATACAGCTATCCTGTGTACAAAAATGCACTGACCTTTTCCCTAGAAGAGGGTGCAAAACCTTTGGATAATGTGTATTCTTCTGCTTGATATCTTGTAATTTATATGCTATGATATCTAGTTAATACATCTTATGTTTCATGTTAAGAGGAAAAGAGAGGGTAGATGTGTTATAAGTCAGGGTTCTCCAGAGGAACAGAACTAATAGGCTATATGTATACATGATAGGGAGTTCATTAGGGAGAACTGGCACACACAATCACAAGGTGAAGTCCCACGATAGGCCGTCTTGCAAGCTGGGGAAGAAAGAAGCCAGTAGTAGTTCAGTCCAAGTCCAAAAGCCTCAAAAGCAGGGAAGCTGACTGTGCAGCCTTCAGTCTGTGGCTGAAGGCCTGAGAGCCCCCGGCAAACCACTGGTGTAAGTCCAAGAGTCCAAAGACCAAAGAACCTGGAGCCTTGATGTCCAAAGGCAGGAGGAACAGAAGGAAGAATCCAGCATAGGAGAAAGATGAAAGCCAGAAGATTCAGCAAGTCAGCTTACGCCACCTAATTCAGCCTGCTTTTGTTCTAGCCATGCTGGCAGCCGATTGGATGGTGGTGCCCACCCACATTGAGGGTAGGTCTTCTTCTCTCAGTCCACTGACTCAAATATCAGTCTCCTCTGGCAACACCCTCACAGACATACCCAGAAATAATATGTTGCTGGCTATCTAGGCAGCCTTCAATCCAATCAAGTTGACACCTGCTATTAACCATCACAGTAGAGAACAAAGACTTGATTAGTACATATATTAATATATAGACACAAATATTTTTTAAACAAAATAAGGAAATATTCATGACAACCATAGTCCCCATTTCTGTGTCCTAGCTGGTATTTATAACTATCTCCTTCCATTACTCATTCTGTATGCCTTTGCCTTCAGCCAGCACCTGAGATGTTTGTGGTTTTTTACCTGGGAGGTGACCCAAACCTTTATTCCTGAAGGTTCTGGGCCATTAGTATTGCTGCCTGAATTGCGTTGTTGTAGTTTTCTGTTGACTTTAATCACAAGGCATGGTAATACCAAGAGACATCCAAAGGAGATTGCCTGTATTTTAAGCATACTCTTCCTTACCTTTATTGTGGAGTAGCAGTTCAGGATCAGTCACCTGAGCCAACACTGTAACTCCCTCCTTTGCCTGGTGATACAAAGGCATAAGGAGCCCAAAGTGGCCATGTGGCAGTCTTAACTTCCAGTTCAGTGGAATCATTGTTGTGTCTCCTGGTGGAAACATCTTGCCCTTGGAACTAAGACTTCTAAGCCAGCAGAGTATACAGTTGTGGGAACAGGAAGCATACATTTTGCTAGTGGGCTACTAGGGTTAATAGTGAGTGGTGCCACTCAAATTTCCACCCCTTGATTCCTGAATCCATTAACTCTGGCTATGGGAGAAGTGGCACTATTTACTGGATGCTGATTCAGAGCATGTACAGCTTCTTGGAGAACCTTGCCCCAGCCCTGCAAGGAATTGGCATCCATCTGGTGCTGTACCTGAGTCTTCCAGAGGCCATTCCATCAAGCCACCTGCTTCAGGATGGTGGAGAACATGGTAAGACCAGTGAATTCCATGAGTGTGGGCCTACTGTCACACTTCATTTGCTGTGAAGTTAGCTCCTTGATCACAGGCAATGCTGTGTGGAATATCATTACAGTGAATAAGGCTTTTTGTAATACCATGGATGGTAGTTGTGACAGAAATATTGTGTGCAGGGAAGGCAAATCTGTATCCAGAGTAAGTGTCTGTTACAGCAAGAACAAAACACTGCCCCTTCCATGATAAAAGCAGTTCAGTGTTATCAACCTGGCATGGTAGCTTGGCTTACTATTGTCAGCAATGATGCCATATATCGAGACCTAGTATTGGTCTCTGCTGCTGGCAGATTGGCACTCAGCATCAGCTGTAGCCAGATCAGCCTTGGTGAGTAGAAGTCCATGTTGCTGAGCCCATGCGTAACCACCATCTCTGCTACCATGGCCACTTTGTTCATGAGCCCACTGGGTGATGACAGTAGATAGGATGACAGGTGGGAAAGAGACTGGCTGGTATCCACAGAACAGGTCATCCTATCTACTTGATTATTAATATCCTTCTCTGCTGAGGTCATCCTTTGGTGGGCATTGACATAGGAGAATACAAATACCTTCAGTTTTTTTTTTTTTTTTTTGCCTGTTTAGAGAGCTCTAGCCAAATACCTCTTCCTTACACTTTCTTGTCATCGATTTTCCAATCATGTTCCTTCTAAGTCCCTGACCATCCAACCAAACTATTGGTGATAGTCCATAAGTTGATATGTAATCCGATGTCTGGTCGTTTTTCCTTCAAGCAAAGCGAAGAACCGAGTGTATACCACTTTCATTTGATGGTGGAATGCTGCTGTGCATCCCTCACTTTATCGAGGGAGTCTGCCTAAAGCCCAGTGATTTAAATATTGATCTTATCCAAAAAAACTCACAGAAACACACAACACACACATAACTAAATATCTGGGTACCCTAGAACCAAAAAAGTAGTATGTAGTATGTATGAGTGTATTAATAAGATAGAAAAATATGACAGAATGTTAAAAATTGGTGATTATGAACAAAGGGTTATTTTGAATAAGCAAAAAGATTATGAATATGACAGTTGTCTTATTTTGGCAACTTTGCATTTTAAATCATTTAAAAATAAAATTAAAAAAATTAATTGACCACTTGGGAGGCTGAGGCAGGAGGATCTCTTGAGCCCAGGAGTTCAAGGCCAGCGTGGGCAATGTAGTAAGACCCCGTCTCTAAAGAAAAGAAAAAAAAAATTAGTTTACCAGTGAGCACTGTAGTTGTGTTTATAGGCACTAAATGTCTGACTTTTATATGACAACATAATTGTGCTGATACCCTTGCCATAAAATTAGAAGCATTAATTGCTTAACTTCGTTTCAGGGGAGTGGGTTACACACTTCATGTTTGAAATGAGAGCAGGAGGGGACACCAGGGCTGCACACTGCTCTAGCTCTCTAGTGCCTCTAAGTCCCACCACAGCACCCCTGGACTTTTTTCTTCTACATTCAGAATTGGGGTTGGAGGGCAGTTGTGGTTGATTAAACAGTTAGAATGAGGTAAGAAAGGAAAGCTGAATGAAGGCTGGGACAAGACAAGGTGAATCTAGTTTCTTTGGTCACCAGTTTTCATAGTATTAGATTATATAGCTCACTGAGTTAACATTTTTTTAAAAAGTAGGATTATTCTTGAAAAATGAGTTGGCTGTAGTCCTATGAAAGTTTATTGCTGTAAGAACAAGTTATTACAAACTGTTATTTGATGTAAGGCTGCCACATTTCTGTGCTAATAGAAACCAAATTGGCACTGTTAGCAGCATGTAGTCTGGAAAACAGAAAAAGGAAAAGGTGTTGATAAAGTACTTTCTCACAATAGAATTACGTGTAGAAGTGACAGTAGAACTGCAGTGGAAAAATGAGGTTATGACTTAGGAGGAACAAAGTGCTGCTATATTTTCTTACATCAAATTGAAATCTTATCCTTGGAAATAGTACTTTGGACTATAAGAAACTATATCTTGTATGAAAAGTGTAATTCAAAACATAATAAACAAAATAAATTTGGTAGCACTTTGGAAGCTGGAATGTTTGCCTTGCTGTAATGGTTTAATTTTTTTTTTAATCATTCACAAGTTATCAAATTTTTGCTTGCAAAAATACTGAAGCAAGACTTCTATTGTAAATGAAGGTATACCTTAATTTGAGGATAAGGAATGCTGTGCTGAGTGTAGATAGAATGTATCTGTTCTTTATATGTCTAGATTCGGGTTCCAGGTGTGATTGTCTCCAACCTGTCAAATAGTTAATGGTTTATAAACTAACACTTGAGGGAACTAGCTTTTGAAAGTAAATCTTAAAAACCTCTGTGCAATCCTTTTGATTTACTCTGTTGCTCCCTAAATCTTTTTCTTCACATTTTTGTGTATATTAAGTTCAGACATACGACATGGTCAGGAAATGAAGTATTTGAATTAACCATTCTTTTAATTAAACTATTTGTTTTATAATAATAGTACATTTTCAAATAATTTGACTACAACAAATTAGTGTTCCTTGGCATCTTCATTTGGAAATCCCATAGATACTTCATATACTTTTAAAACATTTTATAAAGTTTATGGTCATCAAATATAAACTATAAAGCTGCATATGAAAAAATAATGTGCTATTAAATCACATTATTAAAGCAAATATGTAAAAACTTGAAATATTTAACAATAGTGCATTAATACATGTTTTTTATAAAAATAAGGGATTTTTTTAGAGGATGTAGTATAAGATGTATCAAAAATATGTGCGTTTAGAAAAATAAGCCTTAGGAACTTTATATCGCTATTTAGAAATAAGCAGTTTTTCTAATAAGTAAGGATTAACTTTGATAAGTAAATAATATGCTTGCAAAATTATAACCAAATAAACATTAAGAAAATCCTGATTGAGTCTGAAAATTTCTTTATAATACTCATTTTTTTTGTTTTTTGTTTTTTTTTTTTTTGAGATGGAGTCTATCTCAATTCCCCAGGCTGGAGTGCAGTGGTGTGATCTCGGCTCACTGCAACCTCTGCCTCCCGGGTTCAAGCGATTCTCCTGCCTCAGCCTCCCGAGTAGCTGGGACTACAGGTGCACGCCACCATGCCCAGCTAATTTTTGTATTTTAAATAGAGACCAGGGTTTCACCGTGTTGGCTAGGATGGTCTCGACCTCTTGACCTCGTGATCCGGCTGCCTTGGCCTCCCAAAGTGCTGTGATTACAGGCGTGAGCCACCGTACCCCGGCCTTATAATACTCATGTTTTAAAAATACATTCATGTTTTTTACTTTAAAGCCCTAATTTTTTCTTTTGAGTTATAATTTGCATGCAATAAAGTTCACTCTTTTTGGCATATGGTTCTGTGAGTTTTAACAGATGCTAACAGTTCATGCACAACATTTGGAAAGTTGATCTTATTTTTTATCCCTAGTACTTTATGACGTCGTGGTCACCAGGATTATCATTGTGAACTTTAATGATTGCACTGCAACTATTCAGAATAGATTAATTTTAGTACTTTCCAATGTTTTCTCTTTGTGCTGAGTAGAATTAGTGAATACATATTGAGGAATTTACGTCTTCCTCCCTTTCCCTACCTTCAGTGGCTTAGTGTAGCCTTTATGAATTTTGGCCTTGACTGTTGTTTCAACCTGTACATTGGCTTCACTGTTTTCCATCTCAATTCCTTTCTAGTTTGTTTTCCACGCTGCTGCTGCTGCTGGTCTTTCTAAGATGCAGAACTGATAATCTTCTCCTTAAAATCTTTTATTGCCTCTCCTTTGCCTTCTTTAGATGGGAAGAAATAAAATACTACTTTTTCATATCAAACACAGATTCTTTTGTGAGCTGGCTCCTGCCTGGTGTCTTGCAGTGCCTTTTTTCCCTTTCCTTCCCATGCATCTGCCTGTCTGCACTAATTGCAGATTCTCAGATATGCCATGTTCTCTGTTGTTTTGGTGGTTTTCTGTATGCTTTTCCTTCCTACTCACAGCTTTTTTTTTTACCCTGCTGTTCCTTAGCTGCCTAACTTCTCCAAACCTTCAGATGGGCTGAGATGCTCTCTTATGCTCTTCTGGTACTATTTACCTCATTTCTCTTTAATAGTGCTTGTTCCTTGGACTTGGTCACCTGCCTGAGTGTCCCCTCTGGACCCTGAGCTGCTTGGGGTCAGGGAGTATGTCTGTTCCAGTCTTGTCAGTGCTTTGCACAATGTTGGATATAAGTAAGCATTCAAGATGTTTGTTCAATTAATATACTATAGCTTACATGTAGAGTCTGGTGACTACGTGAAACCTATGAAATAGGGAAAGAGAAGAAAAATGTCTTATGGCATCAGTGGACACCAGAATTCCTTATATGAAGGGAGGTACACTGGGGGCATTGCCTTGACATCAAGCTCACTTAAGGATAGGGAGTCCTGTGAGGATGGATGTTCACAGGGTCTGAGAGGTCAGAAGAAGTAGAGCAAACAAGGGGATGGGATTGCTGGTCTTATTCCTAATAGGGAAGAGGAGAGAGAAAACAAGTCAGAAAAGTGATGTAAGGTCAGGGATAGGTGAGATAAAGATCCCCTTCCCCACGGTTGGATGATGGAAAGACAGATTGAGAAGGTTCCTTCCTCCAGCTCCTTTTGAGGGGGTTGTTTTAACTGTTGCCTGGTGTACCACTCTTTTGCCTAGCTTCAGAAATCTTCACTGAAGTCTGGTATGCTAAGGAATGCTTTTTGAACATGTTTGGTTTTTGTTTATCTTGTGTAGAAGTTGGTGAGCTGTGTCCTCACTGGATTATTGCAGTGCATAAAAGCGTTGGTGACCAAGTAGCTCTAAGAGTTCTGAGAAGGTCAGCTCTCCCAGTAATTGAGGGAAACCTGGGCAGACAGGGGAGGCTTTGGACTTGCACAGGCCTTGGCACTGCAGATTTGAGTATTGAGTGTAGATTATAAGGGGCTGGTAAGCCCAATGTAACAACTAGAGTACACATACAACAAGAAAAGACTGGAATTGAACATATAAAAATGAGAGTAGCTAGTGTTCGGAAGATAGGATTACCATATATAGTTGTTTTTTTCCCCTGAAGACTTTCTTTGTCATAGTTCATAACATAGGAACAGTTTTAAAAAGACAAAAATATGTGCAATACAGTGTCATGATCTTATTCATACCAGAACTTGAAAATTAGAGGTTAGTATTGAGATTTCATTAATACCAAAAGTGTTGGAACGGAGAAAGTGAAACTGTTTATTGAGGAATAGGGAATAAGGGCTAGGACTGAAACTCCTTTCTTTGCCAAAAGTAGGAACTTTCTTACTAACATATTAGGCTTTGTTTCCCTCTTTTTTGTTTTAATTGATGAACTGATGTCTCAAAGAAAAAAAAATCTGTCAAGTAACTGAAAATTGGATAAGGTTTTGAACAAAATTTAAGTTTTAGAAATTGATGTTCTGTAGATCATTTATAATAAATTATGGCTTATTTAAGTTTAGCTGCAACAAACGATACGTTTCTATCCTTTCTGTTGCATTCACTACTAAATCTTACAATGTTACTTTTTATAATTGTTCTCCTTTTTTTCTGAAATAAAAAAATTAGAAAATAATTGAGTAGGCCATGGTTTACTTACTGCAGTATTATGTATATATTGCTGTTAATTAAATGTGCCTTGATAGTGGCAAATAGGAGTCATTCAACACTGGATCATTATGCTATTCGTCTTTTCATATTTTGATTTCATGCTTACAGCTATAGTTATAAGCAAAGGACGGAAGGACTCAATTGGTACCTTTCCATGGTGAGAATGGAATTAGAAAAAAGGAATTGGTCAAGTGGTCTAATAAGACAGTAAAGCTTGAGAGCATGATACAGCAATTTCCATGATAGGGAACCTGATGTTTGAATTGACAGGTTAGATTGTCCCATGGATAGTGCTAGAAACACATTGCCCAATTTAGAATTCTGTTTTTTAGTTTTCTTTTCTTTTTTTTTGGGACAGAGTTTTACTCTGTCTTCAAGCTGGAGTGCAGTGGCGCGATCTCAGCTCAGTGCAACCTCTGCCTCCCAGGTTCAAGCGATTCTTCTGCCTCAGCCCCCTGAGTAGCTGGGACTACAGGCGCCTGCCACCACACCTGACTAATTTTTGTGTTTTTAGTAGAGACGGGGTTTCACCATGTTGGCCAGGATGGTCTCGATCTCTTGACCTCGTGATCCACCCGCCTCGGCCTCCCAAAGTGCTTGGATTACAGGCATGAGCCACCGTGCCTGGCCTGTTTTTTAGTTTCCATTTTGTCCAGTCTATCTTTTGTTGTCCATTCTTTTATACATTTTTGTTCTTTTGATTAGGAAAGTTCAAGTTCTTCTGATCTGCATACAGTGATTTGTATTTCGTAAGGTGACTTTGCATAGATCTCATTTCATCTTCTGAGGTGTGTTTTTGGCCAAGCTGACTGCTGAGGCATTCTATTGTTGCTCCAGGGTACTGCTTCTCTGGTACTTCCTTCAGAGACCATTTGTGTTGGTGAGAAAGCCTATGGTTTGTTTTTTTCCTGCCCTTGACACCTTAACATATCCTTCTCTCTGTTCTTGAATTCTTGAGTCTCTTCTGTCCCGGATCCCATTATTTATCACTGCGTGAAGAACCTGCTCCCTTAGGAACCACCCTCCCATCTCTACTTTTTCTAGCCTTTCCTACATTCCATTTTCCCATGGGTTTTCTCTGTCATCTGTCTTAAGTTGGAAAAAAGTTTCATATGATTCTTTCCCATTTCCCCTGTATTCCTTTTCATTATACCCTCATTCCTTGAACAGAATTGTTATTGTTTTGTTTTTCCATCCACACCCCTATAATGCAACCTTCCTGTGTAAATTTTAGGCTTAAGCTTTTCTATTCACATACTTTTATGCTGAGGCTTGGATTTTTATTTGGGCTGTTAGATGCCCATTTTGACATTGACATTAGGGGTTTCAAACCATCCTTAAAAGGTTAGATGTGACTTGCAATGTTATTGAACAATTTGATGATCCGGGATATTATGGCTCTATGAAATCTCCATGGTTCTTGGAGCTAGCTTGTTTTTATTCTGGGAAGAATTTTCTAGCTCCCCAGCTTACGGCCTGAATGGTTAGAGTCCAGCCAGTGCTGTTTGACTTTATAGTTCAAAGGGGGTCATTTCTGTGGTCACTATCCTATTTAACAGTCATGTCATGGTATGTCAAGGTAGGTCATCATACAAATAATCTGCATTCTGTTTTGACTGTTTTATTTTTAAAAATAATATCTCCTCCTTTTAAACTTTAAAAAATTTAGTAAAGTTTAGTAAACTTTCAAAAATTTAGTAAAAAATGTAGTAAAAATTCACTTCCTTCATTATGCTTTTTGAAATCTGGCTTTTTTTCTCATTCTTCCCCTATTAATGGTTCTTAAAAAAAAAAAAAAATCGCTGTTGACCTAACCAAATTAGAGTGTCTCAGTCTTCATGCACTTCCACCTTCTTGCTGCATTTGACTGCATTGATACTTCTTTTTTGATGTTCTTTCTTTGAATTTCATACATGGTTAGTTGAACCACTTCTCTGGCTCTTTTTCTTCTTGCCTCATAACTCTAGGTAATCATCAAGACTTGCCTTTCCTTTCCTGTGGTCTCTTGAAGGGCGTTCGTCTTAAAGCTTTAGCCATTGCCTTTCTCCTAGTAACTCTGTGCATGATGTCTCTGCAGAACTTTAGTTCCTTGTCTAGAGCTGCCTACATGAAAGCTCTTTTGGGGTTTTTTTCTGCCATTCTTCAAAATCAGTGTTGAAACCAAAAAACTTCCCCTTTTGACTTCCTTATTCTGTTGGTAACACTGCCATTCACCAGACTTGCATTTCTTATGCTTTAGATATAGGGCTGTCTTAGTCTGTTCAGGCTACAATAATTAAAATACCTTAGACATGGCCAGGCATCATGCCTGTAATTCCAGCACTTTAGGAAGCCAAGGAGGGAGGGTTGCATGAGCCAGGAGTTTGAGACCAGCTTGGGCAACATAGTGAGACTCGGTCTCTATTAAAAGAAAAAGCCCAGCAACCTTGGATTAGGTAATTTATAAACAACAGAAATTTATTTTTCACAGTTCTAGGCACCAGGAGGTTCAGTGTCTGGTGAGGGCTCTCTGCTTCATAGATGATGTTTTCTAGCTGTGTCCTCACATGGTGGAAGGGGCCAGCAGGCTCGCTCTAGCCTCTTTTATAAGAGCACTAATCCCATCCATGAGGGCTCTGCCCTAGTGACCTAATCACTTTCCAGTGGCCCCACCTCTTAATGTCAACACACTGGGGATTAGATTTCAACATACAATTTTGAGGAGAAACATTCACACCATAGCAGGGGCCAATAGGGAAAAAAATGGAACAGAAATTGAGTTAATTTATCTTTGAAAGTGAGGACCCTGTCCTGTGCCTTTTGTAGTTTCAGCACCCAAGACAGGTATTCAATGAATGTTTCTTAAACTGAGCATTACAGTGATTCTTGGGTTCACTCTTTCCTCTAGTTTTTACTCAGACCAGACCCTCATTAGTACACATCTTTTTTACTGCAATACCTCATTGTTTTTTAGCAATCATTTTTCCTTGCTTCTATGCACATTGTACATTACTGCCAGGAGAATTTTTCTAAAACATTACTTTTATGTAGTGAAGAGCCATTATTACTTACGGATTCAATTAAAACTAGTTAGTCTGGCATTCCAGGTTTTGAGCCAGCTAGTTCCATATACCTATTTTATGTTATGTTTTTCTCACATAAATTCATTATAGCTAGTTAGAACAGTCTTTTTATTATTCTCTCGTAGTAACATAGTTATTTCTACTTATACCTTTGCCCCAGCTGTTCTTCCAGTACAGAATTTCCCAGCCATCCTCTCATTTTTTTGCCAGTACAAATCCTGTACTTCTTAGCTAAAGACCTAACACGTAGCCCAGAACGTTGGCCTTTAGTAGGCACTCTTGACTGTTGAGTAAATGGGGACCTGTATTCTCAATGAGCTTTTCTAACCAGCTTCACATGATATTCTCCTTCATGTCCACATACTCCACAGGCCTGTTTATTAACTTACATTTCTCATATCTTATTTCAAGTTTAATAAATGATTAATTCATTGAATAAAATCTGGCATATGAGTGCCTTAGCATATACTGTGAAATGTATTTGAAATGGCTTCAAAAGCATTATTGTTCTCTTTATTTCTACCTTAATTGTAAAAGTGCTTTTAAATTAAGCCTTTAACATAAGTGAATCATTGGATCTAATCAAATGATTTCAGCACATGCTCTGTGCAATTACATTTGTGCAGCTTAGCTGAAACTATGGCAACAGAGTGAAAAATGCATTTTTACCGATCATTTTCCTCCATAGGAGTGGGAAGTTCCAAGTTAAACATCTCACAACTTTAAAAAATTATTATACAAATTATACTTACAATAGCATTGCTTAGAAAGTTAGGAAGCCATTTATCAATCATAGGTTTGTGGCTGAAATCCTGGAAGACCATGCCAAGGGTTAACAATAGTTACCTTTGAGTGTTGGGATTATGGGAGATTTTTAAGGTCTGCTTTAGGCCTATTTTTTCAAAAAACAGTGAACCTGGATAATTTTATGAAGAAAACAACAACAAAGTTATTTAAATCTGAAGGAAAAGACAATTTTCCTTTTATCCTTAAGTTTACTGTTTTTAAAATTACATCAATCACCACCTCATATCTACTAGGATGGCTACTACCAAAAAAAAAAACAAAATAGTAAGTATTGGACAGAATGTGGAGAAATTGGAACCCTCTTGCACTGTTGATGGGAATGTGAAAAGGTACCTGTGAGGGGATTTCACAAAATTCATGGAAAAAATGGTTAAAATTGCTTTGTGAGAGCATTAAAACTATTTACACCTCTTTTTCCCTAAATGATTAAACTTAAGGCATTAATATAAAAAAATTCTAAGAGCTTTTGAGAGGAGCATGGTTTAAGCTGATTCACAACAGAGATAAGCCTGAAGTAGACCTTGAAAAGATTTAAAATATTTATTGATTTAGTCCAAATTTACTAATATTTAACAACTCATGTGGTCATCAGAATTGACACCAGAAACAAATAACTGATATGGTCGTACTCCTGTGTACCAGTTGATTAGCTCTATTCTAAGTTTTTAGTTTGTTGATACTCTTTGTTGTTTTGTATATTTGTCAAAAGTTTTCATAAGGCATTCTTTCTATGGGAAGGAGTTAATATTTTTCTAAGTTAGGATTTAGAGGCTGAAGGTAAGGTTTTGGTGCCACTATGCTGTTATAGTCAGACATCCACAAATGCCCAAACTCTGCTCTCCCAGGCCCCTCTTTTCCCTCAGAGTCATGAGTGATCCATCTGCAAGGCACAAGTAGCTGGTGGGAATCAGAGTAACAAATTTAATAAGAGTTGTGCAAACATCCAACACACCAATGTAAAACTCTTCTGTAGAAGCTGCATTGGTGCAGTAGTTTAGGTTTAAGGCCTAAGTGAGGTGTCCTACTTCCCTTCCAACTACATCTAATTATAATCTTGAGACCAGCATGTTCAGGTGTGTGACTTAGAAGGTTAGAATGGGCCGGGTGCGGTGGCTCATGCCCATAATCCCAGCACTTTGGGAGGCTGAGGCAGGCGGATCACCTGAGGTCAGGAGTTCGAGACCAGCTTGGCCAACATGGTGAAAGCCTGTTTCTACTAAAAAATAAAAAAAAAGGTTAGAATGGAGAAGAAACACCAGGTATCTTAGTTTCAGGTTTCTTTAACAAAGACACCATAAACTATCTGGTTTAAACAACAAACATTTATTTTTCACAGTTCTGAAGGCTGGGAATTCCAAGATTAAGGTGCTGGCAGCTCCAGTGTCTGGTGAGGGCCCACTTCCTGGTTTGCAGATGGCAGTCTTCTTGTGTCCTTGCATAGGGAAAGCAGAGAGAGAGGAAGCATAGTCTGTCCTGTCTCTTCTTGTAGGGCACTGAATCCATCATGAGAGTTTCACCCTAATGACCTGATTACCTCCCAAAGGCCCCATCTCTAAATACCATCACTTTGGAGATTAGGATTTTAACATATGAATTTTGGAGGATACAAACATTCAGATCATAGAACCAGGTCCCAGGAGAACCCCTGAATCTGCTTAGCTAACTACTATGTATGTTGAAGGGAGAAGTGCAAGAGAATGGCCAATCTGTCAGGCCATGGAAGAAATTTGAGGCAAAAAAACCAAAGAGGCCTTGTGGGGAGGCTGATCTTTTAACACAGTGAGTCTACCTATTAATTGTGCCCATCTGGAGTTTTGGACTCTTGAATAAATGAATTAGTCACGTTTCTTACCTTTGGGGAGAACTAGAAAGGGGGTTGGGCAAAGGCATGCCTGGCATAGGAAAAGGAGCAAAAGTCCTTTTTTCCCACAACTAGACTAAAGTACCATCTCCTTTTGAGTGTGAAGAAAGACAGTGTACAATTCTAACAGGTCTGTTTCTGGCACAGTCTGATCTAGGCATGCAGGTAGCTCCACATCATCTGAGCAGCATATTTTGGGCTTTACTAAAGCATGTGAATGACTCACACATACAGATTTCAGCAATTGGTTGATGTTTTATTTCACCTGTAGGGTGAAATAAATGTGTAAATATTATAAGTCTTGTTCTAATACTGTTAATATTATTGTAGAGAAGTTTGAGCTCTTGTTCTTAGGTTAACAATTAAGAGAAATGTGATTTATTTTTAGACTTTCATGCACAAAAGCTTTAATCACAATGACAAAATAATAGCATAGGAATGAAAACTATTTAGACACCTAGACTCACATGCTCAAATATGTGTTTTTTATTGCTTAGGATTCTATATAATATGATATTTACCATTTCTTCTTATGTGTTTTGTCATTAACACAGTGAAAAAAATCTTTATAATGGACAAATACTCCCCCATGCCTAAATATGATACTACTTACTACTGATTTGCTCTCATATGTGTGTTTACTTACTTTGCCAGTAGATGTAATGGAAAAGACTCAGAGTCAGGAACAGGGGCAAAAAACAACAACAACAAAAACATGTGGTTGCTAAGTTCAAGAGCTCTGAGATGGGCCTATATCATATCACCTTTTAAATTTTTATTTTACTCTTTTAGATTAATTTATGATGGCAGTAGTTGAAGTAAAGTAAAGGCTAAGTACAGCCCACACTGTGAAGATTCTGGTGGAAAAATAGTAGACTGTCAGAAACCTGGATGAAACTCAAAGACTGTAGGCCAAGTAAATGAAGTTGAAAGCCAAGAAACTATGTATTGCATGATTTCATTTATATGAAATTCTAGGAAAGCTAAAACTGTAATGACTGGAATTAGATTATTAGTTACCAGGGAAGTGATTGGCTTCAAAAGGACATCCAGAAACTTTTCAGGGTAATGGAACAGAAACTTTTCAGGGTGATGGAACTGTTTTTTTGTTTTTTTGTTTTTTTGTTTTTTTTTTTGAGACGGAGTCTCACTTTGTCGCCCAAGCTGGAGTGCAGTGGCGCGCGATCTTGGCTCACTGCAAGCTCCGCCTCCCGGGTTCAGGCCATTCTCCTGCCTCAGCCTCCCGAGGAGCTGGGACTACAGGCGCCCGCCACCATGCCCGGCTAATTTTTTTGTATTTTTAGTAGAGACGGGGTTTCACTGTGTTAGCCAGGATGGTCTCGATCTCCTGACCTCGTGATCCACCCGCCTCGGCCTCCCAAAGTGTTGGGATTACAGGTGTGAGCCACCGCGCCCGGCCTGGAACTGTTTTATATCATGCTTGTGGTGGTGGCTCCATGACTATGTAAAATTACCAAAATTCATCAAACTGTTCATTTAAATAAGTGAATTTTATTGTATGTAAGTTGGACCTTAGTAAAATTTAAAAATACGTTAACTATAGATTTTTGGTGCTCAGATGTCTTTAATTTTTCCTTTGAGCAAAGACAAGAACCAAAGGAATGTTATCTGACAGTCTCAGACAATAACTTTGAGGACTATTGTAAGGATTAAGATTTCTGTATCCTACCCTATCATAGTTTCAACTGCATGGTTCCCAGGTGAGATTAAGAAAGTGAAGGCGCGGTGGCTCACGCCTGTAATCCCAGCACTTTGGGAAGCTGAGGCGGGTGGATCACGAGGTCAGGAGATCTAACACGGTGAAACCCGGTCTCTACTAAAAATACAAAAAATTAGCCGGGCGTGGTGGCGGGCGCCTGTAGGCCCAGCTCCTCGGGAGGCTGAGGCAGGAGAATGGCGTGAACCCGGGAGGCGGAGCTTGCAGTGAGCTGAGATCGCGCCACTGCACTCCAGCCTGGGCGACAGAGCGAAACTCCGTCTCAAAAAAATCAAAAAACAAAACAAAAAACAAGAAAATGAAGACAAAATAAAGGAATACATGATAGCAAGCTTGATCTTTGGTTCTGTACCCCAAACTGAAACCTTGACCTTGGTGAGCTGGGCTGGATCACATGGACCTGCTTAAGGACTTACTTGTCCCTTTGCCCTGTGCAGATACCCTTTAAGATTGTTTACTGGAATCTTGCCATTCTTAAGCAAGAAAATTCCAAGAAATCTAAACTCTATCAGAAACTTGAGGTGGAAGAGAGTGGTTTTTCTTCATAAGCCCAGGGCTAAGCTCTTTTCAGGACCAGCATTCTTGAGTTTTCCTAAGACCTAGGACTTGAGGTATGGGAGAAAGAAGAGCTCTGCCTTACCTACCAGCCACCTGGGAACAGTATTGGTGGAAAAGCAATAAAAAGAGTAAATGAAATTCTCAGCTGCTAAATTAATGAGAGGAGGAGCCAAAGAGAACATACCTTGAGCTGCTTCTCATTACCTGGAAACCTTCAACCCTGAGTACAGAAGGCACCCTTCATCTGGAGCCCTGGGGATAGGAGGTTGGAGAAGACTTGAGCTCCTGTAGCAGCCAAAGTGTTAATTTATGTCAGAAACAAAATAATAGAGGTAGTAGATTATGAACAAAAACAGCCCTTCACAGATCATCTGAACAACCTTTGTGAATGACTAGGGTTTCCTGGGTACTATACTTTGTAAAAGAAAGTGTAATTAATTTATAACCTCTTTTAATTTCCTATGAAAGTTAATTCTGTGTATCAAAAAATAATTCCTTATCTTCTTAGTGTAGCAGCAAATATAGATAAGTAATATATAAATATAAAGCAAATATAAATATAGATATAATCTAGTATATGAACAATGCTTTTGGAAAGCTGGGCTTGTACATATCTCAGTAAATAAAAAAGGATTCCTAATAGTAAGAACCAGGAGTAATTATTTTTGACACATGACTCTTTAATAATCTCTTAAGCTTTTTTACATAATAAAATAATAGAATTTAACATTAGAAGAGAGCCAAATCATTGTTTCAAAAGTGGTTGTCTCTTATGAGTTTGGCTTTTTATAAAATCTACTTGACATATTAAAGATAAGCCATCGTTTATTTTAGAATACTACCTATGTTTTTGATATTCATTTTAGATCTATACTGATGTCAATGTGAACTCTAGGCTGGGCCATGTACATTGACTTGTTCTTACTATAAAATTATACATTGATAGTAAAACTCTTAAAAATAGAAAATAGAATGGTGGTTCCCAGGGCTGAGAGAAGAGGGAAGAGGGCAATTGTTGTTCAATGGATATAGTTTATTTTGCAGGATGAAAAGGTTCTAAAGATCTGTTGCATAACAACGTACATATGGTTAACAATACTGTATACTTAAAAATGGTTAAGGTGGTAAATTTTATGTTATGTGTTTTTGACCACAATTTTTAAAAATTTTAAATTATGAGTTTAGTTAAACTTTGGAAAGACATTGAAATTATTTATGCCCCAAAGCTTTTCATTCTAAAAGTTGTTAGTTGAGTTTTATTTTCTTAAAGTTGTAGTCCCAAAGCATTAATTTATTTACAAACACTTATACTGCTTATTGGCACACAGCAAGCACCATATAAATTTGATTCATTTAATCCTCATTAAATTCTATGTAGTGGGTATTATTTTGTTTTCTGTCATTTTATAATGGCCATTTTCTAATATACAGAGAATTTGAAAGAATTGTATGTTGAATACCCTTATACTCACTACCTAAATTCTGCAATTAATATTTTGTTGTATTTGCTTTTGACGTATGTGTTCATAGCTATATTTATTTATAAATTTATCTTATTTTAAAAAATGCATTTCAAAGTAAATCACAGATATCAGTATGCTTTGAGGATAGGTGTTTTTATGCCCATTTTACATTATTGGGAACTGAGACACAGACAAGTAATTTGTCAAGGTCACACAGCTTTTAAGTGGCATAATTAGGATTTGGATCAAGCCTTTCTTAACCACTTCTACAGAGTACTAGTTCACATAATGTTAATAGATACTACCTTAAAAAGTAATTTTGTGGTTAAATCCACAAATGTAGTATCTTTGTCTTGATCTACATGCATATTTTCATAATACAGGATCTGTAAGGTTCAGCAGTAAAGAAATCGTTTAACTTTGTTTAAGCCAACCATTTCCACATTTATTCTACCAAAGCACTCTGCTCCCCACATCTCCCCCTAACAGAACACCTATTATAGGATAGGACTAGAATTCAATGGAATATGTTATGGAAAATGCTAATTTATAAGAGATCCTAATTTTATTTATTCAAGACAATATATCTTTGAAGAGTTTATATTTTTAAACATAGTCCTAGAATTTTAGAGCTGACAGGGATCCTAGAGTTCATTGAGACCAACACTTTCATTTCAGAGATGTAGTAATGGAGACATAGAGTATTGAAGTGACGAATGCATACTATATCGTGTCCAGGTATTTAGTGGCAGAAATGGAACTAGAACTTACCCTAGAACCTGGGGATGGCATTTAATAGATACTCAGTAAATGTTTGTCGAATCATAAATACATCTTCTCAATCCATCCAGTTTTTTCCCCACTATGTATCTATCTACATATTAGAATTTTTATTTATTTTTGGAGTATATTGGTCAGTAGAGAGTCTAATAAACACTTTAATTTATGTTAATATTTGGTACAAATGATATATATAGTTCCTAAATTCCAAAAAAAGTTTTATTGTAATGCATAACATACAGAAATTTATGCAAAATATGCTATACTGTTTAACAAATAATTATAAAGCAAACCCTGGTTAATCACTCAAGTCAAGAAATAGAGCGTCGCTGGTACACAAGAATCCCCCAGGAGCCTCCTTCTATTGCTGACCCTCTTGTTTTTTTTTTCCTCTTTTTTTCTTTTAGCTAATTTGACAGGACATGCTGAGAAGGTGGGAATAGAAAATTTTGAGCTCCTGAAGGTCCTAGGAACTGGAGGTAAGTCTTAAGTTAATTATATTTAAGGAAAAAAAAAAGTACTTATTATTCCTATGATGAAGGATTGATATCCCCAATACAGAAATTAAAATTTAAAAAGCATGAGGAATCCATTAGGAGAACTGTCAAAGAACATGAACAGACCATTCATAGAAGCACAAAAGGCAAAAATAAAAAGAATTGGCAAGGATTTAGGGAAACCAATCCCTTTTACCCTGCTGTTGGGAATGTAAATTAGTTCAGCCTTTACACAGGACACAATATTTTATTTTATTTTATTTTTTTTGAGACGGAGTCTAGCTCTGTCGCCCAGGCTGGAGTGTGGTGGCGTGATCTCAGCTCACTGCAACCTCTGCTTCCTGGGTTCAAGCGATTCTCCTGCCTCAGCCTCCTGAGTAGCTGGGATTACAGGCGCCTTCTACCACGCCCAGCTAATTTTGTATTTTTAGTAGAGACGGGGTTTCACCATGTTGTTCGAGGCCAGGTTGGTCTCGAACTCCTGACCTCAAGTAATCCGCCCTCTTCTGCCTCCCAGAGGGCTGGGATTATAGGCATGAGCCACTGCGCCCAGCCAGGACACAATATTTTAAAAAATCACTAACATTGATAGAGTGCTTGTTAGATGCCAAGTACTCTGTGGAGGGCTTTGTATTGATTGTCTTATTCAATCTTTGTTCAACTCAGTTGATACTCAATGAACGTAATTTGTAATAATGAAAAACCCAGGACTGTTTAGAAACCCAACAATAGGGCTTTGGTTAAATGGAACATGGATCTCTATGTTCTATAATGTATATAATAGATTAAAATGATCTACTTTTATTTAATATTTTGGAAAGCTCTCCAAAATAAGTTTTTAAAAAGCTACAGAAGAGAATGTACAATATACAAAACATTATATGAATAAATATAAATATCTACATGTGTATATGGATATGGAAAATATCTGCGTGTATATTTGTATGCAGAAAAATCTCTAGGTGCCCGGGCGTGGTGGCTTATGCCACCACAGCACTTTGGGAGGCACTTTGGGAGGCCAAGATGGGAGAAGCCCTTGAGGCCAGGAGTTCAAGACCAGCTTGGGAAACATAGTGAGACCTCATCTCAACAAAAAATAAAGAAAATTCTCCGGGATGTACATGGTTATATACACTAAAATCTTAGTGGTAGCGGGATTTTACATGATCTTGGTTTTCTGCTTTGTAACTTTCCTTTGCCTTCTGAATTTTTGCTACCACCGCTTTCGCTGCTCAGAAATCAGGGCTGACTTAAGGGGGATGTGACCTATGCAGTTGTAGAGATCCCTGCATGTAGAAGAGCCCCATGTTTGGTGTAATGCTCTGCTGTCACTGTTCTGAAATTATTAGTAATTCATGAACAAGGCACCCGCATTTTCATTTTACACTAGGCCTTGCCATTTATGCAGCTTCTTGTCATGTGTATGTTTCCTACTCAGTTCTCTCCCTGTCCTGGACTGTGTTGCTCTGCAGCCACCGCTGCTGTGAGAACTGGCTTCTGTCATTTTTCTCCCATCAGGTCAAGATACAAAGGAGGCCTTTAACTCTTCCCCTCCCCCTCCTCCTCCCCATTCTCAGCAGGCCTAGATCTCTTTTCCTGGAAGACCAGGGAGAGCATCAGAGGACAGACCATTTTTCTTCCCCGCTGCAGTTTAGCGTCACACTCTCAGGGACCTGAGTGTTCTAGCGCCTGACAGGATGGATTACACCTGTCCATATAAGGGTATCTGCCCATCCCTTCCAAAATGCCAAACATTATAGCAAGAAAGAAAGCCTTTCTCTTGGGGCCTCTGTAATCAATACCAGCCACTTCCCTAGCTTCATGTCTGTTTGTTTTTTTGTTTTTTGTTTTTTTGTTTTTTTGAGATGAAGCCTAGCTGTGTCGCCCAGGCTGGAGTGTAGTGACTCGATCTTGGCTCACTGCAACTTCTGCCTCCTGGGTTCAAGTGATTCTTCTGCCTCAGCCTCCTGAGTAGCTGGAATTATAGACATGCACCACCATGCCCAGCTAATTCGGGTTTCACCGTTTTGACTAGGCTGGTCTTGAACTCCTGACCTCGTGATCCACCCTCCTCAGCCTCCCAAAGTGCTGGTATTACAGACGTGAGCCATCACGCCCGGCCTGCCTCATGTCTAAGTTCGCTTATGTAAGCTGTCTTTAGGTCATTTAGTAATGAGCCTTCATGTCTACGGCCCTGCTGTATGAGGTCTTTATAACCTCCCTGAGTAGTTTAGCATGCCATATAGGCCCAATCTTTACAGCTACCAGTGAATAAGCAAAATGAATAGTTTATTCCCATCAACTAAGCATGTTATTGTCAGAAATTTAGTGTAACTGTCAACTTGGAGATGTTATTGTACATTTCCACCTTCAAATAATTTGTTCAAATGTATTTTTTAAAAATCCAAGCTCTACCCCACTGTATTCCTAAGAAATCATGCTTTCAAAATATCAAAATAATACCCTTTATTCCTACCTTTGTTTCCTGTTTCAAAGGCAATATCTACTCAAAGGGGAAAGAGGATCACAGTTCTGTGGTGACTCAGTTCCCTTAAAAATAGTGCTTTGTGACATCTGGTCAAAAGTTCTTAAGGTTGATATATATTATAGATTGTTTTTATAATAGCTGTTTTATCTGCATGTTTTTATCTGTTTTGTCTGTATGTGGCTTTCTTGGTAACAACTTTATTGAGATATAACTCACGTACCATATTGTTCCATCATTTAAAGTGTGCAATTCAGTGGTTTTAGTATATTCACAAAGTTGTGCAGCAATTTTATAACAGTCAGTTTTATAACATTTTCCTTACTTCAGAAAGAAACCCTGAACCCTTTAGCTATTAATGCCCAAGCAAGCTCACCATCCTCCCCAGTCCTAAACAACCACTAACTGACTTTTTTATCTATATATTTGCCTCTTCTAGGCATTTCATATAAAGGTAAACATACAAATGTGTAGTCCCTGGTGACCAGCTTCTTTCACTTAACATAATGTTTTCTAGGTTCATTCATATTGTAGTACACATCACTACTTCATACTTTTTTTTTTTTTTTTTTTTTTTCAGACAGAGTCTCGCTGTGCCACCCAGGTTGGAGTGCAGTGGCGCAATCTCACAGCAACCTCCACCTCCCTGGTTCAAGTAATTCCCCTGCCTCAGCCTCCGGAGTAGCTGAGATTACAGGCGCACACCACCACGCTCGGCTAATTTTTTTGTATTTTTAATAGAGACGGGGTTTCACTATGTTGGCCAGATTGGTCTCGAACTCCTGACCTCAGGCGATCTGCCCGCCTTGGCCTCCCAAAGTGCTGGAATTACAGGCGTGAGCCACCCTGCCTGGCCAGTACTTCATACTTTTTATGACTTACTGTTTCATTGTACAGATATACCACATTTTGTTTCTCTGTTCATCAGGAGATGGGCATTTGGGTTGTTTCCATCTTTTGGCTGTTATAAATAATGCTGCTTTGGAGACTAGCCTGGGCAAAATAGTGAGACTCCCCATCTTGCCAAAATTAAAAAATTGGTTGGGCATGGTGTGATATGTGCCTGTATTCCTAGCTACTTGGGAGGCTGAGGTGGGAGGATTGCTTGAACAGGAGTTTGAGGCTGCAGTATGCCATGATTGTGCCACTGTACTCCACCCTAGGCAACAGAGCAAGACCGTCTCTCTAAAAGATAAACAAATACATGAATATAATGCTGCTATGAACATTCATGTACAAGTTTTTGTATGAACATATGTTTTTTTCATTTTCAGGTACTTTATAAAAAGTCATGCACACTTTTAAATATTTTGAATACAAGGTTCTATAAATTCTCTCAAGTTCTGTTTAAAGTAATCTTTGAAGTGAGAATGATCTTCTTCCTTTTTTACTACAGGTCAGGTTAAATAATTTTAAAACAGGAAGAAATCTGAATGGTCGTCTTCCTTTTTTACTACAGGTTAGGTTAAACAATTTTAAAACAGGAAGAAGTCTGTGATAGAAAAATATTATATGCTTATACTTTAATCATAATCTATATTGCCTGAAGAGTTCATAGTGTCTTGGCATGTTTCTTGCCATCTGCCATTTATTTAGATGGCAGAATTCCATCTAACTCATCTATAATTCAGTAATGTAAAATTGCCAGAAAAATAGGGTTTGGGTAAACAAATTTTCTTAGTGGGTTAACTTATGCATAGCAGTTTCTCAAATATTTTTGAATGAATGGATGAGTATACTTATTCCATATAATAAGGGATCTCTATAAAGATCCTTGAAAATTTGAAAACAAATTGCTATTCTTATTTGCAATGTTTACCTGACTTTCCATGCTTTAGAGATTCTTTTTTCATATTAAAGTTTTAGAAATGTCAGTTTTTATGTTTTTTATCAAAAGCAAAACGTAGTAAAAATATTAGTACAATTGATCAAATGAAACTACTGTTTATATACTTTTGATTAACCCAATTATTATTTATTTTATTTTAAAAATAGATTTATAGCTGTTTTTAAAAGAAAACGTTATCTCTGAGATGATGTTTTATTCTAGATATGGTCAAAGCTAAACAACTTTAATCTGTAATAACAGATAACTTCTCTATAGCAAAATAGACATAGCATCTACAGAACTTTCAAGGACACTATTAAAATGTAATATTAATGATTAATTTCACCATTGAATTTTATAGTACATAACAAGAACCATGAGACTAATCCTATTCATTGATCTGTTAATTTAATGCATGCAGGCCTGGTGCAATGGCTTATGCCTGTAATCTCAGCACTTTGAGAGGCTGAGGTGGGAGGATCAGTTGAGCCCAGGAGTTCAAGACTAGCCTGGGCAACATAGCGAGACTTCATCTCTACTGAAAAAAAAAACAAAAAAAAAAACAAAAAAAACAAATTAGCCTGGGCTGTTGTGACACTCGCTTATAGTCCCAGCTACTAGGGATGCTGAGGTAGGAATATCTCTTGAGTCTGGAAGGTTGAGGCTACAGTGAGCCATGATTGTGCCATTGCTCTCCAGCCTGGGAGATAGAGCGAGACCCTGTCTCACTATAGTTTTGAACTTCTGGGCTCAAGCAGTCCTTTCACTTCCACCTCGTGAGTAGCTGAGACTGCAACCATGTGCCAACACACTCAGCTTGCTTGCTTATTTACTTATTTAGTAGAGACAGGGTCTCGTTATGTTGCCCAGGCTGGCTTCAAACTCCTGGGCCCAAGTAATCCTCCTGCCTTGGCTTCCCAAAGTGCTGGGATTACAGGCATGAGTCACTGCATGTAGCCACAATCATTATTAAACCTCTAAAGTGCTAGATAAGGAATTTTCCTTACTCTTGCCAGGTATCTATGCAGTTGAGTAGTCTTTCTATCAACTGCTTAGATTACCTGGCAAAAGTAAGGAAAATTCTTAAGCTTGAAAAAATAAAATGGGAGCAGGAATTTAGAGAAGCAAATAAGCTGCCTGAGGGCAGAAGTTATGCTGGAGAAATCCACCAGTGAATTCCGAGCTAGTTCTTTGGGTTTACCATTTTCATACTTCATATATAGGAGACAGCTTCTAAGGCACTCAAGCGGTAGAGAAGGCTACTGCTCAGTAAAACAGTAAATGAGAAAATAAAAATCTAGCCTGCAAAGGGAGATAGAGGGGAAACTTTTCTGGCTTAGCATTGGCTTCGGGTGAAGGAAACAAATAAGCAGTAAAAGCCTTCCGTGAGTCATAACCTTAAACCAAACATCATACAGGTTTGCAACTTCAGTTTGTTATCCACTTATGTGATTTAAAAAAAGAAAAATCCTGGCCAGGCACGGTGGCTCGTGCTTGTAATCACAGCACTTTGGGAGGCTGAGGCCAGCATGGGAACACCCCATCTCTACTAAAAATACAAAAATTAGCCAGGCGTTGTGGCGGGCACCTGTAATCCCACCTACTGTGGAGGCCAAGGCAGGGAGAATTGCTTGAATCTGGGAGGTGGAGGTTGCAGTGAGCCACTGCACAGAGCAAGACTCCGTCTTATATTAAAAACAAAACAAAACAAAAAACCACACACAAGCAAGTATGAATTTAGTTTATTCTACTTATGAATTGGTAGTGTTCCCAACAGCACTAGCAAAGCAAATGTAAATCTTCTCTGGAGGATTTACTTAGATCTTAAGGAAATAGCAAAGAAAGTTTTACAGACATGATTTTACTATCAAAAATTACAAACACCAGCCGTGTGCGGTGGCTCACGCCTGTAATCCCAGCACTTTGGGAGGCCGAGGCAGGCGGATCATGAGGTCAGGAGATCGAGACCATCCTGGCTAACACGGTTAAACCCCGTCTCTACTAAAAACAAAAAAAAATTAGCCGGGCATGGTGGCGGGCACCTGTACTCCCAGCTAGTTGGGAGGCTGAGACAGGAGAATGGCATGAACCCAGCAGGCGGAGCTTGCAGTGAGCTGAGATCACACCACTGCACTCCAGCCTGGGCGACAGAGTGAGACTCAGTCTCAAAAAAAAAAAAAAAAAAAAAAAAAAAATCACAAACATCCAAGAAGCAAAGCACTATGAGTGAAAGAAGTGGAAACAACAAATAATAGAATTAGACCTAAAGAGACTGTTGGAATTATTAGATATAAAATATAAATGTGTATGTTTTTAATTAAGAAGAGATTTGATTGTAATATTACGGAATAATACATGCTAAAAAAATGACCAGACAGATTGGAGAAAGAACCAGTAGTCCTTCTAGGAGTGAAAAAAAAACAATTCAAAGTATAAACTTAATGGATGCTTTACTGGTAGATGAGATATAGCTAAAGAGAAAATTATTGTGGATTGGAAGATAGATTTGAAGAAAATATGCAGAATATAGAATGGAGAAAAAAGAGATAGCATATGAGAGGACTATTAAGATATAGAGGATAGGCCGGGTGTGGTGGCTCACAGCTGTAATCCCAGCACTTTGGGAAGCTGAGGTGGGAGAATCCCCATCTGTCTGGGCAACATAGTGAGACCCTGCCTCTAGAAAAACAAACTAACTTAGCTGGGCATGGTGGTGCATGCATGACTGTAGTCCTAGCCATTCAGGAGGCTGAGGTGAGAGGGTTGTCTGAGCCTGGGAGGTTAAGGCCACGGTGAGTTATGATCACATCACTACACTCCAGCCTGGGTTGTCTCAAAAAAAAAAAAATAGAGAATAGATAGAGAAGATACAACATTTTTCTAATCAGACTTTCAGAAGGAGCTTATAGAATGAGTAGAGGCACTGTTCAAAGAAATAATAGCTGGGAGTTTACAGGATTAAACGTGAATTTGCAGAGAGCAAATACAAGTACTTGCATACAAGTATAAAGAAATTCTTATGTAGATACATCAGAGAGAAACTGATGAACATGAGACAGAGAAATACCTGAAAAGCAGTCAAAGAGAAAAGACTTATTTATAAAGGAACAACAATTAGTTTAACAGTGGACTTTACAACAGCAACCCTGGAAGCCATGTAAAGTGGAATAATATCTTCAAAATGCCCAGAGAAAATAACTGTTAATCTACACTTGTATACTCAGCAAAACTGTTTTCCCTAAGTGTGGCAAAAAGACACTTGTTGTTGTTGTTGTTCTTTTTGAGACGGAGTCTTGCTCTGTCTTGTTGTTTTTTTTGAGACGGAGTCTTGCTCTGTCACCCAGGCTGGAGTGCAGTGGCACGATCTTAGCTCACTGTAACCTCCGCCTCCTGGGTTCAAGTGATTCTCCTGCCTCAGCCCCCTGAGTAGCTGGGACTACAGGCTCATGCCACCATGGCTGGCTAATTTTTGTATTTTTAGTAGAGATGGGGTTTCACCATATTAGCCAGGCCGATCTCGAACTCCTGACCTCATGATCTGCCCACCTCGGCCTCCCAAAGTGTTGGGATTACAGGTGTGAGCCACCACGCCCAGCCAACATTTTCAAACATACAAAAGCTGAGTGAGTTTTCTACCAATAGGTCCCCTATGAGAATTTTAAAAGAAGTAGTTTTAGGAAGAAGGAAAATAATCCCTGGAGAATTTTCCGAGATGCAAAAAGAATTACTGAACAAACAGTCTAAAGCATACTGACTGTGTAAAGCTCTCGTCACGATGTCTCATTTGTGGAGTTGAAAAAAGAAAACTGAAAAATTGGACAAAATAGCATTTAATTTGGGAGGTGACAGGAGTTAGTTTCCTGAAGTAATGTTCCTCAAAGTTTAACATGCACAGTAATCTTGAAATGTGTAAATTACCAAACTGATTGAAAAAAGGTGTGAGAAACCTACATAGTCCTATAACTGTTAAAGAGATTGGTCAGTAAGCAAAAATCCTCTTGCTGGGAAGACACTCAGTACAGTTTTAAGAATGAGTTCTGCCACACATTCAAGGCATAGATAATTCTGATCTTCCACAAACTCTTTCAGAAAACAGGAAAAGGGGGATTATTTCCTCCAACTCATTGTATGAGTCCAGTGTAACCTTGATTCCAAAAAACACACTAGGACAGTATAAAGAAGGCAGATTATCAGCCCATTTTATATATGTGAAATTTTTAATATCAAATTTATATAGTCAAACCTTGTGTGTATTTTCTTTCAACACATTGAATACTTTGACTCATTATCTATTATACATCTGCACTGAGTAGTTTGGTTACAGGCCTTGAAGACAATTCTGTAAAGGTAAGGAAACAGTTTACCTGTAATGTTTTACCTTTGTATTTCCATTTTGTGTGTGTGCACTGTTTTATAATGGATCAGTTGTCAGCCATGGAGACTGCTTTTCCTTTTTGCCAGCTGACAGTGTAGTCTCTTATGAGAAGATGGGATAACTAAGAAATGTCATTGTAAGTATATCTGCCTTTAAAAAATCACAGTTTTGATGACTAAATGGAGTAGGTGGAAGCTTTTATAATGAATATAATAAAATCTCAATTTTTATTCAAAAATTTTACCACTAATCTTTCAGTTTCATTACCTTTTTAAGATAAATTTTTTTCAGCACTACTTAGAATAATAGGAAAGACTCATCAGATGTCTTCATGTGTCATGTAAGGTTTTCTTTGGAAATGAAACTGAAAACTCTTCTGATGAATTAATTTCTATATATTTAAACTAGAAAAAAATGCTATTCATCAAATATCTTGAAGACTGTGGAATATTTGAATATCAAAGATTTACTTTTTGACACTTAAATACATCTAATATGCATAAAACTCTTTTTTACTCAGATTGACTTGCTTCTCTTGAACTATCTGGTTTCCTTTGGCCTATCACTAACCTTGATCAGTTTTCTGAGCTAGAAACTTTTAAATAATTTTGGATTCTTTTTGGATTCTTCTCTATCTATTTTGACCTCTTTATCTCTCTTCTTTTTTTTTTTTTTTTTTTGAGATGGAGTCTCACTCTGTCACCCAGGCTGAAGTTCAGTGGTGTGATCTCAGCTCACTGCAACCTCTGCCTCCCAAGTTCAAGCTATTTTCCTGCCTCAGCCTCCCGAGTAACTGGGATTACAAATGTGCACCACCATGCCCGGATAATTTTTGTATTTTTAGTAGAGACAGGGTTTCACCATGTTAGCCAGGCTGGTCTCAAACTCCTGACCTCAAGTGACCCACCTGCCTCGGCCTTCCAAAGTGTTGGGATTACAGGTATCAGCTGCTGCGCCCAGCCCAGCCTCTTTACTTCTATTTTCTCACAAAGTCCTATAATTTTCCCCTTAAAGTGATCCTTGGATTTACCTTTTCTGGGCCTAAGAACGGAAAGTGCCATCACTCATTTTACCTTATGCATGGATTCTTTCAAGGGGTGTCTTAACCTGTCTGCCTTTCTGTAGGCTCTCTTCCATTTGTGCATTTTAATATCATATGCTGTTATACGTAATATACAGTCTTGCTAAAATACAACATTTTCGTGCAGTTTTTCTATTTAAGAACATATACTGCATTTTTTCCCATTTAACTATTCAAGCCCAAATTCTTGCCTTGCTTTCAGTTTCCCCTGTCTTTTTTCGCCCAGCTTACCCTGATATTCTGCCTACTTTCTATTTTTTTCCCCAACTTTTATTTTAGGTTTGGGGGTACATGTTCAGGTTTGTTACCTGAATAAATTGCCTGTCGCTGGTGTTTGGTGTAAAAATGATTTTGTCACCTAGGTAGTGAGCATAGTACCCTATATGTAGTTTTTCAACCATCACCCTTCTCCTACCCTCTCCCCTCAAGTAGGCCCTAGTATCTATTCTTTCCATTTTTATTTCCATGTGTACTCAATATTTAGCTCCCACTTATAAGTGAGATCATTTTCTTTTCCTACATCAGTTTGCTTAGGAAAATGGTCTCCAGCTGTATCCGTGTTGCTGCAAAGGACATGATTTCATTTTTTAAAATGGCTGCATAGTATTCTGTGGTGTACATGTACCATATTTTCTTTATCCAGTCCACCATTGATGGGCGTCTAGGTTGATTCCATGTCTTTGCTATTTTGAATAGTGCTGCAGTGAACATGCAATGAACATATGAGTACATATGTCTTTTTGGTAGAATGATTTATATTCCTTTGTGTATATACCCAGTAATGGGATTTCTGGGTTGAGTGGTATTTCTGTTTTAAGTTCTTTGAAAAATTTCAACTGCTTTCCACAGTGGCTGATGTAATTTACATTCCCACTAGCAGTGTATAAACATTTTGTTTTCTCCACAACCTCACCAGTATCTGTTATTTTTTGGCTTTTGAATAATAGCCCTTCTGACTGGTGTGAGATGGTATCTCATTGTGGTTTTTATTTGCGTTTCTCTGATGATTAGTGATGTTGAACATTTTTTCATATGCTTGTTGGCAATGTGTATGTTTTCTTTTGAGAAGGATCTATTCATATCCTTTGCCCATTTTTTAATGGGATCGTTTGTTTTTTGCTTGTTGATTTGTCCGCCTACTTTCTAGTCCACTTTATTTTCCTTCACTTGCCTACAATTATGTGTACTTTTCCACCCTCTGATGCCCTGCCTTATCTTGTCCCCCCATTGGTAGTGCTCATCTTTTTTTCCACCTGTCCAAATCCTGCCCAAATTGCTTTATTCTCTGAATTGTTGCACTGAGAGCCCTCCATAGAGAGCATAGCACTGACTTGTTCTCTGAATTTTCCTTCACATCTGCAATCTTTCCTCTGGATTGTAAGCTCTTACGATCATCCCTGTATATTTTTCCAACCCTGTTGCCCTGTCCCCCTACCTGCCCATAATCCAGCATTGTGTGAAGTATAATAATAGTCTATCAAGTATGTCATTTATGCTGTTGTCTTTAGCATTATTCTTCAGATTGATACCCAAAAGCCCAGGAAATATCTTTGGCTCATCTTTTAGAATTTGTTTGATGATGAAATTTTGGGTTATTTTGGGGAATAATGATTATATTTTTATTTCTTTTTTAATCTCTCTGCTGCCTTCCTTTTGACCATTTTGCCTTCTTTGAGATATCTGTCCAAGTATGGGAGAAGAAAATGTTTAAATGTACCTGTGGGTGTGCATTATCAGTAATTCTAATAATGAAGTGCAGCATGAAGGTCTCAGCTAAAGACTTTAGTATTCTCTGAATTTTCTTTTTTTATCATAAATGGTCATGTACTTTGAAGAGCTGATGTCTTGTCTTACCATGACAAAAAGGAAAAAAGAAAAATTTTGCCATGTAAGAGTAAAGGATGCAGCCAAGTTGATTCACTCTTCTGGTTTTGGTGCTTTCACACGGTTGTAGAGTACTTGAGTATCGAGGATGACGTAGAAGACTCAAGTTTGCATCTTGACACTCTTGTTGTTTACTTGAGTTTCTTGAGTTAATCATATGAACTCTGTGAGCCCAAGTCCCTTTGGCATAAGTTATTATAATAATACCTATCTCACAATGTTGTTATAAGTTTAATGAGATAATGGATATGAATTGCCAATTACTAGATAACCATGGGTTATGGTTATTGAACAGGGAACTCCATTGTAAAGCTGTAACCTAAATTGAAAAAACAAAATTATTTAGGACTTACTCATAAGAAGAGATTATTTATTTATTATTTTATATAGTCACTTACTTTATTAGCATCTCTGGGAGTAATTTCAACTAAAGTGATATTTTTAATAAAAATTTAACAAGTGAGAAAATACCTCATAAATGAGATGTTGCTAATTGCAATTTTGTTAGCATTTACAAGAAGTTGATTTGTATGTTACCTTAAGCATAACATGTCAAATGGAAAGATTATATTTCTTTGTTATTTATTTATTTATTTATTTTTTTGAGATGGAGTCTTGCTCTGTTGCACAGACTGGAGTGCAGTGGCATGATCTCAGCTCACTGCAACCTCCGCCTCCCGGATTCAAGCAATGCTCCTGCCTCAGCCTCCTGAGTAGCTAGGATTACAGACGCCCGCCACCATGCCTGGCTAATTTTTGTATTTTTAGTAGAGACGGCGTTTCACCAAGTTGGCCAGGCTGGTCTCACCTGACCTCAGGTGATGCACCCGCCTCGGCCTCCCAAAGTGCTGGGATTACAGGTGTGAGCCACCATGCCCAGCCTCTTATTTGTATCAAACAAATGTATTCAAGCATCTTAGATTCTGAACCATCTTAGTGTAGTATAGGTTAACATTCCTCTCCTAAGATATACATGATATGAGTAATAAAATGTTTTGATTGCCTGACACATAATAAATGCTATGTAAGTTTTAGCTATTTTGTTTTTCAGTTTTAGCTATTATTGGGGAAGCTGAAAGGGAATGTAGTTCAGCTTCTAAAAGAGCTGATGTAATACATTACCAAGCTTTCAGCTTAGCTTTATACATAAGTGAATGTCATTTCTTAATGAGTATTTTTTGTAAAGCCTAAAATGTGTCCTGCAGTAAATAGAGAAATAACAACCACCAAAGGTCTTCCTGGTTTCAGGCCTTGCTGATGCATTTATTTCCATTCTAGAGCCAGAATGATTTTTCTGATGGGCAAATTTGATTATGTCGCTTCTCAATTTAAAACCTTTCAGTTCATTCCCGTTGGTCTTGGGATTCATTCATTCATTTGTATTTACCAAGAGGCAGACACTGTTCTGGGTGCTGGAGATAAGAGTAGTGAGTATTAAGTATGTATATGTTATACACACACACACACCATACAACATAGAACCTTGTAAATGGAATAGTATGGAGCTGGTCTTCATGTAATGCAGAGTTATTTGTGAGTTTATGAAACCTTGGAGTGAGTGCTGGCAAAGTATAGAAATTCAGAGGGCCTTGCTTATGATAGTGTCTAATGAGCAGTAACCATTTGTGTCTACCTTGGTCCCTGGTGTCCTCTTTAAGAAGTTCACTTTTTCCTTATGTGGATATCCTTTGTTGTTGTTGTTGTTGTTGTTGTTGTGGCTGCTGCTGCTGTCATCTAATCAACAGCAGATCTTGTAAGTTTGCTCTGTGGAAATACTGTTTTTCCAGTTGAGGCGGTCTTTGGGCTGCTTTCCCCAGCCTTCAGTGCCATCTTGAAATGTAATTTGTGATATTTCTTTACTCATTGGTCCCAGACTCTATGAATATTCCTGATAAGATAGCTTTTTTTCCCTCCAATCTTTTTTTTACTACAGATTTAGAGTAACACATTTCATTTATTAAATGAGACATACTTGTTTCTCATGGGTAATTTGTTACTAGAGGATGCTGTAAATTGCACTAGGCAACTTAAAGACATTGCTACTTTTTGATGACATGATAGAGGGAAAAATACTTTGGTTGAGTCATTTAAAAGAGTGTTTTAAAAAGTATGATGACTTAGTCATCATTTGTCATTTTATTCTTTTAAGTGTTTGGAAAGTATCCGTATTAAAATAATACCTTTAAAAGCATGTATTCATTAAATTGTCAAAATTGTCATTCAAAAAATTTATAATTTTGCATTTGTGTATGTGTATACCCACTATACCTTATGCTTCAGTGTAAGCCTACAATGTTTATGTAAGTCTTAGAGGTTAAATGTTTGTGATGTTTTATGCCATAATAAAAAGATGATTCCATATGAAGGTGTCAAATGACATTGTCTCTCTAGTGTAAATACAATTTTATTTATTATTGATACTATGTTAGGTCATGTTAGCTAGAAGCAGATCCCGGGACATGGATTTGGATTTATGTGATTTACTGCAGGAGCACTCTCAGGAGAACAAGAGTGAGGGAAGGAGGGTGGTCAGGAGACTAGCCTAAACAGGCATGTGGTCTAAGCAGTGGTCTGGATTCAGCCTGGACTCATGGGAAGTTTTGGAGCAAGAGCAAAGAGGCAGGCCTTTCATACCTGTGTTAGTCATTGGCTGCAGGCTGCTTGAGTGAGGGTGGAGTAGAGAATGATGGCATGTAACCTTCCAGGTGTGGTGGCCCCTGTCTACCTGAGGCCTTTCTCCAGCAGCCAACACTCACAGCAGCTGGAGAATAGATGCACCGGCCTGTAAAGGGGACCTGGCAGAACACCATCAGCACCCACTACAGGTGGTCATTAACTCCAGCAGTTAAGACATCACTATTTAGTTAGGCAAACAGCTTGTCTTTTGAGATATAAATAGAGAATTATTTATGAATATGCATCTTAGTCTTCTTTTGATTCTTATTTTAACGTATTTTTTTTTTTTAGTAAGATGCTCTGGTAATCATGTTTACCAGATTGAAATAAGCACACCTGGAGGCATAGCTAGTGTGGTGGATGACCAAGTCACCATTTCACAAGATTCCAGTAATCTGGAAAGATTAATTTTAGGAGTGATTAATATGATTCTTCAGTTAGTAGAAATTCTCTCGTATGACACAGTTGGTATGTGTAGGTAATTTTAAAAAGTTGGTTCAAGTGTGAATCATTTAAAAATCATTATATATTTTTTGAACATTTTTTACTTAAAATGTATAAGAGTACTTCACTTGTGAATCTTTGGATGTAAGCACAGGACTCTGAATGTAGGTTAATAAACAGTTTATTTTGCATAAACCACGGTTGAATCCATCATCTAAAAATAACAGTTTCAGGTTCTTTAGAGTGAGAACTAGCCAGATTTTAAGTAGTCTGAATACTCCCCCTAGCCTTTTATAGTTGTTTCACTCACACCTAATTTTTCAGCAGTTCCTTTCTTTAAAGTGTTTTGCTTTTATCTAGTCCTTTCAAAGCATTCATCCTCATTTTTCTCTTTGGCATGCACATTTCAGTGGTTCATGTAATATTTAATGAATTTACATAATAAGAATAACAGATACAACAAGTAGAAATAGGCAAAGCAACAAGTATCAGTGACTGGCATGGAACTGCATGGGTGCAGAAATACACATGTAAACTAGTCATAGATTGTCAGTGTGCAGTGGGTGTTTTCAGAGGGAAAGGGGAGTATAAGACTAAGTTGGTCTTAGGAGCTGGCTAAGTATAAGTCACTTAAGAGCATTTCTACTGTATTTTTTAAGTGGTAGTTCAAGTTCAATAGTTAATAAGTTTGTTATGAACCCAAAGTGCAGCATGGCTAGTAAACATTCTATTCAAGGTATAATTTTAAGCTGCATTAACAAAAGTTTGAGTGAAAGAAAACATTGCTCTCACCTTGGTTGAGCCATTCAGGTCCTAGTGAGAACAGCATGTCCAAGTTGAGCACAACAAGGAAGGACGTAAAGCAGGGGCCTCTGAACAATGGCTCTTATTCCTGGCTCGTGGTTGCCCCTTCAGAATAATGCATGTAAACGTGTACACACACAAAATTTTGCATGCATTTAATTATGTTACATTTTAAATTGATTGTTTTTACAAATTAAAAATATTTTCTAACAAATTAACCTCATACCATTTTAATGTAAAAATTAAAGGCGGCCGGGCGCAGTGGCTCACACCTGTAATCCCAGCACTTTGGGAGGCCGAGGTGGGCAGATCACCTGAGGTAGGTAGTTCGAGACCAGCCTGACTAACATGGAAAAACCCCATTTCTACTAAAAATACAAAAAATTAGATGGGCGTGGTGGCGCATGCGTTGTAATCCCAGCTACTTGGGAAGCTGAGGTAGGAGAATTGCTTGAACCCAGAAGGTGGAGGTTGTGGTGAGCCAAGATCGTGCCATTGCACTCCAGCCTGGGCAACAGGAGCAAAACTCCGTCTCAAAAAAAAAAAAAGATTAAAGGCTACTTATGAACATGTTTAATAAATTCAAATTTTGCAAATAAAATGAAAGATAAGTTTATGCTCAAGAAGACTGCTTTGGCTTGGCTTAAAAAATAAGTTGGAATTGTGCAGTGGTTTCTGACATGGCAGCATGGATGTCTTCTTGTTTTAAAACTGTCAGTCATTTTTAACTTTTCTTTATTATAGCCATAAGTGCTTAAAACCTGGTTCACAATAATTGTGGCAAATGGAATAAGAGCCACACATTTGGAAAAGCAAGCTGAAAAGAAACCTACTCCAAGGAACCAGAAATTTTTCTATGACACTTCCTTTGGTTCAGTATATATTATTTCTTATCGTCAAGCCACTGAAATCATTATCAGCAAAGATTGTCAACGTTTTGCTGTCTACATCAGGTAGAATAGAATTATAAATCCACATTTCAGTTTGAACAGAAGCGACCTTCATAAGATGTCTGCAGTGTTCTTCCAACCTATAGAAATGTATATCCAGCTTTGGAAAAATTTACATAGTTGATCCAGTTCTCTCTTCTGAAATGGCTGTTTAGCTAAAAGAGCACATAGGTTTTCAGCAGCATTCAAAATGGTGTCTGTAGGGCCATGAATTGAAAGATTTACGTCATTCATTTGGTCTCAAATATCAGCCAAGCTAAATCAGTAAGTAATCCTTCCTGTCATTTGTTCTTAGAATGTACTTTCCCTCAGTCTCAAAAAGTAGAACCTCTACCTCAAGTTCAGTCAAACACTGCAGGACTAGTCCTCTGGAATACCAGTGAACTTCATGATCTCAGGCCGAGTGTGGTGGCTCACGCCTGTAATCCCAGCACTTTGGGAAGCCAAGGCGGGTGGATCACCGGAGGTCAGGAGTTCGAGACCAGCCTGGCCAACATGGTGAAACCCCCATCTCTACTAAAAATACAAAAATTAGCTGGGTGTGGTCGTGGGCACCTGTAGTCCCAGCTAATCCGGAGGCTGGGATGGGAGAATCGCTTGAACCCAAAAGGGAGAGGTTGCAGTGAGCCAAGATCATGCCACTGCACTCCGGTCTGGGCGACAGAGCAAGACTTGGTCAGAAAGAAAGAAAGAAAAAAAGAAAGAGAGAGAGAGAGAGAGAGAGACAGAGAGAGAGAGAGAGAGAGAGAGAGAGAAAGAAAGAAAGAAAGGAAAGAAAGAAAGTGTGTTTAGAACTTCATGTTCTCTTTTGCTTTTCATTTCCCCATTCCCCTTTCCCGATGCCCCTTTCCCCTCCCCTTCCCTTCCCTTTTCTTTCCTTCTTCCTTTTTCTTTTTCTTTCTCCTTTTCTTTCTCTCTCTCTTCTTTCTTCTTTCTCCCCCTGAGACAGAGTTTTGCCCTGTTGCCCAGGCTGGAGTGCAAGTGGCACGATCTCAGCTCTCTGCAACTTCT
Organism: Homo sapiens; assembly: GCF_000001405.40. Taxonomy (NCBI): domain Eukaryota; kingdom Metazoa; phylum Chordata; class Mammalia; order Primates; family Hominidae; genus Homo; species Homo sapiens. Next base: position 90,983,531 of record NC_000014.9, on the reverse strand, counting down.
GCCTCCTGGGTTCCAGCAATTCTCCCACTTAAGCCTCCTAAGTAGCTGGGACCACAGGCATGCCCCACCACACCCACATAATTTTTGTGTTCTTTGTAGAGACGGGGTCTCCCTATGTTGCCTAGGTTTGTCTTAAACTCCTGGGCTCAAGTGATTTGCCTGCCTCTGCTTCTCAAATTTCTGAGATTTTAACATGAGCCACTGTGCCCATACTTTGCTCATATTTTTTTCTTTCTTTCTTTTTTTTTTTTTTTTGAGATGGAGTCCTGCTCTGTCCCCCAGGCTGGAGTGAAATGGCGCGACCTTGGCTAACTGCAACCTTTGCCTCCTGGGTTAAAGCGATTCTCCTGCCTTAGCCTCCTGTGTAGCTGGGATTCCAGGCACCCGCCACCACGCCCAGCTAATTTTTTTTTTTTTTTGAGATGGAATCTCGCTCTGTTGCCCAGGCCGGAGTGCAGTGGCACGATCTTGGCTCACTGCAAGCTCCACCTCCTGGGTTCATGCCATCCTCCTGCGTCAGCCTCCCGAGCAGCTGGGACCACAGGTGCCCACCACGACCCCTGCCTAATTTTTTGTATTTTTAGTAGAGATGGGGTTTCACTGTGTTAGCCAGGATGGTCTCCATCTCCTGACCTCATGATCTGCCCGCCTCGGCCTCCCAAAGTGCTGGGATTACAGGCGTGAACCACCGCGCCTGGCCAACTTTTGTATTTTTAGTAGAGACGGGGTTTCACCATGTTGGTGAGGCTGATCTCGAATTCCTGACCTCAGGTGATCCGCCCGCTCCGGCCTCCCAAAGTGCTGGGATTAGAGGCGTGAGCCACTGCGCCCGGCCCCCTTGCTTATATTTCTTAACAGAGTATCTTGAAAAGACCTTGGCTCTGATGTAGTTGATAAGATTAACAGCGGTAGACACGACTTCTGTGAGGATTGCTAATTGAGCATTTGATGCCATTGCATGTTGATGCAGAAATTAGAGAGTCATACCTAGTAAGGCATGAAGGTAGTTTCTTTAAGCAGCTCCATCCAAGCAGGAAGTACTATTGTTTTATCTTTTTTTTCTTCCTTTGGAGACAGGATCATGCTCTGTCACACAGGCTGTAGTGCAGTGGTGCAATCATGGCTCACTGCTGTCTCAAACTTCTAGCCTCAAGTGATCCTTCTATCTCAGACCCCCAAAGTATTGGCATTACAGGCATGAGCCACTGAACCCAGTCCCTATTTTGTTTATCTTTTTTTTTTTTTTGCCAAAGGAATTTTCACTGTGGTAGTCTTTGCAGTTTCTTAAAATTACTTTAAAAATAAGATTACTCTAATAATGTCAGGGCACACATAGTGAATGAAAGGCAGGAGTTGGCTGCACTTGCAGGCAGTCATTCATCCAGTTGCAAACTAAAAGAAAAGAATATTGCCACCAGTTCCAGTTTCAATGGCCGCTCTTAAAATATTGGAGAACAAAAAGGTGGTCTGGAATAGATAGCATTATTCAACAGAAGGACTACTTTACTTTCTTTCTCTGCTCTGAGCTATAAACCAGCTTAACCAGGTAAGGTGGCTTCTTTAAGTTCTCTCCAGTATGGAATGTGTTTTCTTCCCATTTGGCAATGTGATAAACAGCTTTATGGGTGCTTCAAAAACAAAACTGTTTGGAGGCAACTATGTTTTAGTTACACAGCCTTCTTAGAAGTAAGATCGTTATCTGAAATACTTATTGTTTGGAATGTCGTAAGGCACTCCTTGAATGTTGGTAATAAGCATCCACTGGCACTTACCATGTGGTGAAGCATTGTAGCTTAAATGTTAATCATGGCAATTATAAAAGTAAAAACAAAATATTTGTGAGCTTCATTATAGTTTTTCCCTGACATTGTCTGATAGATGAACACAATTGCGTTGGCAGAGTACGTGGTCTTTAATTCATATTATTGGGAAACTTCTTGATGTTATCACATGGCAAGGATGATTGCGTATTATTTGACCATATAGATTGTAACATAGCAATCAGGATGATTTTATATTATTTGATCATATATATTGACATCCTATGCTACTTCATGCATATTTTGAGTGAAATACAATAGTTTTTAAAGTAACAGAAAGAAATCAAAGAAAAAAATATTTACAACCCCACACAACATATCAGTGGGACCTCCTAGTGGTGAGAGGTCTCGGAGTCATCTTACTTTGAGATTGGTTTAAGGAGGAAAGAGTATGGAGATTACATGATAGTGCTTTTAAATATTTAAAAGATTATCTTATAGAAGAAGAGTGATACTCTTTTTTAAGTCCAGAGGATATAGAAGGACAAATGAAAATTATAAAATGGCCTGCTTCCAGTCAATATAAAGAAGATTTTCTTTCAGACTAAGTTTCACTCTTGTTGCCCAGGCTGCAGTGCGATGGCACGCTCTCGGCTCACTGCAACCTCCATCTCCCAGGTTCAAGCAATTCTCCTGCCTCAGCCTCCCGAGGAGCTGGGATTACAGGCATAGGCCACCATGCTCGGCTAATTTTGTGTTTTCAGTAGAGACAGGGTTTCTCCATGTTGATCAGGCTGGTCTCAAACTCCTGACCTCAGGTGATCCACCTGCCTCAGCCTCCCAAAGTGCTGGGATTACAGGCCTGAGCCACCACGCCTGGCAATATAAGGAAGATTTTCAAACAGAGCCTCCCATCAATAAAATGGGCCGTTTTGCAAAACTTCCTCCTCTTGGAAGAGGGAGCACTGGGTCCATTCACTGTTAAAACACCTAACTTGCATTGTGACTTCTATTTAATCTCTGGTTCCCTATTTATTTGCCTATGAGGTCATTCACTTAAGTGAAGCAGGTAGACCACAGGTAAGACTGGCCCAGGAGTCAGACTGAATGGCAAGTGTGATCTAGGACAAGTGACCCAACTCTTCTATACTTCAGTTTCTTCATTTATAAAATGGAGATAATAGTTCTCACCTCCTTATAGGAATGTTGTAAGAATCGAATGAGTTTATATCATAAGTGCCTGACAAGTACTCAGATGTTAGGTTCGAACACCCAGCAGCCTGTGTGTCACATGGTCAACACCTATGTTGCGGACAGATGTACTAGGAAGAAGCTGAACAGCCATGTTTGGTGATCTTGTGGAAAGAATTCCTGGTTTTGAGAGCATAGATGGATTCCCTAATTTCTAAAAACCATAGTGCTCTGGAGTTAGGAACCTGGGATAACAAGAATTTAGAGTAAGTGCCATGTGTATGTAAGGAACACAGAAGTTTCAGGGCTGCTTGTGGAAGACTTTACCTTCTCCTGAGTTTATATAGTGGCTTTCCCTGTTGGAAGGTGTAGTGCATAATATTTTCTAGCTTCATTTTGTTGCTTCTGAATAGATAAACATTTTTTTATTTGTATACCCTAATTTGTTAGGTTCCAAAAGTTGTCATTTCATCTTGTTGATTCACTTCTGCCTTACTGAGGTCTCAACCTATAATTATTGGATTTCCGATGAGCTAATACACAAACCTTTGTGAACTTTTTCTGTGCCCTGGAATGTGTTCAGTACGTTTACAGTACTGGTTATATTAAGATCCAGAATGTCTGATTACTAGCGCTTGTGAGGAATCACTTTTTTGTTCATTTATGGTTCAGAGTGTGGTCCCTGGAGTCACACTCCTTGCATTTGAATCAGTTCTGCTGCTTCTTGCCTCAGTCTTTGGGCCAGTTCTGTAACTATTCTGAACACATTTCCTCATGGGTGAAGTAGAATTGCTAAAAGCACCAGCTTCACTGGCTGTTTTGAGGATTAAGTGAATCGATATGTTTAGTGCAGAGCCGGGCATCGGCAAGTCCTTAATAAATGTTGGCGCTCCTTCTCAGGATTATTAGTCTTTCACTGATCTCTTGCACATTGTGTGTTGGTACTAATCCAGTTCCCAGAGTACTGAACTGAATAACATACGGAGTACAAGAGCCCTTCCCTTAAAGCTCCCTTCTTCTAGTGGGTGGATTACAATAGAATTAGGTGGTAAATGCCATAGAGTGTGAATATTGATCTGGGCCAGAATTCAAACTAACTCAATAATGGTCTGATTAAAGCATTTAACAGAGAGACTGGACTTAAACATCCCAGAAAGCATTTGCCTTTTTAAACAGATTAACTGTAGAGGATTGACACCTTGTAGGGATGAAGTGGGGGACTCACCTTTTCATTCCCAAAGTGTTTTTGTTTTTTTGTCTTCCCTTCTTCCTCCCTCTTCCTTCCACTTCTTCCTGCCTTAGCCCACTTCTCTAAGAAAATAAATGCAGAGGACCTGCTCTGCCCACAGGCACAGTGCCCACATGGCCCCAATTCCTCCACCTGGAGGAGGGGCACCACACGTAGGATCATGCCCAACAGAGTCCTTATTATGAAAAGTGTGGCAAGGTTGACCTAGTAAGCTGTAAATTACTGCCCAGAGATACAAAAGGGCTTCTGTCGTATTGTATGCAGTTTAGGATCTTTTCATGTTTTAAGTCTGAAGATCTCTTTTGTTCATATAATGTCAGCTTATGTTGCTTTAGGCTTTTTTTTATAAGTATAGAGGAATAATTGAGGCATTTGATTTATATATATATGAAATTCTTATTAAGAACTGCCTTCATTTGTCTACATCAGTAATAAATATATATATATCTAGAAGTTTTATCTGATGTCTAAAATGTCCTGGTTGTTCCAGAATTGGATTGTGGTTAGTTGACCGTAATAACAGCTAGTTTTCTACAGCTAAAAATATTGCGGAGAGAATAACAGTAAAAGAGTAAAAGCATAATTTTGTCATCAGTGGTTAGATATGTAAACATTAAGGGTTAGACCTAGAAATATATTTGGTATAAAATTGAAGAAATCTATCAAATAACTATTTGAACTGGTACCAAGGGTACTTTTTCCTTTAAAGAGTGTATTTTTTGTGCATTAAATAAATTTAGTTGCACTAAATTACCATTTTGCCTGTGTAGCATTTTAATTCTTTTTATTTTTTCTTTTCATTTTCAGCTTATGGAAAAGTATTTCTAGTTCGTAAAATAAGTGGCCATGATACTGGAAAGCTGTATGCCATGAAAGTTTTGAAAAAGGCAACAATCGTTCAAAAGGCCAAAACCACAGAGCATACAAGGACAGAACGACAAGTCCTGGAACACATTAGGCAGTCGCCATTTTTGGTAACATTACATTATGCTTTCCAGACAGAAACCAAACTTCATCTCATTTTAGGTAAGTGTCAGTTGTTATCAGACTTTTTATGAAAACACTTTTCTTTGGGTCTTAAGTTATAATGTACTTAAAGGGCAAGATACTATGGACTTAGAAGAAGTGAAATATTTTGATTCTCATTCTTTGTGGTGGCATCTCCTGGAATATCATGCATTGCTCTGGATTTGAGGCCTCCCATTATGCCATTATGGAAGAATTTACCTCCTTCTATTCCACACTCTTTTCTTAGTCTTTTTTTCTTTTCTTTTTTTGAGGCAGAGTCTGGCTCTGTCACCCAGGCTGGAGTGCAGTGGCACAATCTCAGCTCATTGCAACCTCCGCCTCCCAGGTTCAGGTGATTCTCCTTCATCAGCCTCCTGAGTAGCTGGGACTACAGGCATGCACCACCATGCCCAGCTAATTTTTGTATTTTAAGTAGAGATGGGGTTTTGCCATATTGGCCAGCCTGCTCTCGAACTCCAGACCTCAAGTGATCTGCCCGCCTTGGCCTCCCAAAGTGCTGGGATTACAGCTGTGAACTGTCACTTCCAGCCTTTCCTTTATTAATGTTAAGAAACATTTGAATTGTTAGGGGTATCTACCTCCCTGAGCAGTATGCTTCCATTCAAATGTGAGGAACTGATTGGTGAAGTGGGCCAATTTCTGCTTTAGGAGTTCTCAGAATGAACAGGTTTAGGCTGACAAGGGGACGGACGTTCATGGAAACCAGTAATGGAGAAAAAGAAAAAAGAAAGAAAAGACTTCTGTTCCTAGAGATGCTTTGCATTCCTGGTGAAAAACTTGATTAGCTACTAATCAGTCAGCCCTTTACACTCCCATTTCCACCCTAGGCACTTTCTGAATCCATTCCTTTCTCAAATAGAGCTGGACCTTTATATATGATCTTTGGGAAAGTCCTCACACACATTCCCAGACTGCTTTGCAGAAAAGTTCCACCATCTTCTGTTCCCACTAGAGAAATGGCAGTGCTTCTAGTGTTCTACCATCGTTGAAGATTTTATCTGTTACCATTTTGGTCCCGTGCTTGTTTTAATTTGCATGTATGTGATATAACTCTCTCCTAGAATTATGGTAAGGATTAAATGAGCTAGAATTTCACATAGTGCTTTGCAAGTATTAGCTATTTCTTGAGTGCCTACAGTATGCCAGCCATTACACTAGGTGTATTCCATAATATCACTGACCCACACAAAGGCACTGCAGGATCCCCTCATTAGTGATGTCCACATTCTGGAAGCTGTATGTCCTGAAGTTACGTATCTTGTGTATGCTTGAAGATTGGAGCTCAAGTCTGAATCATTCCAATGTCTGTCTTCTGTTTCCCTAAATTGCTGCCTGTATTCTTTGATTATTGGTAATACAAACTGGTTTTTTAATATATATTTGGCCATTTTATTGAGTGCTTTTATATTAGAAATTATATTTTTATTAATGATACCTAAGATTGCATTCACCTTTTGAGCCATGATGTTACACTTCATGCTCATTTTGCAATGCTTACCATCAATTAACAATTCTAAATCTTTATTCATGTAGGACACACTCTCTTCTCTCCTCTTAAGAGTCCCCATTAATGTTATCATTTGCCTATTGTTCCAGTGAGTCAATATAATTTGGCCCTTCATTCTGCCTCCTGTGTGTATCTGCTATGTTATTGATTTTTTTGATATATATGTCTTCAGTATCTACCCACATGAACAACAAGACTGTTGTAGGTGACAGAGCATTCTAATACAGCGGTTTCAAACATTTTTAGTGCAGGACCCTTCCCTCAAATGAACACACAGAAATTCAAATGGAAAACAAATGGAAAGGAGTAGCTCTGCTTGTATCTGGGCCTAAGGGTACCAAGCCCTACCGGTTTATTTCTATTCTTTACCCTAGAATTTCCAGGAAAGCCTTAGGAAGTCCATGAGGACTGTTTGAGAAATGATTATCTTTTCAAGTTTCTCCCTTGACAATAAACTCATAAAAGTTAAATCATGTGTCTAAGGTTGTCCGAGTCAGAAGCTGGTAAGAAAACAGGTTCCTGGACTCTGCACCATTACTCTCTAGCCTGCCCCCGCCCTTTCTGTCTCCTCTCTTTTTTTTTTTTTTTTTTTTCTGTTCTCTTAACTATACTCAATATGCTTTTTAAAATTATTTAAAATTGTAATTTTTTTATAAAACATGTTAAATTTAGAAGTAAATAGATAAGAGTGAAATATTTTGTATTAGACTAGAAAACAGTAGTCCTTAATCATGTTGCTTTTTCGTTATTGGCTCTCCATTACTTTTGGCCTTTGTCATTGGCCCTAAATAAACAAATCCAAAACAAAACAAGAAAACCCATTTTTTTATGCTAAGTCAAGAATGGAACGTGAACTGGACAACATATTCATTCCACAGTGAGTGAGGCATTGCATTTAGAAATCATGCCCTTCTATCTTCTGTTCACATTAATTTATTTAACACAATTATTCTTTGTGCCTGTTTCAGCAGTTGACTTTTAAAGATGAAAACTTTTCAGGAATTTAGAAGAGGACCATAGACTGTTTTAATGGTTCAGTTATTTGTTTGCAGTGCCCTAATGCACACTAGGTCAGTTTCCCAAATATCGTGCTATACACTTGGTCCCTATATTAGTTTGCTAGGGCTGGGTGGCTTAAACAATAGACATTTATTTTCTCACAGTACTGGAGGCTGGAAGTCCAAGATCAATGTGCCACTAGGGTTGGTTTCTCCCACGGCCTCTTTCCTTGGCTTGCAGATGGCCACTGTCTTACCACCTCTTCACATGTTGTCCCCCTACGCATGTGTGCCCCTGGTATCTCTTTTTGTGCCCAAATTTCTTCTTCCTGTAAGGACACCAGTCAGATTGCTTTGGGGTCCACCCTAGGGGCCTCATTTTAACTCCATTTACAGTCACATTCTAAGGTACTGGAGGCTAGGACTTCAACATAATGAGTTTTGGGAAGATACAGTTCAGCCTGTAACAGTCCCAAAAGGTTTATTGGTTGACTGACTTTATCCAGCTTTTTGTGAGGTATTAGCAAGAACTTACATGTCTAGCTCTTCAGGAACCTTGCTAACAGTTTGTCTGATGACTAAGTAAATACTATAAATCTTTTTTTTTTTAAATATGTGTTTTCTTAAAGTTTTATTACTGCAAAGGCAGTATATATGCATACAGAAAATACAGGACAGCAAAAATAAGAAAATAAAAACTTATTTTCACTACCCAGCATGAACCTTATTATATACCCCTCTGTTATCAGTATATATTCTTCTAGGTCTTTTTGTCTGTATGTCTATCTGTGTGTTTTATCAAAATGAGTTTGTCCCGTATATGATTTGTAAGCAGATCTTTCCGTTAATGATATCTACCTTTCCCAGCTAATAAATTTTCATTTAAAACCCAGTTGTACAAGTTATTTATTGCTGTATAACAAACCACCTAAAATTTCATAGCTTAAACAATGATTTATTTTCTCATGATCCCATGGGTTGGCTGAGCAGTTCTCTAATGGTTAGCCTGGGCTCACTCACCTGGTGTTCAGATGGAGAGTTGGCTGGGCTGTGAGGTCCAAGATGGTTTCATTCTCATGTCTGGTAATTGGTGCTAGCTGTTAGCTGGGCCACCTCTTTTCTCCTCCATATGGCCTCTCATCCTCCAGTACAGTAGATCAGCTTTTTCATAGCATGGTAGTATCAGGGCAGCTAGCAACTACTGCCAAGAGGGCAAAAGTGGAGGCTGCAGGGCCTCCTGAGCCTGGACACTGGAACTCACATAGCTTCACTGTCAACACAAGACCAGCCTGGATTCACGGGATGCAGAAATAGACTTCACCTCTTGAAGAGGGGAACTAGAAAGAATTCATGGCCATTTGTCACACAAGTCCATTTTCATATTTTACTAATTGTAACATAATTATGCTTTACAGCTGTTTGTCCAATCCAGGAATGCTCACTTGGTTGTGTCCTTATAGTATCTTTTAACTTATTCCTGCCTCTGCTGAATTCTAGTAGTAATTGGGAAGCTAGATCTAAAGTCTCAATAGGTTAAACTTAAACGTTTTGAGCTGGAATACACCATAAATGATGTTATGTATTTCATGTTATATCACGTTAGGAGAAACCTATTATCCGATTTTTCCCAATTAGTGATTCTAAGATTAGATTACATAGTGACAGCCTGATCCCTTCATCATAAGGTTATATTTTTTCTCCTAGAAGTGAAAATATTCTGTGTGGTGTTTGGACACTATTTTTTTTTTTTTTTTTTTTTTGAGATGGAGTCTCACTCTGTCACCTTGACTGTAGTGCAGTGGTGCAATCTTGGCCCACTGCAGCCTCCACCTCCTGGGTTCAAGTGATTCTCCTCCCTCAGCCTCCCGAGTAGCTGGGATTATAGGCACCTGCCACCACACCTGGCTAATTTTTGTATTTTTAGTAGAGACGGGGTTTCACTGTGTTGGCCAGGCTGGTCTTGAACTCCTGACCCTCAGGTGATCCGCACGCCTTGGCCTCCCAAAGTGCTGGGATTACAGGCGTGAACCACCACGCCCGCCCTGATACTGGTTTTAACATAATATAACGTGGTTGTAATGTAACATAACATATGAACACCATATAATTCATAAAGCTTTTCCTTGTTCTTTTTTTTATTCCTGCACAGTCCTTCGTTCCATTCCATTGTATACTTAACTGGTTCCCTGTGAAGGGATCCTTGGGTTATTGTTTATTATCTTTTCTTATGAGGATGCTTCAGGGATAACTTGCACGTATGTCATTTTCTACTTGTTTGGGGGAAAAAACCTGTAGGCTTGATGAAGGGAGATTGCTGGGTCTGTGTTTTCACCATCTCTTCTTTTTTTTTTTTCGAGATGGAGTCTCGCTCTGTTGCCCAGGCTGGAGCGCAGTGATGTTGATCTCGGCTCACTGCAACCTCTGCCTCCTGGGTTCAAGTGATTCTCCTGACTCAGCCTCCTGAGTAGCTGGGACTACAGATGCATGCCACCACACCTGGCTAATTTTTGTATTTTTTCAGTAGAGACAGGGTTTCACCATGTTGGCTAGGCTGGTCTCCAACTCCTGACCTCAAGTGATCTGCCCACCTCGGCCTCCAAAAGTGCTGGGATGACAGGCATGGGCCACCACACCCATCCTTTTTTGCCATCTCTAATTTTGCCAAATACACTTCCATAGAAGTTGTACCATTTTACATTCCCATCAGCATTGTTTGAGAGTGCCTGTTTCTCCACAGAACGTATTCTCAAACTTCTGGGCATTTGCCTGTCTCATAGGTGAGTAGTAGTGTCTCATTGTAGAGTTAATTTTCTTTTTTTCTTTACTGAATGAGGCCGAACATCTTTTCACATGCTTAAAAAGCCATATGTATTTTTTCTGAGAATTATCTATTTGTACCCTTTGCCTCTTTTTTTCCTCTCAATTTCTAGGAGCTCATAAAGTAATTAATCATTTCTGGTAGGCATTGTAAATACTTTCCCGTTTCCCATGTATTTTTTTGAGTTTGGTTATGATGCATTTACCATGCAAAAATTTATGTATAGTAAAATTTATTTTTAAAATTATTTTTATGGCTTGTGATTTTGAGTCATAGTCAGAAGACCTCCTCTACTCCTCTACTGAGTTTATAAAGGAATTAACTGATGTCTTCTTCCAGTACTTGCATGGTTTTATTTTTTGCATAGAGAACTTGGATCCATGTGGATGGCGTATGACATGAAATAAGGATCCAACTTAATCTTTTTCAAATAGCTAATTTTCCCAACACTGTTTAGTTAAAAGTCCACATTTACATTGAGTTGAGGTGCTTCCTTTTTCCTCTATGAAATTCTCATATATGTTTGGGTCTATTTGATTTTTTTCTGTTTGGTTTGTTAAGTCATGTACCAGTACTATACTGTTTTAATTTATCAAGGTTTTACAATGTATTTTAATTCTTGGTAAGGTTAGTTGCCCTCTGCCCCTGATCTTTCATTGCCTTTATTTTTCAGAGCTTTTTGGAGGACTCTTCCTGTTGGTTTATTTTTCAGCATGAACTTTAGAATCACATTGTCTGGTTTTGGGGGGAAAAACCGTAAGGTATTTTCACTGGAATTGCTGTAAATTAAAAAATTAATTTAGGGAGACTTGACATTTTTATGATATTGGTTATTCCAATTCAAGAACATGGTATGTTTGCTGATGTTGAAATCCTTCTAAGACCTTCAGGTGTGTTTTAGCATTTACTTCCTAGCCATGTTTCTTAACTGAATCTTAGATATTCTGTCATCTGTTGCTTTTGTAAATGGGGTCTTCTCTTCCACCATACCTTCTAGCTGAAAGCTATTACTTTTATATATTAGTTCTATATCCTGCTATCTTACTACATTTTCCTACCTTCCCACATTGCTCATGTCTTGCCCAGTTCCTTCTTAGCCTGCCCTGAACCATGTTGTTTGGTGTATATGGGTTTTCTTTCTCTCAGTTTTGCTGAAGGAGTAGGTCATGGAGGTTTACAGCTTTTCTTGCTGTTTTTAAAGATGTTTTAGGAGCAGATGTGGAGATTCATGTCTAGGCTGCCATCATGTGCCTACTAGTATTTATGGCTCACTGTAGACTTCTTGATGGGGCTTGTTCCATTGGGATTAAATTCGCCTTGTTTGCACAGGCTTCTCCAAATGATAAGATTATTACAATGTTAGTATTATCTTGCCATTTGCTTACCTGTGACATTTTGCTTTTAGTAACCAGATACGGAATAGACTAGCATTTCTACTTGAACTGAGTATGTGTGATTGTTTCCTACAATATGCTGTATTTACTGGTAGTTGCCTTCTCTTTATTTATATTGTATCTGTCATCTTGTAAATCAGGCATCAGGACTTTGACCAGTGAAGGGCTAGATGGTAAATATTTTAGGCTTTGCAAGCCTTAAGGTCTCTTTGACCATAGGCAGTAGTGAATAAATAGGCATGGTAGGGTTCCAATAATTTTTTTTTCTTTTTGAGATGGAGTTCACTGTCGCCTAGGCTGGAGTGCAGTGGCGTGATCTCGGCTCATTGCAACCTCTCCCTTCCAGGTTCAAGCGATTCTCCTGCCTCAGCCTCCCGAGTAGCTGGGTTTACAGGCATGTGCCACCTCACCTGGCTAATTTCTGTATTTTTAGTAGGGACAGGGTTTCACCATGCTGGCCAGGCTGGTCTTGAACTCCTGGCATCGGTAATCTGCTCGCCCTGGCCTCCCAAAGTGCTGGGATTCCAGGCATGAGCCACCGTGCCTGGCCCAAGTTCCAATAAAATTTTATTTACAAAAATGGTGGTGGACCAGATTTGGCCTCTGGTCTGTAATTTGTTGACCCCTGCTTTAAAGTTATCTATTGTTAAGTCACATTTCTGGTTTTTTTTTTTAATTCAACAACATTAATATCTTTTAAGCCTCTGATTTATAGCTAATGATATTGGATTTGGTGGATTTTTCCCTTTATATTTCTTTTACTTTTCCCAAATCTTGTAACGTGGAGATCATGTCTCCTTTTATAACTTTTTCTGTACCTGTGCATGGTTACAACAAGAGATATAAAAATATTTTTATCTGTTCTCTCTCTCTTAAAACTCATATTTATTTCAACTAACACTGAGAGGGAATTCTATGTGGAAAATAATCTGTAAAAATAATTTTTCTTTTGATGTTTTCTGGTTTCTGTTAGTGGTGATTTTGTTGAAACACCAGCTGATCTATGACTGTAATAAATTGTTACATTAATCAGAATTCACAAGATGTTAAATAAGCAAATCACCAAAGTGTTTGTAAAGGTAATGCCAAGGATCATTCCCAATAATGAATGCCATCCCAGCCTTGTAGACAGTTTTGTGATCATGAGTCATTCTTTCAATGGAGTTAAGAGGTATTTAAAAATTAAAGTTTCACTTTTGAGTATTGGTTTCATCTCAATAATTGTAAGGGTGAGCAATAATTGTAATTGCTGAGATGGTAACAGAATGGTTCATGATATATTACAGTCACTAGTATGACGAAACAGACAGTAACTGAAAACACTTCCTTGCTTTGAAGTAAATATGACTAATTCACAAGATTGATAAGATGTTCTTAGTCAGAACTTTGTAATGATTTTGATAAGCTGAAATGCATTTATAGAGTGTACTATTAGAATGTTGAGCTAAAACCAAACAAAAATAAACTGAGATGGTTTTGGCATGACATTAAAAAGAAATGACTTTCAGGTTTGTGTGGCATGTCACGTTAAGACTATATTTTAGATAGAAGATAAGAAAAGGGAGCTATCAAGAGAGATTTGGGTGGTCCAGAGGAGAAAGAGTAGGTAGAAATGAGAACAGGAGGTATGGGAGTTCATGGAAGTGAAGCATATCAGAAGGAAGAGGAAAATTTGTAGGAAAAAAAATAAAAAGAAGACCAAGTAACAGTGCAGAGAGAGAGAGAAAAAAAGAGAGAAGTGGTCTGAATCATAGGGGGCATGTGGGAATTAATAACAGCTCTTTGGAAGGTGCCACCATTTAAGAAGAAATATGAGAGAGAGAAATTCTAAGTAGGAGAATTTGAAATAGAAAGCTTAGATGTCTAGAGGTCAGCCAGAGTATTACTGGAAATAAGTAGGTGTTTGGGTGTTTGGAGAGTGAAAGCAGAACAGAATCTTTCCTTGAAAGCAGGAGATGTAGGATTTCTGTTAACTCTACGACTTCCCCTCCTACAAGCTGACTTCCATGCAATTGCACGAGCAAGACATAGCCTTAAAATAAGCTTGCTAGCCCTTTCTGTGGTTATCCTTTTGCATCTTAAATGGAAAATGGGCTATTTAGGCTGTAGTTTTTAGTAATACTTTAAAGCTTATGTAACCCAATGTCTCTGTGAATTTCACTTTCTCCATCTGCTAATAAAAGTGTATGAACTGCAGAACAATGGAGAGATTTCTGAGTTCAACGTTAAGTCAAATCAGATGTGCAAAGACGAGCAGCCTGAAACTGTGCAACAGTATGTACTTAGAAAGTCAGAATTTTGATGGAGAGCACGTGCTGTTTTACCCTAACGTTAATTCCATAAGGTATTAATTGTCAGAATGATATGAGTTGCTTAAGAATCTTGGAAATTTTGTAGAGATCTTCAGTTCAAATTCTCAGAATTAATTTACTGTTTTAAGAAACAAATTTACTGGTTTAAAGGCTATTTTTCTCTCCTCCATTCTCTACCTGCCTTTCCATATACATACAAACACACATACACACACACGGCTTGCTATTCTGAATCCAAGAAGGAAATATTATTTCATAATAACAAAGTGAAATCTACTTGCTACTGTTAAATATCTGCATAAATTATGTGTCATTGAAATGAAATATAAATTGTTTTCCTAATATGAAAGATGTGTGACCTAAATTAAAGGGCTATTATTCTGCTAAAATAAAAAGATTGTTTTGGTTATTAACTGTGTGATCTTGAACAAGACACTTAAGTTATAAGCATGATCTACAAGTTGCTAATATATCAGTTGTCTTTTTCTGCATAACTAACCCAAAATTCAGTGGGTTAACATAACCATTTTTGAGGGGCTCAATTTGGGCTGATCCATAGAGGCAGTTTTTGTGCTATTTTGCTGCCTTTGAAACACTCTTTTCCTTTTTGCCCTTTGCAAAGGGCATAAAGTTAAGTAATATGAGGACTGAAAAGTATTCATTGACTCTAGTAACAAGAGGTTATTTTTAGCTTTAAGTTATGGTGTTATCATGGAGGTAGAAGTTGTACTGTAGTATGTTAAGGAATGAATAGAGGCTGTGGTAGACTGAATAATGTCCTCCCAGAGATGCCCACATTCTAATCCCCCAGGACCTGTCAGTATGTTGAGCTACATGGTAAAGAAGAATTAAGATTACAGATGAAATTAAGACCACTAATCAGCTGACTCTAAAATTGAGAGATTATTCTGAATTATCTGGTGTGGGGCCAATGTAACCACAAGGGTCCTTACACAATAGGAAGAGGGAGGGAGGGAGGAGAGAGGAGGGTGAGAGGGAGATGTGTCTACAGAGAAGGTCAGGTGATGCAATGTGAGAAGTGACTCAGCTGCCATAGCTGCCTTTTAGGATGAGGGAAGGGACCAGAAGCCAAGGAATGTGGGTGGCCTGTATCTAGAAGCTAGAAAAGGCCAGGAAACAGATTTTTCCCTGGAGCCCCAGAAGAAACGCAGTCCTGCTGACACCTTGATTTTAGTCCAGTGATGTCCATGTCAGACTTCGAGTGTACAAAATTATAAAATAATAAATTCATAGTGTTTACGCCACTAAGTCTGTGGTAACTTCCTATAGCAGCAATATGAAGGGAACAGTGGGTAAGGAGCATCAGCCATGTAGACCACGCTTTAAAGAAGTTTGGCAGTAAAATAAAGAAGAAAGACAAGATGGGACACGTGGGATTTAGGGAGGATGGTAGTGTGTTTTAAAATGGGAGAAATTTTATGTTTTTGAATTTTCACATTATTTGTGTGATTTCTGTGTTATTTTTATGCTTCTTAGAGACACAGTATCAGAGTGCTTCATCTGGCATTCCAAATACCAGAACATAAAAATCTTTAAAAGCAAGTTAATTGCACTTGAATAAAAACCAGATATCTCTGCAATTTTAAAACTTAGGATTGCACTGAAATATCAGTTATATAAGAAAATCTCTCTTTAGCTTAATACTAAGTAATTAGACCCTGGTAGTACTTTATGGAAATATATGTTAAACATTCATAAGTCTTAAAATTATGACCACATTGAGTATGTAAGTCAGGGCACAATAAATTTGATTTTTATATTTAAGTCATTATAATTAAGCTTGACAGTATTTTTCAAGTCTATAAATTGTAACTGATGCCTGTAAATAATAATAGGAGCTATTAGTTATTATTTAACAAATGCCTACTGTATGCCTGGCTCATAATCCTCAGTAGCTCATTTAATCCTCATGACAATCTTATGTGGAAGTTAGAATTATTTATATTAATATTTTGCAGTTATAGAATATTAGTCATCCTACATATAAAGAAGACCATTTAAGAAATACAAAGGAATTAAGATATAATCATTTACATGACATTTCTTTTAATCAAGAAACAAATCATTGGCACAAGGATCATATAAGGTATTCCATTGTATGGACTGTAAGTCAATTTCAATGGGATGATAAATGTTTTTTGGAAGGGTCACATTAATGAAATTTGCCTGACAGCTTCTGAGAACATGTATTAGAGTTAGCCCTACCTATTTATTTTTAATTATTGTCATAAAGATGGACTATTGATAGTTTTCTTTTGTTCTTCAGTTGTAAACAGAATAAGTCTGAAGACTTATCCTGAATTTATCTCTTGGAAGAGCTCAGAACTTGAGACATGCCCATCAAGAAAGATGTTCTTACTGTTATTACCAGTTCTCTTTTGCTTTCTCTCTTCTTTTCTATTTCTTTCTACTCTTTATCAATGCTGAAACTTAAGATGAAGAATCTACCTTAATACTTATGTGGCTACGGCAGTTAGTTACTGCAATATTACATGTTTACTCATTCCTTGCAACTAGTATTAGTGCCTTGTATTCGATAGGGCTAGACCCTGTGCCTGGCAGAGAGAAAATTGTCCTTGGACTTTAGTCTGCCTCTTTGGTGCCAGATCCCAACTTGACTTTCTGGCAGAATACATGTAAATTAGCTTTTAGAATAAAATGTACAATATGTAAATAAAGAGGTATGACTCCGTTGGTACACTGTACTCTCTAAAGCTTAATTTTGTATGTGCCTACTATTTTAGAAGCTTTGGAGATATTTTTTATGTCTTTAGGAATTTTGTGTTCTTCCCCCTACTCAAACATCTCTTCATCTTCCTCTACTAACAGAAAGGGTTAGTATTCTATGAGTAACTGTGTGCATAAACTCCTGAAATGCTTTATTTATCCTTTCCTCTAAAGTAAAACCTTCTGTTTTTGGAGGATGTTGCTTCTCTAGCAGCCCCTGTCACAGAAGACCACCTTCCTGTACTCAACAACATGATGATAGTTAAACATCATTTTAAAAAATCATTTCTCAACAGAGTCTTGTTTTTCAAAGAGCTTTTCTAAGCCACTTCCCTCAATTCTGTAGCTAATTGACTCCCAGGACACATATCTGCGTTTCCAGTGACATTCATCAGACGTAGTTTCCCTTTCCTCCAGTTTCCTCCCATCACTTTCTACAACTTTAGTACCAGTATTGATAACCAGTTCAATACCATGCCAAACCTCTTTCACTTCTTTTGCTTCATTTACAAGTATAGCTGCACATTAGGCCTTATCAGTCAAACCAGTTGCACCTCTAAGACCTCAAAGTCTTTAACCATAATCTTCCATCATTTTCC
This sequence comes from Homo sapiens, assembly GCF_000001405.40. Taxonomy (NCBI): domain Eukaryota; kingdom Metazoa; phylum Chordata; class Mammalia; order Primates; family Hominidae; genus Homo; species Homo sapiens. The sequence continues at coordinate 90,965,926 of NC_000014.9, read as the reverse complement.
TTTCTCATACTCCCCGAGCATTTTTTAAATCCCCTCTGAGCCCTACCTTCTTTTGAGCCTTTCCTATTCTCCTACTTCCTTTGGGTTCCATCTGCACCCTTACTAACCTAGAATCTGCCTTGGCTGGCACACTGGCATTGCTTGCCCTCTTCACCTTCCTCCTTGCCTGACATTGCAGTCACTTTGATTATTCTCTGAACTTGTCTTCCCAATACTAGATTGCTAAGCTTTCCTCGTGTGTCAACAAAATGTGTCACCTGGGTCTGGCATGAAACCCATGCTGTCAGTCTCAGCAGAGCTTCACAGGTTAGTGAGCATTTTACCCCTCTCTCGTGAACTGCATGTGAACTTTCCCAGCCTCTTATTACTTCTCAAACCCACAATCCCATTACTGTCTTCCTCTCTGTCTGAGATGATCAGGTCCAGTTGCTACAAGCTCTCAAGTTTTCTTCCTTTCTCCTTTCTTTTGCACCTTAAAATCCTCTGTATCTTGGAAATGTATGTCAGATTGGCAAAAATTTAAGGTATTTGATATGAGAACTTTTTTTTTGTTGAGACAGAGTCTCGCTCTGTCGCTCAGGCTGTAGTGCCATGGTGCGATCTCGGCTCACTGCAATCTCCACCTCCCAGGTTCAAGCCTCAGCCTCCCGAGTACCTGGGATTACAGGTGCCCATCACCACGCCCAGCTGATTTTTGTATTTGTAGTAGAGACTGGGTTTCACCCTGTTGGCCAGGCTGGTCTCGACCTGACCTCGTGATCTGCCTGCCTTACAAAGTGCTGGGATTACAGGCATGAGCCACAGCGCCCAGCCGATACGAGAACTTTTTAAGAGGTATTTACTCACTGTTGGTGGGTGATATAAATGGCTTCAGCCTTTTTTTGGAGGTACTTACCAAAAATTGGCAACAGTTATCAAAATTTAATATGTATGTTTGTTGTGACTTGCCAATCCAAGTTTGTTTGTTTGTTTGTTTGTTTTGGTTTTTTGGTTTTTTTTTTTTTTTTTTTTTGAGACAGGGTCTCACTCTCTTGCCAAGGCTGGAGTGCAGTGGCACTATCATGGCCCACTGCAGCCTTGACTTCCTGGGCTCAAATGATCTTCCTGCCTCAGCCTCCCAAGTAGCTGGGACTATAGGTGCACACCACCACTCCTGGCTAAATTTTTTTGTATTTTGCAAAGTCAGAGCCTCACTATGTTGCCCAGGCTGGTTGTGAACTCCTGGGCTCAAGTGATCCTCCCATCTCAGTCTCCCAAAGTGCTGTGATTACAGATGTGAGCCACCACATGCAGCCTCAGCAATCAAATTTTAGGAATCCATCCTACCAATTTATGCCTGCCTAAGTAGATAAAAAATATGTACAAGGTTGTTTCTTGTGGCACTATTACTAGAATGAGAATGTCAGTACAAACTAAGGTTGTCTGTAGGCCAGAAAATCCTACACTTCTGTGCTCACAGTCAAAAAGCATTTTAGATGAAGGTGGCAAATATTTTTATTGTAATATTTATGTTTTGTAGTACTTATTTGTTATCAGACACTACTCTTGGCATTTTTTTATATATTATTTTTTTCAGTCTTTGAAAGCAACCCTTGAAGAAATAGATTATCATCTTTGTTTTATAGATGAGGTATCTGAGGCTCAGGGAATAAAAAAAGGCGCCCAAGGCTACATAGCCGGTATGTGCAGGAGCCATGCGACTTGATTGCTATACACAGCTTAGCCACATGTGTTGCCTTCTTTGTTTTATCAGGAGAAGCAGCATTATTTTTATTATCAGAAAATTAGAAATAGTGCTAATGTCTATTTTTTGACCCCTTTCAATCCTTTCCAGTCCGTTTTTTACATTAATATTTGATTAGTCTTCCTACGACACAGCCATGATTGGGTCACTCCACTGCTTGACGTCTCTCAGTGACTTCCATTTACTTGAAGAGGATATATTCTAAAGTCCATTGTAAGGCTCTCAAAACAATCTGACCCCAGCCTCAGCTTGTCTTTCCCTCCCAGTCTCCCACTACTGTGCTCTGATACCTGTGCACCAGCCAAGCCAAATAATCTACTCCTCGGTGAACATGTATTTTTCTCTGTTTCACTTAAGTAGTAACTTGGCTCAACTCTGGGTTGCTGGGTTTCAATATATCCTAGCTGCAGGATCCTAGGCAAGTCGCCTAATCTCTCTGATACTCTGCTATCCCATTTACCTGGAGTTGATTGGCTTAAATGGAATGATCTATGTAAAGTGTGTCGTATCGCCCCTGGCAGATAGTGATCCATGAGTGGTGGTGATATTAAAATAAAGCCTTGAAAAGTACAAGATGAAACTAGAACATCTTGTTATGCTAGAAAGTAAGAAAGTGCAATAAATTGGGGGCGAAGGGAAAGCTCTTCCTTATGGGAGAATGCCAACTAACATAGAGGAATGATGGAGTTGGAAAATCATCACTTGATGCTAAAATGAGTGGGTGACATGAGGAGGAGGAGATTTTTACATAGTCTCAATTCCTCTCCCTAAAATTTACCAGTTAATTATAAAGGGAAACATAGTAACTTCATAGTGGAGAAACGTGGCAAACTCCACTTTAGTGACTCCACATTAATGATGTTCTCAAAGTTAACACCAATGTTGGGTAAACTAACATCCGTGCTTCCTGAGATGTCGTAGTGAGGGTAACATCATTTTATTGCTATTCCTTCCAAGAATACATAACCTGCATCATGAGAAAACAAAAGATAAAACCCAGATTCAGAGTTAGTCCACAAAATATCAGGTCTGTCCTCTTCAAAGATACCAAGAAAGAAAGACCATGGATTCCAGACTAAAGAGATGTGATTTCTAATGCGTTGTATGAAATTGAACTAGAAATTGGACTGGAAAAAAGTAGCCACAAAGAGCATTATTGGGGTAAATGGCCAAATTTGAATAGGGAATGCAAATTAGGAAATGGTATTTTTATCGTGGTTAATGGCTCTGATATTTACAATTATACTGTGGTTATATGCAGGAATGTCCTAGTTCTTAGGAAATGTACACTGAAATGTTTAGGAGTAGAGGAGCACGATATCTCCAACGTATTCTCAGCTGGTTCAGGAAAAATATGCACATATATGAAAACAGAAAGAATGCTAAAGCAAATTAAACAAAATGTAAACAATTAGTGAATTTTCATAATGAGCATATAGGGATTCTTTGTATTGTTCTTACAATTTTGGAATCGTGCCAAAATTTTGTACTACGTTAAAGGTACAGTACTTTTTTCGAGAAAACCGCCCAGGGTTCATACTGCACTCCAGCCTAGGCAACAGAGCGAGACCCTATCTCAAAAAAAAAAAAAATCTAGGCCGGGCATGGTGGCTCACTCCTGCAATCCCAGCACTTTGGGAGGCCAAGGAGGGCAGATCACCTGAAGTCAGGAGTTCGAGACCAGCCAGGCTAACATGGCGAAACCCTGTCTCTACTAAAAGTACAAAATTTTGCACCTATAGTCCCAGCTACTTGGGAGGCTGAGGCAGGAGGATCATTTGAGCCCAGGAAGTCAAGGCTGCAGTGAGCTGTGATAGTGCCACTGCACTCCAGCCTGGGCAAGAGAGTGAGACTCTGTCTCAAAAAAAAAAAACTGTGCCAAGATAAGTTTTTTGTAAAAAAAAACCCTTAGGAAAAAATTCTTTAATAGGGCTTCATTTAGGAGCCACTATGTACTTCCTAGACTAACAATAATAAGAAGTTTCATGCCACTCTTCAGGCTTCATAATGTAAGCCCGTGGAACACAAGGGGAGAGTATAATTTTTCCAAAACAGTGTAATCTGTGTTTATAGCTTTCTGCTGCTCTTGGTCCAAAGTCATAATATAGTGTATCAAGAGAGATGTATTGATCATATGCATTGTCCTTTATATGTATTATTTCTAACAACTGAACATTTAATGATATTTGGTCTGCAGATACTTTGAGGTTCTAATCTCTGGCAAGAACCATGAATGTAGCTCTTCTATGTTGCCAAATTCAGATCCTCTGCCTTAACAGCCAGGTGGGTTAAAATGATAACCTCTTAGGAAAAATTAAGGAACTTTTTGCAAGGTTGTAGATATTCCTCCATTCAAGGTACAGTACTTTTTTTGAGAAAACAGCCCAGGGTTCACTACTGCAAGATGTAAATTGCTGTCCTTAAGTTCTGTGCCATAAAATCTATGAGCGATAATTTTAGCTTGGCAGTCTAAAAAAAGATTTAAACTGATTGTTTACTGTAGCCATTAAAAAAAAAATCTCAGTAGACATAGAATGTCTACTTTTGATTACTGTGACATTCAGATGAGCCCTCCAAAATTTAACTGGAAAAAGCATGTAAGACTGCAAAATTATATAAGATATATAGAATTATTGGTTCTAAGTCATTTAAATACTTGGAAGCTGTCTTCCAAAGAATAGTTGATCTTAAGGCAATATTTCTGACAAAAATTATCAAGTCCGACTGCCTGATGAGGCTGCTCCTCAAAAGCAGCGGGAAAGCCAAGTTGGAAAGGGGAAAAGAGCAGCTCTAAGACAACGTCTAAACCCACTGTCTTCAGAGTCAGACACGTTCATCATCCTTACTCTCCCCCTTCATAAGATGTACAACTCTGGAAAATTGACTTAACCACTCTCAGTTTTACTTTTCTCTGGAGATTCCTATTTTCTCTGGGGATTATGTGATTATTTTAATAGTACCTACTTCATAGCATTATTTATTGGGATGAGATTCATCATATCTAACTAGAACAGGCATGAAAGAAGTGCCTAAAATCTATAGTTGCTATTGTTATTCTTTGGTCTCAGAAGCAGTGGGCTGTGTTCAGATACAAACTTTTAAGGAGGGCCACCCAAGTCATTGTTTTACATCCGGATTCTTGTCTGTCGGGAGCCCTTTCCCACTTCCCCTGCCTATCTGGTTATTACGCTACTTCCGTACAAACGTCAGTAGCCAGGAGTGTATACGAACAGTACCACTTAGCCCATTTTCATTGTATGTCCACAGAGACAAAAAGCTGAAGGAGTATCAATAAAAATTGAGCAATCTCATGCTATCTTCTGATAGTTTTCTTATAATAAAGGGAAGAAAAACAATATTGGCTTTAAAAATTCAAGAATGCTCAAGCTTACAATTTTTTGTGGAAGAAATGACAGAGACTTGAGAAGGAATTTTCAGAAATCTAATGGATCATAATTTTGGCAGAAAAGTTATTCAGGGTAGATAAGCTGGCATGGATCAAGAGTCCACCAGGTAGATTGGACCGTAAATTCTAGCAGTAGACAGTTTTCAAGTGCTTTATTCTACCTGAGCTATTTAATATGTATTTTATATGAGGAAATGTAATTTATGCCCAGTTGAAAAGGGGCTGGGGATCTAAAAGCTCTGGAGGTTTTCCTTAGGCTATAAAGCTGAGAAGACTCCTCCTTTCAGATGTCAGTGAGGATCTGGGTGGTCATGATATCACTGACCACTTTGATGCCACTGCTAACTCTAGCCCAGAATCCGCCACATTCCTTTTGAGAGAATAACAATTTGAAAATTCAACTCAAATTTAACGATATCCCTGATAGTCTTTTACATATTTTGTCTTATTTGTTGTTTCGCTGCCTGGCTAAGTTGTTTTTACTTTCAGGGGCATGCCCGAGCCCTATCCTAACAGAGTTGATAGATCTCTTGATAAACAAAGAGGCGTAAAGACATCAGAGATGCAGTTTTAGCACATTCTCGGTAGTCAGAGCTCTTGTTGAAATGAAAATCCCTTGCTCCGTCTCACTTTTCTTAAGCTCTGAACCCCACTGGTCCAAATGTGAATACAAAGAATCTCTAGGATAGTTAAGCCAAGCAGGGGTAAAATTCAGGGAGAACTAATCCAAACGCTGAGAGGGAGTGTGGCACTGGTGGGCATGCTGGGCATGATCAAGTTGGTGGTGTGGGCTCTCAGGGCAGAGCTATGGCACCTGTTCTCAGAGGTTTCCCATGTGCTGTCAGTACTTGCTGGTTTGTTTGTAAATAAACTTGATAGGAACCTTTCCATTCAAATTTATAATGCTGTCTTTAAGGTGATGTTCCTTAAATTTTTGGCTAACAACTCCTTGGCAAATCTCACAAAAGCTGTGGATTCTCTCTTCTCAGAAGAATGCATGTAGGCCTACATATACCCAAACAGTTTACATAATTTCAAGGAATTAGCACGAAGCGCTTTCACCATGGTTCATGGAAGCTACTCTTAATGCTCTACAACTGGCCACAAGATGGTGGTGGTGATGACTACCATTTATTTAGCTTGTACTATTAGTCAGGCACTCTTCATTCTTCATATCCAAAATGAACTCTGGATAGCCCCTTCCAAACCTGTTCTTCCCCCATCCTTACTCATCTCAGGTAACACCCACTCCATCTCTTTAGTTGCTCAGTTATGCTGAGTCCTTATCACTACTACTGTTGTCACCTTCCTCCTAGCCAGTCATCTCTTGCATTATTACCTTATTTATTATTGCGAGTGATCTCCCTACTTCTACCCTTTCTATTCTCAATACAGTAGCCAGAGTCATTGCTCCTATTAAAATGAAAGTCATATCACACTACTATCCTACTCAGAACTCTGCAGAGTCTTCCCATTTCATTCACAGTAAAAGATGATGGCCAGGGCCTCTGTGCTGCACAGCCGCAAGGGCAACTGTTCACATAGATGACAATATGTTGTGCAGTAGATGATGTACACTACGGCTCCAGTAAAGGTCCATAAGCCCTGTACAATCTGCCCCACCCCCCTAATTCAGTTACTTCTGTGACCTCGACTCTCCTACTGCTTCTCCCTCATTCACTCTGTTCTAGCCACTTGATCTCCTTTATGACCTTCAAATACACCAGGCCTGCACTGCCTCAGGATCTTTGTACTGGATGTTACTTCTGCTTGGAACAGTCTTTCCTCAAATATGTGCTCAGCTCATGTTCTTGCCCTTTTAAAGTCATTGCTCAAAAGTCACCTCGCTGAGGCCTATACTAACCATCCTTATTTAAACACAGTCCTCATCTCTACCCTAGACCTTTGTATCTATGCTACTTTTTCCATAGTAATCATGACCTTCCAACTCATTAATAATATCTAATTTACTTATTTTTTTTTCCTGAATGGAATGCAAGCTTCACTAGGATCCTCACTGGAATGCAAGCTTCACTAGGTTGGAGATTTTTGTCTGTTTTTTCAATGCTGTGTGTGCAGTGCCTAGAAGAGAGGCTGATGCATAATAAGAGCTCAGATATCTGTTGAATAAAATGAACAAACCTTAGGAAGATATATTCTTTTAAAACACAGATTTAGATTCAGAGAGATTAAACATCTTGCTCAAAGTCACACAATTGATAAAAGGTATAGCTAAGATTTTTGGACTTTCTGACACCAAAGATGTGCTTATCTACTGCATCAGTCTTCCTTTCTAAAGATAAAAATATTCCTTTCTAAGGATATGCAAAATCAGAGATCAAAATGTAGTCCAGAAGTAGGAGTCTTATTCTGTAGATTATAATGCGTTGCTAAGAGAAATGAAAGAAAACTGATTATTGGAGATACACCATATTTATGGGTTGGAAAACGCAATATTTAAAAAATGTCAGTTCTCCTAAGTTGAACTATGGATGCAAAATTTTCCAAATAAAAATCCAAGCAGACTTTTTTGTAGAGATTGGCAAACTGACTGTAAAATTCCTATGCAAATATAAAGGAACTCAAATAGCCCCATCTAATTCTTTATTCATTATTATTATTATTATCTTGAGACAGGGTTTCACTCTGTTGCCCAGGCTGGAGTGCAGTAGCACAGTCATGGTTCATGGTTCACTGCAGCCTTGACCTCCTGGGCTCAAGCGATCCTCCTGGCTCAGCCTCCTGAGTAACTGGAACTACATGCCTGGCTATTTTTATTTTTTATTTTTATTTTTTTTCTAGGGAAGAGGTCTGGCTGTGTTGCCTGGGTTTGTCTCAAACTCCTGGCCTCAAGCTATCCTTCTACCTCGGCCTTTCCAAGTGCTGAGATTTCATGCATGAGTCACCACACCTGACCTAAAACTAAGGGTGCTTTTGGAAAAAGGAAAAAAAAAAAACAAAGGAAATTTTGGTGGTAAGCAATTTAAGAGGAAGCCAGTAGCTCCATTAGAGCAACAAGCTTAACTCTGTCGTATGTGGACAACTAAGAAGGGTCCTCCTGGGGTCAGAACAAACTTTAAACACTGTCCTCAAAAGCTACTCCTGCAAATGGGCCTGAATTTATTGGACTAGACCATGGAGTAATTTATGCTCCAGAGCATTATTGAAAACAAAATAGCGACCAGCCAGCAATTAGTGGGTCCTAACAGCTGGGTGTAATACCAGCAAGAGGCAGACAGCCTAACAGATCAGGGAAAGAAAGTGCAAAGAGAGCCCTGCTAGAACCATTGTTCGAATGCCCAAGGTTCTGCTCTCTGAGGAGCAACATTGGAGGCTTCACACTGCAGATAAAATACTTTACTAAAATAGTCAAGCCAAGTTATTAAATAAAGAAAAAATAACTATAAAAACAGGCTAGGTGCAGTGGCTCATGACGGTAATCCCAGCACTTTGGGAGGCCATGGGAGGCAGATCACGAGAGGCCAGCAGTTTGAGAGCAGCCTGGCCAACATGGCGAAACCCTGTCTCTACTAAAAATACAAAAATTACCCAGGCATGGTGGTGTGCACCTGTAATTCCTGCTACTGAGAAGGCTGAGGCGCAAGAATCGCTTGAACCCAGGAGGCGGAGGTTGCAGTGAGCTGAGTTTGTGCCACTGTACTTCAGTGTGGGTGACAGAGTGAGACTCTGTCTCAAAAAAACAAAACAAAACAAAAAACACTGAAACAAAACACCAGGGTTGGGGATGGAAGTAGGGGGTTGGAATCAGATTATAACTCGAATTCACTGGGAAAAAAAAAAAAAAAAAAAAACAGAAAAACAGTAAGTAGGAAGGCTAATATAACAAACTACAAGTATGTATTTCCCCTTCTATCTTGTCTCAGCTTCTTTGAAAGACAAAATTATATATAGTAATATTAGGTTTTCAACATATGTAGTTGTACTGTATGTTACAATAATAGCACAAAAGGGGAAGAGAATATAGATATATAGAATTAATGTTTCTATATATAACCAGAAGTTGGTATAAACCCAAAGCTGTTATGATAAGTTAATATTGTATGGCAAGTTGCAGAGCAACCACTAAGAAAATAAGTAAAAAAAAAAAGTAAAATGAGAAAGTATTAAAGGAATTAAAATGTTGCACTAGAAAATATTCAGTTAACAAAAAAAGGATAAAGAAAGACTAGACTAGAGGAACAAAAAAGATATGAGATATATAGAAAACAAAAAAGTAAAATTGCAGATATTATGTTAATAACAATAAATGTGAATGGATTAAACATTTTAATCAAAAGGCAGAGATTGTCAGACTGGGGGAGATCTCACTATGTGCTGTTTACAAAAGATACACTATCAAAGGTACAAATAGATTAAAGGGAAAAATGATTAAAAAGATAAACTGTGGAAACAGCAACCACAAGAAAGCTGGAGTGATTATGCTAATATCAGACAAAACAGATATTTTTAAATGCTAGTAGAGATTTAAAAGGACACTTCCTAATGATAAAAAAAGGCCAATCCATGAAGATTGGTTATAAATATATATCATTATCCCTCATTATCTGCAGGGAATTGGTTCCAGGACACCCTACGGATAAAAAAAAACTTCAGATGTTCAAGTTTGTTATATTAAATGGGATAATATTTGCATGTAACTTATATGCATCCCCCTGTATACTTTGTCATCTCTGTATTACTTCTGATACTTAATACAGTGTAAATGGTATATAAATAGTTGTTAAACGGTTTTTTCTTTGCATTATTTTCTATGGTTGTATTGTTACATTTCTGAATATTTTTGACCCATGGTTGGTTGAATCAGTGGATGCAGAACCCACAGAGATCAAGGGCCTAACAATATAGAGCCTAACGTGGATGTACCTAACAACATAGATCCAAAATACATAAAGCAAAAACTGAAAGAAATGGAGGAAGAAATAGACAATTCAGCAATAATATCCCATTCTCAATAATGCAAAAAGATTCAGCAAGGAAACAGAAGACCCAAACAACACAATAAACCACCTAGGCATAATAGACATCTATAGAACTCTAAATAGTAATTGCAGGATATATATACAGATGCAACATTCTCTAGGGTAGATCATATGCCAGCCCATTTTTAAAGAAATTAATTTTAAAACATTAAAATCATAAAAATTATGTTTCCTCTCCACAATGGAATGAGAAAAGAAATCAATAACAAAAAGAAATTTGGGATATTCACAACCATAGGAAACAATGTACTCCTAAATATCCAATATGTCAAAGATGAAATAAGAGAAATAAAAAAATACTTTTTGACAGCCTGGGCAACAAAGTGTGAGACCCCGTCTCCACAAAAAAATAATTTTAGCCAGGCATGGTGGCACACACCTGTAATCCTAGCTACTCAGGAAAATCTCTTGAGCTCAGAAGTTAGAAGCTGCAGTAAGCTATGATCACACCACTGCACTGCAGCCTGGGTGTCAGAGTGAGACCTTGTCTCTAGATTTAAAAAAAGAAAATTGTTTCAATAAGAGACAATGAAGACACTACATACTAAAACTTACAGAATGAAGCTAAAATTAAAAAAGCAAGAAACATTTGAAATCAGTAACCCAGTCTTCCACCTTAAGATACATAAAAAGAAGCAAACTCAACCAAAAGCAACCAGAAAGGAGGGACATAACAAAGATTAGAAATTAGTCAAATATGGAATATGAAAACAAGAGAAAATCAATGAAACCAAAAGATTATTCTTTTGAGATGATCAACAAATTGACAAACCTTGGGTAGACTGACCAGGAAAAAAGAAGACTCAAATTGGCAAAATCAAGAATGAAAGAAAGGACATTACTATTGACCTTACAGAATTAGAAAGGATCATCATGAACAACTGTATACCAACATACAGTTTTGTTATTTATGTTATTTCATGTTGGATAACTTATATGAAATAAAGACATTCCAGGAAAGACACAAACTACTAGAACTTACTCAAGAAATACAACTTCTGAATAGACAAGTAAAGAAATTGAACTATTGCTACTGTTACCACCACCACCACCACTACCCACAGGCCTAGTACGGTGGCTCATGCCTGCAATCCCAGCACTTGGGGAGGCTGAGGCAGCTGGATCACTTGAGGTCAGGAGTTCAAGAACAGCCTGGCTAACATGGTGAAACCTCCTGTCTACTAAAAATACAAAAATTAACTGGGCCTGGTGATGGGCGCCTGTAAGCCCAGCTACTTGGGATGCTGAGGCAGGAGAATCACTTGAACCCGGGAGGCGGAGGTTTCAGGGAGCTGAGATCATGCCACTGCACTCCAGTCTGGGTGACAGAGGGAGACTTTCTCTCAAACAAAACAAAATGAAACAAAAAACAAACAAAACTACACACAAAGAAAAGCCCAGCCCCAGATGGCTTCACTAGTAAATGTTACCAAACATTTAAAGAAGAATTACCAGTTCTTCACAAACTCTTCCAAAACATAGAGGAGAAAGAAACACTAACTTATCTTATGAGGCCAGTATTATGCCAATACCAACTGCAGATAAAAACATCACAAGAATAACGGGGGAACCTGTCCCCAATATTTCAATGTAGGCTCTTTCTATTTTCCATAAGTGTTGACTGGCTGAGAAATAAAGAGAAAGAGAACAAAGAGAGGAATTTTACAGCTGGGCCTCTGGGGGTGACATCACATATCGGTAGGACCGTGATGCCCACCTGAGCCTTAAAGCCAGCAAGTTTTAAGGATTTCAAAAGGGGAGGGGGTGTTAGAAAAGGGAGTAGGTCACAAAGATCACATGCTTCAAAGGGCAAAAAGGAGAACAAAGATCACATGCTTTTGAGGAAACAGGACAAGGGCAAACTCAGAACTACTGATAAGGGTCTGTGTTCAGCTGTGCATGTATTGTCTTGATAAACATCTTAAACAAAAGAAAACAGGGTTTGAGAGCAGAGAACCGGTCTGACCACAAATTTACCAGGGTGGAGTTTCCCAGTCCTAGTATGCCTGAGGGTACTGCAGGAGACCAGGGCGTATTTCAGTCCTTATCTCAACTGCATAAGACAGACACTCCCAGAGTGGCCATTTATAGACCTCACCCCAGGAATGCATTCCTTCCCCAGGGTATTAATTACTAATATTCCTTGCTAGGAAAAGAATTTAGCGATATTGTCCCTACTTGCACGTCCGTTTGTAGGCTCTCTGCAAGAAGAAAAATATGGCTCTATTTTGCCCAACCCTGCAGGCAGTCAGACCTTATAGTTATCTTCCCTTGTTCCTTGAAAATCACTGTTATTCTGTTCTTTTTCAAGGTGCACTGATTTCATATTGTTCAAACACACGTTTTACAATCAATTTGTACAGTTAATACAAATATCATAGTGGTCCTGAGGTGATGTACATCCTCATCTTACAAAGATAACAGGATCAAGAGATTAAGACACGTATAAGAAATTATAAGAGTATTATTTGGAAACTGATAAATGTCCAGATAAATGTCCATGAAATCTTCACAATTTATGTTCAGAGATTGAAGTAAAAACAGGTGTAAGAAATTATAAAAGTATTATTTGGGAACTGATATATGTCCATATTAAAATGAAATCTTCACAGTTTATGTTCCTCTGCCACGGCTCCAGCTGGTCCCTCCATTCGGGGTCCCTGATTTCTCGCAACATCTCTCCCTTTCTTTTTATATAAATGTGCCATGGTGCTGAAGGCTTGTTCGTTTTCTTGGTTTTGACGCAGGATTCTTTGACTGGTCCAGCACACTAAAAACAAGCCGATTAAACAGAGAAACATAATTCCAAAATTTACTACAGTGGAGCTCCCCATAGACTTAATCCAAGTCGTGGGGTTTAGTCCAGAAAGACTTTGTGCCACCTGATCTAACGCCTCAGCTCCAGGCACAATGGATAAATGAGCTTGAGAGCCTTCAAAAATTTGTTTCTTTAATTTAGTTATGTCCAAGGATAAATTATCTTCCCTACCCAGAAGGTGTCCTTTGACCATTTCCCATTAATGATCAGTCTTGTTGTAGGAATATGGTGTGATACAGAAATCAGAAGTATTCCAATCGCACTGCATTTGCATGCGATGTTTGAGACTCATTAGCCGATCCCCAAGCCAAATAACAGACTGTCTTAAATCATTAATTTGATTAGCCAATTTTTGATCAATGCCTTGTTGAGAATTCCACATTTGGGTGGAATTGGCTTGCCAATCATTAACAAAATGAGCTGTTTGAATAGATTGATGTAATGCCATTCTGGCAGTGGTGGCCAGTGTAATGACTGTAATTAGGCCCATGATCACAGTGATTAAAGTGAAAACAAATCTCTTAGATCTTTTGAGAATTCGTTGTAACACTTCATTAATTAAATGTACTGAGGGGGAAGATTCCCAGGTCTGGGTAAAGTTACCGATATCCAGATTCCTTCTTGAACTCGAACCAACATTGTACTTTTCCTGGAGTCAAAACGGGAGTTAATACAAGTGTATAAATGACAGGTAATGCATTGGACAGTTTGATTGTTTGTCCAAATTTTGATATTTCCCACTAATAGCATGTAAGGAGGCTTAACACAACTCTATATAGGAAGAGTCAGGTTGGAGGTAAACAAAGCATAATGTTTGAATGTACATTGATAGGGAGAGGAGCGGCGGTGGCAATGCCTGATGTTCTCTGCCGTAAAGAAGCAATCCAAGGTGCCTGGGGATGCCAAAGAAGTAGAGGGGCATACCTGGGTTGAGAAGAATTATCATAATGCCAATTGAAGTCCCATAAAGGGGTATTGGCATCAAAAAGAGGAAAAGGATTCAAAGGGGATTTATCTTGGTGGTCAGAATCACGGATGTGAGGGGTGGTAGTGGGGACAACAGACAGAAAAGTTTCCCCTTCCCATACTCGCAGTCCGGACATGGCAATAGCCAATTTCCAAAGGTCTGGGTGTTCTGGGCTCAGAATGGGGAATATCATACAAGGCCTCTGGGGGTAATGCCCTTATCTTCCCATTTTAAGGGAAAGAACGAGCGGAACCTTCTATGCAAAATAGGATGATGATCCTTGTCCTCCCAGTAAGAAATAAAATAAGTAGCCTCCAGACATTCCCTTCTGCCAGAGGAGCAATTGTTTTTTGAATAGCCCTTTGGTGCCCAGTCTATTATTAAACCACGAGTCATTTTTTAATACTACTGCATGTAAGTTAACACAGTCTTCCCAAATTAAAGTTTTAGATGGGCGCTCAAAATTTTTAGGACATGGTTTTCCTACAGGTTTTTTGTTTTTTGTTTTTTTGTTGTTGAGATGGAGTCTCACTCTGTCGCCCAGGCTGGAGTGCAGTGGCTCACTGCAAGCTCCACCTCCCAGGTTCACACCATTCTCCTGCCTCAGCCTCCCAAGTAACTGGGACTACAGGCACCTGCCACCATGTCTGGCTAATTTTGTTTTGTATTTTTAGTAGAGACGGGGTTTCACCATGTTAGCCAGGATGGTCTCGATCTCCTGACCTGGTGACCCGCCCGCCTCGGCCTCACAAAGTGCTGGGATTACAGGTGTGAGCCACCGCGCCCAGCCTTCCTACAAGTTTATATTGAAAGTATGGTGTATCAACTACAGACCATTATCTCTCTCTCTCTCTCTTTTTTTTTTTTTTTTTTGAGACTGAGTCTCTCTCTGTGGCCCAGGCTGGAGTGCAGTGCAGTGATCTTGGCCAACTGCAACCTCTGCCTCCCGGTTCAAGCAATTTTCCTGCCTCAGCCTCCCGAGTAGCTGGGATTACAAGTGTGCACCACCACGCCTGGCTAATTTTGTATTTTTAGTAGAGACAGGGTTTCACCGTGTTGGCCAGGCTAGTCTCAAACCCATGACGTCAAGTGATCCGCCTGCCTCAGCCTCCCAAAGTGCTGGGATTACAGGCATGAGACACCATGGCAGGCCCAGATCATTATCTCTTATGAATATAAATGCAAAATTCTCAACAACTTTCTATCAAACCAAATCCAGTAACAAATAAAGATAATTACATGCCATGGCCAAGTGGAATCTATCACAGTAGTGCAAGATTGGTTTACCAACCAAAAGTCAATCAGTTTAATATATCATATCAGCAGGATAAAGAACACAAAGCATATGATCCTCCCAACAGATGTAGAAAAACAGTATTTGCCAAAATTCAACTCCTTCATAATAACGCTCAACAAAGTAGGAATGGATGTGAACTTCTTAACCTGATAAAGGCATCTATGGAAAAACCAAGAGCCAACATAATGCTTAATGGTTAAAGACTGAATGCTTTCCCCCTAATATCAGGAACATGGACAGAATATCCACTTTCCCACTTTATTCAACATTGTAGGCAAGAAAAGGAACAAAAGGCCTTCAGATTGGAAAGGAAGAAGAAAAATTCTTATCTAAAGATGACATCTTATAAATAGAAAGTCCTAAGGAATCTACTCAGAAACTACTCGAACTAATATATAAGTTCAGCAGAATTGCAGTATGTAAGATCAACATACAAAAATCAAATATATTTCTATACATTTGGAATAAACAGTCTGAAAATGAAGTTAAAACCATTTAGGATCAACAGGAATAAAACATTTGGGAATAAATTTAACAAAAGAAGTACAAAAATGTATGCTCTGAAAACTACAAAACATTGCTGAAAGAATGAAAGAAGACCTAAATAAATGGAAAGCCATCCCCCATGTTCGTGGATTCAAGGCAGCTATGCTCACCACTGCGTCATCCATGCATTCCCAAGTTCATAGAGTTTGCTGTACAACTTACAAAGTATACAACCCATAACTGCCCCCTCAAAATTAAATAACTTATTTTATGATGTCAAGTCTTTACCTTGGGCTGTCAAGTCAATCCATCCCAAAAGTAGGAAGTAGGTCACTTGATATTTTAGGTATGTCTCCTTAGATTTATAGTTACTTTTTCGCAATCTCCCAGTAAATGGAAAATAAAGCACTTTGTCCCAAGTAACAATAATTCATAAGTAGTTATTATTCCTGCTTTATAAAGAACTGAAGCTCAGAGAGACTTAATTTGCTTAAGGAAGGACAGCTGTGGAGCCATTGTCTAGTTCAGGTCCATCAGTTACAAAGCCCTGTTTGTTTTGACTATGCCATGTTGCATTTGAAACAGGAGTACATTAGATTTTTTAAATAGTAGACTGGCCTCTTAAGTTTCAGAGTGGTTTTGTTCAGAGACCCTGTTTATAATATATTCCAGTATTAAGAATTTGTGTTCAATTGTTAATACCATAAATATCTATTTTGTGCTTACTGCATGCAGGCACTATGATGAGTAAATAGTAATGAATATATTAATCCTTACTTTAGCAGAGAAAGTAAGTATGCAAATAAACAATTGCAGTATAGCAAGATAACTGCAGTGCTGGAAGTCTTAAATAAGAACAGTGCTAACATAGAAGAAAGTAATCAGCTCTACTGGAGTGGCCATAGAAGAAGAGATGATTGAATTGGACATTCAAGGCTATGTAGGAGTTTGTCACTTGATATATGCGTGCTTCTTTCTGTGTCATGACTAACTATGGAAAGCATTTATGCATAAACATAAGTATTGAGTTTTTAAGTAAAATAAGGTAGGAAAAAAGTTCATTATTAGTTTGCAGGAATCCTGTGTTCCTTTACACCTTTTTAATAATTAGCTTTGTGTTCAGGTATAATTAAAACTCCTTGGCAAAATACAGAAGCCTGAGAAGGGAAATGCTTTTTGCTGTCGTGTGGTTTGTAAAATGCATTGCAAAACAACTAGCTATTAGAGTTCTTTAATTCTGTTGTATCTGCTTTTTGGAATTTAAAGTTAAATGGACAAAGTAAAAGAAAAATTTGTGAGTTCATGAACAATTTCATTCTTTTATCAAATTGTGGTAAACTCAAGTGAATATACTTGGGATATACGCTTTTCAAATTTTTCAGGAGAAAAAGCTTTAAATTGCATTTGTGACTTTTCTAGTTGTCAGTGGTTTCTCACACGCAAATCCTGTGTGTTAATGTGTCAGTGGTTTTTTTTGTTGTTGTGTTTTTTGGGGTTTTTTTGTTTTTTTTTTTGAGACAGAGTCTCACTCTTTCGCCCAGGCTGGAGTGCGGTGGCGCGATCTCCGCTCACTGCAACCTCCGCCTCCCAGGTTCATGCCATTCTCCTGCCTCAGCCTCTCAAGTAGCTGGGACTACAGGCAACTGCCACCACGCCCGATTAATTTTTGTATTTTTAGTAGAGATGGGGTTTCACCGTGTTAGCCAGGATGGTCTCGATCTCCTGACCTCGTGATCCGCCTGCCTCGGCCTCCCAAAGTGCTGAGATTACAGGCGTGAGCCACTGCGCCCGGCTCAGTGTTTCTGATGTAACTACAATTTAAAGCTTTTTTGCAACACTTATTTGGTAAAAAGTTTATTCTATAGGATTTTGAGCAGTTTCTAACATTAATTTGTATAGTTGTTACCTAAAATAATGAATGATAAATAAGTTCTGCGTTTATGAAGAAATATCTTATTAGAGCCATGTATCAACATAACTATTTTGGTTTTTTAAAAAATTAACCAGCTCCCCTATTTATGTCTTAATGTAGCCTTTTGGTCACCTATTTCATTATCCCCCTTGGGATAAATAGAGAAAATTGACAGGGAAATGGTAATCTTCTACTTTCAGAATCTTTGATTTGACCAAGTTGTAATACTTATACTATTGGGCTAAATAAAAGGGTGTCTATTACCTAATATAGATTTTTGGAAGTGCATGTAGACAATTCTGGAAAATAGGGTATCTGTTTACAGGTGACTGGCAATTATTACAAATGAAAGGATGGGACTTTGTGTTTTGTTTTGGTTTTGGTTATTGCAGTGGCTGATGTTTTGGTACTCCAGAGTAGGTTAAGTATGCATTATATGGTTATGGCAGAGGTTTCTGATATGCTGTATTTGAGAAAACATATTTAAATATATGCAGATTTTAGTAATAGTTTTAATGGCAATACTCTTTGCAAACTCATTTGATTATATTTAAGGTAATCATTATTTTGCGAAACTGTATTGCTATCTGAATCTAGAACTCTATCTACATGATACTGTATGCTAAATTGTATATAGCAATATATTAAAATCAGTGCCTTATGGTGAATCCAAAGTGATTAAAAGGAAACACTGCTTTTCATTTATGAATGCATGTTTAAGAAAGAAAAATGTATTTCATTTTTAGATTATATAAATGGTGGTGAACTTTTTACTCATCTTTCTCAAAGAGAGCGTTTCACAGAGCATGAGGTGCAGATTTATGTTGGAGAGATTGTGCTTGCCCTCGAACATCTCCACAAGGTAAGACTCTTCATTTTTCAGGTTTCTTTTCTGAAGTCTGTTAACTAAGGTAATAATGGAGCTGGAAGAGCTAATGTTTTTACATGTTATTGTCTTAGTGGAGATTATGAAAGCATACTTATAGAACATTACCAATTTTCTCAATTTCATAATTCCGTTTGAAAAAATCTACTTTCCAATTGTACTTGCTATGATAGAGATTAAAAAGAACCTAAGCAGGTTTTGGCTTTTATCCTGAAAAATCCTAATGCTTATTTGTTACAAAGTATCATTATAATAAAAGCTTTTAATTGTTAAAATAACCAATAAAATGAAACCATCAGTCATAATATGTATTTCCTTCATTGTAATTTACTGCATTGCAGACTCTGCCTGTACATCTTCAGGGTGTATCCTGATGAGGTTGGAGAGTAAGAGTTATTTCCCACTCGCACTCTGGCTTTCTTTTCCATTTGTTTTGTCCCTGACACCGTCTCTTGCTCCCACTCCCTCTCTCCTCCATTGTCCCCAGGTAGGATGAACTCTTACTAAAAAACTTTAAATGGAATTCATGTCTGTGACCCTATGCAAACTGTAACAATCAGTTTAAACTGTAAGAAATGTTATTGCAGATAACCATTAATCTTGAGCCAAGAAATTTTCACTCGGTTTTTTGTTTTACTTAATGAGGAAACATTGTAGAAGCAGTCATTATGTAGACTGGGCTTGTGTTTTTCCTCAGAGACAGAAAGTACTCAAGTAATTTTTAAATTAGGACAATTCAGGTACATCATGAAGCCACCCTTCCTTGTCCTGTTATATTCAGGTCCTACACTAGTTTAAGATAGAGATTGAAATGCTGATTATGGAGCATAGAAAAGAAAGGAGAGAATTGAAGGGAAAAGGAAGGATGAAGGATGACATTTCTAAAGGGGCAGGCAGCAAGGTGGAGGTAACAGGTGGGTGAGGCCGTGAGAATAAATTATGGTAAGATGTAAGAAAAAAAGAGATCAGGAAAAGGGCAGATCCAGCCCAGAGGAGAAACCAGACCTGCCAGGTGAAGGGAGATGGTTCAAGGGTAGGAATCTTAGGGAGACTGAATGAAAAACGTGTGAGAACAAGCAGGGAAAGAAACCTTTGGTAATGGGGGGGTTGAGGGGCAGGGCTGCAGCACAATGGAGAGGAAGGGGAACGAGGTGCAGTCAAGTAGGCACTCAAACTGAGGTAGCAGAACAGACACTTGGACTTCTTTTCATGGAATTATTGATATGGTAACAAGCTTTAAGATGATTTTTGTGGGATATAAGATAGTTAAGACATTTTCATACAAGAAACTATTGGACCCAAGAATATGCTGCAAAGAAAGACCTTTGAAATTTATGATTTAGGGCAATTAGTTTATAATATAAAAATGATGGTAGAAATCATCATAAATATGAGTAAGAAACAAAATGAATAGCTCCAGTGAGTAAGCTAGGAAGTCCAGTGTAGTGGTGCAATCTTGGCTCACTGCAGCCTCCACCTTCCCAGGCTCAGGTGATCCTCTCGTGTCAATCTCCCGAGTAGCTGGGACCACAGGAACGTGCCACCACACCTGGCTAAGTTTTGTATTTTTTATAGAGATGAGGTTTTGCCATATTGCCTAGGTTGGTGTTGAACTAGACTCAAGCAATCTGCCCGCCTCAGCCTCCCAAATTACAGGCATGAGCCACTGTGCTTGTCCGAAAATCCGGTTTTTAATTTATGTGAAACTTGCTGATTGTCAAACACAGAAGTAAATAAAACAATGAATGTTGGATATAACTGCAATTGATATGGAATGAGAGTAATATAGTAAATGAACTCTTGGTTAACCTTCTCTTAATCTTACTACCCTAAAAAGATACAGATAAATATAACGCAAAGCCAGCAATGTTAATCTTGATAAAGCTACTAACATTGAGTTTCACAGGAAGAGGCAAAAATGGATGTTTACTTGCAAGTGATGAGGTGACGCAGATAGTAAATTATTTGTTTCTAAAATCTTTTCTAAAGAGGTTGTTTTTTAGGAAAAAGCATCTCCTGGTTGTTAGATGCATATAATGCTCCAAGTCAATGTCTGTTCAATATAAGCTCTAGACATTTTCCTTCCTGTCTGTCTTGTAGAACACTGGGGCTCTTAAAGGAAAATTGCCTAGTACTTTTGTGTTCTGTTGTGTTGTGTTGATACAGGGTCTTACTCTGTTGCCCAGGCTGGAGTGCAGTGGCACGATCACAGCTCACTGCAGCCTCAACCTGCTTGACTGAGGTGATCCTCCTACCTCAGCCTCCTGAGTAGCTGGGACAACAGGCATGCGCAACCACACCTGGCTAATTTTTGTATTTTTTGTAGAGACAGGGTTTTGCCATGTTGCCCAGGCTAGTTTCAAACTCCTGAGCTCAGATGATCCTCCCATCTTGGCTTCCCAAACTGCTGGAATTACAGGCATGGGCCACCCACACTTGTCCGTTTTTTATTCTGTTCTTTTAAAAAAAAAAAAAATAGAGACATTGGGTCTAAAAATAGACATATGGTCTCGCTCTGTTGCCCAGGCTGGAATGCTATCATAGGTTGCTGTGGCCCCAAACACCCTGAGCTCAAGTGATCCTCCTGCCTCAGCTTCCCGAGTAGCTCTAGGACTACATGTGTGCCACCACACCCAGCTAATTTTTTTTTTTTTTGAGATGGAGTTTTGCTCTTGTTGCCCAGGCTGGAGTGCAGTGGCACGATCTCAGCTCACCGTAACCTCCACCTCCCGGGTTCAAGTGATTCTCCTGCCTCAGCCTCCCGAGTAGCTGGGATTACAGGCATGTGCCACCACGCCCGGCTAATTTTGTATTTTTAGTAGAGTCGGGGTTTCTCCATGTTGGTCAGGCTGGTCTCGAACTCTTGACCTCAGGTGATCTGCCCACCTCGGCCTCCCAAAATGTTGGGATTACGGGCGTTAGCCACCACTCCTGGCCCAGCTAATTTTTAAAATTTTTTGTAGAGATGGGTCTCACTGTGTTGCCCAGGCTAGTCTTGAACTCCCAGATTCAAGTGACCCTCCTGCCTCAGCCTTCCAAAGTCTAGGGTTACAGACATGAGCCACTGTGCCTGGCCCCTAGTGTTTTTCTGTATGCAATTTTGATTTCCATTTTAAGAGATTATTAAGAACTTTCTCATATTCTTAGCATTGAGGAAAACAATATTTCTAAGTTTAGAAACATTTAATTCAGGCTGACATAACTGAAAACATGAAACAGAATTCATGCAGATCAAGCACCTCTTATATGAGTTGGATAGATTATTTGTTATATAGCTGAAGTGTTTTGCTATAGAACTTACAAAAAAGTAAGTTTTATAAATGCAAAGTAAAACAGAGGGATCTATAAATGTTACTTAATTGATTTTCTTTGCTTATTTAGAACTAAAGTTTGAGCCTAGTGCAGTGGCTCACACCTGTAATCCCAGCTACTCTGGAGGCTGAGGTGGGAGGATGGCTTTAGCCCAGAAGTTTGAAGTTGCAGTGAGCTAGGACCACGCCACTGCACTCCAGCCTGGGTGACAGAGTGAGACCCTATCTCAAAACAACAACAACAATAACAACAACAAAAAACAACTAAAGTTTGAGTAAAATTAACCTATGATCTTCAACCTTTATGTTTAAGAGCCTGTTAATCAACAATTCTTTATAAATTTCCTATTTTATACATGGTGTGCTGCACAAATACCTATAAATACATAAAAAGTGAAAAAAAGAGTTAGAGTATAGGTATATAAAGACAAGTAGGAAATAGCTAGAAAATATCAGTCATGTATAGGTAAGTACAATGTAAACATAGGTGTTGTAGGATGAAAAACAAGGAAATGACAGGGGATCTGGTTAGTCAGGAGAGTCTTCTGAAGCCGTTAGGAAGTGATGGACAAGAATTGGCTATGAAGGCACCTGAAGGTCATCTAGAGTGAGAGTGAACTAGGAAGAATAGAGACATGAAGAAGCACGAGTCAAGAGGGAGGCCCTAAAGAAGCTGACCCAACAAGGTAGACCCTGTGCACAAGGAGAACAAAGACGTGGTTGGAGAGGTCCAGAGAACGCAGCAGATAAAAGAATTTCCATTTTCCCTGACCAATCACCAAGAGCCATTACAGGATCCTGAGGAGGGAAATGCCTTAAAAAAAAAAATAAATAAATAAAGGTAGACGAGAAAGACTGCCCTAATTCATTTTTTTGTAAATTATTTTAAAATTTATATTTCTTTGTTTTTGCAGTTGGGGATTATATATCGTGATATTAAGCTTGAGAATATTCTACTTGATTCTAATGGCCATGTGGTGCTGACAGATTTTGGTCTGAGTAAGGAGTTTGTGGCTGATGAAGTGAGTATATTTTAATTTGAAGTTAGTAATAACAGCATGTAAACAAGGATGAAAACTTAGCCGTAGAATAAACATTTAGCAGAAAACTGCCCTGTGAATTCTGAACTTTTGTGCAGATTTGTCCATGGAAAATGTAGAGATTTTTAGTTTAAAATTCGTATGGAGCCGTCCTGTTAAAATTGCGGTAAACCTTGATGGGTATATCAGAATTCCTATTTATTTAAAAAAGAAAAAAGACACTATGCATTTAACTTTCCCCATAAAATATGTAAAATATAACTGAAAAATCAAATAACTCTTTTGGCCCTTCAGGAGAATTATGGCTTTGATAGTGGCCAATAAAGAATCATAAAGCAAAGTACATACAGTTTACATTGTGGTAACAAAGTAGGACATGCTATGAAGGCCCTTTGAATTCGCTTGACAAGAATGACAGAGATCTACTAGACCCAATTTTTAAATAATATTGCTGGTTTTTGCTCAACATGAATTAAAATATGGTGGCTAATGTGCAGATTTTACATTTGGAGAACTTTAATTTTCAGTATTAATTAGAATTTGTTTAATATTACAAATGCATTTAATGACACTTAAAATTGTACATCTATTAGTTGTAATTAAGTACTGTTTATGTAATGGTTGTAATAGAAGTTACATTTATTTCTGCACTACTAGTTATTCAAGATAACTAAGTAAATTTGAATGTTAGTTTCGTTTCTATCTAGGAAATTGTTGGTATAGAATATGAAATCATACTAAAATTTTTGTAGTGAAGGACTTTGTTGTTATAAAAGACATCATTCTTGGATTCCAAATTAGGTATATCTATTTCTGATTGGTTTTTGGAGTATATTGCTAAAGCAGTCCTAGGTGAGTGAGATAAGTGCTGAAATTATAAAAATTAAAGATCCTAATTTTTTAATCGCATCTATATTCATTCAGTTTACTTATAAAATAAATATTTATTTATCCCCTCTACTATGCTGGGTACTGGACAATACAATAATAAATGAAGTGAAAATGATCTCTGCCTTCATGAAGCTGAAGTTATTACAGTAAATTGATCATCTTTGATACAAATATCGTAGTTATAAAATAGATGAATTTTGAGTTTACTTCTAAATTTGATTTTTAAAACTTTTTATGCCTTTGTAAAAATTTTAGTGATGACTTCAGCAAATTGTAGCAGATTAAATCTGTTTACCGTTGCCTCCTTAATAAATCCCACAAGGATAAAAGGAAAGGGATAAGATAGACATGCACTCCAAAGGGAAAAGAGAAAATAGCAACTACATTTTAGAAGATGGATGACAGTAACATGGGAAGCCTAAAAGCAGGCTCTCTGTACTTCTGACCCCCTAAAAAGGTTCAATAACTGGAGACAGCAGGTATCCCTCGAAGTAGGCATGCAAGTGATGCAGGACCCAGGAGGATTGATTGAAAGTCTGTGTAAGAAACAGGTAACCCCCAGATCCTATCTCTGCCCCTGTTCACATAGGCAGCTGTGCCTTCCTCACCCTAAGGGAAGACTGACAAGGTCTGTGCATTCAGGGACAATGGGCACAGCTAAGGATGAGGATACCATACAGAAAATGACAGGTATGGTGAAAATGGACACACAGAACTGTGCAAACTCCCTCGGCGGCTTTCTAGCACTTCACTGAGCACAGTGGCTTCCCAGGCAGGAGTCTGGAGGAGTTTTCTCTGAGAAGCCAAGAACAAAATCTCCATAGATGTTGTCAGTAATTTTGCCACTGAACTGGCCCAGCCAAATCTCTCTACAGAGAAGCCTGGGGCTTGGCAATCCCACCCGGTGCCACAGAAGCATGTTTGTAATGATGCCACATTTAAAAAAAATAGTTTTGTGACTGTATTTTACTATAATTAATTTCCTCTATAATGCTATCTATTTTAAAATATTATTTTGAGAAGGGGTCCACAGGCTTCAACAGACTGCCAAAGGGGTCCTTGGTTTGTAAATGTGTAAAACTCCCCCTGCATAGAGAGATTTGATGATCACTTTTATTTGCTCATTCCATTGATATTTGTTGAGGGCCTTCTGTGTGCTAGATCAGCAGTCCCCAACTTTTTTGGCACTAGGGACTGGTTTCCTGAGAGACATTTTTCCCAAAGACGAGGGTCGGGGTATGGTTTTGGGATGATTCAAGCACATTACATTTATCATTAGATTCTCATAAGGAATGTGCAACCTAGATCCCTTGCATGCACACTTCACAATAGGGTTGGCACTCCTAGGAGAATCTAATGCCACCACTGATCTGACAGAAGGCAGAGCTCAGGTGGCAATGCTTGTCTGCTGCTCACCTCCTGCTGTGCGCCCTGGTTCCTAACAGGCCGCAGACCAGTACTTGTCCATGGCCTGGGGGTTAGGGGCCCATGTGCTAGATGGTAGGCTAGGTTCTGGTAGTACACTCATTAAAAGAATCACTTAATAATTCCTCTGTTTATAGGTGTGTGTGGCAGATCATTTGGCAATAGATAGAAACAGACTTTGGCCCTGGGGAACAGCAAAATGTTAGGACTCAAAACTAAACAAACAAATAAAAATCAAAGTTGACCAGAGTTGCTAGGTCTTAATACAGTAATAAGCATTAGTCAGAAATGCTGTGTGACTGAATCAGCCAGGTCACTCTTCACAAGAGGAGAGTTTGCTGCTAGTCGTGTCAACAGCCACCCTTCAAGGGGATGATGGAGATCCAGTCAAATACCATCATCTTTGAGCACTTAGTGGTCTGGGTGCAAAAATGAAATAGGAGAGTTCAAGCTGAAGTAGAGGAGTAATTAGTAGGCGCCCTTATTTACTGAATACAGCCTCACTCTAGGTTATGTTAATAGTTTAACATTACTATTAAGCTTTAAGGGTTGCATATCTCTTTGATCCTTAGACTGTCTGCTCATTCTTCCTGTTAGCCCTAGAGGACATACTATCATGCTTGGCTTCAGGTTTAACTCTCAGGGCTCAGGTAGGAATTTTCCTTTGCTGAGTCCTCTGAAACTTGATCTAATGGTTCTTTGCTCCTCTGATTCCACCCAGCACCTATTTAGGAAGTTTCTCTATCTAGACCCTTTCTTACCTTAAAAATATTCCCATGAAACCATTTCTATTTTGATTAGCTTGCATTCCTTTTTGGTTTCCATGTCAGCCCCAACTCATATCAAAATACCATATTTTTTGGAACAAGTTTCTTTCTGCTCCATCCCTAATCTGCCTCCTTGGTTTCCAGGTTAAATGTGTATCTTTATGGTATGGTTTGGCTGTGTCCCCACCCAAATCTCATCTTGAATTCCCACATGTTGTGGGAAGGACCTGGTGGGGAGTTAACTGAATCATGGGGGCAGGTTTTTCTCATGCTATTCTTGTGATAGTGAATAAGTCTCACGAGACCTAATGGTTTTAAAAACGGGAGTTTCCCTGCAACAAGTTCTCTCTCTCTTTGTCTCCTGCTATCCATGTAAGACATGACTTGCTCCTTCTTGCCTTCCACCATGATTGTGAGACCTCCCCCATCCACATGGAACTGTAAGTCCATTAAACCTCTTTCTTTTGTAAATTGCCTAGTCTTGGATATATCTTTATCAGCAGTATGAAAACAGACTAATACAGTAAATTGGTACCACGAGTGGGGTGCTGCTGAAAATGTGGAAGCGACTTTGGAACTGGGTAACAGGCAGAGGTTGGAACAGTTTGGAGGGCTCAGAAGAAGACAGGAAAATGTGATAAAGTTTGGACCTTCCTAGAGACTTGTTGAATGGCTTTGAGTAAAATGCTGATAATGATATGGACAATGAAATCCAGCCTGAGGTGGTCTCAGATGGAAATGAGGAACTTGGTGGGAAGTAGAACAAAGGTAACTCTTGTAATGTTTTAGCAAAGAGACTGGTGGCATTTTGCCCCTGCCCTAGAGATTTGTGGAACTTTGAACTTGAGAGAGGTGATTTAGGGTATCTGGCAGAAGAAATTACTAAGCAGCAAAGCATTTAAGAGATGACTTGGGTGCTATTAAAGGTATTCAGTTTTAAAAGAGAAACAGAGCATAAAAGTTCGGAAAATTTGCAGCCTGACAATGCACTAGAAAAGAAAATCTTGTTTTCTGAAGAGAAATTCAAGCCAGCTGCAGAAATTTGCATAAGTAAGAAGGAGCTGGATGTTAATCACTATAACAAGTGGGGAAAATGGCTCAGGGCATGCCAGAGACCTTTATGGCAGCCCCTCCCATCATAGGCCTGGAGGTTTAGGAGGAAAAAATGGTTTTCTGGGCCGGGCACAGGGCCTCTCTGCTGTGTGCAGTCTAGGGACTTGGTGCCCTGCTTCCCAGCTGCTACAGCCATGACTAAAAGGAGCCAAGGTACAGCTCAGGCTGTTGCTTCAGAGGATGGAAGCCTCAAGCCTTGGCAGCTTCCATGTGGTAGTGAGCCTGTGGGTACACAGAAGTCAAGAATTGAGGTTTGGGAACCTCCGCCTAGATTTCAAAGGATGTGTGGAAACACCTGGATGCCCAGGCAGACGTTTGCTGCAGGAATGGGGCCCTCACGGAGAACCTCTGCTAGGGCAGTGCAGAAGGGAAATGTGACGTCGGATCCCCTACACAGAGTTCCTACTGGGGCACTGCCTAGTGGAGCTGTGAGAAGAGGGCCACTGTCCTTTAAACCTCAGAATGGTAGATCCACCAACAGCTCGCACCGTGCACCTGGAAAAGCCACAGACACTCAACACCAGTCTGTGAAAGCAGCCAGGAGGGGGACTGTACCCTGCAAAGCCACAGGGGCGGAGCTGCCCAAGGCTATGGGAGCCTACCTCTTGCATCAGCGTGACCTGGATGTGAGACATGGAGTCAAAGGAGATCATTTTGGAGCTTTAAGATTTGACTGCCCCGCTGGATTTTGGACTTGCATGGGACCTGTAGTCCCTTTGTTTTGGCCAGTTTCTCCCATTTGGAGTGGCTGTATTTAACCAATGCCTGTACTCCTGTTGTGTCTAAGAAGTAACTAACTTGCTTTTGATTTTAGAGGCTCATAGGTGGAAGAGACTTGCCTTGTCTCAGATGAGACTTTGGAATATGGACTTTTGAGTTAATGCTGAAATGAGTTAAGACTTTGTGGGACTGATGGGAAGGCATGATTGGCTTTGAAATGTGAGGACATGCCAGGGGTGGAATGATATGGTTTGGCTGTGTCCCCACCCAAATCTCATCTTGAATTCCCGCATGTTGTGGGAGGGACCTGGTGGGAGGTAATTGAATCATGGGGGCAAGTTTTTCCCATGCTGTTCTCATGATAATGAGTAAGTCTTGCAAGATCTGACTGTTTAAAAAACGGGAGTTTTCCTGCACAAGTTCTCTCTCTCTTTATCTGCTTCCATCCATGTAATATGTGACTTGTTCCTCCTTTCCTTCCACCATGATTGCAAGACCTCCCCAGCCACGTGGAACTGTGAGCCCATTAAACCTCTTTCTTTTGTGAATTTCCCAGTCTCGGATATGTATTTATCAGCAGTGTGAGAATGGACTGATACACTCTGCCTGCCTTCTCTTCTCTTTAACCTCTTCCTCTTTGACCATTTCTGTCACTGTTTAAGTAGACATAGTCTTTCCATCTTAAAATTTTAAAAATGGGGAGATGAATGGACTGATAAATAAAAAGGAAAAAAAATCTCAGAATACCATATTCCCGCCTAGCTATTGTCTCATTGTTCTCCTTTGTCAGTATTTGTCTCTACTTACTCACATGTCCCTTACTCCCTTATCAATTCCAATTCTGCTTGTACCTCCTTGCCCCCCTACCCCGCCACCATCTGCTGAGGCTGTTCTTGCCAATGTTACCATTGACGTGCATATTAATACTTTTTAGTTACTTTATTTGACTGCCTGGTAGTACTGAACTTGAAATCACCTCTCAGCTTGGCTCTGTGACACAACACCCACCTGACTTTCCTTCTCTCTCTCACTGCCTTTTGTTGGCTCTTCCTCTTCTACCTGAGGGTTCCCCTCAGCTCAGTCCTAGGTACTCTTCTTTTTTTTATGCTGTACTCTTCTTACATGCTGCTCATTCCCAGCCTTCTCTTGGCCAACCTTCTCTTCTGGGCTCAAGACCCAAATATGTGAATGTTTTATCTCCACTTGACACTTTCACAGGCTCCTCAAACTGAACATTTTCAAAACAGAAGTAATCTTCCACCAAAATCTGCCTTTCTGTCAGTATATCACAATTTTATATTATAAATTCTGGCCTCATTTGGTCTGGGAAATATATTTAATCTTCAGGAATTTACTTTTTATGTATGTTTGATGTTTCTGCTCATGATATTATACTTATCTCTGTATATATATTAATTTAGTAATTCAAAAAATCTTGGAGTACTTACCATTGCCAGGTATTGCACTAGACCCTACAAATATAATGGTGAACATAACAAATTCCTTACCCTCCTGAGCCTGTATTCTAGAGATATTTGTCAAATATTCATATAATTATTTCTGGGTTTTTTGTTTTTGTATTTTTTTTTTAAAAGATGGGGTCTTGGTCTGTCACCCAGCGTGGCAAGATCGGCTCACTGCAACTTCTGCCTCCTGGGGTCAAGCCATCCTCCCACCTCAGACTCCCAAGTAGCTGGGACTCCAGGCACATGCCACTATGCCCGGCTAATTTTTGTATTTTTTGCAGAGACTAGGTTTCACCATGTTGCCCAGGTTGGTCTTGGACTGATCTCAAAAAATCCACCTGCCTTGCTCTCCCAAAGTGCTGGGATTATAGGCATGAGCCACCAGGCCCAGCCCATATAATTATTTCTGGATAATGGTTTGCAGCCTAGACTACATACAGGTTAAAGTAAATTTATTTTAGAAACTTTAAAAATATTTTATGATAATAAAAATTTGCTACTTTTACTGTTCTGTTCTCAACCAGAAAATTCGATCAAGCTCTTGAGATTCTGAAAAATAACAAAACATCTCTAATTTTCAGGCTAATATATATCTTCCATAGAATTTTTTTGGTAGTACAGTTTTACAAACATTTGTTGAGTTCTTACTTCAAGTCAGAGAATCTGGTAGTTATTGGATATTTGATTTTAATGTTGACAACTTTAAAGACAGTTAAAAAAAGTGTTGGTAAAGTGATGATAGCTTCAAAATTGTGTCTGTTCATATTTATAAGCAAATAATGTCAAAAAGGACACGTGTTTATGCTTAAATATGGTATATGCATTCTGTTTTTATAATTTAACAGTGAGTGCTTGAAAATTTTCAAAACAGATCATTAACACGAATCCCCAGGTAGATAAATACAACTTTAAGGTTCAGAAGAAAAATAATATGTTGGCTGAACAGTACAGAGTATCTGTACTTAAAGGGAAAAGCCTATGGATTTATGACTGTTTCTCTCTTTCCAGAAGTAGAAAAATCTAACCTTGCTCAATTCAGATAATGTTATTTATTGATTAATTCTTTGGACAATGTAAGAGGCATTTTAGTTAGGGGGATCTTTTTCTGGTTCTCTATTTCTTAGCTTTAGGACATGAGGCAAGTCACTTCGTCATTAACCTCTCTGAGTCTTAATTTCATCATCTGTAAAATAATATTTATCATACCTAATTTATAGAATTATCATACAGACACAATGAATTAATGCTTGTGAAAGTACTTTCTAAAGTATAAAGCACTATATCCGTTCTATTTCTGAGAAGTACTGTTTACATTTCAGATTACTGTGAGCAAAATTAAAATATACCATTGAGAATTTAAAATTATTCTCTTTATTTTCTTTTTTGTAGTTTTAAATTACATCTTTCTCTAATAAATGCCTAGCTAATAGTGCCACTTTCAAGTTTCTGCTGTTATAATGTACGTATCTCAAGATGTGTAGGTAAGGGTCGGGCTCCATAAAGAGCGTGTTTGCATTGAGAATCAGATAACCTAACCCTAAACCAGCTTTTTAGTTACCTCTGTCTCCCTTCCTAATTGATTTGTACTGACATGTAGTCATGATTTTTTTTATTTGCATGTGTCCTGAAAATCTATTAGGTCTCTGATAATAAGCTCTATCAGTCATTTGCCAAAATCAGTGACTCTAGGATAATTTAGTTATTTTAAGGTAAACATTGAGTTGGAGGTGTTGGGAAAATAGGAGACCTAGAAACCAAAGTGTTACCCTGTTGCCCCAGTTCTTCCTTTCTTAAAACACTATTACACAATATTCAGATGCCAACACATTAGCTTGAGCCGTTCATTAGTGAGATTTTTTTCCCCCAGATATCTGAGCAGACCTTTGATTCCCCTCCAAAGGTTGGGGGGTAAATAGGGATTGCCTGCCAGCTGTCTGCTTCACAGATCCCTTTATAATTATTCTTATGGCAGAAATTTTTGGATCTACTAAAGTTTATTCATAATACGATTTTTTTTAAGGTAGATTCAGTGTGAGTAACAACACAGAACAAGCAGGGACAACTTTTGAAATGAGATTATTTTCACAGAAACTTCCAAGTATATATTTCATTTGTTCAAATAATGTTAAATATGTGTTTTTAAATTTACTTGATAACTATATTTAGCAGTCACAGTTTATTTTTATCTATTTTCTAAGAAAGAAAGGAAAATGATTCAGAACTATGCTGAGTGTCAGGGACTTTAAAGTCCATAAGGGCAAAAGATATCCTAGAATAATAAGAATTCATAAATGTGAATAATAAATGTTTATATTTTCCAAATTTCTCTTTAAATTTTTATGCTATAAAGCACAATAAAAATAGAAAATAATATAACTGAGTTTATGTGCCCACTCTTCACATTTTCAGTTATGAAAATTTTATAATTTTTTCCATTAATTCAGTGAATATTCATTGAATGTCTCCTGTGATCCAGGCACTGTTCTATCTCAGTGTTGAGATCTTGCAATGAATGAGCAAAATGGACACAAATTCTTCCTTTACACGGGGAGGCAGACAATAAGAAATAAGTATTTCTGTAGTATGTTAGATAGCAATAAGTTGCAAGAAGACAAGTATAGTAGGGAACAGGAATAGGGAATAGGGTGAGAAGAGGCTACACTTTGAAATCAAGTGGTCAGGAAAGGCTTCACCAAGGTGATAGTGCAGTAGAGACATGAAGGAAGTGAGAGAGTCAGCCATGTAGATATCTCAGGAAGGAGATTTCTAGGTAGAGGGATCAGCCAATATTAAGGCCCTTTAAGGTGGGGTTATGGAATGAGTGAGGGTTAGAGGCCGTTGTGGGCATACAGAATGAGTGAGAGTTACAGTAGTAGGAAAGAAGGACATGGAGGTGATCATATGGAAGAAGGATTGTACAGATTACTCAGGGCATTGAAGATCATTGTAAGGACTATGGCTTCTTCCCTGCACAAAATGGGGAGCCACTGGGGAGTTTTGAGTAGAAGAGTAGTGATCTCCTATTTTGGAAGAATAATTCTGGTTGATAACTGTGATAATCCTGTAGTGGGACAAGTGTGGAAACATGAGGTCCAGATAGAAAACTGTTGAAGTAATCCCAGCAAGAGATGGAACTGGCCTAGACTATGGAGTAGCAGATTTTAGGACTATTTTGACATTAGATCTAATGGAATTTTTTGATGAGTTAGATGTGGGGTATGAGAATTCAGAAGAAATCTAGTGTGGCCCCAAGGTTTTTGGCCAGAACAGCTGGAAGGATGAAATTTCCATCAACTAATATGGGGTAGGCTGCTGATGGGGAGCTATCTGGGGTTACAAGAGGAGAAGTTCAGCTGGACAGGTTAAGTTTGAGACATTTATTAGACACACAGCAGAGATGTTAAGCAGTGAGCTATATGAGTCTGGAATTTGGGAGAGAAGTCTGGTCTGGATCTATGAATTTGGAATTTGGAAAACAAGGTGGATTGTCTCAGAAGACAAGTGAAAAAATGTTTCAAGGTTGAAAATGATTAACTGTGTCAAATGCTATTGTTAGGTTAAATAAGATGGGGACTGAAGATTGAGCATTGATTGGCTCAGTTTTAACCTTAGGAAAGAGAATAGCAGTAGCCTTATTGTCTTCCACATATGTAGACAACTTGGGGTTTTCTGTTAAAAGGAATAGTGAAATTCTGTGAAGAGCATAGCAGAGGATGAAGTGAGGATGAAAAGAGGGTTTTTTCCCCTAAGATGGGAGAAATTACAGATGTCATACACTAGTTAGAATAGTCCTCAAAAGGAAGTGGGGTAGATACACTGATATCTACCACCCAAACCCAGATATCTATCTCCTATAATAATACAGCAGGTAAAGTGGGAAATTGCTGGAACACTGTCCTTGAGAAGGATAATGTCAAACGCACAAGTGAGTTTGTGCGTGATCATGCTACTAGTGCTTAACGAGTAGCATGGTCAGTTCATGCTTAGAAACTGAAGAAAGTTGAGTTACTAGGCACACATGTGGGTGGAGGTTAAGTGGTGTGTACTGGCAGCTTATAGAAGGTCTTCTGTTTTCTCACTGAGTATGAGGAAGGGAGTGGACACATCGAGGTTTTAGGAGAAAGGAGATGATATAAAATAACCAACTAACAATGTGGGAGAGTGAACGGATTAGGGAAATGAATGTGTTTGCTGGGTACTATTAAGACCCATGTGAGATTCCTGATCATGAATTTAAAGTGAAATTGCCTGGGCTGATGCCTGTAATCCCAGCACTTTGGGAGGCCGAGGTAGGAGGATCACTTGAGCCCAGGAGTTTGAGACTCAACAGCCTGGGGAACAGTGTTGGGCAACAGTGAGACCTCATTCCTATAAAAAAATAAAAAAATTAGCCGAGCATGGTGGCACGTGCCTGTATTCCTAGCTACTTGGGAGGCTGAGCTGGGAGGATTGCTTGAATCCGGGAGGCAGAGGATGCAGTGAGCCAAGATCATGCCACTGCACTCCAGCCTGGGTGACAGAATGAGACCCTGTCTCAAATGAATGAATGAATGAATGAATGATTGAATGATTGAATAAAATCGGCCAACCTGATTATATGGTTTTCTCCAACAATGTGTAGCTGCACTGGTGCAGGTAAAGAGTATGTGGTGGATTAATTTTAATTGTGTTTTAGTACCCTTACTTCATGTGTGTATATCCGTAAACAATATATACTATTACCATGTTTTTTAAATGTACATACATGACATATTCTATTGCAAATTGTTTTTTATTTGACCTATTCTTGAAATTTATCCAAGCTGATAAATGGGATGTTTCATTTATTTTAACTGTTGTGTAATAATCCTTTATATTAGTTATCCAGTCTATCTTTTCTCCTACTGAGGTACATTTAGGTTGTTTCTATGTTTTCTCTATCACAGTGTTGCATTTTTTCCCCTGATGTTATTGATTTGTTGGAGTTCGTTAAGTATTATAGATACCAACCCTTTATAACTATATGTTTTGTAAATTTCTTTTCTAAAATTTTAACTTGTTTTTAATTTTGTTTAATGATCTTTTTTGCCATTTAACATTTTAATATCCAATGTACTAAATCTTTTCTTTTACGGCTTATTTTTTTAATTTTAAAAAAATTTTAATTGTGGTTAAAAAAACACAAAACAAAAATTGCCATCTTAACTGTTTGTGAATATATGGTTCAGCAGCTTTAATAATACTCATTTTGTTATGTAACAGATCTCTAGCACTTTTTCATCTTGCAAAATTAAAACTCTATACCTTTTCCCCCGTCCCCTAACCCCCAGCAGCCACCATTCTACTTTCTATTTCTGTGAGTTTGACTACTTATGATATCCCATGTCAGTGGAGTTGTACAGTATTTATTTTATTTTTGTGACTATTTCACTTAGCATAGTTCTCAAGGTTCATGCATGCTGTAGCATGTGACAAGATTTCCTTCTTTATTAAGGCTGAATAATATTCCATGGTATTTATATGCCACATTTTGTTTATTCGTTTATCTGTTGATGGACATTTGGATTGCTCTCACCTCTTGGCTATTGTGAATAATACAGTGAACGTGGTTGTGCAAATATTTCTTCAAGAGGCCTGCCTTCAATTCTTTTGGATATATACCCACAAGGGGGATTGCTAGATCATATGGTAGTTCTACTTTTAATTTTTTGAGGAACATTTATACTATTTTCCATAGCAGCTGCACCATTTTACATTCTCACCAGCAGTGCTAAAAAGTTCCAGGTTCTCCGTATCTTTGCCAACACTTGTTATGTTGGTGTTTTTGTTATTATAGTGGCTGTCCTAATGAGTGTAAGGTGAAATCTCATTGTAATTCTGATTCGCGTTTATCTCTAATCATTAGTGATGTTGAGCATCTTTTCATATGCTGTTAACCATTTGTATGTTATCTTTGGAGAAATGTCTATTAGAGTCCTTTGCTCATTTTAAAATCAGGTTATTTGTGGGTTTTGTTGTTTTTAGGAGTTCTTTATATATTCTAGATATTAACTCCTTATCAGATATATGATTTGCAAATATTTTCTCCCATTCTGTAGGTTGCCTTTCATTCTGTTTCTTTCCTTCGATATTCAGAAGTTTTTAAATTTGATATAGTCCCATTTGTCTATTTTTGCTTTTGTTGTCTGTGCTTTTGGTGTCATATCTAAGAAATCGTTGCCAGATCCAATGTCATGAAGCTTTTCCCATGTATTTTCTTCCAGGATTTTTACAGTTCTAGGTCTTACATTTAGGGTATAAAATCAGGTGGAAATATTTTATATTTTTAATACAAATAACCCAATTACCTTTTAAGTATTTGTTGACTAGTCAGTTAATCTTTTCTCTTCTTATTCGAAATGCAACTTCTGTCATATAACTAAGTTCCCAAGCATACTTACGAGTCTGTTTTTAGGCTCTTCATTGAATTCCATTTGTCTGTTTGCCTCGCTCTGTATCAGAACCAAAATATCTTAAAGCATCTGGCTGGCCGGGCGTGGTGGCTCACGCCTGTAATCTCAGCACTTTGGGAAGCTGAGGTAGGAGGATCGCTTGAGGCCAAGAGTTCAAGACCAGCCTGGGCAATATAGCAAGAATTCATCTCTACAAAATATTTAAAAAATTAGTTGAGTGTGTTGGTGCATGCCTTTAGTCCCAGCTGCTCGGGAAGCTGAGGCAGAAGGTTCACTTGAACCCAGGAATTTGAGGTTGCAGTGAGCTGCGATCATGCCACTGCACTCCAGCCTAGACAACAGAGCAAGACTTTATCTCAAAAAAGAAAAGAAAAAAAAGCCTATCATTTTATAGTAAGTCTTGATTCTGAAAAGGTGAGATCTTTTTCCTCTTCACCCTCACCCTACCTCCCTCTCCTTTCCCCCGACCTTCGTCCTCCCTCTTCACTGTCTTCTCTATTCTTGGCTTTTTGTGTTCCTCCACATGAATTGTGGAATCGAATATATAAATTAATTTGGAGGGAACTGCAATTTTTGAATATTGACCCTTCCAGTCAATGAATTTGCATCAGTGAATGTTCAGATCTTCTCATTTATTTAGTTTTTTATGTCTTTCAAAAATATTTTGTACTATTATCTGTAATATTTTATACATATATTATTAGACTTATTTCTATTTATACATTTTGTTTCAATTATAAGAATTACCTTTAAAAACTGGAATATTTATGTTTTTCTTGCCAGAGCTTAGGAATGCTGTTGACCTTATACATAAAACATTGAATTCTTATTAGGTGCACAAATTTATAGATTGACTTGGATTTTTGTATAGATGACTACATTAAAAAGAAAAAAGTCAGAACCATTATTTGTAAGTAATAATGGCTTTGTTTCTTTTCATTTCTCATACCTTTTAGTTTCTGTGTGTTTGGGGATGGTTATTTTGTTTAGGTTTGGCTTGGTTTTATTGATTTGTCTACCAAGTTTTATGTGTATATGTATTTTTTACATTAAAGAACATGTATTTTAGTCATTTAGTATGGTATTTGCTGTAGGTTTTTGGTAGATAAATTATATTTTTAGTATCTTTATTGTTATAAGTAAATTCTTATGGTTTTTCTCTTTAACCACATAATGATGTGAATTATATGAATAGATTTTTGTTTCCTTTTTCAGTGTTAGACCATCTTTCAATTCCTGGAACAAACTTAACTTTCCATGATATGTATTTTTTATACATTGCTGGATTTTATTTGCTAATATTTTACTTAGGATTTTATTTTCTAAGTTGACCTATAATTTTCCTGTATAAAATTGCATTTGTCACATTTTAGTATCAAGGTTGTCCTAGCACCATGAAATGGATTTAGAATGGTTTATGTAAGATAAAGTACATTTCTTCTAAAGGTTTGTGTGGATTCACTTTCAAATCTGCCAGAGTGTGTTTTTTTCCTTTTTTTTTTTTTTTCATTTTAAGTGAGTGCAAGTAGCTTTTCAAATACTGATTTAATTTTTAAAATATTTACAAGTATATTTAGAGTTTTTATTTCTTCTTGAATGTTAACATTTTTATAGAAAATGGTATTATCTTTTTAAATTCTTTGACATCAGTTTCTTCAGAATTTCCTTACTTTTAAAAATCTCTGTAACTATAGTAATGTTTTATTTTAAATTACTGATATTATTCATTTGTTACTTTTCTTGATCCTTTGTTAGAAGTGTCCATTTTATTAGTCTTTTATAAGAAAGAGCTTTTGTCAAGCCTTCTATTTTTCTTCTCTTTCTTTGATGAGGTTTATTATTTTGTGCATTTTACTTTCTATAAGCTTCTTTCATATTCTTTTTCTAAGCTTTTAATTTGGACATCCAGCTCACTAATATTTAATCTTTTTAAAATAAAGCTGTGAATTTTTAAAAATAGCTCTAGCTGCATCCCACAAGTTCTTATATATAGTATTTTTATTGTTACTGTAATATTTATTGTCACTTTTTCTTTGAGTGGTGGCTCATACCTATATCCAAGCACTTTAAGAGTCTGAGGCGGGCGAATCACTTGAGCTCAGGAGC
This sequence comes from Homo sapiens, assembly GCF_000001405.40. Classification (NCBI taxonomy): domain Eukaryota; kingdom Metazoa; phylum Chordata; class Mammalia; order Primates; family Hominidae; genus Homo; species Homo sapiens. Next base: position 90,928,140 of record NC_000014.9, on the reverse strand, counting down.
CTGGACAACATAGCAAAACTGCGTCTCTCTACAAAAAGTACAAAAATTAGCCAGGCGTGGTAGCAAGAGCCCAGCTACTTGGGAGGCTGAGGCAAGAGGATCACTTGAGCCTGGGAAGTCAAAACTGCAGTGAGCTGTGATCACACCACTACACTCCAGCCTGGATGACAGAATGAGACCTTGTCTCAAAAAAAAAAAAAAAAGAAAAGAAAAGAAAGAAAGAGAAAAAAGACATATGCCTGAAAGACTATGTGTGTATTCTCTAATTGATGGATACAGGATTTTGTATATTTTCATGAATATCATTCAAATCTTGAATATCTTTACTAATATTTTTCCTTCTTGATCTGTCAGTTATAAGAAACATATGTTAAAATACCCATGATGATTGTGGATTTGTCCATTTCTCCTTGAAGATCTCTCCATTTTTATTTTATATATTTTTAAAGCTTTTCACAAATTTTTGAGGATATTCAAGCTTGGAATAGAGTTATTTCCCTAGTGAAATGTTCCTTTTATTATTTTGTAATGTACGTAATTTTAATAATTCTTTTGCCTTAAAGTTCATTTCTCCTCCTATTAATAAAGATACTCCAGCTTTCTGTTGGTTAGTGCTGTCTGATACAACTTTTTTCATCTCTTTACTTTCAATCTTTCTTTGTCATTATGTTTTAGGTGTGCCTTTTATAAATAACATATAGCTGGATTTTATTTTTTGATCGAGAGTTTCTGTCTTTTAACTGGTGAGTTATGATACCTGTATATTATGATTACTGATATATTTTTATTTATTTCTCTTATCTTGCTTTGTGTTTCTCTTTGCTTCTGTTTTCCCTTTTTCCTGTCTTCTATTTAAATGATTAAGATCTTTTGATTTCATGTCCGCCTAATGGTCTGGAAGTCATGTATATTCTATTTCTGTTCTTTTAGTAGTTATTACCCTGATTTTATTTACTTATCTATTTTTATACACAAGGCATTTCTGTAATATTACCCTGATTTTAGACTTGTGCTCTGACTTAACAGAGTCTGAAATTATCCATTATCTCTCAAACGATCATGACCACTACAAGAACGTTAGAATGCTTCAACTTCAGTTATTTATCTAATTTTTATATTATTTAGTATTTTAGTCCTACCTGCTAAATTTCCACAAATCAATCATTACTGTGCAGTTATTACTTTTATTTTATAAATTCAGTGCTTGTTTATATTTACTTACACATTTGTTTTCTCTGCTTATTCTTGCTTCTTGCATCTGAGTTTTTTCTTTCAAGTTCAATTTATTAATTTATGAAATACATACGTTAGATTTCTTTTTAGCAAGGTTCAATGATTAATAAATTCTGTCTTTGTCTTAAAATGCTTTATTTTGCCCTGCATATTAACTGATAACTTAGCTGCTGGGTATAAATAGATCTAGGAATGGACCTGTGAGATATGTACACACACACACACACACACACACACACACACTTAAATATATATATATATACACATACATATATATGTCTCTCTTTTTATTGTAAAGTAAAACAGATTCAAAAACAAAATAAATGTATGGCTCAGTGAATTATTATAAGACAGCACCCTTGTAACCACCACTCAAGTGAAGAAATAGAATGTGGCCAATCAGGAATATATTTTTATTTAATCTGCTTAGGACTTTTGCAATATTCTGGATAATTTTCTCAAATTTACTAAGTCTTTAGTAAATTTTACTAAGTCTTTTTTTTTGTTTTTTTTTTTTGAGACAGAGTCTCACTCTGTGGCCCAGGTTGGAGTTGAATGGTGCGATCTCTGCTCACTGCAACCTCCACCTCCCAGGTTCAAGCAGTTCTCCTGCCTCAGCCTCCTGAATAGCTGGGACTACAGGCACGTGCCACCATGCATTTTTAGTAGAGACAGGATTTGAGCTATGTTGGCCAGGCTGTTCTCGAACTCCTGACCTCAAGTGATCCGCTCACCTTAGCCTCCCAGAGTGCTGGGATTACAGGTGTGAGCCACCATGCCCAGCAATTTTACTAAGTCTTGAGAAGATTATCCAGAATGTTGCAAAAGTATCCTCTAATTTACTGTCTTTCTTCAGCTGTGTCTAATACGTTTAGTCTGCCTTTTTTATTGCCTCGTTTCTTTATTTGCACAGCTCTATTTGATTCTTTTTCTTCTTTTCTTTTCTTTTTTTTTTTTTTTTTTTTTGAGTCAGGGTCTCACTCTATCACCGAGGCTGGAGTGCAGTGGTGCGATCATGGCTCACTGCAGCCTCGATCTCCTGCTCTCAGGTGATTCCTCTTGGCTCAGTCTCCCAAGTAGCTGGGACTACAGGCATGCGCCACTATGCCCTGCTAGGTTTTTTTTTTTTTTAATTTTTTTGTAGAGACAGGGTTTCACCATCTTGCCCAGGCTGTCTTATTTTATGTCTTTTATCTTTTACAACATGCTGGTCATTTACAGATTATTTTTCTACTGTTTCAAGTAATCCTTCAGTTTGTTGTGTCTGTGGAGTCTAGTTCACTTATTTAGTAATATCAAGACATCAGCGCTTTATAGGAATTCTGGGCAGGCTAAGTTGTGAGAATATCTCTGGTTCTATCATGTGTCCCAGGGTGTCACCATGTTTGGCCAGATTTTCCTACTTCCCCACACCGTGCAGAAGAGTAAATTCAGATCTCAAATCTAAGAAGCATAAGCCTAGGCATTTAAGCTCATAGGAGGAACTTTGTTCAGCTAGGGCCTAGACAGAAACGAATGAGTGCTAGCAGATGAATTTATTTTTCTGTAGTTTGTTTTCACTGAGGTTTAGCTTTCTTTGGTTTCAAGGTTTATATAAGAGTGGTAATTCTAGCCCATCTCATTTGAGCTGACAGCCTCATCGTTTATCCTCACAGGGTATTAAAACTCAAGTTTCTGGATTGCTGAGACCTGTAACAACTCACCTTTCCACCGTTTGTGCAGCCACAGCACTAGGTCATATGCCTACCTCTCTGGTTTTCTGTACTCACTTCCTGGCTGGCACCCAGGAATTCTCCTTTCTTTCTTGTGAGCCCGGTCTTTGGCGATTACCAGTGGAATATGTAATCCTTTTTAAAAATCAGTCAAACATTTCTAGATATTTGTGTGGAGATTTGCCAGCATTAAGAGTCTTTCTAAATATGGGATGAGAAAAAAACCTGTTTTCATTGATGATTTTACACCAGAATTTATCTGTCACAGGCAGATATGATTAGGACAAAACATTGGCAAATAAAAGCTAGGAATTATTTCATCAGAGTCTTTATTGAGAAATACTTAAGTCTGGCATTTGAGTTACTATTGGGATTCCTCCCTAGAAGGAAACCAGCTTTATATCCAGTGTTATCTGATCCTTTTCTCTAAGGAGCAATGAAGCCTCCTTGATTGGCTAATCACTTAAAACACATGAGTATTCCATATTATCTGCTAGTATGTTGTACACATCCCACTCCTGCTGTTTTTGTTCATAATCAAGTAAATTTTCATTCACATTTTTTTTAACTGTGATAACTAAAGTTGCTTATAGTATGGGCATAAATGTCAAATAGGTTGTCTCCTTGAGAAAATTGTTACTTGAGAAAATTATTGTATTTTGAACAAATAATAAACCATAAGCATAGTAGAACTGTTACCTTGAAGTCTTTCCTGCCCCTATCAGAGACTCTGGAATATGTTTTATGGTGCATCCTTCCCCTGTCAAATCTCATCAGTTTGTCTTCTTGGTAGAATTATTTTAAGGCATTATGCATCTTCATAGGCAAATAAATACAAATTCAAAAGTTACAATTGGTGATATTTTTACAAATAGAAGAGAAACTCTTAGGAAGTTTAGGCAGAGACCTAAAAGTTAGAACCCAGAGGGAATAACACAGGAGGAAGCAAATATAGGTTTAGAACTGGGTAAGATGGCAAGGGTTTAAAATAATTGAGAGAATTAAGAGATGTTTGTCTTTATTTACTACTATTCTCAGTGATTGGGACTTCTCAACATTTAAGCTTTAGTTTTTCTATATTCTGGAATTTCTATCAAATAAATAAATATTTATTAATGTATACCCTATCAACTCCTCCCCCAAAGCACCAGATAAGCTAAAATGAACTATAAGAGAGGCCAAAAATTACTTGGAAAAGGTAGAAGAAAAATCTTTTAAGCACTTAACTTGGGGTGGTTGTGAGCTTCCTCTAAGTTGAGATAATAAATGAGCTACGTAATTGCATAATTGATTATCTAAAAAATAATTTTTAGGTTAACTTTCAGGCATGATATATTAGCCCTTTTGAATTTTTAAAATTCTATAAAAAGGAAACATCTATCTTTAAGAAATAATCTTTTTTTAAAGACAGTTTTGTTTACCATCGTTAAACATAACATTAGCGTTGTCAAACCTACACAAGATGGTAAGGTAGAAAAAAAAATTTTTATTCTTTTTTATCTTTGGGTTTATTATTCCCCCTCTTAGAATTTGGTCTTTCCTACCCCTTCAAGTTACCCAGTGTTTTCTCAATCTTGCCTAATAAAGTCATTCATACTAATGTGTTAGACAGTTCATGTTGCCTTACTAGGACTATTTGCATTCTTCAAAAAAAGGGTTAAATCAGCAACTGAAATATACATGCATGCAAAAAGTGAACAAGAATAAATGAATGGATTCATGGAAAGGATGGATGGATGGATGGATGGATGGATGGATGGATGGATGATGGTACCATTTCATGCATGAGAAGTCTTTCTGATGGGATGGGATGACATATACCCAGGACTCATATTATGTAGACAGTGGTCTGTTCCAGTGAAGAGTGGGTCTGTCAAGTAGATTCTACCACTACTTTGCCACTATAGTGTATCTCAACCACTAACATGTATTACTTTCTTCTTTTGTCACTTGTCATACTAGCTTGAAATCAAATCCCTTTTTTGTTTGTTTGTTCAAGACTGAAAGAGCATATTCCTTTTGTGGAACTATTGAATACATGGCACCAGATATTGTCAGAGGGGGAGATTCAGGACATGACAAGGTATGTTCTATTTTTGATGCTTCTTTATGTATTTCTATAAAATGTACTATAAGAATCCTAGTTAACAACTTAGGTCATCTCTTCAACAGAGCCGTCTTTCTGGTGTTGATTGTCTTACCTTCCTTTTTTTCTCTTTTGCTTTGTATTCCTGAACACATTATGATATCTAGTATTTTGGAGGAAAAAGATAATACAAAGGTTAGGACATTCTAGATTTCCCTTTTTAAAGATTTTATTGGTGAGAATTGTGTTTTATTTTATAGAGTAACACTCTTGTTAAAGTTGAGACCTCCAAACTAGTCAAATAATTTTTATTTTATTTCTGTTGAGAGAGCCTATTTCTTAGAGTACAAACTATGACTCCATTCTTTTAAAAAATTAAGGGCCTGTAATCCCAGCACTTTGGAAGGCCAAGGTGGATGGATCACCTGAGGTCAGGAGTTCGAGACCAACCTGGCCAACATGGCAAAACCTCATCTCTACTAAAAATATAAAAAATTAGCTGGGCGTGGTGGCGAGCGCCTGTAATTTCAGCTACTCGGAAGGCTGAGGAAGGAGAATGTTTGAACCCGGGAGGCAGAGGTTGCAGTGAGCAGAAATTGTGCCATTGCACTCCAGCCTGGGCAGCAAGAGTGAGACAACGACTCAAAAGAAAATTACTTACTTATTTTTGCATGAGACCCTGGCCTTTTAGGATACAAGTGAACCACAATGCAATACAGAAGGGTCACGGCATGTAAAACTGCACATTGTTCCTGTCTGAGTCGTGATGAATGGTTTTGGACAGTATTTATTGGCATTTTTAATTTCTACTAGAAAAACATTCGGAAACATATAGTCATGTGTATCACCTTTAGTTAATAATTGGCTTTTTAAGCTGTCACTAAGAGGTCAATGAAAAGGGAATCACTGATATTTTCTTATTCCCAGTTTCTGCCTTTAACTTTCCAGAGACACTGGAGACTGTTGATTATCTTCCCAACAGAAATAAATATTTTAACAACCCTTGGTGAAAGAAAAAATCCTGAGTTCTAGATAGTTTAAGTTTGTTTTCCTAAGCCCTCTAAAAAGCTCAATTTTTTTGGCCTCCTCTCTTGCCTTTGTATGTGCAAAATGAAGATTCTAGAAGAAACTTTCTAAGTAATTATGTTATAAAATCTAGGTCATGGTTTTTTTTCTGTATTAAAGGGTACAAAATTTGTTCATTTTTTAACACTTCTGTTTTATTAATAGCTTTATCCAAATAAGGTATTCTACTTTTTGTTCCCCATCTTTCCTTCTCCTTCATTCCCTTTCAGAGTCCCACATATGCAGTTCAGATATCTGGCTGTGGAGAATCTTTGGTCTCCTTCCTGACGACTAATCATGTATTTAAAAGCATGTTCTTCAAGTTTGTGTGTTACTGGTTTTGGAACCCAGGGCTAAGAATCTGATTATTGATCTCTGTCAGTTGAATAATGTGGTTTCAAATCCAACAGCAAAACATTCTGAGGGTTCTGACTCAAATGGCAGTCAAACTGCTTGTATTAATGGAAGAGTTTAATTGCTGGCTTAGTTTGCTTCTTGATATTCTTTGAAGCTGTTGGGGAATTTGGTAGGAATTTATACCTGTTAATTTGAAAATTATCTTCAGAGACCTAATGGAACCAATTTTCACATAAGAAAATCTTATATTACTCCTAGAATTTCTACATACCTAAGGTGCAGAATATACCTAGTCAATAAATATTTTTTCCCACACCTGGAACAACCTGACAGTTATTAAATGATATAATGTATGCAAAGTGCTCATCATAGTGCCTGGCATGAGGAAAATATTCAGTAAATACCTTTGCTCTCACGATTTTAGTCTGCCTGATGTGTTTTGTATGTCAGCACTCTGTATTTTCTTAATAGCTCTAGGCTCATAAATTTTGTCACCTCTCTGAAACTTAGGCCCTGGAAATTGGAAGCAAATAGTTTGAAATTTTAACATCTAGTTAATATTTCTCATTGGTGTACACTCATTTATTCAATAGTTATTAAAATTCTGATTTGCCTAATTACAAAAGAAGTAATTTTCAATACATCAAGATTCTTTAGGCCAGGCATGGTGGCTCACGCCTGTAATCCCAGCACTTTGGGAGGCTGAGGTGGGCAGATTGCTTGACCCTAAGAGTTCAAGACCAGCCTGGGCAACATAGTGAGACCCCATCTCAAATAAAATAAAATAAAAGATTCTTTAAATTATATATAATTTTCTATGTTCTCAGTTCAGGTAACTGCATGTATAAATTGGTTTCCAAATTAGAACACATTTTATTTTATATTATTTTAGATCTTCCCATCAGTGAAGACTCTGAGGTTTATGTGTGATAGGTTCTATAAGAAAAATTGATTTAGGCAGTTAGGAAAAAATAACATACCCTTGGATGTGGTTTTTTTTTTCATTTATTGTTCTTTGAATTTTAGACATTTCATAAGGCTCACTGGAGCTGAATACTTTAGTTCCCTATCATAAGCCCAAAGAAATATCACCTACTTAAAATTTTAAAAATTTATATAAAGTTTAAATTTTTTAAATTATCAAGGTAAACGGTTACTAGTTTAAGAAATAACATGCTTTCTGTGCTGAGGATACTTGGATATTTGTTCTCTAAATGTCTTTCTTGCATGTGTTAATTTAATACTCCTTACATAGAAGGAGGTGTACAAAATCATTTTTTAAAACATTTTCCTAATAGATAGCTTTTATTCATTTTTTCTTTCTTATAAAATATTTTAGTTGATAATTCTATAAAATGAAATTATTGTTGTTTTATAGGCAGTTGACTGGTGGAGTTTGGGTGTTCTAATGTATGAATTACTAACTGGAGCATCTCCTTTCACTGTTGATGGAGAAAAAAATTCCCAAGCTGAGATATCTAGGTAAGATTTGACAAAATAAAATAAATGCATTGTTTTCTCAAAGGAACTGATCACATTTCTGCGGTTAGGCTGATGTAAACGATAATTTTTTAAAATGAGGATAGACAAAGTGATGTTTATGTGGTAAATTTTCATTTCTATCATATGGCATATAGATATGTTACCTTTACATTTCTTTATACTGATTTTATGTGCCCAGTTGAATCTGAAGTTAACTTATGATCTATAGTGTCATGATTTTGGTGTGCCCCAGAGCACTTAGCATATTGTCTTACACTTAGTAGATACGTCATATATTGAGAAGTTTATTTAATGGATACTTTTTTCTCTACTGTATATGTAATTTATTTCTTTGTGACTTTAACATGAAGAAACAGTAATGATATTTTTGAACTCATGAATGTAGTCTCAATAGAAACAAATATCGTAAAATTATCCTCTTGTAGGTCTCAGAGCATTATTCTCTTCTTTTCTTTCAGAGCAGCTATCACAGTTGCAGTGTTGCATTTTTGTTTATAATTATTTGATTAATGTCTATCTGTCACACTAGATTGTAAGCTCTGTGAGAGTAAGGGACATGTCTGGCTTTGATTCTCAGTACTTGCTATATAGAATGCCGTAAATATTTGAGGGATAAAATGGGTTAATGAACAAATAAGTGAATAGTGACCAACATTATACTAATTACTAGTTATGTTTTTGTCCTGTTTTTACTTGAATTTTGTAACTTTGAGAACAGATTTGACATTAAAAATTAAAAATAGAGATTCCACTTCCAAAGAAGATGGAATAAACAGGGACCAGATTTACTTTCCTGCCTGAAACAATTTTAACAATGGGCAAAATATATGAAACAACAGATTTGAAGACATTGGACATCTGGAAGTGAAGGACAGTGTTCTTTGAGAGGCGGAAAAATAAATGAGGTGAGCCCTATGATTGCCCCAGCTTACTGCCTTGAGAGCATTTCCAGGCCGCAAAACCCAGACGCAGTTCAGGAGGTGGAACTGAGAGTCCAAGAAGATCAAGACAGCTAGAGTTTGCAGGCCAGAGTATGGGAGAGGAGAGTGGCACCCAGAGGGAAGTCCAGAGGTGTGCAGAGGTATTCAATTGAGTGTTGGTAAGCACACAGTGAGGGAACTATTCCATATAGTGAAGATGTTATTTCTTGCCAAATTGAACTGTAGATTCAATGCATTCACATTTCCAGCAGGCATTTTTTTTTCTTTAGAAATTGACAACCTGGGTCTAAAATTCATTATGAAAATGCAGAGGACCTAGAATAGCCAAATTATCTTTAAAGAAATATAAGTCTTGAAATAAACTTTGTTCTAAGTTACAGTAATTTAAGACATTGTGATATTGGTGTCAGGATAGACAAATGATCAATGGCAAATGATTTTTGACAAAGATGCAAAGTCACTTCTGTAAAGATAGTTTTGAATAAATGGTGCTGGAACCACTGGCTATCCAGATGGAAAAAAGTGAACTTCAAGAAATACTTCATACCATATAGAAAAATTAACTCAAAATGGATTATAGACCTAAATGTAAAACCTGAAACTATAAAACTTCTGGAAGGAAACATAAAGGAAGACCGTTGTGAGCTTGGTTTAGGTAAAGATTTCTTAGATATGACACAAAAAGTGCAATCCATAAAACATTAATAAATTGGACTTCATCAAAATTAAGTATTTCTGCTCTTCAAAACTGTTAAGAGAATGAAAAGACAAGCCACAGACTGGGATAAAATTTTAAATCATATGTCTGCTGAAGGACTGGTATCCAGAATGTATAAAGAATTCTTAAAACTCAAGAAAACAAACAACTGCATTTAAAAATGGGCAAAAAATTTGAACAGACAGTTCATCAGAGAAGATGTGTAGGTGGCAAATTAGCACATGAAAAGACTATCAACACCTTTAGTCTTTAGGGAAATGCAAATTAAAACATCAATGAAATACCACTATATATTCAACTAGTATGGCTAAAAATAAAGAGACTGATAATACCAAGTGCTGATAAAGACTTAGAGGAACTGGAACTTTCATACACTGCAAGGGGAAATGTAAAATGGTACAAAAACTTTGGAAAATAGGCAATTTCTTAAAAAGTTAAACGTTACTCACTGTCTAATCTGTCCATTCCATTCCTGGGTAATTACCAAGGGAAATGAAAACATATGTCTATATAAAAACTTGTACATGAATGTTAATGACAACTTTCATTTGTAATAACTGAAAACTGGAAATAATCCAGGTATCTGTCAACAAGTAAGTGGTTAAACAAATTGTGGTTTATTCATACAAATGGAATACTCCTTAGCAATGAAAAGGAATTTATCTAAGACATGTGCAGTAGTGCACCTGTAGTCACAGTTGCTGAGGAGGGTGAGGTGGGGGGATTGCTTGAGCCCAGGAGTTTGAGGTCAGCCTGGGCAATGTAGCAAGACCCTATCTCTTTTAAAAAAAAGGAATGATTTGTTTATACTCTTGCAAATGGATGAATCTCAAAATAATTACACCAAGTGAAAGAAGCGAGAAAATATAGAATATATACCATATGATTCCATTTCTGGAAAATGCAAACTAACCTACAGTGACAAAAAGCAGAATAGCAGTTGCCTAGGGACTGGGATTGGGGGAGGTCAGGAGAGATTACAGTACGTAGGAAAACTTTGGAAGGTGATGAGTATATTTGTTTCTTGATTGTGGCAATGGTTTCACAGGTGTATACATATGTCAAAACTTATCAAACTTAGAACATTTTCTTCCATGAAATTAAAAAAACATAAAATTATATACTTTGTATGTGGGAATTTTATTGTACGTCAATTGTACTTCAATAAAACTGTTAAAAATTTAAAGTGTACCTTTTCCAGGACAGGCTAGGAAGTAAATGATTTCTCACTGTTTCAATTTATTTAATGCCAAAGTTAAGTGAGCAGTACTTCTTTTTAAAATCAGGGTGAGTTAAAATCTCACCTCTTATGAAAAATTATAAATATGACTTTGTTTATTTTAAATTGATTTTTTGGCAGTTTGAAAATACCTCAGACTATAGGAAACTGTGGCCACCGTCCTGAGAATTTGGGTCCAGTTGTAAGATCATACCTGTCATGGTGACAGGTACTAAGGGTCGCCTTAGCCTGACAACATTAAGTGGTGGCTTCTCTAATTCCCCTCTTTCTGATTCCACATATACAGGCAATCTTTATAAAATAATTTTCCTTTCCACTGTAGGTCTGAGTGTGGAGAGAAGTATATTTCTTATGATGGCAAGAATATTCTGAACAAAGTAATGTTCACATTTAAATTGCTTTTATTCCCTTTATATCAATCAATTGGCATTCTGGTTTTAGAAAGAGAAAGAGAGCCTGAATCAGATTGTTTAAAACCTTACAACTAAAGCAAATAGACTTTTCAAGAATTTAAATAGGATTCCTTCCCTTTAATCAATTAATTATCCACTTTGTCATGGTGTCAACCTGTAATTTCATGGTTTTGTGTGTGTGTGTGTGTGTGTGACAGAAATTTACAAACAATGTGATAACTAAATTATCCTACACTACATTTTCCTTTCAAAATAATCATTCTGAGTATCTTTCCTGGCATAAATCTTGTATGTATCATTTAGATAAATGTGCCATTATCTGTCCCCAGTGTCTTAATTAGCTCAGGCTTTTTATCATCATTGAATTTTTCCATTCATTAATTATTATGATCTTCCCTGAACTCTGCATACTTTCCGTATTTTTTGTTTGAAATGGTTCAAAGTAATGTATTATTTAAGTTATCTGTTCGCCATTTTTGTCTACAGGTAGCCTAGAATAAAAATGTTTTTCTAGTATATCAAATTTCAAAATATGCTAAGAACTTAGAATGAGAAGAAACTTAGAGTCCAGCTTTTCCCCTGACATAAGAATCCCTTTCTCTGTAAGAATCCCTGATAGTTGTGCCATCATGGAAAGGATGGAGCTTCTATAAGGTGTTTTTAAGGAAGCCATGTTCATTAATGGACAACTTTAGTTGTATAGAGTTTTCCCCCTCTTAAACTGAAATTATTATTTTCTCATTTCTGAATGTTAATTTTGGTCCTGCCTGCTCAAGAACATGGAATAATTCTATTATTTCTTTCCAGACATTACTTTAAGGATAGTTTTATCTAGGATAAATCTTTTAGCTATTCATTAGAAATCATTTCTAGATTTCTCATATCCTGATACTATTTTGGGCAAATATTAAATTATCAGTATTATTGATTGGAATGATTGGTTTTTAGCTTTTCTGTGAGTCTGTTTCTTATTTTTTAAAATACATGTACATGTGCTTTTCTTACGTGTCTTACACTAGCTTTTATTTTATAAATTTATTTTATTTATTTATTTATTTTTTTAATGTTGAGACAGAGTCTCACTCTGTCACCAAGTCTGGATATAGTGGCCTGATCTCGGCTCACTGCAACCTCTGCCTCCCAAGTTAAAGTGATTTTCCTGCCTCATCCTCCCCAGTTGCTCGATTACAGGCACATGCCACCACGCCCACCTAATTTTTGTATTTTTAGTAGAGATGGGGTTTCACCATGTTGGCCAGGCTGGTCTCAAACTCCTGACCTCAAGTGATCCGCCTGCCTCAGCCTCCCAAAGTGCTGGGATTACAGGATGAGCCACTGCGCCTGGCTTCCATTAGTTTTTATTGCCTTTCTGTATAGAACATCTTTTACGCCAATGGCCACTCTCAGTTCCTTGCAATGTGGGCTGCTCTAACCTGACAACTCTCTTTGTCAGAGCCTGTGAGCTGGAAAGGCAGTAGAGTCCACTAGGAAGATGGGATGCCTTGTAACCTAATCACGCAATTGACATCCTATCATCTTTCTGTACCCAGTATTGGTTATAAGGAAGGCACTAGGTCCAACCCACAGGTAAGAGGCTGTGAATGCAAATATACAGTGATCATTGGGGCCATCTTCAAAGTCTGCCTACCATGAGCCCTTTACAAAAAAGATTGCCAACCCTTGGTCTAGGTAATTAATTTTGAGATATGTTGCTTTTGGAGTCATGTATAGAGTAACTACAAGTATCTTTTTTTTTACCCTGTTTTAAGAAGAAATCAAATGTATTATCTTTCTTGGCTTTCTTAGGTCTTTATGATAAAATCCTTTCTTGGCATATTTTATAAAGCCTCCTTGATTCTCAGTTTGCTGGGGGTTTATTCTTTTCTTCCTCATTTTGGGTATTTCTGTACCCAATATGAGCATCTATGTTTCCCAGGGTTTTTTGACTAGTTAACCAAAAACTTTTTAAAGTTTGTCACAGTAGCTACTCATCTACACATTCGTCTACACGAGGCAATTGCAGCAGCTCCGGACTAGAGTCCAGCAGCAGGAGGGGATGGCAAGGAGAGGACAGGGTGACATGGCCCTTCCCTTGGCACTTATACTCCTCAGCTCTGCATCTTCTTTCCTTTCTTCATTTGTTTTGCACTGCTTCACTCTACAACCTGTTGGGGTGAATCATACTTTGTTATTAATTGCTCTGAGGCACTCCCTAGCGGGGTGGAGCATTTGGAGTCCTGAATAAAAACCTAGGGATAGGCCAGGTGCAGTGGCTCACGCTTGTAATCCTAGCACTTGGGGAGGCCAAGGCAGGTGGATCACCTGAAGTCAAGAGTTTGAGACCAGCCTGGCCAACATGGCAAAACCCCATCTCTACTAAAGATTAAAAAATTAGCTGGGCATGGTGATGGGTGCCTGTAATTCCAGCTACTCAGGAGGCTGAGGCAGGAGAATCGTTGGAACCCTGGGGGCGGAGGTTGCAGTGAGCCGAGATTGCACCACTGCACTCCAACCTGTTGTGAAAGAGTGAAACTCCATCTCAAAAAAAAAAAAAAAAAAAAAACCCTAGGGATCATTCTTCCAACTGTGGAAAAGGTCCATCAGAAACATCATCAGTCTGCCTATCATTTCCCAGGCCTTCTTAGTCTCTCACCGGAGACCTGGCCCTCTGTTGTTTCCCTGATGATGCTGCAGTGTAGATTCTTTGCCGCCACCTCTGTGCACCACCCCAGCCAGTTCTCTACTGCTACAGTCAACCCAGAGTCTAAAAGGTCAGCCTCATACATACTGGAAAGGGCCGTGAAAGGAAGAAGGTAGTTTTCTGTGTTCACGACTCTGTCACACATTTTGGTCTCTGGATCACCTGCTGTTTCTCATGTACTCATGGTTCTCCATGGCCTCCCAAAGAAGGTCTCATCATTTTGGGTGATAATCTTGTCTCTATAGTCTGACTGCTGCTCTCTGCCTCTAGCTCTTTTCAGTTTAGCTTTCTCTTTGGAATTCCTTGCATTGAAGTCTGCTTCTGAGTGTCTTAGTTTTATTGTCACATGCAGCCACTTGGCTCCAAGGAACCCCCAAGGTCTGAGTTTACCACTCTCTTCCATCACTATCATCTTCCCCCTGTTAGGGAAAGGTAGTCTAAGGGCCATCATGGAATGATTGGAGAAGTAAAGGTTTAACAGCATTGTGTGGGCTACAGAAAAAAAAGTGTACAAAGGAAGAGAGACAGGAAGAGGTCTGGCGATAAAAGTCATACTAAGTAACTTTTAAATCTTATTTAAGACACTTCCAGGCACGTCTAACAAGCCAGTCTAGTAGCTCCACCAACAATCTAACTGTACAAGAGCGGTGAGGACCTCCAGCAGACCAGTTTGGTTCACTAAGGAAGCCTTAGCCATTGAGAGGAAGGGCAATTTTTGGCAATATCTATCACTTTTAGATAGAAGATGCTATAAATTAAAAAGAAAGCTCTTTTCAGCAAAATCTTTGCAGTATCATGCATTCATCTTTGGTTCCCCTAACTTTGTAAAAGAAACAAGTTTTTTCCTTCAGTCCCAGAAGCAATGGCCGGAGTGTGCACCTCTCAGATGGCTTCCCAGCAGTGTAGTAGGAGACCTGGTTAGTGTACTGGGCAGAAGAGGGAAATAAGATGCTTCATGTGGCCGGCCGCAGTGGCTCACACGCCTATAATCCTGGCACTTTGGGAGGCTAAGGAGGGTGGATCACTTGAGGTCAGGAGTTCGAGACCAGCCTGGCCAACATGGTGAAACCTCGTCTCTACTAAAAATACAAAAATTAGCTGGGCGTGGTGGCGAGTGCCTGTAATCCCAGCTACTCGGGAGACTGAGGCAGGAGAATCACTTGAACTCAGGAGGCGGAGGTTGCAGTGAGCCAAGATTGCACCAGTGTACTCCAGCCTGGGCAACAGAGGGAGACTCCACCCAAAAAAAAAAAAAAAAAAAAAAAAAGATGCTTTATGTGACAGTGAAGAAGAGTATTTATAGCTTACATAAGACATGCCCTGGGGACGACTCCCAGAGTTACTGGGTGGGTGAGACTTTTGAGTGCAGTCACAGATTCCACAGAAGCAGATAAGGATACCAGCCAAATAATCTCAATTTATTATTATTAATGACCTGGCTGGTGTGGCCTAGGGAAACACAGGTTAAGTGGATCAAGGAAGAACTCAGTAACACCAAAAGTGAAGTGACAGCCTGTCTCATAGCTAAAGGAAGACAGACTACTATAGAGTGACATCAACAGCACCGTTCACCTGGGGACCGCTGTGTGCCAGCCTCTGTGCTGAGAAGTCACCCACATTGTATTCTGGAATCCTCAGAACCCTGAAAAATAAGTGGTAGCATATGCAGTTTTACAGATGAAGAAACTAGGATGTAACTTGCCTGGGACTCAATGCTACTGTGAGGTTGGACTGGGATCAAATACAGAGTTACTGGAAAGTTACTCCATGCTGTCTTCACGGGTATCACTTGTTTCCATGCTGCTGTTTTCTTTCCAAGTCTGGCAGGTGCTTATTTCAGGTAAAAGACTGGGAAGTACTGGCCCACGGACTGCAGGGAATTGATTTCATTAATCAGTGGACTATTTGTTGAATAATTCTTTACTCCTAAGGAGAAAGAGAAATAGAGGGTAAAGTCCTTGTCCTAAGAACATTTATTTATATAGCATTTGGGAGGATATGGAATAAATACATGAAAATTCATAGTATCAGGGAGTTTTGACAAATGTCTGAGTGCTTTTAGGTAAGAAGAATGCTGGGGGAGGACAAAGGAGGTTTGGTTCCCTGGGGGTGGGCTGTCAGGGAAGCATTCATGATGGAGATGCGGACTGGGTTGGGTAGAAGAGAAAAGATGGTGGGGAAGTACCCCCAGTGGCACATGGGAGGTTCAGGACTCCATTGCCTCCTTGCCACTCTGTGTACTCCTGCCATTGGGTTCGTGATCTTGTAAGCGAAACTCATTTTATTGTTCCCACTCTAAATGTCATGTTCATTATAGTTTAAGATACGCATATGGGGTAAAGAGTCAATAATAACACGCAGAGACATATACTATTAATGTTTTGGTATATTATGTTTTATTCTTTTTTACTTGTATAATGTTGTACTCATACTAGAAATATAATTTTGTATTTTTCAGTTTTTGCTGAAATTTATGTCGTAAACATTTTGTTCTCTAATTAGAAAACTCTCTGTAAACATAATTTTGTAATGGCTGCTTAATGTACTATTGAGTGGATACACCATAATATGTTTCACTTTTCCCCTAGTGTTGGACAAAAATGTAGAGTAAGTGAAGCTTACTGAGAGCTGTTTCTAACTCAGGCAGGCACATAAATAATTTTATAATTCTGGGACCACATGGGAACCAGGAAGTGAAAGTCAAGAACGTTAAGTCATGAAATGGAAAAGATTGTGAACTTTTAAATGGAGGACAAATAGAAATAAATAAACAACCCATGAGAATGCATGCCATCTGCAGAAAAGCAAAAGAGCTATTGCAGGCATCTCACTGAAACTGTGAGGAAGAAAGGTCCTGAGTGGGCAAGATACAGTAAGTAGAAAACAATTTGACATTTATTTATTCACTAAATATTTGTTGAGGAGTTGCTATGTGCTAAGCAATGTTCTAGGCCCTGGAAATAAAGCAGTGAACAAAACAAAGAGAATTCTTACTCCATTAGAGCTTATGTTTTAGTTGAGAGAGATAAATAATAGACAAATAAACATATGGTATGCATGAAGAAAAATAAAACAGAGTCAAGGGATAAGGAGTATGGGGGTAATGGCTATTCTTGATAGGATGGTTAGAGCAAGCTTCTCTGAAAAGTTGACACTTGAACAAAGACTTCAGTGGGTTTAAGAGCATCCCCAGGCACAGTGGCTCACGCCTGTAATCCCAGCACTTTGGGAGGCCGAGGTGGGAGGATCATGAGGTCAGGAGATCGAGACGATCCTGGCTAACACGGTGAAACCCTGTCTCTACTAAAAATACAAAAAATTAGCCGGGCGTGGTGGAGGGCGCCTGTAGTCCCAGGTACTCAGGAGGCTGAGGCAGGAGGATGGCGTGAACCTGGGAGGCGGAGCTTGCAGTGAGCTGAGATCGCGCCATTGCACTCCAGCCTGGTCGACAGAGCCAGACTCTGTCTCAAAAAAAAAAAAAAAAAATAATAATAATGATAATAATAAAAGAAGTGAGCATCGCCTATTGTTACTAAGACTTGTGCTTAAAGGTCAGTGATTTTTTTTTTGAGACAGGTCTTTGTTATATTTTAGTGAACACACAAAAACACATGTACAAAGCTTCATAGGTTTACTTTTTCTAAAACATTTTATTATAAAAGTTTTCAAACATTTGTTACAGTGGACACTCACACACTCACTACCTAAATTCTACCATGAATATTTCATCATCCTTGCTTATTTCCTGTCTGCCTATGTATCTGTACCTCTCCCATCATAGGTTTAATTTTAATTTTGGTGTCTACCCTTTATTCTGTACACTTGTGATTTCCTTTTGCCACAGAGGTTTCCAGAAACTTAATTCATGAGTAGGAAGAAATTTTATATTCATTTTTATATTACTGATGTGTATTTTAATTTTATTTCATTTGGTTTTTTACATGCCGTTCCTCAATCCATTTGGAATTCATTTGGGTTGTAATATAAGGCAAGGTCTTGCTTTTGTTTTTTTATTTCCTGTACAGCTGGTTTCCCCAACATTTGTGGCCTTTTGCTATGCGATCTGGTCATTTTTTTTTAAATAATGCAAGTTTTTGGCCGGGCACGGTGGCTCACGCCTGTAATTCCAACACTTTGGGAGGCCGAGGCAGGCAGATCACCTGAGGTCAGGAGTTCGAGACCAGTCTGGCCAATATGGCGAAACCCCATCTCTACTGAAAATACAAAAATTAGCCAGGCATGGTGGTGGGTGCCTGTAATCCCAGCTACCCGGGAAGCTGAGGCAAGATAATTGCTTGAACCTGAGGCAGGAGAATTGCGCCACTGCACTCCAACCTGGCAACAGAGCGAGAATCCATCTCAAAAAATAATAATAATAATAATTCAAGTTTTTATATAAGCTTGGTTATTTTTCACAATGTGTCATCTATGTTCACTTGATTTGGCTATTAATTTATTTGCTAGCACCTCACTTTAACAATTTCATTTCATGATACATTGTAATATGTGGCTAGGCAATCAACCCAATTTGCTTTCTTAGAATTTTCTTACTTGTGCTGTATATTTTGCAAATGAATATTAAAGCCACCCATGTTCTAAGGCCTTGTTGTAAGTTTAATTAATATTCATATTTCTTGCTTTTTTGAAAGGAGTCTTTCCGTATCTGTGAAAGAAGGATAAAAATAGCAGTCTTTTGATAGGATTATTATATGGATTAAATAACATACACGTGAGGGGTTTAATATGGCTTATCAACTCAGAGCTTTTTCTGACTTTACAGAAGGCTCTAAGATTTATTTGGGCTCTACCTAATTGTAATTCATTTCTGGAGTTTCCCAGATCCATTTTTAAGCAAGAAAAAGATAACTTTGGGATATTACCAATTCAGAAATCAAGCACATTGGAGGAGGAGAAGTGACAGCAACACCCAAGAAATGTCTCCCTGCCCTTGTTGCAGGATCCTCTAGTATTGTCATGACTAAATGTCCCACAGAATCGTCTACCCTCAGCCCCACTTCTGCAGTGCCCATTCTGCATAGGCAGCAGTGGTCTAGGGTTCAGATTGACGTTCACACTCACATGTCACAATAGACTGGAATCTGGCACCAGTTTTATTTAGCTTTATATAAGGATGCAGGACAGGAAACAGTGTATCGACATTACAGCATCAAACACATCTTCATCGGGGACCTTCCCACCACCTATGCGTGGCTTCCCAGCCCACACAAGACACACTCAACCATTGGTGATGAAAATAAGGGGGAGCTTGTGGACCACCCCAGCATGGGAAGCTCAGAGCAGCAACTGTCCCTTGTAGCAGCCTGTGAGCATGGCTTCCAGGGGCCTGCATGCCTGCTCACACCTCTCAGTCCAGATGCAGCTCACTTCCAGGAGGAGCTTTCACAGCACCTGACCCACCTGCCACGCCAGTTATCTTAACCCAGTACATTTCAAGAGTATGGTATAAGAAATAGTTACATCTGGGATCACTTTCTTATGGAGAAAAGATGTAACCTGCTATAGGCCCTTTCTCCTCACCACGCCACTCCCAGTGTCTGGTTCTCTTCCTGTCACTGCAGTTTTCTAGCAGGAATAGGCTTTAGAACCTCCTCACATCACTGAGGAAAGCCCGTGGCACTCCGTTTACCAAGACAACAGGGAGCCTAAGTGATATTCCTTCCACATATCTTCTGTTTTCACAGGGTGGGGCAAGATACTCCTCATCACCTGCTAGGGTCTCCTGCTGCTGCTTCTGGCCATAGGATTTTCACTCAGGAATGGGAGGGGTTTAGGCTATCACTGGTGGTTCTCCAAGCTCCCTCATCAGCACTGTTTTCCGCCGACATGCTTTCAGATTTGTACTCAATTTCTCCCAGTGTGGTCCCTGCCTCATCTGAATTTAAAATTCTAGCTCCCTGCATGTGGTCTCCTTGTGTTCTTCTTTCCAGACTTGGCATCTCAGCAGAGCCATTTCTGTTTTTGGGTACTCCTCCTTTTGAGGATGAACCCACCATGGTGGACATTTCTCCTTTCTGCCTTCGCAGGACTGACTGTTCTTTCCCCAGCAGCTGATATTGAGTAGATTTCCAATACAAGTTGAAATGTTCTTAAGGTTTAAGAAGTAATAAGATGGTGCAGAGTCAGTATGCTAAGATGATGTCAGCCAAAGTGCATATATTTCTACCCTAATTCAACAAAAGTAAATGTCACAATTTGCTTATCTTGACCCTGATCCTTTATGCAAAGCTTTTTTCCTGCAAAAAGTACAGTAGAGGTGGAGAAAATGGGAAAAGCTATGCTTATTTTTCCCCAAGAAGCAGGATTCCCAGTTTCTGTCTCAGACATGCTTGTGTCTGATCTGAGAAGAGGATTGTCTATTAATGCCGAAAATCCAGACAAGCAGTGAGCAATGGGAGAGTATTAAAGAATCAAAAAGCAGAGAGGGTGTTGCTTATTTCTTTCCTTTCTTTCCTTGTTTTACCAACATTTTCTTGGGTTCCCAGAATTAAGTGCTAGAGGTAGAATTAACTTTGAGATTAACAACACTGCTGGAATCTTTTGTAAAAAATTACAGTTTCATTATCATTTCACTGATTCTCAGTGGCTATTTGATAGAGCGTCTAGGCCTATTTTCTATATGGTTGCCTTGGAATGAGGGAGTATAACAGTAGCTCACATTGATTGAGCATTTGCTATGCGCTAGGTACTATGTTAAGCACTCTACAGGTCTTATTTAAGCATCATAATACCTATTTTAGGTAAGTACTGATGTTATGCCCATTTTACAGGTGAGAAAACTGAGGTACAGAGTTTAGGTATCTCAAGGTCACACAAGGTCAAGGCAGAGCCAGCGTTGGGCTCATTCTGGCTCCAAAGTCTATATTCTAACTCACCACACTATACTGTCTCTTATACATTAATTATCTGTTGTTGTTCCATAATGGTTATTAATATTTTAATGCACAATAGGGAATCTTTTTGCAAACCCAATTAATGGAGTAACTGTCTTCATATATATTGTGTTAAGGTTCTTAATTTCAGTCAATCCTTTTAATATTTCTTACTAAATTATTGATCTGGATGTTAAGAGGGAGAAAGGTACACTTGGATTGGATTGATTTCTTCTGTATCCTTAGAATAAATTTCTCATCAAGAAACTTTATTACCATCTTATGTTTTTATTTTCCATAATAAATTGTGGATTTTACTCCATCTCTGAGCTCTACCTGCCTCATAGGGCTTGTCTGGCTGTTTTATAGCAGCAAACATTGAAGCAGGTACTTTTACCCCATGAAAATCCCCAGCTGTAGTGCCCATTTCTAGATATCAAGGGTTGAACCATCTCCAAGTGGGTCTGACCCCACTTGTCTCGGTGGACTTCCCTCTGCATTCTTATGGGCCCCTTAGGTTTGCTGGCACTCAGGGGAAGAGGAGTGAGGTAAAGATGGTTGTTCTCTTTTGTCCTTTTAAATCTGAGTGCTCAATTCCCTTACCTGAATTTGTTAAGAGTGTTTTATGTTGTGAAGTCTTTAATCATAGAGTCTAGTCTATATACGAGAGGTCTAATCTAGCCCCAGGCTTTTCCGTTTTTCCCCCTAGTGAAATATTTGGGATGTTAGCCTCCCACCAGGATTGACTTATACTGAAAAAATGAGCCAACATTTTTTGTTACTGCTCTTTTGAGTTTCAGAAATTTGACTTTATGGTATCTCATTCTAAATATTTTTTCAACAGTATTGAGGTATTATTGATTCATGTTAAGTATTTATATCTCTCTTTCACATGTGGTTCAGTTTCAAAGTGTATTTCACCATGCTTTTTTTTTTTTTTGTCATCCTGTTTGTTTTAACAGCAAGTTTTGTCTGCCTACAGGAGAATATTAAAAAGTGAGCCTCCATATCCCCAAGAAATGAGTGCTTTAGCGAAAGACCTAATTCAGCGTCTTTTGATGAAAGATCCCAAGAAGAGATTGGGATGTGGTCCACGTGATGCAGATGAAATCAAAGAACATCTCTTCTTTCAGGTGAAATTATTGAATAGATAAATGGTTTCATACTCCTTGCCGTTTTCAGGGTCCTTGGCGTTCTTGGTGAAATTAGTGAACACAGTCCCCTTTGGGATCATTTTCCACTGGCATTTTCACGTACATTGCACCTTTTGTTTTGTTTTGTTTTTAATGATAGGGACCCTTTCAGTAGGGCCAAAATTCTACTTGTATAAACATTAATGGTATTTTTCTCCCTCAATGGAGTGGGAGTGGGGAGGATCATAATAGCATTCAATTTTCTACATACTGATTCATTAGAGTTTCTAGGTGGTGGTTTCCATTTATGATCTTGAGATCTAGCCATATGGACTGAGACTTTTACTGTACTTTTCACTTCTGTCTCAGTTCATGAGCTATTACTGCCACTATGTTTCACCTTTTAGATAGTGATTTCTTCACTTCCTCTTTTCCCAGAAGTAATCTTTAAAAATTTTAAATTTACCTATTTCTCAGTTACATATTCATGACACATAGAGTGTTACTCATTTATTTCCTTTGTCCTGTGACAGTGCTTCTCTTATTCTGAAAAAGCCTAATGAGACCATTCTACTGAGGACCAACTATATCTGCTCAGTTTAGTACAAAAAAAACACCAAAATATTAAACAACTGAGAAAAAACATTTAAATTAACTGAGTTGGCTAGTTATTTCCAGCCTCAGTCGTCAAACTGGGGATGCCACGGCTTTGATTTCTAAAACTCTGGAGATATGACTTTTAAATAACTTCATCATATCAGTAAGCCTGACCTAAATATTTATGGTCTAAAGGGACCATCTAGGTTTTATTTTTTATTCTGTAAATTAAGCTTTTACATTATTATCACCAAAACAAATGAAAATAATATAGCAAAATGAAGAAAAACTGTCAGTTAAGCTTCATGTTGTTATTATTTTTTAAATATATAAAAATAAATATTGATTAGAAATGAGTTATCTCTGCTCTTCTGTGCTCAAAAAAAGGCATATTTCTCTTAGTCTCTCAATGTAATTATTTTTTATAATACTACTGCACATCTTATAGAAGTTCAGTAACATAATGAGAAATACATTTAGAATAAAAGAAACTTCTCACTATATGCATTTCATAGATTCACATGGCTTGGAAGGATTACTCTTTGAACAAACTTTCAAATATCTTGTTCAGAAGTTTATCTCAAAAGTTAACAGTAAAATTTAAGAAACAAGTCGAGCAAAGTACACCCAATCATATTTTCCTAGGATCTTTTTCTCCATTGCTCCCTCTATTTGGGAATATTGCAGGATGTCTTTCATATTAGAGAAATTTCTCTTTTCAGTAGCTTGGAATAGTAATTTTAGATTACTTAATTGCCTTGACTTTTTAAATGATAGGGACACTTTTGGAAAGACCAGAATTCTACTTGTAAAGGCCTAAATGGCCTTTTTCTCTATAAATGGAGCGGAGGTGGAAAGGATCATAATAGCATTCCATTTTCTACATATTAAACATTCTCCTGCTAACAACATGTTTCTTTAAATTACCCCTTTCCTCTAGAAGTTTATTTTAATATATATACAATGGCCAAGCACAAGTTATGTGCTTATAATGGAAAACATTACAGCTGCAGAGAGAAAAAAACACTTAACTAGAAAGTCAAGAGACTGTGTTCAAATCCTGACTCTTCCACCAACTGGTGTTTGGGTGAAAAGGTTATTTCTTATTTCTCGGCCTCAGTTTCACTGGATCAAATAAAGGAGATGAACTAAATGATCTGAATTCCATTTTAGCTGAGAAATTTGAAGATCTGTGATTTAATTATTTTGTTTCTATTGCATCTACAAGACAGCATAATAAAAAACATTTTATGGGCCAGGCGCAGTGGCTCACACCTGTAATTATTTTGTTTTGGGTTTTTTGTTTGTTTTCTTTTTGGCTTAACACCTTTCTGAAGCACTTCGGGAGGCCAAGGTGGGCGGATCACTAGGTCAGGAGATCGAGACCATCCTGGCTAACACAGTGAAACCCTGTCTCTGCTAAAAATACAAAAAATTAGCCGGGCATGGTGGCGGTCGCCTGTAGTCCCAGCTACTCAGGAGGCTGAGGCAGGAGAATGGCGTGAACTCAGGAGGTGGAGCTTGTAGTAGTGAGCCGAGATCGCGCCACTGCCCTCCAGCCTGGGCGACAGAGCGAGACTCCGTCTCAAAAAAAAAAAAAAATTTATGGTAGTTGATTAAACTTACTAAATTTTATCAACCAAGAAGTGCACATTTTCATATTTTACTGTCACTGAAATCAGTATGCATGTTACAGTGGCCATCATCTTATATTCTTATGATTAATACTTTTTTCTTCTTAATGATACATAAAATAATTGTGTATCTTACTATCAGTAATGGCATCTTAGATTTGAAAAAATGTGGTAGTAGGAGACCTGTAGGATTTAATTCAGTAAGTGTTATCTGAGATTGTTTTAAATGATAGAAGGAGCACAAAGAAACAGAGCAAAGGGTTGGATTTCAGTAATATAACTCAGTAAGTGACCTAGAGGGAAAAGGGGCTTGCATTATTCTATGGGGGACATAAGAGGCAGTGTTTAAAATGCTTGAACACAGTTGAATAAGAAAAGAGTGATCACATCCATATGATGGTATCATTTGAACTTCTAGACATAAGCACATGCCTGATTTACAGTGGATTTATTTTCCAGTCTGTCTGGATGCCCAGGAGGAAAAGCAAGTGCAGGCAGAGAGCTAAGTAACACTGCCTCTAGAAAATAGGAACATTCTTTTAGAGCTAATATCCACATCTGTAGAGCCTTTGGAAACCCTTTATTTCAGTTTTTTATTTTGTTTTGGGTTTTTTGTTTTCTTTTTGGCTTAACACCTTTCTGAGGAGGCTCAGGACAAAAGTATTCTTCTGTTGTCTTTAAAGGTAAACTAGGGTGTCTTGGTGCCCCCCAGAGGACACTCTGAGATTCAACAGCGATAGTCTCATCTTTGAGGCACAGCATTGGTTGGAGCTATAAACTGCTGTGATCTTGTTTGGAGAAAATATGTTTTTTATTATTGATTTGAAATATGTTCTCTTATTTTTATCCTCTCTCCCTACCAGTCAAAATCCTAATTTATCTTTGTTATTCTTAGAAAGTACATTTTGACTATTGATTTCTACTTTGTACCAACTTTCTTTGTTTTAGAAAATAAATTGGGATGATTTAGCCGCCAAAAAAGTGCCTGCACCATTTAAGCCAGTCATTCGAGATGAATTAGATGTGAGTAACTTTGCAGAAGAGTTCACAGAAATGGATCCCACTTATTCTCCCGCAGCCCTGCCCCAGAGTTCTGAGAAGCTGTTTCAGGTAATTTCCCATCCTGTGCACATGCACATTGGCCATATGTCCTTTGAAAGAAAAGATTAAATTTCCCATATTGAAGTAGTTTTGTTGGCATCATAAAAATGGGATTCTCTAATATCCTCTAAATTATTAAATGCAGAAATATTGCACATTGTTAACCGAAGCTTATAGTTTGCTCAATAGCAGATATTGTTTATGCATTTATTTTTGATATAAGGGAAGTTTTAATTTTATACCTGAAATTTTATTTTTGTTCAGATTCTTTTATAGAAAATACAATAATCTTTTATTTTACCTCTATTCATATTTAAAAATTTTTATTTATATAGACAGGGTCTCACTCTGATGCCCAGACTGGAGTGTAGCAGTGCTGTCCTAGCTCACTGCAGCCTCAGACTCCTGGGCTCAAGTGATCCTCTCACCTTAGCCTCTGGGATAGCTGAGACCACAGGTGCAAACCAGCACACCCAGCTAATTTTTCTATTTTTTGCAGAGATAGGATCTTGCTATGTTGCCTAAGCTGGTCTTGAACTCCTGGCCTCAAGTGATCCTCCTGCCTTGGCCTCCCAAAGTGCTGGCATTACAGGCATGAGCCACCACGTCCAGCCAAAAAAATTTTTTTTTTTTAAGAAACAAGGTCTCACTCTGTCACCCAGGCTGGAGTGCAGTGGCATGATCATAGCTCACTGCAGCCTTTTTAACTGCTTGGCTCAGGGGATCCTCTTGCCTCAGCCTCCTGAATAGCTGGGACCACAGGTGCATGCCACCACACCCACCTAATTAAAAAAAAATTGTAGAAACAGGGTCTTACTTTGTTGCCTAAGCTGGTCTTGAACTCTGGCCTCAAGCGATCCTCCTGCCTTGGCCTCCCAAAGTGCTGGGATTCTAGGCATGAGCCACCGTGCCCCTCAACCCCCATATAAAAACATTCTTTAGTTCACAATGTTACCTTATTCTTTACCTTCAGTAATTAATCTTAACTGCTGTTAAAAAAAGATTTAGATTTTATATTTAGAAAAGGGCATTTGTCACACAAGATAAAATATTCTAACTATTAAATGGCATCAGAGCTTTGCTTCTTTGACTTCTATAAGTATACCTTTAGTATGGCTTAATCTGGCCATCCAGACGGTGTCTTTTCTTCTTTGCTTATCACTGTCTAGTATGTGACTGGGCACTTATTGAACATTTTTTTAAATGTTTGTTGATTAGTGAATGTTCTAGCTTGAACGGATTAATCATCCGTCTTTGTACCACTTAGCTCAGAGCATCATTCTGCCATTAGACTTTGTTCCTTTCCAAAACTCAATTTTAAATTTAATTATTCTGAAGATATTAATAAGAATCAAATAATTGCTAAATTAGAAACTAACTTTAGTGAGACTTGCCATTTTTCCAGTTTGAAAAACAATAGCATTTAAAGACCACTTTGTGGCTGGGTCTGGTGGCTCAGGCCTTTAATCCCAGCACTTTTGGAGGCCGAGGTGGGTTGATCACTTGAGGTCAGGGGTTTGAGACCAGTTCGAGACATGGTGAAACCCCGTCAGGCATGGTGGCATGTGCCTATAATCCCAGCTACTTGGGAGGCTGAGGCAGGAGAATGGCTTGAACGCAGGAGGCAGAAGTTGCAGTGAGCCAAGATCGCACCACTGCACTCCAGCCTGGGCAACAGAGCCAGACTCAATCTCAAAAAAAAAAGACCACTTTGTTTAATACCTTGACTGTATCCTTTTTTGAGAAGTTAGTTATGTTTGTAAACAAATTTCATCAGCAAACCAGGAGAATTTCATCTATGAGTCTGATTTTGGGGGTGGAATAGGGAAGAAGTCTTTTTCTACCTTTATTTTTGAATTGGTTTAGTTCTACCAGAAGATGGCATTATATCCTTCTGAACAGCATTTTTCAAATGATTTGAAATAACCTTGCATTTTAGATTGCAAATAAAATAAAATTAGACTCATCTCAACAAATATTTGAGTGTTTTTCTAAGGAAAAAAAGTCATTACAATCTAATCTGTGTTAAACTGGAAAACTGCAAGTTGTTTTTCTTTATCTTTCTTTGTCTTGTTTTTAGGGCTATTCCTTTGTTGCTCCTTCCATCCTATTCAAGCGTAATGCAGCTGTCATAGACCCTCTTCAGTTTCACATGGGAGTTGAACGTCCTGGAGTGACAAATGTTGCCAGGAGTGCAATGATGAAGGTATATAGATGTGGTAACTTATATGACATATTTGTAGGTTTTGTGAGTGTTTAAATACCAACTCTAATTAATGTTCTTAAGTCTAGTAATTCAACTAAAGTGCAATTTTAAAAGTGGGATATAGCAATATTTTCCCTAGAGAATTAACGTCAAGTTGAATGAACTTCTTTTTACAATTATAGAGAATTATGTATCTTAAATAATTATTTAGATGAAAATAGAAGTTACCTATAAAGATGAATTTTAGATTATAAATGTATTCTATTCCTGTTTATTAATATTAATAATTTTATTTTACTCTACAATTTTATTGATCCTTTGTGTATTACTGACATTTTCTGAAGTTAAATGATGTTGATTTCTTGACAGGACTCTCCATTCTATCAACACTATGACCTAGATTTGAAGGACAAACCCCTGGGAGAAGGTAGTTTTTCAATTTGTCGAAAGTGTGTGCATAAAAAAAGTAACCAAGCTTTTGCAGTCAAAATAATCAGCAAAAGGTATGACCATTTTTAATATAATATTCTTTCTTAGGTATTCATGAATTCTGTAAATTAAAAGATATTTATTTTAATTGAAACCAGTATTATATTGTAAGACTTTCTTACCCAAAGGTTTAACCACTTGGCTCATCAGTTGGTCCATTATACTTTTAGCTCTAATTGATATTTTCTGATAAAGTAATCCATTTTAGACATAAATCATAGTCTTATTTGCTTTTGAGTTTATCTAGAGAAAACGTCTTTGTGACAGTGACATATTTAATCAGGCTCACATAGTGATTTTGGCAGCCATTGCCATTTCTACTAGTTGTGTATTTGAAATATTTTTCTCTAAAATTATTTAGCAAGCTACTGATAGCTTTGAGAGCCATCTAGTTGTTTTGGTAACTGATGATTATTATTAAGATTGCATATTCTTATTACTCTAAATTGTCAGGAAAGTAGAGCATTCATTTCCTCATATGATTTGTACTTTTCTGACTCAGAAATAATAATTTTCTCCAGAATATTACTTTTTCTAGTGTGTGGTATAATTCATTACTTTCATGGAAACCTCATTACAGTATACTGTAACATGTATATTCTGAATGCACTGTAAATAAGACAAAATTAGTCTTGGGGCAGTACTGATATAAAAACTTTCTTGAAGAGACATGTGGATGCTAAGTGTCTCATCTTGCAGGATGGAAGCCAATACTCAAAAGGAAATAACAGCTCTGAAACTCTGTGAAGGACACCCCAATATTGTGAAGTTGCATGAAGTTTTTCATGATCAGGTATCCTACTTTTTTTTTTTTTTTTTCCCATGTGTACTAATTCACTTACAGGGTTGTACTTTTCACGCGTTTTGTTGGTGCTGCTGGGTCAGAGTCAGGGATATAGAACATCACCCAGCCACCAGAAAGGGCAGTGAAACCACCCTCTCAAACCCCTCCCCAACCACACACTGTTTCCCAACCCCAAATCAGGTTATCCCTTCACCTCTCATGCTTTTCTCACTCAGCAGTTAACCACCTATGACAGGAAGACGGAGGGCCAGGAGCTCAGTGGTGCAGTCACTGGCTACAATGTGCTTGTTGCCAGTGCCGCTTCTACCCACCATCACTTAATCCTGGAGTACCTCTCAGGACTCAGGAATTTTGAGCCTCCAACTTCCCTTTCACTTCTAGAGTAAAACTGAGAGAGCCTGGAGCCTAATTAATGCAAGCTAAAGGACAAATAGGAAGCAGAAAGCAAAGATACTCCTTTTATCTTCTAGCTCCAGGTGGTAAATTCTGCTCAGAACCCTGGCCAGATCATGCTGCCCCCTCTTCTGCTCTCAGTCCTGCTTTGCAGCAGGAACTATGGGAGGATGCCAGTGTGTCCAGTTCGTGTCTGTTCACCTCACACATGACAGAAATTGCTCCATTACACTTCTCTGCCCCTGAGACCAGGTGGGGTGATGCAGTCCTACTTAAGACAACTTGGAGGCACAAGAGCACAAACCAATCCTGAATGTGCTTTGCCCTAATTTTACCAATAAAGAAACTGAGATTTTGAATGTTCATAAAACTTGTCTAAGGTCACATAGCATGTCAATGCGAATCTAATAAGGAGAACCTGTACTCCAGTTCTGGGCTCTCTTTGTTGTGCTGTTGTAATATCTGTGACCTAGGATCGATGGGGCCCAGTTCTCTACCACATTGAAATATCCTCGAGTGCTATTGCCAGGAATGATACATCATGGTGAGACCAGGCAGCAGCAGCAGTAGCACCATAACCATAATAGCTGCTGCCATTTATTATCACATATCTTGTGTGGTCTAGGTTCTGTACCAGGCACTCTGCATGTATTGTCTTATTCAGTCCTTACCATAGGTCCATGAGGTGAGAAAATGGACACTCATAGAAGTTAAGTAACAGGTCTTACAGTTGGTAAGTGTGGTAAGGCTGGGATCTGAATCCACACAGTCCAACTTCAGAGCCCAACAAGCTTTTATTTACTTTAAACTACTGCCTTAGGGAAGGCAGAATCACATCTGGCAGTAAGCATCCCAAAATGGCATCATCCTCTACTCACTCTTTGGTTCTTGTAGTCAGAAAAGAAATGCCACTGAAGCAAGGACTCAGGGGGAACCGCTCTCCCTGATCCTCTACCTCCTCTTGCCTCATCAAGCCACTCGACACAAGAGGAGGTAATGAGTCCCCTGGCCACGAAGGTGCTTAAGAAGAGGCTCACTAGACAGTCTCCTGTTGAAGATGATATAGAGGAAATTCACATCATTCAAGGAATCAACGGGTGATCTTAGATGCTCTCCTCTGGGTTTGCAGCTGTGCCCATAACTACATCCCAGACAAGATACTTGATCTCTGACCTTCAGACTAATGTCAGGTCCCATGAACAACATTTCTAATTTTTTATTTGTGTCACAAATTAAGTAGATGTTTTGCTATTTATATATTCAGGAGTTACTAAAATATAAATTGTCACATGATATAATCCTATACAAACTAGTATAAATACATTATCAATCTAATATGCAGTTGTAATGTATCTTGGGTTTTCTCATAATGGTGGCACAGTTGCCTAGATCATCCCTGTATCCAGTCTTTTCTTCAACTAATGGGTGAAATTGGTTATGGTGGGTCTTCAGCCTTTGTGCAATAGCATAGTTCATTTTGTGTGCCATGATATGCGTTTCACGTACTCCATGAGTTTGCTATTGCTGCTGCAACAAATCACCACAAACTTAAAACAATACAAATTTATTATCCTGCAGTCTGGAGGTCAGAAGTCCAAAATCAGGCCCATTGGCTTAAAGTCAAGCTGTCACCAGAGCTGGTTCCCTCTTGAGCAGAACCAGGTGCACAGCGGGAGGTGAGTGGCAGGTGAGCCAGCATTACTGCCTGAACTCCACCTCTTGGCAGATCAGCGACAGCCTTAGATTCTCACTGGAGTACAAACTCTATTGTGAACTGCGCATGGCGAGGGATCAAAGTTGCAGCACTCCTTATAAGAATCTAATGCCTGTCCCACCCCACTACTGCCTCCCCTCGTCCATGGAAAAATTGCCTTCCGTGAAACCATTTCCTGGTGCCAAAAAAGTTGCGGACCTGGCTCATGCCTGTAATTCCAGCACTTTGGGAAGGTGAGGCAGGTGGATCACTTGAGGTCAGGAGTTTGAGACCAGTCTGGCCAACATGGTGAGACCCTATCTCTACCAAAAAATACAAAAAATTAGTCAGGCGTGGTGTTGTGCGCCTGTAGTCCTAGCTACTCTGGAGGCTGAGGTGGGATAATCCGTTGAACTTGGGAGGCGGAGGTTGCAGTGAGCCAAGACTGCACCACTGCACTCCAGCCTGGGTGATAGAGTGAGACCCTGTCTCAAAAAAATAAGAAAACAAAAAAGAAAAAAAATGTTGAGGATCACTGCTCTGGAGGCTCTAAGGGACAACCCATTTACTTTCCTTTTGTAGCTTCTAGACACCCCCCAACATTTCCTTGGCTGTGAGCCTTCCATGCATCACTCTAAGATCTTGCCTCCAGGGTCTCATCTCATACTGCTAACTCTGATGAATAATTCAGGATAATCTCACATCTCAAGCTCCTTAATTTACTAATCACATCTCAAAAGGCCCTTTTGCCAT
The DNA here is from genome assembly GCF_000001405.40 of Homo sapiens. Lineage (NCBI taxonomy): Eukaryota > Metazoa > Chordata > Mammalia > Primates > Hominidae > Homo > Homo sapiens. Next base: position 90,896,477 of record NC_000014.9, on the reverse strand, counting down.
CCTTCTAAGGTAACAACCACAGGTTCTGGGCATTAGGACATGAACAACTTTGGAGGGCCATCATTCAAGCTCTACCACGCATACATTTTCTCATTGCTATCTGCATTTTATTGATAAGGATCCTAGAATTAATAAGATAAAGTAGCATCCCAAGATCATGAATAAATAACAGAACTGACCTTCAAATCCAGGTTGAACTCTAAATCTGTTCGTACACCACTGCAAGTATTGCCTTACATCTTTTTTAAAGCTCACCAGCCTACAGTTGTAGCAGACCTGCAAGCTCAACTTTATCTGATGTAGAAACTCAAGTTAGCTTGATGTCTAGTAGGCTGGGAGCAATTTTCTTGTTAGAAGGGTTGTTCACTCTGCAATTTGTCTAATGCTTTCAGGATAATGTACTTATAATTGTCTTTTTTATGAAGCAGTTTATTCTGAGTTTTGCTAATACAGAAAGAAACATTTTGTTTGTGAAGTGATGTTGGCCTTATAATGCATAGCACCTGAATTCAGTATATTGCCATGATATCTTTTTCTAAACCATTTGTGTTCATTTGAGAGCTGATTAAGTCCTTTGCTTTTTTTCTTTTTTGAGACAGGGTCTCTGTCACCCAGGCTGGAGTGCAGTGGCACAGTGACGGCTCCCTGCAGCCTTGACCTCCCGAGCTCAAGTGATTCTCCCACCTCAGCCTCCTGAGTAGCTGGGACTGTAGGCGTGCGCCACCATGTCTGGCTAATTTTTGTTATTATTTTTTGTAGAGATGAGGTCTCACTATGTTGCCTAGGCTGGTCTTGAGCTTCTGGGCTCAAGCAGTCCTCTCACCCTGGCCTCTAAATGTGCTGGGATCTATAGCCCTTTGCTTTTTGATAATTCCTGTATTATTTTTTGGAAATTATCCATTCTGACAGAAAAGAGCCTGGGTGGAGAAGAAGAGAAAGGATGGTAAACATATAACTTACAAAGTAACTATTAAGATAATATTGTTGGGATTAAAGCAAAAACCCATAGTGAGTTATGGGTATTTGTAATGAATATTAACAGGAACCCTGAAACTAATCTGTTGAGTCCTAACAGGAGGTTCAAAATGACAATATCAAACAATACCTTTTTAAACTTTTATGTTTTAATTTTTTTTGTACAGACAGTCTCACTGTGTTGACCAAGCTGGTCTTGAACTCCTGACCTCAAGCAGTCCTCCCACCTCAGCCTCCCAAAGTGCTGGGATTACAGGTGTGAGCCACTGAGCCCAGCCTCATTACCCTTTTAAAAAGATTAATTTGCCATTGGATGGGTGTGCCAGGCCTTGGATGGGTGTGCCAGGCCTCACATGGGCACACCCATCCTACTCAGTTGCCCATTCTACTCAGTCAGTATTCAGATTCTGTATTATTTAAAGCAAGTGACTTCACATTATTGTCACATTATTGTCAGCAGTTTAAAAAGAAAGATGTGTAAACTTGATAGAGAGGGTTGGAGTGGAATTCAAATGAAAGAATTAGCTGGATGCAATTGCACACCTATAGCCCCAGCTCATCGGGAGGCCTGAGATGAGAGAATCCCTTGAGCCCAGGAATTCAAGGGCAGATTTCTTTTTAGAGACTTCATCTCTTAAAACAAAACACTGCAAATGAAAGAATTCATCACAGAAGGGAAAAAGGATATACAGTATAAAGATTTCACTGCAGTACTTGAAATTTTCCATTACCAAAATAGAATTATAAAACAGCTACATTATCTTTCAGCCCTTTTCTCTAAGATATGAGGATTGCCATTGATTATTTTAACAGGGGATTATTTAAACGTATTGGTGGTAGATAGTCAATAAATGTTTTATATGTTAATAGACTTCTGTGCTTCAGGAAGGCCCTCCACGTTATTCTTTCTCTTTTCTAGCTTCACACGTTTCTAGTGATGGAACTTCTGAATGGAGGAGAACTGTTTGAGCGCATTAAGAAAAAGAAGCACTTCAGTGAGACGGAAGCCAGCTACATCATGAGGAAGCTTGTTTCAGCTGTAAGCCACATGCATGATGTTGGAGTGGTGCACAGGGATCTGAAACCTGAGGTATAAAATCACTGGATCTCTTACGTAATTCAGTCTAGCACCATTATTAAAGATCTCCCAAACATGGGGGAAGTTTCTGGGGAGGTTTCCTTATTTTTTTACTTTTCAAGGCTGTTAAATAGATAATTGAAAATACGTTTCTTTGATGTTTTTTCTTTTATATTTCAGTCTAAAATAAATTTGTCTTTGTTTATTTTTTGCCAGCTGATCATCTTGAGGTTATATTTGTAAGTGTGAGAACCTTTTATGGAAAAAATACTTTATGCAACAGTTGTGGACTAAAAATAGCAATGGAAATTTTTATAGCAGAAAATAATATCTCTTACATATAATTTTAGAGGGTTTTTTTTCCAAATGATGTATTTTGAAAACTTATTTTTTACATTTGTAATCAAATTGGTTAGCTCATGAATAAAAATGTATATAATTCTATTCTAAATACTTAAAGAGTTGTCTTGGTTTAATTAGTTATGCCGTCTTTCTATGTGCTTTTCTATGATCGTGCTATAATATTTATAGAACTATATGTAGCAATGCAAAAGTAACAGCTATTTATATGTCTCCTCTTATGAAAGGCTAATAAAGAATGTTCTAACTCTTAGAATGATCCCTTTTTAGTATCAAAAATATGAAAATTCCCTCCTTTTAGAAAATCAACAAAATAATGAAAATTGAAAAACGAAAATCAATACTGTATAAAAAGATAATGATGACTCATCCTTTACCATATACAAGATTATACATATTCTCTCCAAAATAGAACTTTGTTTAATTATCATGTGATTATAATATGTTCTCGAGTATATATAAAATATTATTTGATGTTCCTTTTGTGATTAAGCCACAAAAGATTATTTCTCTAAAAGCACTATTTTTGCCTTTTACTTAGGTATCTTGAATTATTAGAAGAGGATGTTTTAAAAATGGAATTCTTTTCTTCTCTACTTCACATGGAAAAGAAAATTTTTAAAATGAAATTCTGTGCATTAAAATATATTTGGTTTATTCCTTTCATGTATTTAGACTTCTATGTATTTTCTATTACCATTATTCACAGTACTAGTAATTAATCAAAAGTAAATTCTGTTTTATTAACTTGCAACTATGATAGTTCCCCTCTGCTTCCTTCATCATAGTTCTCACTCTCCTACATAACACCCACTGAAAGTATGGTGCTCTGTACATTGGAGATTAGCTGTCTATTTTTAAATGTGAAAGCACACCACTTAAATGTTTTCTTGATAGACAAGGAACAAGCATGTAGTTTTTTTTAATTGAAAAGATCTGTTCCATGACTGTATAGAATTCATTTTCACATGTTTTATTCTTTGATAACTGGCCATCTGTCACCTCATGAGTCTCAAATGAGGCAACTGTCCTCTCTTGCAGAATTTAGATTTGCATTCCTCCTTTCCTGATAAAAAGATAACTTATGTAGCTTAATTCTTCTTATTTGTTATAAGGCTTTTCTTTCAAATACTCACTTGAAATGGGGCAGAACTATCAGATTATTTAGGACATTCTACTGCAATTATAGTCCTAAATCAAACTAGATTTTGGAGAAATGAAAATAGACCTTTGAACTAACATTTTCATAATAAAATGTCTTTCACTTTGACTTTTAAATGGCAGTGTATATTATTTCTAAACTAAAAGTTTAATATTTTCCCATGTGGCACTTTAAGGTCTGATTATCTATCTTTTGGTAGGTAGCTATGTGGATTCATTTTCTGCATAGGCAGAATCCTAAGTCTAGGTAAGAGTCAGATAAATTTAGAAGCTGGCTGACATTCTTAGTAAGCTGCCTTGTATTTTTCAAACTTGTCCCATACTCTTCTGAGATTAAGAAAAGTTGCATACATCCAATTTGTTTCAGGCAGAACTTGAGATGAGGATAAAAGGGGATTGAATGGTTACTTCCCACCATTCCTGACTAGGCACACCCTCCTCCATGTAGAACTGTCTCTAACTTTGAGCTTTGAGAGAAGAGGTAGGCAAGTGAGCAGTGTTTCTCAATTTTACATATTCCGGAATAGGAGGAATGGATTAAAGTCACCAAATTAAAGTGATTGCCACATCCTCTCACTTCTTCTGCTTTAAGAAGTGAAACTGGCCGAGCGCAGTGGCTCACACCTGTAATCCCAGCACTTTGGGAGGCCGAGGCAAGCGGATCACTTGAGGACAGGAGTTTGAGACCAGTCTGGCCAACATGGCAAAACCTCATCTCTACTAAAAATACAAAAAAAGTTAGCCAGGCATGGTGGCGGGCACCTGTAATCCCAGGTACTTGGGAGGCTGAGGCAGCAGAATCACTTGAATCCAGGAGGTGGAGGTTGCAGTGAGCCAAGATCGCACCACTGCACGCCAGCCTGGGCAACAGAGCAAGACTGTCTCTCTCAAAAAAAAAAAAAAAAGAACTAAAATCAAGGAAGCCCTTTTCCAATCTTAATATAGAATAAACATGGTCATTTCCAAAGACTTAGCAGGCTCAATGAAGACAAGGCCAGCTGTGGTTCATTCAGCTGTTCTGTGTGGACAGTGCCTTACACTGCAAAGGAGCTCAGGTGTTACTTGCTAAAAGACTTCTCCCAAGCACGCATCCATCAACCCCAGCCGTGGCTTCAGTGTCACAAATTCAAGATTAAACAATGTATGCTAGAAAATTTAAGACAATTTTTAGTTAATGTTTTGTTTTTCTTTCCACCCACTTTATTGACTTTCAGATGGAAGACTTAGGAGATTTTTCTTCTTTGCATCAGTGATACCATCTATAATGTGTTTTATTTCAGCTAGAATAGTATTAACAAAGCAAATAATATTCCAGAGCTGGGAATAATTTAATGACTATAAAGGCATAATGGATTTTGTTAGGATGCCTAAAGACGATATAATCAGATTTCACTTACTTTCAGTACTAGCTTAATGTACTTATTAAAATAATTTGTGCATCAGTAAGTATTAAGCATGTGATAAATACAAAAAGTAGTACTACAGAGTCTTAGTGATCAAGAAGCCTTGGTGGATGAATGATTCAAAATAATAATGTTTTCTGAATATTTGAAGTATTAGCTGTTGGAGAAAATATTTCTGAAATGTAATGGGTGTCTCTACCATGTCTTCTTCAATAGGCAATACTAGATATTATATAGCTATTTTATTTATGACTTTGTTCAATGAACACATGTTTACCAAAGCACCTACTCTATGTCTGTGCCAGGCCCTGGGGTAGGGTCAAAAATAAGGTAGACACATAGTCCCCGTCCTTATGGAATTATGACATAATGGGGATGAAGACATTAAGCTAGCAATACAGAGGTGGTAAGTGCCAGAAAGGAAAAGTAAATAGTGTTAGGAAAAAATATTAAACGTTTTAACTTCAGTTTGGTAGGACAGTTAGGATAGTATCTCTAAATGAGGAGTAGATGGGGGGAGGTAGGTTGGCGGAGGAAGCAAAAGACAAACACAAGCAGAGGGAAAAGCTTAGAAAAAGGGTCTGACATCAGAAGAGGCATGGTGCAGTTGAAAAATGTTTCACATGACATGGTAAAATTGAAATAATACCAAAAAGCATCAAGCAGAGAGCAGCAGTGTATTGATGTCCTGCCCTCGCGCCTCCCCATGAGACCTCTCTGCACATGAATCAACTATCAATATACAAAGTGTTACATAAATAGTACCAGCAATTCCCAAGACATGCCTAGTGAGAAACTAATGTAAGCATTGATATCTTGCAGAATTTATTGTTCACCGATGAAAATGACAATTTGGAAATTAAAATAATTGATTTTGGATTTGCACGGCTAAAGCCACCGGATAATCAGCCCCTGAAGACTCCATGCTTCACCCTTCATTATGCCGCCCCAGAGCTCTTGAATCAGAACGGCTACGATGAGTCCTGTGACCTGTGGAGCTTGGGCGTCATTTTGGTGAGTTCTTTTCAATACAGTCATTAAACCTGCTTATTTCTTTGGTGTCCTCTCTCCTTATCTCACTCTTCACTGTTTCCTTACATTCATGAAAAAATTGGCAAAGTGGTTTCTTTTCTGTACAGCCAGTTAGAGGCCTGACTGAATAGTATTTCCCTGTCTTAAAATGTATATTAAAGAAAATGTAAGAATTTCTATTTTGGTTTATTTTGAAATATTTAAGTTAGCTGTGTTTTATATCAATGAGAGTTAAAGGAACTATAGCATATATTTTTAAAGACACATATTATATTGGACATAATGTGAAAATAGCAAAATGATTCATCAATAGAAAAACATTTTTAAAAAACTTCTGTGAAGTTTCAGACTAAAATGTAATTACAGAATACCATTTAAGCTAAATTAACAAATAAATAGATGAAATTAGAAATATTTCTACTACGTAACTTAAAGTAATGTGAGCATGCTTTTCACAAAATGTCCTTGGCTGCTGTGATTAGAAATAGAACGTTAAGCTAGAAAAATCTTGTGTTTTTTTTCTCCAAATATCATTACTTTTTCTGCATATAATTTGTAATGCATGATCTTGGGAAATTTTCAGACAGTACAGAAAGAAGGAGCAAGGTGAAAATTACTCATATTCTTCACATTGAGAAGTGATATACCTCAAGCTCTCTCTCTCCCTTCAGCCCCTCCTCCCCTTTAGATATGTAGGCTTTTCATCTTTCCACATGTTTTCTATACATGTATACATATTTGAATTTTTTAACAAATAAGATTATATTATACCTGTATTTTGAGTCTCTGAAACTTATGTAACCATTTATTTACTAATAAGCAGTTAGCTTTTTTTCACTTTTTCACTAATTATAAGCTACACAAATGAATTTTTTTTATATATGTGTTTGTGTTTGTCTCACCATTTCCTTAGGATAGATTCCCAGAAGAAGGGTATGCACAACTTTCCTTTAACATGTGTGCCTGGATTTCCTTCTAAAAGATTTATCAGATTATGTTCTCATCAACTATATGGGAGTACATTGGCTATCAGTTTTCATCTGAAATGATATCCCATTGTGATAATTTGCATGTGTTTCTTTGATGAATATTTAGTTAGAGCATCTTTTCATGCATTTGAACATTAGTATTTTCTCTTTTATGAATTACTCTTTTTTTTTTTTTTTTTTTTTTTGGAGACAAAGTCTTGCTCTGTCTCCCAGGCTGGAGTGCAGTGGCACAATCTTGGCTCACTGCAACCTCCGCCTCCCGGATTCAAGCGATTCTCCTGCCTCAGCCTCCTGAGTAGCTGGGATTACAAGTGTGCACCAACATGCCTGGCTAATTTTTGTATTTTTAGTAGAGACGAGGTTTTACCATGTTGGTCAGGCTGGTCTCAAACTCCTGACCTCGGGTGATCCGCCTGCCTTGGCCTCCCAAAGTGCTGGGATTACAGGCGAGAGCCACTGTGCCCAGCCTCTTTTATGAATTGCTCTTTATGAGCTTTGCCCATTTTCCTATGGGGAGATTTTTCTTACTGCATTTTAAAGCTCTATTAAAGACTTTCATTCTTTGACGTTAATATTGGAAATGTTTTTTCTGGTGTGTCACTTGTTTTAAAACTTTGTTTATGGTAATACGGTATTTTGATTTTGTTTTTAGAAGGATTTAAACAGAGAAGATTCTTAAATGTCTATGTAGTAAGATATGTCAGTCTTTTTCTTTATGATATCTGACTTTTATGTCAGATTGTCACTCCACTCCTATGCCCACCGCAAGTTTATGAAAATATTGTCCTAAATTTTTCTCTAGAATTATTTTGTTCTTACACTTAAGTCTGGAATTTATTTTAGTGTCAGTTGTTTTCCCCCAATGACTAGTCAGTTGTCCCTGCAGGATGGTTCTTCTTTTATTTTTAAGTTTTATATAGTTTTTATCTCATCGGTTTTCAGTCATCATTTATAATTTTCAAACTAAACTTACATATTTGTGAATAACATTTTAAACAAAAATAAACTGACTTGTAGATCTGAGTTTTGTTGAAGGACTTAAATTGAAGACATTTTTATTAGTAGCATGTCTTAAAGATTAATCTAAATAAAAAAGAGACTTTCATTTTTAGTAATTTCTTTTCTCTTGCTAAAGGCCAATTATGTCCATCAAGCTCTTTAAGGTTTCAAAAGGCAGTCTTAAACATGCAGCAGTGTATTTTGGAGCCTCTGAATTCCTTAACTATAGAAATAACTTTGTGTAATGACATGGATGGAAGCCATGCTTCTCTCTAAATCTAATTGTCAAATTTTTAAGAAAAATAGGACAAAAAAACAGGTTAAATGATATCACAGGATAATCACAATATCCAGTCTGTGGGAAGTTCCACTAAACAAACAACCCAGTTTGTTCAACAAATAAATGGTAAAAAAAGGTAAACTGAGAACTTATAGATGAAAAGACACATAAGAAACAATGTTTGCATCTTACTGAAATCCTGATTTAAGCACTTTCTAATTTAGATTCCTTTTTTTTTTTTTTTTTTTTTTTTTTGCGATAGCCTCCCTCTGTCGCCCAGGCTTGAGTGCAGTGGCACCATCATAGCTCACTGCAGGCTCAAGTGATCCTCCTACCTCAGCCTCCTGAGTAGCTGGGACCACAGGCACATGCCACCATACCCCAGCTAATTTTTTTTTTTTTTTTAAATAGAAAAGAAGTCTTGCTTTGTTGCCCAGGCTGGTCTCAAATTCCTAGCTTCAAGTGATCCTCCCGCCTCGGCCTCTCAAAATGCTGGGATTACAGGCATGAGCCACAGTGCCCAGCTTAATTTAAATTCTATTTATTAAATTCAAATTAAATGTAATTCATATAGATCTAATTTATATACTATGTATATACCACAGCTAGGGAAATTTGAATATTGATTAGATGTTGAATGATACAAAGGAATTACTACTAATTTTTTTTAGATGTGATACTGATATTGTGGTTGTGGTTTTAAAGGTGCTTGCCTTTTATGGACAGACACAGTCTGTAATCCCAGCACTTCGGGAGGCCAAGGTAGGAAGATTGTTTAAGCCCAGGAGCTCAAGACCAGCCAGGGCAACACAGTGGGACCCAGTCTCTAAAAGGAAAAAAAAAAAAATTTTAATTAGCTGGGCATGGTGGCTCATGCCAGTAGTCCCAGCTACTTGGGAGGCTGAGGTGAGAGGCTCACTTGAGCCCAGAGGTTGAGACTGCAGTGAGCCGTGATCACACTACCACACTCCACAGTGGGTGACAGAGCAAGACCCTGTCTCCAAAAAACAAAAGTCCTTTCTTTTTAGAGGTACATGATAAAATACAGATGAAAATGAACAAAAATAATACCTTCATTAAACTATCCGAAAAAAAAGAGTGCTTTGCTAACTTTTCTATATAAATGAATGCATATCTAGATACAAAGGCTGAATTATCCCATAACAAGCACAAAATTTATTTGAAGTCTCCTGATTTGTTTCAGAAATAAATGGAAGTTTTGTATTTTACATCTAATAAACATGTATGTGGATATTTTAATATGAAAACAAGTTATATTGTCCTCATTGAATAAAATAAATACTCCAGGAAAATACATCATGTAGTATTATGAGGTTTTGATTACAACCCATTATACCTGATGGATATACAATCCCTGTCTGAAATGTATAGGACTTTAATAAAAATAGAGCTTACACGGTATATTAATCTGCTTAGGCTGCTGTAACAGAATACCACAAATTAGGCAGCTTGAACAACAGAAATTTATTTTCTCACAGTTCTTGATGCTGGGTGGTCTTACGAACCAGATGCCAGCAGTATTGGTGTGTGGTGAGGGCCCTCTCTTTGGATTACAGATGGCCACCTGCTTGTTGTGTCCGCACACAGCCTTTCCTTGGTCTGCACACTCACAAAGAGAAAGTGTCTGTCCCTTTAAGGACACTAATTCTCTTGGATCAGGGGCCTACCCGTATAACCTCATTTAACCTTAGTTACCTCCCTAAAGGCCCTGTCTCCAAATACAGTCACATGGAGAGCTGGGGCTTCAGCGTGTGAATCCCCAGCGGGTGCAAGGAGAACACAAACATTCAGTCCACGGTACACAGTATTTAGAGAAAGTAGGATAAGATATATAACATACCTGTGAAGTGTTATAAAATTTTGTTTAAAGTGTTTTATTCTCAGGACCTTATTTTTTAATTTTTTTCCCACAATTTTATTTTGAACATTTTAATGCTAGAGAAAATATGAGAGAATATTACTATGAACATCTGACATTTTGCTGCATTTCCTTTTTCTTTCTCTCTAATTATTTCTAGTGTGCACGCTCTTCTTTATATGTATGTGTATATGTATATATATGAGTATATATAATACATATATGCAGACATACATATATATCTTTATGTAGAGATAGAGCTATACCTTGCTACAGTATTTGCAAACAATTTGCAGACACAAAGTTATCCTTAACAGATATTTCTAGATAATCAACTAAAATTTTAAGAGCTTGGAACTGAGAGGATCCTAAAGTTTGTTTAATTCTGCCTTTTCCAGAAAAGGGATCTTTTATATTATCACCAATATCCTCTCCAGTACTTCCAAAGTTGGAAAGTTAGTTTTTTCACCCAACAACCTGTTGCATTATTACATGCCAGAAAACAAGAAAACTTTATTTATAAAGATTGGTTTCTTTTTTCTTTTTTCTTTTTTTTTTTTTTTTTTTTTTTTTTTTTTTTGAGATGGAGTCTTGCTCTGTCACCCAGGCTGGAGTGCAGTGGCGTGATCTCCGCTTACTGCAAGCTCCGCCTCCTAGGTTCACGCCATTCTCCTGCCTCAGTCTCCCGAGTAGCTGGGACTACAGGCGCCCGCCACCTCGCCCGTCTAATTTTTTTTTTTTTTTTTTTTTTTTTTTTTTTTTTTTTTTTGAGACGGAGTCTCGCTCTGTCGCCCAGGCTGGAGTGCAGTGGCGGGATCTCGGCTCACTGCAAGCTCCGCCTCCCGGGTTCACGCCATTCTCCTGCCTCAGCCTCCCAAGTAGCTGGGACTACAGGCGCCCGCCACTACGCCCGGCTAATTTTTTGTATTTCTAGTAGAGACGAGGTTTCACCATGTTGGCCAGGATGCCTCTCGATCTCCTGACCTCATGATCTGCCCACCTCAGCCTCCCAAAGTGCTGGGATTACAGGTGTGAGCCACCGTGCCCAGCACTTTTTTTTTTTTTTTTTGAGACAAGATCCTGCTCTGTTGCCCAGGCTGAAGTGTAGTTGCACGTTCATGGCTCACTGCAGCCTCGACCTCCCAGGCTGAGGTGATCCTCTTGCTTCAGTTTTCCGAGTAGCTGGGATTACAGGCACACACCACCATGCCCAGCTAATTTTTGTATTTTTTGTAGAGGTGGGGTTTTGCCATGTTGCCCAGGCTAGTCTCAAACTCCTGGGCTCAAGCAGTCCACCCATCTCAGCCTCCCAAAGTTCTGGGATTGCAGGTGTGAGCCCCTGTTCCCTGCCCTGCTTTCTTATATTTAGCCACAAACATACCTGTTAAGAAGTGGGGCAGGACAAAGAAGTAGAGCAGACTTTAGAAAACTATTTGGCAGTATCTACTGAACATATGCAGACCAAATAATCCAGCAATTCCAATTCAGGAATATATCCAACAGAAATATGTATATTTCTGTAACAAAGACATGTATAAGAAGATATATAACAGCATGATTCAAAATTCCCCACACTGGAAACAACCCAATGTTCATCAACAATAGAAGGATATTTTAAAGAGAGGATGCTGGGAAGACAGTGCAGCAGGAAGCACCAGGAATCTGTCTCACCACCAACTGCAGTGGCAGAATCTCTCTGACGTAACTATTTTGGAACTCTGAAGTCCATTGAAAGTTTTCAACTTCCAGGGAAAGGCTTGGACAGTAAAGTGCAGTTAATTTTGGTCAATTTTAGCTCTTAGCACAGTATAGGTCGAGTATCCCTTATTCAAAATGCTTGGGACCAGAAGTATTTTGGATTTCGGATTTCTTTGGATTTCGGCATATTTGCAGAATACATACTGGTTGAGCATCCCTAATCTGAAAATTCAAAATGCAAAGTGCCCCAGTGAGCATTTCCATTGAGCATGTTGGCGCTCAGAAAGTTTGTTTTGGGAGCATTTTGGATTTTGGGTTTACAAGTTAGGGATGCTCAACTTACAGCAGCCACCCATTCCCCACCCTCAACCCTGTAGCAGACAGCCATGCACGTATTCCTAAAACAACCTACACACAGTTTGTGGGAGCCAGGATGGGCAAAAAGGACCTTGTCCTCTAAATATAGAGCATCTGTGATCTGAATTGCTATAATTGCTGCTTCTCACTATAGAGGTGCAAAGAGGGCAGTGGTCATTGTTGTTGTGCCTGCCACCATTACTGCAAGCCCCTCCTCCTCCTCTGGATGAAGTGATTTCCAGGAGTACTTAAAGGACCAGTCCCCCTTTTTCCCTTTGGGAGCCAGACATTCAGTACTCATACATTCCAAAGCAACTGCTTATACAGGGAAAATTAGAAAGCTACCAGGCATGCCCAGGCAAAGCCACAGGCTCATCAAAGACCTGAGAAGACCTTAAGTTTGTACTCCATGCTGATCCTCGGCACAGAGACAGCCTATAACAATCAAAAAACGAAAAGCAATAAACAAAAACAAACACAAAAAAAGCAAACCCTAGGGAAGGAGGAGAATTTTGATTCCCAGAGGTACCACATCATTAAGTTCAAGGTCCCATTTTCAACAAGAATCACAAGGTATATAAAGAAACAAGAAAGTATGGCCCACTCAAAAAAATAAATCAACAGAAACTGTTTCTGAAAAAGGCCTCATGATAAATTCACCTAGACAAAGACTTAAAACAACTGTGTTAAAGACATTGAAAGACCTAAAGGAGTATGTGGGGAACATCAAGACAAAATGTATTAACAAAATGGAAATAACAGTAAAGAGATAGAAAACCTGAAAAGAAAATGAAAAGGAATTCTGGAGCTGAAAAGTACAGTAACTAAAATGAAAAATTCAATAGAGGGTTTCAGAGGCAGATTTGGCAGGCAGAAGAAGGAATCAGTGAAATTGAAGTTAGGACAATTAAAATTATTGAGTGTGAGGAACAGAGAGAAAAATGAAAAAAAGCGAACAGAGCCTAAGGAACCATAGGATGCCATCAAGAGGACCAACATATGCATTGTCGGAGTTTCAGAAGGAGAAGAAAGAGAAAGGGACAGAGAGAATATTGGAAGAAATATTCTATTGGATTGGTGGAAAACTTTCCAATTTTGATGAAAGACAATATAAACAACTAAGAAATTCAACAAAATTCAAGTAAGACTAACTGAAAGAGACCCACACTGAAACACATTATAATGAAACACCTGTAATCCTAGCACTTTGGGAGGCCGAGGTGGGCTGATCACTTGAGGTCAGGAGTTCAAGACCACCCTGGCCAACATGGTGAAACCCCATCTCTACTAAAAATACACAAATTAGCCAGGCGTGGTGGCACACACCTATAATCCCAGCTACTCGGGAGGCTGAGGCAGGAGAATCGTTTGAACTTGGGAGGCGGAGGTTGCAGTGAGCTGAGATCATGACAGAGTGGGTGACAGAGTGAGACTCTGTCTCAAAAAAAAAAATAGAATCTTGAAAGCAACAAGAGAAAAGCAATTCCACACATACAAGTGATCTTCAGTTAGATCATCAGCAGATTTCTCATCAGAAGGTGGCTCAGAAGGCAGTGGAGTGATACATTCAAAGCACTAAAAGGGAAAAAAAAAACTGTCAACCAAGAATCCTATCTCTGGCAAAGCTGTCCTTCAAAGTGGAGGGAGAAGTTAACATATTTCTAGATCCGTAAGAAGCTGAGGGAGTTCATTACTTCATTACCACTAACGCCGCTCTGTAAGAAATGCTCAAGGGAGTCCTGCAGGCTGACAAGAAAGGACACTAGACAGTTAATTCAAAGCCTTATGAAGAAATAAAGATGTCAATAAAGGTAAATACAAGGCCAGTTGTAAAAAGCTAGCATTATTGTGACAACAGTTTATAACTTCACCTTTTGTTTTCTGCGTGACATAAGAGACGAATGCATTTAAAAGAATTATCGGTTTGTTTTGGGGCACACAGTGTATAAAGATGTAGTTTTGTAACATAAACAACCAAAAGAAGTTGGGTAGAACTGTTAGAGGAGCAAAGGTTTTTCTACATTATTAAAGTTAAACTGATACAAATTCAAGTTAGAGTGTTATAACTTTAGGATAGTAAATGTAATCCCTTGGGAACCACAAAGAAAATAGCTATAGAATATATACAAAAAGAAAAAAGAAAGGAATTTAAATGTTTTATTACAAAAAAATAAACTAAACATAAAAGAAGGCAGTAATGCAGAATATGAAGGACAAAAAAGTTATCAAGCATATAGAAAACACATAGCAAAATGACAGAAGTTAGTTCCTTTTTATCAGTAATTACTTTAAATGCAAATGGATTAAACTCTAATCAAAGGTCAAAGATTGGCATAATGGATTTAAAAACATGATTAACTATATGCTGTCTGCAAAAGAATCACTTTAAATCCAAAGACACAAATAGATTGAAAGTGAAACTATGGGAAAAGATATTCCATGCAAATAGTAACCAAAAGAGATCAGGGCTGAGTGCAGTGGCTCAAGCCTGTAATCCCAGCACTTTGGGAGGCCGAGGCAGGCGAGTCGCTTGAGGTCAGAAGTTCGAGACCAGCCTGGCCAACATGGTGAAACCCCATCTCTACGAAAAATACAAAAGTTATCCAGGCGTGGTGGTGTGTGCCTGTAATCCCAGCTACTCAGGAGGCTAAGGCAGGAGAATCGCTTGAACCCAGGAGGCAGAGGTTGCAGTGAGCCAACATTGTGCCATTGCACTCTGGCCTAGGTAACAAGAGCGAAACTCCGTCTCAGAAACAAACAAACAAAAAAGAGCTCAGGAGTGGCTACACTAAAATAGACTTTTTTTTTTTTTTTGAGACAGAGTCTTGCTTTGTTGCCCAGGCTGGAGTGCAGTGGCACAATCTCAGCTCACTGGAACCTCTGCCTCCCGAGTTCAGGCAATTCTCATGCCTCAGCCTCCCAAGTAGCTGGGATTACAGGCGCATATACCATGACACCCAGCTAATTTTTGTAGTTTTAGTAGAGATGGGGTTTCGCCATATTGGCCACACTGGTCTCAAACTCCTGGACTCAAGCAATCTGACTGCCTTAGCCTCCCAAAGTGCTGGGATTACAGGCATGAGCCACCACTCCTGGCCACAAAATAGACTTTAAATCAAAAAAGTTTACAAGAGGCTGGGCATGGTGGCTCACAGCTGTAATCCCGGCACTTTGGAGGCTGAGGCAGGAGGATCACTTGAGCCCAGGAGTTTGAGACTAGCCTGGACAACATAGTGAGACCTCATTTCTACAAAAAATTTAAAAATTAACCAGATGTAGTAGCATGTGCCTGTAGTCTCAGATACTCAGAAGGCTGAGGTGGAAGGATCTCTTGAGCCTGGGGAGGTCAAGGCTGCAGTGAATCGTGATTACGCCACTGTACTCCGACCTTGGAAACAGAGCGACACCTTGTCTCACAAAAAAAAAAAAAAAAAAGTTTACAAAAGACAAAGAGGGTCAGAGGGTCCTCATATATTAATAAAATATCCAATTCAACAGGAAGATGTAATAATTACAAACACTTGTACACCTAATGTAGACCAGTAAAGTACATGAAGCAAAAACTGACAGAACTGAAGGGAGAAGTAGACAGTCCTGTAATAATTATTGGAGACTTCAATACCCAACTCTCAATAATGGATAAAACAACCGGCCAGAAGATAAGAAGGAAATAGAGGACTTAACCAACTAGATCTAATGGACACATACAGAGTTAAAATGTGGATGCAATCTGAGTTTCCATGGATAGATGATAGACAAGCAAAATGTGCTGTATACATACACTGGAATATTATTCAGCCTTGAAAAGGGAGGAAGTTCTCACATGTACAAAAACATAGATGATTATTGAGGATATTATGCTAAAGAAGGAAGCCAGTTACAAAAAGACAAATAGTGTATGTTCAGAAAAGATACTTAGGGTATTCAGAATCATAGAGACAGAAAGTAAAATGGTGGTTGCCGGGGTTGTGGGGGAAAGGAGAATGGGGAGTTATTATTTAATGGGTATAGAGTTTTAGTTTTACAAGATGAAGAGTCCTAGAGATGGATGGTGATGATGGTTGCATACCGTGAAGATATTTAATACCATCGAACTATACACTTAAAAATGGTTAACATGGTACATTTTGTTAAATGTATTTTAACACAATAAAAAATTAGGAGTGGTGGCCAGGCATGGTGGCTCACTCTTGTAATCCCAGCCCTTTGGGAGGCCAAGGCGGGTAGATCACAAGGTCGGGAGTTTGAGACCAGCCTGGCCAAGAGACAAGCCTGACCAATATTGTGAAACCCCACCTCTACTAAAAACACAAAAGTTAGCTGGGCATGGTGGCAGGCGCCTGTAATCCCAGCTACTTGAGAGAGTGAGGCAGGAGAATTGCCTGAACTCAGGAGGCAGGGGTTGCAGTGAGCCGAAGATCGTGCCACTGCAGTCTAGCCTGGGCGACAGAGCGAGACTCCAACTCAAAAAAAAAAAAAAAAAAATTAGGAGTGGAGAGAAAGATATTCTATTCTGTGTTCCCCGGAAAGCGAAACCTGAAGCTAATACTTGTGTCATATTATGTTATTAAAGAGCATAATCCCAAGGGTGCAGGACTGAGGAAAAGAGAGCAGAGCATGTGCTACTGGGCTGGCCACGTGTCATCACCAAGTGCAGCTGATCACTTGAGCTCATGGAACAGACCTCTGAGCAGAGCCAGGAAGCATGAGTTCTCTAAGTGGGTCGTGCACCCATAAAATCTAGATACAGAGGACCTGGACCCATCAGCCATTGGTTCAGCACAGCTCTCAGAGACAGCACCCCGACCCCACAAGGTATTATCCTGAGCCAGGTGGTATCTTTGCTGAGTCTGCCATGTTCTACAGGCCAGCTGCACTTAAGTGAACCATCTGCCAACCAGGCTTATCAGTTGATCATAGGGAACCTCCTTCAGTGAGGCCATAGTGTGAGTTAAGGAAGAAGTGTTAGTGCATCCAAGACAAGTGACATGTGTGTAAGCACGTTATTTACTCATGCGTTCTGGACTGCCCAGGGCAGATTCTGAGTGTGCCATTTCCATAGTGCATTGGTTTGTTGCTGTGCCTACCTGACTTGGTGAATCAAGGCATCTGCTGATCTTAGCACATGATGCACTGCTCTTGGGATCACATGTTTGAGGCACTCAGAGCCTGCCGGGGTCTAGTAACATCTCAGGAGCAGTTATTTGGAAAATAGTTACCTGCCACAGAAGGCCCCACCTTGCACCAGAATACTTCAGGTCTGCTCTGAGACTCTCCTGTTGTGGCTGCGAGAGAGTCTCATCTTTCACAGATACCTGTAGTACAATCAGAGCAACTGAAACCTATGGCCCAAGTAGCTTCCTGCTAATTGGCAGGATTGGACCTATAACAAAAGCCTATGCTAGGCCCCACTTGAAACAGGTAGCCTTCCGAGTCACTTGATAAATTTCTTAGAGCAGTATTCTCCAGTGCAACGTATGCTACCTCCAAAATGCAAAGAAGCCCACTAAGTTCTATTCCCGCTTCTTAGTGGTGCAAGGTACAGTAGGTTGTCTTTTAGAGGAGGATGTTTCATTATGTCCCTGACCACTGGAGCCCCAGTTTTCTGCTCTGCAGAATGAGAATTACATCATTCCACTTCTGCGGAATGAGGAAAATACCCTATAATGGTGCCTAATTGCATTAACAGGACTAACTTTGCTCTGCTTTCCTTTCTTTCCTTCACTATAGATATTAGAAGAGCTTTTGTTCCATGTTTGGGGAGGTAAACTTGCAGCTAGAAAGGCAAGGCCTGGGGAAACTACATTCTATTCAATAGCAAGAGTCAGGGAAATAGGATTCTAGAAACTTAGGGAAAAGGGGCGGAATTCCTGGCATCCGAGGAAGGGGAGGGGGGATCTGGAACACATGTGACACAAGTTCCACAGACTCATCAGAGCTGTCATTTGGTGGCATCCCTCTGTTTAATCAAGACCACAGTACAGTCTCTATCATATCACTGTCTTAAGTGTTCTTAAAGGGTTCTTACTCATTCAGGAAATAAGCATGGGATAGCAAATTCTGGCACTACGCAAGGTTCAGGGGATACAGTGATACATGAGACATAGTTCTGCTTCCAGGGAGCTCATGGTTTAGCAATGTGGACAGTTGTATTGAGTTACCCCACAAAGTGATAGGGCATCTACAGGTGTGCACACCAGTTCAGTGGCTGTGTAGATAGCTCTGTGGATACAGTAGTGGAGAATAAGATCGTGAAGAAAGGATTCTTTCCATAGAGGGGAAGCATTAAGAGACAAACTTATTAACCATTTGCTGAGCACCTACTGTGTGCCAGGCACAATACTAGGTATGTTAAATGTATGATTTCATGTAACCTTATAATATCACTTGTTACTTTTACCCGCGAAGAAATGGTCTAAGAGAAGTTAAGGAATTTGCCCATCCCGAAGCTAGTTATTGACAAAGCAGTTGTTTGCAGCCAGGTGTAGTTACCCAAACTGGGTAACTGGGTTATACTCTAGGCACCCTAGGATGCATGGGACTTTGCCAGCTGAAGAAAAAAAATGGCATTCTAAGGAGACCAAACAGCATGTGGAAAGTCCCAGAGCCCTGAGAACTGTTGTTGGGAACACAGGATTGGAATATGGGGAACTGCAGAAGCTGAGGCTGAAAAAGAAAGGCAAGAGTCAGAGACTGAAGGAAGCCAGTGAAGGGATTTGGATAGGGGAATGTTGTAAGATTTAAGTTGCATGACTGTTACTCTGGTGTCTGCATGAAGGATACAGGAGGGAAGAAGTGAGGTTGGGGGCAGGTGGAGGCACAGCATCAGTTATGAGACTCCAGTTAATCTTGGACAGTTACTGCCAGCCTGTGGACTGGCTCACTCAGACCTAGTCGTAGCCTGCCTTCAAGCTACATCAAGGATTTAGGGAGTTTTGTCTGCCTTCTACAGACGTTCTGACATTGCCCTTCTTAGAGCAATTAATCTTCTTCATTAGGTTGCTCCAGATTAGAAACTGAGGTTCCTTCTCCGTGTCTTCTATTTTCAAACTCTGCGCATTCTCATGCATATAGTTTTTATTCTTCTCAGGCACAATTTTCTATTTCAGAAAATCCAAACTTGTCCAAAGCCTTCTAGCCTCTTGTAACCTCAGAGGTGTCAAGTTTCTCTTCCTGCTGCATCTGGGTCTTATTCCTGTCTTCTCCATCCTTCTTACTCATGTTTTGTTTATTACCTACCTTACTGGATCTCCTGGTTGTCCTTTTTATGTTATTTTTATTAGCCTGTCTAGGAGTTTCCATCTTTTCTGAAGAGCCAGTGTGTAAGAGCTGTTTCACCATCTTGCCATAGTGAGGACAAGCCTACTTGTCAGAAACGTGACCAGAAAAGAAAGATGGCATATTGTTTCTAGATCACCGGAACATCCTGTGGCTTCCATGTCTCCTAATTAGGGCTGGGGTTGACACTGAGCCTCCCCTCCATGTCCCTTCCTAAGTGCCAGGATGAGCACGCTTCCCTCAGCCCAGGCTCCTGCCGACACCACTGCTCCCTTCTCAAACCATCTGGTAGGGCCGCCTTTTGGTCCTCTCTGGTCCATACCCAGACACAGCTACTTAACACCAGCCAACCCACCACCATTGATGACCAACCCACCATCTCTGCAAGACCAAAAATCAGTGAGCAGAGAAAACCACCCCCAAGAATTTTAAAGGATCACTTTTCTAAAATCCAATCTCTGCTACAAAGATAAGCCTTGGCTTGTTTGTTATTCTGTTAACTTTATAAAGGGGAAAATCTTAAACATAGATTTCAAACATATGGCTACAATGAAAACAGGTGGCTGTAGATAATTCACTGTATTTAAGACAACAGTGAGAAAAATAAAATAAAAACAGGGGTAATTACAGATCAAATAGGAAGGCCTATATGAAGTTTTTCAAGTCCTTAACCATAGTTACATGTCCTGGGGAAAGGATGGTGGAAATGGAATAGAAAAACATAGTTATTCAGGAGTTCTGCTATCTCTCTATTTTCTGTTAACATCAATACCATCTTTTTGAAGCAGTTGGATTATCCTTTTCTGTTCTTATTGCTCTGAATATAGTCATAAATGTGATTTTAAATCTATATCATAACAAGCCATGCCACTGGTTTACAAGTCTTTGAGATGTATTCACTGCCTCAGTGATAGAAGTCACGTAATCTTTTTTTTTTTAATACTTTAAGTTTTAGGGTACATGTGCACAACGTGCAGGTTTTTTACATATGTATACATGTGCCATGTTGGTGTGCTGCACCCATTAACTCATCATTTAGCATTAGGTTTATCTCCTAATGCTATCCCTCCCCCCTCCCCCCACCCCACAACAGTCCCCGGTGTGTGATGTTCCCCTTCCTGTGTCCATGTGTTCTCATTGTTCAATTCCCACCTATGAGTGAGAACATGTGGTGTTTGGTTTTTTGTCCTTGCGATAGTTTGCTGAGAATGATGGTTTCCAGCTTCATCCATGTCCCTACAAAGGACATGAACTCATCATTTTTTATGGCTGCATAGTATTCCATGGTGTATATATGCCACATTTTCTTAATCCAGTCTATCGTTGTTGGACATTTGGGTTGGTTCCAAGTCTTTGCTATTGTGAATAGTGCCGCAATAAACATACGTGTGCATGTGTCTTTATAGCAGCATGATTTATAATCCTTTGGGTATATACCCAGTGATGGGATGGCTGGGTCAAATGGTATTTCTAGTTCTAGATCCCTGAGGAATCACGTAATCTTTTAAACTCAATCATGCTAGTTGTAGCAATTGGTAAATTACACCAGTTACGTTACTATTAGGATTATTAGAGTGGCTTTAACAGATCTGGGTAGTCATTCTGTTTTGTTACTTTTTCCCTGATAGTACACAATGTTGTCAGGACAGGTTCCCTTCCAATCTCATGACCGAAGTTTGACGTGTACCAGCGCGGTGGAAATCATGAAGAAAATTAAAAAGGGAGATTTCTCCTTTGAAGGAGAAGCCTGGAAGAATGTATCCCAAGAGGCTAAAGATTTGATCCAAGGTAAGAATCTAATGAAATTTTACATTTTATATGATGTGTAGTGATTGAAGTAGAATCATGGCCATTACACATACATTCATATGTTAATTACTCGAGGAATCCATGTGTATTCTAAAAGGCTTCCAGGCTACTCTCTTCAGCCTTGTTTTCTTATCAGAACATTCTCTTTAGTAATGGTATCCACATTTCTAACATGAGCTAGCACTTGACTTCCACTGGCATCTCAGTCAAGCACATCTAAAACAAACCAATACTTTTTGACTGTCCTTCCCCCCAAACACGCTCCTCCTCCTGTCTTTCCTCCTGTCAACAGTGGCACTGCTAAGAAGCCAGATCACCAAAACAGAAACCTAGGCGTCCTCCTGGATACCTGCACCTGCCTGCCTTCTGCAGCCAGTCACAGAGTTCTACACATTCAGCAGCGCTCCTAGCAGTCCGGTCCCTTCCTTCCCATTCACCTGCCGTTGCCTTTGTTCTCATCACCATTTCTCTCCCCAAATCCTGCAGCATCCTTTCACCTTGCCTCACTTCCTCTGACTTAAGCTGTTCATCATCTGTCAATAGAGGGACTTTTCTAGAATCCCTATGTGATTATGCCTCTTTTCTGCCAAAAATCCTTTGGAGACTCTCTGTTTGCTTCAGGTCAGACTCCTTAGCCTAGCATTTAACATTCAAAGCCCCTCATGACCTGGTCCTGTCTGCCTTTGTTTCCTCCTCACCCCAGCTCTGCCGTTGCAGGATATTTGAATTCCTCAGATATGCTGAGCTTTCAGATCCCTCCGTGTCTTTACATGCTCTTAATCCTCTTCCATAGCCACTTCTCCTTATCCTACAGGATTCATCTCCTAGAAGCCTTCCAGGATGCCCTCACTCCCTAGGCTACACTCTCCCTCAGGCCTGCTAACACACTGTGCCTGTGTATCTTGCTATCGCACTTATCCCTGATGTTATAATAGCTGGGGTTTTGCCTGTGTGTCTTCTGATATTAATAGCTCCTCTCTGCATCTCCATCTCCATATCTCTAGTGCCTTACTGCACTCCCTGACCTATAGAAGATGGCCAGTAAATGTTTGGTATATGGATGAAGTAGATCTGTGTGCTTTTTGCTCATTTGGAGCTTACGAAGTCACCAGTGGGAATCTTTGTTTTGGATGTTTATTTTCTCCTGATTGAAAAGCCACTTCGCCTGGAGCTTCCTAGAAATAGGCTACTGTGACTTTATCATTAGACTCCAGCATTCACAAAAGAATTTAAATGAATAGGAAAATCTAATTATCTTTGTAGGAGGTTAAAGCTATATAGAAACCATTATGTCATGTGAACATAGCTGAGATTTATTTCTGAGTTTGTTTTTAAACCATGTTTAAAATGACAAATCATAAAATAAAAATATCTATTCCCAAAGGACTTCTCACAGTAGATCCAAACAAAAGGCTTAAAATGTCTGGCTTGAGGTACAATGAATGGCTACAAGATGGAAGTCAGCTGTCCTCCAATCCTCTGATGACTCCGGATATTCTAGGATCTTCCGGAGCTGCCGTGCATACCTGTGTGAAAGCAACCTTCCACGTAAGGCCCTGTGCTCTGTACATGTTGGGCGGTTTGAGTAGGAATCATAATCAAATGTTCTTACTCTGTAGCCTCAGATACGTTTTCTTTGTTTCACATTTAAAATAATATGTGTCCTTTTACTTTTAGGTATGTTTTTATAAATTGCTTCATGGTTATAAACACTTTATAACAATAAGTGCACAGGGGACCAGAGTCACTGCTAACCCACAAAATACATATTTAATTTTTAGAATGACCTTATGAGATGAGATAATAGAACTTTTTCCTCTCAAATAGACTGACTAAATTTCTTTAAAAACCATAATAAACATTAGGAACTAAGGCATATTTGAAAGTCCATTCATTTTACAACCATTTAGTACATCACACATTCTTAAAACTGGGAGGGATATGAAGTAAGTTCATTGGTATTAAGTATAGATTGTATGTTTGAAAGACTGAGACTATTTGGTAGAAACTGTGGATTATGCACATTTGTGCCAAGCAGATGCAAATATATTAAGATAATTCATGTGAAGTATAGTATAAGATGAGTTAGGGAAACAGAAAGTCACCTTCAAAGGGATTATTTTGAGAAAGGAGAAGGTATAGGGATAGTGCTTCTTCAGCAGCAGAAATGGATTTAAAAAGTAATAAACTAGGAAATGTTGAGATGGTAAAGAGATTAACTGCAAGAATTTCTATCAGATGATCCAAATCTTCTCAGTGACATAGGTTGCAAGGTGACAACTACAAGGTGTAACTGCAGCATTATCCAAGCCTAGGCTAAGGAGAGTGAAGACAGGCTGCAGGAGGAGGAAGCCAGGGCAAAGCTGTAGAGCTGTGCTTCTCCATGCGTGTAAGTGTCCAGTATATATCCAAATGACATTGAATGGGACTGAAGAGCAAAGACTCAGAATGCGTCAAGTCTGCTTGCATTGGGACTTTGTGTTCAGAATTTTAAATCTTAGACACAGAACCAGTAAAAGCAATGGGGATAGTTTAGATTACTGATGGTCTTCAGGAATTTCCAGTCAATTGTTTCGTATTAGGATGTAGTACTAACTTCTTCAAAAGATTTATTAGAATTGTGACTCTCAGACCGCCTAGCTAGTTTGATATAAACAGAGCCCTCAGAATTTTTTTCCCATGAACTTCTCCACCCTGCCAATAGACTTAGATATAAAGGTTTTAAGAGCTTTGTTCCCTTAAAACAACTTGGGGCTGCAGTTGCCAATGGAAAGTTGTCTTCTGCTGTAAGTCATAACTGCTAGGAAAGCTTCAGTACTTTTACCTTCACAGGGGTTCCCTTTTTTTCCCCCGCCAGGCCTTTAACAAATACAAGAGAGAGGGGTTTTGCCTTCAGAATGTTGATAAGGCCCCTTTGGCTAAGAGAAGAAAAATGAAAAAGACTAGCACCAGTACCGAGACGCGCAGCAGTTCCAGTGAGAGTTCCCATTCTTCTTCCTCTCATTCTCACGGTAAAACTACACCCACCAAGACACTGCAGCCCAGCAATCCTGCCGACAGCAATAACCCGGAGACCCTCTTCCAGTTCTCGGACTCAGTAGCTTAGGCATGGTAGGAGTGTATCAGTGATCCATTGCACCTTTATTCCCTCAGCATATGCCTGAGGCGATCTTTTATGCTTTTAAAAATGTTTCCCGTTGGTCTCATTGGAATCTGCCTCCTAATGATTTTTTTCAGGAAAACCTGTTTGGTTATCCTCATTCAAAAGCACTGGACAGAGAATGTTACTGTGAATAGAGCACATATTACTCTTTTTAGCAACCTAGCATGATGCCAACAAGACTATTCTTGAAAGAGCAAAGGTTCCTGTAAATTTAATTAGGGCTAGATTTGAGCTGCTTGTAAGTCACAGGTTTTCCAGATGTCTGCCAACAAGAAATGACTCATACTGTGATGATACCTTTTGCTTTGCCTTGTGGACAATGTGGGTTTTTGAAATTTGCACCCTTCAAACAATGATTTATCAGAGAAAGGGGTCTGTTTTCAAAAAAGATTCTGTAATGAATTTTATGTGTGGCATATACTTATTTCTTGAGAGAAGATTTTAACTTATTGTTTTTATTTTATGGTTACATATGATGATAACCTGCTATTATTAAACTTTTTCTAAAAAGTGAAAAAAAAAAAAAAAGATATAAGAACTCAAGGTCCCATACTCTGTATTCGGGATCCATCTGAGATGCATGCTAAGCTATGTGTATGTTTTTAATTTTGCACTGCTCTTTCCTGGCAATTTGTTTTAATGGTTATTGCAGAATATTAAGGTACATGTCTCTCTGTTTTAAGTAATATTGCACTTTATAAAAAAGTATGAATAAAGCAAACTATTTTATAAAGTGCACTGTTTAAAGCATTTGCACTGTATTTTTGCCATTTATTTTCATTTTCTACTTTAAATTTGTCCTCACATTCCTCTTCTACTTTGTATGCAACAAGTAGAATGGGGCATGTTGTGTCATGTAGTCAGCCACTTATGCACCAATGTGAGGAAAACCTAAAGGGAAATTAAACTAAACACTGTGCTTCATATTTGTACACTGTGTTGTACTACAGTGAGGAATTTCCTCCTGTAGTCATATATTATGTACATAATATTTTAGAATCATACCTATGACTTGTTTGGAAATTTTTCTGTTAAATTTTAAATCCAGAAAGCATATTTTATAAACTTATGCAGAGCACTTTTATTGCTCAAAAGTTCTGAATTCATACAGAAAACAAGTACTATGTGATGAAAACATTTCATTAAAAGATTGCTGCATTTAAAAATACAATTAATTCGTTCCCTATGCAAAAAAAAAAAAAAAAAAAAAAGAAGTGATAGGGTTTGTGTGTTATATTTTCTTTTAAAGCCATCATGTGAAATGTCAGGACTGAGAAAAGTGATTTTTTTGCTTTGTTTACAGGAATCATGCTTAAAGAGATAATGCCCAACATGTTTATTTTATAGTTTTTGTTAATGATAACCTTTTGAGCATTAGTTTGGAATTTGGACATGATATTTATTTATTCCTTTCTTGAGGTTATAGCAGCATTAATTTCAACCAGTTATGAATACTAAAAATATTGCACTCTATGTAATAGTAGTATATTTATTACTAAATCAATGTATATATTAATAGCACAGGCAAAAAATGGCAAATATTAAAATATTTTCAAAATATTATATTATCCTGTTCACATTTTGTCCACAGTGGTTATTGGGAATAATATTTTACACTTTTTGCTGGCCCAAATGGCTACATAATATTGAGTTAATGAAAGTTTTCTACTCCCAGCTTTCAGTTATTCCTAGTAATTATGGGAAATTTTGTGTGAATTATTACCAAACTATTGCTAATTCACAAAATGTGATTCCATCAGGCACAGATCTCTAGTAATCAAGAAAATGACCATATTTATAATTATATTGGACATATTGGGAACATATTTGGCTCTTCAAGCCATTTTTTAAACTGTGCATCCTGGTAGAAAATACTAGTTATAAAGTACAAACTAAAGGGACTATGTTGCTAATAGAAAATGATCCAGAAAAATGGTCAGACAGTATACAGATTGATGATGTGATTGATTTCATTGTGAATATTGGAAATTAATGGGTTTCATTTTCATTTATTTCCCTTGCCTCTTCTTGAGGAGGATTCGACAGGCGATGAAATGGGTAAAAAGGCAGTCAGACTAACAGGAAGAAGGAAAGATAGGCTAGCTGTCAACTGATGAGCCTGCCTGAATAATCTCAAATGGGCTTTTGAAAAGACCTTAACAAACACTGTTGCACTCTTGTCAAATATCTTTATCTACACCCTACTTATAAGTACCAAAAAGACAGCATTTGATGCCAAGTTTGAAGCAGTTAGGTCCTATGCAGGCTGTGTATTAACATACAGTGAATTGCACTTTAAAATTCAGAAAGCTTTCATTTGGTCACATCAAAAATAAACACTACAAAATATATAAAAAGTTAAATGATAGGACTCTTTTTTTGGTATTAAGAGTAAAATAGAAGAAGATCTAAGAAATACAAATACTTACATTATTTCTCCTTATGACATTAACTTTGGGACTAGAGCCACACCACCCCCTCCCTTCTTCACTTACTGATTGTATTGCATATAATTTTCATGCCAACATAAATCCTGATTCATATATTTTGTAACTGTATATGACAAATTGAGAGGCAAGAATAAGAAAAGGAAGATAATAGAGGAAAGATGTTAAGAAAGACCAGTTTCTTCTAATTACTCTGCCAGATCGTGTGTCTGAAAGAGGTTAATTAGCATTTTGAAATTGATTGGCTGAGTGTGGTGGCTCAGGCCTGTAATCCTTGTGCTTTGGGAGTATAAGACTGGAGAATCACTTGAAACCAGGAGTTAGAGACCAACCTGGGCAACATAGTGAGACACTGTCTCTCCAAAAATAAAAATAAAAATTAGCTGAGCATGGTGGCTCATGGGAGGCCAACATGTGGAGGATCGCTTGAGCCCAGGAGTTCGAGGCTGCAGTGAGCTGTGATCACACCACTGCACTCCAGCCTGGGCAACAGAGCGAGACCCTGTCTTAAGAAAAAAAGAAATTCATTAATTCTTCCAAACCTTTATAAAGTAAGAAACCACTGAATTACTAGAATAGAAAGTCAGTCTCCTGAGTTAATTTCCACATTGTTGTCTGTCTTGGAGTCACAGGTTCATTACCCAAGAAAACTGCCTTTTAATTTTTTTAGATTACTGTTGATTTCTTAAGTATGTAAATGACTAACTTTTAAATATAAGGTAAGTTATTTTAAAGAAATCTACTAAGATAGAAGTCACTTTTTTTAAAGTAAGGAAATTCCTTTTGTATCTCAGTTTATGTTCTCAAATACACTACTTTATAAAAGTATACAATTGACTGGATACTTATTCACCTTGCCCCCATTTCAAGCGCCTGTTATTGTCATATTTATTAAAAACAGGGTACCTCATAATGGTGAAAATTTCTAAATTATTGGGTCTATATGTGCCTTAGACTGCCTGATTACTTTGGCTGTTCTCCCAGTGACTGATAATAATAGCATGATTTGAGTGTTCATGTGAGAATACATCTAATATTCCTTAAGATCTAAGTAAATAAGTTAAATTCTGATATGCCACTTATGTCAAAATAATTGTTATATAGATGAATTATTACTGTAACATCATGAAGTATCTTAAAATTATATGACTTTTGGCCTCTCAAATGTCTTACATGATAATACCCCAATTTCCAGTCTTTAATTGATTGTATACCTCACGTAAGTGTCTGTCATCACTTGATACCTGTATCTGGCACTAAAACAAATGTAGCCGGCTCTAATGAAATTTGAAGTTTGGATAGGAGACATTGTAAAACTCAAGAATGGGAAAAAAAAATTTTAACAGAAGTATGTATGAAGGAAATATTTTAAGTATAATCTACCCAAAGAAAATAACTGCTACAGCCAACATTAAAGGTTTTATTCCCTGTTTTGTTAAGTAACTTCACTCCAAATTGTGACATTCTTTAGAGAAAATATTTTCCTTAAGAGTAGTTATTTACGTGTTTTATTGGGGGAGCATATTTTCAGGGGGGCAACATCTTGCTAAGAACATTTGATTAGCCTCACTTCTGTCCTCACCTTCTATATTGCTTACTTTTCAAGATATTTCTTCTGAGCCCTTTTCTTTGTATGCCCAGCTCCCTGTTATGTAATTAAGTAGTTGATTACCATTCCAAATGCTTCCCCTACACAAGGCTGTTGTCCACCCTGTTTCATGAATTTGTGAATTAAGTAGGTGCCTAATATTTTCCTACTATTAGGGTGAAAAGGAATAAGAAACTAAAGTGGCTTCCAAATGTTTGTGTCTTGGTTTCTTCACCCTAGTGCAAAATAGGAAATGTTTATTGGCAGTCATTTCTTTTCCATTACTCCTTTTAACCACATTACAAAAAGCTAGGATTTTGTGTCTAGAAGGAGACTTGTATTAAAAGACAAGATTCTTAGTAGTTATTCATCAGGCTTAAGTTTCCTGGTGTATTTCTTGTGGGAGAGGTAGAAGGACATTTTGTAGTAGTATTCTAACTATTAATATAATGCTGCTTGGGTTATCAGAAAGTATTGAATACTTCAGATAAGTCAAGTTAGTATTTAGTATAGCAGCTGTTCTTCAGAGCACAGGAAACTGGGATAGTATGTAGTATTATGCTGTTTCCATTATTGTTTCTCATTGCATAACACTTTTAATTTATATGTTGGTATACAATTTGCCCCTTTACTAAAAAAAAAAATCTAGTTTCATTCTTGTTCCTTGCCACATTAAGCAGTTTTTTCATTTACGTTTTAAATTTTCTTAATATTAGAAGAAAAAGAAAACAGAACAAAAGAGAAATGTCATGACTTAGAAAAGGAAATTTTAAGTTTTATGGAATACTGTAGCTTTATTTTCTGACATTTCTGCTTATAGATAGATTAGAAAATCCTTGTTTCTTTTGTTTGCTTTGTTTTAAAATCCAGTAAGGTTGAGGAACTTGACATTTTAAAACTGCAGTTTTATTTTTAACTACATAAGAGGCTGGTCATGTGAAATGTGCACTGCTATGTTGGAATGGATATGTATGTGACAATTAACCTCATTAAAGCTCTGTTGCTGTGGTAGGCATTCAGTTATTCCTAATAGTTTATTTTAGGTACTATACTGCTATCCTATTTGCTGAAATTATAAATACTAGCAATGTACAATAATTCTCATTCTTTGGCTGAATAAAAACAGAAATTTAAAGGTGCTGTGTCACATAAACAGTTAATGCCTCAGTACTAAAGTTTTGAAAAATATTCCTAAAAACTTCACAGGCATGAATTTTTGAAAAGAAGAAGAAACCACATATACACATAGAGGAATTTTTAAAGACTGGCATTTTAAAGTATAGCTGGTAAAAATGGTATGTATCCTTATGTGTAGAATTTAAACTTCTTGAAAATAATCTAAGCTGCAACAATCTATGTAACTGCTCTTCCACAGTTTTACATAAAGATAAGAATTTGTCTTACTAAAAGGTAAATGGAAGATTAAAAAAGATGAAAAACATTGTTTTTCCTCTATTCTATGTGGACAATTAAAAGTATAGCCAAGCCTCAGCTCAAATGAGTTGCCTTTGTGTGAGACAGGGTCTCACTCTGTCACCCTGGCCGGAGTGCAGTGGCGTGATCACAGCTCACTGCAACCTCCACCTCCTGGGCTCAAGCAATCCTTGTACCTCAGCCTCCTAAGCAGCTGACTAAGTAGACTACAGGCATGAGCCACCATGCCCAGCTAATTTTTTTTTAATAGCTACAAGGTATCAGTATGGTGCCCAGGCTAGTCTCAAACTCCTGGCTTCAAGCAATCCTCCCGCCTCAGCCTCCCAGCTTTGCCCAGCCGTGAGTTGCTTTGTGAGTTGTCTTCCTTAACTGCATCAGTTCATCCCATACTCCGTACATGCACTTTTTCTCGTATTTTTCTGCTTTTCTATGGTGTGTCCACACTCATTTGTGTATTTCTACACTGGTATTTCACTACTTATTAAGATATCTGCATGTGGACCTACATTTATAAATTGTAATTCCGTTCAGAGAAATAAGAACTTGATTGGGACAGAGCTGGGAAATGTTTGTGATGAAAATTATTAGGAATAAGGAAATAATGATGCTGTGTGAGAAAGCAAGTAGACTTAAATTCTGAGATAGAAACATCTGCAATCAACATAGAGAAGGCTACTTTACAAAAATGTTATTTCAGTGCCCGTATGGACAAATCTCTTTAAAAGGCTTTGTCTACTGTGTACATAAAGGAACTTATAAGCTTCATAAAGTGCTTATTTTTCTCTAGGAAGCCCATGTGATAGCTCTCTCCTCTGTTTTCCCACTCCTTCCCCAGCTTTTCCTGCTGCCCACTGCTCCAAACACTGACATCCAGTGGCCAGAGACCAGTCCAAATGGAGCACTAAAACTACATATAGATAGTGATCATATTGTTTAAAATGTTATTGCAACATGGTGTGTAAAGTGCACAGGTCTGAAATATACAGCTCAATAAATGTTTACATATATATGCGCCCATATAACCATCATTCAGATCAAGATGAGGCTCCCAGTCAGTCCTCATACATAACCACCACTCTGACCTCTGTCACTGTTGTTGACATTCCTATACATGGAATTATCCAGTCTATAGGTTTTTGTGTCTGGTTTAATTTGATCAGCATTATGTCTGTGAAATGCATCTATGTTGTTGCATGTAGCAATAACAGTAGTTTGTTCTTTTTCGTTGCTCTGTAGTATTCCATCAGATAAATACATCACAATTTATCCATTCTCCCACTGATAGACATTTTGGTTGTTTGTAATTTTTAGCTTTTGTGTTTAAAGCAGCCATAAGCATTCTTGTGCATATATTTTAATGGACACGTACACTCATTTCTCTTGTGTGTCCACTTAAAAGTGAAACAGCTGGCTGCAGTGAGCCTTGATCGCACCACTACATTCCATCCTGGGCGATAGAGTGAGACCCTGTCTCAAAAAAACAGACAAAAAAAAGGAGTGAAACTACTGAGTCATAAGATGAATATATATTTAGCTGTAGAAGATATTACCAAATGGTTTTCAACAATGGTTGTACCAATTTACATACCCACCAATAATGTGTAAGTGTTCTAGTTCTTCCACATCCTCATCAGTGCTTGGTACCATCAGCCCTAGTAGTTTAGCCACTCTGACAAATGTGTATATTTGATTGTGGTTTTAACCATTCTGGTGATTTTGTATTTCACTGAGATTTTAAGGTGTATTTTCCTGATAAGTAGTGATGTGTGGAACACCTTTTTATATTTTTATTAGTCATTTGGCTATCCTCAATTAAGTGCCTGTTCAAGTCATTTGTTCATATTTATTGGGTTGTCTTTTTTTCTTACTGACTTGCAGGAGTCTTTTATATTTTATGGATATGAGGGTTTTTGTCTGATATTTTACCATAAATGTCTTCTCTTTAGTTTGCTTTTCTACTTTCTAAGTGCTTTCCTTTGATGACCAAAAATTTTATGAAGTCCAATATACCAGTCTTTTATTTAATTGCTAATACTTTTGCGTCGTATTTAATAAATGTTCACACCAAGGTTATGAAGATATTCTTATATTCTTCTAAAAGCTTTATTGGCCGGGTGAGGTGGCTCATGCCTGTAATCCTAGTGCTTTGGGAGGCCAAGCCAGGTGGATCACTGGAGGTCAGGAGTTGGAGACCAGCCTGGCCAACATGGTGAAACCCCATCTCTACTAAAAGTATAAAAATTAGCCAGGCATGGTGGTGCATGCCTGTAATCCCAGCTACGTGGGAGGCTGAGGCAGGAGAATCGCTTGAACCCAGGAGGCAGAGGTTGCAGTGAGCCAAGGTCATGCCACTACACTCTAGCCTAGGCAACAGAGCGAGACTCTGTCTCAAAAAATAAAACTAAAAGCTTTATTGTTTTACCATCCACATTAGGTTTACAGTCCATCTACTGCTGATATTTGTATATGATGTGAAATAGTAGCCAAAGTTTATGTATTTCCATATGAGTATTAACTTGACCCAGCACAATGTATTGAAAAGCTGAGTTGTAATTTTTATGAAGTCTTCATATCTGGTAGTGTAAGACCTCTAACTTTTATCTAATAGTTCTAATAGTTTTGGCTATTCTTAATCCTTTGCATTTCCATATACATTTTAGAATCACCTTGTTAGTTTTGGGGGCAGAGGATGTTAGGGTTTAATTGGTATTGCATTGAATGTATAAATCAATTTCAGGAGAAATTATATCTTACCAATTTTGAGTTTTCCAATGCATGGACATGGTATATCCCTCTATTTACTTAGGTATTTAATTTGTCTCACCAGTGTTTTATAGATTTACATGTAGAGGTTAGATTTATATCTAGGTTTTTGACAGTTTTACTTTATTATCAAATTGTTTTTAATTAGTTTATAGAAATATAGTTTTTTTGGTATATTACCCTTTCACTTAGAAACCTTGTTAAATTCACTTTTTAATTCTAATCTGTATATTATTTTAGATTTCTTTAAGTCTACAGTTATATCGTCTGTAAATAATGACAGTTTCATTTCTGCCTTTTCAATTTTTATTTTTCTTGCCTTATTGAGCTGATCAGGACCTCCAATAACATGCTAAATGAAGTAATGACAATGGACTCCTTAAACTTCTTCAACTCAGAATAAGAATTCAATATTTTTCTATTCTATATATATATATTTTTTTCTTTTCTTTTCTTTTTTTTTTTTTTTTTTTTTTTTTTTTGAGACGGAGTCTCGCTCTGCCACCCAGGCTGGAGTGCAGTGGCTCAATCTCAGCTCACTGCAACCTCCACCTCCCAGGTTCAAGTGATTCTTCTGCCTCAGTCTCCCGGGTGGCTGGGACCACAGGCATGCACCACCACCCTCAGCTAATTTTTGTATTATTAGTAGAGATGGGGTTTCACCATATTGGCCAGACTGGCCTCGAATTCCTGACCTCGTGATCCACCCGCCTCAGCCTCCCAAAGTGCTGAGATTACAGGCATGAGCCACCTCACCCAGCCCAATATTATGTTTTATTTAATTTTTTTATAGATATCATATAGCAGATTGTTTTATTTCTAATTTTCAGAGAGTTTTTACTAAATGCTTTTTCTGCCTCTGTTGAGATAATCTTGTATTTTTCTTCTTTATTCTTCAATTTTCAAATGCTGAAAATAGAATAAATTCCATTTTCATGATGTATTGCCCTTTTCATATATCAATGGATATAGTTTGCTAATATTTTGCCTAAGATTTTTGGATCATAAGGAGGATAGACCTAGACTGGGTGTGGTATCTCACACCTGTAATCCCAACACTTTGGGAGGCCAAGAGGAAGGATTGCTTTAGCCCAGGAGTTGGAGACCAGCCTGGGCAACATAGAGAGACCTCATCTCTACAAAAGATTAATTAGCCAAGGATGGTGGTGCACACCTGTAGTACCAAATACCTGGGAGGCTGAGGTGGGAGAATCACTTGAGTCCAGGAAGCAGAAGTTGCAGTGAACCAAGATTGTACCACTGTACTCCCACCTGGGCAACAGAGCAGGAGCCTAGCATTAAAAAAAGAAGAAGAAGAAGAAGAAGAAGGAGGAGGAGGAGGAGGAGGAGGAAGAAGAAGGACAGACCTGTAATTTTTCTGTCTTTAATATTTTTGTCAAGTTTTGGTATCAAGATTATTCTGGCCTCATAAAAAAAAAGTTGGAGATGTGTTCCCTTTTTTTCTACACTCTGGAAGAGTTTGCACCTGATATTATTCCTCCTGTTTAAAATAATTCACCATTGAAGCCACTTGAATGAGAAGTTTTCTTTGTGGGAAAGTTGTCATTAATTGGAATATATCTTGTCTACTTACAGTTAATGTAATTATTATTGGTTTTAAGTCTACCATCTTACAATTTCTTTTACATTTTTGTCCTATATCCTCTTGGTTCCTGTATTGTGTCTTCTTTTGATAAACCAAATATTTTCTTTTGTCCATTGTTTCCTCCTATGTTAGTTCGTTAGTAATTTTTAGAAATTCATTTAGTACCTTAAAGATTACAGCTTGTATCTTTGACTTGCTGCCTTAAATTGGTACATTACCACTTCCCAACAATGCAGGAATTTTATGACAGTTTAAATCTGTTTTCCCCTTTTTTTTTTTTTTTTTTGAGATGGAGTCTTTGTCGCCAGGCTGCAGTGCAGTGGCACGATCTTGGCTCACTGCAACCTCTGATTCCCTGGTTCAAGCGATTCTCCTGCCTCAGCCTCCCGAGTAGCTGGGATTACAGACACAAGCCAGCACACCCAGCTAATTTTTGTATTTTTAGTAGAGACGGGGTTTCACCAT